>NC_000001.11:224846292-226083649 GCF_000001405.40 Homo sapiens | reverse complement strand
CGGCAAACCTGGGAGAGCGCGGGTGGCTGGAACCCCCTGTGCAGGCGGCCGCGTGGGGGCGGACCCGGTGGGCGTGGCGAGCTCCGGGGGCGTGGCCTGGGCCTTGGGGCCGCGTCACGTGACAACGACCGAGGCTAGAGGTGCTGTTGGGCGAACGCGAGGCGTCTGAAAGGATCAGTTTCGCGTTTTGGGGAAAGTTCTCTCTGGCACCTGGGGCTGGGGAGGGCGAGCCGGAGGAAGAGAGCCCGGGTGAGGCGGCGATTTCAGAAATGCCTGAAAAGGGAGAAGCCCGCCCCGGAGCCACGACAGTGGGGACGCTGGAGAGATGCTGGGGACCGGCCTCCACGACCTGGGGGGGAGGGGGGAGGGGACGAGCGGCGGGCACCCTGAACCCTTAGTCCTCGAGGCCCTGACAGCGACCCTCCCTCATGCTGCCCCCGAGGAGGAGTTGGAAGGAGCAGCTGGCCCCACGCCCCGTTTCCCGAGACTGCGGGCAGCGCTCCTCAGGAGTGTGTCCGGGGCCGGCTACTTCCTCCACTAAGAGACGAGTCGCCCGGGCCGCAGGAAGGGCCTGGTGCGCGGCCATCTGCTGACCAGTCTGGAGCTAGCGTGGTGGCTTCGGCTGCGCTGACAGTGATGCCACCGAGGTCTCTTACACACCAACAAGCTTCACAGGCCCCTCACCCAGCTAAGCCCGGGCATGGCATGCCTTGAGGGTATCCGAGGCTGTGACATCTTAGCAGAAATCCAAGCTAGCCCTCCCCACCCCCTCCACTCTACCTCCCCTTCACTTGGAATCAGAACTGTTCTATTTCAGCTCCAAATGTGATGATGATGACCAAATAAAATCCACCGTGAATTGAGCCCTCACTGTGTGTGCCCGGCTCTGTGCTAAACATTTGTCATGCGTTCTCTCACATAATCCCCGGACCTCCTACCACTTTCGTTATTTTTGCCTTGCCAGCACTAATTGTAAAACTGAACTCTTATTATTACGATGTTTTAATTGACTCAAATTTAGAGGTGTTATACGAAATCACAGGTTTGATGTGTAATGTTTCTTTTACTAATTCATATACAACATATAGACCTTGCAAATGTTTGAAACTGGCCGGGCGTGGTGGCTCACGCCTGTAATCCCAGCACTTTGGGAGGATGAGGCGGGCGGATCACCTGAGATCAGGCGTTTGGGACCAGCCTGGCCAACATGGCGAAACCCTGTCTCTACTAAACATACAAAAATTAGCCAGGCGTGGTGACACGCACCTGTGGTCCCAGCCACTCGGGAGGCTGAGGCACGAGAATCACTTGAACCCGGGAGGCAGAAGTTGCAGTGAGCCAAGATTGTGCCACTGCACTCCAGCCTGGACAACAGAGCAACTCCGTCTCAAAAACTAAAAATACATACATACACACATTTAACAAATTGGATCGGCCTTTTTTTTTTTTTTTTTTTTGAGACTGAGTTTCGCTCTTGTTGCCCAAGCTAGAGTGCAATGGCGCGATCTCGGCTCACCGCAATTTCCGCCTCCCGGGTTCAAGCGATTCTCCTACCTCAGCCTCCCGAGTAGCTGAGACTACAGGCGCCCGCCACCACGCCCAGCTAATTTTTTGTATTTTTAGTAGACACGGGGTTTCACCGTGTTAGCCAGGATGGTCTCAATCTCTTGACCTTGTGATCCGCCCCCCTCGGCCTCCAAAGTGCTGAGATTACAGTGTGAGCCACTGCGCCCGGCCCTTTTTTTTTTTTTTTTTTTTTTGAGACAGGGTGTCACTCTGTCACCCAGGCTGGAGTGCAGTGACGCGGTCACAGCTCACTGCAGCCTCAACCTCCCCGGGTTCAGGCGATCCTCTCACCTCAGCCTCTTGAACAGCTGGGACTACAGGCGCGCAGCAGCACACCTGGCTAATTTTTGTATTTTTTGTAGAGATGGGTTCTGCTATGCTGCCCCAAGTTGTTCTGGAACTCCTGGGCTCAAGCAATCCGCCTGCTTCGCCCTCCACAGTGCTGGGATTACAGGCATGAGCCACCATGCTCAGCCCTGCCTCAGTCTTTTTGATGGTTATGTGGTATTTCTTTTTAAAATTTTTTGTTTGGGTTTTGTTTTAGAGTATGTTGCCCAGGGAGGACTGAAACTCCTGGGCTCAAAAAATCCGTATTTTATTGTTTTCTTTAACTATGAATTATTTAGTTGTTTTATGTTCAGGCAGCTGGTCTGTTTCTAGTTGTATTTTTCTATTAATTTTATCTTAATTCCATTGTGATTGAAGAACATACTCTACGTAACTGCAGTTAAGAATATTTGTTAGGCTTTCTATCAGCTGTGCATGTGAACAACTTTGGTAAAAATTTTCCTTGTGAATTTGAAAAGAATGAATTCAGTTGTTGAGTTCAGAGCTCTATATATGTTAGCTGATGAAGTTTGTTAATTGTGTTGTTCAAATCTTCTATATCTTTACTTCTTGTTTTTTCTCTCAGCTGATATAAAATATATTTTAAAGTCTGCCACAATGATTGTGAATTTGTCTACTTCTCTTTTTAGTTTTCTCTGCTCTGTATATTTTCAACCTGTGCTGTTAGGTGCATACAGATTTAGGATTGTGATGTCTTCCTTTTTGATTGCTTCCTTTAGCATTATGAAATGGCCTCTTTACCTCTTGTTATGTTTCTTCCCTTAAAGTATACTTTTATGTTTGTTTGTTGTTTTTATTTTTGAGATGGGGCCTCACTCTGTCGCTCAGGCTGGAGTGCAGTGGCCTGATCAGGGATCACTGCAGCCTCTACCTCCTGGGCTCAGGTGATCTGGAATCCCACACCTGAGCCTCCCCAGTAGGTGGAACTACAGGCCCACACCACCACACCCAGCTAATTTTTTTTTTTTTTGAGGCGGAGTCTTGCTCTGTCGCCCAGGCTGGAGTGCAGTGGCACGATCTCGGCTTACTGCAAACTTCACCTCCCGGGTTCACGCCATTCTCCTGTCTCAGCCTCCTGAGTAGCTGGGGACTACAGGTGCCCACCACCATGCCTGGCTAATTTTTTGTATTTTTAGTAGAGACGGGGTTTCATCTTGTTAGCCAGGATGGTCTCGATCTCCTGACCTCGTGATCCACCTGCCTCGGCCTCCCAAAGTGCTGGGATTACAGGCGTGAGCCACCACGCCCGGCCTTTTTTTTTTTTTTTTTTTTTTTTGAGATGGCGTCTTGCTCTGTCACCCAGGCTGGAGTGCAATGGTGTGATCTCAGCTCACTGCAACCTTCACCTCCCGGGTTCAAGTGATTCTCCTGCCTCAGCTTCCCGAGTAGCTGGGATTACAGGCATGTGCCACCATGCCTGGCTAATTTTTTTTTTTTTTTTTGAGATGGAATCTTGCTCTGTCACAGAGGCTGGAGTGCAGTGGCAGGATCTCGGCTCACTGCAACCTCCGCCTCCCGGGTTCAAGTGATTTTTGTGCCTCAGCCTCCGGAATAGCTGGGACTACAGGCGCACACCACCATGCCTGGCTAATTTTTTGTATTTTTAGTAGAGACTGGGTTTCACCACATTGGCCAGGCTGGTCTTGAACTCCTGACCTCAGGTGATCCATCTGCCTCAGTCTCCCAAAGTGCTGGGATTACAGGCGTGAGCCACTGCTCCCGGCCCAGTGTCTTACACTTTGGATTTATCAGGTTGTTTCTTTATCCTTATTATATTCAGTTTAAACATTTTGGCTAAAAGTTTGGGTGATGTGTCCTCAGTACGATGTCAGTTTGTCTCCTTTTTGATGACATGAAGTTTCATCGTTTGATTAAAGCCTAGTTTCTCTTGAATTCCCTCTAATCAGGTTTTGTTCCCTCTATTTCATCAAAACTGTTATTAGGATCACCAATGACCTCTAGAAATTCAATGGTCAATTCTCAGACCTCACGCTCCCCTTGACTTAGTAGTATTTGACACCGTAGATCACTTCGTCCTCATTGGAGCACTTTCTTCTTTTGAATTCCAGATGATCACATATGTCTGGCTTTCTTCCTCTCTGCCTATTTCTTCTCAGTCTTCTTTGGAGCTGTCACTCAGTCTCTAAACTCTAAATGTTGAGTTCCTCAGTCCTTGGAGCTCCTCTCTAATTTCTTTTTTTTTTCTTTTTTCTTTTTTTTTTTTTTTTTTGAGACGGAGTCTTGCTGTTGCCCAGGCTGGAGTGCAGTGGCAGGATCTCGGCTCACTGCAAGCTCCGCCTCCCGGGTTCACGCCATTCTCCTGCCTCAGCCTCCCGAGTACCTGAGACTACAGGCGCCCGCCACGACGCCTGGCTAATTTTTTGTATTTTTAGTAGAGACGGGGTTTCATCTTGTTAGCCAGGATGGTCTCGATCTCCTGACCTCGTGATCCACCCGCCTCGGCCTCCCAAAGTGCTGGGATTACAGGCGTGAGCCACCGCGCCCGGCCTTCCTCTCTAATTTCTATCAGCACCTGCTTCCTTGGTGATCTCAGCTAGTTTTAAGACCATGCTGATGACTTCCAAATTTATATCTCCAGCCCAAACCTCTTTCCTAAACCCCAGGTTCATATCCAATAGTCTCCATGAAATCAATAAAAAGTCTAATTAAGCATCTCAATCTTAACACGTCCAAAACTGAGCTCCTTATATTTCCCAAACCTGTTCCCTCACAGTCTTCCCTAAGTGAAGCAATAGCAACTTCATGCGGTTGCTCAGGTCAAAACCCTGGCCCCATTAACCGCCCCCTCTCCCTTTTTTTTTCTCATGCCTACATCCATTAAGTCCTAGCCATCCTCCTATCATTGTAAAATATCCAGAATGCCACTTTGCACACTGCCACTGCCACCACCCAAGTCCAAGCCGCTATATCATGTCACACTTAGGTTACTGCAATAGCTTAATTGGTTTTCCTTTCTGCTCTACCCTTATTGCCTTCGGTCTATTCTCCAGACAGCAGCTGGAGTGATTTTGTTAAAACATTAGTCAGACCATTTTATCCTTCTGCTGAAAACTCTCCAGAGGTTTCCCGTCTCACTCAGTGTCCTTGCAGGACCTATAAAGCGCTACATGCTCTGACTCCCATTACATCTCCGGTTTCCCACCGTGCTTCTCTGCTCGTTTGCTCTGCTGTGGCATGCTCACCTCCCTGTTGTTCCGAGAACATACCAGGCTGGCTCCTCCAATGGGACCCCTAATAGGACCTGAAATACTCTTCTCTCACATCTGTGTGGCTTGCTGTCTCATTTTCTTCAAGACTTGACTCGAAAGATACCTCAGTGATGCCTCCCATGGCTACGCTAACTTCCAACATCTCCCCCCCGAGTCCACAACACTTGTTATCCACATTCTTTTTTTCTTTTTAGCACTTACCACTATCTGATAAATTATGTACAGTTGGTCCCAAATTATGATGGTTCGATCTACAATTTTTCAACTTTACGATGATGCAAAAGTGACACACATTCAATAGAAACTGTCCTTGGAGTATCCACACAACCATTGTTTGTCACTTTGTTTAGTATTCATGAGCTCTTCAACATTTTATTTAAAAAATAGGCCGGGCGCAGTGGCCCACACCTATAATCCCAGCACTTTGGGAGGCCGAGGCAGGTGAATCACAAGGTCAGGAGTTCAAGACCAGCCTGGTCAATATGGTGAAACCTCGTCTCTACTAAAAAACAACCCACAAAAATTAGCTGGGCGTGGTGGCATGTGCCTATAGTCCCAGGTACTCAGGAGGCTGAGGCAGGAGAATTGCTTGAACCCAGGAGGTGGTGGTTGCAGTGAGCCAAGATTGCGCCGCTGCACTCCAGCCTAGGTTACAGAGCAAGACTCCATCTCAAAAAAAAAAAAAAAACAAAAACAAAAAAACAAAAAGGCTGTTAGATGGTTTTGCCCAACTGTAGGCTAATATTAAGTATTCTGAGCACATTTTTTTTTTTTTTTGAGACAGGGTCTCACTCTGCCACCCAGGTTGGAGTGTAGTGGTAAGATCTCAGCTCACTGCAACCTCTGCTTGAACCCGGGTTCAAGCAATCCTCCTGCCTCAGCCTTCCAAGTGACTGGGATTACAGGCACGTGCCACCACGCCCAGCTAATTTTTGTTTTGTTTTGAGATGGAGTCTTGTTCCCGTTGCGCAAGCTGGAATGCAGTGGTGCGATCTCGGCTCACTGCAACCTCCACCGCCAGGGTTCAAGCGATTCTCCTTCCTTAACCTCCCGAGTAGCTGGGATTACAGGCGTGTGCCATTATGCCCAGCTAATTTTTGTATTTTTAGTAGAGATGGGGTTTCGCTACGTTGGCCAGGCTGGTATCGAACTCCTGACCTCAGGCGATCCACCCACCTTGGCCTCCCAAAGTGCTGGGATTATAGGGGTGAGCCACCGCGTCCAGACTAATTTTTATATTTTTAATAGAAACAGGGTTTCACCATGTTGGCCGGGCTAGTCTTGAACTCCTGACCTCAAGTGATCTGCCCATCTCAGCCTCTCAATGTGCTGGGATTACAGGCGTGAGCCAACATGACTGGCCATTCTGAGAACATTTAAAGTAGGCTAGGCTAGGCTGTGATGTTGGGTATGTTAGGTGTATTAAATGCATTGTCGATTTAGGGTATTTTCAACTTACAGTCAGTTTACTGGAACATGGCCCTATCCTAAGTCAAGGAGAGTCTGCATTTACTTCATCTTTATTGTGTTTTTTCCCACTACAATGTAGCTCCATAACAATAGGGAACTTTGTTCACTTCTGTGTCCCCACAACAGTGTCTGGTACATAGAAGGTACTCCATAAATAATGAATGAATGAATGAACGAGGCATAGGGGGACTGGGTGATTTGCCCGAGGTCACTCGGCTAGTACAGAGGCAGTTTAGCTACTGTTGTTTTTTGAAGACAAAGTCTCTCTTGCCCAGGCTGGAGTGCAAGTAGCACAATCATGGTTCACTGCAGTCTCAACCTCCTGGGCCCAACTGATCTTCCCACCTCAGCCTCCTGAACAGTTGGGACCACAGGTGGGTGCTACCATATCTGGTTATTTTAAATTTTTTTTGTAGAGACAGGGTCTCACTATGTTGCCCAGGCTGGTCTCAATCTTCTGGTCTCAAGTGACCCTCCTGCCTCAGCCTCTTATAGGCGTGAGTCACCACGCCCAGCTCAGAGCCTGAACTCTTAACTGTGGAACTACACTGCAAATAATTATTTCCTTAAAAAAATAATTTCCAGGCCAGGCGCCGTGGCTCGGGCCTGTAATCCCAGCACTTTGGGAGACTGAAGCGGGTGGATCACCTGAGGTCAGGAGTTAGAGACCAGCCTGGCCAACATGGTGAAACCCCATTTCTACTAAAAACACAAAATTAGCCAGATGTGGTGGCTCAATTTTTTTGAGACGGAGTTTGACTCTTGTTGCCCAGGCTGGAGTGCAGTGGCGTGATCTCGGCTCACTGCAACCTCCATCTCCCGGGTTCAAGCAATTCTCCTGCCTCAGCCTCCCAAGTAGCTAGCTAGTGGTTTAAAAAAAAAAAAAAAGTATTCATAATGACTTTTGAGAATGCCTCTTAACTAGTTTCACCACTTATGTTGTTACTGATTTATTTGCTATCATGATAAAATTGTAACCCACCTAGTCCTATTTCACTTTTTTCCATAAAATCGAGCTCCTGCAGGATCTATTTCACTTTGAGACTAATATTCACTAGCATAAGAATCATACCTAATTCAGTAGGGATGCTACTTGGAAAGTTAAGTTTGAAACCAGGTTTTGCCCTACAATTCTGCAAGGAACAGTATGTATGTTGGCTTGCCTTATCAGAATTTTAGATTCTAGTTCACTTACTATTGTGTTCTGCTTTTTTTTTTTTTTTTTTTTTTTTTTTTTGAGACAGAGTCTCGCTCTGTGGCCCAGGCTGGAGTGCAGTGGTGAGATCTAGGCTCACTGCAACCTCTACTTCCTGGGTTCAAGTGACTCTCCCACCTCAGCCTCCTGAGTAGCTGGGATTACAGGCACGCACCACCATGCCCAGCTAATTTTTGTATTTTTAGTCAAGACGGGGTTTCACCGTGTTGCCTAAGCTGGTCTTGAACTCCTGACCTCGTGATCTTCCCACCTTGGCCTCCTGAAGTGCTGGGATTACAGGCGTGAGCCACCTCACCCAGCCAGGCCTTGTGTTTTTGTATCTACTTTCATTTAATCCTCAAAATAACAAATCAGTTACCATATATTAAGTTTACAGAAGCTTAACGTTGACATGGAGGTGAGCAGGACCACTCATTCATTCTAGCATTAATTTGACAGATTTTTATTCAGATTTACTATATATCAGCATGGGGGCTATAATGGGAAATAGTGCGAACCCCCGTTCTTGTAGCATTCTAGTGGGAGCAGTCAAGAAAATAGTAGATAAATGGCCGGGCGCAGTGGCTCATGCCTGTAATCCCAGCACTCTGGGAGGCCAAGGTGGATCACCTGAGGTCAGGAGTTCAAGACCAGCCTGACCAATATGGTGAAACCCCGTCTCTACTAAAAATACAAAAATTAGCCGGGCGTGGTGGCATGTGCGTGTAGTGCCAGCTACTTGAGAGGCTGAGACAGAATTGCTTGAACCCGGGAGGCAGAGGTTGCAGTCATCTGAGATTGTGCTATTGCACTCCAGCCTGGGCAACAGAGACTCCATCTCAAAAAAAAAAAAAAAAAAAAGACAAATTAACAAGATAATTTCAGATTTTTGGTAAATACTAAGGAATGTGAAAAAGGGTGTGTGAGCAGAGGGTTTGGCTGGAACTTAAGTGGTGGAAAGATTGGTAAGGTCAGATCACATTAGGTTTCTCCTGAGTCAGTGAGTAGTTTAGATTTCATCCAGTGTGCAATGGGAAGCCGTTAGAGATCTTTAAGTGGGGAAATGACCTGAAACAATTTACGTTTTAAAAGTTTATCTGGAGGCTGTGCGGAGGAGTCCAGAGGAGAGTAACAGTGGATGGATGCAGATAGATTTAAATTATTTCAAGAGTCTAGGTGAGAAAATAGCAGCTTGGGCTGGGCGCGGTGGCTCAAGCCTGTGATCCCAGCACTTTGGGAGGCCAAGGTTGGGGGATCACCTAAGGTCAGGAGTTTGAGACCAGCCTGGCCAACATGGTGAAACCCCTTCTCTACTAAAAATACAAAAAAATTAGCTGGGCATGGTGATGGGCGCCTGTAACCCCAGCTACTTGGGAGGCTTAGACAGAATTGCTTGAACTCGGGAGGCGGAGGTTTCAGTGAGGCGAGATCACATCATTGCACTCCAGCCTGGGCAACAAGAGCTAAACTCCGTCTCAAAAAAAAAAAAAAAAAAAAAAAGAAAAGTAAAGAAAATAGCAAATAGCAGCTTGGATTAGGGCAGTAGAAGTGGGGAGTGAAAAGTTTTGGATGCCCCTTTGGAGGAAGAGCCTAAAGGAATAGGTAATGAGAGTGGAATTAAAGGGGGTAGGTTATGACTGAGCAGGTGATGAGCAGCATGGTTTTGACTGCATACAGGCTTTTCTTATGATTTCTAAAATATCACCCTCAATCCTAATTTTGTCTTCCCTCCCAACCCCCATTTGTTTCTACTACTGCCAAGACTTCAACTTCTACAATCCCTGGCAAAATTAACTGCTCTAATTTATTCTATGTATCACTTAAGAGAATGGTCTTCGATTTAGCCTACCTGGGGACAAAGTCTACCTCTTTCGTCATTTCTTTACCTGTAAAATAGAGCATACAATAGTACCCACTTCACAGTTGTTGAGAATTAAATTTTGAATTGGGGCATACTTTTGCATCCTCAGCATTTGGCAGGCCCTTGATTTATTTGCAAATTTGAATGTATTTCCTCTTAAAGATTCTGGACTGTCAAGAAAAGGCAAGAGTTTGGGCATTGTTCAAGCACCCACCTATTCATAATAGCTGAGATTCCCCCCATTTGCTTAAGAGGATGTTTTCAAATTCCTAAAGATTCTTCCATAGTATTCCCGATTTTCCTAAGACGTTTACCTGAAATTTTTTTTTAATCTTAAAATATAATTTTCTGGGGTTTTTCATCCGTTAACTTAGACTTTAGTGAACTTTTCTGGAATCTTAGAAGGTGTTTGTTGGCTATTTACTTTGCTATTGAAAAGCTGAAACAAAGTGGTAATTCTAGCTAGTCTCCATACATTTTGGGCCGAATTCCAATTCACTCTAGGTTTTTTTTCTGGGTGGGACTGCCATATAGCAACTCTGAAGCATCATAGGAAAGAGGATTATGAGCCTAACAGTTACCGAGCATTAACCCAGGGATTAAAGAGCTGGCAGATCCACTTACACCTGAGTCAAAGGATAGCCCTGAGCTCAAAACTACTATGCATATTTGTCAGGTCCTGGTAAACTAGGAATATATAAGAATACATGCCCAATATTAACATAGCATTGTATGAGACAATTCAATAAATTGACCAGACATTTGTGTACATACGTTGAGTGCCAAGTTTATCTTTGTGCTTTTTTCTATCTGGCTCATTTTATAATGTACAACTTACTGTATTATACCTGGACAGTGAGCACATAGTACTAAATATTTGTTTAAACATTGAAATTATGTTTAAAAAAAGAATTGTTAACAACCACTTCATGGGGCAATAAAAAATGTACTTTTAGAGCATTAAAACTTTTCGAGATTTTAGGATTCCAAGAACTCAAAGGACTGTATTGTCTACTTGTAAATAACTGGTCTTTATCAGATTCCAGCAGGTAACATTAACTTCCTCCCTTACTGGAGACACCTTTTTCTTCTGAAGTGTTTCATGAAAAGGCCATTTGGTCTTTTGCACTGAAAAACTGGATTGAACAGAGAACATTCAACTACAATTGGCTTTTAGTAACTTATATTGAGAAAGTTCCAAGTGTTACCCGTACTTCCCTGTAGAAGTACATGCAAAAGATCATACTGAAAACTAGGATGCATGCTAACAAAATCAGCCTCTTAAAGTAATTAATTCTCCCATTAAAGAATTTTATAGTCACCTATAGTCAAAAGATTAAGTTATGGCTAAATGTTTAAGAGCAGTAAGAATGCAAGCCCAGTGTCGTATCTTACTGACATGCGTCTATTCTTGGCATAGTTATTAACATTTCGTATCACTTCTAGGGCAGTTTCAAACACTCAAACGTTACAACTAATGGGATGTGTTAAAAGTCTTAGAAGGTTTAATTATCCTCATTTCACATTAATTGTACCAACACTAAATAAAACAGGGCTAAGAATTAACTATTAGTGCTTGAATAAATTCAGGGTTAACTAATAGAGCATCTTAAAATAGCCAGATCTTGAATGCATTAATTTTTGAGCTAAAGACTGTTACACACTCTCATTTGTTATTAAACATTCATGAAAGTTCAATCTACTTACAGATTCCACTATTTCCAGGTGATCCTGTTGATTAGCTTTTCGAATTATTGGTTCAGAAGACAACACATCCAAAGAGTTAAGACCACTGGGTAGTGGCAAGCTTCTAAAAATTAGAAATAAAGCCAAGTTCCTTTTGCCACCAAGTCTATACTTTCCTTCTCTCTCAATAAGTCTCACGTCTCAGATATAAAGTGACTATTAAAGGACTTAATACTGAAATTATTTGGAATATAATTGTAGGGCAAGGCTATAATAAAGACCAAAAGCAGGTATAGTTTAATGTATTTTAATAGCAAACTTACAGGAACAGCACAGAAGACAGACAACATTAAAAACATGTACTTGCATGTAGGACAACTCAGTTAGAAAAGTATAGTGAATGGATGGAATCTACTGTATGATAAAAATGCTACAAACACCATTTAGTTGCCATCAATAAGAAATTTACTTGTTTTAAAAAAATCCAAATGCTGGCATTGTCCAGAAAAATTTAACAGGTTTATTTATAATTATTATAAAGTTGAACCGCTGAAACTTGTTCACTGAAACATTTTAACTTGCATTAATGCTTTACGTCTCCGCATTTATATTAAAAATTCACACACAAATGAAAATGGAAAAACTGCCAATACCTGATTTCTGTCCCCTATTTTTCCACTCGCAATCATATACTTAGGTACCTTTTGACCCCATGGAAAAAAAATATCTAACGTTCAGAACTACCAATAACAGGAAGAAGAGAAATTTTTTTTTTTTTTTTTGAGAATGAAATGTTTCCCATCATAGTGGATTCTTAAGCACGTTCTCCACGTATGCGGCGTGCTAGCTGGATGTCTTTTGGCATAATTGTTACACGTTTGGCATGGATAGCACACAGGTTGGTGTCTTCAAAAAGGCCAACCAGATAGGCCTCACTTGCCTCCTGCAAAAGGAATGAAGAAAAAATTACTGATGATGTTATTTCCAATAGTTAAGACCCAACTATACGAATTAAAACAAAAAGGTTTTTGAACCCTTTAAAAAAATGACTGGGCAAGATGCTGACAATTTTACCAAATGCTTACATTTTACAACCTGTGGGACAAAGCTCAAAAGCAGCTTATGAAAAAAAACAAAAGCTTAAGTCAGTAAATCTTTTATCAAGTTACACAAATCAAATTACTTTGTTACTAGGAAACTTCAATTTTTCTAATGGTAACATGATTTCTAATAAACTGAAATGTCACAAATAAAGCAAGAAATCCAATTTAACACTCTCATTCTTATAAACGCAATCATGTCCAATCCAAATACCCCATCCCAGCCTAGTCTCCTCCTCACTCTGAATCCCATTCACACAGTATGTGAACCTCTGCCTTGTCCAGTAGTATAACATGGTGAACAAGTGGTTTTTATCACATGCTTCTCATCTATGTTCCCTTTCATACCTGTTTTATCATAAGAGTACTTTTGATTCCAGAACATATCACAAGTTAGTTCCGTATTTCTTTCTTTCTTTCTGAGATGGAGTCTTACTCTGTCGCCCAGGCTGGAGTGCAGTAGCGCGATCTCGGCTCACTGCAACCTCCACCTCCCGGATTCAAGCGATTCTCCTGCCTCAGCCTCCCGAGTAGCTGGGACTACAGGTATGCGCCACCATGCCTGGCTACTTTTTTGTATTTTTAGTAGAGAAGGGGTTTCACCATGTTGGTCAGGCTGGTCTCGAACTCCTGACCTCGTGATCCACCCACCTTGGCCTCCCAAAGTGCTGGGATTATAGGCGTGAGCCACCGCGCCCGGCAGTTCCTTATTTATTTATTTTGAGACGGAGTCTCTCTTTGTTGCCCAGGCTGGAGTGCAGTGGCAAGATCTCAGCTCACTGCAAGCTCCACCTCCCAGGTTCATGTCATTCTCCTGCCTCAGCCTCCCGAGTAGCTCGGGCTACAGGCGCCCACCACCACGCCTGACTAATTTTCAGTAGAGATGGGGCTTCATTGTGTTAGCTAGGATGGTCTCGATCTCCTGACCTCGTGATCCTCCTGCCTCGGCCTCCCAAAGTGCTGGGATTACAGGAGTGAGCCACCGCAACTGGCCTGGCAGTTCCTTATTTATATACTTTGATCTATGCCCCGGAAACATGCCCCTGTCCTCTACCAAGTACCTTCCTCTACGTACCCCAATTTGTAACAGCATTTGTTGCCCTCTAGTACTAGTATCGATTTCTCTGGTTTTTCCCATTTGACTGTAAGATCCTTTCAAGTTATCTTATTCCTACTACCACTTAAAAATGACAGTGTATGAATCACTCATTGACACTTAACTTGTGAAGAGGAAAAAGGGGCGTTTCCACTTAGAATTAACTCATAACTCAAATTCTTAGTATACTTATAGCTGTCTGAAAAGCTGAAGAATCTTTTAGTCTAAGCCAAAACATCTGCTTACTCTTTTTGTTTTTGTTTTTTGAGGTTTGAGTCTTGCTCTGTAGCCCTGGCTGGAGTGCAGTGGTATAACCTCGGCTCACTGCAACCTCCACCTCCCGAGCTCAGGCAATTCTCCTGCCTCAGCCTCCCGAGTAGCTGGGATTACAGGCATGCACCATCACGTCCAGCTAATTTTGTATTTTTAGTAGAGATGGGGTTTCACCATGTTGGCCAGGCTGGTCTTGAACTCCTAACTTCAGGTGATCTGCCCACCTCAGCCTCCCAAAGTGCTGGGATTACAGGTGTGAGCCGCCATGCCCGGCCTGCTTACTCATTTTGAAATGGAGAAATTACCATTTTAAAAAATAATCATAAATCCAACAGTTTTGGATCTGGAGCATGAAATGATAGGTTAGTTGGCTCTCTCTCCTTTTCTATAAGGAAAAGTTATTTCTCTGCTGAAGATATATTAAGGGAGAAAACAGTCTTATAGTTGCATTTTTATTCTAATAAAAAAAATTCCAGACCAGGTGCCGTGGTGGCTCACGCCTGTAATCCCAGCACTTTGGGAGGCCGAGGCAGGCAGATCACCCGAGGTCAGGAGCTTGAGACTAGACTGACCAACACGGAGAAACCTTGTCTCTACTAAAAATACAAAAAGTAGCTGGGCGTGGTGGCATGTGCCTGTAGTCCCAGCTACTTGGGAGGCTGAGACAGGAGAATTGCTTGAACCCGGGAGGCGGAGGCTGCAGTAAGCCGAGATTGCACCACTGCACTCCAGCCTAGGTGACAGAGTGTGACTCGTCTCAAAAAAAAAAAAAAAAGGTACTTTCACATTTCTAGCTTCATCCTTTTTAGCCCTATCACTACTCTTCTACAAGTTTCCTTCATTCAAATTGAACTATTTTCACGTGTGTTTCTCCAGCATTTGTTATTAACAACTAAGTCTTACTTATCTACCCTTTAAGGCCCAGCTCAAGACTATTCCATGAAGGAGAAAATCGCATACTTGTCTCTTGCTCCTGTTGCCAGTGCAGGCAACCCTGAACTCCTAGTTCCTTGGCACTCACAATGACCTTGCATTATCAGCCATTTTTTGGTGCCCTTAAGTTACTTGATAACAGAAATCTCATTTAATACTCCAAATGCCTTGTCCTCAAGTAGATTTTCAATATTTGCTAGTTTTAAAAAATGTTTCTATTCTATGCAAGTAGTCCCTCGCATCTTACCTATTCCACAGGTATTAAAAGCAAAAGTCCTTAATATTCCGAGATTCGTTCTTAAGATATTCTAGAAGTGGGTAGAAATCCTGGAAAAAATGGCATATTGTAGCCTCCTTAGGGGCTCACAACGCATATCAGCTATTATATCAGGAAAGAAAACAGTTTAATTTTGCTTAACCTGGCACCTCGGGATTACAGAAAGCTAGAATGCTTTTGTAAAATGTGGTACAAGCTACTATGCAAGCAAACCATCAGGCACCATGGTTCTGGTGGCCTTTCAGAGTGGTATCACTTAGAACCACTCAGATGTGGCATGTGGTAGCTGGGGCTCTCACTGCTGTCTTAGAACCTGGCTACTAGTTTATAAGGATTGTGTCTGGTCAGCTCTGAGAGGAGACTGAACTCCTACGAGAGGATCTGACCATGACCCATACATTTCCAATTTTATTACAAGTAACCCAAAGTCCCTTAAAACATTAAGGCTGTAATGGGAATTAAAGACTGCCACACTAATTTATGACCTAATGAATTAATTTTGATTTAATGGCAAAGAAAAAAAAGAACTACAAGAAAGTATTAGTTTAGGACATTTTGAGTATATTCAACGTCTGCCTCTTTACCATTTCAAAGCAACACTGTCCACTTAACACAAGAATATTTGAGTTCAAGTTCTCAGACATTAAAAGCAAAGACTATATTTTAAGTAAGTCAATTATTGATTATCTATGGCAAACTGAGACTAATTTCTCCTCTACCATTCTCACTGGACTGCCTGCTATCCTTTAGTTGTAAAGTGTGTAATTCTAAGGCCAAAAACAAAGGACCTTTGGATTTCTACTTCAATTGCGATCTTCTATTATCCTATTCCATTAACAAATTCTCCCTCTGTTATCTTTTTTTTTTTTTTGAGACAAGAGTTTTGCTCTTGTTGCCCAGGCTGGAGTGCAATGGCGCCATCTCGGCTCACTGCAACCTCTGCTTTCCGGGTTTAAGCAATTCTCCTGCCTCAGCCTCCCTAGTAGCTGGGATTATAGGCGCCTGCCACCACGCCAAGCTAATTTTTTGTATTTTTAGTAGAGAAGGGGTTTCACACCATGTTGGCCACGCTGGTCTGGAACTCCTGACCTCAGGTGATCTACCCACCTCAGCCTCCCAAAGTGTTGGGATTACAGATGTGAGTCACGGCGCCCGGCCCACTCTCTGTATTTTTAAGATAACTAAAATATATGCATAAAAAAGCAAACAGAAAACACAAAAGCTTAACAAAGATCACTCTTTCCAATAAAGAGCTATCTAACACTAAGAGAACTGTGGACAGAAGAGGTGAACATTTTGCTTAAAACCAATACAACCACACTTAATGACAAATATGTAATAGTAACAATGGAAGTTTACATGTGAATAATTTTAGAAAGATGAGTCTTTTACCCAGATTGTTTAGTAAATTCAATTTAAAAGGCTACATTATTGACATTTAAGCTAAAAACGCTACACTTTTCAAGTACAGTATTGTTCTTTAAGCACAGTTCTAACTAGAAAATATTAGCAGCTTTGTACCAATGCTTACGAATCTTAGTAACATTTCTGTATTTAGTAATAAATAAGAACTGAAGATAATCGGCTATTAAAACAGAAAATAAAGTTTTAAGTAAAAACATGGAAGATTTTAGTAGTTGAAATTTCAGCAACTCACTGAGAATTTAATGGATGCCTACTCCTGGAATTCACCAATCAAATGAAGTTTAGATTAACCATAGAAACAGCTCGACCAATTACACTTCAGGGTGGAATCCACCTATCCTATCTTTCTCATACATAAAGCAAAAGCCCAGCACAGCAACAGCAGCCTTGAAAATCCTCCAATGGAATGTACTTAGATTCTGGATGCCCCCTCCCCACCCCCAGAATGATTCAGGTCTGCAATGGTGCCTAACAATCAGCATTTTTAACGACCCCCAACTGCATGCTTCTGATGGAGGTGGTAGCTTTACTGTATTCTGGGATACTTGCAACTAAAGAATCCAACCACACAATATAAAATAGGTTACTTAAGTGACTGATGTTAATGACGTCTACATACCTTTATCAAGTATCTTGTAGGAATTTCAAGTTTTGGTCTTAACTTAAACCACAAATATCTCAAATACATAAATATCTCTAGAACAGTATTTCTCTAAGTCCTGACATGCTAGAGATTAAGATTAAATTCAATATGCTCCACATGTAAGTGGCAATCCCTAATCCCCTTTAGGAAACCACAAGGCAAATCCTGGCCCCTTTACACGTCCAGTATCACCTTTAAGCACCGTTCCCCCAATCTTGCCAATCCAATCCTATCCTCCACTCACTGCTCCTTTTACGTCTTAATGCATAATTTTTTAATACTGCCTATTCCCATCCTAGGTATTAAGCTCTCTCTACCTATATGTTTCTTCAGGACCTGAAGAGACATTTCTTTTATTCTAGGCACTGTTGTTTGAAATTGTTACTACAAATATAGACCTCTA
This sequence comes from Homo sapiens, assembly GCF_000001405.40. Taxonomy (NCBI): domain Eukaryota; kingdom Metazoa; phylum Chordata; class Mammalia; order Primates; family Hominidae; genus Homo; species Homo sapiens. Next base: position 226,066,143 of record NC_000001.11, on the reverse strand, counting down.
GTCTCAAGTTCTTCTTAATGTCCTGCAGCATCCATAAACCAAACCAGAGGATTTTCTTTAAATATTGTTTTTAGTGCAATGTTTCAAAATTTTAAATGGTATAATGGAATGTGCACTAAGCCTTGGAGTCAAATAGGTTCAAATTATGGTTTTGCCATTTTCTACGTGTATGACCTTGAGCAATTTAACCTTTCTGAAGTCTCAACAGTGAAGTAACAATATCAACTACCTGACAGGCTTGTGATTAAATGATATAAGCACATGCAACAATTTGGAACTGTTCTTGGTACACAACAGGAATACAAACTCTGAGTCTTCCCACCCACCATTTTACCTGCAAAGCACCGATAGCTGCGCTCTGGAAGCGCAGATCTGTTTTAAAGTCCTGAGCAATTTCTCGCACCAGACGCTGGAAGGGAAGTTTGCGAATCAGAAGTTCAGTGGACTTCTGATAACGTCTAATTTCACGGAGCGCCACAGTACCAGGCCTTTAAAAAATTAATAAAGAAACTGTTACCAAAAACATAACTAGCACAAAAAGGTAAGTGGGCAGCTTCAAAGAAATGCAGTAATCTTTCAAAAAATAAGCCACCCAACAATTCTTCAGCTTCAGTATCAAATTTCACTGATCAACTTAAGATGTGAACATTCAAATCTAGTAACAATACCTTTAAAGCAAAAAGCATGAAATTAAAATGCATTCTTAGCAAGAAATTCATCAAAGCCCTATTTATTTTCATTTTAAAAAGTTATTCATGTATATAAACCTTGGGAAGGTATTAGCTGTCAGGCTAATGAAGAAGTTGGCTCCCCTCAATTTAGCACCACTCTCCTTCCCTACACCCTCTATTATCTTAAGAGCCCTTAAAGATGACCAACACAACCCAATGAACTTCATTTAAAAATCTGCTTGTGGCATTCAAGTTCTATTTCCCAGAATACCTCTACCCTGACTACAGTTCACCCCTCATCAACTATTAAATTTGAATACACCCGATTGTGCAGTGTTCCTTCCACGTGGAAAAGTTTTTTTTACTAAGTAATTGTCAGCAAGAAATTTACCTCTCATTCTGACTTATTTCTTCCACTGTATGAGCTTTTATTTTAGGTTAATCGTAATATTTGCGGAGGCTAAGTCTAGGCAACTTCTGCCCTCTAATGGCAGATGCCCTTAACAACACAGTGGCTCAGGTAGTTCACAATCAAAAGAGCTAATACAGAAGGAAATAAGCTAATCAAGTAAATGAGGGGGTAGGAACTTTATAAAACACCCAATCTCGATTATATTATTATTTTGCCAAAAACTAGGAAAGATAACCTCAAAAGTGTATTCAAGAAAGCAACACTTAACTATTTTTAAAGAATTACTAATAGTTAACTAAAATGTCAATATATCCCATTAACATTATCAGTGATATACGAGGTCTCCTTAGACCTCCAGGTAAGATTATGGCTTCAAAGTTAAACGTTTTCAATAAAACCTAATACTTAACTTTATATATAAATGATCATACAGTACATTTATTTAAGCAGTAGTTAAGTGTTCAAATGAAAAAAAAAAGTTTCTCTAAAGCAAAAAGTTTTCCTGTTATCCATCTTTTTGTTAAATTATGTGGATACATACAAGAGAGACTTTGTCCCATTTTTTTCCTGTTTTTTAATACCTGTAACGATGAGGTTTCTTCACCCCTCCAGTAGAGGGCGCACTCTTGCGAGCGGCTTTTGTAGCCAGTTGCTTCCTGGGTGCTTTACCACCGGTCGATTTGCGGGCAGTCTGCTTTGTACGAGCCATGGTACAGAGACCTCCTTACTTACCTACCAGCATTGAAAAATCAAAAATCACCATATGCAACTACCAAACATACAACTTTTCCTGCCACGATCACCCCCTCCCCAAATCTGGAAATTATGATCAGTATAAAAAATAATGTTCGTATTGTTATATAATTTGAAAGGGTGAAGATTACGTCTACCCAAAATCTCTTCTTGAAACAAACTAGAGTACTAGAAAATTGTTAGCAGTATCAATCACCTCTCAAAATGCCAATTCTGAGCGACAAACGGCAAAACAAAAATACCTCGAACGGCCTTTGATCCAATTTATTTAATTAAAGCAGTAATTAGAAATGTCTGTAAACATTCCATCCACAAACAAGTCAAAAGAAAAAAGGCACAAACCACTGGAAGGTCGAGTCAAATTACAGCAAAAAAAAGGTCTTACTCCCCCCCACTTTGGCTGCCCCCCCTTCGTCTGACTGTTGATGGATTGCTGTAAATATCTGAAAATATTCTTGGTTTTGCATCTTTACAGTTATGTTGACAAAAAGGCGTCTCGAAAAAACAAGAGAGGAACAACAGCTACCACCAGCGAGCATTCTACAAAGCCCCGTCCTCGCGTCCAGTCCTCACAGGCTTCGCAGTGAAATAAAAAGTGCCCCGCACCCAGGCTTTAATTAACGCACGACATCCGCCGACCGGTCCACCCCAAGCACCACATAAACTTTTGGTTTTGCCTCCTTCGGGTCCCTCGGCACAGGGTCCCCCAACCTGCCCGCCTCGCTCCCAGCGCCTCGAGCAGGAACCAACTCGGCTCCCCGACCAGAACAAAATGGAAACAATCGCAAAACGTATCCGATTCCGTTCCAAAGAGACAAAACACCAAATCGCTCGAAAATACCCCTATCCCCTGCCACGTGCCGCCCTCCAAAATGCAAAAGTTTTTTTTGCATTTCAAATGCATCAAGTTTCCGCCTCTCCAAAAAAGGGAAAAAAACGTCCCTCTTTTAAAAATTCTTGCTTTTTTGAAATGGGGAAGAGAGAAACGGGGGAAAAAATATGGTCGGTGACCAGAGAAGAGAGACAAGATGGTGAAGCTTAGCAACAACTGTGGGGAGGCAGCAAAAAGCGAGTTACCCCAGGGTGCGAAGCGGCGGCGATTTCCACCCCTTTCCCGCTCGAAAACTGGGGGCTGGGGCCCGGGGGCGGTAGTTAAGAGGCCCGCGCGGGTCATGGTGAAGGTTTGGGGTCCGGGGAAGGGGCGGCGGGCGGGATTTCACCGAAGAAAGAGGAGCCAGGGGCGCGGGGAGGAGGAGGGAGAGCAGGCTCGGCGCCGCGGCGGTTGCTGCTGTTGGGCTGAGGCGGCGAGAGACGGGGGAGCCGCCGCCGCCAGAGGGAACAGGGAAACTCGCTCCTCACCTCCATTTCTGGGCCAAAAAGTTTGTGGGCTAAGCCGGAGGGGCTATGGGTCCCCTCCCGGCACCGCCAGGGCCCGGCTCGGGGCTGACGGCAAGCGGGGCTCGGTTCCGGGGAAGCGGGCAGACGGGGAAACTTACCCCCCTTCTCCTTCGGCTGGAGCTCGGCGAGCGAGAGGCGGCGCTGGCGTTGGAGAGCGACGGCGGCGCGGCGGCGGCTGCGAACACAATTGAAAGATGGCTGACACCGAGGCTATCCCCCAACACACGCCGCCCCGCCCCCGCGCCGCGCGCCAGCCAATCACACACAATGGAGGGAAGGCTCGGCCCCGCCCCCATAGCTCCTCTCGCGCCCCGCCCCCGCCCTTCCCCCCGCGCGCCCGTTCGCTGGCGCGCGCTCGCCCCTCCCCCGCGCGCCGCCCGCTCCCTCCTCCAGGCCGCCTCGCGCCGTGTGTGTACAAACACAAAAGACACGCTGAGGGGCCGCCGGCTCCCGCCGAGACTGCCGCCCGCACCCGGCCAGCCCCCGCCCCCGGCCCTGCACTCCCATCCCGCTCCGTGTGCGCACGGCGTCGAACCCCCGAAGCCCGGGTTTGGGGCGCCCGGAGGGAAGTGGGGGGAGGGGAAGGCGGGCGGAGGCGCGGCGGGTGAACGCCCGGCCTGCGGGCGTCTCGGGCCGCGGCGGGGAGGGGAGGGAGGGGCTGCCCCCGCGCGGGCCCCGGCGCGCGCCCCCGAGGAGACCCGGGCGGCAGTGGGGGAGGAGGACGCGGTCGGCCGGGTCGCCGCGCCCCATTGGAAAACGCTCCCCAGCAGGAAGCTGGCAAATAGGAATCCAGCGTCCCGCGCCCGCTGTCGGACCTGGCCGCTGCGGCAGCGGGAGGGGCGGACCGACGGCCTCCTTCCCGCCTGCGCGCTCGGCCAAGTGCGGCCGGGTCCTGCGGGACCGGCCCGAGTCCGCCGTAGACAACTTGATCCGCTAAGACTCCTGGGCCGGCCGCCTGCGTGCAGGGCAGCCCCTCGCCGGTGTTGGCCTCCGGGATCAGGGGACGGGGCTCGCTCTCCTCCCGGGCCCGGGCCCCCGACGCAAGATGGCTGTGTCGCGTCGGCCTCTAAACAATGTGTGGAGCGCGCAGCTCCTGCACCAGGGCCTGGTGGCTTGTCCTGCCCGCCCGTGGGGGCCGTGTGATCTGTTTTCGGTAGGATTGCTTTGGAAAGGAATTGCCGAATATAGATAGTCAAATGTCCGCAGCTTCTGCATAGTTTAGAAGAGGCTGAAAACGGCAGAAAGAAGGCAAACGTGGTTTGGGAATTAGTACATATACCTGTTTTCCAATTCTCAGTAGCATAGGAAACGGACTTTTCATGGCCCAAGTTATCCTCACGACTTGTCAGTTGATTGGCTTTGGAACCTCTGAACCGTCCCTAGATGGTATTGACGCTTCACAACTGTGTGTAAAGGTTTTCAATGGAAGGGTCATGCAAATATCCCGTAGGGTAGTGAAGGAGGAAAATTTCATAAATGAAGGGCAGTAATTATTTGTAATCTGAAGATCTCACAAAGCGGCTTAGTGATAAACATTATCCCGAAACAGATACATGGAAATCAGATACGAGGGAAGAAATGGATTTGTCCAAGGTCACTTAAGTGAGGAAGAGACCTAGGAGAAACAAACAGACAAAAATCCAGGCCTCCCGTTTCATTATTATTTCATGAATGTTAAGTGTCCATGGTTGCTGTGCAGAACACATGCAATCTCTAATCCTATCCTAAAAGCACATATGCAATCAGCTTGGACCGAGCTGCCAGCAAAGAATTTCCTATAATTCAAGCCAAGATGAGTTATTTTGCTTGTTTTTTGTTTTGTTTTCAGGAAACCGAAATATTTATTGTTGGATTTATCCAGGAAGGCTGTTCTGCATTAGTTAAATGCATCATATCTTCAAGAAATGTTAAATGACATGGGTAATGTTTTCTTTGTATGCTGGATTTTTCAATAGCTTCTACTTCTTGGCTTTAAAAAATATTTCTAACCAAGGGTCAGACCATTTTAGGTAGAGTAATTATGATCTTAGATGATTTGAACTAACTCAGCTGTCTGTCCATTTGTGAAATGGGAATAATAATATTTATCTCTATGAAGTTAGGCCACAAATTCTTTCTAGTAGGTTCAAGTATTTAAGCACCTGGAGAGGTGACTGGTTACCCTCCTAGTGGCTTCAGGAAGTTTTCTCACTGAATGAATATTTATTGAGTGCCAACTCTGCTCAGCACAATTCAGGGGTGCTGGGAATGCAGCAGTGAATAACACAAGCAGTGTTCCTGCCCTCATGGGGCTTATGATCTCTGGAAGCACTGCTTTGCACAGGGAAGTAGCACCAGGAGGGGGTAAAGAAAGAGGGACTTTGGAGCCCCAAGATTGGCAAAAACTATAGCTAATGAGAGAGGTGAACTGTAGAGTCTAGATAATGGGGAAGGAGAGGTGCCAGAGCAAGAAGGGATTCTCACAGGGCCCTACGGGTCAGTCCTGAATTGGCTTTACTAGAACTCAGGCCCAGCACAATGGCTCACATCTGTAATCCCAGCGCTTTGGGAGGCCGAGGTGGGTGGATCACTTGAGATCAGGAGTTTGAGACCAACCTGGCCAACCTGGAGAAACCCTGTCTCTACTAAAAATAAAAATTAGCCGTCATGGTGGCACACGTCTGTAATCCTAGCTACTTGGGAGGCTGAAGTGGGAGGATTGCTTGAATTTGGGAGGTGGAGGTTGCAGTGAGCCGAAATTTTGCCACTGCACTTCAGCCTGGGCAACAGTAAGACTCCATCTCAGAAAAAAAAAAAAATAGAATTCTTGGGCTAATAATGGCCTCAACATTTGCAGTTAAAAAAGAAATGGGGAGGATGGGAGCAAAAGGTTTTAAGTTAAAATATTTTCCTTAGAATAGAGTACTTATGGCCATGAATTTAGATTTGTTTATAAGTAGAAAAGTAGAATGGAAAGGATTTTAAAAGCAACGCTATTCATATCTGCTTGGCTCCTGTCAATCAACTGCAAAGATTACTGCCTCATGGAGATGCTTCTGGTCACTGTAATGCTATCTCCATGCACACTTTATCACATTGATTTCACATCACCTTTTTATCACATTGATTTACATCTATCATTTGTTCACTTGCTTATTGTCCAGTTCCTCCCCAAAGAATATAACCTCTGAGGTAATGGTGGTCTTGTCTGTTTTTTCTCCTGTCCCTGATCATTTGCTGTACCTTTTTATTAGGTGATCTCATCCAGTTACATGGAAATTATCATGTAGAAAAATAGAATAAAACAATGAACCCCTTGTACCCATCTTTAGAAATTACTGACTCATGACCAATATTGGGTTCCCTCTATACTCTACTCACTTCTACCTCACCGATTTGAATTATTTTGAAGCAAATCCCAGCCTGCATTATTTCATCTGTAGATAATTTAGTATGTATCATAGGAGTCAAATAGATGATTGATGTGCCCCTTAAATCTCTTATAATCTACAGATTCTTTCTCTGTATTTGTACTTTGTTGAAAAATATGGATTGGCCAGGCGTGGTGGCTCACACTTGTAATCCCAGCACTTTGGGAGGCTGAGGTGGGCTGATCACTTGAGGTCAGGAGTTGGAGACCACCTTGGCCAACATGGCGAAACCCTATCTCTACTAAAAATACAAAAATTAGCCAGGCGTGGTGGCTCACGCCTGTAGTCCCAGCTACTTGGGAGGCTGAGGTAGGAGAATTGCTTGAACCCCAGGAGGCGGAGGTTGCAGTGAGCAGAGACTGCGCCACTGCACTCCAGTCTGGGCGACAGAGCAAGACTCCGTCTCAAACAAAAGAAAAATATGGATCATTTATCCTGAGGCTTTGGATCCACACTGTCTAAAACTGTCCTTTCCCTCAGTCTTGTCCAGTAAATAGCACTACCATTTACTCAACTCAAACCAAAAAGTACAGACAGCCTCCTTGAGCCTCTTTTTCTTTCACCCCGATAGCCAGTCTATTGGTCTTGCTCTGAAATGCTTATCAGAATGACCTACTCCTCTTCTCATCTCTTACCTGCCCTTCAACAGTAACTTTCTGTATGACCTTTCTCTTTCCACTCCTGCACCTCTGTATTTTATTTGCTACCAAGCAGACACAGATTAGATTATAGAATATAAATCAGATTAGGTTGCATTCTTGCTTAATCCATTCAGTGGCCTCCCACTGCTCTTGGTTAAATTCCACATGTGTGGGCCCTGGCATTACCCCTCTTTCCCCTCCGCACTGTGCTGCAGACTAGCCACCCCTGGTCCATCAAGTCCTCCTCTGCCTTAGGATCATTGCATCTGTTCTTTCTGAAGCTTGAATTCTCTTCCACCAGCTTTTGATAGGACTGTCTCACCATCTTCTAAGGCAAACTTTCTAACCTTTCCCATGTCATTTTCTTCTTAGAAAATGATCATATTTGGCCAGGTGCAGTGGCTCACACCTCTAATCCCTGCACTTTGGGAGGCCGAGGTTGGTGAATCACCTGAGGTCAGGAGTTCGAGACCAACCTGGCCAATATAATGAAACCCCGTCTCTACTAAAAATATAAAAAATTAGCCAGGCATGGTCGTGGGCACTTGTAATCCCAGCTACTTGGGAGGCCTGAGGCAGGAGAATCACTTGAACCCGGGAGGTGGAGGTTGCAGTGAGCTGAGATCACACCACTGCACTCCAGCCTGGGCAACAAGAGCGAAACTCCATGTCAAAAAAAAAAAGAAGAAAATGATCATATTTGTAAGTTGCACCGAGGATTAGTGGAGGGTATTTGGAGCCACTCATATGGAACTTGATTTTTAAATTTGGGCTTGGCATGGTAGCTCAAGCCTGTAATCCCAGCACTTTTTTATTTGTTTGTTTGTTTATTTTTTTTTTTTTTGAGACAAGAGTTTTGCTCTTGTTGCCCAGGCTGGAGTGCAGTGGCTCGATCTCGGCTCACTGCAACCTCTACCTCCCGAGTTCAAGCGATTCTCCTGCCTCAGCCTCCTGAGCAGCTGGGATTACAGACATGCACCACCAGTTCTGGCTAATTTTGTGTTATTAGTAGAGACCGGGTTTCTCCATGTTGGTCAGGCTGGCCTGGAACTCAACCTCAGATGATCCGCCTGCCTCAGCCTCCCAAAGTGCTGGGATTACAGGTGTGGGCCACTGCGCCTGTAATCCCAGCACTTTTGGGACGCCAAAACAGGCAGATCACCTGAGGTCAGGAGAAGACCAGCCTGGCCAACATGGAGAAACCCCGTCTCTACAAAAATAAGCTGGGCATGATGGCGGTTGCCTGTAATCCCAGCTACTCAGGAGGCTGAGGCAGGAGAATCCCTTGAACCCAGGAGGTGGAGGTTGCAGTGAGCTGAGATCACGCCATTGCACTCCAGCCTGGGCGACAGAGTGAGACTCCATCTCAAAAATATAAATAAATAAATAAGCAAACAAGAAACTTAAAAAATAAATATAAAATTCATTACAGGCATACTTCATTTTATTGTGCTTCACAGATGTGTTACTTACTATTTGAAGGTTTGTGGCAACCCTGCTTTGAGCAAGTCATTTTTCTAATAGCATTTTGGTAATTCTCACAGTATTTCAAACTTTTCCATTACTATTTTTTCTTTTTTTGAGACAGAGTCTCACTCTGTCGCCGAGGCTGGAGTGCAGTGGCACTGTGTCAGCTCACTGCAACCTCCGTCTCCTGGGTTCAAGCAATTCTCCTGCCTCAGCCTCCCGAGTAGCTGGGTTTACAGGCGTCCACCACCACACCTGGCTAGTTTTTATATTTTTAGTAGAGACGGGGTTTCACCATGTTGGCCAGGCTGGTCTTGAACTCCTGACCTCAGGTGATCTGCCTACCTCGGCCTCCCAAGGTGCTGGGATTACAGGCATGAGCCACCGCGCCTGGCCTTTTCCATTGCTATTATTATTATTCGAGACAGAGTCTCACTCTGTGGTCCAGGCTGGAATGCAGTGGTGTGATCGCTGCTCACTGCAACCTCCGCCTCCCAGGTTCAAGCAATTCTCCTGCCTCAGCCTCCCAAGTAGCTGGAATTACAGGCATGTGCCACCATGCCCAGCTAATTTTTTTGTATTTTCAATAGAGACAGGGTTTTGCCATGTTGGCCAGGCTGGTCTCAAACTCCTGACCTCAAGTGATCTGCCCGCCTTGGCCAACCAAAGTGCTGGGATTATTGGCATGAGCCACCACACCTGCCCTCCATTATTATTATTTCAGTTATGGTGATCTGTAATCAGTGATCTTTGATGTTACTATTGTAATTGTCTTGGGCAGCCACAAGCTGCACCTGTATAAGATGGCAAACTTAACTCCATAAATGTCCTGTGTGTTCTGATGTCCACGGATCAGCTGTTCCCTCATTTCTCTTTCTCTCCTTGCGCCTCCAATTCCCTAAGACACAATATTGAAATCCAGGCCAATTAATAGCCCCACAGTGACCTCTAAGTGTTCAAGTTAAAGGAAGAGTTGCACGTTTCTCACTTTAAATCGAAAGCTAGAAATGATTTTGCTTAGTGAGGAAGGCATGTTGAAAGCCAAGATAGGCCAAAAGTTAGGGCTCTTACACCGAACAGTTAACCAAGTTGTGAAGGCAAAGGGAAAGTTCTTGAAGGAAATTAAAAGTGCTACTCCAGTGAGTACCTGAATGTTAAGAAACAGAACAGCCCTCTTGCTGATATGGAAAACATTTTAGTGGTCTGGACAAATCAAACCAGCTACAACATTCCCTTAAGCTAAAGCCTAATCCAGATCACAGTCCTAGCTCTCTTCAATTCTCTGAATCCTGAGAGAGGTGAGGAAACTACAGAAGGAAAGTTTGAAGCGAGCAGAGGTTGGTTAATGAGGTTTAAGTAATGAAGTCATCTCTAACAAAAAAGTGCAAGATGAAGCATAGGTGATCCAAAAGATCTAAGATAATTGATGAAGGTGGCTACACTAAACAACAGATTTTTGTTGAAGATGAAACAGTTTCTATTTGAAGGAGATGCCATCTAAGACTTTCATAGCTAGAGAAGAGAAATCAGTGCCTGCCTTCAAGTTTCCAAGGACAGGATGATTCTCTTGGTAGGGGCTAACACAGCTGTGACTTTCAGTGGAAGTCAGTGCTTATTTAGCGTTCTCAAAATTCTAGGGCCTTTAAGAATTATGCTAAATCTGCTCTGCCTGTGCGCTATATAAATGGAACAACAAAGCCTGGATGACAGTACATCTGTTTATAGCATGGTTTACTTTTTTTTTTTTTTTTTTGAGACGTAGTTTCACTCTTGTTGCCCAGGCTGGAGTGCAATGGCACCATCTCGGCTCACCACAACCTCTGCCTCCCAGGTTCAAGCAATCCTCCTACCTCAGCCTCCCAAGTAGCTGGGATTACAGGCATGCGCCACCACACCCAGCTCATTTTGTATTTTTAGTAGAGATGGGGGTTTCTCCATGTTGGTCAGGCTGGTCTCGAACTTCCGACCTCAGGTGATCCACCTGCCTCAGCCTCTCAAAGTGCTGGGATTACAGGCATGAGCCACCGCACCCGGCCTGAAAAAGAAAGTGAATTCTCATACAGCCTGCCTCATTCCTAACATTTATGAGAATATCTGAAATACCAGACAAGTTATCCTATTAAGAACTTTTTTCATAGACTGCTTCCAATTATATTATTAATAAGAAGTTTAATTGAAGAACAGATCAAACCTTAAGTGTGAAGCCTTTATCTCAATGATGAAAATTTCTAAGTCACCTCAGCCTAAAAATTCATTTACCTCTCTTGCAGTCTCAGATGGTTTGTCCCTCCCTAGGTTGCAATGTGAGGACTTAGGGGCTACATGGCTCCCTATTAAGACAATAAGCTTTCCCAAGTTCACTTTCTACACTGACATCCACCCACAGTATGACCCATCCTGTATACATTGTCCCAAGGCCTCATGGAGGGAGTGCTCCCTACTGTTAGTCTCCAAATGCAGCCCAGGAAGTCACCCCCTGCTGAGGTTGCCAGATAAAATGGTGCGTGGGCATACTTACACTAGAAAATAATTCGTTGTTTATCTGAAATTCAAATTTAGCTGGGCATTGTATGTTTTGATTTGCTAAATCTGGCAGACTTAACCGCCTGCTATAGTGCTGTTTCTTTCAACTCTCCATGGCCCCAGCTCCTGGTTGTTGACATTGTTCTGAGCTGTTCGTTAGCAGCTGAACCTGGCTTCCTTCCGTGGGCCTGAAGGGCTGCTGTCCACTTGCATTCTTGCCACATCCATCCTTCCCTTTCTAGCAAGAGAATTTTTCCATGTATAGGTCTCCATATTGAAGGTAAAGAGTTTCCAGACCCTCTCAGGTCCCTTAACCGTTGTCTTTCATGGACATTTAAAACTCTCCACAGACAGGGCAGAGCTTCATAATAGCTGAGATTACTCTGGTCTCCCTCCTAGATACTCTGCCAAGAAACCTACCCCATGGAGCTGTCAGGTTCTTGTCACAGTTTACTGTACAAAGCTCGCTGTGAAAGTTGACAGTGCCATCCAAGTTCAATTCCTAATTAGTTCTTCACAAAGCAGAACCTACCCAGTGACAATCCCTAGGCATAACCAGGATAAAAGAGGACCAAATGGGAATGGCAGGGACTTTGAAGTCAAACGGGGCTGAGTTTGAATCCCAGCACTGCCACTTATTACTAGGGGAGTATTAACCCCTCTGGATCCTAGATTCCTTGTCTGTAAAATGAGTAAATTTACCTTAAAGTACGATTAATAGTCCTACCTTGTTAGGTTGCTGTAAGGATTAGAGAGAATGAAGATGGAGTACCTGACGCAGAGTCCAGACTCCACTAATGATGATCCGTTGTGTCATACCCATCTTTACTGCTTTCAAAAGAGTGATACGGTCTTTATTATTACAACTTAAAATAGCTGTATTAATGCTTCCCAAACATGTCTGTGAAATGTGACCTTTTTGAACCATGAAGTTCAGGTTACCTTTAGGGGGAAGGTGCTTAATTAAGCAATAGCTGGCTGGATGTGGTGGCTCACACCTGTAATCCCAGCACTTTGAGAGACCAAAGTGGGCAGATCACTTGAGGTCAGGAGTTCGAGACCAGCCTTGCCAACATGGTGAAACCCTGTCTCTACTAAAAATACAAAAATTAGCCAGAAATCACTTGAACCTGGGAGGTGGAGGTTGCAGTGAGCTGAGATCGTGCCACTGCACTCCAGCCTGGAGTGGACCCAGTCTAAAAAAAAAAAAAAAAAGCAATAGTCACATTACTAGAAGCCCCTCAATGTCCCCAGTCTGTGAGGTAGAAAAGTAATTGCAGCATCAGGAGGGTAGAAGATTTCTCCAGACTGGTTCCATAGGAGAGAGAGAAACAGACTCTGCCAAGGCAGTCTTCTGGCCTGTGAGTGGTATCCTTCCCTCTCAGTCATCAAGGATGCCCCACTGCTACTCAAAAGCCACAGGAAAAGTTACCAGTTATGTTGGGATTATAGTTTTGTGTTTCCTTGAGGGTGATCAGCTCCTTTCTTGCTTATAGGTTTCTTTTTTTTTCTTTTTTTTGTTTGGACAGAGTCTCACTCTGTCACCCAGGCTGGAGTGCAGTGGCACGATCTTCTTGGCTCACTGCAACCTCCACCTCCCAGGTTCAAGCGATTCTTCTGCCTCAGCCTCCTGGGTAGCTGGGATTACAGGTGTGTGCCACCCACGCTTGGCTAATTTTTATGTTTTTAGTAGAGATGAGGTTTCACCATGTTGGCCAGGCTGGTCTCGAACTCCTGACCTCAGATGATCTGCCCACCTCGGCCTCCCAAAGTGCTGGGATTACAGGCGTGAGCCACTGTGCCCAGCCATGTTTCCTGAACACCCAAAGTAGCTTAAGTCACACATATTTACCAGGAGTCAGTGATGAAAGAGAGGTCCATTGTCATTCCAAAATGCGCCCTTTACACTTATTAGGAAATAAGGTAACATTATTTCCACAAACATTAAATGCGGGTGATACAGATATTAGTAAAAGTCTTTTTTTTTTTTTTTTTTTTTTTTTTGAGATGGAGTCTCGCTCTGTCACCCAGGGTGGAGTGCAGTGGCACCATCTCGGCTCGCTGCAATCTCTGCTTCCTGCGTTCAAGCGATTCTTCTGCCTCAGCCTTCCGAGTAGTTGAGACTACAGGCGTGAGCCACCACGCCCAGCTAATTGTTATACTTTTAGTAGAGACGGAGTGTAACTGTATTGGCCAGGCTGGTCTCGAACTCCTAGACCTCATGATCTGCCTGCCTCGGCCTCCCAAAGTGCCAGGATTATAGGCATGAGCCACTGCGCCCAGCTAGTGAAAGTCTTTCTATAACCACTATTGCCCCCATAAATTTTCTTCCTTTTCTTTTTTCTTTCTTTTTTTTTTTAATAGTGATAGGATCTTGCTCTGTTGCTTAGGCTGGAGTGCAGTGGCTCATAGCTCATTGTAACATCCAACTCCTGGGCTCAAGCCATCCTCCCACCTCAGCCTCCTGAGTAGCTAGGATTACAGGCATATGTCACCATGGTTGGATAATTTTTAAAATTTTTTCCCATAGAGATGTCACATAGAGATGGGATCTTGCTCTGTTGGCCAGGCTGGTCTCAAACTCCTGGCCTCAAGTGATCCTCCTGCCTCAGCTTCCCAAAGCATTGGGATTATAGGTATGAGCCACTGTGCCCAGCACTCCTACAAATTTTCATGTGTGGGTATGAAATCCCCTGACTCCCTAATAAGCCCAATGGTTGAAAATTTAAAGGTCAACATGTTTATCAGAAATGAGAAAATAGGCCAGACGCAGTGTTTCATGCCTATAATCCCAGCACTTTGGGAGGCCGAGGCAGGCAGATCACCTGAGGTCAGGAGTTTGAGACCAGCCTGGCCAACATGGCGAAACCCTGTCTCTACTAAAAGTACAAAAAATTAGCCAGGTATGGTGACGTGTGCCTGTAGTCTCAGCTACTTGGGAGGTTGAGACAGGAGAATTGCTTGAACCTGGGAGGTGGAGGTTGCAGTGAGCCACTGCATTCCATCCTGGGCGACAGAGCGAGACTCCATCTCAAAAAAATTTATATTATGTATAATAATATATGTATAATTTGTGTTATTACATTATATATTTTGTTATATATTATGTATAAATAATAACATTATTATTAGAGAGTCCATCAAATAGTTGAGAAAAACATAGCTAATATTTATTGAGCATTTATGGTGTGCCAGGCCCTGTGTTGAATGTTACATGTGCTTTCTCAATAATAATAATGTGTCTATTATTCTGCCCCAGTTACAGATGAGGAAATAGGCTAAGGAAGGTTGGGTAACTGACCAGGCTGGCAAGTGGCAGGGCTGGGACTCCACCCCGAATCTGCTCAGTAGCCCAGGCTCTGCTGTCCATATGATTCACAAGCATTTATTCAACTAAAATTAGTCACAGACAGTTATCAGAAATTTACCTTTAAAATCTTAAAAAGGGCCATATTTGATTTTTTTTTTTTTTTTTTTTTTTTTATGAAACAGTCTCGCTCTGTCTCCCAGGCTAGATTGCAGTGGTGCGATTTTGGCTCACTGCAACCTCCACCTCCCGGGTTCAAGTAATTCTCCTGCCTCAGCCTCCTGAGTAGGTGGGATTACAGGCGCCCGCCACTGTGCCTGGCTAATTTTTGTATTTTTAGTAGAGGCGGGGTTTCACCATGTTGGCCAGACTGGTCTCAAATTCCTGACCTCATGATCCACCTGCCTCAGCCTCCCAAAGTGCTGGGATTACAGGTGTGAGCCACCACGTCCAGCCTGATCATATTTTTACCTATCAAGAATTGGACCAGTTTTCTAGAGTGTCATATAAATATACTAATAACCTCACAACAAGTTGCTGAAATTAATAAATATATATGTATCAAAGATTATAATGCATAATGTTAAAAGCTGCAGTAATTTTCAAAGAAAGTAGTACCTAGATACAAGAGTCCTCCAGTAAGGAAGGTGAGTAACTACCCATTTGCCATGAATCAGCAGTTAGCCTATTAGTGGTGCTTCACAAATACTTTTTTGTCATCTTTGAGGGGTAGAAGCACTGCTATTCCATAGCTCCTAGAGAGATGTAGCGGCCAGGATGAAACTCAGAAGCCCAGGGAGCTCCAGCCGTAGGATCCCAGAGCTCAGTCTCTCTGCTCCCCTGGAATGTGTTTTTCCAAACTGCGGTGTGAGGCTGAAGGGCCAGCACACTGGACCCAGGCTTATGAAATGGACAAGACTAATGTGAAAGGGACTGGTTCTTTGCGGGTGCTCATTAAATGTGGTTTCCCCTTCTCTTATTCAATAAATAGCTATTTGGTTTGTGTCATCTCCTATTTATTGCTATATTAGAAAATAATAGCATCATTCCCACATACAGCATCTGTGACTAGAGCTGACAAGACCAACATAGGGCAACAGTGCTTTCTGTGGCATTTGCATAGAAAGTGCGCCCTTCGAATAGGCAGTATGCCTGGAGCTGTTTGGAGTTTAGCCTGAGACTCAAATCTGCAAAAGCCTTTTCTGAGAAAGCTACCCTGTTTGTGATTGCTACATTCCAGTTTATGTGACAGCCATTGCTTTGTTTCCTAGCAGTCCATAGATACATCATTGGAAATTGTGGTTTGGAGCATCATTTAAGGGTTTTTTTATTTTTTAATACGTGGTTTAAATGACACCGCTCTTCAGTTTATCATCTTCAGTATAGCATCTGTTTTTTATTCATCTTGTATCTGTACTTTACCTACTAAAGTAGGGGGCCATTGTTCAATGAAATTATCATGAAAATCATTTCAAAACTTTACCACTTTAGTTTGTTGGTGGTGATTATATGGAACAGACCCCCTCAGATATTGTTGATGACTGTATAAATTGATAAAACCTCTTTTGAAAGCAATTTGCACATGCATCAAGGATCATGAGCATATTCATACTCTGAGCCTATAATTCAGCATCTAGAATCTAAACCAAGGAAAAATAAAAATACAGAAAATATATGTCTAATGGTATTTATTGCAGATTTATTAATAGTGCAGAAGTATAAACAAATAGACATATGATTAATATATTTTAGTAAACCCCAAGTGAAATATCCTGCCATTAAAATGCTATCCTTAGTAAGTTTTACTAGAAATGTTTCTAAAAATGTTTTTAAAATTGTAATGTTGGCCAGGTGTGGTGGCTCACAGCTGTAATCTCAGCACTTTGGGAGGCCAAGGTGGGAGGATCACATGAGGCCAGGAGTTCAAACCAGCCTGTGCAACATGGCAAGACCCCATCTCTACAAAGAAAAAAAGACATTGTAATGTGGGTTGGAGAAAGTGAGATATAAAATTGTATATTTATTTTATGCTGGGAAAATTATACACAAGTATACCCATATACCAGGATGGTGGTATTATGGGTGATATGTTTTTCTTTCTACTTTTCCAACATTTTTAATAATGTGATTACATTATTTTTATAGTGGAAAGATTTTTTAATAATTAAAAAACTCGTAAGTGCAAGTAGAACCGTATGCCATTATGAGGAGAATTTTTAGAACTAAGGATACCAGGACACCTGGCCTGACTTAAAGCCTAGCAATAGGACACAGGGTTTGAAATTGAAACTATTCCCCCAAATCCAAGACATACACATATCCATAGATAAATTGGCAATGATGGCTGTAAACCAAAAGTGATTTGGGTAACTCAAGTTTATTTGAGGGAACCCCTCCAGACATTATGTTGGCAGGAACTATGGCCACCCATGGTGCCATACATAACCCCGGTACAAGCTGTCAGGGAACCAAATAAAATTGATATGCCCTCATGTGGCTCAGACAGTGAGTCTTGTCAGCAGTTGTTCTGCCCAGGAAACTTCTCTGTTGATAGTGTCATCATTCTATACAAAGGCAAGTCTGGCCAGTCCTAACTAACAGATACCAGTACAAAGGCATTACAATGTCTTATCCATGATTGGAAGCTTTTTGTTAGTGTTCAGATGACCACATTCTTCTACTTTTCCCCTCTCCCAGGACATTCACTCAGCCTGTCCTGGGAGAAGAGCCTTCCTCCTAGTCCCTGCATTCAGCAGTGCATCTGGAGTGATGGTGCAGTGGAGAATGTCTTGTTATTAGTTTCTGGACACTGTCTCTCTCTTTCTCTCTCTCTCTCTCCAAATTAAGTTTTAATAAAAATATATTGGTGAATGTCTTGAAGATTCATTCATTCATTTGGTCATTTCTTCATTTATTAAAGGATTCATTAAAACAAACATAATAGGCCAGGCATAGTGGCTCACGCCTGTAATCCCAGCACTTTGGGAGGCCAAGGTGGGTGGATCACCAGAGATCAGGAGTTCGAGACCAGCCTGACCAATATGGTGAAACCACGTCTCTACTAAAAATACAAAAATTATCTGGGCGTTGTGGTGTGTGCCTGCAATCCCAGCTACTCAGGAGGCTGAGATGGGAAAATTGCTTGAACCCAGGAGGCAGAGGTTGCAGTGATTCAAGATGGCACCACTGCACTCCAGCCTGGGCGACTGAGTGAAACTGTCTCAAAACAACAACAACAACAAAAACAGGCATAATTTATTACATACTGGAATTAAAGAACACAGAAAACCACCACCCTTCTTTCAGTTTATAGGCTAAATCAGGCTCACAGATAAAAATCTAAGGATCCTCAGCGTGGTATTCCAGAAATTGCTGGGGAAGCTGGCAGGGTTGGGGGGTGGTGGGGGAAGTGGGGGCCGTGATGGGTGTGCTTAGGACCTGGTAATGAGAGTGAGATGGGACCACATGTTCCTTAGGGAGTAGAGCTCAGACTGGGGAAGGGGAGAGGCTCTGGGAATTGCTGAAGGGAGTGGGACTCGGGTGTGGCCCAGGAAGGTCTTGGGAGGGCTGGTAACTACTGGTGAGCTGAGTGTAGCTTGAAACTTAAAGGGAGATTCAGGAAAGAGATGAAAGAAGACAAATGTCACATACTAGACAATTTTGCTTAAGTCTATCTCTTGAGTGAGGGAACAGTAGGACTGTTGCTTTTTCTTCCTGAATCCACCTCTGCAGTTTGGTCCCCTTTGGGTAGATCTGCAAATAGGGAAGTGTTCATGGCCACCTGCCCAGGAGGCTTCCTAAGAATTTGTTGAGCAAATTTCTTTGATACCCGGGATTTGATATTTGCCAAGAGTCAGCCTGAACAAATTCCTAACTGTTGAACATGAAAGCAGAATTCTCAGAGTTGGCCAGCTCTGCAAATTGTGTCTTTCCCTAGCAGAGAACTTGCAGTAGTACAGGCTATTTCCTCATCCACTAAGCACATGCTTGTTGGCCTATGTGGTGGTCTAGCCTTTGCATTCTTGCCTTTGAGAAGATTTCTGGAGAGTACCAGGCAAGATTCTTCTCCAGCCTAGGAGGTGGGACGGCAAGAGGATGGGCTCTCCAGTTCTTTTTTGTCTATTAATTCTACTCCTCCCCTTCTAGGATCTTCCTTTCTCTCTTCATCTCCATTCTCCCCCCTTTTTCTCTACCCTCTTATTCCCTATTCTGGCCAAATGGATTAGGGAGTGGGGAGGGAATGGTCAGGGCTGGAAAGTCCATTCTTATTTATTTTTCTCTTTATAGCAAATCCCAAGACTTCCTTCATGGAAGCACGTGGGAAATTACACCCCTGGGTTGCTGAGGCCACTTAATTTAAAAAGTAAGCCCAGTCTGGAGTGTATCAGTTGGGTGAAGCATCCATCCCTGGGGCATGGTCTTCAAATGCCTGCCATGTCTTGGAGAAAAGCTGGGGCTCACAGAGTGCTGCTGCCCCTGCCTTGCACACACATGTGCAAGGGTTGGTGGTGCTGGGGACCAGGCTTAGGTAGAAGGGAGGTCAGCCCTTCCAGAAGTGAATATTCTGAACTCAGCCTCTCTAACTCCAAATAACTTAAAATGAAAGATTTGTCTGGGAGCAGTGTCTCATGCCTGTAATCCCAAAACTTTGGGATGCTGAGATGGGAGGATCGTTTGAGGGCAGGAATTCAAGACCAGCCTGGGTAATATAGTGTGATGGTTAATATTTGGCGTCAACTTGATTGAAAGATGCCTAGATAGCTGGTCAAGTATTGCTTCTGGGTGTGTCTGTGAGGGTGTTGCCAGAGGAAATTAACATTTGAGTCAGTGGACTGGGAGAGAAAGATCCACTCTCAATGTGGGTGGGCACCATCCAATCGACCACCAGCATGGCTGGAACAAAGCAGACAGAGGAAGGTGGGATAAGACGGCTTGCTGAATCTTCTGGCTTTCATCTTTCCTCTGTGCTAGATGCTTCCAGCCCTGAAGCATCAGACTCCAGGTTCTTTGGCTTTTGGACTCTTGGAGTTACACCAGTGGTTTCCCAGGAACTCTCCAGCCTTGGGCCACAGACTGAAGTTTGCACTGTCGGCTTCCCTGCTTTTGAGGTTTTGTGACTCAGACTGAGCCAACTGGCTTCCTTGCTCTTCAGGTTGCGGACGGCCTATCGTGGGACTTTGCCTTGTGATTGTGTGAGTCAATTGTCCTTAATAAACTGCCTTTCATATATACATCTATCCTATTAGTTCTGTCCCTCTGGAGAACTCTGACTGCTGATACACATAGCAAGACCCCGTCTCTAAAAAAAAGAGAGAAAGGCACATTGGAAAATAGAGAATAGATCAAGAAAACAATCCACTCATAATTCCATTACCCTATCACTACCACTAGTAGCATTCCAAAAAGGTTTTCATTATTAATTCAGGTTGGTGCTATAGTGGGTACACAGGGTCAAGGGGAAGGTACCTGCAAAGTCTAAGTGAAGCAAAGACTATCCTTTGAGAATGAAATTAGGAAAAATTGTTGAGATCAGCCCTCTATAGCAATGGCCCAATCTATGAAACTGAAATAACTTTGCTGAGACATTTCAGCTTTCTCATCTGTAAAATGGCAATAATACTTGAATTCCCTCCTTTTCAGACTTGTTGTGAGATTAAAATAAAATAATAAAAAGCAACAAATTATAAAGTCATTAGTAAATGGATGTATCCTACTGTGTCATGATTATCCAATTTATTTAAATGACATAGGCAATCAAATTTCATAATTCAGGATTTAAAAAATTGTACTTGGGGCCTCTCAATTCCTTTCCTGTCTGATTTGGTGAAATATAATAGGTAGGTAGTTGGTAAATAAGTCTTGTTTCTCACAGGTTGTATATATCTATCTGGTTGGAAATAAAATAAAGATATGGCAGACTAATGCCTATTTGCACGTGCTTTTAGAACATCTCTACTGTACTGTAGCACCATTAGATGATTAGTATTAGTAACTAATGCTCTGGAAGTATGAGAATAATAAAATAATGATGAAAACAAAAAGAATAAAGAAAAATAGAATACTCATACTTTATTATAGTTTTGTATTCTTTTTTCTAACTTTAAAAAAAATTTATTATAGCCACACTGAGAAACAGTCTATAAAAAAATGAAAACAATTCTTATTTTTTAGAGACAGGGTCTCACTCTGTTGCTCAGACTGGAGTGCTATGGCATGATCATAGCTCACTGCAGCTTTGAACTCCTGAACTCACGCAATCCTCCCACCGCAGCCTCCTGATTAGCTAGGACTACAGATGCACACTACCATGCCCAGCTAACTTTAAATTTTTTTTTTTTTTTTTTGTAGAGAGAGGGTTTGTTTTGTTGTCCATGCTGGTCTCAAACTCCTGGCCTCAAGCAATCCTTTTGCCTCAGCCTGCCAAAGTCCTAGGATTATAGGTGTGAGCCACCACCTCCAACTTAGGTTTGTATTATAAAATTAACCTCAGAAGCAAATCACTGCTCCAGACTCTGTGAAACCATGTGATCTTGGTCTATTTTGTGTTGCCATAACAGAACACTTGAGACTGGGTAATTTATAAACAAAAGAGGTTTATTTGGCTCACAATTCTGCAGGCTGGGAAGTTCAAGGGCATGGCCCTGGCCTCTGGTGAGAGCTTCCATGCTGCAACATAACATGGTAGGGAAGGTCAAAAGGGAAGTGAACACATGTGAAGAGGGAGAACCTGAGGGATGTCTCAGCTTCATAAACAACCCACTCTCACTGGAACTAATCCTTTCCGACAGGAACTAATCCAGTCTTACACCAAGCCATTCATGAGGGATCCCCCCCATGATCCAGACACCTCCCACTAGGCCCACCTCTCAGCACCACCACATGGGGGATCAAATTTCAACACGAGTTTTGGTGGGGACAAACAAACCATGTCCCAGCCACGCCACATGTGGCACACCAAAGCAGAAACATAAACATATGAACAGCTGTTTTAGAGAAAGTCTGTTTTCTATGCTGCCAGAAATACAAAGCAACGGTACTTATTCTGATGGGTTCTTGAGTTATTTCAATCTTTTCCACATATTTCCTAAGCATCATTCCTTCATGTACAATTAGATGGCCCTCAGGCTTCATCCCATCAGAGATCAGAGTCAAATCCCTATGAAATGAGTTGAATTTCATCCTCCCAAAATTCACATGTTAAAGTTCTAACCCATAGCACTTCAGAATGTGACGTGATTTAGAAATAGGGTCATTACAGGACAAGTGCAGTGGTTCATGCCTATAATTCCAGCACTTTGGGAGGCCAAGGCAGGAGGATTGCTAGAGCTCAGGAGTTTGAGACTGGCCTGAGCAACATGGCAAAACCCCATCTTTGCAAAATACACAAAAATTAGCCAGACATGGTGGTGCGTGCCTGTAATCCCAGCTACTTGGGAGGCTGAGGCACGAGAATTGCCTGAACCTAGTAGGTGGAGGTTGTAGTGAGCCAAGATTGTGCCACAGCACTCCAGCCTGGGTGACAGAGTGAGACTCTGTCAAAAAAAAAAAAGAAAGAGGAAGGAAGGAAGGAAGGAAGGAGAAATAGGTCATTACAGATGTAATTAGTTATTTAAAAAAAATAAGAAATAGGGTCATTACAGATGTAATTAGTTAAAATGAGGTCATACTGGAATAGGGTGGGCCCCTAATCCAATATGACTGGTGTTCTTTTTTTTTTTTTCTAAACAATATTGTATAAAGACTGGTGTTCTTATCCAAGGGAGAAATTTGACAGACATGCATAGAGGAAAGATGGTGCAAAGAGACACAGGGAGAAGACGGCTACCTACCAGCCAAAGAGAGAGGCCACAGACAGATTCCCTTACAGCTCTCTGAGGACCAAGCAGCCCTTCTGACACCTTGATTTCAGACTTCCAGCCTCCAGAATGCGAGACAATACATTTCTGTTGTTTAAGCTATCCAGGCTGTTGCCCTTTGTTATGGCAGCAAAAAAATACACCTTTCTTGTAGGAGATACTTATTTGTGATTAGTTCCAGAGGAAGAACTTCCTGGAGAAGGTGGGCAGGTCAGTGGGAGCTCAGCCCCTCACATGGGGCTGTTGGCCTTCAGGCTGCCAAGGCCCATCCAACACTTGAGACGGTTAATGGCACCCATGTAAGGCCAGGGATTTGGGGAAGATGATTTCCCTCCATCTCTGGCACAGACTGATCCTGGCCTAAAGTAACTCACATTATGCTTCCTCTCTTGACCTACACTTGACTGCCATTACTGAGACAAGACCGGCACATGGCCAGGCACAGTGGATGGCTCATGCCTGTAATCCCAGCACTTTGGGAGGCCAAGGCGGGTGGATCACTTGAGGTCAGGAGTTTGAGACCAGCCTGGCCAACATGGTGAAACCCGTCTCTACTAAAAATACAAAAAAATAGCCAGGCGTGGTGGTATGTGCCTGTAATCCCAGCTACTCGGGAGGCTGAGGCAGGAGAATCACTTGAACCCAGGAGGTAGAGGTTGCAGTGAACCAATTTTGCACCATTGCATTCCAGCCTGGGTGACAGAGTGAGACTCCATCTCAAAAAAAAAAAAAAAGAAAAAGACGGGCACAACACTACATTGAGATTTTGTTCCATCAGAACTTCCTCTGGCCACAGAGTCAAGTCATTTGTAAACCATCATCACTTGTGCAAATCTGAAAACTGGGGACTCTGCAGAGGATGACAAAGGACACCGGATGTGGACAGAGGAAGTTGTGATGAAGTAAAAAAAAATCCCTCAGTGAAATCAACCAAAGTGTCCATTTCTACTTTGATAATGTTACATGAGAGTGGAAATGCAACTTATTTTATAGGAATACTAATTTTGCAATGAGTTTGCTAAGGTGTATGCCCTGCCCACTGCTGATGGACCAGGGTTGGGGATCTGGTCCTGAGACCAGCCAGTCCACTGGATAAACTGTGCCCTAGATGCCCTCCCTTGAACACTTTCACTCAGGTCTGCCATCATTCTGTGGATAAGAGGGACAGAGAGATGCCTTTTTTTTTTTTTTGACAGAGTCTTACTCTGTCGCCCAGGCTGGAGTGCAGTGGCACGATCTCGGCTCACTGCAACCTCCACCTACCGGGTTCAAGCAATTCTCCTGCTTCAGCCTCCCAAGTAGCTGGGATTACAGGCACGCACCACCATGCCAGGCTAATTTTTGTATTTTTAGTAAAGACAGGGTTTCACCATGTTGGTCAGGCTGGTCTCGAGCTCCTGATCTCATGATCCACCCACCTTGGCCTCCCAAAGTGCTGGGATTACAGGTGTGAGCCACTGCGCCCGGCTGAGAGATGCCTTTTAAGAGAAAGCTAGGCAGAAGACACTGCTCAGGAGAGATGAGTGGAGAGAGGTGGAGCTGAAGGAACCTGAAGTACAGAAAGCAGAGGGGAGCCTCCTTTTCTGTCCCACCGTGGTCCCCTAAGGCGCATCCTTTCGCCCTGTTTCCTGCTCTTTGAATCCAGCAATCCAAGATTGCCTGCTGTGTCCTAGTAATGCCCACTGCTGGCCCCACCCTCTCTGACCTGAGCTAGCTCAAGTGGATACCTGTTCATTGTAACCCCTCACCTTGCCCGGAGCAGCATCTTGTCCTTACCCGGGGAGCAGTCCAGCCACCCCGTCCCTGGGCTGCCGAGCACCTGGAGAAACAGCAGCCAGAAGACTGGACCCCACTACTGTTCATATCCCTGTCTGCATGGATTGAAACTCTGTTTTATTCACTGCTGTGGTTCTAGCCCCTAGTGCAATTCCTGCCACATAGTGAGCACTCAAGACAGTGTTTGAATGAATGAAATGCATTGCTTCAACCTCTGCTGGGCTATCTGAGCTCTCTGTCTTCTCTCAGCACTTTTCACCTGTCTTTGCTTAAGTCCTGTTTGTTTCCTGCCCTGGCTCTTCCACTTGCTCAAGTTACCCTCCTGCTGCCTCTCTCTTCAGCAGTAATAGCTAACGTTTACTGAGTGCATATTGTGGACTGGGCACTGTTCTAAGTGTTTTTACATGTGTGAAATCCTTTAATCCTCTTGAAACCTATGAAACAAATCCTATTATCACTCCTATCTTACAGATGAGAAAGCTGAGGCATGGAGACTAAGTGACTTGTCCAAGGTCACAAAATAGCAATAATGAGGACTCAAACTAGACAGTCTGGCTCTAGTCAACATCCTTAACCCCTCATTAGCTTCGTGATAATAAAACCCAGCAGTGCTCAGCAGCCTAACTAAAAGAGCAGAGAAAACTCTTTCTTCATTAGAAGAGAACAAGACTATTCTTTATAAAATGTTTGTGAAAAGGAGTGATTGGTCTCTAGTTTGGGTGCCTAGCACAAGTCACCACCCCCTGGTTCACCAAGAAAACTGAGGGAATTAGGTATGAATTCTGCAGACCCTCCTGCCTGCAGACATCTTTGTCAGACCATTCTGCTGCCTTCCTCCTGTCTCAGAGAACTGGGTCTGCCCTTGCTTTAGCTCTTGATCTAGGTCCCTCCTGACTGTTTTGGGGGTTGCCTCGTTAGATGCACCCATCAGGGTCCTGGCAGAAGAGAGGTGGTGCACTCAAAACTTGGGCTGCCGAGCACCGTCAGAGTTTAAGCAGGGTTCGATGAAGAGCCCACCCACAGGGTGTAAGCAGAACAGGACAGGGTGTGTGGGCACAGGCAATAGCAAGGACCCACAAGGGGGGTAAACGGTGACCCTGGGGCCTGGCACAAGTGGGCTCTGTGGAGAGTGGGGGCCTGGGAGTGAGGTGGAGTAGAGTTGTATTTGACAGCAACAAGCCTTGCCGCTCTCTCTCCTGCCCATCCGTGGTGCAGAGGCTCCTGGAAGCTGGAGGGCAGTGGAGGCTGCCTGATGGAGTCTCCTGGAACACGGAGCAGTTGTGGAGAAGTGAGGGTCTTGGGTACACGGAGCATAGCCAGCGCATGGCTTCCCCGTCCTGTGTGCTCAGCCTCCCCTTCTCTGTTAGAATGCTGTCTTCTCTCCTCTGCTGACCCACATCTCCCCTTCCTTCCAGGGACAATTAATCTACAGAATAGTTTCTAATAATCGTCTCCACTTCCTTACTACCTATTAACTTTATTTATTTATTTATTTATTTATTTATTTATTTATTTATTGAGACGGAGTCTTGCTCTGTCGCTTAGGCTGGAGTGCCATGGCACGATCTCAGCTCACTGCAACCTCCGCCTCCCAGGATCAAGCAATTCTCCTGGGATTATGGCCAAACCCCATCTCTACTAAAAATACAAAAATTAGCTGAGTGTGGTGGCGGGTGCCTGTAATCCCAGCTACTCAGGAGAATGAGGCAGGGAGAATTAATTTAACCCAGGAGGCGGAGGTTGCAGTGAGCTGACATTGCACCACTGCACTCCAGCCTGGGCAATAGGGTGAGACTCTGTCTTCAAAAAAAAAAAAAATTGATGCAGAAGAACAATTTTTTTTTTTCTGGAGACGAAATCTCACTGTCGCCCAGGCTGGAGTGCAATGGTGCCATCTCGGCTCACTGCAACCTCCATCTCCCAGGTTCAAGTGATTCTCCTGCCTCAGCCTCCCGAGTAGCTGGGATTACAGGCATGCACCACCATGCCTGGCTAATTTTTGTTCTTTTAGTAGAGACGGGGTTTCACCATGTTGACCAGACTGGTCTCAAACTCCTGACCTCAGGTGATCCGCCTGCCTCAGCCTCCCAAAGTGCTGGGATTACAGGCGTGAGCCACTGTGCCTGGCCAACTTTTTAAAATCCTTATTGCGTTTTAGATTACAAGTACAACATTAAGTTATGTAAAATTTGAACACTACAGGCCGGTCGTGGTGGCTCATGCCCCTAGCACTTTGGGAGGCCTAGGCAGGCGGATCACCAGAGGTCAGGAGTTCGAGACCAGCCTGGCCAACATGGTGAAACCCCGTCTCTACTAAAAATATTAGCCAGGCATGGTGGCAGATGCCTGTAATCCCAGCTACTCGGGAGCTGAGGCAGGAGAATCGCTTGAATCCGGGAGGCGGAGGTTGCAGTGAGCCGAATTGTGCCACTGCACTCCACTCTGGGTGACAGAGCAAGACTCTGTCGCAAAAAAAAAAAAAAAAAAAAAGGCGCAGTGGTTCACACCTGTAATCCCAGCACTTTGGGAGGCCAAGGTGGGCGGATCACGAGGTCAGGAGATTGAGACCATCCTGGCTAACACGGTGAAACCCCGTCTCTACTAAAAATACAAAAAATTAGCTGGGCGTGGTGGCGGGTGCCTGTAGTCCCAGCTACTCGGGAGGCTGAGGCAGGAGAATGGCGTGAACCCGGGAGGTGGAGCTTGCAATGAGCCGAGATCGTGCCACTGCACTCCAGCCTGGGTGACAGAGTAAGACTCTGTCAAAAAAAAACAAAAACAAAAACAAAAAACTACAAAAGTATATAATATATAAAGGAGAGTCTTCCATTGAATTAACCCATACATACACTAGAAACCACCGCTGTCAAGAGTATGGTGCATGTTTGTCTAACTTGTAAAAAGTATATGTATGATCCGAATGACTGAAATAAAAAATAATGACACCATTAAATGCTGGTGAGGATAGAGAGAACTTTGATCACTCACATATTGCCAGTAGGAAAATAAAATGGCATGGCCACTCTAGCAAAGAATATGACTGCTTCTTACAATATTAAATATGCACCTGCCATATGATGCAGCAATTACACTCCTGGGCATCTACCCAGAGAAATGAAAGTTTTTATGTTCCTGGTCATAACTGTTCACAATAGCTTTATTCCTAATTGCCCCAAACTGGAAACAACTGAAATGTCCTTTAATGGTGGAAGGTTCAATAAACTATGGTACATTCATACCATGGAATACTACTCAGCAATAAAAGGGAAGGAATTATTGATACACATGACGATCTGGATGGATCTCCAGAGAATTTTGCTGAGTGAAAAAAGCCAATCTCAAGTTGCATACTGTGTGATTCGTTTTAGATAATATTCTTGAAACAATAAATGTATAGAGATAGAAAACAGATCAGGGGTCAGGTAGAAGGGAAGAGTGACTGTGGCCATAAAAAGGTAGCATAAGGGGTCTGTGTGGTGGAACTGTTCTTCATCTTGAGTTTGGTGGTGGTCACGTGAATCCACACATGTAAACTTGCTTAGAACCAAATACACACACATGAGTGGCTGGGTATGGTGGCTCATGCCTGTAATCCCAGCACTTTGGGAGGCTGAGGCAGGCATATCACTTGAGGTCAGAAGTTCAAGACCAGCCTGGCCAACATGGTGAAACCCCATCTCTACTAAAAATACTAAAATTAGCTGAGTGTGATGGCACATGCCTGTAATCCCAGCTACGCAGGAGACTGAGGCTGGAGAATCACTTGAACCCTGGAGGTGGAGGTTGCAGTGAGCCGAGATCGCGCCACTGCACTCCAGCATGGGCAGCAGAGTGAGACTCCATCTCAAAAAAAAAAAGAACTAAATACTAAAAAACTAAAAATTGATGACATCTGAGTAATGGCGAAGGGTTCTATCAATGTCAGTTTCCTGGCTGTGATATTGTACAATAGTTATATAAGATGTTACCATTGGGGGGAAATGGGTGAAGGGTACGCAGGATCTCTCTGCATATTTCTTTTTTCAATAAATTTTATTGAGATAAAATTCACGTAATATTTACCTTTTTAATGTGTAAAATTTAGTGGTTTTTAACATATTTACAAAGTTGTGCAACTTCAGCACTATCTAATTTTAGAACCTCTTCATCACCCCCAAAAGAAACCCTGTATCCATTATTAGTTACTCCCTGTTCCCCTCTCCCCCAGCTCCTGGCAGCCACTAATCTACTTTCTGTCTCTGGATTTGCCTACTCTAGATATTTCATATTAATGGAATCATACAATATGTGGCCTTGTGTCTGGCTTCTGTCACTTAGCACAAGGTTTTCAAAATCCATCTATTAATATTTTATAAAATGTGTCTGCACTTCATTTCTTTTTACAGCCAAATAATACTTCATTGTATGGGTCTACTTCTGCATTTTATTTATCATATTCATAAGTTGATGGACATTTGGGTTGTTTCTACTTCTTGGCTACTATGAATAATGCTGCTGTGGACATTCATGTACTAGTTTTTGTGTGAACATGTGTTTTTAATTCTCTTAGGTATTTATACCTAGGAGTGGAATTGCGGAGTCATATAGTAACTGTATGTTTAACTTTCTTTTTCTTTTTTTTTTTTTTTTGAGATGGAGTCTCACTCTGTCGCCCAGGCTGGAGTGCAGTGGCGTGATCTCGGCTCACTACAACCTCTGCCTCCCGGGTTCAAGCGATTCTCCTGCCTCAGCCTGAGGCCTGAGTAGCTGGGATTACAGGTGCACGCCACCACGCCCAGCTAATTTTTGTATTTTTAGTAGAGACGGGGTTTCACCGTGTTGGTCAGGCTGGTCTCGAACTCCTGACGTCGTGATCCACCTGCCTTGGCCTCCCAAAGTGCTGGGATTACAGGCGTGAGCCATCGTGCCCGGCCCTCTGTGTTTAACTTTCTAAGGAATCACCAAGCTTTTTTCAAAGGGGTGGCACTGTTTTGCATTTCCATAAGCAATGTCTGAGGGGTCTGATTTCTCCACATCCTTACCAACATTTGTTATTGTCTGGTTTTTTTTTTTTTTTAATTACAGCCATCCTAGTAAGTGTGAAATTGTAAGACATTGTGATTCTATATTATCTCCCTTTTTTTTTTTTTTTTTTTTGAGATAGGGTCTTGCTCTGTCACCCAAACTGGAGTGCAGTGGTGTGATCACAGCCCACTGAAGCCTCAACCTCCCAGGCTCAAGTGATCTTCCTATCTCAGCCTCCCAAGTAGCTAGGGCTACAGGCATGTACCACCATGCTTGGCTAATTATTTTCTTTTTTATAGAGACAGGATTGTACTGTCTCTTATAATTGCATGTAAATTGGCCTGGCACAGTGGCTCACACCTCTATTCCCAGCACTTTGGGAGGCCAAGGTGGGTGGATCACTTGAGGTCAGGAGTTCGAGACCAGCCTGGCCAACATGGTGAAACCTGTCTCTACTAAAAATACAAAAATTAGCTGGGCTCAGTGGCACATGCCTGTAATCCTAGCTATTTGGGAGGCTGAGGCAGGAGAATCACTTGAACCCGAGAGGCGGAGGTTGCAGTGAGCCGAGATCGTGCCACTGCACTCCAGCCTGGGCAACAACAGTGAAACTCCGTCTCAAAAAAATTGAGCCACCACACCCAGATAAATTTTGTATTTTTAGTAGACACGGGGTTTCACCATGTTGGCCAGACTAGTCTTGAACTCCTGACTTTGTGATCCACCCGCCTCCGTCTCCCAAAGTGCTGGGATTACAGGCATGAGCCACTGCACCCGGCCTACCTGGTGTTTGTTAAATGAACACTTGGGTGAACTGAAAACACCCAGTGATGCTCCAGAAAGGAGCACAAGTGCAGTAGGAAGGGGAGGAGTTTTTCCTATTGGCAAGAGGCCTCATGGAGACTACATCATGGTAGAATTGGTAGAATTGGAACTGCTCTGTGAGCAGCAGAAAGAAGGAAAGTGAGAAAGGAAGAGGGAAAAACCTTGGGGCTATTCCCTGGGAGTCTTAGAGCCAGCAGGAGATTCTTCTTTCACTGCTGCCCACAGGCAAAGAGGGAAGTAAAAAGGTGAAGGAAGATACAGAGAGCTCCTCTGTCTCTGCTGTGCCTCCTTTGCTGAATTCAGCACCTACATGCTAAATGCAAAAGCCCTTTATTTACTCAAAAGAAGTTTGGACTCAATGGTCCCAAATGCTTGGCACCTCTTTCCTCCTCAGGTAGGATGAGAATCCCTCTGAACAAAGCTGGATAATGGCTTTACTATGTCCATGGAAATTTTCCCCCTGGGAATAATGCCTTTCTCAATTATATGGGCATTTTCAGTGTACACCTCTTTGGAAAAGGTCAAGAACAAGCCATATAAATACAATCTTTTCTAATTATACATTTATATTTGGGTAAAAGTTCTTTCATAGTAGGGATCAAAGAGAATATAGAACTTAAAGACAGAGAGAACTCTCCAGAAGAAAGTCTGAACTTACCTAACAAAAAGTTAGATGAACAGCATTGGTTGTTTTTTTTCCTTTTTTTGCTTATATATATTATATGCCTTACAATGAATATGTCTTACTTTCCTAATAAGAGAAAAAAGCAATACGTTTATTTAAACCCTAAGAATTGCTGCCGGGCGTGGTGGTTCACACCTGTAATCCCAACACTTCGGGAGGCCGAGGTGGATCGTTTGAGGCCAGGAGTTCATAACCAGCCTGGGGAACATAGTGAGACCCCGCATCTACAAAAAAAAAAACAAAGAAAGAAAAGAAAAAAACCTATAAAAATCCGGGTGTGGTGGCACACACCTGTGGTGCCAGCTACTCGGGAAGCTGTGGTTGGACGATCACTTGAGCCAGGGTCGAGGCTGCAGTGAGCTATGATCATGCCAGTGCACTCCAGCCTGGGCAACAGACAGAGACCCTGTCTTAAAAAAATAAAATAAATAAAATAAAATAAGATAAAAAAGAATTGCTCATTAGCGGACATGGAGTAAAGGTTATCAGAAGAAAAAGCAGAAGGGCTGAGGCCATCTTGCTCAGATTGGAGGCTTATAGGATAAGGGAGCATATTTGTTTCCTATGCTGCATAACGTATTACGACAAATGCACTAGTTTAAAACAACTTCCCTTTATTATCCCACACCCTGTGAGTCAGGGGCCTGGGCATAGTGCAGGCCGCAAGGCTGTCATCATGGTGTCGGCCGTGGCTCAGCTCCATCTGGAGGCCTGACTAGTGACAGATCTGCTGCCAAACTCATTCGGGTTGTTGGCAGAATTTGGTTCCTTGCTGCTGTAAGACCAAGGGCCTGGATTTTTGCTGACTGTTAGCTGCCCTTAGCTCTATGAGGCTGCTCACAGTTCCTGGCCATGTGGACCTCTTGATAGGTCCTCTTACAAAATAGCAGCTTGCTTCCTCAAAGCCACTAAGGGAGGAACAGAGCTAGTGGGGTAGAATTGTATATAATGTAATCTAATCACAGACTAACAGCCCATCACCTTTGCCATATTCTGTTGGTTAGAAGTAGTCTTAGATTGGGAGGCTGAGGCAAAAGGATTGCTTGAGCCCAGGAGTTAGAGGCTGTAGTGGGCTATAATTGCATCTGTGAACAGCAACTGCACTCTAGCCAAGGCAACACAGTGAGACCCCATCTCTTTAAAAAAAAAAAAAAAAAAAAAAAAAAAAAAAGAAAGAAAAAAACAAGAAAAAAAAAGAAGCAGTCACTGGACCCACCCACACTCAAAGGGAGGGAATTATATGATTATACAAAGGTGTGAGTTACTAGGAGGTGGAGATCATGGGGACCACTTTAGAGTCTGTTCCTTAAAGGGAGCTCAGAAATTCTTTTGGGATCCATATCCCCTTGTCATTCAGCATTCCAGTACATTCCAGTGGCTGTCCTACTGCAAGCACCTGGGATTCTTCACCTGACAGTTTTCCTTCCACCTGAGACACAGACATGCTGAAGGGTTACTGACCCTACGAGCAGGCCTCAGCCAATGATGGATGGAAACCGGAGGCTCCCCATCTTCCTCACCTCTTGGGTAGGAAAGCTCAGAGGCATGTTCTGCACTGTCTCCCAGGGTCCCCAGTAGGACTGAACCCCAGCTGCAGTTACACAGAAGCAACTTGCTTAATAATGTTCCTTTTCTTGGCTTCCTTCCCTTTCCTGCCTTACTTCCCCACTCTAGTCTTCCCGCAATCACCTCTTAAACAAACTAGTTGAATCTAGAAACAGAAAGTAGAGTGATTGCTAGGGGGTAGGGGAAGGAGGGAATGGGGAGTTATTTGGTTTAAGGTATACGGTTCAGTTTTACAGGATGAAAAGTGTTATAGAGATGGATGATGGTGATGACTGCACAACATTGTGAATGTGTTTAATATCACTGAATTGGACACTAACACTTATTAAGATGGGGCCGGGCACGACAGCTCACGCCTGTAATCCCAGCACTTTGAGAGGCCTAGGCGGGCAGATCATCAAGTCAGGAGTTCGAGACCAGCCTGACCAACATGGTGAAACCCCGTCTGTACTAAAAATACAAAAATTAGCGGGGTGTGGTGGCACATGCCTGTAATCTCAGCTACTCAGGAGGCTGAGGCAGGAGAATCGCTTGAACACGGGAGGCAGAGGTTTCAGTGAGCCAAGATCATGCTACTGTACTCCAGCCTGGGTGACAGAGCGAAACTGCATCTCAAAAAAAAAAAAAAAAAAAAAAACCAAACAAAAAAAACAACTTATTAAGATGGTAAATTGTATGTTACATGTATTTTCCACAATTTAAAAAAATGAAACAAAACGAAATATACAGAACAAAACTAGTCGCACTCAAATCCTGCCTTAAGGTGTGATTCTGGGACAACCTAACCTAAGGTAATAGGAATCTATATTAATTTTGGGTAGCAGAGAAAAAAAGCACTTACAAGCTGAGTTTAGGGTTATTTATACATGGCATCCAACTAAAAGAAACCTGAAATCAGCAAAGACTAGAAATGAGAAAAAGAGTCTAGCAGGTCTGGGGAGGAAAATGAAGAATCAGACACCATCTTCAACAAGTTAGTCAAATGTGACTAACCTGGGAATGGTTAAATTTCCCAGCTATAGATAGGTAATATCCTAAGATTCCTCACAGTGTAATAAAGCAGATTTTTTGCATCCTAAACCTGAACGTAGCAATTTGGACATGTCACAGAGGCAGGGCACAGAAGAGGCAGCCAGACTTCAGCCCTCCAGCGATTAGTAAGTAGAAGTGACCAGCAGTTTTGGGCTGCCCAGCACCTATTGCCACTATCTTGTTAATTGTACCCTGTTTTTCCTTGAATGTCTCCAAGATACCTCAAAATCAGTAAGTCGAAAACCAAACTCATGATTCTCCCTGCCAGACCCAGGCTTCTTTGAGCATTCCATAGGTCAAGATGGTGCCATCATCCATCTATGTAGGCAAGCCAAATATGATGGCCCCAGACTGGTTCCCTTCTCTCCTTCCCTGTATACAATCCGTCACCAAGTCCTGCAATTTTACTTCCTCAATTTCTTATGGGTTTTTGTTTTGTTTTGTTTTGTTTTTGTTGTTGTTGTTTTTTTTTTTTTAGATGGAGTTTTGCTCTGTCACCCAGGCTGGAGTGCAGTGGCATGATCTCGGCTCCCTGCAACTTCCTCCTCCTGGGTTTAAGCCATTCTCATGCCTCAGCCTCCCAGGTAGCTGGGATTACAGGCATGCACCACCACACCCAGCCAAGTTTTTCTTTCTTTTTTTTTTTTTTTTTTTGCATTCTTAATGGAGATGTGGTTTCTTCATGTTGGCCAGGCTGGTCTCAAACTCCTGATCTCAGGTGAACCACCCGTCTCGGCTTCCCAAAGTGCTGGGATTACAGGTGTGAGCCATGGTGCCAGGCCTACTTCCTCAATTTCTGTTAAACTCATCAATTTCTCTCTGTATCCACCACTATGACTACTCCAGTCCAAGTCCCTGCCATCTCAGCTTCCAAAATAGTTTCCCAGCTGTGTCACTCAGTAACAGGGCAATCCCTGTGTGATGGTTAATTTTAGGCATCAACTTGACTGGATTAAGGGATACTGAGCTGGTGAAGCATTATTTCTGGGTATGTTGGTGAGGGTATTTCCATAAGAGATGGGCATTTGAATCAGTGGACTGAGTAAAGAAAATCCACTCTCACCCAATGTGGCTGGGCACCATCCAATCCTTTGACGGCCTGAATAGAACCAAAAGGTATAAGACAGGCAAATTCTCACTTTCTCACTCCTGAAACTGGGACACCCTCTTCTCCTGCCCTTGGATGTCAGAACTCCAGGTTCTCTGGTTCTTTGGACCCTGGAACTTGCACCAGCAGCCAGTCTGTTTCTCAGGCCTCTTGCTTTGGACTCAGAATTACACTGTCAGATTCCCTGGTTCTCTAGCTTGCAGACAGCATATAGTGAGACTTCTCAGCCTCCATAATCATGTGAGCCAATTCCTATAATAAATCTTCTCTCGGCTGGGCGCGGTGGCTCACACCTGTAATCCTAGCACTTTGGGAGGCCAAGGCGGGCGGATCACCTGTGGTCAGGAGTTTGAGAGCAACCTGGCCAACATGGTGAAACCCCATCTCTACTAACTACAAAAATTAGCCTGCGTGACGGCAGGCACCTGTAATCCCAGCTACTCGGGAGGCTGAGGCAGGAGAATCGCTTGAACCTGGGAGGCAGAATTTGCAGCGAGCTGAGATCGTGCCACTGCACTCCAGCCTGGGTGACAGAGTGAGACTGTCTCAAAAAAAAAAAAAATGAAAAATAAATCTTATCTTCTATCTATCTATCTATCTATCTATCTATCTATCTATCTATCTATCATCTATAATAAATCATCTCTCATCTCTGTCATCTATCTATCCATCCATCCATCTCTCTCTTTCTCCTATTGATTCTCTGTCTCTCTGGAGAAGCCTAATACACTCTGGGCATACAAAGCCCTCCTGACACCCCCTCAGTTTCTTCTTAGGGAACTGCCCCTGGCCACACTTCCCAACCTCAGGACTCCTACACATTCTCACAGTCCATGTACCTCATTGTTTTTAGCGTTCAGTCATAGTTGTAACATAAAACATTTGTAAATATATTTTTATTGTGAGAACGTTCAGTATAACGAAATACAGAGAACAACATATCAAGCACCTATGTAGTCATAACCCAGAATTAACAATATTAACACATGTTAACTTTCTGCCATATTTATTTCAAATTTCGTTTTACGTTTAAAAGAAATCAAACATAAAACAGATGTGGTTAAAATCCACTTGAACAGTATTTCCCTTCTCCTCCACTTCTGTTCTCTCTCCCTCTTCAGAGGAACTAGCAACAAGAATTTCAATGTATTTCTTTCTCATTCATGTTTTTATGCTTTTAATAGATAAGGTGTATTTTCAAAACCATTGGTTGTTCCTATTGTTTTTTGGTTGTTGTTGAGACAGAGTCTCGCTCTGTCGCCCAGGCTGGAGTGCAGTGGCGCTATCTCAGTTCACTGCAACCTCTGCCTCTTGGGTTTGAGCGATTTTCCTGACTCAGCCTCCTGAGTAGCTGGGACTATGGGCACGCACCACCACGCCTGGCTAATTTTTGTATTTTTAGTAGAGACGGGGTTTCACCATGTTGCCCAGACTGGTCTTGAACTCTTGAGCTCAGGTGATCTGCCTGTCTCGGCCTCCCAAAGTGCTGGGAATACAGGCGTGAGCTACCGCACCTGGCCTATTCCTACAGTTTCTAAAAGCAGATATAATTAGTTTTAATTTAAACCACTTTGATTTCATTCAAGCCGAGAATATCTTGGTCCTCAGATGGTGGATTCAGAAGGGAACCAAAGAGGGTTTTCATTCTGTCTCATCGTGGAGAAACAGCAGCAAGAACAACCAGCTCATCTTTCTTCTTCTTCCACTTCCCCCCAAGTACCAGAGGGGAGCTGGGGCCAGCAATATCCATCAGAGAATATCAAAGCAGAAGCACATAATGTTTTGGCACCTGTGGGCTTACCTGGTGGCATCATAAGCATCTAACACCAGCCCTGAGAGTTGAACATTTTAAAAATAGGTAAAAATACAGTGGATGAACAGGTGGCCTCAAGTTTCTGTGCCGCCTGGTCCTGGAGACATGGTGCTGTGCTCAGGTTGGCTTCCAGCCTACTTCCAGTCTGCTCCCTGTCTGCTTGAGCCATGTGGCCCTGCTGCTGGAGGCTTGGCATCTGAAGATGTGAAGCTTTTGGTTAAGAGGCTCAAAGTGCCTCTCAGTTGTTACATGGAATTAATAAGGGTGAGTAAGTGCCCGCGGCCTTCTCTGGGACACTTTCCCCTCTTTGGTTTGTTACAGAAGATAAGGCTAAATAAATTTTATATTGATTGCTTCCAGACACAAAGGAGGACATCAAAGAGGAGTAAACTCCTTTCTTTCCAAGTGATAGCGCCAGCCAATCTGTCTAGTCTAGATTGAGAATTATACCTTGCCGTGACAAAGGGTCCAAAGAACATAGTCAACTCATCATCCTTGGCCAGGAATAAAGTTATTGCTTCTTAAGGGGCGGAGAACTCTCTGGCCTCATATCGTTAACATACTTGCCACCTCTAACTAGACCCAGTCAGGCCCAATGAGCTCCATTAGAGTGAAACTCAGAACCTGCTAATACCGAAGTGTCAATGGACAACAGTATTTGTTTATGTGTAAAACTGGTACTTTTTTTTTTTTTTGGTGGAAAATGAGGAAGTGAAAAGAACGTGACCTTTGGAGTCACACAGACCTGGGTTTCTCTCCTGGCACCGCCTCTGACCTGCTGTGTCACATGAGCTTTCTGAGCTTTAGTTTCCACTTCTATGACACAAGGAGAAAATTCCCATCTTATAGGGAGAATTTAGTGAAAGGACTGAGCATTTTTTCTGGGAGATGATTGGATCCCTTCATCTGATTTTTTTTTTTTTTTTTGAGACAGAGTCTTGCTCTGTTACCCAGGCTGGGGTGCAGTGGCCCGATCTCAGCTCACCACAACCTCCACCTCCCAGGTTCAAGTGATTCTTGTGCCTCAGCCTCCCAAGTAGCTGGGATTACAGGCACGCACCACCATGCCCGGCTAATTTTTGTATTTTTAGCATGGACGGGGTTTTGCCATGTTGGCCAGGCTGGTCTCGAACTCCTGACCTCAAGTGATCTGCCTGCCTTGGCCTTCCAAAGTGCTAGGATTATGGGCGTGAGCCACTGCACCCGATCCCTTCATCTGAATTTGGAGAGGGCAAAAGTTTGAACTCTGGGTTGTGCCTGGGAAAGGTGGATATGAGGTGAAGATCAGATTCGGGCAACCACAGGAGTTGACAGAGTCTGCTGGCCCTGCCATCATTTAGTGACTGGTAGAAGGCTGCTGCGGTGAGAGCTGGCTTTGCTTCGATCCTGTTAAGTAAACCACCAGGATGCTTCAGTGTTTGGAGCGGCCTTCTTTGGTCACCCACTGTGACCTGGGGCAGAAAGCTTCCAATCTCGTTCCCACGGGAGTGTTAGAGTGTTATCCATGTTAGGAAAGAGAGTGGTTTTCATTTTCAGAAGAACACGAACACATTGGCCTCCAGATGAATATGCAGCTTCAAAGCTTCTAAAATAGCTGGCTATCCCTTGTCCTGAGTTTTTGCTCAAGGTTTATGACACTGCTGTCGGATGTCTGTTGCCCCATATTGGCTAGACCGGAAAAGTGGAATCTCTTCTCCCTCTCCACATCTGAAAGAGCAACACTGTCTGCTGTCCTACAGAGCCTGTCATTGATCTATGATTTGGCCTCTCACCTTAGACTGTTCTCAATAGGTAGAACAGCGCTCCACCTTCGCCCATGTGTAACATTAGGCTGTATAAACACTACCAAAGGAAACATACATTATTCAGGGAATGTGAGTGTGTAGGTCCCACGCCCACAGTGTGTCATGGACTCACCAAAGAGATGTGTTGCAAATAATGAGTGGCATCTTGTTTCAAACAATGCAAAGCCAACAATAATAGGAAAAATGACACTTCTCTGGATTCTCCAGCTAAGAAAACACAAAGCAGTTTTGGTGGATGGAGTTCAAGCCAATGACTTTTCTACCTAAATTATTCTTTTAGTTCTTTCAAGCTGGTTTTGCAAGGTTTTAAGGAAGCCACCCAGTTGTGGGTGGAGCATTTTCTTCTGGGAGCTACTCCCAGGTACATGAAATATCATTCAGAAATGAGCAAGACATGTTCACAAGGCCAAGGGCTTCTTTGGGGCCATAGTTACACTTCACTATGTGCTGTTCACACATGGATTTTTGGTTTGACTTGTAAACCCTAGCCTGTTGTTGGCAGGCATTAAAAAATATGTGTCAGCCAGGCGTGGGGTCTCACGCCTGTAATCCCAGCACTTTGGGATGCCGAGTTGGG
The DNA here is from genome assembly GCF_000001405.40 of Homo sapiens. Classification (NCBI taxonomy): domain Eukaryota; kingdom Metazoa; phylum Chordata; class Mammalia; order Primates; family Hominidae; genus Homo; species Homo sapiens. The sequence continues at coordinate 226,027,514 of NC_000001.11, read as the reverse complement.
AGGATCACTTGAACTCAGGAGTTTGAGACCAGCCTAGACAACAGGGCAAAACCCCATCTCTACACAAAATACAAAAAATTAGCCGGGTGTAGTGTCATGTGCCTGTAGTCTCAGCTACTGGGGGGCTGAGGCAGGAGAATCTCTTCAGTCTGAGAGGCCAAGGCTGCAGTGAGCTGTGATCGTCCCATTGTACTCCAGCCTGGGTGACTAAGTGAGACCCTGTCTCAAAGAAAAAAGAAAGAAGGAAAGAAAATATGTGTTAATGATGGGGAATCTGATCATTAAAAATATGCATATATGTGGAATAATAAAGTATATGATATTTATCCTTCCTTTGTTTGTTATGACAGTATTTCCCCAGAGCTTAGGTGGCAGGTATCAGAGTGTTTTACATGTAGTCCACATCTTGTATTACATGCTCATTCTCGGAGTTGGGCTTTGGCAGAGATGCTAAACACACAGATGCCAATTAGGAAACTAAAATCCAGTCATTACCCAGAGATTAAATATTTCAACACAGTGTCTCAAACTATAATTAAAGGCAGTGAGCTTTGTTACTGGGAGAACAAAAACAGAGAGAGGCAGACAACTATTTTTGGAATTGTCCTTATCTTCAACACGATCTACTCTATACATTTATCAAGTTGTTTACTGTACTTGCAACTTTACAAATCAGTCTAAATAAAACATCATAAAATGACATGTTTGCTGGCCGAGTGCAGTGGCTCATGCCTGTAATCCCAGCACTTTGGGAGGCTGAGGCAGGAGGATCACTTTTTTCTTTTTCTTATTTTTTTGAGACAGAGTCTCTCTCTGTCACCCAGGCTGGAGTGCAGTGGCATGATCTCAGCTCACTGCAATCTTTGCCTCCCGGGTTCAAGCAATTCTCCTGTCTCAGCCTCCCGAGTAGCTGGGACTACAGGCGGCCACCACCATGCCTGGCTAATTTTTGTATTTTTAGTAGAGACAGGGTTTTACCATGTTAACCAGGCTGGTCTTGAACTTCTGACCTCAGGTGATAGGAGGATCACTTAAAGCCAGAATTTCAAGACCAGCCTGGGCAACAAAGTGAAACCCCATCCCTACAAAATATTTGGTGACACACATCTGTAGTCCCAGCTACTCGGGGAGGCTGAGGTGGGAGGATCACTTGAGCCCAGGAGGTTGAGGCTGCAGTGAGCTAAGATTACGCCACCGCACTCCAGCCTGGGTGACAGAGTGAGACTCTATCTCTAAAAATAAATAAGCAGGGCCAGGCGCAGTGGCTCACGCCTGTAATCCTAGCACTCTGGGAGGCAGAGGTGGGCAGATCACTTGAGGTCAGGAGTTGGAGACCAGCATGGCCAACATCATGAAACCCCCGCCTGGGCGCGGTAGCTCACGCCTGTAATCCCAGCACTTTGGGAGGCCAAGGCGGGCGGATCACGAGGTCAGGAGATCGAGACCATCCTGACTAACACGGTGAAACCCTGTCTCTACTAAAAATACAAAAAAATTAGCCGGGCGTGGTGGCAGGTGCCTGTAGTCCCAGCTACTCGGGAGGCTGAGGCAGGAGAATGGCGTGAACCCGGGAGGTGGAGCTTGCAGTGAGCCGAGATCACGCCACTGCACTCCAGTCTAGGCGACAGAGAGAGACTCCGTCTAAAAAAAAAAGAAGAAAAAAAAAGAAAGAAACCTCCTCTCTGCTAAAAATACAAAAATTAGCTGCGCATGGTGGTGGGCACTAGTAACCGCAGCTACTCCAAAGGCTGAGGAGGCAGGAGACCGGAAGGCGGAGGTTGCAGTGAGCCGAGATTGCGCCACTACAGCCCGGGAGAAAGAGTGAGACTCCGTCTCGAAAAATAAATAAATAAACAAACAAACAAATAAGTGATGCAGCTGTGAAGTGGCCTAGGGAGAAGTAGGGAGGAAACAGGCAAAAGAAGAGATGGTAGGAATAAGAGACAGAGAGAGACAGACCTCCTCCCTGCCACCCCCAGAAAGGTTAAGAAAGAAAATTAAAAAAAAAAAAAAAAAAAAGCCAGGCACAGTGGCTCACACCTGTAATCCCAGCACTTTGAGAGGCCGAGGTAGGCGGATCACTTGAAGTCAGGAGTTCGAAACCAGCCTGGCCAACATAGTGAAACTCTGTCTCTACTAAAAATACAAAAACTTGGCTGTGTGTGGTGGCGGGCACCTGTAATCCCAGCTACTTGGGAGGCTGAGGCAGGAGAATTGCTTGAACCTGGGAGGCGGAGGTTGCAGTGAGTGGAGATAGCACCACTGCACTCCAGCCTGGGCGACAGAGTGACACTCCTTCTCAAAAAAATAAAAAATAAAATAAAATCAATCAATTAAAATCCGTAGTCTTTGCACCACATTTTAAGTGGTAGTACAGTTCAATTTTGCCCTAAATTTACTATTTGTATTTTGTTATATCTTCTAAATCAAAGTATAATTGCAAGAGTATAAAGTACACATACACTATGTGCATGTCTTGAGCATATACTAATAAAATTATTTACTTTTTTTTTTTTTTTGAGACGGAGTCTTGCTCAGTCGCCCAGGCTGGAGTGCAATGGCGGGATCTCGGCTCACTGCAAGCTCCGCCTCCCGGGTTCACGCCATTCTCCTGCCTTAGTCTCCTGAGTAGCTGGGACTACGGGCGTCCGCCACCACGCCTGGCTAATTTTTTTGCATTTTTAGTAGAGACGGGGTTTCACCGTGTTAGCAAGGATGGTCTCGATCTCCTGACTCGTGATCCGCCCGTCTCGGCCTCACAAAGTGCTGGGATTACAGGCGTGAGCCACTGAGCCCGGCCAAAATTATTTACTTTATAAATATCAAAGTTTATCATTGTAGAAATGACAGGTCATATATAACAGTATTTATCTATCTATCCAAGTCAGAAAAAATTACTTGCTGAAAGAATTAAGTTTAAAAAACCATTTCCTACTACCTAAACATTTGGTCAGCTAGCTTATGATTTCATTTGTCTGTTTTTATCCTGTTGTTTTTGCATCATGTAAGTACATTCTTAATGGCTTTTTAAACAAACTAAATGAGTAAATGTGGATAAAAGGCTTAAGAGTGCTATATAAATGTGTACATTATTATTATTTCTGACTCTGGAAATTAACAGAGCTAAGAATATTTTTAAGGTGCTGAGAACATTTTACTATATTTTTACTTATTTTTTTTTTTTGAGATGGAGTCTTGCTCTGTCACCCAGGCCGGAGTGCAGTGGCACGATCTCTGCTTTCTGGGTTCAAGCAATTCTCCTGCCTCAGTGTCCCGAGTAGCTGGGATTACAGGCGCCCGTCACCACACCCAGCTAATTTTTTTGTATGTTTAGTAGAGACGGGGTTTCGTCATGTTGGACAGGCTGGTCTCGAACTCCTGACCTCAAGGCCTGCCTTGGCCTCCCAAAGTGGTAGGATTACAGGCGTGAGCCACCGTGCCCAGCCCCATTTTACCACATTTTCTATACCCATTTTGGGATAATAACAGAACAGGTATTTCCAAGGCAATGTCAGGAAACACCACACATTTCCCTAACACTTTTTGCTGACTACACAGAGAATGGGGCAGATAACTATTGACATGTGGCAGGGAGATGTACTTACAACTACGATTTATCTGATTAATTACATTTTCTGACAACTAGCATGACGACGTCACAGTATCCAAAATGGAAACTCATGTTACAGATAATATCCAATCCATAGATAATAAAGAAGGACACCCCCTCCCCCATCCAGATACTTCTAAACTTGTTTATGTCTAAAAGGATTTTTTTTTTTTTTTTTTTTTTTTTTTAGACAGAGTCTCACTCTGTCGCCCAGCCTGGAGTGCAATGGTGCGATCTCCACTCACTGCAACCTCCACCTCCTGGGCTCTATTGATTCTCCTGTCTCAGCCTCCCAGATAACTGAGATTACAGGCACCGGCCACCATGCCTGGCTAATTTTTGTATTTTTAGTAGAGACGGGGTTTCAGCATGTTGGCCAGGCTGGTCTCGAACTCCTGACCTCAAGTGATCCACCCGCCTTGGCCTCCCAAAGTGCGGGATTACAGGCATGAGCCACCATGTCCAGCCAGGAATATTCTTTTTAAAAGACATTTTACAAAGAAAAAAAATCTCTAAAGTTTTTTCCATCTTAGTATTCTCTAATTTTATTAAGTGTGTATCACAGAAAATAGCCAAGTACAATAGAATTAAATAGGCTGCACTTTAATGATCAGAGATATTTGATTATAGTTTGGGTATTAGGTGAAAATAGGAAGTATTGTTCATCCTGTTAGGTGTGAAATTGACATTATGGTCAAACAAGAACATATGCACATTTTTAAGAGACACATACTGAAATATATATGGGTGAATTGAAATTTTAAAAAATTTTATTTATTTATTTATTAACCATGGGGTCTCGCTATGTTGACTAGCCTCCCAAAGTGCTAGGGTTGCAGGCATGAGCCATCATGCCTGGGCAATTGAAATAATTTCTAGGATTAAAACAAAAAATCACAGAGAGAGAAAGTGATAACGTGGCAACATCTTGATAATTGTTAAATCTGATGATGGGTATATGAAGGTTTATTGTTCTGTCTACTTTTGTGTAGGTTTAAAATGTTTATATAAAAAGGGTTTGTTTATTTTATTTTAAAATTTAATCTATGTGTTTATTTATTTTGAGACCAGGTTATGAGACTGGCTAATTTTTGTATTTTGGGTAGAGGTGTGGTTTTGCTGTGTTACCTAAGCTGGTCTTGAACTCCTTGGCTCAAGTGATCCAACCACCTCAGCCTCTCAAAGTGGTGGGATTACAGGCGTGAATCACCACCCCCGGCCAACAAAAAAAGTTTTAAAAATGATTCAAATAATTGGTTTAACAGTTTTGTTTTTTCATATGTAGAACATAAATTGGATAGAGAGAATTCTGCTACACTGTTTATCTGCTAAAAGGATTATTTATCTAGTTCACTAGTTCTCAAACTTGAGTGTGCTGTTTAAAACTCAGATCGCTGAGTCCAGCCCCAGAGTTTCTGATAATAAGTCTTGCAGGGGCCCAGCAATTTGCATTTCCAACAAGTTCCTAGTTGATGCTGATGCTCCAGTCCAGGGACCACGCCGTGAGAATTACTTCTCTAGGTAAACCATCTCTTCTAAGCTATCCTTCTTCATTCTTTCTGCAGCCAATTCCATTCCTTTACTATTTCACGTCAAGCATGAGCTTTACCTGTCCTTATGGGCCAGTTTCTTATCTTAATTTATTCTGGAATATACTGAGAGTCAAAATCTTGAGAATTTGATAATTAAGCCTCCTCATTGTTTGGTTCTGACTTACCCAACTTTTCAATCTTTTCTTCCTTTATTCCCCTGACTCCAGCAATATCAGGATATTTGTACTCTAAGTGAGTCATACATATTCCTACCTCAGTACCTTTACCCATTGCCACCATCCCCTCCTGAAATGCATACATTGCATTCACACACACACACACACACACACACACACACAAAATGAGTAACCAAAAGGTCCAGTCCAAATCTCCCCTTCTCTGTGAAGCTATCAGCATCCATGATGATCCTTCCCACTGAAAACTTCTCACTTTACACTAGTCATACCATCATGTAATAATTTATATTTTTTTATATTCGTGCTTTTTTTTTTTTTTGGCTTTTTGAGATGGGGTTTTGCTCTGTCACCCAGGCTGGAGTGCAGCGGCACAGTCTCAGCTCACTGTAGGCTCGACCTTCTGAGTTCAAGCAATCCTCCAACCTTAGTCTGCCTGGGACACAGGCATGCACCACCACGCCTGGCTAATTTTTGTATTTTTTGTAGAGACAGCGTTTTGCCATGTTGCCCAGGCTGGGTATTCATGCTCCTTATCTCCTCAATAGACTTGTCAGTTCCTTGAGAGCAGAGACCTTGCCTTACACAGAACTTCTTTGTGCAGCCCACAGACTTTGGCCCAGAGCTGTGTTCTTAATAGGCACTTTCATTTTCCCTGCAAACTGGGGGAAATATGTTTTTTCTAATAATGGATGGAACCTGAAGTCTACAGATATAGATAAGCACCAGGGAAAGGCTCATAGAATCCTATCATCTATGCACATCCAAGCAGTGCTATGAGAATAATTAATGATTATGCAGGTCTTTGAGATCTTCAGATGAAAGGGGCTTTAAAAGAGTCCAGAATTATGATGATGATCCATGTCACCCTTTTTTTTTTTTTTCTGAGACAGAGTTTCGCTCTTATTGCCCAGGCTGGAGTGCAATGGTGCGATCTCGGCTCACCACAACCTCCACCTCCCAGGTTCAAGCGATTCTCTTGCCTCAGCCTCCTGAGTAGCTAGGATTACAGGCATGAGCCACCATGTCCAGCTAATTTTTGTATTTTTAGTAGAGATGGGGTTTCTCCATGTTGGTCAGGCTGGTCTTGAACCCCCAACCTCAGGTGCTCCACCTGCCTCAGCCTCCCAGAGTGTTGGGATTACAGGCATGAGCCACCATGCCCGGCCCATGTCACCCTTTCAAAGCCTGAAACCAAATTTCACAGCATCCCTCAGGTTTCCTCAGACTGGGAAGAGTTCAGGGCTACTCCTCCAAGGGTGGCTAAAAAGTGACTTCTCAACACCCACCACTCAGGATTTTCAGGAAAGACAAACTTTAAAATAAGGCTGGAGATAGCAAAAGTCCCAACAAAACAAACTCTTGGCTTCCTGAGAAAAAGTGAAACCGAGATACTATGTGTTGTCCTCCAGCAGGGACAGTTGGACTCCAGACCAGTCATCTGCACCTGTCTTCCTATCTTGTCCTCTTGGCTAGTGGCACTCACAGGCTTTCGGGTGTTGGGATCTGCCTGCAGTCACCTGGATCAGAACCTGCATGTTCAGGCCAGGCATGGTGGCTCACACCTGTAATCCCAGCACTTTGGGAGGCCGAGGCAGACGGATCACTTGAGGCCAGGTGTTCGAGGCCAGCCTGGCCAACATGGCAAAACCCTGTCTCCACTAAAAATACAAAAAGTAGTTGGATGTGGTGGTGGGCACCTGTAATCCCAGCTACTCAGGAAGCTGAGGCAGGAGAATTGCTTGAACTCAAGAGGCGGAGGTTGCAGTGAGCCAAGATCATGACGCCATTACACTCCAGCCTGGGCAACAGAGCCAGACTTGGTCTCAAAAAAAAAAAAAAAAAAAAAAGGACCTGCACGTTCAAGTTGTTATTTTTGTTCTGAGTATATAAATTTTGGCCTGAGTTCAGCTTTCATGAAGCACTACGAATCAATCTCTCTCTCTCTTTCCCTCCCTCTCACTCATGGCATGGGTGAAGCCATCTCTTGATTACCACTTGAAAATCTGTTATGACCCAAGCTCGGGAATATTGCTTCAACATCGAAGCTTAGATTTTCTTCAACTTCCATTTTCCTTGATAGCAAGTTTCCTCTCTCTGTTCTCTTTGCTTTATTCCTGCATCCTTGTTTTAGTTGACTTGGGTTGGTACCACTTTACCAATAATTCACTAAACATAAAAAATGTCTTCTCTGAGTCTGTAGCTATGACTGCCTATGTTAGATGGAACTAAAAGAGCTTCAATACTTTTGCAGGCCCAGGCAAACATGGATACAGTTATAATTAAGCAGTAAATCACAACAAGATGCTGTTAGAGCATGTCTCAGATGTGTTGGCGAAAGTTGAATGTCCTCACCTGCCAGCAGGAAAGAAAAAAAAAGAATGAAAAGCCCAGCCAAGCTTAACCAGACAGGGCTTATACCCAGTATGATCATAAAGCCACTCCTGGCTTATATTTCCAGGAATGAAAAATCCATTGTACAAAGAGCCAGGGTTATATTACATACCAAATGCTAATTCCCTCTTTAGCAGATCAGGTTAAATCATTTCCTGGTTTGCAAGGGGCAACTTTGATTAGACTAATTGTGAGATTAGAAGAACCCAGACCTCTATGACTGGCATGCCAAAAAAGTACAATTTATTTAAAACAATGACCAGAAAATTACATATAAAGACTTAATTCCAGACCCTAAATTAGAAGGTGTAGGGTTTTTTTTTTTTTTGTATTTTTTTTTTTTTTTTTGAGACAGAGTTTCGCTCTTGTTGCCCAGGCTGGAGTACAATGGTGCAATCCCCACTCACTGCAACCTCTGCCTCCTAGGTTCTAGTGATTCTCCTGCCTCAGCCTCCCGAGTAGCTGGGATTACAGGCATGCACCACCATGCCCGGTTAATTTTTTGTATTTTTAGTAGAGACAGGGTTTCTCCATGTTGGTCAGGCTGGTCTCAAACTCCCAACCTCAGGTGATCCGCCCGCCTTGGCCTCCCAAAGTGCTGGGATTACAGGCATGAGCCACCACGCCCAGCTAGAAGGTGTAGGGTTTTAACCTGGATCTGCCATCAACTAATGGAGTAATTTGGCCTCATTGTACCTTGCTCTGGCCTCGGAGGCTCATTGTTGGTTTTGGTCCCTACACAGCTAATGTCAGTGTGGACATTCCTTGATTTCCAACTCAGACTTGGAAAACAAGCAAACGAGTACTGGAGGAGGCACCGACTCTCAGTCTCTAACTACCCTTTGAGCCCAATTCAGGATATGCTTTCGTGGAAGAAGGAGGTCTTTCTTCTGGGCAAATATATATATATACATGTGTGTGTGAATATATATATATATAACATATATATATATACATGTACATATATATATACACACACATATATATTCTATAATATATATAATATGTAATTTTTTAGAATGAGTCTCACTCTGTTGCCCAGACTGGAGTGCAGTGGCGTGATCTTGGCTCACTGCAACCTCCACCTCCCGGGTTCAAGCAATTCTCCTGCCTCAGCCTCTTGAGTAGCTGGGATTACGGGCCCCCGCCACCATGCCCGGCTAATTTTTGTATTTTTTAGTAGAGATAGGGTTTCACCATGTTGGTCAGGCTGGTCTCGAACTCCTGACCTCAGGTGATCCACCTGCCTCGGCCTCCCAAAGTGCTGGGATTACAGGTGTGAGCCACCACACCTGGCCCTAATATTTGTATTTTTAGTAGAGATGGAGTTTCTCCACGTTGGCCAGGCTGGTCTCAAACTCCTGACCTCAAGTGATCTACCTGCCTCGGCCTCCCGAAATGCTGGGATTACAGGCATGAGCCACCATGCCCAGCAAATATATCTGAACGATGTATCTTGGGCAAATATATCTGAATAACTTGATGGTGCCTCCTCCCCAGGCCCCTCCCTAGCACAAACAGTGGCTTCTACTGAGGCTCAGCTGTTAGCAGCCCCTTAAGCCGGAAGAAGAGATGCAACGAACCAGAGGGAAAAGAGAATCTTTAGTAAGTTATAGTTGAAACAATACTATAAATTCATGTAAACCATGGGCTAAATGGCTTTTTGTGATTTGGACTGGGACCTTCAACCACTACCTGTAACCATATTTTTGCAGGAAAATGTTTCCTGAGGTGTACACAACTGGCTTATTGACTTTGGGATACAAATTCCTCAGTAAATTGCTGACTGTGCCCTCACAATAGAATCTGATTCTGGAAGAGACCTTAGAGACCATACAGTTGAACTCCAGATTTTCTAATGCCTTCCTTTAGATTGTTCTAAGGCATGGGATCAAAAGATTTGTCACAACTATATTGCTCATAATCTGTAACATGTTCTCTAAGTGTGGTCCCCGACTATCTGGCAACGACAGCATCACCTGAGAGCTTGTTATAAATGCAGATTCTCAGGCCTCTCTCCAGACTTACAGAATCAGAGGCTCTGGGAATGGGGCCCAGCAATCGGTTTTAACAACTCCTCTGTGTGGTACTAGTTTGAGAATCACCGGTCTATAGGAAAAACGTATTTATCAAGGGAGAAAGTTGTGGGGAGATGCTTTATTGTCTACCTTGAGTGTGCTTAATATTAAATATGTGTGTAAGTAGCCATTTTTGTCCTGTCTTTGCAACCTGCTTTTTGCATGTGAAAAACAGAAATGACCTCATTTTGCCCCCTCCATCAAAAGCGGGTTGACGATGTTATAGTTGAACATTCTCTCTCTACCTGTCTTTGATCTCACGATGGAGCCAAGATTCTGCTCAGAGAAAGGTGCTCCTGCCAGTACCAGGCCTCTGAGCCCTGGAGGTCACCAGGCAAGGTGCTTCCCATACAATTCAGAAGCAGGCTGGCAAGCTGAGGTAAGGGATTTGACGGCTTGGCCACCACCTGACAGGGAGGAAATCAGCTCGCGCACTCGAGTCCTGCCTGGTCCTGCTGGGGAGCTCCCCAACTCGGGAAACACCTGGTCCACATATGGTCAGAGAGCTGAGGGCCAGGGCCTCACAAAGCAAGGACAAACATCCTCAATAACCTTCCATGGGCTGTTATCAGAATTAATGGCAAGGCAGGGGCACCCACAGGGCTCTGAGCCCTTTCAGAGAAAGCCATAGTATGAAGACTTTTCACAGAAATGCGTGTTTGTTACGTGTGGGTGACTTTTTCCTATTTATCTCTCTGCTGGACACAAATTCAACTGGGAGTTCTTGAGGAAAGGGCCATCGCCTCACTTAATATTATATTGCTAAGATTCAACCATATTGTTATCTGTAGCTGTAGTTCATTTGTTTTTTGTTTGTTTATTTTTTTCAGAGCCCACTGAAAGAATAGTTCATTTGTTTTAACTGCTGAATCACATTCCATTGTAGGAATAAAACACAACTTACTCATCTTCTCTCCTCTTGATGGGCATTTGGATTGTTTTGGGGTTTTTGTTACTGTAAACAGGAGACAAGATGTTCCTGTCTGGAAAAAGATCAGTAAGGAGCAACTTAACCTATTGATAACAAAACCCATTATGAAATATAATAATTAAAGCAATGCAGTACTGGCCTGGGGAGAGACAAACTGACCAATGGAATAGAATGGAATGGTGTGGAACTTTGGCATATGCCAGAGGTGGCATATAAAACCAGTGGGAGGGCCAGGTATTGTGGCTCATGCCTGTAATCCCAGCACTTTGGGAGGCTGAGGCAGGAGAATCACTTGAACCTGGGAGGCAGAGGTTGCAGTGAGACAAGATTGTGCCATTGCACTCCAGCCTGGGCAACAAGGGTGGAACTCCATCTCCAAAAAAAAAAAAAAAAGAAAAGAAAAGAAAAGAAAGAACATATAGGTGAATCTTTCAGACTTTGAAGTTGGAAAAGACTTCTTAAATAATACCTAAACAGTATTTAACTGAAAAGGAAAGACTGATAAATTTGACTATATTAAATGTAAGAACATTTTTCACACATAGATTTTTCTGCAAAAAAATTTCCAAGAATAAAGATTATTCTGCTACTCTTAACCACTCCCCAGTAATAAACTTTTTATAATTTGAGATTAGATTTGAATATAAATACAATTGCAGGCTGGGCGTGGTGGCACATGTCTGTAATCCCAGCACTTTGGGAGGCCAAGTCAGGAGAGTCACTTGAACCTGGGAGGCAGAGGCTGCAGTGAGGCAAGACTGTGCCACTGTACTCCAGCCCGGGCAACAGAGCAAGACACCATCTCAAAAAATAATAATAATAAATAAATACAATTGCAGTTGACTCCATAGTCTTTTTTTTTTTTTTTTTGAGACAGAGTCTCATTCTGTTGCCCGTGCTGGAGTGCAATGGCATGATCTTGGCTCACTGCAACCTCAATCTCCTGATCTCCCAGGCTCAGGTGATCCTCCCACCTTAGCCTCCCGAGTAGCTGGGACTACAGGTATGCACCATCACACTCAGCTAATTTTTTTTTTTTGAGACGGAGTCTCGCCCTGTCTCTCAGGCTGGAGTGCAATGGCATGATATCAGCTCACTGCAACCTCTGCCTCCTGGATTCAAGAGATTCTCCTGCCTCAGCCTCCCAAGTAGTTGGGATTACAGGCCAAGCCACCATGCCTGGCCAATTTTTTGTATCTTTAGTAGAGATGGGGTTTTATCATGTTGGCCAGGCTGGTCTCAAACTCCTGACCTCGTGATCTGCCCGCCTCAGCCTCCCAAAGTGCTGGGATTACAGGCGTGAGCCACTGTGCCCGGCCTCGGCGAATTTTTGTATCTTTTGCAGAGATGGGTTTTCACCATGTTGTCTGGGTTTCATAGTCTTAAAGGGAATCATTCTTTCCCCCAAACTGCAGTAACATTATTGGTGCCAAATCACCCTCTTCCCTTGACCTGGTTCATCTTAACCAAGTGTTCCCTTCTTGCTTCCTGCTTCCTCTTTCACCCCACTTAGAATAGAAACATCAGAGCCTTTACTAGCTGGAAACCATAATGGGAGAGAAAGGTCAAAATATGCTGAATTAAAACATAAGTGGGATATTATCCTCACCCAAAGATAAAAATTTGAAGTTACCAACAATAAAGAAGCTAATGGAAATTAATTAATATTCCTTCCTCAAATATTTATTTGAGCATTAACTCTCTCTTAGACACTGTGCTAGAAGCTAGAAATAGAAATATGAGATGCAGCCAGGCACGGTGGCTCAGCCACCGTGATTACTCCCAGCACTCTGGGAGGCTGAAGTGGGTGGATCATTGAGGTCAGGAGTTCGAGACCAGCCTGGCCAACATGGTGAAACCCCCGTCTCTACTAAAAATACAAAAATTATCCAGGCATGGTGGCGCGTGCCTGTAATCCTAGCTACTGGGGAGGCTGAGGCAGGAGAATCACTTGAATCTAGGAGGCAGAGGGTGCAGTGAACTGACATTGTGCCATTGCACTCCAGCCTGGGAGACAAGAGCGAAACTGTCTCAGAAAAAGAAAAGAAAAGAAAAAAAAAGGAAACATAAGATCCAGTCTCTGTTCTAAAGGAAGACAAGGAGATGCTAGGGCCAGTGTGCTTGGCACTATGTTAGAGTTCTGTAAGCTCCCAGCAGAGCACACAGGAAGGAATGGGCGGTGATAGCAGGGAGAGTGGGGAAGGTTGGGGAAAGGCAGGGATAGGAGAAGCTTGAAAGGTCCAATTTGAGCAAGGACATGAAGGTGTGAATAAGCAGCTGAACACAGAGAAGCACAGGTAGTCAGCATGGCTGAAGCACAGGGTCCCAGTGGGGAGACTGCTTGAGAACCAAGGCACAGCATGAGGCAGAGGCCAGTTTGGGTGTTTGAACTTTCTTCAGAAGCTAGAGGTGCCACTGAAGAGTTTCAAACACAGGAGTGGCATTATTATTATTATTGAGACAGTTTCGCTCTTGTTGCCCAGGCAGGGGTGCAGTGGTGCAATCTCGGCTCACTGCAACCTCCACCTCCCAGGTTCAAACAATCCTCCTGCCTCAGCCTCCCAAGTAGCTGGGATTACTGGCATGTGCCATCATGCCCAGCTAATTTTGTACTTTTAGTAGAGACAGGCTTTCACCATGTTGGCCAGGCTGGTCTCGAACTCCTGACCTCAGGTAATCCATCCACCTCAGCTTCCCAAAGTGTTGGGATTACAGGCGTGAGCCACCGTGCCCAACCAGGAGTGACATAATTATATTTGGTTTCAGGGAGATCACTATGGCTGCAGTGTGCAGTGCGGGCGGAAGGGTTTGAGGATGGTGGTAGGAAGTTCACCCAGACCGGAGCCCATGGTGGCTGAAACACAGAGTTAGCATTGGGAGAGGAAGGGCACTGAGAGAGAAGTGAAGCAATTGGATGTTGACTAGATTTGGGAGATGACAAAGCATGGGATCTAGGATGACTCTGTTTTAGATGCCCAGGTGGATAGATGGTGGTACCACTCACTGAATTACAGAATACAAAAGCTAAAGCAAGTTTACGGGGAAGATAATTAATCTTGAGATACATATGGGACATCCAGATGGCAGAGCCAGAGAGCTAAGAGGCCCACCATGGCATGCTGCAGAGCCAGGGCAAGGAAAGGGGCAGGGCAAGCCCAGAGAAACCTCTGCAGAACCTGGCTGGGAGGGGCGGATTGACAGTGGAAGAGACAAAGGGCACACGGTGGAAGAGGGTGTTTTTTTGGGGGGTTAGGACAGGGTCTTGCTCTGTCATCAGAGTTGGAATACAGTGGTGTGATCATAACTCACTGTAGCCTCAAACTCTGGGGCTCAAGGAATCCTCCCACCTTAGCCTCCCAAGTAGCTGGGACCACAGATGCATGCCACGATGCCTGGCTAATTTTGTAATTTTTTGTAGACATGCGGACTTGCTCTATGCCCAGGCTGATTTAGAACTCCTGGCCTCAAGTGATCTTCCAGCCTCAGCCTCCCAAAGTGGTAGGATTATAGGCACGAGCTACCATGCCCAGCCAAGGCTGGTTTTTAAGTTTAAGACATGTGAAACATAAATATGTATCCAGATTGTGAAAAAGAAGCCAGTAGAACTGGAATATTTGATGGAGAAATCCCATCTTTATGTCTTACATCTTGTGGATATTGAACTTTCAAAGAAAAGGTAATGATATCTGTAAGAAGCCACTCTTACTCTAAAATAAATCCTAGACAGTGTCAGAATTATAGCATAGTCCCTCTTGCCTCATCGACAGCAAACAATAATTTTGATGCACAAACAAGATATATATCCAAAATTGCAAGAATCACGCAAAGGAACGTAACTCAGAATGGCAGGCGCAGGCCTAATATCTTCATCTGCATCTGTGTTCCACCAATATCCTAACAGCATCCAGCCCTTCTCATTGGACTTTTCTATTTCGGTGGGATCTGTGATACAATCACATAGGCATTTTCCAGATTTATGCAGATAATACAGAATATCATTATAAATTCATGACATAGACATTGACGGGCTGTACATGGAACCCAGCTATAGAAAGGGAAAGGCAAAGAAAAAGAACCTGGCTAGGAGTACATTGAAGATGAAGACACACTGGAAATATTCCCACCCAAGCCTTCCGACTCGGCACTCAGTAGTGAGTGATCATGAAGGTTTCTGGCAGGAAGAGGACACTCAAGGAGATTGATCAAATGTCTCTTTTTTCCTCCTCCCTGATCTTCTACCTTCTGGACTGTGCTTTGTCTTTTTTTTTTTTTGAGACGGCTGTCGCCCAGGCTGGAGTGCAATGGCGCGATCTCGGCTCATTGCAAACTCCGCCTTCTGGGTTCACGCCATTCTCCTGCCTCAGCCTCCTGGGTAGCTGGGACTACAGGTGCCTGCCACCACGCCCGGCTAATTTTTTTGTATTTTTAGTAGAGATGGGGTTTCACCGTGTTAGCCAGGATGGTCTCGATCTCCTGACCTCGTGATCCACCCACCTCGGCCTCCCAAAGTGCTGGGATTATAGGCGTGAGCCACCGCGCCCAGCCTGTGCTTTGTCTTTGAGGACACCAGATTCCCATGAGTAAAGAGGGAGCCATTTAGTCAATTCTGCTTCCTCAGGGTCTCCTCCATTTTCCTTCGTTCGGTGCCCTTGTCTGCAGGCCTTCATCCCCTCTGGACCTTGGCAGAAGCCTGACTGGTCTTTATGCTGTGGAATCACTCAGACCCGAGTTGAAATCTTGGTTCTGATACCTTATGGCTGTGTGACCTAGGTTAAGTCACTTCACCTTTCTGAGTCTGTTTCCACACTTGTAAAACAGAGATGGCTACTCAATAAATGGTGACTAGTATTGTTGTTATTTATGCCTTCAATCTCTATCCAGGGTTCTTTTTCTTTTCTTTTTTATTTTTTTGAGACGGAGTTTCAATCTTCTCACCTAGGCTGGAGTGCAATGGTGTGATCTTGGCTCCCTGCAACCTCCACCTCCCAGGTTCAAGTGATTCTCCTGCCTCGGCCTCCCGAGTAGCTGGGATTAAAGACATGCCCAGCTAATTTTTGTATTTTTGTAGAGATGGGGTTTCACCATGTTGGTCAGGCTGGTCTTGAACTCCTGACCTCAAGTAATCTGCCCGCCTTTGCCTCCCAAAGTGCTAGGATTACAGACGTGAACCAAGTAATCTGCCTGCCTCTGCCTCCCCAAGTGCTAGGATTACAGACGTGAGCCACCACACCTGGCTCCTAGGGTTATTTTTCTAAAGCATGGATCTGACCATGTCTCCTTTCTGTTCAAAACCTGCTGTGGTCTCTCCTTCCTTATGGAGTGAGGTCCAGATGTCTCAGCCAGGTGTTAAAAGCCCAGTCTGCCTCTTCAGCCATTATCCTCCACGCTTTCACCCTTTCCCCTGCTATGTATGCTCTTGCAATAACTTCTTTCCATTCCTTGAATGAACCGCGTGCTCCTCCTCAGTGCCTTTCTATTAAGTGCATCTGTGTGTTTGTCATCAATGCTTTTATTTTTTAACCTGATCAGCCTATCCAATGCATACCCATTCAAAACCCCAATTCTTTGTCTCTCTGTCTCACCTAAGTGCCTTTGGGATGTAGCTTGTGTGTGTCTGTGGGTCTGTTACAGCATTTACTGGTCTGAGACATTTCAAGAATGATTTTTTATTTATTATGGTTTTAGAACATCTGGAGAGTAGGCCCTTACCTTTTTTATCCTGGTGTCTCTCTGTCAAGTTCCCTCCCTCTCATCCCTCTTTTCCTGCACTTAGGAGGTAAGAAATAAATGGTTGTTAAATTGAATTGAACAAGCCACTCATACTGCAGGTCTCTAAATCTTTAGAGTGAGCTGTGATGATACAGAGTTTCATCTTTACACAGCGAATTCCTTTGTGGTTATTGGCTCTGCACGTGAGCATAAAGAGGACACACAGGGTAGCTGTGTTCAGTAATTACCTTATCCTCCAAGTGGAAGAAGGTGGGGAGACTTAGCTCATCACGTCAGTCTTAACAACTAGAAAAAAAGATACAGTAAAGTGGATTTTGATGGTGTGTGGAGAAAAAAGAGTGTGGGTGTTTATGAATTAAAATGAAATGAGCTCTGGCCGGGCATGGTGGCTCATGCCTGTTATCCCAGCACTTTGGGAGGCGGAGGTGGGCGGATCACCTGAGGTCAGGAGTTCAAGACCAGCCTGGCCAACATGGTGAAACCCCGTCTCTACAAAAATACAAAAATTAGCTGGGTATGATGGCAGGTGCCTGTAATCCCAGCTAGTTGGGAGGCTGAGGCAGGAGAGTCGCTTGAACCTGGGAGGCAGAGGTTGCTGTGAGCTGAGATCTCACCATTGTACCCTAGACTGGTGACAGAGTG
Source organism: Homo sapiens (assembly GCF_000001405.40). Classification (NCBI taxonomy): domain Eukaryota; kingdom Metazoa; phylum Chordata; class Mammalia; order Primates; family Hominidae; genus Homo; species Homo sapiens. The sequence continues at coordinate 226,010,403 of NC_000001.11, read as the reverse complement.
AGACTCCATCTCAAAAAAAAAAAAAAAAAAGAAAAGAAAAGAACTGAGCTCTATAATATCCTGAGGAATCGAAGGCAGTGCCTCTGTAATCTGCATCTCTGGTTTTTTGTGTAGAAACTCTTTAGTTAACTTATAGTTCCTTACTTCAATCTCAGACTTCTTTGAATACCAATCTTAGGGCATACTATTAGGTGTGACTTGAAAAGAAGTTCCATAGTCAATTAAGTTTGCAAAATACTGGATTAAACAAACAAAATAAAATTTCTCAGGGCTTTTACTATGTTAATAAATTTTGTGAATCTCTAAAAGAGGGCACATGGTATAGGAGTTGTTACAGAATGAATGTTTGTGTCTCTGCCAAACTCAGTTTTTTTTAAGAGATGGGGTCTCACTCTATTGTCCAGGCTGGAGTGCAGTGGCACCATCATAACTCACTGCAGCCTCAAACTCCTGGCCTCAAGCAATCCTCCTGCCTTAGCCTCCTGGGATTACAGGCTCAAGCCACCATGCTTGGTTCAAATTCACATATTGAAGCCCTAACCCCCAGTGCGACGGTACTAGGAGAGGCAGCCTTTGGGAGGTAATTAGGGTTAGAGAGGTTAGGATGTAGCGCTCATTATGGGATTAGTGCCCTTATCAGAAGAGGAACAGACTGCATCTTGCTCTCGCTCTCTCTCTCTCCCATCTGGACATGCCAGCAAAAAGGCATCTGTCTATAAGCCGTAAGAGGGCCCTCACCAAGAACTGAATCTGCCAGCACCTAGATCGTGGGACTTCCCAGCCTCTAGAACTATGAGAAATAAATATCTGTTGTGTAAGTTACCTGGTATGTTTTTCTTTCTTTCTTTCTTTTCTTTTCTGAGACAGTCTCGCTCTGTCGCCCAGGCTGGAGTGCAGTGACACGATCTCGGCTCACTGCAACCTCCACTTCCTGGGTTCCAGTGATTCTCCTGCCTCAGCCTCCCAAGTAGCTGGGATTACAGGCAGGCGCCATCACACCCTGCTAATTTTTGTATTTTTAGTAGAGACAGGGTTTCACCATGTTGGCCAGGATGGTCTCGAACTCCTGACCTCACGTGATCCTCCCACCTCGGCCTCCCACATTTCTGGGATTACAGGCGTTAGCCATTGCTCCCGGCCTGGTATGGTATTTTGTTACAGCAGCCCAAGTCAGACTAAGACAGGAGTGTTCTCAAATGTATCTGAAAATGGAATTCTTTTATAACAGCGCATTGTGGTCTAGGGTTTTCTGGAGTGCACTTTGGGAGATGCCGCTCTGATTTAACCTTCATAGAATCTGGAGCCTGTATATAGATTTGTTTCATCTCCTAACAGCAGCACATGATGCGCATTATGCCTTTCCTTCTATCAATGTCCAGAGGACTTCGACAGTGACTATGCATTTCATGTTCTTTATGAATCCTTTACACAGCCCAAATACATGGATTCTAGATTTCTGGTAAATATTCTAAGGAAAACCTTCTACTAATTTATGGAAAATGAGAGAATTTTTGTATCGTTCCTATCCTTACCTTCTTATTCAGAATGATGTAGGTTGTCTGTATTCAAAGGCTACAGGTAATTAAAAAGAAAAGTGAGGTATTTAATTAAATGTCACATTACACTAACAAGGAGGAAATTGTTTTTTGTACATAAAGCAGCTTGTCTTACCCTCTGTCTGAAATACATTAGAATATAAAAATTATCGGCTGGGCACAGTGGCTCACGCCTGTAATTCCAGCACTTTGAGAGGCTGAGGTGGGTGGATCACTTGAGGTCAGGAGTTTGAGATCAGCCTGGCCAACATAGTGAAACCCTGAATCTACTAAAAATACAAAAAATTAGCAGGGCGTGGTGGTGCTCACCTGTAATCCCAGCTACTTGGGAGGCTGAGGCAGGAGAATCACATGAACGCACGAGACAGAGGTTGCAGTGAGCTGAGATCAAGCCATTCCACTCCAGCCTGGATGACAGAGCAAGACTCCATCTCAAATAAATAAATAAAATAAAAATAAAAATTATTTGGAGGAGTGCCTAAATAGCTAAGACCTTCACTGTCTGGAACTTTTAGAAAACCTGCTGTTCTGGATAGCTGAGGTTCCCTGATTGTTAGGGTTTAACCCATAAATTCACGAATATTCAAAATTCTTCCCTTTCTAGAGAACTTTTTCTTCTTCTTCTTCTTTTTTTTTTTTTTTTTGAGACAAAGTCTCGCTCTTGTCCCCCAGGCTGGAGTGCGATGGCGCGATCTCGGCTCACTGCGACCTCCGCCTCCCGGGTTCAAGCAATTCTCCTGCCTCAGCCCCCCGAGTAGCTGGGATTACAGGCACGCCACCACGCCCGGCTAATTTTTGTATTTTTAGTTGAGACGGGGTTTCACCATGTTGGCCAGGCTGGTCTCGAACTCCTGACCTCAGGTGATCCACCCACCTCGGCCTCCCAAAGTGCTGGGATTACAGGCATGAGCCACTATGCCCAGCCGACTTTTTCTAAAATGTGTTTTGTGCTGCCTTGCCATCATAACTAGAAAACACTGAACATAACTGAGCCTTTGCATTAGACTCGGGATATGGAAAATCCCTTTAGGGCCTATTGTCGTGTGTCACATTGTTTGACCCAATACAATCTTTTCCCCAATGGTGGTGATTTGGAGTTTCTTCTCTGTGTTGATTTTTTTTTTCTTCCTTCCTTCCTTCCTTTCTTTCTCTCTCTTTCTTTCCTTTTCCTTTCTTTTCTTCTTCTTCTTCTTTTCTTTTTTTCTTTTTGAGACAGGGCCTCACTTTTTCACCCAGGCTGGAGTGCAGTGGCATGATCATGGCTCACTGCAGCCTTGACCTCCCAGGCTCAAGCGATCCTCCCACCTCAGCCTCTGGAGTAGCTGGGACTATGGGCATGCATCACCACACCCAGCTAGTTTTTTGTATTTTTAATAGAGACAGAGTTTCGCCATGTTGGTCAGGCTGGTCTCAAACTCCTGGTCTAGGATTACAGGCGTGGGCCACCACACCGGCCTGATTTTTGTCTTTAAATACAGGCGGTGGCTCACTCCTGTAATCCTAGCACTGTGGGAGGCTGAGGCAGGCGGGTCACTTGAGGTCAGGAGTTCAAGACTAGTCTGGCCAACGTGGTGAAACTCCATCTCTACTAAAAATACAAAAGTTAGCTGGGCGTGGTGGCGGGTGCCTCTAATCCCAGCTACTCAGGAGGCTGAGGCAGGAGAATCACTTGAACCTGGGAGGTGGAGGTTGCAGTGAGCCAAGATTGCGCCACTGCACTCCAGCCTGGGTGACATAGAGAGACTCAGTCTCAAAAAAAAAAAAATCACTCTGGTAGGCAGCCCTTATTTCTCATTCTTGTCCCCATGCCAGCCTCTTGCAGCCCCCATTTTGCTCTCTTCTCTTCCTGTCTCCTCACTAATTTTCTGCAGGCTGTTAAGCAGAGCACAATAGAATCTATTTTAGAATCTGTTTTATTTTATTTTATTTTATTGGAGACAGGGTCTTGCTCTGTCACCAAGGTTGGAGTGCAGTGATGCAATCCTGTCTCACTGCAACCTCAACCTCTCAAGCTCAAGTGATCCTCCCACCTCAGCCTCCTGAGTACCTGGGACTACAGGCATGTGCCACCTTGCCCAGCTAATTTTTGTATTTTTTGTAGAGGCAAGGCTTTGCCATATTGTCCAGGCTGGTCTTGAACTTCTGGACTCAAGTGATTATCCCACCTCAGCCTCCCAAAGTGCTGAGATTACAGGTATGAGCCACCACGCATGGCCTAGAATATTTTTTAAAACAAGAAGGGCCTAGAATTCTACAAGAAAATTATACAGACATTAACTGTTCAGAAGCCATTGCACTTATTTCTATTTTTAGTTTTTAAAAGTGTTTTTCAGGGTGCTACAGTGGCTCATGCCTGTAATCCCAACACTTTGGGAGGCTGAGGTGGGAAGATCACTTGAAGCAAGGAATTCAAGACCAACCTCTACAAAAAACCTCTACAAAAAATGTTTTTAAAATTTACAAAGCAAGACCTTGTCTCTACCAAAAAAAAAAATTAAAAATTAAAAAGGTAGCTGGGTGTGGTAGTATACACCTGTGGTCCTGGCTACTTGGGAGACTAAGGCAGGAGGTTTGCTTGAGGCTAGGAGTTTGAGGCTGAGTGAGCTAAGATTGGGCCACTGCCCACTCCAGCCTGGGTGGCAGAGTGAGACTCTGTTTCTTTTCTTTTCTTTCTTTCTTTTTTTTTTTTTGAGACAGAGTCTGGCTCTGTCACCCACACTGGAATGCAGTAGTGCGTCTAAGCTCACTGCAACCTCAGCCTTAGGCTCTCCTGCCTCAGGCTACCGAGTAGCTGGGACTACAGATGTGCACCACCACGCCCGGCTAATTTTTGTATTTTTAGTAGAGATGGAGCTTAGCCAAGTTGTCCAGGCTGGTCGTGAACTCCTGACCTCAAGTGATCCACCCACCTTGGTCTCCCAACGTGCTGGGATTACAGACATGAGTGACCACGCCTGGCCAAGAACCTGTTTCAAAAAAACAAAAATGTATTCCAGATAGGTGAGTTACAGAATGTTGGGTTTTTCAAATAAATTCAGTAAACTTATTCAAAGCTGAATCCTAATTCAATTGCCCAATGACCCCGGACCTTTTATATTATTTTATTTAAAAATTTTTTTTCAGAAACAGTGTTTTGCTATATTGCTCAGGCTGGACTTGAACTCCTGGGCTCAAGTGATCCTCCTACTTCAGCTTCCGCCCCTGACTTTTTATTTTTATTTATTTATTTATTTATTTATTTTTGAGATGGAGTCTTGCTGTGTCACCAGGTTGGAGTAGAGTGGCATGATCTTGGCTCAATGCAACCTCCGCCTCCTGAGTTCAAGCAATTCTCCTGCCTCAGCCTCCCGAGTAGCTGGGACCACAGGTGTACACCACCACGCCCAGCTAATTTTTGTATTTTTAGGAGAGACGGGGTTTCACTATGTTGGCCAGGATGGTCTCAATCTCTTGACCTCCTGATCCACCCATCTCGACCTCCCAAAGTGCTGAGATTACAGGTGCGAGCCACCGCGCCCGGCATTTTTATTTTGAGATGGAGTTTTGCTCTTGTTGCCCAGGCTGAAGTGCAATGGCGCGATCTCAGCTCACTGCAACCTCCACCTCCTGGGTTCAAGCGATTCTCCTGCCTCAGCCTCCCAAGTAGCTAGGATTACAGGCGTGCACCACCATACCCAGCTAATTTTGTGTTTTTAGTAGAGATAGGGTCACCACGTTGGCCAGGCTGGTCTCGAACTCCTGACCTCAAGTGATCCAACTGCCTCGGCCTCCCAAAGTGCTGGCATTACAGGTGTGAGCCACTGTGCCCGGCCAGCACCTGACTTTTTAATTGATAGGGCACAACACCTTCTATTTTAGAAATCTCAAAGAAGGCTGGGAGTGGTGGCTCACGCCTGTAATCTCAGCATTTTGGGAGGCCAAGGCAGGTGGATCATCTGAGGTTGAGAGTTCAAGACCAGCCTGGCCAACATGGTAAACCCCATCTTTACTGAAAATACAAAAATTAGCCAGATGTGGTGGCACATGTCTGTAATCCCAGCTATTTGGGAGGCTGAGGCAGGAGAATAGCTTGAACTCGGGATGCAGAGGTTGCAGTAAGTCGAGATAGCACCACTGCACTACAGCCTGGGTGACAGAGCTAGACTCTGTCTCACAAAAAAAAGAAAAGAAAAGAAAAGAAATCTCAAAGGATTCACAATCTGGAAGTCTGGCCACATCCTGTGGTAGATAGGTAAATTCTACCAATAGTCATAGTCGTAACTCTTCAACCATTCAGAAACAAATGTGTAAAATAGTCAGATGAGCTTCCTGAGTTCACACAGCAAAACATCTAGGGAATAAGAGACATTTGACTTTCAGTCAGTCTCTCTCTATTTGCCAAATAACATTTCCTCTTCGGTTGCACAGCTAAATTTAAATAAAATAATGAAGGTTATTTATTTGAGACAGAGTCTTGCTCTGTTGCCCAGGCTGGAATGCAGTGGTGTGATCTCGGCTCACTGCAACCTCTGCCCACCGGGTTCAAGCGATTCTCGTGCCTCAGCCTCCCGAGTAGCTGGGACTACAGGCATGCACCACCATGCCTGGCTAATTTTTGTATTTTTAGTAGAAGGGGATTTCACCATGTTGGCCAGGCTTGAACTCTTGACCTCAAGTGATCTGCCTGCCTCAGCCTCCCAAAGTGCTGGGATTACAGACGTGAGCCACCGTGCCCAGCCAAAGGTTATTTATTTATCAAAGATATTCAGTTAGTGGATATGATGGTTAATTTTATGTCAACTTGCTTGGGCCATCATGTGCCCAGATGTTTGGTCAAACATGATTCTGGGTGTTCCTTTGGGGTGTTTTTGGATGAGGTTAACATTTGAATCAGTAGACTGAGTAAGGCAGGTTGCCTCCCCTAATGTGGGTGGACCACATCCAATCAGTTGAAGGCCTGAATAGAACAAAATGGTTGACACTTGCCCCAGTAAAGGAGAACTCCTCCTGCCTGACTCCTTTTGAACTGAGACATCAGCTTTTCCCTGCCTTTGGACTTGAGGACTTGAACTAAAACACAGACTCTTTCTTAGTTCTCCAGTCTGCTGGCCTTCTTGTGGGAACTACACCATTAGCTCTCCTGGGTCTCCAGCTTGCCGACTCACCCTGCAGATCTTGGGACTTGTCAGCCTCCATAATCATGTGAGCCAATTCCTTATTATCTATCTATGTATTTATTGATCTATCTGTCTATTCATCCATCCATTCATCCTATTGGTTCTGTTTCTCTGGAAAACCCTAATAGAGTAGACATACACCAATGTCAACTAATTAAACTACCCCCAAAGGCCTATCACTTCTCCAGCAAGAAAATCCCTCTTTGAAATGCTTGGCTATACAGAATTCAAACAGGATCATGGATTTTTATTGACCAGAGAGAAATCAAGTTCAATGTTGAAAAAAATTCTAGTACTGAGATACTAAATTTCTGGAAGATAGGCACTATGCTAGTTTTGCTTTATAGTTTTAGTACAGTGAATAATATAGAAATTTTATTTTTTAAATGAAACAGCATTGTTTGATGGTGATGATAAGAGTAATGATAACCAGTAGGGCTTTGTAAGCTAGTGTTGTCATGATAATGCAAACAAGGTAATATCTAGAGCAACTGGGAGTGATAGAATTTATTGGCGGAAGTCCACTCTGAAGGACGGTCCTTTTGTCTTGCTGATACTACAAAGAGGTGGGCTTCTACACTCAGCACTGACTGTGAGGCCAACTTTTTATCTCTGCTCTGCACCTCTACCCTAGTGTTCTTTTCTGCCCTCTCATGCTCCTTTCCAGTGTCAGTGCTGAACACAACCCTTCTCTGCCTCTCAACTCCACCTCACCATTGTCCTGTTTTCTTCCATCCAATAAGGAAGGAGGGCGGGGCTGTGCCTTCCCTGACAGCCAGCATCTTGGGACTTGCTTCAGGCTCCACCTCCCACACCATCCACCACCCGCTGTGGACTACACAGCTCTCACCCAGATGCTGTTTTTCCATCCTAGGAGCTGACCTCATTGTCCCTGGGGCTGGAGCCATCTATAAGGCAACACTTGCCAATTTGGGGGTTTATGGCATTTTTGCATTTCTGGCACAGAAGGAGTCAGCCTGTCCCATTGTCTTTTGTCATAAATAAGGTATTAGCAACCACCTTTCCTCTCTGCGCACAAACATGGCTGAAAACACAGAAGTGCGACTTGCATGTCACACATGGATATCGATTCACTAGTTTAGGAGCGTGGCTGCTGTTTATGGAAATTGCCAGCATACAGTTCTGCTTCCTGTTCTTGCAGACCAGCATGACATTTGGCTCGATTGAGCCCCTGTCATGGGTTGCCACACAAACATTGTCTGTCTGGTGCTGTCATTTCCTGGCAGTGAACAATTATTCCACATTGCCTCAAGATGCCCTCCCAGTGTCCCTCTCACGGCAGCAGAACCAGTCCTCAAAAGGCAAATGTGTGGCCAGAGCATTCTTCTGGAGAACATAGGCAGGAACAAAGCCAGTGTGGTTTACTGGAAAGCACACCAAATATAGTCTGAGGAGCATGGCCACACTATGTAGACAATAGAGGAACTGGCCCCCCTCCCACTCACCATTTAGTTGTCACAACCACACACGTGCCTTCCTGTGCCTTCCCTGACGTCATGAGGTGGGAAAGGTAGCAGCAGTTGGCTCTTTTCCATAATCACTGATCAGCCCCGCCACATAGCACTGTCAACTGGAAGCTACCACACACCCATAGTAACCCAGCTAATAGCTGTCTTTCTAGATTTTTTTTTTTTCACTGATGTGCACTGTGTTCTTGGCCATAGCCCTAACTTTACATGCTTCAATTTCCTCATTCTTTAAAGGAATTTAATAGCAATCCAAGTTAAATTCTGCATCCTTACAATAGATTGTTATATTAGTGCAAAATATATTTCATCATATGTACATTGAGAATAATTAACTTCTACCTTAGTAATCCATCAAGTATCCAACTAATATTTACTTAATATCTACTCTGTACATGTCATGGTACTACACGCTCATTTTGAAGTTTTAACAACAAATTATATATTACTTGGAAATTTGTGTCTTTCAAAAGCTAATATCAATGGTTATTTCATATTTTAAATGACAAATACCTATTCAATACTTGGGATTCTTTAAATAATAGGAATTTAAATGCAACAGAGGGATAAAAAGCGAAAAATTCCATTCAGACATCAGGTTTTATGAGGACTAAATATAATGTTAGTAATAAATGATGTGGAGTTTCCTTACTGGAAAGTACTACTTATGCCAGGCACGGCAGGTCACGCCTGTAATCCCAGCACTTTGGGAGGCTGAGGCGGGAGGATCTTTTGAGCCCAAGAGTTCAAGACCAGCCTGGGCAACTTAGCGAAAAACTCGTCTTTACAAAAAATTTAAAAATTAGCCAGGTGTGGTGGCATGCACCTGTAATCCATCTGGAGTCTGTGGCAGATCACTTGAGCCCAGGAGTTCAAGGCTGCGTGTGCTATGATTGCGCCACTACACTCCAGCCCAGGTGGCAGAGCGAGTGTCTCAAAAAAGAAAGAAAGAAAGAAAAAAAAGACTAATCATAATAATTCCTCACAAGACACGAAGCATTATCCCGACACAAAAAATGTTTTGGAAACCCAAACTGACCTTTATACAGTTACTTGTAGGATCTCAGACCTTTGAAATGGTCATTTAAAAAAATTATTTATTTATTTGAAATAGTCATTTTTGATCACCAGAAGGAAGAAATCACAAATAAAAAAAGAAGAGGCTTAAGGCTCAGATCTGTAGATTACTTTTTCAGGAACCTGGAGGACAGAGAGCTGGGGAGCAGACTGCAGAGGGACTTGAGGTTTCTGGAGTTTGGACGGCTTACATGTAACCTGGCGACACCTTCACGCCCCAGGGTTGCCATGGCACCACCTTTCCGAAATACTGCTTCCTAGGTACAATATATCTTTTTTTTCTGAAACGGAGACTCTCTCTGTCGCCCAGGCTGGAGTGCGATGGCACGATCTCAGCTCACTGCAACCTCTGCCTCCCGGGTTCAAGCGATTCTCCTGCCTCAGCCTCCTGAATAGCTGGGATTACAGACGCGCACCACCACGCCCGGCTAATTATTGTATTTTTAGTAGAGATGGGGTTTCACCATGTTGGTGAGGCTGGTTTCGAACTCCTGACCTCGAGATCCGCCCGCCTCAGTCTCCCAAAGTGCTGGATTACAGGCATGAGCCACCGCGCCCGGCCAGTACAATCTATCTTTATTATTTTTTTTTTTGTAATTTTTATTTATCTACTGGCATCCCCATGGAGGCCCTTTCTCTCCCCAACTTTCCCTCGTGTGTGAAATAAAGACCACTGAATCTATTAACTTCCCAGGCCTTGAAATTCCATTTTCGCACATACTGCCACCGCTAAACGATTTCTGAATTTTTTGTTGTTACCCCCTCAGCTAGGAGTTCCATTTGCCAAGCATTTTAACAGCAGAGAAGGCAATTCTGTGGGCCGATGCATTTGTGTTTAGCAGGCACAGATATCTCCAAATAACCTTCCTATCTTCACACTGGTGGCTTTTGAATTGTTCAGGGTTTTAGAAATACCATAATCTCATTCTGTTAAATATTAAGGGACTCTTTCGGATTCCCTGAGCCTTAAGGTTACGTTATGCAAATCTGTCCGAGTGTGTTTCCATGGTGCAGAATAAAAGTTATGGTAGGGTTTTTTGAAGCAGCATGACTATAAACGTCACTCCTGTCACTGCCTTTCACAAGAGCCCACTTGCTGTGAAATATTTTGAAAACAGAGCTGAAGTGGAGATAACGCAGTGCACAAACAGGCGGAAATAAGAATAAACCGTGCGTGGCAGGCAGAAACCCGGAGGTTGGCTGTTTCTGGAGGGGAAGAGAAGGCTCTGTAAAGCTGGAGGAGAAACCACGCCGGCCACTGTTTAGGGGCCTCCTGGGGGTCGTTTCCCTTGCCCCCTCGGGTTGGGGAGCTCCTCTAGGCCAAGGAAGCGGCCCCCTAAAACCGCTTCCGGGACTGCAGCTTCTCTCCCCACACTCTCAAGGAGCAGAGCCTTCTCGGGCCACAATTCTCCGCGACCCAAAAATAACTACACAGATGTGAGGAAAAGGGCCAAAGCCTACAGCACAAGGTGGTTCTCAGTTAAAGCCTTATCGCTTACGGCCAGGAAGCTCGAAACCTAACCCAGCGCCAGCCTTTTATAGCCGGTCCCTCGAGCCCCGCCCTAGCAACTTCTCCTAGCAACGCCTCGCCCCGTGCTCTGCCGCCTTATCTGCCTCCGCCAGGCCTTTCCTGTTCCCCTCCCCCAGCCCGCACCGCCCCGCCGCCCGGCTCACTTGACCCGCCCCAGGGGAGGGGAGGGGTGAACGGAAGCGTGAGGGGCGGGGCGTTGGAAGATGCTCGCGTCATCAAGAGGCGCCGGGCGAGTTGCGGCGCCTGGTGTCTCAGAGAGGCTTGAGGTTCGGGTAGTCGGTGACATGGCGGAGGCCGCGGCGCTGGTGTGGATTCGCGGCCCTGGCTTCGGGTGCAAGGCGGTGCGGTGTGCCTCGGGTCGGTGCACCGTCCGGGATTTTATCCACCGGCACTGCCAAGATCAGGTGAGGATTTCGGTTCCTGTTAGGAAGGAGAAAGAGGCAGACAGGTGGCAGCGCTGGGTGCGGAGTAGGTCTGTCCGGGGCGGGGGTACGTTTATTCTCTGGGGTTTTCACTCGTTGAGGCTGAGAGTTCCTCAGTGTTAAGGTGCTTCGAATTGTTACTGAGACCTTCCTTTGCTTTTCTTTTGTGGTGGTGGTTTTGCCTTCCCACCAAGAGGGAGAAAAAAACTGTTACAGGCACTTAGTCCCGCTCACAGTTACAAATACTTTGTTTCTCTTTCTTTATCCGTAAATATAATGGTCTTCTGGCAGTTGGGCCGGCTGATTTTTAAGGCTCCAGTCTTCACCTTCTTACTATGGTTATGTGACGTGTATTTTGTCCACTCATCACACAGCCTTGTTAGCCCCAGCCTAGAGAAGTATGTCATATCCAAACCCAGGCCAAAGGATGATTGGGAAGGAAAATTGATTCTTCTGGTCAGTCGTTGTGACCAAGCATTCACACGTGTGTCCTGTTGAGGGCCTGGGTTCTTAGGGCCTGTTACGTAGAAGTGTTCACTATTAATTTGATGGTCTCATTTGTCCGTGCATATTTGTGAAAACCTACCAGGGACTTCCAGAGTTACACGTGAGCTTTTACTGAACTTTCAAGTAAGTAAGCTTTTACCAGCTATAAGATATTAAACCTGTTCAGTTGTCAAAAGAATTTAGTGGTTTCCCTGAATCTAATTTTAATGTTGGCACTTGATCTAGAACTCTGTTCTTTCCGCACCTCATCCGTGCTTTCCTCGGCTATTTCCTCTGCTTACTATTTATAAGCTTAACAAATGTTAACACTGCAGTCTAGACCAAAATTTTAAGAGACTTGGATCGATTCCGTGAAGAAGCAATGTGTGTTTGCAAATAATACGGTTTTTCACTTTCCATGTTTTCCTTCCTGCTCTGTAATCCAGTCTAAAAACTGTAAGCACAACTGTTTTTGACCATGAAAATAATTGCATTCTAATTCCTTTGAAAATAATTCTTATTTCATGAGTACAGTGTTCTTTTCTCCCCCTCCCCCACCCCCGACGGAGTTTGACTCCCGTTGCCCGGGCTGGAGTGCAATGGCGTGATCTCGGCCCACTGCAACCTCCGCCTCGCTGAGTTCAAGCGGTTCTCCTGCCTCAGCCTCCCAAATAGCTGGGATTGCAGTCGCCCGCCACCATGCCTGGCTAATTTTTGTATTTTTAGTAGAGACGGGGTTTCACCACGTTGGCCAGGTCTTGAACTCCTGACCTCGGGTGATCCGCCCACCTCAGCCTCACAAAGTGCTGGGATTACAGGCTTGAGCCACTCCTCCCGGCCTATGAGTACAGTTTTCAAACTTGCTGACAATTGATCCAAAGTGAAACCAGAAAAAATAGGATCTTAATCATGAGGTATGTTGGAAAAAAGAATTTTTAAATCGGAAGCAAGAAATATAGGCCAGGCGTGGTGGCTCACGCCTGTAATTCCAACACTTAGGGAGGTCGAGGCGGGCAGATCACCTGAGGTCAGAAGTTCGAGACCAGCTTGGCAACATGGTGAAACCCCATCTCTCCTAAAAATACACAAAAATTAGCCAGGCGTGGCGGCAGACGCCTGTAATCCCAGCTACCCAGGAGGCTGAAGCAGAAGAATCATTTGAACCTGAGAGGTGGAGGTTGCAGTGAGCCGAGATTGAGCCATTGCACTCCAAACTGGGTGACAGAGCAAGACTCGGTCTGAAAAAGTATATATAAAGAAATATAAATGAGTGGATTCAGTCAGAAACTTAAGGAACATGACCATAGCAAATATGAATAGAAACACAAAAGAATATTAGTTGAGATACTGGAACAAGTAAGAATAGCTCAAGTTCACACCTATGTTTTTAAAAACAAAACTATTCTGAGACATGATGAAGTTAGTGTTAACTCCCACTGAGAAAATAAAAATCTGCCCTGCTTTTCATCAGGCTGGGATAACAGACACAGATAAAGCCAGCTGCAAAGTTTTTGTTTTTTGTTTTTGTTTCCCCCACACTACACCGATGTACAGCTGCAGAGTTAACAGGAAATGGTGATGTGTCATAATGTCATAACGACCCCCACGAAGGTCTGCTGCTTTCTTATTCACTGAGAAACCTTGGTCTCAAAAACCATAGAATATATAAGAAATTTTGCTGTTTAAAGTTCTCTCAATAAGAGGGAACCTTCCCACTCTTGCCTTGTAGAGAAGCATTCTTGATTTCCAACCCAGGTCAGAGCTTCCCATTAAGGGTTTCTGGACACAACTTTCCACATTTATCTTAAATTTGTAGTTTCCAAGGAAAGAGGAGCCTTCACAATCCAGATCTGATGTTGACGTTTTTATATACAGTCCTGCTTTATTTTGAACCTTTTTAAACACTGCTTGATGTAAATTTCACCTCAACTCCACCCTAGCCCCAAATCTTGTAATGACACTCCTTTCTTTGGGTTGGTGAGATACCCATGACTCCTGGTGTGCAGTTCCCCTCGTTGCAGTGAATCAGTAAGTTTGACAGGTTTATCTCTGATAGCCTTAGGCTGGTTGTGCTAAAACACACATGATAATTTGTGTTTGAAGCACTTTACAATGCACAAATGGTTAAAAGCAGTTAAATTGAGTCTAAATGTTGTATCCTTTTTTCTGCTTGTGACTTCATTGACAAGAATCTTAAGTAGAAAATGCAATTTTGTTGATCAGTTGTTTTGTTTAATAAGCCATTCTGTTTGGAAATGAAGTATACATCATTTTCATGGTGTATACTTTCTGCCTTCATATTAATATCTTTTAAAATTATTTAGAAATACCATACCCATTAGACATACAAAAGGCTTCTAATGTGTAAACATTAAACAGATACAAAATGTATTACATATCTCATTTAATGTTTACAACAGCTCTTTGAGGTAGACAGTATTTTAAAGACAAGAATAGTCGTTCATGTTACCTCATTGCAGATAGCCTGAGCTCCCTTGCTCCTCTCTCCCGCCATTATATTTGTCTGGGAGAACCCCAGACAGCATAAATCCATCTCTCCACCTGTTCTGCCCTGGCATCTGGGCAGTGACTGTGATAGAGAACTATAATCACATAGCTCAGTCTCCATACATCCACCAGCCTGGTGCTGCTTGGTAATTCTGTATTTCCTTGGTCCAGAGTGGGCTTTTACTGGGTTACAGGACTGCTTAGAGTATTGATTCATGTAGGCTCTGGGGCAGCTACACAGAATCTGGGGCTGCCCAGCATCTTAGGCTATCTTCAGCAACTTTGCTCATTTTTGCTCATTTTTCATGTATTTATGTCTCCTATGGTGTACTTATATAGGTGTATTAAAAACCACACTCTTGACTCCTTCCTTCTCTACTTCTTATTCCTACCTGCACTTTTTAGGATTGAGGACTACTTTTGATGTTCAATTTAATTTTACCTGTTTAAGAAAGTCAGAAAATGGGACCTCCACAGTTATTTAATCTGAGTCCTGCATAGTCTTCTACCTTGACTCAGATTACCTATCAGAGAAGAAGAAGCAGTTTTTGTTGTCACCGCAAAGACTGAAGTTTCTTCTATATGTGATGATTAGGTAATATTGGGAAAAAATTATACCCAAAATGCATCATGTGAAATGACTTTTTCTCCTAGTAGTTTACATTTTCAATTCAACAAATATTAATTGAACACCCTCTGTTGTAACCAGAGTAATAAAAAGACAGCTAGGTCCCTTCTTGTAACAAACTTAGATTATTATCTCATAAAAGGCATTAAAAAAACAAATTTGTCTCTAGAATGTTCCAGTGGAAAACTTCTTTGTGAAATGCAATGGAGCACTCATTAACACCAGTGACACAGTGCAGCATGGAGCTGTTTATAGTTTGGAACCCAGACTTTGCGGTGGAAAAGGAGGTAGGACCTGAACATTGACTACTTAGTTGTAACACATTTGCAGTCTTTATTCATTTATTTTCATATTCTGCTGCTGACATTTGCTGTCTTTAGCCATGGTATTAAATTAACAACCTTCTTAGTCTCTTTAGTATGCCAATATTGTTTTACCTTATGAATTCTTTTATTTACTTAACCTGATTTTGGACATTTTCTCTCTTATTCTTTTGTTTTCTTTCTTTTGAGACACTGCCTTGTTTTGTCGCCCAGGCTGGAGTACAGTGGTACGATCACGGCTCACTGCAGCTTTGACCTCCTGAACTCAAGCAATACTCCCACCTCAGTTTCCCCAGTAGCTGGGACTATAGGCACATGCCACCATGCGCAGCTAATTTTTGTATTTTTTGTAGAGATGGGGTTTCGCCATGTTGCCCAGGCTGTCTTTTATTTTGGTCGAGGAAGAAATATTGTGTGATACAATTCCCACTTTGTTCAGCTGGATAGCTCTTAGGGAACCTAGGCTCTAAAACTTTGGGGGAAAATTAGATGAAGAGAGATGGCCATTATTCTGTTCAATTTGCTGAATAAAGAGTTTTTTTTCTAAATCTCCTTCTGCTTTAATCAGGATTTTGTCTCGTTTTTGTAGTTCCAAAGGAAGTCTAAAGTTACCTTAGGAAACACAATTGTTTATAAGTTGAGGCAGATTAAGGTTTTGTTTGTTTAACACAACTACTAGGAAAGATAACAAAGAGCGAAAACAATATAAACAGTTGTTGGTATTTCTCCTAATGTAGTAACATGTGATCCCTAAGCTTTCTCAAAATCTACAGTGATTTGGTTTGGTTTTCAGAGAGCTGACATCTCAGACTATATCCAGCTGTTTGAAATTGTATGATTAAGAATGAAGCGTGGGCTGGGCACGGTGGCTCACGCCTGTAATCCCAGCACTTTGGGAGGCCAAGGCGGGCGGATCACCTAGGTCAGGAGTTCGAGACCAGGCTAGCCAACATGGCAAAACCCCGTCTCTACTAGAGATATAAAAATTAGCCAGGTGTGGTGTTAGGAGCCTGTAATCTCAGCTACTTGGGAGGCTGAGGCAGGAGAATCACTTGAACCTTGGAGGTGGAGGCTGCAGTGAGCCGAGATTGTGCCACTGCACTACAGCCTGGGCGACACAGTGAGACTCTCTCAAAAAAAAAAAAAAAGAATGAAGCATGTGGCCAGGCATGGTGGCTCATGCCTGTAATCCCAACACTTTGAGAGTCCAAGGTGGGAGGACAGTTTGAACCCAGGAGTTTGAGACTAGCCTGGGCAAGATGGTGAGACCTTGGTCTCTACAAAAAAAAAAAAATAGCTAGCTGCATCGGTACACGCCTGTAATCCTAGCAACTTGGGAGGCTGTGGTAAGAGGATCCATTGAGCCCAGGAGTTCAAGGCTGCAGTGAGCTTTGATTACATCAAGCCATTGCCCTCTAGCCTGGATGACAGAGCAAGGCCCCATCTCTTAGGGGGGATAAAAAGAATGAATGAATGAAGCATGTTATATCAGCCAGTGGAGCTTAAAATTGCCTTTCCTTCTAAACTCATTGAAAAATCTCACTATATACTTTTTAAGTTCTTAATCTGAGAATCTTGGGATCTCTGTGATTGTGTAAAGCTTCTTTTTTTTTTTTTTGAGACAGAGCCTGGCTCTGTTTCCCAGGCTGGAGTGCAGTGGCACGAGCTCAGCTCACTGCAAGCTCTGCCTCCTGGGTTCACGCCATTCTCCTGCCTCAGCCTCCTGAGTAGCTGGGACTACAGGCGCCCGCCACCACGCCTGGCTAATTTTTTGTATTTTTTAGTAGAGACGGGGTTTCACTGTGTTAGCCAGGATGGTCTTGATCTCCTGACCTCATGATCTGCCCGCCTCAGCCTCCCAAAGTGCTGGGATTACAGGCGTGAGCCACTGCACCTGGCCTGGGTAAAGCTTTTTAAATATTCTAGCTGTACAGGTATTATACCGGTATGCAAATAACTAACACAAGGATAAATAATTAGGTTTGGGAAGGCTAGGTATTTTATCTCAGAACTATAAAATGAAAGGTGAAAGGCATGAGGTTAAATCAGTCTTTTTACTTTCGCTGCCTGAATTAGAACCTTGATGTTCATCTTTTCTTAAAAAAAAAAAAAAAGAAAGAAAGTAGAGATCATTGTTAATCTTGTGATACAGATTGTTTTCACAAATTCTGCTTTTATCCATCCTTGAACACATTTTAACCTGCTTTCTCCAAATACATCTGCTCAGGTTTTGGATCTATGCTCCGAGCACTTGGTGCTCAGATTGAGAAGACAACCAATCGAGAAGCTTGTCGGGATCTCAGTGGAAGGAGACTACGCGATGTCAATCATGAAAAAGCGTAAGATGCCCACCTTTTTTTGTGTTTTTGAGGAGAGACATATACTTTCCTATTAGTAGTGATTATACATATGCCACGCATATTGGAAATGGAAACTTAAAATATTTACATCCAAATTTATTATCAGATTTAACCTTTTCCATAATTTAATAATCATCTTTGGGATTAAGTTCAGTACCATATGCTAGTAGTAAGCATGGCTCACCTTTCTAAGAGAATATCACAGTATGAACAAGTGCATTAATTCGTCAGAGACATTTTATATATAAAAGTGTATATGTAATATATCTATTCAGTTATATCTCTTCCTCCCTCATCCCCAGAATGGCTGAATGGGTAAAACAACAAGCCGAGCGAGAGGCTGAAAAGGAGCAGAAGCGGCTGGAGCGACTGCAGCGGAAGCTTGTAGAACCCAAGCACTGCTTCACCAGCCCCGACTACCAGCAGCAGTGCCATGAGATGGCTGAGCGTCTGGAGGATTCCGTCCTCAAAGGTGAGAATGAGGATTCCTTAGTGTGTTCAGCTGGCACCCCTGAAGCCAGCTGTTCAGACTGCTCTACACTACGCACAAAGAGCAGTTCTTAAGCTTTTTTTAGGTTACAGATGTCTGAGAATCTGATGAAAACCTTGGCACTTTTATCCTCAAAAATGAACACAGTATTTTTTTAAAAAAGAACACATATACAACATTTGGCTTTTTTTTTTCCCCCCAAAACGGAGTCTTGGTCTGTTGCCCAGAGCTGGAGTGCAGTGGTGTGATCTCGGCTCACTGCAACGTCTGCCTCCTGGGTTCGAGCAATTCTCCCGCCTTAGCCTCCAGAGTAGCTGGGATTACAGGCACACGCCACCACGCCTGGCTAATTTTCATATTTTTAGTACAGTCAGGGTTTCACCATGTTGGCCAGGCTGGTCTCAAACTCCTAACCTCGTGCTTGGGATTACAGGCATGAGCCCAGCCAACATTTGGCATATTTAACCCCTGAATTCCATGGGGCCATGGGCCCCAGGTAAGAAAATTTTTTGTTTGTGTTTAGGGATAAGCTAAGTCTTCAGAAGATGTCTAGACCTCAAAGAATTTGCTGCCAGTTTTAAGTCAGTTTTTAATGTGAATGATTCTCATTAACTTTTGTTTTTAGCATCCAAAACATGGCAGGCCTAGTATGGGAACAATCGAATAAGAAACAATCTTTTTGCATCAAAAAGGTTATGACATAACAGGAAAAAGACAAGTGTATGCAAATAACTAACGCAGGGATAAATAATTAGGTTTGGGGAGGGCTGGGTATGAACTTGTCAGTCTCAAGGTTACAAATTGTGCAGTGGTGCTTTAAAAAATCTGCTCCTAGACTAGAATGTTTATCATTTTAAATCTGTGTAAATTTGAGATTAACTGTATAAAATGTTGGTATCTTAAGAAATTTAAATCTGGAGCTGTAGATTGCAGCTCTTTTTGCAATCCATGTTATTTATGATTTCTTTAAACTTAGTCCCTATAGTAGAAACTGAGTTGTTAAAATTTCTGGTTAGGTATGCAGGCTGCCTCCAGCAAGATGGTTTCAGCAGAAATCAGTGAGAATCGGAAACGGCAATGGCCTACTAAATCTCAAACAGACAGAGGAGCCAGTGCGGGAAAGAGGAGATGCTTCTGGTAAGTGTTTCACTTTCGTTCCCAATTGATCTTTGAGGACTGACTTGAGACATTTCCTCCTTGTTTATCTGGCATAAACACATTTTTGTGTAGTGTTTGGTGGGAGCTCAGAAAATTTCCAGAGTGCTTCAAGCTTTAGGTTTCAGTGATTGTCACATTGTACTGGTAATGGTTTCTGCTGTGAATGCCATTAATTGAATGTAAAGGATGAATTTTTTCCTTACACTGAAACATAAAAATAGCTTTATATTTGAATTACTTTTTTGGTGTTGAAGGGGTTTAACTTTTAGAAATTCTAGGTGGAAATCAAGCTGTACTTTCCAGGTGGTTGTCTGTGGTTTTTCACAGTCATCATTGAGGTCTTTGGTCACTTTGCCAGACTTCTCTTCACCACTTTCGCACTTGAGGGTAAAAAGCACAGCAGTACTTTTTCTTGTCCATTTTTCTGATAGTTCTCTTGTCCCTCTAGTTGGTCCTCTTGTTGCCAGTGACTTCCCTTGGGCCAAGTTCTTGAAAATAAGTTTATCCCCTTTGGGGATAAACAGATAATTATTAATCAAAGATCATATAACACTATGAGTTCAGCATACAATGTTTGTTCTTTCTGAAATGGGAATTAAGTGTTCCTGAGAGAAAGGGTGGTGACACTACCTGTGGTTTGTATTTTTTTAATGAGGTTTATTGAGGTATAATTTATATATAGCAAAATTCACCCTTTTTGGTTGATTGGTTCTACGACTTTTGAAAAATGTATATGTACTATATAGTCACGTTACCATCACCACAATCTAGATAGAGTGTATTTTAATGACCTGAAATAGTTCCCACGTGCCCTTTTGCAGTTAAGTCCCTTTTCCCCACCTCTAGACCCTGGCAACCATTGGTCACCAGTGTGATATTTGTTACTATGATTTAGTCTTTTCTAGGATGTCATATAGCCTTTAGTGTCTGGCTTCTCTCACTTAATATAAAGCTTTAGAGATTCATCCATGGTAGTGTATGTATCAGTAGTTCATTCTTTTTTATCACTCCGTATCGTTTCATGGTGTGAATGTACCACAGTTTGTTTATCCAGTCTCCATTTGGTAGACATTTGGGTAATTTCTGGGTTTGAGTAATTATTAATAAAGCATGGGTGTTTTTTTTGTGTGTGTTTTTTTTTTTTTTGAGACAGGTTCCTCACTCTGTTGCTGAGGTTGGAGTGCAGTGGCGCGATCTCGGCTCACTGAAGCCTTGACCTCCCAGGTTTAAGCTATCTTCCCATCTCAGCCTCCTGAGTAGCTGGGGCTAGGGTACATACCACCATGCCCAGCTGATTTTTTTTATTTTTTTGTGAAGACAGGGTTTTGCCATGTTGCCTAGGCTGGTCTCAAACTCCTGAGCAGGTGATCCTCGCGCCTCAGCCTCGCAAAGTGCTGGGATTATAGGCGTGAGCCACCGCGTCCAGCCCAAGCATAGGATTTATAAATGTGTGTGTGTGTGTATTAATATTTATTATTGGGAAACACCTCTGTAAAACAGAATAATTGTTCCTAGGATTTTCTTTATATATTTTTTCACCAATCAAATCAAGGGGCGGCACCGAATAATTTTCCTTCTTTTTTTTTTTTTTTTGAGACAGAATCTTGCTCTGTCGCCCAAGCTGGAGTGCAATGGCACAATCTCGGCTTACTGCAACCTCTGCCTCCCAGATTCAAGCAATTCTCCTGCCTCAGCCTCCCCAGTAGTTGGAACTACAGCCATGTGCCACCACACCCGGCTAATTTTTGTATTTTTAGTAGAGATGGTGTTTCACCATGTTGGCCAGGCTAGTCTTGAACTCCTAACCTCAAGTGATCCACCCACCTCAACCTCCCAAAGTGCTGGGATTACAGGCGTTAGCCACCATGCCCGGATGGATTTTCTTTATAACTATTTATTATTATTATTATTATTTTTTTTTTTTTTTTGAGACAGTCTTGCTCTGTCCCCCAGGCTGGAGTGCAGTGGTGCGATGATGGCTTACTGTAACCTCTGCCTCCTGGTTCAAGTGATTCTCCTGCCTCAGCCTCTCGAGTAGCAGGGACTACAGGCACCTGCCACCAGGCCTGGCTAATTTTTGTATTTTTAGTAGAGACGGGATTTCACCATATTGGCCAGGCTGATCTTGAACTCCTGACCTTGTGATCCACCCACCTCGGCCTCCCAATGTGCTGGGATTACAGGCATGAGCCACCACGCCCGGCCAACTATTTATTATTTTATCTAATTTCCAACCGTCGAAGGTAATGTAATGCGGGGGAAGAAAGCTTTAAGCAAAATCAATTTTGCTTTTAGAGATTCAGGACTTTAGAAAGGAGATCCTCTTGGATCTTTGGGA
Source organism: Homo sapiens (assembly GCF_000001405.40). Classification (NCBI taxonomy): domain Eukaryota; kingdom Metazoa; phylum Chordata; class Mammalia; order Primates; family Hominidae; genus Homo; species Homo sapiens. The sequence goes on along the minus strand of NC_000001.11, from coordinate 225,988,883 downwards.
CAGTTGGTCCCAGTCTCATTGAAATGTTTTTTCCTTCTGTTTATAAGCTCTAGAATATCTTTTTCCGAAATTTGCCTGTTCTCCATCTCAAGCTAGCAGAAACAGATTCTGTTTCCTGAACAAACTATAACTCTTTGCTTTATTTATTTATTTTTGAGACGGAGTCTCACTCTGTCACCCAGGCTGGAGTACAATGGCGCGATCTCGTCTCACCGCAACCTCTGCCCCCCAGGTTCAGGTGATTCTCCTGCCTCAGCCTCCTGAGTAGCTGGGACTATAGGTGCATGCCACCACATCTGGCTAATTTTTGTATTTTTAGTAGAGATGGGGTTTCACTGTGTTGGCCAGGCTGATCTCAAACTACTGACTTCGTGATCTGCCTGCCTTGGCCTCCCAAAGTCCTGGGATTACAGGCCTGAGCCACTGCGCCCAGCCAACTCTTTGCTTTAAATAGAAGCTACAAACGCTGTTAAACCTTTCTGTTGCTTCTGACAGGTTGGGCATGGAGGGACTAGAGACTGCAGAAGGGTCCAACTCTGAGAGTTCAGATGATGACAGTGAAGAAGCACCAAGCACTTCAGGAATGGGTTTCCATGCTCCAAAAATTGGTAGCAATGGTGTCGAGATGGCAGCCAAATTTCCCAGTGGTTCTCAGAGGGCGAGAGTAGTGAATACAGACCATGGATCACCAGAACAACTGCAGATCCCGGTGACTGACTCTGGGAGGCATATTTTAGAAGACTCATGTGCTGAGCTGGGGGAGTCCAAAGAGCACATGGAAAGCAGGATGGTTACAGAAACAGAAGAGACCCAGGAGAAGAAGGCAGAGAGTAAAGAACCCATAGAAGAGGAGCCCACTGGGGCTGGACTGAATAAGGATAAAGAGACAGAAGAAAGGACTGATGGGGAAAGAGTTGCTGAGGTAGCACCTGAAGAAAGGGAAAACGTTGCCGTTGCCAAACTGCAGGAAAGCCAGCCAGGAAACGCAGTAAGTATGTTTTGGGGTTGATACCTAGAGCCAAATCAGTTTAATCTCCACAATAAGTCATTAAAATGAAAATGTGCTTTTGCCCCTCAGCTGCTTAGTGAAAGGCTTATTTGATTTTAAGAAGTACAGATTATGGTGAAGCTTGCCTTATTCCCCAAAAACTTTTTAAGTTCTGGCATTTATACTATGTTGCCACTAGGTGGTGTCCTTGATTCCATATTGCATCAATTGTAAGATGCATGTTTTCCACATTTTAGCATGTCTAAAATGAGATGTGTATAACATATTATAACTTAATTGGTATTGTTTATTCTTAGTAATACATGAATGAGGGTATATTATGATAGATGGCATTTTAGATTTGATGAAATGTGCTCATTTTTCCCGTCACTAAATTGCTACTCAGCTTTTTCTAATGTGAGGATAGCTTGAACAATAGTTTCAGCTGAATGTGAAGACCTCTTCTATAGAAGAGGAACCTCCTTTTAAATTTATCATTAAATCTTAAGTACCCACAGTCAGCCTTTTAAAAAAGGCATCTTCAGCCAGGTGCGGTGGCTCACGCCTGTAATCCCAGCACTTTGGGAAGCTGAGGTGGGCAGATCACCTGAGGTCAGGAGCTTGACACCAGCCTGGCCAGCATGGTGAAACCCTGTCTCTATTAAAAATACAACAACAACAAAAATTAGCCGGGCATGGTGGTGCACGCCTGTAATCCCAGCTACTCAGGAGGTTGAGCCACGAGAATGGCTTGTGCCCTGGGAGGTGGAGGTTGCAGTGAGATGAGATTGTACCACTGTACTCCAGCCTGGGCGACAGAGTGAGACTCCATCTCAAAAAATAATAATAAAAAGGCATTTTCATAGTACATTCTCTCAAAAAGTTGGTTTTTCACTATCTACAATGGACTGGCTTCCAGCAAAAATCTCTGTGCTTTGATCTAATGGTTTGCTTTTTAGAATAGGTGAAACCTAAACTACTTAATTTCCTTCGATAAACACAAAACCTACCATTTGTTTAGCCAGCACCTTCCCCTGCCCCCAGTAAGTAAGTAAAAATGCATAAATTGCCCTTTCTGGTGAGACTATTGGAATTTTTTTATGCTAAGGTCCTTACAATCTCTGAATTTGTAAGCATGTAATTTTTGTGTTATGTGTATACAGGTAAGAGCTTTATCCTGACTGAAGTCTTAGAAAAATAAAAAAGGAATCATAGGATAAAACCTGATATTTTTCAGTGTTAGCCATGGAGTTTTGTTCTTGATGTTGTAGTAATAGCTGTTGTATTCCTAACAACCAAGTGTGATTCTTTAAACACACATAAGTGGCATTTTAGAATTTGGTCATAAATAAGCCAAGGTTAACTCCCAGAAATCTAACAAAACAGCTTTTTTAAGAAAACAAAGATCAACTAGAAAGATAGAGTATGTCTCCAGAGCTCTTTAATATTTTAAAACTGTGAAAGTTATTCTTTGAATATAAAAAATCACTCAAAGATAGACATTTTCATTCTTTTCAAGGTATCATTAGCAGTATTTAATTTTGTCTTTTTTTTTTTTTTAATGACAGAGTCTCACTCTGTTGCTCAGGCTGGAGTGCAGTGGTGTGATTTCTGCTCTACCTCCCAGGTTCAAGTGATTCTCCTGCCTCAGTCTCCCAAGTAGCTGAGACTACAGGCACGCTGAGACTACAGGCACGCACCACCACACCCGGCTAATTTTTGTATTTTTAGTAGAGACGGGGTTTCACCATGTTGACCAAGCTGGTTTCGGACTCCTAATCTCAAGTGTTCCGCCTGCCTCCACCTCCCAAAGGGCTGGGATTACAGGCTAATTTTGTCTTAAAGTCTATAAAGGCACTTGGTGGGTAGAACAGTTGCAAGTCTATTGAACAGCATTTGAGTTTGTTGAGTTATATAAGGGAGAGGTCTGACAATTAGTTTTAATTACTCAATTAGAATAGAAAGCATTAAGATTATGGAATTAGTAGATTCAGAGGCATGGGATTCTCATTAAGCTTTTAGGAGTGCCTGCTCTTTCTGTGGGAATAGTGTGGGGATAGGCTGGCTATATTTTACTGTTTAGATGTTTACTAGAAAAATCGGAAAAGAAAGCAATATTAAAAATCTGTTTGGGAATGCTATACTTCTGTTACTGTTCTGAATGCTTGTTTCTAAATGTATAGATGAAAAATTAGTTATTATGTGTGTTGAGAATACTTATGGAATAACATGTGGATGGATGATGATTAAAATTCAGTTGCAAGGTATGGCAAATTAAATGAAAATTTCTCAAGAAATGTAGTTGACAGTTAAAGAGTCTTTATTCAGAGGAAGGAGCCTGTTTTAAATATTTTCTTATTTTTTTCCCTCAGGTTATTGATAAGGAAACTATAGATTTATTGGCGTTCACCTCTGTTGCAGAACTGGAGTTGCTGGGTTTGGAGAAGCTCAAATGTGAACTGATGGCCCTTGGACTGAAATGTGGGGGCACTCTGCAGGAGCGGGCAGCAAGACTCTTCTCTGTCAGAGGACTGGCAAAGGAGCAAATTGACCCGGCTTTATTTGCCAAGCCTTTGAAAGGGAAGAAAAAATGAGTATCATCAGAGCTGATTCCTATTTGTTTATAGTGTCTACCATTTACAACCTGCATAATGTGGACTCTTGACCAGTATTCCTGTTGATATTAAAAGCTAACTTTTTAGTAACCCAATTCTAACTATCCCCTTTTTCCTTGTCAGGGCTGTAGAATTAATGTCTGAAACCATCTGGGCCTTAAATTTTCTTTGTCTGGTTTTCTATAGTGTATTTAATAAATATAGGGCTATTCACATTTTTTGGTTTGATCTTGGTGTCATTTAGGTAATGAATCTATCCAAGAAATCTATCCTTTTGACCCAGGTTATCAAATTTGTAGACATAAGGTTATTTATAATGGTCCCTTCTTACCCTTTTAATGTCTTTAGGAGCTGTGTTGATAATTTCCTTTTCATTATGATACTGGTAATTTCTGTTCTCACTTTCCTAATCAGGTTGGGTAGGGGTTTATCAGTTTTACTGATCTGACTTTTTATTTTATTTTATTTTTTTTGAGACAGTCTTACACTGTCTCCCAGGCTGGAGTGCAGTGGCGCGATCTCGGCTTACTGCAAGCTCTGCCTTCCGGGTTCATGCCATTCTCCTGCCTCAGCCTCCCCAGTAGCTGGGACTACAGGCTCCCACCACCACGCCCGGCTAATTTTTTATATTTTTAGTGGAGACTGGGTTTCACTGTGTTAGCCAGGATGGTCTCGATCTCTTTACCTCGTGGTCCACCCGCCTCAGCCTCCCAGAGTGCTGGGATTACAGGCGTGAGCCACCGTGCCTGGCCGACGATATAACTTTTAAAGAACCAACCTTTGGTTTTATTTTTCTCAATTGTTTATATAATTAATTTCTGTTATTTTCTTTCTTCTATTTAGCTTGAGTCTCCTTTGATCTTTTTTCTTTAGTTCCTTAAGATAAGCCTTAGGTCATTGATCTTAGACGTTATTTAAAATACATATTTAAAGCTATACATTTTCTTTTAAGCATTACTTTAGTTGCGACTTTACAATTTTATTATGTCGTATTTTTATTATTCAGTTCTAATTTTCTTTTTTTTTTCTTTTTGAGATGGAATTTCGCTTTTGTTGCCCAGGCTAGAGTGCAATGGTACGATCTCAGCTCACTGCAACCTCTGCCTCCTGGGTTCAAGCGATTCTCCTGCCTCAGCCTCCTCAGTAGCTGGGATTACAGGCTCCAGCCACCATACCTGGCTGATTTTTGTATTTTTAGTAGAGATGGGGTTTCACCACATTGGCCAGGCTGGTCTCGAACTCCTGACCTCAGGTGATCCACCCACTTTGGCCTCCCAAAGTGCTGGGATTACAGGTGTGAGCCACCATGCCCAGCCTCTGATTATTTTCTAATTTCCTCCCTCAGTTCTTCTTTGACCCATGGATTATCAGAAGTGGGTTGTCTGATCAGCAAACATTTGTTTTTTTTCCTCTTAATATCTTCTTGTTGCTGATTTCTACTTTAATTCCATTGAGGTCAGAAAATATCCTCTTTATGATTTCAATCCTCTTAGTTTTATTGAGACTCGTTTTATGACCCAATATGTTGTCTGTCATGGTGAGTGTACCATACACAGTTTAAAAGAATGCGTATTTTAGGCCAGGTGTGGTGGCTCATGCCTGTAATCCAGCATGAGATTACATGCTGAGATTACAGCTGTAATCTGTAATTTGAGAGGCTGAGGTGGGAGGATCATTTCGAGACCAGCCTGGGCAATGTATAGTGAGACCATGTCTCTAAGAAAAACAATATGTAATTTGAATTGTTGGGTTAATATGTTTTGTAATATCGATGAGATTAAGTGGTTGATAGTATTGTTCAGATCTTCTATGTCTTTACTGATCCTTTTGTTTATTTCTATCAGGTGCTGAGAAAGGATGTTAAAATCTTCAATTATGATTGTGGAATTGTCTATTTCTTAAATTCTACCAGTTTTTGTATGAAGCTCTAATAACTTATGTCTTCCTAATGTATTGACCATTTTATCATTATGAAATTTCCCTCTGTCTCTGGTAATTTGGGTTTGAAATCTACTTTATCTTATGTGAATATAGCCACTGCAGCCTTCTTAAGCTTAGTGTTTGCACAGTATACCTCTTTCTATTAATTTACTTTGTGCTTCTGTGCCTATTTAAAGTAGTTTCTTTAAACAACATATACTTGAGACTTGCATTTTTATCTGTTCTCTCTGTATCTTTTAATAAGTTTAACATTAAATGTAATTATTAATAGGTTTCTAATTTACATGTTTCCTGTTTAGATAAGATTATTTTATAATTGTATTTTAATTTATTGGCTCTTTAGCTATACTGTTTTAATAATTTTTTTAAGTTGGATGTTCTAGTGATTACAATATACATTCTTAATTTTTCAGTCTACCTAGAGTTGATGTGCCACTTCACATAAAATGTAGAAATCTTGTAAGTATGTACATCCATTTATCATACCTGTCTTTTATGCTGTAGTTGTCATACATATTAAATCTACATATTTAAATATTGTAAGTCCTGTCATAAGTTACAATTTCTGCTTTAAATAATGATATGTATTTTAAAGAAATTAAGAGGAAAAAATAAAATCTTTTGTATTTATTCACATATTTACCATTTCTAATATTCTTCATTTCTTCTTAAAGATCTAATAGCCTTTCCCTTAAGACGGAAGAACTTTCTATAGCATTTTTTGTGTCTCCTGGCAACAAATTAGTTTTCTTTTTCTTTTTCCCTTTTTTTTTTTTTTTTTGAGATGGAGTTTCGCTCTCATTGCCCAGGCTGGAGTGCAATGACACAATCTCGGCTCACTGCATCCACCATCTCCTGGGTTCAAGCAATTCTCCTACCTCAGCCTCCCAAGTAACTGGGATTACAGACATGTGCCACCACACCTGGCTCATTTTGTATTTTTAGTAGAGATGGGGTTTCTCCATGTTGGTCAGGCTGGTCTCAACTCCTGACCTTGTGAACCACCCACCTCGGCCTCCCAAAGTGCTGGGATTACCACCGTGCCTGGCCAGTTTTCTCTTTTTTAAAAAGAATCTCTTCGCTAGGTGCAGTGGCTCAGGCCTGTAATCCCAGCACTTTGGGAGGCTGAGGCGGGCAGATCATTTGAGGTCAGGAGTTCAAGACCAGTCTGGCCTTCATGATGAAATGCTGTCTCTACTAAAAATACAAAAAAATGAGCCAGGTGTGGCAGTGCGTGCCTGTAATCCCAGCTACTTGAGAGGCTTAGGCATGAGAATTGCTTGAACCCAGGAGGCGGAGGTTGCAATGAGCCAAGATCATGCCACTGCACCCCAGCCTGGGTGACAGAGTGAGACCCTGTCTCAAAAAATAAAAAGAATCTCTTTACAGATCTTGTTCCACTGTCTTCTGGCCTTCATTGTTTCTGATGACAAATCAGTGGGTATTCAAATAGTTTTTCCCTTTATAGAATGCGTCTTTCTCTTTGGCAGCTTTCAGGTGTGGTTTTCTATGTATTTATCTTGGGAGTTTGATGAATTTCTTGGCTCTCTAAATTTATGCCATTTAATCAAATATAGGAAAGTGTCAGCCATTATTTCCTCAGATCTTTTTCCTGACCCATGTTTTCTCTTTCCTGGGACTTCAGTTATAAATATACTAAGCTTCGGTCTCAGTCTCCGAGTCTCTGTCTTTTTTTTTTTTTTTTTCCACCAAACGCTTCTCTCTGTTCTTCAGATGATTTCTGTAATATAGCTAAGTTGATGGAGAGTCTTCAAGCCAAAGTTGCCTTTTGGAGGAGTTGGCATCTTGCCAGAATGGGCCTGCCTTAGTACCTGTACTGTGCACGTTGGCTATAAAGAGTCCCCAGAAAGTGTGGCCTGAGTGTGAACCCGGTGGCCCCAGAGCATCACTGAGTGATGCTCCCCACAGCAGGAGATCTGAGAGGCGTATTTTCGTGGCTGCCACAGTATGTTCTGTTGCTTAGGGAGGATTATTTTTCTAGCTTGGGTAGTTGGAAACAGTTTTCTTCAAATTATGTGGGTGCCTGTTCAGATCTTAAAAAGCACACCCAAAGGGAGAAGGGAAACATTTAGATTTAGTGAAGGTTTACTTTTTAAAATTTTTTTATTTTATTTTATTTTTAGATGGAGTCTTGCTCTGTCGCCCAGGCTGGAGTGCAGTGGCGCCATCTTGGCTCACTGCAAGTTCCACCTCCCGGGTTCACGCCATTATCCTGCCTCAGCCTCCCAAGTAGCTGGGACTACAGGCACGTGCCACCACACCCGGCTAATTTTTTTGTATTTTTAGTAGAGACGGGGTTTCACTGTATTAGTCAGGATGGTCTCGATTTCCTGACCTGGGGATCCGCCCACCTTGGCCTCCTAAAGTGCAGGGATTACAGGCCTGAGCCACCGCGCCCAGCATAGTGAAGGTTTACTTTACAAGATCAGGGTTCATCTTTGAGAGACTCAGGCAGCCATGCCCAAAGAATTTCTTTCTTTTGTGGCAGCATGAAGCTGGCTGGGCCAGTGCCCCTTTCCTAATTGGCCTGGTTATCCTCTTCAGGTTGCCAGAGCACTAGCTGGGCCCTGCTTTATTTAGCATGGGAGTGTGAGCAGCTGTTGCCCTGCTCCCTGCAGGCAAATAGACCTTGACTGGCAAAATGAAAAGACTATAGAGTTTTCTAATTGCCCCCTCTCTTGTAGCATTAAAGGCTAAAAGTAAGGAGGCTGCTGATGAGCAGAAACTGACCATCTAGCCTCTCTTCCTAGGTGGCTGTAGTTCTTCCAGCCCTCGCTGATCTGTGCGTGGGGATGTTAATGGGCTTTTGCTGTGGGTCCATTTCACTCACCCACACATTTTGTTTTGGAGATAGCTACCTTCCTCCTTCCTCTTCTAGTACTCGTACCGCAAGCTTCCTCATTATATTCCTTTTGTCAGTTCAAATGGGAGTTTGCAAGAGGGAATTAAACAAATATGCTCAGATTACCATCTTGAGCCAGCACCTGTTAGTGATTTTCAAGGTGAAAAGTACCCCCCCCCGAGAAAGTCTAGGAACACCAGGTGTTAATTCTAGGCTGGTTCTGATCAAAATCTTAAAAATGTTGACTTAAACTTTATGGCCTTATTTGTGTGCCTGAACTAGAATACAGGAAAAGATATTATGGACTCCAGGTGGCCCTGTGCCACCCACACTGTTGCTGCAAGTCACCTGCCTATTGGCCTGTTTCTGGGAGGGATCTCTGATTCAGTCAGTGCCAGTCTCATCTCTGGTATGTTTGGTACTACTTTTTCTTTGCATTCACCTTCATGAGATTTCCTTTGAGAAAAACTAAATTAATGATGCTCTATAAAGTAAGCCTACACTCAAACCATTCATAGGTCATTGATTCAGGATGGCCCCCACATAATACTGCTGAGCTGAAGGAAAGAATGTGCATGGTCATACTTCGGTTTTCCCTGGAATACAGGCCATGTGGTGTGGTGGGCCTTAGGGCAAGGGTTTTAGGGTTACTGATCTGGGTCTAAAATCCTGATTTTCCTCCTTTCTAATAGTGTTTCCTCAGACAAGCTCCATAGCCTTTCTGAGCATCAGTTTTCTGCTCCTGCTATTAAATGGGGTCATATCTACTTTTAGGGATGTTAGGGTTAAATAAAGTAGTATGTAAGGTTCCTAGCACAGTGCTTAGCAAATTTGTAGTTGCTCAGTAAATGGAAGCTATTGGAATACTCTACAGCACCATTGTCCAATAGAAATGTAACATGAGCCAGATAATGTAATTTTACATTTTCTTTCAGTCATTAAAAAGTACAAAGAATTAGCCAGGTGTGGTTGTGCGTGCCTATAGTTCCAGCTACTTGGGAGGCTGAGGTGGGAGGATTGCTTGAGTCCAGGAGTTGGAGGCTGCAGTGAAATTTTTTTTTTTTTTTTTTTGAGATGGAATCTCACTCTGCTGCCCAGGCTGGAGTGCAGTGGCATGATCTTGGCTCACTGCAACCTCCGCCTCTCGAGTTCAAGTGATTCTCCTGCCTCAGCCTCCTGAGTAACTGGACTTACAGGCACGTGCCACAACGCCCAGCTAATTTTTGTATTTTTTTTGTAGAGATAGAGTTTCACCATGTTGGCCAGGCTGGTATTGAACTCCTGACCTCAGGTGATCTGCATGCCTCAGCCTCCCAGAGTGCTGGGATTATAGGCATGAGCCACCACGCCCGGCCAATGATACAGTGAACTTTGAAGGCGTCACTGCAACTCCAGCCTGGGCGACAGAGTGAGACCTCATCTCAAAAAAAAAAAAAAAAAAAAAAAAAAAAAATTACAAAGAAGCAGGTGAAATTAATTTTAGCAATATATTTTATTTAACCCAAAAATATTCAAAATATTTCAATAATAGAAAATTATTGAGATAGTTTACATTTTTGTGCTAAGTCTGAAATCTGGTGTGTATTTTATACTTACAGCACTTTTCAATTCACAGTGGCTACATTCCAGGTGCTTAATAGCCCCGTGTGACTTTGAGCTCCTGTATTAGGCAGTGCCCCTCTAGAACACATCTTAAGGCAAGGCAGTGAGCACAGCAGAACTGTCCACCTTAATCCAAACACACGTGTACAGAGCTGAATCAAAGCCACATGAGGCTGGGAGGACTTGGGGCTTTTAGCACGCTCTGCCCTTCCCTCAGCCACCCTTGTGATAAGTGGAATATATGTAAAATAAAAGCGTTATGACCAGTCAGATGTCTTTCCTGTGGGGACTCCTTACATGCCAGGCTGGCAGAGGTGCAGAAACAAGTGCGAGAGCTGTGGTCTGTGAGTCCTAACCTTGGCCTTGCTGGTGTGGGGCTGGGTGACCTCATCTGGCAAACTGCGGTATCTGTTTAATTTTATGAATTGAGCTGTGAGGCATAGCTGAAATTTGCATGGGGGTGACAAACATACTTTAAAGCATCTTGCAAAAAAGTAGTAAGAATTAGGAGTTGTAGACAAATGCTCAATGAAAACAGGAGTGTGATACTGGGTATTGCACCATACCGTAGTGCTGGATCCCTCAGTTTACTAAGTAGATCTTTTGGTCCAATTACGGGGTAGTGTAGGAATGGCGATTAGCCTGGTATGTCCCATCTCTCCTTGTTGAAGTTCTGCTTTTTTTTTTTTTGAGATGAGGTCTCGCTATGTAACTCATGCTGGAGTGTAGTGGCACAATCACAGTTCACTGCAGCCTCCACCGCTCGGGCTGGGACCACAGGCATGTGCCACCTTGCCCGGCTAATCTTTTAAAAATTACTTGCAGAGACAAGGTCTCACTGTGTTGCCAGGCTGGTACTTAACTTCGAAGACGGCTCACAGGCTGCCTCTTCCAACTGCGAGCCTCAGTGAGGAAACAGTGGGCTTGTTGTGGAGTTTATTCTGCAGCCCTCCAGCCTGCAAACATTAATTGTGCATGTCTGATTAGTAAAACATTTGGGGGTGCACCCCACATGATGTCACTCATCTGTCAGAGCCCTCCATCGGCCTTGGAGTACAAGCCCACGCACTTGCAGTGGCCAGCAATCCCCTCTCAGGCTGCACGCCTCTCCCCTCTCTGACCTCATCTACTCCTCCTCACTCCACCACAGCCCCCGGGGCCTCCTTGCTGTTTCCTGAACCAACCAAACACACTGTGCTCCCCTGGCGTGGCACAGACTGTCCCTCCTTCCAGAACAGTCTTTTTCCAGACGTCCCCAGGGAAGACTCTCTCACCTTTCACTCGGTTTAAAATGGCAACCCCCACCCCCATCACTTTCTTTCCTGACTGGTTGGTTGTTTTGTTTTTTTGAGACAGCCTCGCTGTGTCGCCCAGGCTGGAGTGCAGTGGTGCCGTCTCAGCTCACTGCAATCTGTGCCTCCGGAGTTCAAGCAATTCTGCCTCAGCCTCCCAAGTAATTGAGACTACAGGTGTGCGCTACCACGCCCAGCTATTGATTGATTGATTGTATTTTTAGTAGAGACGGGGTTTTGCTGTGTTGGCCAGGCTGGTCTCAAACTCCTGACCTCAGGTGATCTGCCCATCTCGGCCTCCCACCGCGCCTGGCCGACAGTTTTATTTTTTTGAGATGGAGCCTTGCTCTGTCGCCCAGGCTGGAGTGCAGTGGCGCGATCTCGGCTCACTGCAAGCTCCGCCTCCTGGCTTCAAGCAATTCTCCTGCCTGAGCCTCCTGAGTAGCTAAGACTACAGGTGCGTGCCACCACGCCTGGCTAATTTTTGTATTTTTAGTAGAGACATGGTTTCACTGTGTTGGTCAGGCTGGTCTTGAACTCCTGACCTCGTGATCCGCCCGCCTCGGCGTCCCAAAGTCCTGGGATTACAAGCGTGAGCCACCGTGCCAGGTCCTGACAGGTTTTGTTTTGTTTTGTTTTGTTTTAATAGTACTTATTACCCCTTATCATATTTTTTTTTTTTAGTTAAATGTCCCTCTCCCCTCAGAAAATAAGCTCTGCCAGGGCAGAGAGTTGATCTGTTTTATTAGTGCCGGATACCTAAAATGTGCTCCATGAATATCTATTGAATGAATCCAGTGTACTAACATATTTATAAAACAACAAACAGAATTCCAAATAAATTCATCATCTCTCAACAGACCACATGACATGTCCACTGGGGTGTATGTACCTGCTTTGAAACATTTGCTTGTAGAAATGTGTGTCTTTTAGCCCGGGCGCGGTGGCTCACGCCTGTAATCCCAGCACTTTGGGAGGCTGAAGAGGGTGGATCACGAAGTCAAGAGATTGAGACCAGCCTGGCCAACATGGTGAAACCCCGTCTCTTCTAAAAATACAAAAAAATTAGCCAGGCGTGGTGGCAGGCGCCTGTAGTCCCAGCTACTCGGGAGGCTGAGGCAGGAGAATCACTTGAACCTGGGAGGCAGAGGTTGCAGTGAGCCGAGAACGCGCCACTGCACTCCAGCCTGGTGACAGAGAGAGACTCCTCCTCAAAAAAAAAAAAAAGAAAGAAATGGGTGTCTTTGAAGGTGGTTGAGGAAAATGACTGGGACTTACTGTTTTACCAAAATCTGAGAGCAACTGAAGTGAGTGCATGAGTGGCAATTCTGTAGAAAGGGATTCTGTTGAGTCGCTCAACACCAGCCAACCATTAAAAAGGTTACCTATTTCTGAGGAAGAGTCTTCCTGTAACCACTAGAGGGCGCTGTGCACTAACAAATGCCAGCCAAAGCCGTCAGGGAGAGACTGCTGGGGAAGGTGGGGAGGAGGTGGCGCGGCAGTGTTGCCTGGCAGTGGGGTAGCAGGTAGCAGGATGGCCAAATCCTGTGAGACCCACCTTTCCCCGTCCCTACACTCCCCTACACACCATAAGTGGCAGACTGATGATTAGGTGCAGCTGGCCTGGGGTGGACTAGGCCCTGTTCTTTTTTTATTTATTTTTTCTTTTTTTTGAGGCGGAATCTTGCTCTGTCGCCCAGGCTGGATTGCAGTGGCAGGATCTCGGCTCACTGCAAGTTCCGCCTCCGGGGTTCACGCCATTCTCCTGCCTCAGCTTCCCGTGTAGCTGGGACCACAGGCGCCCGCCGCCACCACGCCCGGCTAATTTTTTGTATTTTTAGTAGAGACGGGGTTTCACCGTGTTAGCCAGGATGGTCTCCATTTCCTGACCTCGTGATCCGCCTGCCTCGGCCTCCCAAAGTCCTGGGATTACGGACGTGAGCCACCGCGCCCGGCGCCCTGTTCTTTCTGATTCCTTAATTCTCAGATTTAGCTTCAGTTTTCACTGTACAGGTGGTGAATAAATCATTTAGTCTTGCTGAATATCCCATAACATTATTACTTCTGTCCTCAACAAACAACGTTATCTTTAATCATTTGCTGTTGTTTTCCGCTAGAGGAATTTCAGTGTCTGTGTATACAACCATGTCTTTATTTTTGTGTTATCAAAAATAAATCTGGGGCCGGGTGCGGTGGCTCATGCCTGTAATCCCAGCACTTTAGGAGGCCGGGGTGAGCGGATCGCCTGAGGTCAGGAGTTTGAGACCAGCCCGGCCGACACGGCGAAACTCCATCTCTACTAAAAATACAAAAATTAGCCAGGCATGCTGGTGGGTGCCTGTAATCCCAGCTACTCAGGAGGCTGAGGCATGAGAATTGCTTGAACCCAGGAGGCAGAGGTTGTGGTGAACCGAGATCACACCACTGCACTCCAGCCTGGACAACAGAGCCAGACTCCATCTCAAAAATAAAATAAAATAAAAATAAAATAAATAAATAAATCTGGGGGTATATATAGCTGTGTTGTGTATAGCTCTGACATATTTATTTGTGACTGGCCCCTGCATTTCTCCTTGGTGGGAAATGTACGTGTTGACATTAGGATTCAACTCAGTTATTACACCCAACCTGAGCTGCTCTTAGACCAGGCAGGCAAAAGAGGCCTCTGCCCAGAGTCTGCATCTAGAAAAGACAGAAACACAAGGCTAGGGGAAGAGGAGGACAAAATCCCAGCCCACACCCTGGAAATTCAGAGAAAAAGTGGCTGCTTTTGATCTAGGTTCATCTCCCCAGGTCATCCTTAGTTGGTGTTCAGGCAGACGGGGTCCAGGAGGTGCCCTTCCTCCCCAGCTCCATTCACGTGGGTGTAGTTAGTGGGGCTGCTAGAACTGCCTGGAAGTCCTGAGTGGGCACAGCAAGGTGTGGGGAGGGGACTCGTCCGCCCAGCTTCCGAGGAGTTGACAGATCCTTCAGGCCAGGCCCGGTACTGTGGCAGCGCTATTTCACGGGCTGTGTTTCTGTGGTTGCTCAGGACGATGAGGCTGTAAGGTGGGCCTCCCCGGCTCCAGGCTCCAGTTTTGTCTTCATGTGAAGAGCCTCAGGGCACATACTGACCAACATGACCAAAGTGAGCATCAAGCCTTACACTCAGAAAGTATATTTATTTGAATAAAATATCACTGTTAGACACTTTGGGAGGCTGAGGCAGGAGGATCTTTTGAGTCTGGAAGTTCGAGACCAGTCTGGGCAACGTAGTGAGACCTCATCTCTATTAAAAATATGGATAGATAAATAGATAGATAATTACTGTTATATTTTTGTATATTGGAGTTCTATGTAAGATTCTATTTACAAAAGCATTCACTGATAAAATTGAAAGTTTGCAGGCATTAATTTTTATATCACTATACAGAAATATGGATTTTGGAAAAATGGATAGCTCTTAACTGAGTAAAGTGGGAAAAAAGATGAAAAATGATTCTGAGATATAAGAATGAAATATTGCACCTGTTGTCATGTTAGAAGAGGAAGGACATAAAATTTTTGTAGAGATTGCAAAATCATTAATGCAAAAACAAAGATTATGCCTAGGAAAAAATGACAAGAAGGAAAATACAGGTTAATGTTTCCCAAAATTTTCCTTGGGGATATAAAGGTGGATTGTTTTCCCTTCTTCCCAATCTTTTATGTTATTCTAAGCTTTCTATGTTCACATTTTTTTTTTTTGAGACGGAGTCTCGCTCTGTCACCCAGGCTGGAGTGCAGTGGTGTGATCTCAGTCTCAGCTCACTGCAACCTCTGCTTCCTAGGTTCAAGCAATTCTTCTGCCTTAGCCTCCCAAGTAGCTGGAATTACAAGCATGCACCACCAGGCTCAGCTAATTTTTGTATTTTTAGTAGAGATGGGGTTTCACCATGTTGGCCAGGCTGGTCTCGAACTCCTGACCTCAGGTGATCCACCTGCCTCGGCCTCCCAAAGTGCTGGGATTACAGGTGTGAGCCACTGCACCTGGCCCAGATATACTTTTATAATAGTAAAAAAAAAAAAAAAGTTAGGGCTTTTTTGTTAGAATATGTATATCATGATGATTTAGTTCAATTTTATTCAACAAGTGCCTGCTGAGCACCTGCTCTGTGCTCTGCTCTGTACCAGCCCGGGATGCCTCCCTCACCGAGAGAACTCAAATCTAGCAAGAGCAGGTGGCTATGATGTGATTACAGTTGTTGTATACACACAGCGTACAGTAATGAAGTGCAGTCATCCGGGGAGTGGATGGAGGTGTGGCATTCCATCTGGTGGAGTGAGGCGAGGTCACTGGGGAGGTGAATTGAGCCCTGGGTTTTAAAAGCTATCTCCCAACCCAGGCAAAACATGGAGACCAAATGAGAAGGCTCTTAAGAGGAAATAGCATTTCCATGCCACAGAGCGATAAATAAATCCTCTCCTACTGAGAGGCAGTGCCCAGGGCTGGCTTAGGTGGGGAAGTTTCGCTGCTGCCTTCCCCTCATAATCTCCCTCAGACCCTCCCAAGCCTCCTCCAACACACAGTCTGAATAAAACACTGCTCAAATGCCTTATCTCATTTGCTTCACACTACAACCCTTCAACGTAGATACTGTTATCATCCCCATTTTACAGGTGAGGAAACCGAGGCTGACAAATATTAAATAAGCAGCCCAAGGGCACGCAGCACAGAGAGGGCAGAGCCGGGGCAAGGCCGAGGACTTCCAACTCTGAGTCCACGAGCTTCCGTTCCGCCTGTGGCCTCCTCGCCGCTGACCCTGCTCTGGTCCAAGCTGGCGTCAGTGGGGCTCCCCTTCTGAAGGGTGGTCCTAAAGTCCTACCGAGACCAGCTTCTCCAGACAATGCCTGTAGTGCACCATGCTCTCAGCCGGTCAGGCCCAGCCCTATCCCCAGAGAAGGAACCAGAAAGAGCCCTGTCCTCAGGACCTCTGTTTCCCCCTCTGCCTCTGTTGGCCCCAGGGGGGTTCTGGATGGGACTCCTTTCCTGAGCCTCCTCCCACCCCTTGGGAAATGAGAGCTTCTCCCCACTGTGGACTGGTAGCTTTGTGTTCAGCCCACCTGCTATCAGAGTCCACCTTGTGCCCACCCCGGGGCACAGCAGCATGGGCTGACCACTGGGACCTAGCTACAGAGAGCAGAGGCTCACAGCCCATTCAGTCTCTCCAAGCCTCAGCTCCCTTATTTGTAATCTATGGGACACAGGTCCTGCCTCATACGGTAGTTTCTGGAACGCTGCAGATGATTTCCCTAAAGCACCCATCATGGTGCCTTCCCATGCTCAGGGACTGGAATGTCGCCCTCTACCATTAGACAACCCCCCTGGGAGTCAGGAAAGAATGGAGCTCGCTGAGCCAGCCTCCACTGGAATGAGAGCCGCAGGGTCATGAGGTCTGAGGCCAGGCACCCCACACCCTGACATATGCTGGGCTTGGGGACTTGCAGTGGCCTTGCCTATTGGTTTTTATTTTTTTTGAGACAGAGTCTTGCTCTGTCATCCAGGCTGGAATGCAGAGGTGCCATCATAGTTCCTTGCAGCCTCAAACTCCTAGACTCAAGTGATCCTCCCGCCTCAGCCTCCTGAGTAGCTGGGACTACAGACGTGCACCACCATACCTGGCTAATATTTATTTATTTTTTGTAGAGATGGAGTCTTGATATGTTTCCCAGGATGGTCTTGAACTCCTGGCCTCAAACGATCTACCCACCTTCACCTCCCAAAGTGCTGGGATTACAGGCATGAGCCACTGCACCCTGCTTTGTTTTCCTGTGGGTTTTAAAATCTTGTTGTTGAAACAAATGATGTATCTTTTGTTTTGAGACGGGTCTCACTCTGTTGCCCAGGCTGGAGTGCAGTGGCAGGATCTCAGCTCACTGCAACCTCTGCCCCCTGGGTTCAAGTGATTCTCCTGCCTCAGCCTCCAGAGTAGCTGGGACTACAGGAGCGCTACCACACCCAGCTAATTTTTATATTTTTAGTAGAGATGGGGTTTCATCATCTTGGCCAGGCTGATCTTGAACTCCTGACCTCATGATCCACCTGCCTTGGCCTCCCAAAGTGCTGGTATTACAGGCGTGAGCCACCGCGCCTGGCCTAATTTCTGTATTTTTAGTAGAGACAGGGTTTCACCATGTTGGCCAGGCTGGTCTCAAACTCCTGAACTTGTGATCCACCCACCTTGGCCTCCCAAAGTGCTGGGATTACAGGTGTGAGCCACCGCGCCGGGCAAGAATTTCCTTTCTTTTTAAGGCTGAATAATATTCCATTGTATGAATAGACTCCATTTTGTTTATCCATTTGATTTGTTTGTTTTGAGATGGATTCTCACTGTCACCCAGGTTGTGGGTCCGGAATTGGTGGGTTCTTGGTCTCACTGACTTCAAGAATGAAGCCACGGACCCTGGAGGTGAGTGTTACAGCTCTTAAGGTGGTGCGTCTGGAGTTTGTTCCTTCTGATGTTTGGATGTGTTGGGAGTTTCTTCCTTCTGATGGGTTCGTGGTCTCGCTGGCTCAGGAGTGAAGCTGCAGATCTTCGCGGTGAGTGTTAGAGCTCTTAAGGCAGCGCATCTGGAGTTCTTCGTTCCTCCCGGTGGGCTCATGGTCTCGCTGGCTTCAGAAGTGAAGCTGCAGACCTTCGCGGTGAGTGTTATGGCTCATAAAAGCAGTGTGGACCCAAAGAGTGAGCAATTACAAGATTTATTGCAAAGAGCGAAAGAACGAAGCTTCCACAGTGTGGAAGGGGACCCGAGCAGGTTGCAGCTGCTGACTCAGCTGCCTGCTTTTATTCTCTTATCTGGGCCCACCCACATCCTGCTGATTGGTAGAGCCGAGTGGTCTGTTTTGACAGGGTGCTGATTGGTGCGTTTACAATCCCTGAGCTAGACACAAAGGTTCTCCACCTACCCACTAGAGTAGCTAGATACAGAGTGTCCACACAAAGGTTCTCCACCTACCCACCAGAGTAGCTAGATACAGAGTGTCCACACAAAGGTTCTCCAAGGCCCCACCAGAGTAGCTAGATACAGAGTGTCGATTGGTGCATTCACAAACCCTGAGCTAGACACAGGGTGCTGATTGGTGTGTTTACAAACCTTGAGCTAGATACAGAGTGCTGATTGGTGTATTTACAATCCCTGAGCTAGACATAAAGGTTCTCCAAGGCCCCACCAGAGTAGCTAGATACAGTGTCAATTGGTGCATTCACAAACCCTGATTAGACACAGGGTGCTGATTGGTGTGTTTACAAACCTTGAGCTAGATACAGAGTGCTGATTGGTGTATTTACAATCCCTGAGCTAGACATAAAGGTTCTCCACGTCCCCACCAGACTCAGGAGCCCAGCTGGCTTCACCCAGTGGATCCCGCACTGGTGCTGCAGATGGAGCTGCCTGCCAGTCCCGGTGCTGTGCGCCTGCACTCCTCAGCTGTTGGGTGGTTGATGGGACTGGGCGCCATGGAGCAGGGGTGGCGCTCGTCAGGGAGGCTCGGGCTGCACAGGAGCCCATGGAGGGGGTGGGAGGCTCAGGCATGGCGGGCTGCAGGACCCGAGCCCTGCCCCGCCGGAAGGTAGCTAAGGCCGGGTGAGAAATCAAGCGCAGCGCCGGTGGGCTGGCACTGCTGGGGGACCCAGTACACCCTCCGCAGCCGCTGGCCCGGGTGCTAAGCCCCTCATTGCCCAGGGCCAGCCCTGCCGGCTGCTCCCAGTGCAGGGCCCGCCAAGCCCACGCCCACCCGGAACTCCAGCTGGCCCGCAAGCGCCGCGCGTAGCCCCGGTGCCCGATCGCGCCTCTCCCTCCACACCTCCCTGCAAGCTGAGGGAGCCGGCTCTGGCCTTGGCCAGCCCAGAAAGGGGCTCCCACAGTGCAGCGGTGGGCTGAAGGGCTCCTCAAGTGCCGCCAAAGTGGGAGCCCAGGCAGAGGAGGCGCCGAGAGCGAGCGAGGGCTGTGAGGACTGCCAGCACGCTGTCACCTCTCAGCTGGAGTGCAGTGGCGCAATCCCAGCTCACTGCAACCTCCGCCTCCCGGGTTCAAGCAATTCTCCTGCCTCAGCCTCCCGAGTAGCTGGGATTACAGTTCCACACCACTATGCCTGGCTAATTTTTGTATTTTTAGTGGAGATGGGATTTCACCATGTTGGCCAGGCTGGTCTCGAACTCCTGACCTCAGGTGATCGGCCTGCCTCGGCCTCACAAAATGCTGAGATTACAGGCGTGAGCCACCGCACCTGGTCTGATTTTTTTTTTAAATGCAAATCAGACTATGTCACTCTTTTGCTTGAAGCTCCTCAGTGGCTGCCTATGGCTGTCAGGGTCAGAGCCTCACCACGGCCTGGGTTTCCTCCTGTGGCCCCTGGCTTTCGCCTCCTGCTCTATTCTTATCCTGAACTACGCCAAGCCCTTTCTCAACCCCGCCCCTTGCTCCCTCTGTCTGGAACTACCTTCCCAGGCCTTTTTGTGCCGTTCATTCTCAAGTCACCTCCTCAGCGAGCCCTCCTTAGTCACTCCCTTTCATCACCCTGTTTGCTTCCTTCCCATTATCTGGTTTCCCTGGAGGCTTATGTCTGTCTCCCCTCAGTGGAATGTGGGCCTCATGGCACAGGCCCATCGGGGTCACTGCTGTGTTCAGGGCTCAGTAAGGATGCCTCGGTGCGCTTGGATGTGGCGCTGGCCGGCTGGCTGGGGGTGCCACCTGGCGTGATTTGTTGTCACTTGCTCACTTGTCCTAGATGCTGTTTATAAAAGTACTAATAGAACCAGGCACGGTGGTTTATGCCTGTAATCCCAGCATTTTGGAAGCCCAAGGTAGGCGAATCCCTTGAGCCCAGGTGTTTGAGACCAGCTTGGGCAGCAGGGCAAAACCCTGTCTCTACTAAAAAAAAAAAAAAAAAAAAAAAAAAAAAAATTAGCCAGGCATGGTGGTGCGTGTGTAGTCCCAGCTACTTAGGAGGCTGAGTGGGAGGATCACTTGAGCCTGGGGAGGTTGAGGCCGCAGTGAGCTATAATCGCGTCACTGCGCTCCAGCCTGGGTAACAGAGTGAGACCCCGTCTCAAAAATAAATAAATAAATGATACTAATAGTAGAAGGTGATGTATGGCCTTGGAAAAGGCTGAGTTCGACGGCTAGGAAGCCTAGTTTTCCCCTCTCTTCCTCTTCCTTGCACTATACCCTGCAGATCATGGAGCTGGACTGAAGGTCTCAGTTTCTTCTTACGTCACATCAAGGAGGGTGATGCTGACAGCAGGCATCCTCTCGTGAGTTGCCAGCAGTTTTGTGAAGGTGTGGGGAGAGGCCAGTCACGGTGACTCACACCTGTAATCCCAGCACTTTGGGAGGCCGAGGTGGGTGGATCATCTAAGGTCAGGAGTTCAAGACCAGCCTGGCCAACATGGTGAAACCCCGTCTCTACTAAAAATACAAAAATTAGCTGGGCATGGTGGCGAGTGCCTGTAACCCCAGCTACTGGAGAGGCTGAGGCAAGAGAATCACTGAACCCAGGAGGCGGAGGTTGCAGTGAGCCGAGATCGCACCATTGCACTCCAGCCTGGGCGACAAAGCAAGACTGTCTCAGAAAAAAAAAAAAAAAAAAAAAAGAAGAAGATGTAGGGAGAGAGGGAAACGAAGAATGTGGGGGGGGAAATGAAGAGCTTAAAAAATAAAACTACAAAATCTTTTAGCCAAAGGGGGAAGAAAACAAGGGCAACATAAATAATTTGAAATTTTTCTCCAGAGAAATAGCAAAAGTTCCACTCATCTCCATTTAGAAGTTTGTAATGGGGAGAAACATATTCCATAAATCAAAAAGAGTAATTTATTTTCAAATTATATATGTCTGTAGAAACACATAAAATTCATAGAGAAAGATGAAGAGATCATAAGAAAAAAAAGCCCTTAATTTTTTTTTTTTTTTTTGAGACGGAGTCTCAACTCTGTTGCCCAGGCTGGAGTGCAGTGGTGTGATCTTGGCTCACTGCAACCTCTGCCTCCAGGGTTCAAGCAATTCTCATGGCTCAGCCTCCCAAGAAACTGTGACTACAGTTGCGCGCCACCATGCCTGGCTATTTTTTTTTTGTATTTTTAGTAGAGACAGGGTTTCACTCTGTTGGCCAGGCTGGTCTTGAACTCCTGGCCTCAGGTGATCTGTCCATCTTGGCCTCTCAAAGTGCTGGGATTATAGACATGAGCCACCGCGCCTGGCCCCTTACTTAATTTAGAGTAAAGGCAAAGACCTAAGTGATATTTTTATGTGTTGCAAATGTCTCCTCCTACTCTCAGCTTTCCATTTCCTTAATGGTGTCTTAAAAATTGTGTTATTGAATATAACATACAAACAGTATGAACAATGAATAAATCAGAATGTACAACGTGAATTTTTTTTTTTACAAATGAACTCTGTAACCAGCATCCAGATCAAGAAACAGAACATTATAAGAACTCCAAAGCCCTGGAGACCCCTTCTGGTCACTACCTTCCAAGGGTACCATTATCCTGACTTGTATAAATGGAATCTGAGAGAAGGCAAGTTTTCTTTTACATGTATGATGTATGTGGGATTCCCTATACGGTTTCATTCATTCATGAGTAGTGGTCATTCATTCATGTTCGTTGCTTTATAGTATTCTAGTGTGCAGCAATTCATCCACTCTACTATTGATGGATATTTGGATAATTCCCAGTTTGGGGGTATTATTAATGGTGCTGCTATGTGAAGGGGTGGCCTTCCCCTCCACACCTGTGGGTATTTCTAGTCAGGTGGGATGAGAGACTGAGAAAAGAAATAAGACACAGAGACAAAGTATAGAGAAACAACCGTGGGCCCAGGGGACTGGCACTCAGCATACCAAGGACCTGCACCGGCACCAGTCTCTGAGTTCCCTCAGTTTTTATTGATTATTATTTTTATTATTTTAGTAAAAAGGAATGTAGTAGGAGAGCAGGGTGATAATAAGGAGAAGGTCAGCAACAAACATGTGAGCAATAGAATCTATGTCATAATGAAGTTCAAGGGAAGGTACTATGACTGGACGTGCACGTAAGTCAGATTTATGTTTCTCTCCACCAAAACATCTCAGCAGAGTAAAGAATAACAAGGCAGCATTGCTGTAAACATGTCTTGCCTCCCACCATAGGGCGGTTTTTCTCCTATCTCAGAATTGAACAAATGTACAGTCGGGTTTTATACTGAGACATTCAGTTCCCAGGGGCAGGCAGGAGACAGTGGCCTTCCTCTATCTCAACTGCAAGAGGCTTTCCTCTTTTACTAATCCACCTCAGCATAGACCCTTTATGGGTGTCGGGCTGGGGGATGGTAAGGTCTTTCTCATCCCACAAGGCCATATTTCAGACTATCACATGGGGAGAAACCTTGGACAATACCCAGCTTTCCAGGGCAGAGGTCCCTGCGGCTTTCCGCAGTGCATTGTGCCCCTGGTTTATTGAGACTAGAGAATGGCGATGACTTTTACCAAGTATACTGCTTGTAAACATGTTGTTAACAAGGCACGTCCTGCACAGCCCTAGATCCCTTAAACTTTGATTTCGTACAACACATGTTTTTGTGAGCTCCAGGTTGGGTCAAAGTGGCTGGGGCAAAGCTACAAATTAACAACATCTCAGCAAAGCAACTGTTTAAAGTACAGGTCTTTTTCAAAATGGAGTCTCTTATGTCTTTCCTTTCTACATAGACACAGTAACAGTCTGATCTCTCTTTCTTTTCCCTACACTATGGAACATTCTCTCTCTCTCTCTCTCTCTCTCTCTCTCTCTCTCTCTCTCTGTAGCAATTTTACTGAACTGGTGCTGCTCCTTTTGTAGGAGGACTAACCCATAGGCACTGTGCCCAGAGTCAGCCTGAACATTCTAGAACTTGCTTTTGATCAACACCTTGTATTAGGGACAGAACTAAAGGGACAGAACTAATAGGATGTATGTATATATGAAAGGAAGTTTATTAAGGAGAATTGACTCACAAGATCACAAGGTAAAGTCCAACGATAGACTCTCTGCAAGCTCAGGAGCAAGGAAGCCAGTAGTGGCTTAGTCTGAGTCTCAAAACCTCAAAAGTCGGGAAGCTGACAGTGCAGCCTTCAGTCTGTGGCCAAAGGCCCGAGAGCCCCTGGCAAACCACCAGTGTAAGTCCAAGAGTCCAAAAACCAAAGAACTTGGAGTCTGATGTTCCAGGGCAGGAAGCATCGAGCACGGGAGAAAGATGAAGGCCTGAAGACTCAGCAACTCTGCCCTTCCATCTCCTGCCTGCTATTTCTAGCCATGCTGCCTCTCCCAGTCCACTGCCTCAAATGTTAATCTCCTCTGCTACCACTGTCACAAAAAAACACCCAGAAACAATACTTTGCATCCTTCAATCCAATCAGGTTGACACTTTTTTTTTTTTTGAGACAGAGTCATGCTCTGTCGCCCAGGCTGGGGTGCAGTGGCGCAATCTTGGCTCACTGCAACCTTTGCCTCCCTGGTTCAAGCAATTCTCCTGCCTCAGTCTCCTGAGTAGCTGGGACTACAGGTGCGCGCCATCATGCCTGGCTAATTTTTGTATTTTTAGTAGAGACGGGGTTTGCCATGTTGACCAGGCTGGTCTTGAACTTTTGGCCTCAAGTGATCTGCCAGCCTCAGCCTCCTCCCAAAGTGCTGGGATTACAGGTGTGAGCCACCACGCCCGGCCACAATCAAGTTGACACTTAATATTAACCATCACACACATGAACATATTTCTGTTGATTATATACCTATGCTGGTCACAGGATGTGTAAATATTCAGCTTTAGGAGATATTGGGAGAAATAGCAACACTTGATATACATATATATACACATATATATATACATATATATACACACATATATATACATATATATACATATATATACACACATATATACATATATATACATATATACATATATACATATATATACATATATACACGCATATATATACATATATATACATATATATATACACATATATATGTGTGTATATATATACATATATATATACACATATATATGTGTGTGTGTATATATATATATATATATATATATATATATATATAAAGTTGTTGGTTTTCACATTTTTATTGGGAGCCATGCGAGGGGCCTCTTCTGTCAGTGGAGGTGCTCACACTTTCTTCAGCCACTCCAAGCTGGGGCCCTGGGGGCCCTGGGGGTGGCTGCACATGTCCGCATGTTCCCATCATCGTGGACGGGCACTGGATAGTTGTAGGGTGTGGCCTCATTGATCATGATGGAATACTTGGTGTAGGGGCTGAGTGGGGGCAGAATTACAGTGAGGCTCCCGATGACGAAGGAGACCACCAGCACTGGCTCCTTGGCCCAGGAGTTCTTGAGGAAGGCGCCAAGTCTCACAACCATCTTGGTCTCGGCTTTATATATATATATATATATATATTTATTACAGTGGGAGTGTGTGAGTTTGTGTGTGATTAGAGATTTCATCTCACTATGTTGCCCAAGCTGGTCTTGAAGGGCTCAAGCAATCCTCCCGCCTCAGCCTCCCAAAGCACTGAGAATAGAGGCATGAGCCACCGTGCCCGGCCACATCACGTATTAACTTGCATTTCCCTGATGACTAATGAAGCCAAGCATTTTTTCCTGTTGATTGGCCACGTGGATATCCTCTTCTACCATGTGCCTATTCTAGTCTTTTGCCCATTTTGTGAGGTTTTTTTTTTGCCATTTTTTTCATTGAATTGTCTGACTGTCCTTTTCTTATTGACTTTTTTTCTTTTTTTTTTTGAGATGGAGTCTCGCTCTGTTGCAGTAGTGCGATCTCAGCTCACTGCAACCTCTGCCTCCTGGGTTCAAGAGATTCTCCTACCTCAGACTCCTGAGTAGCTGGGATTACAGGGGCCCATGACTATGCCTGCGTAATTTTTGTATTTCTAGTAGAGATGGGGTTTCACCATATTGGTCAGGCTGGTCTCGAACTTCTGACCTCAGGTGATCCGCTCACCTCGGCCTCCCAAAGTGCTGGGATTACAGGCGTGAGCCACTGCGCCCAGCCTCTTATTGACTTTTAGCAAGTTTTTCTATATTCTGGATTCAAGTCCTTTGTCGGGTATATGAATTATGAATATCTTCTCCCACACTCTGGCTTGAATTTTCATTCTTATTGGTGTCTTTTGAGGAACAGGACTTCTTAAATTTAATATAGTTTAATTACCAAGTTTTTGTAAATAAGAATAGCCTAAATCAATACTGAGAAGTCATATTATAGCTGTTAT
Source organism: Homo sapiens (assembly GCF_000001405.40). Lineage (NCBI taxonomy): Eukaryota > Metazoa > Chordata > Mammalia > Primates > Hominidae > Homo > Homo sapiens. The sequence goes on along the minus strand of NC_000001.11, from coordinate 225,963,308 downwards.
ACCGGTAACAAAACAAGAAAGCTAATTTTGAAACTTCCCTGTACTGCTGAGGATTCTGGGAAACAAATACACTCATTTCATTGCTCAAGATTTTTTTTAATTTTTAATTTTATTATTATTATTACTACCATTATTATTTTTGAGGCAGAGTCTCACTTTGTCGCCCAGATTGGAGTGCAATGGCGCGATCTCGGCCTACTGCAACCTCCGCCTCCCGGGTTCAAGCGATTCTCGTTCCTCCACCTCCAGGTGGGAATACAGGCACCCACCACACCCAGCTAATTTTTGAATTTTTAGTAGAGACGGAGTTTCTCTACTACAGAGAAAGGAGAGGCAGGCCAGGCTGGTCTGGAACTCCTGAGCTCAGGTGATCCGCCCGTCTCAGCCTCCCAAGGAGCTGGGATTACAGGTGTGAGCCACGGTGCCTGGCCGAATTATTATAAAATATATAATTTTTAAACATTTGATAAGCTCTTGCCCTAACCCTTCCTCTCTTACAGGGCGTCTCATAGTCGCTGCCTGAATCCTCCGGCTTGACGTTAAGTTAGAAGAGCAGGAGTTTTTCCATTAACCAGTTAGGGACTCTGGGCAAGTCCTTTGACCTCTCTGTCCTCGGTTTCTTCGTCTGGGAGGACCCTCTGCACCCCCTGGGTTTAGAGAAGATATGACCGTTCAGCAAAAGCACCTGAAGACAGCGCTGCAGAGGCACGGTCAGCACCGTGATTCCCATGTCTGCAGCGACCCCTGCTGGCTGCCGGCCCGGGCTCGGGGTCCACCGAAGCCCGCCTCCAGCCCCTACTTCTGTGCTTCCTGGAGGGCACTGCCCAGGAGCCTGGGCAGCTGCAGGTGGGTGGGTCCTCTGAGTCCGTTTTCCCCAGTCCTCCCTTTCGTCTTCTTTCCTCCTTCCCCCGCTACAGCCTGGGGTGGGACAGGAACCCCGAGAGACCTCACACAATTCTTCCCGGTAACTATCCCCCACCCTTGGACATTGCTTGACCACTTTAGTGTGCAAGACCTTTTTCACGAATACTCTTTCACTGGCGTGCTCAGAAGGAAATTTCTTTGAATGTGTGGGTTTATGAAGACAGCTTATACAGCCAAGAAGTACTTCCTTCAGAAACTAAAAATTCCGGCCAGGCGCTGTGGCTCACGCCTGTAATCCCAGCACTTTGGGGGACCGAGCCGAGCGGATCACAAGGTCAGGAGTTCGAGACCAGCCTGGTCAACATGGAGAAAACCCATCTCTACTAGAAATACAAAAATTAGCCGGGCATGGTGGCACATGCCTGTAATCGCAGCTACTCGGGAATCTGAGGCAGGAGAATTGCTTGAACCCGGGAGGTGGAGGTTGCAGTGAGCAGAGATCCCGCCACTGCACTCCAACCTGGGCGACAGAGTGAGACTCCATCTAAGAAAGAAAGAAAGAGAGAGAGAGAGAGAGAGGGAGGGAGGGAGGAAGGAAGGAAAAAGAAAAGAAGGAAAGAAAGAAAGGAAGGAAAGAAAGGAAACTAAAAATTCTAAGACATCCCAAGGGAGGATAGGACTCTTCCCCTAGACATCCCCTCTAGGGGATGTGGCGGGTGGGGTCTGGACCACAGGTTCTGGTGCCTTGCTTCATTCTCCATCCCCACACTTCATGGAGTTGATGTTCTCACATCTCATGGTTGATCAAACGGAGTGTCCGAGTGGTTAAATAACTTGCCTAAGCTTCTAAGTAGGTAGGTGAGGTAGGTTATTGGCAGAATTTATCTGTCGAGACTTCAGAGTTTGTGCATTAAAAATAAAATAGAATAAAAATTCTTTTTTTCTGATTATTTAAAAAAAAGCTTTCAGAGATTCTGGAAAATATATAAAGAATATAAAGATGAAGCTGAACATCACCCAGATGTCCTCAACTCAGTAATAGTCATTGTTAATACTTTGGTAAATATCCTTGTTTGTTTGCTTTTCTGTGTATATTGACTGAAATCATATATTATGAGTGAAGATGATATGTGTTCCTTTTTGATTTGACATTGCATAGTATGAGCTTTCTTTATGGCATGTAAAATTCTTCCACATGTGGTTTTTAATGACTATATAACAGTTTTCTCTGTGTATGCACCATCATTTGACCTTTCTTGTTTTGTGAGGCATTTGCATTTCTTAATTTTTTTGAAATTGTATAAAATCTTTGCATATTGACCTTTGCCTGAATCTCAAATGATCTCCCTGGGACATTCACAGATAGGTTCTTACTGGCGCTAGTCTATGAATATATGTACGTATATATTTTTTGAGACGGAGTCTCACTCTGTCGCCCAGGCTGGAGCATAGCAGCGCGAGCTCGGCTCACTGCAAACCCTGCCTCCCAGGTTCAAGTAATTCTCCTGTCTCAGTCTCCCTAATTTTTGTATTTTAGTAGAGACAGGGTTTTGCCATGTTGGCCAAGCTGGTCTTGAATTCCTGGCCTCAAGTGATCTGCCCACCTCGGCCTCCCAAAGTGCTGGGATTAGAGGTGTAAGCCACCACACCCAGCCAAGGAGATCAATATTTTTAAGGTTCTTGACACATATTATCAAGATACTGCACGACAAGATGACACCTGTAAGTGTGCCTAGCAACCATCTCACTGCTCCCTCACCGATGCTATTCCCTTCTCAAAAGAAGTCTTTTTTTTTTTTTTTTTGAGGCAGGGTCTCGCTCTGTCACCTAGGCTGGAGTGCAGTGGCATGATCTCGGTTCACTGCAACCTCCGCCTCCCCGGCTCAAGCAATCCTCCCACCTCAGCCTCCCAAGTAGCTGGGACAACAAGCATTTGCCACCATGCCCAGCTAACTTTTGTATTTTCTGTAGAGGTGGGTTTCGCCATATTGCCCAGGTGGGTCAAAAGAAGTCTTTATTAATTTAGTGCCTGAACAATGCCACCTTCCACTGATTAAGGCTGTTTTTTTTTTTGTTTGTTTGTTTTTTGAGACAGAGTCTTGCTCTGTTGTCCAGGCCAGAGTGCAGTGGCACAATCTTGGCTCACTGCAACCTCCACCTCCTGGGTTCAAGGGATTCTCCTGCCTCAGCCTCCTGAGTAGCTGGGATTACAGGTGGGCGCCACCACACCCAGCTAATTTTTTGTATTTTTAGTAGAGATGGGGTTTCACCATGTTGGCCAGTCTGGTCTCGAACTCCTGACCTCGTGGTCCGCCTGCTTCGGCCTCCCAAAGCGCTGGGATTACAGGCGTGAGCCACCTCAGCCAGCCAAGGCTGTGTTCTGAGGCTTTCCACACTCCATGGATGATGGGATCCTTGCTGAAAGCAGTGGGATCAAAGAGCCTCTTGGATTCCTTATTTTATTTTGTTTTTATTATTTTTTGACACAGGGTCTTGCTCTGTCACCTAGGCTGGAGTACAGTGGTGCAAACACAGCTCAGTGCAGCCTCAACCTACTGGGCTCAAGGGATCCTCCTGCCTCAGCCTCCTGAGTAGCTGGGACCACGGGTACATGCCACTATGCCCAGCTAATTTTTTTAATTTTTTGTAGAGACAGGGTCTCACTTTGTTACCCAGGCTGCTTGACCTTCTGAGCCCAAGCGATCCTCCCAAAGTGCTGGGATTACAGGTGTAAGCCACTGTGCCCGGGTCCCTTCTTTTATTTATTTTGTTTTTTAAAGCATTTACATAGTGTTTTCCATGTTCTGGGAACTGTTTAGAGCCTAATAAACAGCAAGTGATTTACAAAACCTAGAAAAAAGACTCTATTATCCTCCTCATTCTGCAGATGTTGAAGCCAAGGCAAGGAGGGTACCCAAGACCACCTGACTCTGGAGTGGTGAACTGGGCTCCGGCCTGGGCAATGTGGCTCAGGGCTCTGTGGGCTTGGCCAGCACATGACATTGCCTGGGAGTGGGCGCAAGGCCACTCAGAAGCAGGAAGGAACAGTGCAGGCTGGAGGGGTCTCTGCTGAACGAAGAAGCCAGCATCCTTGATGTGGGTCTCAGCCACGGATTTCCTGACATCACTTTATTTCTTTTAGGCTCAGTCTTATTTCTTTTTATTTCTTTTTTTTTTTTTTTTTTTTTTTTTGAGATGGAGTCTCACTCTGTCACCTAGGCTGGAGTGCACTGGTGTGTTCTCGGCTCACTGCAACCTCTGCCTCCTGGATTCAAGTGATTCTCCTGCCTCAGCCTCCCGAGTAGCTGGGATTACAGGCACGCACCACTATGCCCAGCTAATTTGTGTTTGTTTGTTTGTTTGTTTTTGAGATGGAGTTTCACTCTTGTTGTTCAGCCTGGAGTGCAATGGCATGATCTTGGCTCACTGCAACCTCCGCCTCCTGGGTTCAAGCGATGCTCCTGTCTCAGCCTCCCAAGTAGCTGGGATTACAGGTGCCTGCCACCACGCCCAGCTAATTTTTTGTATTTTTAGTAGATACAGGATTTCACCATGTTGGCCAGGCTGGTTTCAAACACCTGACTTCAAGTGATCCACCCGCCTCGGCCTCCCAAAGTGCTGAGATTACAGGCATGAGCCACTGTGCCAGGCCATCCCAGTCTTATTTCACTGATGGTCTTTCAAAGCCAGGTCACGTTAACTGGGGCCAGTGTCCTTTAGGGTGGCAAGAATGCCACTTGCTTTGCAAGCAAGGCTGTGGCTCAGCCCTCCTGCAATGAGGCAAGAGTAGAGGCAGATCTGAAGGGATTATACCCAGGATTATACCTGTGCGTCCCTGTGCCAGGGCCTTCTCCAGGCCCACTGCTCAGTCGGTGGCAGGGCTGCATCCGTTCAGTCAACGTGGAAGGGCCTCTGACCCCAAAAGAAGGAAATTCTGAAATCAGCTGCTCAGTGGGAAGCTGATGGAAATCCACATTAGCATGGCCTGGGCCCAGCCACACTTCGTATCCTGTCCACTATCATCCTGTTAACTAAACACTGAGCTCCTCAAGGGTGGGACCCGGGCTTTGTATCCCCAGCTCTGAGGTGGCTGATGATGGATAGGTGCTCAGTAGATGTGGATTGCATGAATGAACTGTGGATGGGATTAGCCTGCTGCCCAGAAGTAGCCCATCTACTAGGATTAGGAGATTGTTTACCCATTAGATTAAGGGGCCAAAGGTGCAGCCTAGACTGGTCAGGGGGCGTGGGTTCAAATCCCAGCAGGACACCCTGACCCTGTTGACATGGCAGTCACACTGCAAGGCCTTGGATGAATTAGTTTGTGCGTTTTGGCCTCAGTTTCCCTTCCAAAGTCCTCCATTGTTTTGAGGGTAGAAATAGAACATGTGTGACAGCAAGGAGACCCAGCCCGGGTAGATGTAGATGCAAACGCTGCACACTGAGCCTTAAACGGGGATCAGGGAGCCACAGCGTTCCTCGTTCATTCCCATTCTTTTATTTTTTATTTTATCTTATTTTGTTTTTAGAGATGAGGTCTCACTATGTTGGCCAGGCTGACCTTGAACTCCTGGGCTCAAGGGATCCTCCTGCCATGGCCTCCAAAAGTGCTGTGATTACAGATGTGAGCCACTGTACCCAGTTCACTCGCATTCTTGGTCCTTCTGAAGAGAGGTGACACCATTTGAAGCTTCAGGGTTAACTTTTTCCCCCTCCTCAAAAATGATTTTCTTAGAGGGGGCTCTGCTCTTTAGATAGTGTTGCAACCTCTGGGAGGCAGGCATCGAAGCCACAAAGCTCCCTGGGGATCTGCCTGGAAATATCTCTCACTGCCTGAGGCTGGACTCTAGGAAGTTCTAAATTCTCCTCCCACCTTTGATAAATTTAAGAAAAAACCACAGTGACGTGGCAAAGGTAGAGGAAGGAACGGTCCCATCTCCGCTGCTGTGTCTTCATTGACCATGCCTTCTTTCTGAAACCCTTTCCTCTCTCGACTTTGTTTTCTCACTTTCCTGCTATTCTCCCAGGCCCCAGCTGGGACCCTCCACTCTCCCTAGAACTGGGCCCAGGTGGGGTCAGTGGGATACTCACCTTGGATGCAAAATCTAAGAGGGCACCAAAGAATTGAGTAATCATGATAAACAATATTTTAATTTAACATTTTTTAAGTGAAAATTAACACCAAAAAATCACAATGAGCAAAATATCAAAATATATATATATATTTTTTGAGACAGGGTCTCACTCTGTTGCCCAGGCTGGAGTACAGTGGTGCAATCACAGCTCACTGCAGCCTCGACCTCCCCAGGCTCAGGTGATCCTCCCACCTCAGCCTCCCAAGTAACTGGGACTATAGGCGTGCACCACCATGTCTGGCTAATTGTTTTTGTATTTTTTGTAGAGGTGGGGTTTCACCATGTTGCCAAGGTTGGTCTTGAACTCCTGGGCTCAAGCAATCCCCACCTCAGCCTCCTAAAGTGCTGGGATTACAAGTGTGAGCCACTGTGGCTGGCCCAAACTTCTTTTTTTTGAGACAGAGTTTCACTCTATCTCCCAGGCTGGAGTGCAGTGGCGCAATCTCGGCTCACTGCAACCTCCACCTCCCAGGTTCAAGCAATCCTCCTTCCTCAGCCCCCTAGTAGATGGGATTACAGGCACACGCCACCATGCCAGGCTAATTTTTGTATTTTTAGTAGAGACAGGGTTTTGCCATGTTGGCCAGGCTGGTCTCGAACTCCTGACCTCAGGTGATCTACCTGCCTCGGCCTCCCAAAGTGCTGGGAATAAAGGTGTGAGCCATCGTGCCCGGCCCAACTTTTAAATAAAGTCAGAATCCGTCTCTCTCTTTCTGTGACATTTGTTTTTGTGACATCAAGTATTACTTCTATTTGGACAATCCACAGATTTCTCTTTTAAGCCCTGACTTCCTCTCTTGAGTAAAAGTTGTGGGTCTGCAGCTGCCTTCTGAAGACCCATGGAGAGGTCCACTCAGGGAGGACCTGATGCCTTCTGCAAAGAGCCAAAGAGGAGCTGAAGCCTTCAGCCAACAGCCATGTGAGTGAATCCTGCAGGTGGATCCTCGGGCCCCAGGTAAGCCTTCAGCCGACTGCAGCCCTAGCCGACATCTTCATGGCAACCTCATGGGAAACCCCGAGCCAGAACCATGCAGCTAAACTGTTTCTAGATTCTTCATCCATAGGAATGGTGAGACAATAAATGCTTGGTGTTTAAGCCACCGAGTCAAGATAATTTGTTACACAACAATCTTTCTCTGGAGAGGTTCTGGTGGATGTCTCCAAAGGGCTTCATAAGTGTCCTTCTCCTATATCATCTGATGATGGCCTCTTCCCCCCATGGCTCCAGGTACCACCTACATGCTATGCTGATGTTGCCCAGGGTCATGGTTCCGTAACTTCTCCTCCCAGATTTCCCACAGGCTCCTCATCACTCAGACAGAACCTGATGTCTTCTCCCTTGAAATCTGGACCCGCCTCCTCTTACAGGCTGGGAGTCTCCTCTGCCACATCTACTCGGTCCTTGGTCACCATAGACTCACCTCCTGGATGGCTAGTGGCTTTATCCCATTTGCTACTGCCATGATTCAGGTCCCACAATTTTTCTTCTGTGTGACCACAGAGGCCACTCCTCCTGGCCTCCTTTCCTCCATTCCCCACAAGGCTGATGAGCGAGCTTTTCAAACCATGACAGTCTCAGAAATCCCACTGTCTTCAGAATAAAGTGGAAACTGCTGATATGGTCCCCCACTCCCATACCTCTAATGACCGCTAGGTTCAACCAAGACCTCCTTGGCTTGCTACACAGAAACATGTAAACCAAGCCATGGTGGGTCTGAGGGGCAGGGCTCAGCCAGACTGGTGGTTCCTCATGCTGGGACAATGCAAACAATCGGACCCCTGCTACCCTCCCAACGAGTGTCAGACCAGCCTCGAGCCTTTGCTCCATGGTCCTTAACTGAGGAGAGAACATGAGCGACCTGTTTAAGGTGACCATATATACGTTATCTATTTCATACCAATTTTTAGAAAAGGTGGCTCAGTGGCCAGGTGTGGTGGCTCATGCCTGTAATCTCAGCACTTTGGGAGGCTGAGGCGGGTGGATCACGAGGTCAGGAGTTCGAGACCAGCCTGACCACTAAAAATACAAAAATTAGCCGGGCGCGGTGGCATGCGCCTGTAATCCTAGCTACTCAGGAGACTGAGGCTGGAGAATCACTTGAACCTGGGAGGCAGAGATTGCAGTGAGCTGAGACTGGGCCACTGCACTCCAGCCTGGGCAACAGAGTGAGATTCCAACTCAAAAAAAAAAAAAAAAAGAAAAGAAAAAGAAAAGGTGGCTTGGCTCACACCAGTGAGAGCTGCCATCCCCATGGCCTCCAGACGGTCTCCAGACTGCCTTGCAGAGGTCATCCCATCCACCTAGCTGGAGTCTTCCTTTCTCACAGACTCTACAGGTGTTTTGGTAAAGTTTGGGCTCCTACATACAGTCCCCCAATCTGCATACCTCAGAGGTTTCTCCAGGCTCTGGGCACAGGTGGGTGCTCCTTTGTTTAGGGGAGGCTTCCTCAGGACAGAAGGAAGGGGCTACCCAGCCCTGAGGTCAGTACCCCTAGGGAAGCCCAGAAGCTGCCCATCACCCAGATTGAGAAGGGATCTGGGTGATGTCCAAGGTGGCCTCTTGTGCTCACAGCCCCCGTGGACCTCCCAGTGGATAAGGCCTCGATGCCTATGCTCCTGTCCATTGCAGTCAGCACATGGCTGAAATTCACAATGGGAGAGCTGCCCAATGGGAGTCTTTGTCCAAGAACAAGTGTTCATCATGACGACTCCCAGCTCTACTTTCTCTATGGTAATAGATGATGGCTTAGGTTGGTCCCCTTTGAAGAACTGACTGTAGAGCAAGCAAATACTTGGGGGGAACATAAAATACTTTAAGATTATAATTCATATTCTCAGAATGATTCCATAATAAAAAAGGAGCTTTGGACATTTTAATATTACTTGTGAAAATAAAAACCCAAATGTCACAGCCAAGAGGAGACAAGACAACGACATGTAATATAGTGTGATGAGTGGGATCCTGGAACAAAAAGTGGACATTAGGTGAAAGCTAAGACAATCTGGGTAAAGTGTGGATTTTGTATCAATATTGCTTCAATGATTATAACAAAGGTACCATACTAATGTAAATGTTAATAATAGAGTAAACTTATGTGGGATATATGGGAACTATCTGTACCATCTTTGCAATTTTTCTATCAATATGAAATTATTCTAAAATAAAAACTTTGTTTAAAAAACAGCAAGAGAAGGGATAAACTATAAAGATATGATATTTCAGAATGTGAGGCCAAGGGCAGAGAAAAACAAAGGAAAGGTGAAATGTAGATATTCCATCAGTTCTAGATCTAGAGAACAGAGATCATGGAGAGGAGATGAAGAGGGTTGGTAGGATGAGATAGTATTAAAAGAAGACAGAAAAGGCAGAGATTTCCCACAGTTAAAGGACTTCAGGCTGGGCGCGGTGGCTCACGCCTTTAATCCCAGCACTTTGGGAAGCCAAGGCGGGCGAGTCACGAGGTCAGGAATTTGAGACCAGCCGGGCCAACATGGTGAAACCCCATCTCTACCAAAATACAAAAATTAGCTGGGCATGGTGGCAGACGCCTGTAATCCCAGCTACTTGGGAGGCTGAGGCAGGAGAATTGCTTGAACCCGGAAAGCAGAGGTTGCAGTGAGCTGAGCTCACGCCAATGCACTCCAGTCTGGGTGACACAGCGAGACTCTATCTCAAAAAAAAAAATAAAGGGTAAGGACATGCAGAGATAGGCTCTCTCACACAAATGAATGAGTCTATAAATTGGTGGAAACTTCTTGGAGGGCAATTTGCCAGAATCTGATAACACTGTAAAATATGTACATCCTTCTCCCTAGTTCTCAGTATCTACCTTAGAGAAATACCCACCTACAGGTGCACAAAGAGGAATGCTCAAGAATTTTCATTGCAGCATTGTTTGTAACATGGAAAAAATCTAAAAGTCCATCAGGCGAATGCTTCTAATTTTTAAGACAGTTTAAGAGTCTCACTGTGTTGCCCAGGCTGGTCTTGAACTCCCGGGCTCAAGCCAAAGGAATGCTTCTCCACCTTGACATAGTATTCAGCAGTGAAAAGAATGGAATTGAACTTGGTGGGCCACCATGGAAATATCTCTAAGACATCTGTTAAGTGAGAAAAGCAAGTTGCATGGAGTTATGTGCAGTTTGATCCCAATTATGTGAAAGAGAAAAGAATGCAAAATATATATTTTGTATGTATATATAAGTACAAATTAATAGAAAAAATGTCTCAAAGGATGCATACCAGAATGATAGCAATGATTAATTACCTTGCAAGAGTTTTCAGAGGCTGGGCATGATGGCTCATATCTATAATCTTAGCATTTTGGGAGGCTGAGACAAGAGGATCACTTGAGCCCAGGAGTTTGAGACGAGCCTGGGCAACATGGAGATCAGTGGGAGCCCGGGGAGCTCATGGTGCTTCTCCTAAGGTCCAGGGGCTCTGCTCCAAGCTCCTCTCATTGTGGTGGGGGGGTTGCTCTGGGACCCTCTCCCCTTTTAGCTTTTTCCAACTCCCAGCCAAATTTGAAAGCCCTCTTCCCAGCAGCACAGTGTTGAAACTGCCCGTCGACAGTTGTAGAGATGTTGAAACATCTCTACAAAAATAAATTAGCTAGGTGTGGTGGCAGGCACCTGTTGTCCCAGCTATTCAGGAAGCTGAGGTGGGAAGGTTGCTTGAGCTCAGGAGTTTGAGGCTGCAGTGAGCTATGATGACACCACTGCACTCCATCCTGGGTGACAGAGCGAGACCCTGTCTCTAAAAAAAAAAAGAAGAAAAAAATGTAAAAGAAGAGTTTGCAGGGAGGCAGGGAAGATGAAGGGGTATTAGAATATGGACGTTTTTGTTTTATCAGGATTGTTTATTTTTATTTATGTATTTATTTATTTAATTATTGAGGCAGAGTCTCGCTCTGTCACCCAGGCTGGAGTACAAGTGGCACGATCTTGGCTCACTGAAACCTCCACCTCCTCTCAGCCTCCCGAGTAGCAGGGATTACAGGCAACCGCCACCACACCCAGCTAATTTTTGTATTTTTAGTAGAAACAGGATTTCACCATGTTGGCCAGGCTGGTCTCTAACTCCTGACCTCAGGTGATCCACCCACCTCGGCCTCCCAAAGTGCTGGGATTACAGGCGTGAGCCACAGTGCCCGGCAGTATCAGGATTGTTTAAATCTTCTACGGTGAAATTTATTTGCTTAATCTAAAAATTATATAATGTTATTAATTGGTGTTTTCAGCATTTAAAATCAATTTGTAAACAAAGGACTGAACAGAATGTAAAGGTTGTCAGACCTGAGCACACACAGGTAAGGATGTAGCTGGTAGAGGTGGTAGATGAGGGGTGCCTCATTGCCTGGCTTTACCTGGTGAAACACTGAGACATTCCCTAAAGCTTGGGGAGCAGGAAATAGAGGTTTTAGTGTATTGTTTAAATGTGCAAAATTAACAAAAAGAACTGAAATTACCAGTGCACTTATTACAATTGGTGGGGGGTAGGGAATGAAATGCCAAAGGGGGAAGGAGCTAAATTCTTGTCTTTCACAACAGGGAGCCAGTAGATATTGTCCAAGTTAAGAATCCTAACTTAGAGTTCAAGGCTAGCCTGGGCAACATGGTGAAACCTTGTGTCTACAAAAAAAAAAAAAAAAACACAAAAATTAGCCAGGAGTGGTGGTGTGTGCCTATAGTCCTACCTACTTGGGAGGCTCAGGTGGGAGGATCGCTTGAGCCCAGGAGGCGGAGGTTGCAGTGAGCCGAGATCACGCCACCGTACTCCAGCCTGGGCGACAGAGTGAGACACTGTCTAAAAATAAAAATTAAAAAAAGTATTCCTGACTTGCTTCCTTTTGACAGTTGGAGTGCCTTTTCTTTTTGGGGACCTGCCACTAACTTCCTATTTTCTGGCCCAGAAACATTTCTGTCTCTTGGCACCACCTTAGAGTTCCTTAAACACGGACTCCTGTGTGTCATTTTTTAAAAGACGGATGGAAGTCGCAACATTTCCCTGCACTTCCATCTGCCCGCTCGCCCTTTCCCTCTACTTCCCTGCCTCTGTCTGTCCTGCCCTGTGCCCAGCAGGGGACCTAGGGGGAGGAGCTAAGCAGGGGGCTGGGACGCTGCTGAGCCTGTTGCTGCTCCGCCTAGGCAGAAGAGGCCGGAGCCCCTGGCCTGATTCCACAGCTCTTTCTTTCAGGACCACCTCCCCAGAGTCCCCCCACAAAAAGGAGCCCCTCAGGCCAGTGGGCTGCGTAGATGCTGGTGGCAAAGCCTGTTGTCCCCTGCCAGCCCTCTTGTCTGCCATTTTCAAGCTACTTTTGCCTTCTGTGCCTCTAGGTCTCCCCTCCCCACTTCTGGGTATGGAGGTAGTGTGTGGATGCCACCTCCTGACTCCTCCTTCTTGCTGCCCTGAAGACCAACCTAGCGGGCCCTTCACTGTCAGCCTTGGAGGGCAGAGTTCACAGCCTAGTGGTGTTCAGGGCTTAAGGTCTTTGCAGGTCTTACACATGGACCTGGTCATTCTACCTTCTCTAGTTCAGTATTCAAAAGATCAGTGGGAGCCCGGGGAGCTCATGGTGCATCTCCTAAGGTCCAGGGGCTCTGCTCCCAGCTCCTCTCATTGTGGTGGGGGGGTTGCTCTGGGACCCTCTCCCCTTTTAGCTTCTTCCAACTCCCAGCCAAATTTGAAAGCCCTCTTCCCAGCAGCACAGTGTTGAAACTGCCCGTCGAGTGGGCGTTATGGGTGGACAGAAGCATCCAGTCGGGATGAGCAGCCCGGCCTCTGTGCAGGAGCAGGTTCCTGCAGATGGGGTCTCCTGACCCAGCCTTGACCAGCCTGACTTCCTGCTCTGCTTCTCTTCCCTCAACCAGCCCTTCCATTCCTCTCTGCCTCTTGGTTTCAGGGAAAAGCAAAGCCATTTAAAGCGCGTAGCACCGTGTACGGCTGGTTCAGACCTTCCGTAAATGTTTGTTAAATGGATAAAAGAATGAAGCTAAAAAGAAAAAAAAAGGCTGGGCGCGGTGGCTCATGCCTGTAATCCCAGCACTTTGGGAGGCTGAGGCGGGCAGGAGTTGAGGCCAGGAGGCACTTGAGGCCAGGAGTTCAAGACCAGCCTGGGCAACATGGTGAAACCCTGTCTCTACTAAAAATACAAAAAATTAGCCCGGCGTGGTGACTCGCACCTATAATCCCAGCTTCTTGGGAGGCTGAGGTACAAGAATCGCTTGAACTTGGAGGTGGAGGTTGCAGTGAGCCGAAATCGCACCACTGCACTCCAGCCTACGCAACAGAGCAAGACTGTGTCTCAAAAAAAAAAAAAAAAAAAAAAAATTGCCACACGCAGTGGCTCAAGTCTGTAACCCCAACACTTTCGGAGGCCAAGGTGGGCGGATCACCTGAGGCCATGAGTTTGAGACCTTCCTGGCCAACATGGTGTAACCCCATCTCTACTAAAAATACGAAAAATTAGCCGGGCATGGTGGCACTTGCCTGTAGTCCCAGCTACTCGGGAGGCTGAGGCAGGAGAATTGCTTGAACCTGGGAGGTGGAGGTTGCAGTGAGCCGAGATTGTGCCACTGCACTCCAGCCTGGGTGACAGAGCGAGACTCCATCTCAAAAAAAAAAAGAAAAGAAAAGAAAAAAAGAGGCACAAGTATTCTGTTTATTGTTTTGGAGGTAAACCCTCAGAACTGACCGCTGGAGTGGGGAAGGGTGGAGTGGAGATTATTGCTTACTGCTTTTCACTGTAGACTCTTCTGTGCTATTTGATTTTGTACCAAGACATGTCTTTAATTACATACACCACACGTGCACACACACATACACCCCTACCCACCCAAAAGGTTCTTTGGAAAACTCATCAGCTCCCACCAGGAACCTCTCAGGGCTCCAAAACCAAGAGGCAGGCCAAATGCTGAAGGGATAGCTTAGCGTTGCATTGCAGAGGAAGCAAAAAGTGTTTCTAGGAGGTGTCAGGGCCGCTTGGTGGCTGGAGTGTCACATTCCCTAATGAACATGCAGGAAGGGGGTCAAATACGCCAGTAGCTTCTCACAAGTGTGGATGGCAAAAGCTCGTTTCCTCTCCACGACAGCTGCAGGGCTGAGCTGTTGATGAAATGCTGCAGGTTTGGAGAAGAGGATCTACCCCAGCAGGACAGGGCTTATCCCGGGGATTCCCAAATGACTCCATATTCATTATTCTGAATTTTGTTTACTTGGCCCACCTTTCCAATTATCTGTCAGAATGTGCAAATCCTCCCTCCCTGCTTATCAGCCACACTCTGGAGATTAGGGAACAGGGTAATGACCCTCATTATCAATACCACAGCCCCCACGGATCCTCTTCCCTGGGCTGGTGAGAACGCTCCCTCTGCTTCATGGACTTAGTACCCACAGCCTAGAAGACACGATCCGAGTCTTTAACATTTTCCATCTAGAACAGGGTGATCCTAAAGAAAGGCCAAGGGAATCCTGTGAGGTCAGGAGAACTGCATCTCCGAGGGAAGGGAGGTGGTTGAAGATGTGTCCCCAGGTGAAATCAGGGTACAGGGGAACAATGTTCCTGCATACACAGTGTTATCACACACCTGGGCTTTGGCAAGCTTAGACTGTCCTGGAAGTGCATACAAGATAGAGCGCTGCTTTGGGGAAGCTGACCAGGGGTTAGGTGTCAGAATAAGAGAGACACTTCTTACCTTCTTCACTGTCTGTATTTTTTTCCTTTTTCTTTTTTTTTTTTTTTTTGAGACAGGGTCTCGCTCTGTCATCCAGCCTAGAGTGCAGTGGTACGATCTTGGCTCACTGCAACCTCTGCCTCCTGGGCTCAAAGTATCCTCTTGCCTCAGCCTCCTGAGTTGCTGGGACCACAGGTGCATGCCACTATGCATGGCCAATTTTTAAATTTTTTGTAGAGATGGGGTCTCAGTATGTTGCCCAGGCTGGTCTCAATCTCCTGGACTCAAGCAATCCTCCAGACTCAACCTCCCAAAGGTCTGGGATTACAAGTGTTGAGCGATCGCACCCAGCCTGTTTTTTCAACTTTAAAGTTGTGTTTGTTGGTTACCAGTTTCCTTAAAGAATACTGGCCTTAATCTGGACTAAAATCTCATGTCTCAAATTTTCCATTTTAAATTTCTTAGCAAAAAAGGTATGATCCATCTATTCTCTCTCTCTTTTTCTTTCTTTCAGCAAATAGCATTTGAGCACCAATTATTTTCTGTGCAGTATGCTCGGCATAATTACAGGATGGAGTAAGAGGGAATCCCTTTGCTGAGCCCGTGCTGTATGGGAGCACCTGGGCATATCTCTCTATGATGCCAGGAGAAGGTGTCATCCCACTGTGTTCATGAGGGACCAAGGGCCACCCGGAGAACCAGCGATGAGCAAAGCAGCGAGAGGCGGGAGTGGTCAGAACAGGACGGGAGGATTTTCATGAAGAAAGTGAGTGTTATGCCGAGGCTTGCCAGATGAGCTGTGATTTCAAAGGTAAAGAAGAGATGAAGGGCACGCAGGCATGGGAAAAAGAATGAGCAAAGAGATGACCATTCAGGGCCTCAGAATGCTGGGGGCGAAGGGCAGTGGCAAGGGCAGGATGTGGGGGTTGGAAAGCCAGGGTGGAACCTGGAGAAGAGCTTCCAGGTAAACTAAGGAGAAGAAACTTCTGTGATGCGGGGAGTCATGATAGTGGCTTCTGATCAGGGGCAAGATAGGAACTTCTCTGCATAAGCATGGAAATGGCAGGCTAAGTGTTCCCAGGCAGGCACAGGTCAGAATCAGCACCTTGGTCTCCTGCCTCCTATGTCAGGGGTCTTGTAGGAGAAAATTTCCGGAAGTACTGAAGCTGTGGGGAAAGATACAAAAGGGTTTTTTGCAGGAGAGTGAGGCAGAGTGGGTGGAGAAGAAACAAAAATTTAGAGGAGGGTGGAAATAATTACACTTTGATAGATCTATTGACCTACATACTGTTACCTTGGAGCATTAAATGTTATGATGCTGAGGCCGAGCGCAGTGGCTCACACCTATAATCCCAGCATTTTGGGAGGCCAAGGTGGGTGGATCATTTGAGGTCAGGAGTTTGAGACCAGCCTGGCCAACATGGTGAAACCTCACCTCTACTAAAAATACAAAAATTAGCCGGGCGTAATTGTGGGTGCCTGTAGTCCCAACTACTTGGGAGGCTGAGGCAGGAGAATCACTTGAACCCGGGTGGTGGAAGTTGCAGTGAGCCGAGATCGCACCACTGCACTCCTGCCTAGGCAACAGAGTGAGACTCTGTCTCAAAAAAATAAATGAATAAATAAATGTTTTAATGCTGAATTTGCATATAACCTGATTATGTTCAGGGTATTTAGAGAGAGAGAAAAGAAACCCCTCTGTTCACCTGTTCTTACTCTCAAATATTCAGAGAAAGCCCAGAAAATACCTCAGGAAAAAATGTTTTTCTAGTTTGTTCCCATTTGTGTTCTTTTCTCTCATCACTGGCAATCATGAAGTGGAGGAATCATCCAGAAGGGCCAGGTTATAAGTGTAATGGAATGACGGAGTTCTTCTCACCTGAATTCTCCGGCAGCTTCCTTGCCTGCTATTGGCCCCCACCTATCCTCACCCTCCCCTGCTTCTCAAACCTAATGCGCATAGAATCTTTAACACTCAGATTACTGGACACTGCCCCCAGCAAAGTCCATTCAGGAGGCCTGAGTTGGGGTCCAGGAATCTGTATTTACACAGGTTTCTCAGGTGATTCTGGGCAGAAATCACTAGCCCCAGAGACTCCCCCATGGAACATCCCCAGACCTGGTGGAAGGTGGGAGGTGCTGGAGCAGTGGGTTGTGGAAAAGCTGTCTGGGGCTAAGAGGAGGTGAGGAATGGGGAGCCCATCCCCAAAGCTCAGGGGCAGCTTGCCTCGTGGCTCCATCATGGCCAAGCTGGGTGGGTGGGATGGCTGGGACGGATAACACCATATTAGGGAGACAGGAGTGGTCCAGGGAGGACAGAGCAAGCGGAGAAGTTTGGGTTATCTGAAGGTCATCTGGGTTGGAAGAGACTTTGGTCCTAAGTGCCTCAGTCCTAACGGATATGCACACCAACAAAACAGCTGGCAGTGCAAAGCATCCACATCCTCACACAGCATCCATACAATTACACCTAGAGCATCTGCAACATAACATCTCCAAAGAAAAAAAAGTCTTCACAACATCTTAAAACCCCTAACAATAGAGGTTCAGAAACAGTCTGCATTTTTTCCACTTTAGTAATTTTTGATTGAGACAGCTTGGTTAAGTAGTATTCCCTGTTCTTCAAACACCGTCCCTCCCACCAGGACAGAAGAGGCTTTTTTTACAATTTTTCAAGCCTGACCTGACCCCACAGCCAGACTCTCCACTCAGACCCTCAGAGGCCCAGCTCCTTCCACTGCATGACAAAGGGTGGCTGCCCTCTCTCCTGACGACTAATCAGACCATTGTAAAAAGTTTCCCAATCCACATTCAAGCTCTTCTTTTGGCTGCTAGCTAATTGCCCAATTATTTTATTTCCCCAAACAAAACTCTTCAGGCTGCCGGGAATCCACATTTAGGACCCAGGCCTGTATCTTGGGCCTCAGGAGTCTGGGGGATTTGGCCTTTGTCTGTTTGTCTGCTTCTCACGCCTCCCTGCCCCCTGCCCAGACCCGACCCTGGGTTGACTGAGTCCCCAGCTTGCCTGGGGCTGACAGATGACCCTACTGGCTTCAGGGGGTCAGGGCAGGACTGGAAATAGTTTGAGGGCATGGAAAGAACTTTGGTCTGGGAGTGGGAAGACCTGACTTTATGGGGGTATTGATTGTGGATCATCGACTGTGTGTGTTTGGGGAAGATGTCATCTCTCTGAGCCTCATTTTCTCGTTTCTAAAACCCGGGGGGCAGGAGCATGGCCTGGATAGCCAATTTCAGTGCTAAGCTCTCTCTGATTCTACAAACTAGCAGGTGAAATAAAGAGGGTAAGTCGCGTCTGGCTGGACAAACCCCTCCATTGGTGCTAAATGTTCCCCAGCTCCTCCACCTAAGGGAGGTCCCCCAACATCAGGAAGGGATCTCAGTTTCCCAATCGTGGATCACTTGCCCAGGCTACCAGCGGCCCCCAGGGCCACCCTGAGCACTACGTCCCAGACACCCATCCCTGCAGGCAGGATCGGTCCTTAGAGAGGCTGGATATTGACTGTGTAGTTTCACTTCCTGTTGAGGGCTCTGCTCTAGCTTTGGTCCTGTGCTGAGGGGCCGATGCAGAAATATCAGCAAGACATCTGGGGGAGGCAGGGAATCAAGAAGGTGGGGGGTCCCTCCAGGGGGAGGCAGGGAATCAAGAAGGTGTAGGGGGGTCCCTCCACTTTGCTATCTTCTCTGGAAATGAGGTTTCAATTTAGCTGGTCTGTTACCCCAGATGTAGAAGGAGCTCCTGAATCCCTGGGGACTTCCAGAGGTTCTCAGCCCTGTGGTGTTTCATAGCTGGAAGAGAACCTCGAATGGGCATCTGCAGGTCAGGGAAGCAGCAGCAGCAGGGGCCTGGCCTCCCTCAGCCCTGGAACAGCAGGTCCCTGCTAAACCAGAACAGGGGCCTGTGAGGTCTCATTGTGAGTGTCCAGCCTTAGTGAGCTCCCAGTGGGTCTATATGTTGGGGTTCTGGGGAGGGGGTAGTGGCATGCAAGGACAGCCTGGGTGTGATATCCTTGGCACCAGTGATAAGCCACAGGGCTTCCTGTCACCCAGCAGCAAGGGTAGTGGACTATTGCATATTTATGAAACACCAGCCCAGAACAGCTTCCAGAGACTGAGGCCCGCAGGTCCCGGCTTGCCTGTAAATGTGACACTTCTGCACCTTTTGGCCTGACTTAAGACCCAAATGTTTGCATCAAGTAAGTCCTTTCCCTGTTAATCACTTGCAAAGAAAGGCAACAGCTTCTCTTTTGAAGAAAGCTACCCTTGTCACAGAGAGAACAGGAGGTCTTGTTTGGACCGGACACAGTGGTGGGAATTTATATTTCACGGGATGTTCCAACTATGGGAGATGAGTGCCAAGATGGGATTTGAATTCCTCCTTGTGAATTACACAAATCCCACGGAAATATAGATGGGAGAGAAAAGGAAAGGGAAACAGAGAAGCAGCTGAGGTCATGATTCTATGACCCCAAGGGTCTCCTTCTCCCACCCCGGGGTCAGCTGTTAGGATTTCTGTATTTCCTCTTACCTTGGTTTGTGGACACATGTGACCAAATCCCTGTTCCTTCCCTTCAGATACCCTGAGCTCTAGCATCTACTATCTGTATGACTTTGGGCTAGTCAGACAGCAGTTTTATGCTCAGTTTCTTCATCTATAAAAAGGAAATAATAACAGCAACTTCCTCCTCAAGTTATGGTGAGAATAAAGAGTTAACAATAAATATAAAACATTCAGAACAGTGCATGGCCCACAAGCACTATTAGCCATTGTGGTTATTATTTATGCTTATCTGTAGAGATGGGGTCTTGCTACATTGTTCAGGCTGGCCTCGAACTCCTGGCCTCAAGTGATCCTCCTGCCTTGGCCTCCCCGAGTGCTGAGATTACAGGCGTGAGTCACACCACACTCAGCCCATTACGTTTATTATCAGTGTTATTCTTATCCCTCCCCCTTCTCTGATGCTAAACACTCCCCCAACACACACACTGCTAAAAGCCCTTCAGACAGCAGTATCATTCTGGGGTATGCTCTCCCCAGTGAGCTAGTGGACTGGCTCATGCCACCAGCACTCAGCTGGAGCCCAGGTCATTTCCAGACACAGAACAAGGGACAGAAACCTAGAAAACAGAGGCCAAAACTGCCCAGAGGCATGGCCTGTACAAAGCCACAGGTACTGGGGGCAGATTGAGGTGGGAGCCCCCCATGCCTCCTCAAACACACACTGTAGACTGGCTGGGTTCAAATATGAGACTTCCATATACATATACATATGCATTTGCATATATATGTGGTGGCATGAAGTCCCTGGGCTTTCATCCAAAAGAAATTCCACCTTCGAGCACCAGAAGATTCCCTCTTCCTCTGCCTGAAATGTTTGAGGACAGAAGCAGGGGGATGACATGGAGAGACCTGTCAGTGACACAGCATTCCCACAAAGGGGCCAGAGTGCCCCCATTTAGAAGGTGAAGGGGGATGACATGGAGAGACCTGTCAGTGACACAGCATTCCCACAAAGGGGCCAGAGTGCCCCCATTTAGAAGGTGAAGGGGGATGCCCCTTGCCCGGCAGCCCCCTTGGCCCAGGGTCCTTGTCCTCCTCCACCATCCTTACTCATGCGACAGAACATGGGCAAGTGAGGCTGTGGAGTTTTGGGAAGAGCTTCCCCCTGCACATCCTCAAATCCCCTATGCCAGTGCCAGAAGGAGATGCCTACAGAGACAGAGGCTCCATTTAGCTCCCAAGCCCTTCATTGAGGTTGGCGAGCAGGTCACTTCCCCAGGCAGTGGTCTGACCTTGCATCTGCAAGATGCACCTGAAACTGACACCTGCCTCCTAAGGGCTGTGTGAATACACATTCAGAGCTTAGAACAATGACTGGCACATGCACTCAGGAAATGTGTGCTATTATTGTTGTTGAGAGTTTTATAAAAAGCCACGACCTGGCCCGGCACGGTGGCTCATGCCTGTAATCCCAGCACTCTGGGAGGCCAAGGCAGGCGGATCACCAGGTCAGGGGATCGAGACCATTCTGGCTGACACGGTGAAACCCCATCTCTACTAAAAATACAAAAAATTAGCCGGGCGTGGCATGCGCCTGTAGTCCCAGCTACTCGGGAGGCCGAGGCAGGAGAATTGCTTGAACCCAGGAGGCAGAGGTTGCAGTGAGCCTAGATCGCGCCACTGCACTCTAGCCTGGGTGACAGAGTGAGGCTACGTCAAAAAAAAAAAAAAAATGCAAAAAGCCACGACCCTGTGAATGCAGATTTCAGGCAGATAATAATGATAGCAAACCCTTACAGAGTGTTTACCTGTCACTAGACACTGGGTGAAACATCCTGCATGTATTAATGCATTTAATCTTCACACTAACCCTATGAAGAAGACCTTATGATCATCACCCTCTTTCTGTAGATGAGGAAACTGAGGCACTGAGAAGTTAACTCACTTGCTAGCAGGTCAAACAGTTAGCAGATGGCAGTTCTCATATTTGAACGTGGCCAGTCTAAAATGTGTGTTTGAAGAGACACAGGGGGGCTCCCACCTCAATCTGCCCCCAGTACCTGTGGCTTTGGACAGGCCATGCCTTTGGGCAGCTCTGGCCTCTGCTTTCTAAGTCCCTGTCCCTTGTCTGTGTCTGGAAATGACCTGGGCTCCAGCTGAGTGCTGGTGGCATGAACCGGCCAGCCAGCTCACTGGGGAGAGCACACCCCAGAATAATTCTGCTGTCTGAAGGGAGGACTCCTGTGCTGTGGTCACGTGACTGCAAAGGCACTTGCTGAAATTGCTGTTCCTGGGACTCCTAAAGACAGTAGAGCTGCCAGATTTGTGTCCTGACCGTGTCTAGACAGAGGATGTCATGGGGGGAGGGCAAGGACGGTGCGACAACCCTGAGGGACCCCTGGTGTGGGGAGAGGCAGGGGGTGTGCAAGGAGTGTAGGTTGGAGGGAGATGACCAAGGGGCTTCTGTGAATGTGGCCAGAACCAGCAGGAAGGCAGAATCCTTCCCGCCCTTCCTTTATGATTTGCAGACCTGGACCCAGCCCAGCCTCCAGAAGAGACTTAAAGAGATTTAAGCAGCTGGCTAGCAGGACTTTGTTTTTCACAGAATAGACTCACTTTTTCATAGAACAGGGCTGGGGTAAGGCCAGGAAAATTCAACAGGCACTAAAAATATTGTCAAGCTGCTGACAGCACAGCCAGAGGCCCCAGGCCTGGGTGGCATCCAGACAGCCCTGTCCTTTCTAGACAGCCCCCTCCTCCAGGCTCAGGGACCTGTCTGGCTGTGAGCTCCCAGGAGGTCCCAGGGGTGTGACCTCCCTCCCTCCCTCCCTCCCTCTTCCCTTCACCCCAGGCCAGCCCAGGGCCAGCTATAAAGCTGGCCCAGCCTGGCTCTCAGCACACCCAGCTGCCTGAGACCCTCCTTCAACCTCCCTAGAGGACAGCCCCACTCTGCCTCCTGCTCCCCCAGGGCAGCACCATGTGGCCCCTGTGGCTCTGCTGGGCACTCTGGGTGCTGCCCCTGGCTGGCCCCGGGGCGGCCCTGACCGAGGAGCAGCTCCTGGGCAGCCTGCTGCGGCAGCTGCAGCTCAGCGAGGTGCCCGTACTGGACAGGGCCGACATGGAGAAGCTGGTCATCCCCGCCCACGTGAGGGCCCAGTATGTAGTCCTGCTGCGGCGCAGCCACGGGGACCGCTCCCGCGGAAAGAGGTTCAGCCAGAGCTTCCGAGGTGAGACCCTCCCTCCCTGCTGGCCCCGGTCCCATGGTCGGGGGCAGGCCGGTTGTGCCCACTCTGGAGGTGTCGAAGGGCCCCTGGCCTTTTGGGACTCTGTGGGAGGCTGTGTGAGGGCCACGGTCCAAGGAGCAGTGAGGAGGAGCCGGGCCTGGGTCCAGGGTCTCCAGCTGTGCACTGAGGCCCCCCTCCAGCCCAGGGGAGGTGCACCAGGCTAGACCTGCTGGAAAAACCAAGACTTCAGAGAAGGGGAGGGTAGAGGAGAGAAAGTAGAGCTGGGGGAGCAGGTGAGTGTGTGCCTCAAGGCACTTGGTGCAGCTGGACTCCCAGGGTATGTTTTCACACTGCCACTCTGGTCTGAGCCTGACCTTGAGTAAATGGCTTTAAAATCCTCTCTCCACCATGTGCTCATCTGGAACAGGGGTATGACTATGTCTTCGCCATCTCCCAGCACTGTGAACGTCAAAGTGAGTCCTTGTGGATAGAAGCGTGTTTGGATAACTGAAAAATACCTAAGTAGACTACCTGGGTTATACCTGGCTGTCAGGGGTGCAACTGGGCCTGAATCCTCCTGCAGCCTCTCGCCTCCCTAGCTCCTCAGTGCCCAGAGCTAGAGCCAGTGCCAGGCACCTGGGTGAGGATTCTGCTCCCAGCATCTCAGCTGAGGCAAACTTGCTAGCCAGGGTCCCACAGGCCCCCCTGCCTGCTGGATGGAAATTGTTACTAAACAAGGCCCAGATCCAAGGAAGATTTGTAAACTGGGTTTGCCCCAGAGATAGAACAGGGCCGGTGTCTCCTGGCCTGGCTGCCAGCTCAGTGGCCCTGCCATCCTCAGAGCTCCGCTGGAGTCCGGGGAGGCCCTGCTGACCCTGCTCTTGTCCCCAGAGGTGGCCGGCAGGTTCCTGGCGTCGGAGGCCAGCACACACCTGCTGGTGTTCGGCATGGAGCAGCGGCTGCCGCCCAACAGCGAGCTGGTGCAGGCCGTGCTGCGGCTCTTCCAGGAGCCGGTCCCCAAGGCCGCGCTGCACAGGCACGGGCGGCTGTCCCCGCGCAGCGCCCAGGCCCGGGTGACCGTCGAGTGGCTGCGCGTCCGCGACGACGGCTCCAACCGCACCTCCCTCATCGACTCCAGGTGGGGGTCGCGCGGGCGCGCAGGGCAGGAGTAGGAGGCTGCTCGGCCCGGCTTGGGGGCGGGGACGCAGGGGGCGGTGCAGGGTCCTCGGGGCCCGTCCCAGTCCCCGCCCTCAAGCGGCGCTGGGTCTCCGTGTCGTGTGTATCATGTCTCAGGCTGGTGTCCGTCCACGAGAGCGGCTGGAAGGCCTTCGACGTGACCGAGGCCGTGAACTTCTGGCAGCAGCTGAGCCGGCCCCGGCAGCCGCTGCTGCTACAGGTGTCGGTGCAGAGGGAGCATCTGGGCCCGCTGGCGTCCGGCGCCCACAAGCTGGTCCGCTTTGCCTCGCAGGGGGCGCCAGCCGGGCTTGGGGAGCCCCAGCTGGAGCTGCACACCCTGGACCTCAGGGACTATGGGTAGGTGCAGGACTGGGCAGAAGGGAGGCAAGCAGCCACTGAGTGGTCCAGACCCCCGTCCCCAGGACTGTCTGGGGGACCGGATGGTGGCGGTGGGCTAGGGGTAGGGAGAGCGCGGTGCAGACTGTCCCAGGATGCCAGCGATTGCCCACTACATGTCAGGGTTTCTAATGGCAGAAATTGTATTGTTGGCCAGGCGTGGTGGCTCAGACCTGTAATCCTAGCACTTTGGGAGGCCGAGGCGGGCTGGATCACAAGATCAGGAGTTTGAGACCAGCCTGACCAACATGATGAAACCCCGTGTCTACCAAAAATACAAAAATTAGCCGGGCGTGGTGGCGCGTGCCTGTAATCCCAGCTACTCAGGAGGCTGAGGCAGGAGAATCACTTGAATCCGGGAGGTGAAGGTTGCAGTGAGCTGAGATCACACCACTGCACTCCATCCAGCCTGGAGGACAGAGCGTGATTCTGTCTCAAAAAAAAAAAAAAAAAAAGGAAACAAAGAAAAGAAAAGAAAAAGAAATATTATATTATTCAGGCCAGGCGCAGTGGCTCATGCCTGTAATCCCAACACTTTGGGAAGCTGAGGTGGAGGATTGCTTAAAGCCAGGAGTTTGACACCAGCCTCGGCCACACAGTGAAATCCTATCCTTAAAAAAATAAATAAAAAAAAAAAGTTTTAAAGAAACGACAAAAAAAAAATTGTAAGGCCAAGTATGGTGGCTCACGCCTGTAATCCCAGCACTTTGGGAGTGGAGGCCAGCGGGTCACCTGAGGTCAGGAATTCCAGACCAGCCTGGCCAACATGGTGAAACCCCGTCTCTACTAAAAATATAAAAATTAGCTGGGCGTGGTGGCGGGCGCCTGTAATCCCAGCTACTTGGGAGGCTGTGGCAGGAGAATTGTATGATTTATTTTATTTAAAAATATCTTTGACAATCTTCAATGGATTTTTCTATTGCCATTGACTCCATATACACGATTGTAATCATCTACTTTCACTTTACCCTTCTCCATGATTAAATCTTTGAAAAATCCTAGCTTTAGCTGTTACTAGGGGCGATGAGCTTTCCTCCTGCTTTGGTGAATTCTTTCTCATGGACAAGTTAGCTCTCTGGAGCAGATGGGGGCTGTGTAGCACAGTGGTTAAGAAGAGGCCTTGGAGCCGGTTGGCCTGGGCTCCATCTAGCTCTGCCTTCCACTGGCTGTAGGTCCTCTGGCCCATCACCGAACACCTCTGGGTGTCAGTGGCCTCAGGTGGAATGGGGATAATGCTGGAACCTACCTGAGGATGAAATGCAGACATCACCTGAGATAATACATGTGAAGTACCTAGTTCATTGTCTGGCCTATTAGGAGACCTTTAATTAATAGTAGCTGATTTATTATTTATGTTTCAGATATGTTTATTCATCTTCTCACAAATATCCAGCTTTTAGAACATAGTGAGAGCTGGATCATAAACCTCCCTCCCAGGTGCCCACTAAGCTGTGCCCCAGGCCTTCTGACTTCAGCCTCCCAGATGACCTCTGACCCTGCTCTCCTTGCCCACACAGAGCTCAGGGCGACTGTGACCCTGAAGCACCAATGACCGAGGGCACCCGCTGCTGCCGCCAGGAGATGTACATTGACCTGCAGGGGATGAAGTGGGCCAAGAACTGGGTGCTGGAGCCCCCGGGCTTCCTGGCTTACGAGTGTGTGGGCACCTGCCAGCAGCCCCCGGAGGCCCTGGCCTTCAATTGGCCATTTCTGGGGCCGCGACAGTGTATCGCCTCGGAGACTGCCTCGCTGCCCATGATCGTCAGCATCAAGGAGGGAGGCAGGACCAGGCCCCAGGTGGTCAGCCTGCCCAACATGAGGGTGCAGAAGTGCAGCTGTGCCTCGGATGGGGCGCTCGTGCCAAGGAGGCTCCAGCCATAGGCGCCTGGTGTATCCATTGAGCCCTCTAACTGAACGTGTGCATAGAGGTGGTCTTAATGTAGGTCTTAACTTTATACTTAGCAAGTTACTCCATCCCAATTTAGTGCTCCTGTGTGACCTTCGCCCTGTGTCCTTCCATTTCCTGTCTTTCCCGTCCATCACCCATCCTAAGCACTTACGTGAGTAAATAATGCAGCTCAGATGCTGAGCTCTAGTAGGAAATGCTGGCATGCTGATTACAAGATACAGCTGAGCAATGCACACATTTTCAGCTGGGAGTTTCTGTTCTCTGGCAAATTCTTCACTGAGTCTGGAACAATAATACCCTATGATTAGAACTGGGGAAACAGAACTGAATTGCTGTGTTATATGAGGAATTAAAACCTTCAAATCTCTATTTCCCCCAAATACTGACCCATTCTGGACTTTTGTAAACATACCTAGGCCCCTGTTCCCCTGAGAGGGTGCTAAGAGGAAGGATGAAGGGCTTCAGGCTGGGGGCAGTGGACAGGGAATTGGGATACCTGGATTCTGGTTCTGACAGGGCCACAAGCTAGGATCTCTAACAAACGCAGAAGGCTTTGGCTCGTCATTTCCTCTTAAAAAGGAGGAGCTGGGCTTCAGCTCTAAGAACTTCATTGCCCTGGGGATCAGACAGCCCCTACCTACCCCTGCCCACTCCTCTGGAGACTGAGCCTTGCCCGTGCATATTTAGGTCATTTCCCACACTGTCTTAGAGAACTTGTCACCAGAAACCACATGTATTTGCATGTTTTTTGTTAATTTAGCTAAAGCAATTGAATGTAGATACTCAGAAGAAATAAAAAATGATGTTTCACTCTGTGTCTGTTTTTAATTTCCAGGAGCAATAATGGGGAATGAGAGCAACACAATGATCTGAAGAAAGGACCCCCAACCTCTAGGGCGCAAGACTATAATAGTTAAATTTATATAGATGAGGCTTTCATTTATGATATTTCTATTTTCTCACACAACTCTCATTCCAAAAATATTAAACAATCACTCACGGATGTCTCCTCTTTAGTTTATGTGTTGCCAAAGCAAGCACTGCAGCCTCATTTTTTTTTTTTTGAGACAGAGTGTGGCTCTGTCACCCAGGCTGGAATGCAGTGGCACGATCATGGCTCACCGCAAACTCCGCCTCCCTCCCAGGTTTAAGCAATTCTCACGCCTCAGCCTCCCGAATTACAGGCATGTGCCACCATGCCCAGCTAATTTTTTTTTTTTTTTGAGACGGAGTCTCACTCTGTTGCCCAGGCTGTAGTGCAGTGGCATGATCTCGGTTCACTGCAACCTCCTCCTCCTGGGTTCAAGCAATTCTCCTGCCTCAGGCTCCCTAGTAGCTGGGACTATAGGCGACCACCACCATGGCCAGCTAATTTTTTGGGTTTTGTTGTTGTTGTTGTTGAGATGAGTCTCGCACTGTCACCTGGGCGGAAGTGCAGTGGCGTGATCTCAGCTCACTGCAACCTCTGCCTCCCAGGTTCAAGCGATTCTCCTGCCTCAGCCTCCCAAGTAGCTGGGATTACAGGCGCCCACCACCACGCCCGGCTAATTTTTTGTATTTTTAGTAGAGATGGGGTTTCCCCATGTTGGCCAGGCTGGTCTCGAACTCCTGATCTCGTGATTCACCTGCCTCGGCCTCCCAAAGTGCTGGGATTACAGGTGTGAGCCACCGTGCCCGGCCCTTGGTATTTTTTTAGTAGAGACTGGGTTTCACCATGTTGGCCCGGCTGGTTTCGAACTCCTGATTTCAGGTGATCCGACCGCCTTGGCCTCCCAAAATGCTGGGATTACAGGCATAAGCCACTGTGCCCAGCCTAATTTTTGCATCTTTTAGTAGAGACGGGGTTTTGCTATTTGGCCAGGCTGGTCTTGAACTCCTGACCTCAAGTGATCCGCCCGCCTCAGTTTCCCAAAGTGCTGGGATTACAGGCGTGAGCCACGGTGCCCGGCCTACCTCCTCTTTAGAAAGCACTGTAACCCCTACAATAGTGGTGATGGGCAATGGGGGTTGACAATAGTGTGGTAAGCGAGCTAACATTTCTTATCATTCACTATGAACCAGGGAACTGGACTAGGCATTGTCACATGTCACTTAATTCTTGCAGCTATCCCATAAGGTGGGTATTATTAATCCTATTTTTTAGATGAAGAAACAGCCTGAGGTAATGCGAGCATGTTGAATCTCTATCCCACAGAATGGGTTATAAACTTCTTCCTATGCCAGTCCCCAATAAGCTGCTCTGCTGATGACACAGGCATCAGGTTAAAATGTCATTTGGGAGCTGTCTTATGCAATTCCCCTCCATTTAGCTTTCCCATTGAGCTGGGTTTCCTTATGCTTGTCTATGGAGAAAGTTATACAGTCATATACCGCAAAATGATAGTTCGGTCAATGACAGACCACATACACAATGGTGGTCCCATAAGATTACAATGGAGCTGAAAAATCCCTATGGTCTAGTGACATCATAGTCATTATAATGTCCTAGCACAACCCATTACTCATGTGTTTGTGGTGATGCTGATATAAACACACTTACTGTGCTGTCAGTTGTATAAAAACATAGCACATGCTAGGCCGGGCATGGTGGCTCACGCCTGTAATCCTAGCACTGTGGGAGGCTGAGGAGGGTGGATCACCTGGAGTCAGGAGTTCGAGGCCAGCCTGACCAATATAGTAAAACCCCTTCTCTACTAAAAAAACAGAAACTAGTCAGGCGTGGTGGCGGGTGCCTGTAGTCCCAGTTACTCAGGAGGATGAGACAGGAGAAGAATCACTTGAACCCTGGAGACGGAGGTTGCAGTGAGCTGATATCACACCACTGCACTCCAGTCTGGGTAACAGAGTGAGACTCCATCTCAAAAAATAAATAAAATAAAGCACAGCACATGTAATTATATATAGTATATAATACTTGATAAGTGACTGTTACTGTTATGTATTTACTATACTTTTTATTATTTTAGAGTACTCGTTCTACTTATTAAAAAAAAAAAGTTAACTGTAAAACAGGCTCAGGCGGTTCCTTCAGGAGGAATCCAGAAGAAGGCATTGTTATCATAAGAGATGACAGCTCCGTATATGTTATTGCCCCTGAAGACCTTCTACTGGGACAAGATGTGGAGGTGGAAGACAGTGATATTGCTGATCCTGACCCTGTGTAGGCCTAGGCTACTGTGTGTGTTTGTGTTTTATTTTTTAACAAAAAACTTAAAAATTAGAAAAAAAATAAACTTTTTAATAGAAAAAGTTTATAGAATAAGGATAAAAAGAGGCCAGGCGCGGTGGCTCATGCCTGTAATCCTAGCACTTTGGGAGGCCGAGGTGGCAAATTGGCTGAACTCAGGAGTTTGAGACCAGCCAGGGCAACATGGTGAAACCCCAACTCTACTAAAATACAAAAAAATTACCTGGGCATGGTGGCGCATGCCTATAGTCCCAGCTACTCGGGAAGCTGAGACAGGAGAATCACTTGGATCCGAGAGGCAGAAGTTGCAGTGAGCCGAGATCACACCACTGGACTCCAGCCTGGGCAACAGAGCAGGACTCTGTTCCCCTCCAAAAAAATAAAAGAATAAGGATAAAAAGAAAAATATTGTATAAATCTGTACAATATGTTTCTGTTTTAATTGTTATTACAAAAGAGTTGGCCAGGTGTGGTGGCTCATGCCTGTAATCCCAGCACTTTGGGAGGCTGAGGTGGGCGGATCACCTGAGGTCGCGAGTTCAAGACCAGCCTGACCAACATGGTGAAACCCTTTCTCTACTAAAAATATAAAATTAGCCGGGCATGGTGGTGCATGCCTGTAATCCCAGCTACTCGGGAGGCTGAGGCAGGAGAATCACTTGAACCTGGGAGGCAGAGGTTGCAGTGAGCTGAGATCGCACCATTGCACTCCAGCCTGGTGACAGAGTGAGACTCCGTTTCCAAAAAAAAAAAAGAGTCAAAAAGTTTCTTTTTAATTTAACGTTTATAAAAAAGTTACAGTAAGCTAAGGTCAATTATTAAAGAAAGAAAAATTTATTTTTACAAATTTAGTGTAGGCTAAGTATACAGTGTTGATAAAGTCTACAGTAGTGTACAGTAATGTCCTAAGCCTTCACATTCACTCATTACTCACTCACTGACTCACCCAAAGCAACCTCCACTCCTCCAAGCTCCATTCATGGCAAGTGCCCTATAGATGTTGTGCCATTTTAAAATATTTTACACTATATTTCTACTATATCTTCTCTATGTTTAGGTATGTTTAGATACACAAATACTTACCATTGTGTTACGATTGCCTACAGTATTCAGTACAGTAATATGCTGCACAGGTTTGTAGCCTAGGAGCAATAGGCTACACCACATAGTCTAGGTGTGTAGTAAACTCCACCGTGTAGGTTTATGTGAGTGCGCTCCATGATGTTTCCACAGCAATGAAATCGCCTAACAATGCATTTCTTAGAACACATCCCCATCGTTTTTTTTTTTTTTTTTTTTTGAGTTGGAGTCTTGCTCTGTCACCCAGGCTAGAGTGCAGTGGTGTGATCTCAGCTCACTGCAGACTCCGCCTCCCAGACTCAATCGATTCTCCTGCCTCAGCCTCCCAAGTAGCTGGGATTACAGGTACCCGCCACCGCGCTCAGCTAATTTTTGTATTTTTTAGTAGAGGCAGGGTTTCACCATCTTGGCCAGGCTGGTCTCCAACTCCCGACCTCATGATCCATCTACTTTGGCCTCCCAAAATGCTGGGATTACAGGCATGAACCACCGCACCAGGCCAATATCCCCATTGTTAAGTGAGGCATGGCTGTACTTCGGGATAAAGGACTCTCTATTTCTTACCTGCAAAGCTAATTAATACTAACTAAATAATAAGAGAAAAATAGGCTGGGTGTGGTGGCTCATGCCTGTAATCCCAGCACTTTGGGAGGCTGAGGCGGGTAGATCGCTCTAGGCCAAGGAGTTCTAGACCAGCCTGGCCAACATGGTGAAACCCCATCTCTACTAAAAATACAAAAATTAGCTGGGCATGGTGGTGCACACCTGTGATCCTAGCTACTCAGGAGGCTGAGGTAGAGAATCACTTGAACCTGGGAGGTGGAGGTTGCAGTGAGCCGAGATTGTGCCACTGCACTCCAGCCTGGGTGACAGAGCCAGACTCTGTCTCAAAAAAAAAATTAAAATCATAACAGAAGAAAAATAGAGCTAAAAAATGTCTAAAGAGGGCCAAGATTTTCCAGTTGGGGTATTGTAAATACCAGGGCATATGGTTGCTTTGTGTACCAGAAGGATATCAATATCCACCTGAAGAACTCTACCAGTTACACAGTGATGTATCTGTGGCTCTAAAAGATCTGTGGATTCCCAGGCAGTCACATGCAATCAGTGACAAAGATGGGCCTGCTCACACCAGGCTGAGTGTGAGCTAAAAAAAAAAAAAAAATGTAGGAGATTGGCTTCATTTCAAAATGTAAGGCGTGCTCATTAGGATAGGGAGACAGTGTGGTAGACAGAACGCTCTCCCCAAAGACACCTGGGCCCTAATCCTTGCAACCTGTGACTGTTATGTTACATAGCAAAAAGGACTCTGCAGATGTAATTAAGGTTACAAACCTTAAAATAGGGAGATTATCGTGGATTATCTGAGTGTGCCCAATCTAATCACATGAGCCCTTCAAAGCAGAGAACTTTCTCTGGCTGGAGGCAGGAGAGATGAGGTAGAAGGGAGAGGTCAAAGAGATCTGAAGCATGAGAAGGACTTGCCCTGCCATTGCTGGTCTGAAGATGAGGGAAGCCATGAGCTAGAGAATGTGAGTGGCCTCTAAAAGGTGGGCTGACTCCCAGCTGATAGCCAGCAAGGAAAGGGGACCTCAGATCTACACCCACATGGAAGTCGAATTCTGCCAACACTTGAATGAGTCTGAAGGTGGATCCTCCCCCAGAGCCTCCAGATAAGAGCCCAGATTATCAGCTGACATGGGGATTTGTCTTTATGAGACCTGGAGCAGAGAAACCAGCTGAGGCTACTCAGACTGTTTTTTTGTCTTGTTTTGTTTTGTTTTGTTTTGTTTTGTTTTAAAGACAGGGTCTCACTGCCACCCAGACTGGAGTAAAGCACGATCATAGCTCACTGCAGCCTCTATCTCCCAGGCTCAAGTGATCCTCCCACCTCCCTCTCCCCAAGTAGCTGGGACTACAGGCTCATACCACCATACTGGCTAATTTTTACAATTTTTGTAAAGACAGGGGTCTCCCTACATTGCCCAGCATGGCCTCAAACTCAGACTTTAAATCTACAAAATGTGAGATAAAGTTGTTTCATTTTAAGCAGCTAAATTTGTGATGAATTAATACAGCAGCAATAGAAAATTAATACAGACAGTAAGCCAAATCCCATTAGAAGTAGGATGTAATTACAATTTTTTTTCACTTAAAAGATGAAATAAAGGGCCAGGTGCAGTGGCTCAAGCCTGTAATGCCAGCGCTTTGGGAGGCCAAGGCAGGCAGATTGCTTGAGCCTGCGAGTTCAAAACCAAACTGTACAACATAGTGAGACCATCCCCATCATCTATACTTTAAAAAATACAAAAAATTAGCCAGGAGTAGTGGTTGTAGTTCCAGCTACTTGGCAGGCAGAAGTGGGAGGAGTGTTTGAGCCTGGGA
Source organism: Homo sapiens (assembly GCF_000001405.40). Taxonomy (NCBI): domain Eukaryota; kingdom Metazoa; phylum Chordata; class Mammalia; order Primates; family Hominidae; genus Homo; species Homo sapiens. Next base: position 225,930,760 of record NC_000001.11, on the reverse strand, counting down.
AGTTGAGGCTGCAGTGAGCTGTGATGATGCCACTACACTTTAGCCTGGGTGACACAGCAAGAACTTGTCTCAAAAAATAAATAAATAAATAAATAAATAAATAACATTAAAGATAATTTTTAATGTATTGCAAACCACCCATAATCCCACCATCCTAAAACAAAATTATTTTGGTTTTTGCATATCACCTGTTTCCATGCAGCATGAGTAAATACTTATTTTAAAAACCAAGGTTTTGGCTGGGCACGATGGCTCACGCCTGTAATCCCAGCACTTTGGGAGGCCGAGGTGGGTGGATCACGAGGTCAGGAGATGGAGACCATCCTGGCTAACATGGTGAAACTCTGTCTCTACTAAAAAAAAAAAAAAACAAAACAACAAAAAAAATTAGCCAGGCGTGGTGGTGGGCACCTGTAGTCCCAGCTACTCGGGAGGCTGAGGCAGGAGGATGGTGTGAACCCGGGAGGCGGAGCTTGCAGTGAGCTGAGATCCCGCCACTGCACTCCAGCCTGGGGCGACAGAGCGAGACTCTGTCTCAAAAAAAAAAAAAAAAAAAAAATCAAGGTTTTGGCCAGGTATGGTGGCTCACGCTTGTAATCCCAGCACTTTGGGAGGCCAAGGTGGGTGGATCACCTGAGGTCAGGGGTTCGAGACCAGCTTGGCCAACACGGTGAAACCCCGTCTCTACTAAAAATACAAAAATTAGCTGGGTGTGGTGGTGCACACCTGTAGTCCCAGCTCCTCAGGAGGCTGGGGCAGGAGAATTACTTGAACCTGGGAGGCAGAGGTTGCAGTGTGCTGAGATTGCACCACTGTACTCCAGCCTGGGTGACAAAGCTAGACTCCGTCTCAAAAAAAAAAAAAAGTTTTTCTTATCTTTCTTTTTTTTTTAATTATACTTTAAGTTCTAGGGTACTTGTGCACAACGTACAGGTTTGTTACATATGTATACATGTGCCATGTTGGTGTGCTGCACCCATTAAGTCATCATTTACATTAGGTATATCTCCTAATGCTATCCCTCCCCCCTCCCCCTACCCCACAACAAGCCCTGGTGTGTGATGTTCCCCTTCCTGTGTCCAAGTGTTCTCATTGTTCAATTGCCACCTATGAGTGAGAACATGCGGTGTTTGGTTTTTTGTTCTTGCGATAGTTTGCTTTTTTTTCTTTCTTTTCTTTTTCTTTTTTTTTTTGAGACAGGGTCTCACCCTTTTGCTCAGGCTGGAGTGCAGTAGCAGGATCTTAGCTCACTGTAACCTCCACCTCCCAGGCTCAAGTGATCCTGCCACCTCAGCTTCCTGAGTAGTTGGGCCTACAGGCACGAACCACCACACTCGGCTAATTTTTTATTTTTATTATTTATTTATTTTTATTTTTTTATTTTTTGGTAGAGACAGGGTTTTGCCATGTTGCCCAGGATGGTCTCAAACTCCTGAGCTCAAGTGATCCTCCTGTCTCAGCCTTCCAAAGTGTTGGAATTACAGGCATGAGCCACTGCGCCCGGCCAAAATCAAGTTTTAATGTGCTTATTGCATGGGAAAAAGAAGTGAAGAGAGTTATTCTCCAAAAGGGTCACATTTGTTCTAAATCTTTGTGTGGTGGAATTGAAAACAATGTTTTTCCATTTGTTCTCTTTCTTTTTTGTTTTTTCGAGGCAGAGTGTCACTCTGTCGCCCAGGCTGAAGTGCAGTGGCACGATCTCAGCTCACTGTAACCACCGCTTCCTGGGTTCAAGCGATTCTTGTGCATCCGCCACCAGAGTAGCTGGGAGTACAAGCGCAGGCCATGATGCCCGGCTAATTTTTGTATTTTTAGTAGACAGGGTTTTGCCACGTTGGCTAGGCTGGTTTGGAACTCCTGTTTTCAAATGATCGCCTGCCTTGTTCTCCCAAAGTGCTGGGATTACAGGAATGAGCCACTGCACCCAGCCTTCCATTTGATCTCATTTCTAATTTTTCTAAAATAAACATGGATTATTTATGCAATAACAAAAAGAATGCAAAAATGCACTCAAAAATGCGCCTCTTTGGAGAGGCTCCTAGGACAGGGAGGATTGAGGGCCAAGGCACTTGCCATCTGTTTATCTGGGAGCAGCACAGGCTTCTCTCTCATTTCCTAGGTCATCTCAGTTCTTAGGAGAGACTGGCCTGCTGTTTAGAGATAGGAGAGACTGGCCTGCTGTTTAGAGGGAGGCCCTGAGGCCCTGATAGTGAAGAAGCAGAAGTAGACAGAAGTGAAGCAGTATCCATTTTGTCTGAGACAGCTGGAGAGGGCCATCAGGCAGGACAGAGGGGAGTGAAGAGGGAGGAAGGGTACAAACAGCAGAACCTGACTGGTGGATGAGAGGATGGGAGTAGAGGGGTGAAGGTGGGCAGTCCTGGCAGCTTTGTGGACGTGTCTGCTCCGAGACAGCAAAAGGATAGTGGGTGCCCAAGGAGACAAGTGCCAGCAGGGACTGAGCATGTCCCATGGCAGGATGGCAGTGCAAGGCTGGGGTGTCCTTTAGGGTGGCTGGATGGGAACGAAGGGCTTCCCCTCTCCTCTCCTCAACTTCAGTTCAGAGGAACTCCACAGGCATCAGATGTGACTGCCTTAGAAACCAAGGCAGTGGCCACAGCACCAAGGAAATGGGACGTTAGAGTCAGCAAGGTCATTAAAAGAGAATAAAATGGTCTTACCTATATTTAAAATAGGTAACAGGCTGGGTGCGGTGGCTCATGCCTGTAATCCTAACACTGGGAGGCCAAGGAGGGAGGATTGCTTGAGGTCAAGAGTTCAAGATCAACCTAGACTAACATAGTGAGACCCCGTCTCTATTTTATATATATATTTTATATATACATATATTTGGGTTTTTTTTGTTTTCTTACTTTGTTTTTATTTTTTGTTGTTTTCTTTTCTCTTTTGCTCTTTTTTATTTCCATCTTATATTTTTAAAAAATAAAATATAATAGATTTTGTATATATAAACTTTAAACTTTGGAGATGAAAAAATAATAGATCAAAACTACCACAAAAAAGAACAGTTTGTGGTCAGTGGCTCACTTGCTGCCCTAAGTCCAAACTGAGGGGAGCAAGTGCTTTTGCTACTCCGTGTCTTATGTGGCCAGTCCTGGCTGGGGATGAAGCCAACACTGGGGGTCACCAACATGGCCTCTTTTTTTTTTTTTTTTTTTTTTTTAGACAGAGTCTCACACTGTCACTCAGCCTGGAGTGCAGTGGCACAATCTTGGCTCACTGCAATCTCCACCTCCCAGGTTCAAGCAATTCCCCTGTCTCAGCCTCCTGAGTAGCTGAGATTATAGGTGCCCGCCACCACATCCGGCTAATTTTTTGTATTTTTAGTAGAGATGGGGTTTCACCATGTTGGCCAGGCTGGTCTCGAACTCCTGACCTCAGGTGGTCCATTCGCCTCAGCCTCCCAAAGTTCTGGGATTACAGGTGTGAGCCACCGCACCCGGCCATCCTTTCTTAGGCTTTTGCAGTTCTCCCATTTCACCCTGGCTCCCGGAAGCGGAAACGGGAGATATCAACGCAAGGCAACCAGGTAAGGGATGGGTGTATGTAAGGGGTCAGAAAGGAGTGAGACACAAGTGTCCCCCACACCTCACTCCAAAACACACATTCAGCTTCAGCACAACCTCCTGTATTGCAGGTCAGATCCAGAGCTCCCCACAACAGACCACAGCCAGGAAAAGCAAAGGGCCCTGCAGTGCCCTGGTGGACTATGGGGAGGGTGAGTATCCTGCAGAGGAGCAGGCAGCATTAGGAAGTTGTGAAGGAGGGTAAACCCCCAACTTCCTCACTACCTGACAAAGACTCCTCTACAACAAAAGGGAGGCCAAATGCAGGCAAACAGAAATGAGACAAAGAGAAGAGGGGAAGTGCTGGCAGCGCAGTGTTCTAGTTCCATTCCTGAGGTCCTGCTCTCTGTAGGTGCCCCTTCTGGTCTGTGAGCTCCCCTGTGCCTCTCCCAAGCGCTGTACAGAAGCCCCCCTTTTCCTTCAGCCAGTTTGGTTTCTGCTGGGTTTCTGGTTTCAGAGCTTTACGCTGGTAACCATTAGGCTATGCTGCAACATGGCAGCTATGGGAGCTCTTAAAGCCCCAAACCACTGGACCTTACAAATCTCACTTCTGGGAGTCATGTTAAGAAAATAATGAGTCAGGCAAAGATTTTATCACAATAATATGAACAAAAATTTAAAAAATTGAAGGCCAGGAGTGGTGGCTCATGTCTGTGATCCCAGCACTTTGGGAGGCTGAGGCGGGTGGATCACCTGAGGTCAGGAGTTGGAGACCAGCCTGGCCAACATGGTGAAACCCCATCTCTACTAAAAATACAAAAATTGGCCAGGCGTGGTGACACATGCCTGTAATCCCAGGTACTCGGAAGGCTGAGACAGGAGAATCGCTTGAACCCGGGAGATGGAGGTTGCAGTGAGCCGAGATCATGCCACTTCACTCCAGCCTGGGTAACAAAGACTCCGTCTCAAAAATAAATAAATAAATAAAAATAAGAAATAATAATAAATTGATGTTTTATGAGGACAGGAACTTGTCTGTTTTGTTCATAGCTATACTCCCAGAACCTGGCTCAGTAAGTTATCTATTATATAAATCAATAAACCTAACATTGACCTTTGAATGGTTAAATCAGTAAGGTACATACATATAATAAGTAGTCATTAAAACTGTCTTAAATAACTTTTCAGTGACATTGGAAAATGCTCATGTCTACTAGAGAAATTTCAAAACTACATGTACATCATTTATTTCCAATGATGGAGAAAGTAGATATGCATAGGACATGATAGTGTAAGGAAATACACCAAAAATGTTTGTAAGAAACTATCTTTGGGAAGTATGATGTGGATGATTTTATTTTTACTTTTATCTCCAAACTTTCTTCAATATGTCTGTATTACTTTTCGAATTTAAAAAATACAGAGGCCAGGTGCTGTGGCTCACGCCTGTAATCCCAGCACTTTGGGAGGCTGAGACAGGCAGATCACCTCAGGTCGGGAGTTCAAGATCAGCCTGACCAACATGGAGAAACCCTGTCTCTACTAAAAATACAAAAAATTAGCCGGGCGTGGTGGCGCATGCCTGTAATCCCAGCTACTCAGGAGGCTGAAGCAGGAGAATCGCTTGAACCCGGGAGGTGGAGGTTGCAGTGAGCCGAGATCGTGCCATTGCACTCCAGCCTGGGCAACAAGAGCGAAACTCTGTCTCAATAAATAAATAAATAAATAAATAAATAAAACATAGCATTATTTTGCTTAATAGTAAATATTATATTTGGTCCTCACTTTAAAGGGTGCACAAACTGAGGGCCTGGGGACTTGCTCAGGGAAGTTCACAGAAAGCAGCCCCTTGCCTGGGAGTGGGGGTGTGCATTACACGGAAAGGACTAGAAAAGCTAGCAGAGAGACCATGGGAACTAAGGGTCCTCAGCTCTTCTGAGTCCTCTAGGAACGCCACCTTCTTCCTCTCTACTTCTGTCATTTGTTCCCTGCGGCCCCTTATATTTACTACTGATAGAAAAGGAAACATCACATTGGTGGAGCTTTTAAAAGCAAGAGACAGGTCGGGCGCGGTGGCTCACGCTTATAATCCCAGCACTTTGGGAGGCCGAGGCGGGCGGATAACCTGATGTCAGGAGTTGAAGACCAGCCTGAACAACATGGTGAAACCCCGTCTCTACTAAAAATACAAAAATTATCCGGTCGTGGTAGCGGGCGCCTGTAATCCCAGCTACTGGGGAGGCTGAGGCAGGAGAATCGCTTGAACCCGGGAGGCGGAGATTGCAGTGAGCCGAGATCGTGCCACTGCACTCCATCCTGGGCAACAAGAGTGAAACTCCGTCTCAAAAAAAAAAAGGCAAGTGACAGCAAGGGGCTGGGGGGTGCGGGATCGCGGAAGAGTCGGAGACTCGAACTTGTCCTTCTTGTATCTAGTTTGGACAAATTCGCGAGAAACACTCAAGTTCAAGTGAATAAGCCGCGGCTGACCACCCTGGTGCCGCCTCGCCGCCACCTGGTCTGAACCTCGCCGCCACCTGGTCTGAACCTACGCCAGGAGGGCCTCGTTCATCCCCGCAAATCGGCAACCTGGAGAATTCCTGTGGGCCTTGAGGGGCATCTGATGGCCAGCGCCAGAAATAATATTAGCCAGGCCTGGGCCAGGCCTCAGCCCTGAGCCCGAGGTGGCTTAGGGACGGCGACCTCAGCCTTGGGGTGGGGGGGGGGGGTGGGGGCGGCCGGGCGTCCTGGGCCGGCGGGCGCCTGGAGCTCACGCCAAGCTGCCACAGGGGCTTCCGGGACTCCAGCCCGGAGTTCCGCCCTCCAGTCGCGAGCGGAGGAGGCGGGCACGCGGCCTGGCTCGGGCCGCGGATTGGCCTGCCCCGAGATCCTGGCCACTGATTGGTCGCCCGGACGGGGCGGGGCCACGTGGCCTAAGGCGCCATCAGCCGCCCGGGAGATATCCGCCGGGGGAGAATAGGGTTGCACCATCCCAGAAGCTGCTGTTAGCTCGCCGGTCCTCGGCACGCCGCCCGTTCGCCCCTGCGCTGTCCGCCCTTCCCCTAGCGTTACTTCCGGTCCCTCGCTGAGGGGGTTCGTGCGGCTCCCAGGAGGCGTGAACCGCGGACCATGAGCGTGGGCTTCATCGGGGCCGGCCAGCTGGCCTATGCTCTGGCGCGGGGCTTCACGGCCGCAGGCAAGCGCGTGGAGGCGGGAGGCGGCTTCGCGGGCGGTCCCGAGGCCCGAGGGGGCCTCCGTCCCACCAGCATGAGCGAATGAAAGGGGAGTTTGCGTCCGGTGGGGTAGATGAGACTCTGGTTGAGCAGCAAGTGCGTCTTCTGTCCTCGTAGAGGGTTGAGGGGGAGAGGGAGACTGGCACTGTTAGGACGGCTCTGGGTTTTAGAGCCAGGGAAAGCGTGGTAACGGGCTGGGCCGCGACCCCTAGTTGAAAAGCTCTGTCTTCTGCAGGCATCCTGTCGGCTCACAAGATAATAGCCAGCTCCCCAGAAATGAACCTGCCCACGGTGTCCGCGCTCAGGGTAGGTGGAGCCGGGCGGAGTGGGAAGCGGGTGGAGGCCCAGGAAAAGGATGACCTGAGATGAAGTGAGTCTGGCCGGCCCCTGCGCCCAAGTGCTGGTCTTTGGCCGGCGGTGACCTTTACTCCAGGAACGTGACAATCTTTCCACCTTCTCTTGGGCAGCTCAATGTGGTGGGAACACCCAGGGAGACATAACTGGGGGTCAGATCCAGACACTGGAGTGGTAGAGGATTAACTGAGGTGATTATGTGATGAAAGCACCTGGCACATAGTAGGTACCTAATAAATACTCATTTTTTAAATTTTTTTTCAGACAGGGTCTTACTCTGTCGCCCAAGCTGGAGTGCAGTGGCGCGATCTCAGCTCACTGTAACCTCCGCCTCCCACCTCAGCCTCCCACCTCAGCCTCCCGAGTAGCTGGAATTACAGGCATCCACCACGCGCAGCTAATTTTTGTATTTTTGGTAGAGAATACTGTTGGCCAGGCTGGTCTCGAACTCCTGGCCTCAAGTGATCTGCCCGCCTTGGCCTCCCAAAGTGCTGGGATTACAGGGGTGAGCCACTGCGCTCAGCCATTTTTCTTAATAGACGAGTTGTATGACCTTAAAGTACTCAGCCACTTTGAGGCTATTTCCTCATTTACAACAGTGGCCACTTTGCTGTTATTCTGAGTCGTGAATGAGCATATTGGGAAGAATCTGGTGAGTTAGTTGTTCTGTTCTCCAAAAACATATTCCAAGTCTTCACCCAAAACCTGTGCTCTGTGGGAGAGGATGGCTGATGAGGCAGGTGACAGGCAGTGTCTGTGCCTAGGGTGGGCTGATGTCCCTAGCACTGGAGGGTCCTGCTTCTCAGTTTGGAGTCATAGAGGGATGGATGGCTTCCAGCCTAGCCCTGGACCACATGGAGACTGTGCGGTCCCCACGAACAAGCGGCCAGGGTTAGGATAGGGCCTGACTCAGCTGTGCTTTTAACGACCAGGTATTAGCATTTCCCTTTGCCCTGCCACTTTCACCATAGGGCCTTCTTACCTGGCAGAGGAGTGCCTTAGATACCAGAAGATTGGCAGGGAAGAAGGGCAGCCACTTCCTGGTTACCATGGAGAAGCTTGTCATGCTCCAAGCCTGTGCTTACTTGTCCAGTAGCAACAATGGGAAACTGTATTATTTGGGGTAGGGGTAGAACCCTGAGGGCATAAAGCTAAGAATTCCAGGCTGCATCTGGCAGAATCGGTTTGGCAGGGGTTCAGCTGCTCCCTGGGAGGCCTTGGCATAGCCAGGCTGCTCCAGCACTGTGAGCTGGGAGTCTCCTCTTGCAGAAGATGGGTGTGAACCTGACACGCAGCAACAAGGAGACGGTGAAGCACAGCGACGTCCTGTTTCTGGCTGTGAAGCCACATATCATCCCCTTCATCCTGGATGAGATTGGGGCCGACGTGCAAGCCAGACACATCGTGGTCTCCTGTGCGGCTGGTGTCACCATCAGCTCTGTGGAGAAGGTGCCCATCTCAGCCCTGATGCCCCTTGTGTGAGGGGAGGGTTGACCCACGAATGGCAGCTAATGGGTGGGTGCTGGTGGGAGCCGTGCCCTGGCCACTCATTCGGCTCTCTCCCTCACCCTAGAAGCTGATGGCATTCCAGCCAGCCCCCAAAGTGATTCGCTGCATGACCAACACACCTGTGGTAGTGCAGGAAGGCGCTACAGTGTACGCCACGGGCACCCATGCCCTGGTGGAGGATGGGCAGCTCCTGGAGCAGCTCATGAGCAGCGTGGGCTTCTGCACTGAGGTGGAAGAGGACCTCATCGATGCCGTCACGGGGCTCAGTGGCAGCGGGCCTGCCTATGTGAGGCCCTCATTTGCTCGCTCAGCCTTCTAGGAACCCAGGCAGCAAGATGGGCTGGCAGGCAGGCTTGGACTGGGGGTGGCGCCCACCTCTTGGGCACAGCTGGCTGGTACAGGATGCTGACCCTTGGAGCTAGTTCTAGTCATCAGAAAGCAGACCTAAGGAAAGGCCCTTCAGTGCCTATGGCCTGGGGCTTAGTGAGTGTCTCCACAGGCATTCATGGCTCTGGACGCATTGGCTGATGGTGGGGTGAAGATGGGTTTGCCACGGCGCCTGGCAATCCAACTCGGGGCCCAGGCTTTGCTGGTCAGTATCTTTCCCCCGCATGTTCAGGACCAGGGTGTAGAATGGGGGTTCTTGTGCATCACTGAACTGAGGTGGGAGTTGGTTGGGAAGCTGGGGTAGCAGTTGGGCAGGAGCAGTGGGTATGGGAAGCCTGTTCCAACGCACACCAGCAACTTTCTCCTAATGTGCCCTTCCCCATAGGGAGCTGCCAAGATGCTGCTGGACTCGGAGCAGCATCCATGCCAGCTTAAGGACAATGTCTGCTCCCCTGGGGGAGCCACCATCCACGCCCTGCACTTTCTAGAGAGTGGGGGCTTCCGCTCTCTGCTCATCAATGCAGTTGAGGCCTCCTGTATCCGAACACGGTGAGTCCATCCCGCGGACTTCTGTCCCAGACCCTTCAGTCCTGGTTGGTCCCTGGGCTGGGTTGAGCACCATTTGCGGAACCTGCTGTCTTGGGTCCCATTTAGCAGTGTTGGAGTCTGTGCTCTGTTAATAACCACAACTTAGTAGATTTTGTTTACCTAAGAGTTTGCAAGCCTTACTTCACTTAATTCTCACTGCATTTCAGATAACCAGGATTAACTTTGACTTGTAGATGGGAAGTTGAGGCTCAGAGATAATTTTCCCAAGGTCAAACAGTTAAAAAGTGATGGAGACAGGATTCTAATTTGAATCTATGACTCCAAAGCCTGTCACTCTTCCCGTGTGATCACAGATACCACTTGGGGCTCTGATCAAATGAGATAAATAAGCAAACCCTAACTTAGGTAACTAATACTTCTTAGAAGTACTAGTTGGGAAGTACTAGTTGGGAAGCGTTTGTCTTGGGGCTCTAATTTTTGGTGGTGTCACATCAACAAGCTTGAGGGTTGTGTGGATAGTGGAGACTCAAAGCTCTGGCCCCAGGGTTTATTGCCTTCCTTTAATCCTTCTGGGGTTTTGTCTGCAGAGAGCTACAGTCCATGGCCGACCAAGAAAAGATCTCCCCAGCTGCCCTTAAGAAGACCCTCTTAGACAGAGTGAAGCTGGAATCCCCCACAGTCTCCACACTGACCCCCTCCAGCCCAGGGAAGCTCCTCACAAGAAGCCTGGCCCTGGGAGGCAAGAAGGACTAAGGCAGCATCTGTCCCCTCTGTGATTCAGAGCCCTTAGTTGAGAGCCCCTGCCGCCCCTGCCACCCCCCTGCCCCGCTCCCACCATTGCCCCTCCTCAGCTGTGCAAGGAGAAAGCATGCTTAGGAAGTTTTCAGGTCCTTGTGATAAAACCTCCTTAAATCTGTTCAGACCAAGCAATGCGAGCTTCCTCTCCTGTCCCATGTTGGAAGTTGCTCTGAAGGGGTGGTAGATGCTGGAAGCCAGACACAACCCTGCGTACGCTGCTCAGTTGGTGGAGACTGGGGCTGGGACTGGAGTCAGCCCAGCTGGGAGGAGGGGCTGGGGAGGATCTGCAGCTGAAGCCCGAGGCAGGGTTGGTGTGATGCCAAGGCAAAGTGGTGAGGAGAAAACAGGAAACGGGCTTTCTCTGAATTGGTAAATGGGAAAGAAGTGAGCAACTTAAGATTGTCACAATTAATCACAAGTGTACAGGATTAGACTGGGTTTATATTTAACTCTTGCTTCATAGGTGTACCATTTAAAGAGTGTTATTTAATGCTAAGTTTAACTGCTTTAATAAAGTTTATTTTTAAATATCTTGCTTTTGTTAGGCTTAATCTTAAATAATCATCCTGGAGAACTTGATGCCCTTGTGAGGTCCTCCCTGCTTCTCTGCGAGAGCACTGTCCAAGGGCTAGAAGTAGGGATGAGAGGAATAAGGGGCCAGGCCCTTGGTCTGGATCAAGGTGTTGTTCTAGAATGAGCCAAAGCTAATGGCAGGGAAGAGCCAAGTGGGCTGCATGGGTTGTGGGTCAGCAGCCCAGAATAAAGGGGAAAGCCGTCTGCTTTGATGTGGGGCAGGCACTGTGCTGAGCATTTGATCCTCACAGCTGCCCTCTGAAGGAAGAACTGTTCTTTTCTCACCGTATAGATGTCGAGGCCAGCCAGGCGCAGTGGCTCACGCCTGTAATCCCAGCACTTTGGGAGGCCGAGCCAGGCGGATCATGAGGTCAGGAGATCGAGACCATCCTGGCTAACATGGTGAAACCCCGTCTCTACTAAAAATTAAAAAAAAAAAATTAGCCGGGCGTGGTGGTGGGCACCTGTAGTCCCAGCTACTCGGGAGGCTGAGGCAGGAGAATGGCGTGAACCCAGGAGGCGGAGCTTGCAGTGAGCCGAGATCACGCCACTGTACTCCAACCTGGGCAACAGAGTGAGACTCCGTCTCAAAAAAAAAAAAAAAAAAACCATCTGGAGGCCTAGAGGGATAAGCAACTTACCCCATTTGTGCTGCCGGTCAGTGGTGGGGCTGTCTGTGTTCTTAGCTATCAATTCTGCAGCCTCCCAGAAATAGCTGGGCATGCCATCCACATAGCCAGACATCCAGTGTTTCTCTAGGCAGGCCGGTGTGTGCCTGGTACTTGTTCCTACGAGCTGCCTGCCTGTGCAGCAGGGCTGTTTGAAAAGGCATGCGAGGCCGGGCGCAGTGGCTCATGCCTGTAATCCCAGCACTTTCGGAGGCCGAGGTGGGCAGATCATGAGGCAGAGAGATCTAGACCATCCTGGCCAACATGGTGAAACCCTGTCTCTACTAAAAATACAAAAATTAGCCAGGCATGGTGGTGTATACCTGTAATCCCAGCTACTCGGGAGGCTGAGGCAGGAGAATTGCTTAAACCTGGGAGGCGGAGATTGCAGTGAGCCAAGATCGTGCCACCGTAGTCCACCCTGGCAAAAGAGCAAGACTCCATCTCAAAAAAAAAAAAAAAAGAAAAAAGGTATGGGCATTGGCATCAGCATCAGCTCTGGGTTCAAATCTTAGATTCCCCTGCTTTCTACTCCACAGCCCGGGAGAAGTTACCAAATTTCTCACAGCCCGGGAGAAGTTACCAATTTCTCTGATCTCAGGGTTTCATCCCTTATAAATATGGAGCCCATGTTTCATCAGGGTGTTAAATGAGACCATGTGGCAGTGCTCAACAGAACATCTGGAACACCATGGCCCCTTCGTGTAAATGGTGTTCTTCCTTCACCCTCCTGCTGAGAAGAGAGTGGAGCCTTGTTCCATTCCACTGAGTCAGGGCAGCCCCAGCTCTAACTCCAAACCTGAGAGCACATGGGAAGTCATTCTTCTGGGCCAACACAGCAAGTGCAATACTAAAAACTCATTTAAAGTCCCCAGTATGTGGCCGGCCCTTTGCAGACACTTCACACATACTCTCATGGCCTTAGGAGCTGGGTATATTTTTTTTTTTCCCCAGAAAAGTGAGGCTCAAAGAGGTTAAATCCAAGTTGCCCAAAAAGATTTGAACAGACATTTCACCAAAAAAGATAAACAAATGGTGAAGAAGCACGTCAAAAGATGCTCAGCCTTAAAATAGTTATTAGGGAAATGCAAATCAAAGCCCAATGAGATACCACTTCACACCCACAAATATGACTGTTCTTGGTTTTAAAAAAAATAGCAAATGTTGGCAAGCACGTGGAGAAATTGGAACCCTTGTGCATTGCTGGTGGGGATGTATAATGATGCAGCCACTTTGGGAAACAGTCTGGCACTTCCTTAAGAGATTAAACAAGCTGGGTGTGGTGGTGCACGCCTGTAGTCCCAACTACTCGGGAGGCTGAGAAGGGAAGATGGCCTGAGCCCAGAAGTTCAAATCCAGCCTGGGCAACATAGCAAGAGCCTACCTCTAAAAAAAAGAGTTAACAAATGACTCAGCAATTTCGCTCCAAGTTATACAGTGAAGAGAAAGACTTGCGTATGAATGTTCATGACAGTGTTATTAAGTAGCCCCAAGGTAGAAACAACCCAATTGGTCATCAGCTGGTGAATGGGTAAATATGTTACACCCACACAATGGAATACTCAGCAGTAAAAGAGATGCGAGTACAGACACATGAACCTGTAAGACATGCCAAGTAAAAGAAGCCAGTCACAAAAGGCCATGTATTACATGATTCCATTTATATGAAATGTCCAAAAAATGCAAATCTATACAGACAGAAATAGAAGTTGCCAGGGACTGTGGTGGCAATGGGAAGAGCGCAGAGTTTCTGTTGGAGCCATGGCAATGATGTAAAATAAGATCACGGTGATGGTTTGCACAGCTCCATACATATGGTCATTGAATTGTACACTTAAAAGTGGGTGAATTTTATGGCATGTAAATCATACACGATAATGTTTTTAAAAATGAAATAAGCTGCCCAAGTTTTAATTAGCTAGGAAGTGGTGCCAGGATTCAAATCTGTTATCTGATACCAAATCCTATCCTCTCTGTGCTAGGCCTGCTGGCAAGTCATCCTAGATGACAAGAGATTGTTGCCTGCATTTTCCTCTCCTCCATCCCCTGCAAGACCACCCCTTTTTCCAGGCCTAAATATACCAACATACATTTACTGAGGACCTACTGACTGCCAGGCCCCATCTTATGTCTTGGTGCACGGGGTCACCCTGGCTAAGATGTGTCCTCACCTGCCGAGCACTGCTGCCCTTACCTTCTGAACTTCAGTCAGGTATGATCAGGGCCAGATGGGAATGAGGGTGGTTGAGGCCCTGGTCCTGCTTCAGGGAGAGGAGGAGAGGGCCATTCCTTGGAGAAAATTTCCAGTCATCTCTCCCCAAGACCTCAGGCCTGTCTGGGGAGGCCAGGAAGTACCCAGGACTTCCGCCTCCCAGCTTCCCACCTTCTCACAGGGCTGATGAGCCTTGGGGCCAGAGCTGCCGGCAGTCAGTGAGGGCTGGCAACTCCCCGAGGTGGTCAAGAGAGCCCCCAGTGTGTCAGGCCCCAGACAGAGGCACTAGAGCTTGCATTCTAGGCCCATCAGGTGTCCAAGCCACCAGGAAAGCAACCAGATACCCCTGCAAGAGCTGGCATTGAGGGTTAGCGCAGCCTTTTCACTAAGGATTTGCTGAATGCTCCTCTCAGTGCCCTGTGAGGCCTGGGTGTGCCCTAGGCAGTCAGACTGTCCTGGCCCAGCGCGATGGCTCACGCCTGTCATCCCAGCACTTTGGGAGGCCAAGGCAGGCAGGTCACTTGAGCCCAGGAGTTTGAGACCAGCCTGGGCAACATGGTGAAACCCCGTCTCTACAAAAAAAAAAAAAATGCAAAAATTAGCCAGGTGTTGTGGTGCATGCCTGTGGTTCCAGCTACTCGGGGTAGAGGTAGGAGGATCGCTTGAGTCCTTGAGGCGGAGGTCGCAGTGAGCCAAGATGGCATCACTGCACTGCAGCCTGGCCCACAGAGCGAGACCCTGTCTGAACAACAAAAGACTGTCCTTGTTCAGAGTTGTACAAGGGCTGAGAACAGATGTGGACACCGCAATGTGACAAATACGGGAAGCGAGAGAAGGCAGCCTGGAGTGGACTGAAAGTAGGGGAGCGTGCTGTTGGGAAAGACAGCCTCAGCCTTTCTGCCCCCTCTGAAAGGCCACATGAGAATGGGCCTGGAACATTCCTCACAAAGAGCTAAAGTGTTCTCAAGCCTGTGGTGGACTTGTCACTTTGCATGGGCGCGTCTTTCCTGTTTAGACTTGATGTATATTCCTTTAGTCTGCTTAAGTGTGCATCACATGGCACCTGGCCAAGCCCACCACTATATCTGTTCCCACTGGGGAGGGGCAAGGTCCTTCTGCTGCAGCACAGAGAGGTGTGTGCAGGCCCATGGCCCTGGGTTACCGCTGGGAGGGACCTGCTGGCCATGGGGACCAACACCCACCACTGAAGCTGTGTTCGCTGCTCTTTTCTAGTATGAGTAAAGTGGAGTAGCCCGGGCTTGACTGTGCTGTTGCCCCTGGCAACTCCAGTTACGAGACTCAGTGAGCAGAAGTGCTAGGATTTCTGCTCCTGATAATAGGCAACAGATGCCACTTGCGCACAGGAACCAGCCCCCTCTCCCTGTTCCCAGCTCCCTGCACTGCCCTCTTCTCAGGACCCCTGAGCAGCATAGCCTTAAGTACCCCCCAATCCCGATTTCCCAGTGGGTGTCTCTTAGGACCCCAGAAAAACGCTTCCTTACCTATTGCCTCCATGTTACTCTCCTATAAAATGGGGCAAACTATTGCCCCAACTATTAATGATCATTACTTCGGGGAAGTAGGATTGAGATTGACTTTTCACTTAATTTCTTGATTTCTTTATTTTACTTTAGATTGTTGATTGCAGTAAGCCGGCATGATTTTGGTGGTTAAAAGATCTAAAGATTTTTCCCACTGCTCCCACTCGTGGGGCATGCTAGAAAACAAATGCACCCTCCCTCATCTCCTGCATCCTTCTTTCATCCCCCTGTCTGTGCGTGTCCCCTGCAACTGTTACTAAGCAACGCTCTCCAAAGAAACACCGAGAGTCAGCCTCAGCCCAAGGGGCTGGCTGCGCTTTCCTTCACTGTTTCAAGCAGGAGAGCTAGTCCTTTCTGCACATCTGAGCAAAATACTTGTAAAGCCTTGACTTGTATTCACTTTTACCAATAAACTAGATGGAACACAGAAGTGGATATTGTGATTATATGAAGTCCATAGCATTTTGAAAATGAAATACCCCGCTTTTCAAGGTCCAAGCCAGTGTGGGTAGTATACTACCTTTATGTAAGAAAGGGGGAAAATACAAAATTGGATAAAGAAATTCTAGAAGGATATACCAGAAACCACTAAAACAGTACCTGGTTGTGGGGGGCAGTGGGAATGTGGCAGATAGGGGCAGGGCAGGAGGGAGACCTTTCATTACAAACCTCTTTGTATAGTATTGATTTAGGAATCACATAAGGGGATTGCTTAGTTACAAAATGCATTTGGACAGCCTTTAGAGGGGCCAGGCTGCCCTGGCCATGCGGTACTGAAGCAGGATGCGTGGCCCCACGTGGTCAGTCAAGGTGGGAGCACGTCCTGTGTGCCCTACTTTGGCCTCGAGCTGTGTCTTGGACACTCCTGCAGGAACACTTAGCATGAGAGCTGGGCTGCAGGCCATCTTCCCAATCCTAGTGCATGGTACCCAATAAACACAGCTGAACAAATGCTTGAATGAATGACAGCTCTTCTGCTTGAATGTCAGGTTGGGCTGTTGCCTGAGTGCCCAACGAGGTCTCTGGTGTATTGGGGTGAAAACTCTGTGCAACTCCTAGACTGTCCTTGGACCTGGTCATTCCTGGTTTGGTTTTTTAAAGTATTTATTTTTTTGTTTATTTATTTACTTATTTATTATTTTTTGACACGGAGCTCAGGCTGGAGTGCAGTGTAGATCTCTGCTCACTGCAACCTCCACCTCCCTGGATCAAGCAATTCTCTAATTTTTTTGGTATTTTTAGTAGAGACGGGGCTTCCCCATGTTGGCCAGGCTGGTCTCAAACTCCTGACCTGGTGATCTGCCTGCCTTGGCCTCCCAAAGTGCTGGGATTACAGGCATGAGCCACTGCGCCTGGCCCTGGTTTGTTTTTGACTTTCTTTTATTCAATCAGCAGGTGTTGATTGAGCACTGAAGGGCTGTGCTTGTGCCCGATTGGCTGGGATGTGGGGAAGCCTAGTACGTTTCTGTCCTGGCCACTTTGCCTCATGGGTGCTCTATGAGTGTGCCTGCTCCTCCCCCCGTGTGTTGCCCAAGAGCCTGTTCAGTACATGGATACTTCAGAGGCATCCTCCCAATTCTTACAGCTTTAGGCTTCTTCAGGTAACAGGGAAGTACCTCAGGAATATTCAAGTAAAAAGGGATTGGGATGGTTATCAAATTTATAACAGTTTTCCATTTTAGGAAGGATTATGTGGATAAATGTTCTGTCCTCCTTGAAAATAAGTGACTGAAAACACATGCTGGTGGGCTGCAGCAGAGCATGTGAGGTTTGGCTGGACATCAGAGACTTGTCAATTGAGGTACTTTGATATTGAGCGACCACGAGAGGCTGAGAAACCAGTGTGGGGTCCGGCGTGGTGGCTCACGCCTATAATCCCAGCACTTTGGGAGGCTGAGACAGATGGATCACTTGAGGTCAGGAGTTTGAGATCAGCCTGGCCAACATGGTGAAACCCCGTCTCTACTAAAAATACAAAAGTTAGCCCAGTGTGGTGGTAGGTGCCTGTAATCCCAGCTATTCAGGAGGCTGAGGCAGGAGAATCACTTGAACCCGGGAGGCTGAGGTCGCAGTGAGCCGAGATCGCTCCACTGCACTCTGGCCCAGACGACCGAGCAAGACTGCATCTCAAAAAAACAAAACAAAACAAAAAGAAACCAGTGGGGGTATGTACCTCTCAGTTACTGCTCCACCCTGAATTCTAAGATATGTGAATATGAAATTAGAATTTCATGTGTAGTATCTTTTCAATTAAATTACAATAAAGATTGCTTTCCTTCTGCCAGTGTAGTTAATGAACTTCTGGTAACAGTAAGAGCAAAGGCCTGAGTTCTAATCCTCACTGCTCAGGTGACTTCAGGTAAGTCATTAGTCTGCTTTGGTTTCAACTTATTATTTCATTAAAATGGGAAATAGATAATACTTGCTCATCCTTCTCTCAGGGTGGTCAGTTGCTTTGGGCAAAGCCTTTGGGTAACCTGGGTCACTGTGCAGCCGGGAGGCCCCTGGGCAGGTGACCATGTTGCTTTGACACAATCCCTCCCCCTTCTACAATCCCACACACTGCAAGCTTTCCTCTTTCCTAAGATGGGAAGCCCAGCCAATGCTCCTTGTCAAGCAACTTCACATATATGACTTGAGGCGTAGAAGCTTTAAAAACAAACACGTGTCTTCTTTTTATGCACCAGATCTGGTTTTACGCATGCAAGGCCCATGATCTCATTTAATCTTTAATAATTATGATGTAGTTATTTGGAAAACTCAGGCTTGGACAAGTTGGGAGCACAGCCAGTGAGGGGAAAGGCCTGGGTGCCAATCCAGGTATGTCTAAAACCAAGACCCGTTTTACAGTGCACTGACCTGACCTTCCATGTGCAGGCACTGCTGCCCTCACTGCTCTCACTGAGGGGTCCTCTGGCTGGAAAACAAGGAATGATCCCCCAAAACTAGGCTAGGTGAGAAGGTGGAGATGTAGGCAGAGGGTGATGCTGTGGGGATCCCTGGATAGGTGCCTGGGAAGAAGGCCCAAAAAACAGGGGGGGATGGGGACTGGCCTCCATATAGCCTGCAGTGGTGTGGGGACCTTGCCTGAGTCACTGGGAAACCCACTCAGAGAAGCAAATATTTTAATTTTTTTGTTTTGTAGAAACAAATATAACCATCATTACTATCTGCTCTTTGAATTAAGGGAAAGGAACAAGAAATGAGCATTTATAAAGTTATGCCATTGCCCGGATCCCCGCATAATGCTCCCTTTGCCCTAAACAGTGTATCTTTCTGCTGAACCCCACGGCCTTCCCCAGTGCCCCGCTGTCTTGCTCACGCCCCATCTCCGGGGCTGCCTCTTCTCTCCCCAGCTCCTTCCTGGGCCATTGGTCCTTGGCATCCTGGACTGTCAGTTATTTTCTCATGAACACAAGTCTTTGCTCTATAGTAGCGCTTCTGGGCTGACAAGGGGCTGTCACTCGTCGCATCCAGCAGGAGTCCCACGGCGATCTGGAGGCACGTAGGGAGGGGGCATCCCCATCCCTGTCCCCATCGCCATTCCCGTCCCCCATAGGAAGAACTCAAGGCACCCATCCAAGATGACTGGGGAAGCCGGTGTCAAAATCTCAGCCTCCAGACTCGAGTCTTCTTTCCCGTTTTCCCCACTCAGCTCACAGAAGAGTTCCTAAGAAGACCCTTGAGGACAGCATTGTATTTTTAGTAAAGACGGGGTTTCACCATTTTGGCCAAGATGGTCTCTATCTCTTGACCTCGTGATCCGCCCGCCTAGGCCTCCCAAAGTGCTGGGATTACAGGCGTGAGCCCCCGCGCCTGGCTAGTGGTTCCTAAAAAACGTCCCTTCGCGGCTCCAAGCGGTCCCGGCCGCCCGCGGCCGAGGAGGACCTCCCCGCGCCGCCAGAGGGCGCCAGGCGCCACAGCCGAACTCCCCAGGCCGCCAGCCCCGGCCTGGTTGGAGAGAAACCGGGTGCAAACCCCAGCCCCGGCTGGGTGCCCACCTGCTAGTTGTGGCAGGTCATTTCCTGAGTTCACATAGCAAAGCAGCTCAGAGTTGGATCTAGGGGAAAGCGCTGGAATCCACGCTCCGCTTCCCCACGCAGCCTCGCCTGTGGCCCCAGCAGCGCCCTCTGCACATGGGAGGTCGGGCAGCTTAGCGGAGCTCCCCGGCCAGGGACTCAGGCCTCACCAGGGGCCCGCGTGTCCAGCCTGACGTGGGCCATCTGAATCGAAATACACCCATCTTGCTCAAGACGAGGCCTAGAGAGTCAGTCACTTTAACGACAGGTGACCTTGGGTGAGTTATTCAACCTCCAAGAACTTATCTGTCAAGTGAGGGTGAGAAGGATCCCCACCTCATGGGCTGAGATGAGGATTCAATGAGATAAAGGCTGGGCTTGGTGTCTGGCAGGACAGCGCTAATAACCAGAGGTTGCTGTGGTGTTGATTATAACTGTTAGGGAAACTGAGGCCTGGAGAGGTTAACTGGAAAGACAGGACCCAGCACCGGAAGTGGGTCAGGCTCCACTCTGGGAGGGTTCAGGGTCCTTGTTCCCCAGGGCACCGCTGGCTCCAGACCTGGTTCCCAAACCTAATTGATCATCTGCCTTTTTAAATTAAGGGAAATAGAGAGGAAACTAGCATTTATTGAGTTCTGTTTCCAACCTTATTACCCTTGACTCCTCAAAATGCTTTTTCTATCTGAAAACCAGACCTGTGCTTAACTGTACAACCCACTGTTACTAGTCACCTCATTTTCTCCACCAGAAATGCCTTCTCCTTGTCTTTTCTGCCTCTCTGAATGTGACAGACCCTCATCTCCCACCCCAAAGCTTGGAATCAGAATCTCTGGAGGTTCCACTGGAGATGCTGACCCTCAGCTGGGTGTGGGGCCACTGCCTGTGGAGCTTGATGAATCCTTGTTAAATTGAATTGAGCTGGTTGTGGCCTGCAGCCAACATTCCTAGGTGTCCAAAGAGATAGACCAGAAAGAAGGTGAAGAGGAAACACTGTAATTACCAGTCAATATATATTTATTTAGATCATGGGCACATAAAATGCAAATTATTCATGGACCAGGACCCCCTATGTTAGGGTGTCAATATCCCGACACATTCAGGGCCAGCCCTGGGAAATGGAGTTCCAGGCAAAGAGAAGCCTCAGGGCATTGTGGAGGTAAGGCTGGTGGGGAGGATAGAGAGAGAAGCTGGACTTCCTATAAACTTGAACTTCCTCTGCTGTGTAAAAATTCAGTGGGGTGAGGTGCAAAAAGCACCTGCCTCAACCCGCCCTGCTTGCATGCACACATTCATTCATTTATTTCAATCCTCACCTATTGAGTGTCCACTGTGGGCCAGACCGGGTGCTACGCATACAATCAGACCTGATCACTTTATTCCCCACTGGAGTTCCTGGTCTGGTGGAGGAAATCAGGATACAAAGAAGTGATTGCAAATTCCATATGACAAGTTAATAAATGGTGGCAGTGAGGAGCACTGGGAGAAGGGAGGAGGTGTTCAGGAAGACTTGGCAGAGAATGTCAGGTTGGACATGGGTTAGAAAAGATGAGGGGAGTTTTCCAGCTGGAGAAGTGTTAAAGGACCAGGGTGCTGAGGAGTGGCACCCTGGGTGATGGGCACTGCTTGTGCCCAGGTAGGGTGGCGGGAACCAGTGCCCAGTGTTGGTAAAGTCCTTCATATGATGGAGTGAAGAGTGAGTGTGTGCTGGGTGTGTGTGTGACTGGACAACAGGTGAGTCTGAACAATGAAGATGCTGGACTTGGCACAGTGGAAGGCAGCTGAGGCAGCAAGAGGTTAATTTGTTTTGTTTTGTTTTGTTTTGTTTTGTTTTGTTTTGTTTTGTTTGAGAAAGTCTTGCTCTGTTGCCCAGGCTGGAGTGTAGTGGTGTGATCTCAGCTCACTGCAACCTCTGCTTCCTGGGTTCAAGCGATTCTCCTGCCTCAGCCTCCTGAGTAGCTGGGACCACAGGTGTGTGCTACCACGCCTGGCTAATTTTTGTATTTTTAGTAGAAATGGGGTTTCACCATGTTAGCCAGGCTGGTCTCGAACTCCTGACCTCAGATGATCCGCCTGCCTCGGCTTCCCAAAGTGGTGGGATTACAGGCATAAGCCACCGTGCCCAGCCTAAGAGGTTTTTAAGTAGGGAGGGATCAGCCCTAATTTTTGCTTAAGAAAGAAAACTCCAGAAATGTTGGAAAACAGTGCCTTGAGTCTTGCAGCCATTTGGGTATAAAAGATGAGGGAAGCCAGTTGAAGAGGGTAATCCACAAGGCTTAAAGAGCCTTGGCTTCCCCCAGTGTATCCCCCTAATATCAATTGCTTGTTTAAAATTCAATTTGTTTAATGCACAGATAAGCTAAAACCTCCACCGTCTACAGGGTTCCTGTTGTTTGCTCAGTGCAGAGCACAATGGCTATTGTTTAGCAGGTATTTAATGAGGATTGTTGAGCCATGAGATGAGGGCAGGTGAGAGAGAAGCAGGTGTGGAAGCCAGGCCAAGGCTTCTGCTTGGTGACACCATTAACTGACCTGGAAAATCCTGGAAGGGGATAGGTTTGAGAGGAATAATAAAAATAAAAGCTGCGTTCATGGAGTGCCAGATACAGGTCAAAGCTGGAGCTGGACTTCCCCAACCTTCCCCAGTCCCCACAAACAACCCTATCCAGTGCGTGTTTCTATCTGACGCCCGTTTTCACAAATGAGAAAAATGAGGCTCATTGGGGTTGCCCAGGGCCGAGATGAGATGAGCAGCATGGCTGGAGCCTGCGCTGAACCCCATTGCCATCGGGAGTTCCTCTTTAAGGGGAGGTGGGCCCCCCATTTTCAGACCGTAGGGAAAGAGGCAGGGCCTCAGAAGAATCTGGAGGCACAGATGTGGGTTTGCAACCTGGCACTGTGACTGTGGACTTGGAGCTGAGTCCACATCAGTGTAGGCAGAGTGGCACATCACATTCCTGGGCTGCTACAGCAAAACTGTAATGACCAGGCCTGGGTCGCTTAAGCAACAGAAATGTGTTTGTCAACCTTGGCACGGTGGTGGCTCATGCCTATAATCCCAGCTACTCAGGAGGCTGAGGTAGGAGAATTGTTTGAGGCCAGGAGTTCTAGACAAGCCTGGGCAACATGGTGAGACCCCTGTCTCTACCAAAGAAAGCCAGGTATGGTGGCTTATGCCTGTAATCCCAGTGCTTTGGGAGGGAGGCCAAGGTGGGAGGATTGTTTGAGGACAGGAGTTTGAGACCAGCCAGGGCAATACAGCAAGACCCCATCTCTACAAAAAATAAAAGAAAAAGAAATTTATTTTCTCACAGTTCTGGAGGCTAGAAGTTCAAGACCAGGGACACCAGTCATACTGGATTAGAGTCCATCCTAGTGACCTCATCTAACTTAATTTTCTCTTTAAAGGCCCTATGTCCAAATAGACACATTCAGAGGTACTGAGGGTTAGAGTTTAAGCATATGAATTTTGGGGGTCCACAATTCAGCCCATGTCAAGCAGCCTGGAGATCATGAAGAGTCAAGGGATGAGGGAGAAGAAGGAGACAGAGGGCCTGGGGAAGCAGGGGGAGGATTTCAGCACAAGGGTGGAGTGGAGCCTCCAGCTGGCCTGGGTGAGAGGGGCAGGGTGAGGAGGGCCACGTTCCTGAACCCAGACCCCTGGATAGGAGGATGCTCAGGAGAAGAATGAGGCTGCATGGCAAATGCACCCGTCAGGCAGACCTACTTCAGACGAAGGTCAGTGTGGCTGTGGAGGCCCCGCTGGTCATCCCCAGCCAGGGCTGTGGTGTCTTCATCATGGAGAATACAGGCCGCTCCCCAGAGCTGTGGTGTGCAGGGCTCAGGCCGCACTGACCCCTTCCCTGCTGGGCTGAGCAGCTGGAAATCCAGGCTGCAGGGGAGCCATTTCCTCAGGGAGCCCTCCCACTCCTCACACAGAGTCTGCTTCAGGCCCAGGCCACACCTGGAACAAAGGCGGTCACGACCACCCCTGAACCCCTGGCCACAGGACCCAGAGCCCCAGTTCAACCCCCACTGTGAACCACTGTGAGCACTCCTCATCTTGCCCACCTCTGAAGGGGCCAGCTTTGTTCTTTTCCTTCTCCTTGCCGCCTGTCTGGAATCGGCCTGTGGCGGCTCCCATCTGGTGGCCAAAGGACCTTGGGCTGTAAGATAGGAAAAGGCTGAACTCTGTTGTTGGACACATTCTGGGGGCTTCCAGGTACCAAGCAGGAGGATCAAACCTTCCCAGGGACCAGCATCTTTCATTAACAAAATCCAAAACCATGTCACAGGACCCTCAGGAGCCTACTCCGTGGGCATGGGGCAGCCACAGAGCCAGCCTTGGCCTCGGTGCTGCCCTCAGTCAGCTCGTGGTCCGGGAAGGGATCATACACACTGCCACAGTCACAGCCTCACACTTACACATGGACACACCCACACATGCTCCCACACGCATGTGCACACACACACACGCACACACACACACCATAGGATGCTTCTGTTTTATTTGACACCAAACTAACACATCTTGGAAACTTCTTATGGAAACACCAACAGTAAACATGGAAAGTGGAAATAAAACACACACCCGAGATGATTCCTAATTAGCGGAAACAGCCCTAGTCTAGATCCAGAGACCCTGGAGGGACACGAACGTGGTGCAGGTCAAATTCCCCGTTGTCCAGCGAGGGTCATGGGCTGCCCAAGGCCACACAGCTCACTGCCCTGTGCCATGTCCAATCCCCTTGCAGCCTCCCTCAGCTCATGCTCAAGTCACACAGGCCTCCCCAGGCCTGCCCTGTCAATGCTGACCCACAAACAGGCTCACATAATGCTCCCTCCCAGGGGCACAGCAGCCTTGGCTTTGATCTGAGGTGGGGCTTTCCTGGCCTGAAAGTTGATGTGGCCAGCCTTCAACCTGTCCCCCATATCACCGTCTGCTTTTGGAGACCCAGGGCAGGAAGCTGAAGCCTTATGTGGGAAAATGAGGGCTGGTCCCACGGCAGCCCTGGGGACCAGCTCTCTCCTTCGCTTTATGTATTATTTCATTTTTAATTACAGAACCAAGGTAGCAGAGCCTCTCAGGCTGAGCCAGAAAATAATCAGCTTTTTAATTTGATTTTTGTTCTCCCAAAGGAGAACAAGGGGCTCCAGGGGCACCATGAGGCCTGGACCTTGGAGATATGGTTAGATCCTCTAACCTATAGATGCTTGACTCCAGGCTGGCTCACCATCTACAGTGGGGTGACCTCCGCAGGCCCCAGTTTCTCTCTCTTTAAAATGAGCGGTTGGACCAAAGCTTCCTCTCAGGTCCCTTCCAGCACCAAGCCTCTCTGATCTCTGAGCAGTCCTCACCCCACATGCGTGGCTTTGCAAATTTTCCGACCTCTCTTCCATTTCTGAGCTTTCATCTTTTTCTGTAACGGCATAAAAATATCCTCCTTACCTCCCTGTCCCTGATTCTAGCGCCAGTCTGTGGCTGTCCAGGGGTGGGGTGGGGAGGGTCTCTTCCTGCCTCTCTCAGTTCTTTTCTGTCCCCTCTGGCTTTCCCCTTCTCTCCCCAAACCTCTAGCCACTAGTTATTTCCCAGAGTTTTTCCTCTGTGCTCCCCTCAGTATCATCTCTGCTCTTGTACCTCTGTAGCTGTGCCTGGCCATCTACTCTCCCTGCTCTCTTACCTCCTGCCAAAGACCCCACATCTGACCTTCTGCAGAGTCCTGGATGTGGCCCCTGGACTTCCCATCAGTTCTTCAGACTGTCCCTGTCCAATCTTCTTTCCACTCCCCACTCCCGCACCTGCCTGTCCTCCCTTCCCTGCCTCAATGAATGGTGCCCCCTCCACCCTGCCTGATCTATGCCATGGGTCCAGGCAAGTGCAAGGTCTGGCCCTGGGACCAGAAGGATGGGCCTTGACTCAGGGCGAGGAAGGACCCTCTTCCTAGCTTCCCCCAAATAGCTTGATCCACCTCCCTTCTCAGTTACACTGTGCAGCTTTCTTGCTCTGAAAGGTTGGAGACATTTACTGTTTTTGAAATTGTAGGATCTCTGTTCCTCAGACCCAAGGTGCAGAATGTCTTGGTTATGAGTCGGTGACAAAGCCCTGCCAAATCCAGGTCTCCAGACTCCACCCCAGGGGTCTCCCTGGTCTGACACTGCAAGCTGTGCTCCTCCCCAACCTCCCAACATCTGGACTCGCTGGGAGCTCCCTGGAGCTGGAAGCATGGGCTGGTTTCAGCAAGGACCTGCTGTCACTGGGCTGAGGAGGACAGGCCACTGGTGCTGCCCCCTCACAGGAAGGTCCATGAACAATGCACTAGGTGCCTTCCTGTCAGAAGATGCTCTGGGAATTCCTGGGTGGCCAGAGCCCTCCACCCTGGGTCTAGGGAAACCAACCCTTAAAAGCTAGCCAGGCGCGGTGGCTCACGCCTGTAATCCTAGCACTTTACAGGGCTGAGGCGGGTGGATCACTTGAGGCCAGGAGTTCAAGACCAGCTTGGCCAACATGGTGAAACCCCGTCTCTACTAAAAATACAAAAATTAGCTGGGCATGGTGGTGGGCGCTTGTAGTCCCAGGTACTCGGGAGGCTGAGGCAGGAGAATCCCTTGAACACAGGAGGCGGATGTTGCAGTGAGCCCAGATTGCACCACTGCACTCCAGCCTGGGCAACAGAGCAAGACTCCATCTCTAAATAAATGAATGAATAAATAAATAAATAAATAAATAATAGCTTATTTCCAGAGAAGGAGATGGAGTGGAGCCCACTTCTTATTAAGACACAGCCGGCAGATGCTGGTCAGCCCAAGAGGGGAGAACTAACTGGTGTTCTGTGTGGACTCTGAATCCTGTTCCTTGCCAGAGCTGAGCCTTGGATGGCACAGAAACTTCCCAGTCCACACCAAGGATTGCTGACTGAGAAACAATCCGGCCTGCAGGCATGGGCCTGGGGCTCAGAGGGCTCTGGACAGCTGACTTCTGGTTGGGAAACTGATTACCCTTCTCAGTCCTGGGAGACCTTCCTTGGCAGAGGCCTGGCAGCATTTAGCACCAATGGGGGTTAATCCAGAGAGAAGTCCCAAGCACCCCTTTTCTCTCTCCTAGTGATTTAGAGCTGAAAGGAATCATCTCGTCTATCTACCTCATTTTACAAAAGAATTGAAATCCAGAGTTCACCAAGCTTGCACAGTGAGAATGCCCATCTTTTAATTCATTCGACAAATATTGATGAAGTGTCTACCATGATACCTCATTGTGCTGGTCATTGTTCTAGGCACAGGGACATAGCAGGAAACAGGTTAGACAAATTTTCTGAGCTCCTGGAAGCAACGCTCCAGCGGGGAGGCAGTCAATAGATGGTTAAAGAAGTGGAGAAGAAAATCTTAGATAGTACTAAGTACTATGAGGAAGATAAACCAGAATGATAAAGAGAGATAGTAATTGGTAGAGGCAGGAAGGAACATGTAGATATGTATGCATGGATAAGAGAGGCCTTTCTGAGGAGGTGACATCCGATCCTGAATGATAAGAACAAGTTAACACGCAAAGATCTGGGCACAGACCCTTGCAAGTAGAGAGAACAGCTTGTGCAAAGGCCCTGAGGTGCAACTGGCATGTCACGTTTGGGGAGAGTAAAGAGGCCTGTGTGCATTGTTCTCAGGGAGCAAGTGAGGAGAGGAGGAGAGGTAGGACCTGAGGTGGAGCAGGCAAACCTGGCCCAGGTCAGCTGGGCTTTAAGGACATGGGAAGAAATTTGAATTTTATCCAACGTGTAATAAGAAGTCACTGGAGGTTTGTTTTTTTTCTCTAGTAGACTTTATTTTTTAGAGCAGTTTTAGGTTCACAGCAAAATTGAGAGGAAAGCACAAAAAATTCCTATATACTCTCTCCCCCTATATGTATAAACTCCCCCACTATCAATGTCCCCACCAGCCTGGTACAGTTGTTAAATTTGATAAACCTACACAGACACATCATTTTGTTTGTTTTTTTGTTTGTTTGTTTTTTGAGACAGAGTCTTGCTCTGTCACCAGGCTGGAGTGCAGTGGCACAGCCTCGGCTCACTGCAACCTCTGTGCCCTTCAGGGTTCAAGGGATTCTCCTGCCTCAGCCTCCCGAGTAGTTGAGATTACAGGTGCCCACCACCACACCCAGCTAATTTTTGTATTTTTAGTAGAGATGGGGTTTCACTGTGTTGGCCAGGCTGGTCTCAAACTCCTGACCTCAGGTGATCCACTCGCCTTGGCCTCCCAAAGTGCTGGGATTACAGGCATGAGCCACCACGCCCGGCCACAGACACATGATTATAACCCAGAGTTCAGAGTTTACATTAGGGTTGGCTCTTGGCGCACATTTGATGGTTTGAACAAATGTATAAACGCATGTGTCTACCAGTACAGTAACACACAGAGTAGTTTCACTGCCCTAAAAATTCTCTGTGCTCTGCCGGTTCATCCCTTCCTCCTCTCTAGCCCCTGGAAACCACACATTTTTTTACTGTCTCCATAGCTTTGTCTTTTCCAGAATATCATATAGTTGCAATCATATATATATGGCCTTTCCAGATTGACTTCTTTCACTTAGTAGTATGCATTTAAGATTCCTTCATGTCTTTTCATGGCTTGACAGCTCATTTTTTTTTTAGCATTGAATAATATTTCATTGTTTGGATGTACCACAGTTTATTTACCCATTCACCCAATGAAGGACATCTTCCAAGTTTTGGCAATTATGAATAAAGCTACCATCAACATCTGCGTGCAGGTTCTTGTGAGGACATAAGTTTCCAGCTCATATGGTACTTGGTAAGTACCAAGGAGCGTGATTGCTGGATCATTTGATAAAAGTATGGTTAGTTTTGTAAGAAACTGCCAAACTATCTTCCAAAGGGACTGCCATTTTGCATACCCACCAGCAACGAGTGAGAGTTTCTGTTACTCTGCCTGTTACTTCATCAGTGTTTGATGTTGTCCATGTTTTGGATTTTGGCCATTCTAATAGTTGTGTAGTGATAGTTCATTGTTGTTCCCCACTGACATATTCCTTAATGACAAATGATGGTTAGCATCTTTCTTTTTTTTTTTTTTTTGAGACTGAGTCTCGCTCTGTCACCCAGGCTGGGAGTGCAGTGGCGCCATCTCAGCTCACTGCTGCTAGCTCCCACTCCTGGGTTCACGCCATTCTCCTGCCTCAGCCTCCCGAGTAGCTGGGATTACAGGCGCCCGCCACCATATCCGGCTAATTTTTTTGTATTTTTAGTAGAGACGGGGTTTCACCGTGTTAGCCAGGATGGTCTCAATCTCCTGACCTCGTGATCCGCCCGCCTTGGCCTCCCGAAGTGCTGGGATTACAGGCTTGAGCCACCACGCCCGGCCAATGGTTAGCATCTTTTTTTGGTTTTGTTTTTTGTTTTGTTTTATTTTTTTGAGACAGAGTTTCGCTCTTGTCACCCAGGCTGGAGTTCAATGGCGTGATCTCGGCTCACTACAGCCTCCGCCTCCTGGGTTCAAGCCATTCTCCTGCCTCAGCCTCCCAAGTAGCTGGGATTACAGGCGCCTACCACCACACCTGGCTAATTTTTTGTATTTGTAGTAGAGATGGGGTTTTGGCATGTTGGCCGGGCTGCTCTCGAACTCCTGGCCTCAGGTGATCCACCCACCTCGGCCTACCAAAGTGCTGGGATTACAGGCATGAGCCACCGTGCCTGGCCAGTTAGCATCTTTTTATATGCTTTCTTGCCATCTGTATATCTTCTTTGATGAGGTATCTGTCCAGGTCTTTTGCCCATTTCTTAATTGGGTGGTTAGTTTTCTTATTGTTGAGCTTTACAAGTTCTTCAGGCCAGGCACAGTGACTCACACCCGTAATCCCAGTACTTTTGGAGGCCAAAGCAGGAGGATCACCTGAGACAGGAGTTCAACATGGGCCTGAACCCCATCTACAAAAAATACAAAAATTAGCTGGGCACAATGGTGCACCCCTGTAATCCCAGCACTTTGGGAGGCTGAGGTAGGAGGATCACTTGAGCTCAGGTGGTTGAGGCTGCAGTGAGCCATGATTGTGCCACTGCACTCCAGCCTGGGCAACAGAGTAAGACCCTGTAAGACCCTGCTTCAAAAATTCAAAAAACAAACAAACAAAAAAACACAGAAAAAAAGAGTTATTTGTATATTTTGAATAACAGTTCTTTATCAGATATGTCTTTTCCAAATATTTTCTCCCTGACTGCGGCTTTTCTCATTCTCTTGACAGTGTCTATTTCTTTTTCTTCTTGAAAGGTATAACTGAGGGAATGACAGTGTCTTTTGCAAAGCAGAGGTTCATTTTAATGAAGTCCAACTTTATATCAATTATTCCTTTCATGGGTCAAAAAATGTCATTGCCAAACTCAAGATGATCTATGTTTTCTACTATGTTCTCTTTTTGGAGTTTTATAGTTTTGTGTTTTACATGCAGGTGTATGATCCATTTTGAGTTAATTTTTGGAGAGCTTTGATTAATGGAATATGTTTTCTGATTAAAGTTTGTCACAGACCACTGTTGACTCCGAGGATGGAGAATGCGAGCAGGTGGAGGCAGTTGCAGTTGCCCTGGCAGGTGATGGAGGGTCACGAATGGATATAAAATGTGTTTTCGAAGTGAGACCAAGACACCTGCTGGGGACTGACTCTGAGGGATGTGGGATAGGAAGTATTCAAGAATGAGCCCTGGCCAGGTGCAGTGGCTCATGCCTGTAATCCCAGCACTTTGGGAGGCCAAGGCCGGTGGATCACCTGAGGTCAGGAGTTCGAGACCAGCCTGACCAACATGGTGAAACCCCACCTCTACTAAAAATACAAAAATTAGCCAGGAGTGGTGGCATGCGCCTATCATCCCAGCTACTTGGGAGGCTGAGGCAGGAGAATCGCTTGAACCTGGGAGGTGGAGGTTGCAGTGAGCCGATATCTCGCCATTGCACTCCAGCCTGGGCAACAGAGCAAGACTCTGTCTCAAATAATAATAATAATAATAATAATAATATAATAATAATAATAATAACAACAACAACAACAACAATAAGCCCCAGGGCTGGGTGCAGTGGCTCATGCCTGTAATCCCAACAGTTTGGGAGGCCGAGGTGGGTAGATTGCCTGAAGTGAGGAGTTCGGGACCAGCCAGACCAACATGGTGAAACCCCACCTCTACAAAAATATAAAATTAGCCAGGTGTGGTGGCACACGCCTGTAATCCCAGCTACTTGAGAGGCTAAGGCAGGAGGATTTCTTGAACTCCGGAGATGGAGGTTGCAGTGAGCTGAGATCATGCCATTGCACTCCAGCCTGGGCAACAAGAGCAAAACTCTGTCTCAAAAACCAAACAAAACAAAAACAAAAAACAACAGAATGAGCCCCAGGTCTGGAGACCTGGCTGGGTGTACTGAGATGGGAACAGGTGGCAGTGGAAGGGCATTCGGGTAGATGATTCTGGTGCCCATTGGAGAGGCCAGGCTGGCAGTGGGAGCCCAGGAGGCAGCTGTGAATGACTGGCATGTGAAGTGGCACTTGGTATAGAGGAGAAAAGAGAAGCAGGCTCTTTTCTTGACCTCTGGCTGTTTGTAACACGCAGTTCACACCCTGGGACCCTTCTGGCCAGGGGTTGGAGAGAGGGTAAGACACTATTAATTCACAGGACTGATTGGGTGTGGGCCAGGGCAAGGGAGATCAGTAGGGGCAGACTGAAGGCAAAGCCCCCAGACCTATTATCCCTCTGCAAACAGAGACCTCTTTCCTGAATGTGGATTTCCAATGGGTTCAAGAGTTTTGCTGGGGAAATAAAATAATTGGGCAATCAGCCAGAAGAAAGCGAATGTGGATTGGGAGACTGTTTACAATGGGCTGTTGCATCCTCAGGAGGGAGGGCAGCCCCATCCTTTGTCATGCAGAGGAAGGAGCCTGGCTTCCTAGGCCTGTGGGTGGGTGGGGGTGGGGGATCTGGCTGGTCTGCAGGGTCAGATAGGGCCCAAAAGGCCAGGAATTGTGAAGTCATCCTGAAGCCACATCTGCCATCCTGGAGGGCAGCAGGGGGCAGGAAATGGGAGAACGAGAGGAAGCTCACCACCCCCACTGAGGGCCCAGCCCTGGGACTGAACTTGAGGACATGATGCAGGGAGGAGGAGGAGGACCAGGTAGGAGGGCAGATGAGGAATGGGACCCTGTGCCCTCAGCCACCCTCCTGCCCCTGATAGGCCAGGATGTGACTCCAACCAGAGGCCAGGTTGCCAGGTGAGGGCCATGGGAAAACACAGAGGTCAGAGGTCATCGTGGGGCCTCCATGGGTGGGGATGAGCTGGACTCAGGCCTAGGCTCTGAGGTCAGCAAAGCTAAGAGTCCAGGAGTGGAGTGGCTTCTAATTCGGAGCCCAGCATCTGGGGTCTCCAGGGTGGCTTTTGTCCCCTCCCTGGGCAGGGGCAGACACTACTGAGAGTGCTCAGGAAATACCCCAAGGCCAGTCCAGGTGTCTTGGGCTGCCCCAACCCACACCATCAACCTCCCTGACCCCAGGCCTGAGGGCCCATGTGGCTCCTTGGGGTTTCCAGACATGCCCTGTGTGGGCCCTCCCTGTTGTCCTTGAGTAGCTCAGACTCCCATGGAGGACAGTGGGGAACGAGGCAGGAATAAAGACCCATGTTTCAGGTCATCCAGCCCCTTCCTGGCAAGAGTGAGTTCTCAGTTCAGTCTCCAGTGTGCCACTCACCAGCTGTGTGGCCCTGGACAAGTCGCTGACCCTGCCTCTGATAGGCCGTCCACAAGTCAGTTGGTGAAGCCGGGAGTGGCTGGATTCCGAAAGAAGGCGAGAGAGGACGCTTTGCAGCCAGGCCCCAGTGGTGGCTGGACCTTGTTGCCCAGGATGGCTCCGTGTGGTTGCCTGGCACGCATGTAATCCTCACTGTGCACTCGGGGCATAGATAGAATTGATGCCCCATCTCATAGTCAAGGAAGCTGAGGCACTGGCAGATGATGAATTTGTCCAAGGTCACCTAGCTAGGATTGCTCCTCCCCTGCCCCCCTACAGTGCTCTCGTTAACAATCTGCGACCTCGGGCAAGGATCTTAGATGCTCTGGGCCTCCTTTATGAAATGTCAACAATGCCTTCCTCTCAGGGCATGGGGGACAGCGAAGGAGAAAAGGAGAGGTAAGTGAAGCGAGGGGAGAAACCAGGCTTCCTGAAGGTGACTGTGGAACCAGCCACTGCAAGGGCAGCTCGGGCACCTGTGGGCTCTGGAACTCGCCTTTGCGGAGTGCCTGCCTGGCCCAGGTCCCCACACTGCACCTGTACTTCCTGTTGTTGAGGTTGCCCCTGTCTCTTCAGGTTCATTCAGGATACTGAAAAGGGGCAGAATCATCAACAAATATTTGCTTAAGTAATTGAAAAGAAAGGGAGGCCGGAAGAGGAGCTTATGGAGATGAATGGCTTCTAGAATTTCCTTCTTCAAGGCAAGATTTGAGGACAGGGACTGGTTTATGTGAGTGTTTTCCTTTTTGAACATTTTTTTTTTTTGAGGCAGGGTCTTGCTCTATTGCCCAGGTTGGAGTGTAGTGATGCGATCTCGGCTCATTGCAACCTCTGCCTCCCAGGTTCAAGGGATTCTCGTGCCTCGGCCTCCCAAGTAAGCTGGGATTACAGGCACCCGCCACCACGCCTGGCTGATTTTTTGTATTTTTAGTAGAGACAGGGTTTTACCATGTTGCCCAGGCTGGTCTCGAATTCCTGACCTCAGGTGATCTGCTCACTTTGGCCTTCCAAAGTGCTGGGATTACAGGTTTGAGCCACCGCACCCGGCCTTCTTTGTCATTTCTCAATCCTGGAAAGACTTTTCTTTGAAAAGGGAAAGGAGGTGTTTTTGGATGGAGATGCTGGGAAGTAGCAGCTTTCAGGAGGCGTGGAAGGAGGGAAGTCGAGGCTAAAGTGTCAGCTGTGGAGAGAGTGGCAGGAGCAGCCGTCAATCATGAAATCACTTTTGCTATGGCACAAGGCAGTATGCACGTTTATGCTGCCACAGAGATGTGGTGGAATCAAAACACCGTCTAGGTGTTTTCCCCAACAGGAAGTGGTTCACTGATAGGTGGAGCTGAGGTATGACTTAAGCCACAAAGAGAACAAACAAACCAAACTTCACTGCATGAGCCTGGGCAGCTGGGGGCAGCTCCCTACACACAGGGCAGGCCTGGATCTAGGGAGATTGGGAAGCCAGTGGCACCTACTTCATCTGCCAGGGGACAACTTGCTTCTGTTGCTGCCAGCACTGGGTGGTGTTGAAACGCTGGGCTGGACTGTGGTCGCTTAGGCAGCAGACAGACTTCCCAATGAGGCCCTGGGGCTAGGAGGGCAGAGTGTTGGTGGGATAGGTCCCTGAATATAGGGGACACAGGTCCTCTTATAATTTCCACCTACAGCTCTCTGCATGCCTGAGGGTATTTCCTGAAAAGTTTGTATACAATGACTGCAAATAATCAAAATGAGTAACTGTAGAAGAAAATCGGAGGTGTAAATATTAGAAACGAGGAGCAGAATTATCACTATTAATTAGCAAATGACTTTTTTCCTTCCCACAAAAGCAAACAAATCCATCTCTACACACTCTACTTCTGCATGGTTTTGAATTTTAAACAAATGGAATCGTATTCATCTTTCATGTCTGGCTTCTGTTCAATGTTCTGCTTGTGACATTTGCCAATGTTGTAGACAGTTTCGGTTCATTTTCTTTGCCATAAAGTATTCCATAAGACTATACTACATTTTATTTGTGCTTTACAGTGTCGATGGATATTTTTGGTGAGTTGCTTCAGTTTGGACTCTTATAAACAATGCTGCTGTATCATCAATCTTATGCATGCATTTCTGTCCAACTGAATGAAATGACTGTGCCTTTTTTCTTTCTTTTTTTTTTTTTTTTTGAAATGGAGTCTCACTCTCTTGCCCAGGCTGGAAGTGCAGTGGCGTGATCTCGGCTCACGGCAACCTCTGTGCCCCACCCCGCCACGGGGGTTCAAGTGATTCTTCTGCCTCAGCCTCCCGAGTAGCTGGGATTACAGGTGCCCATCGCCACACCCAGCTAATTTTTGTAATTTTAGTAGAGATGGACTTTCACCATGTTGGCCATGCTGGTCACGGACTCCTGACCTCAGGTGATTGGCCCACCTCGGCCTCCCAAATTGCTGTGATTAGCGGCGTGAGCCACTGTGCCCGGCCCCTTTTTTGTTTTTAAGAGACAGGGTCTCGCTCTATTGCCCAGGCTGCTGTATTGCAGTGGTGCAATCATGGCTCATTGCAGCCTCGAACTCCTGGGCTCAAGCAATCCTGCCACCTCAGCCTCCCGAGTAGCTGGGAGTACTACAGGTGTGTGCCACCATGCCTGGCTGATTTTTTTTATAGTAGAGATGAGGTCTTGCTATGTTGCCCAGGCTGGTCTTGAACTCCTGGCCTGAAGCCATCCTCATACCTCAGCATCCCAAAGTGTTGGGATTATAGGCATGAGCCGTGGTGCCTGGCCATTGGGTCTTAAGTTTACCTGGTATCTTGAACTGTAGTAAATACTGCCAAGTTCTCTAGTGTGGTGTAGCACTTTACGCTCTCACCAGTGATATCTGAGAGTTCTCACTGCTCCAGATATTCATC
Source organism: Homo sapiens (assembly GCF_000001405.40). Taxonomy (NCBI): domain Eukaryota; kingdom Metazoa; phylum Chordata; class Mammalia; order Primates; family Hominidae; genus Homo; species Homo sapiens. Next base: position 225,895,747 of record NC_000001.11, on the reverse strand, counting down.
AAATTGGTTTTACTCAACATCCATTATATTATTATTATTATTATTATTATTATTATTATTATTTAGAAATAGGGTCTCACTCTGTCACCCAGACTGGAGTGCAGTGGCACAATCATAGCTCACTGCAGCCTTAAACTCCTGGGTTCAAGTGATCCTCCTGTCTTAGCCTCCTGAGTAGCTAAGTGCACACCACCACACCTAATTTAAAAATGTTTTTGTAGAGATGGGGTCTTGCTATGTTGCCCAGGCTGGTCTTGAACTCCTGGCCTCAAGCAATCCTTCTGCCTTGGACTCTCAAAGTGCTAGGATTTAAGGCATGAGCCACCATGCTTGGCCCGTTCTCGATTTTTTTTTTTTTTTTTTTTTGAGATGGAGTCTTGCCCTGTCGCCCAGGCTGGAATGCAGTGGTGCGATCTTGGCTCACTGCAACCTCCGCCTCCTGGGTTCAAGCAATTCTCCTGCCCAGCCTCCCAAGTAGCTGGGATCACAGGCGTGCGCCACTACACCCAGTTAATTTTTGTATTTTTAGTAGACACGGGGTCTCACTACGTTCGTCAGGCTGGTCTCGAGCTCTTGACCTCGTGATGCGCCCGCCTCGGCCTCCCAAAGTGCTGGGATTACAGGTGGGAGCCACCGCGCCCAGCCCGTTCTTGATTTTTAAAAAATTCTATTATGGATACTTCGTTAACATGATAAAATGTATTTAGCTCAACCGTAAAGCTCATACTCAATGGGGAAATAGTAAAGGAGTCCTATTAAAACCAGGACAAAACAATGCTATCCATTATCATCACTTTTATTGAATATTGTTCTAGAAAAACTACTAAATGGAGTTAGACAATAGAAAAAAAAATTCCAGAGGAATAAACTTTGAAAAAGAGGAATTAAATTATTAGTAGCAAATATTAAGATTTTGTACCTAGAAAATGCAAGAAATCAACTAAGAACTGTTAGGTACAATAAGAAGTTCCAGTAAAGTCTTCTATGCACCAATTTTGAACTCACTTTACTGGAATGTCTTATTGTTTGTAAGAAGTTTGAAGAGGACTTCTATGTACCAATTGGTACCACAGCCTGAAATCTTCAGGCTGGGCACAGTGGCTCATGCCTGTAATCCCAGCACTTTGGGAGGCCTAGGCGGGTGGATCACTTGAGGTCAGGAGTTCAAGACCATGAAAACCTGTCTCTACTAAAAATAAAAAATAGCCAGGTGTGGTGGTGTGTGCCAGTAATCCCAGCTACTCAGAGGCTGAGGCAGGAGAATCACTTGAACCTGGGAGGTGGAGGTGGCAGTGAGCAGAGATCGTGCCACTACACTCCAGCCTGGGCGACAGAGCGACTCTGTCTCAAAAAAAGAAAAAGAAAAAGAAATCAAGTCTTTAATGACACAAATAACACTTAAGCAGTGTGATGGTATAAAAAAATCCCATCTTCAATACAAATGAAAAGCAAACTACCCAGGAGTTGATTTAACAAGTTATTTATAAGATGTTTTAACAAGTTATATGTAAGACATAAGACAAACCATGAGGAAAGGCAAACTGTGTTCTTAGATGAGAAAATGCCAGTGCTTCCTAATCTGTGAATTTAACATAATTCAATAAAAACATTAGAGTATGACAAAAAAAAAAAACAGCATAAACAAAGTATAAAACACAAATTATACATGGGAGAAATATTTGCAATGCATATAACAGAGAAAAGGCTAATGTCCCTGATATATAAAGTGTCTACATATCAATAAGAAAAAACAACTCAGTAGAAAATTGACACAAGGTATGAACAAACAGTTCTCAAAAACAGAAATATAAGCTGAGCATGATGGCACACACCTATGTTCCCGGCTTCTCCAGAGGTTGAGACAGGAGAATTACTTGCACCCAGGAGTTCGAGACCAGTCTGGGCAACACGGCAAGACTTCCTCTTTACAAAGCATAAAAAATTTTGGCTGGGCACGGTGGCTCATGCCTGTAATCCCAGCACTTTGAAGGGGCGGAGATGGGCAGATCATCTGAGGTCAGGAGTTCGAGGCCAGCCTGGCCAACCTGGTGAAACCCCATTTCTACTAAAAATACAAAAATTAGCCGGGCGTGGTGGTGGGCACCTGTAATCCCAGCTACTTGGGAGGCTAAGACAGCAGAACCTCTTGAACCCTGGAGGAGGAAAATCTCTTGAACCTGGGAGGTGGAGGTTGCAGTGAGCCGAGATCCTGCCACTGCACTCCAGCCTAGGCAACACAGTGAGACTCTATCTCAAAATAATAATAATAATAATTCAGCTGGGTGTGGTGGTGCACATCTGTGGTTCCAGTTACTCGGGAGACTGAGGCGGGAGGATCCTTTGAGCCCAAGAGGTTGAGGCTGCAATGAGCTGAGATGGCACCACTGCACTCCAGGCTGAGCAACAGAGTGAGACCTTGTCTCAAAAAATAAATAAATAAAAATAAAATAAAAATGTGCAGATGAGGAACAAAAAGAGACTGACATTCTTCCATATTCCCTTTCCTATCTTTTGAAAGTTGTGCTATTTGTATTAATTACAAACAAAAACAAAAACAAGGCCGGGCGCGGTGGCTCAAGCCTGTAATCCCAGCACTTTGGGAGGGGGAGACGTGCGGATCACGAGGTCAGGAGATCCAGACCATCCTGGCTAACATGGTGAAACCCCGTCTCTACTAAAAATACAAAAAAATTAGCCGGGCGCGGTGGCGGGTGCCTGTAGTCCCAGCTACTCGGGAGGCTGAGGCAGGAGAATGGCGTGAACCCGGAAGGCGAAGCTTGCAGTGAGCCGAGATTGTGCCACTGCACTCCAGCCTGGGCGACAGAGCGAGACTCCATCTCAAGAAAAAAAACAAAAAACAAAACAAAACAAAACCAAAAAAATTCAGTTTCAACACCAGAGGACAAAAAAGAAAAAGGAAACAAAATAAAAAGAAAAAAAGAAAAGAAAAAAGAAAAAAAAGAAACAATGTTAACACACAATTTAAAAAATTTAAACATTTAAAAAATTACTAACAGTATAAGAGACTCCTACTATTTATTGGTCACCTAGTGTGTACCAAGAGGGTGTGCTAGGCACCCTGTAGACATCTCAATTAATACAAACACTGCAAGAAAAATACATTATTCCCATTTTATAGGTGGAAACGTATTGTATTGAAGAATGTGGAAAACCTGCCAGTGGCTGGGTGTGGTAGCTCACACCTGTAATCCTAGCACTTTGGGAAGCCAAGGCAGGAGAATGGCTTGAAGCCAAGAGTTCAAGACCAACTTGGCCAACATAGTGAGACCCCCGTCTCAGAAAAAAAAATTTAAAAATATGACAGGGCGCGGTGGCTCATGCTTGCAATCCCAGAAGTTTGGGAGGCCGAGGTGGGCAGATCACCTGAGGTCAGGAGTTTGGGACCAGACTGGCCAACATGGTGAAACCCCCGTCTCTACTAAAAATACAAAAAAATTAGCCAGGCATGGTGGCGGGTGCCTGTAATCCCAGCTACTCGGGAGGCTGAGGCAGGAGAATCTCTTGAACCCAGGAGGCGGAGGTTGCAGTAAGCCAAGATCACACCATTGCACTCCAGGCTGGGCAACAAGAGCGAAACTCCATCTCAAAAAATAAATAAATAAATAAATAAGAATAATATTAAAAAATTAATTTGAAAAAGTAAAAGAAAACCTGCCAGAGGCCACACAGCTAGTAAATGTGAGTGGCATAGCAAGGTTTGAACTCACTCTTGCCAAGAAGGGTGTCATGTTGGACCCCCAAGCAGGCAAGCTGGGAGGGCACCACCTTGGAGAGACCAAAGAAAAGACCCAGAGACAGCAGGCAAGACATGAGCTTTATTCAAGGGACTTACGCACAGGGGGAAGTCCAGGAGCGGCAGGCTGGACAGGAGCAACCGCTGCCATTTGTGAAAAGTGTGCAGGTCATGTAGAAACCTTCACATTGCAACATTTGTTTGTTTGGTTGGCTTTTTTTGAGACAGGGTCTCACTCTGTCGCCCAGGCTGGAGCGCAGTGGTGCAATCTCGGCTCACTGCAACCTCTGCCTCACAGGTTCAAGCGCATCTCCTGTCTCAGCCTCCTGACTAGCTGGGACTACAGGCGTCTGCCACCAAGCCCAGGTAATTTTTGTATTTTTAGTAGAGTCGAGGTTTTGCCATGTTGGCCAGGCTAGGCTCCAATTCCTGACCTCAAGTGATCCGCCCACCTTGGCCTCCCAGAGTGCTGGGATTATAGGCGTGAGCCACCACGCCCAGCCCAAAACCACATTGCAACTTCCATCTAGCAACCTCTACTTAGCAGCCTCCACCTACCTCAAAACAATGGACCTCTGTTCCTTGTACAGCCTGTGTTCCAAGTAACAGGCCAGGGGCCTGACATTCTTCATAGTTAAACATAATTAAACATCCAGGTTGGCCGTTCCCACGGTCCATAGCCTGGAACACTGAACAAACATCACCAAGGGACAAAGGGTCCTTCCCAGGCCATGCTTGAGTTGTTGCTGTCTGGCAAGATGTGCCCACCACACAAAGGTGCTGGATGAACTGAAACGGGTCCCTATTCCTGGTTTGTTTCCCACCCTCCTCAGCCCAGACAGAGCCCCAGGGAAGGACCCCTGATGATGCCAGAGTCTGAGCTACTTTGGGAGAACAGGAAGTGCCCACACAGGGGGTGCCTGGAACCACCAAGGAGCCACATGGGCCCCCAGGCCTGGGGTCAGGGAGGTTGATGGTGTGGGTTGGGGCAGCCCAGGACACCTGGACTGGCCTTGGGGCATTTCCTGAGCACTCTCAGAAGTATCTGCCCCTGCCCAGGAAGGGGGCAAAAGCCACCCTGGAGACCCTAGATGCTGGGCTCTGACTTAGAAGCCACTCCACTCCTGGACTCTTAGCTTTGCTGACGTCAGAGCCCAGGCCTGAGTCCAGCTCATCCCCATCCATGGAGGCCCCAGGATGACCTCTGACCCCCATGTTTTCCCATGGCTCTCACTTGGCAACCTGGCCTCTGGTTGGGGTCACATCCTGGCCCACCAGGGGCAGGAGGGTGTTCGAGGGCAAAGGGCCCCACTCCTCATCCACCCTCCTACCTGGGCCCCCTCCCCCTCTCCCCAGTATGGCCAGACCACTGCCCTCCAGTGCCCTTAGCTCTGGGCCGAGGGCCAGGTCCAAATGTGCTCTGAGTCAGGGTAGGGATCACTCATTCCCTTGCCCCGCTCTCCTCCCTTAGATAGAAGATCTGGTTCTGGGGCCACTTTACCATCTCAAGCCCAATCTGGGCAGACCCAGGTGGGGATGGTTGGGGAAGCCAGGCTCCGTCTTCTGCATGACAAAGGGTGGGGCTGCCCTCCCTCCTGGCAACACTTCAGACCATTGTAAACAGTCTCCCAATCCACATTTGTTTTATTTTTCGTTGTCAGATCTAGCAAATAAAAATATAGGACTCTGGTGAAATTTGAATGTCAGGTAGACAATGAATAATTTTTTTGGTATAATTATGTCCCAAATAGTGCCTTGTATTTTATCTGGTAGCCCTACCCCTGGCTGATCACCCAAATGTTTTATTTCCCCAGCAAAACTCTTCAACCAGCTTACAAATCCACATTCAGGATAGGGGTCCTCTGTCTTGGGGGATTGTCCCCCTGCCCCAGCCTAGACCTGATCACCTGGATTGAGACCACCTGGCTCCCTTTAGGGCATAGATCAAAACTAGGCTGTAAATAATTTGAGTGTGCCAAGAACTTTGTGAATTGCAAGACCTGACTTTATATGGACATTGATCATTAACTTTGTGAGCTTCGGGAAGTTGACACCTCTGAGCCTCGGTTTTTTTTCAGCTCAAAAATTGGGAGAGGTTGCCGTGAGCCGAGACTGCGCCATTGTACTCCAGCCTGGGCAACAAGAATGAAACTCTGTCTCAAAAGAAAAAAAAATTGGGGGAGAAGGTAGCCTGGATATTCCTTTCAACTCTAAACTCTAATTCTGTGAACAGCAGGGATGAGGGAGAGGATGAGGCTCCTTCCTTATTGGACAAAACCCCGTTGGAACTAAATGCTCCTAGGCTCCCTTGCCTAGGAAGGTCCCCCCAGAACAGTGGGAAATCTGGTTTCACAACTGGGGACCACCAGCTCAGGATCTCATGAGGCCCCGGGACCCTCTGAGCACGGGCCCGGATGCTCATCCCTGCAGACTGGATTGGCCCTTAGAGCCCTGGCGTTGCCTGAGCCATTCTGGTTCCTGTCAGTTGTTTGGTTGCAGCAAGGAACAAGACTCTAGGTCCACTTACCAGCAGCTGGGGGAACTGAGCCTCTTGCAGAGAACGAGAGCCCCACCTCTACTCTAGGAAATGAGCTTTTTAATTTAACTGGTCAGGCCTCAACCCACATTAGGGGTTCATGACCATTGTATAGACAGCTGTAGCCAGCTGTTCACAGCCCAGACAGACTTGCCCTATCTAGACAGCCCCCTCCTCCCAGCTCAGGGACTCGTCTGGCTGTGAGCTTCCAGGAGGTCTCAGGGGTGTGACCTCCCTCCCTCCTTCCCTCCCCACTCCCTACCTCCTCCCTCCACCCCAGGCTATAAAGCTGCCCAGGCTTGGCTCTCAGCACATCCAGCTGCCTGAGACCCTCCTGCAGCCTTCTCAAGGGACAGCCCCACTCTGCCTCTTGCTCCTCCAGGGCAGCACCATGCAGCCCCTGTGGCTCTGCTGGGCACTCTGGGTGTTGCCCCTGGCCAGCCCCGGGGCCGCCCTGACCGGGGAGCAGCTCCTGGGCAGCCTGCTGCGGCAGCTGCAGCTCAAAGAGGTGCCCACCCTGGACAGGGCCGACATGGAGGAGCTGGTCATCCCCACCCACGTGAGGGCCCAGTACGTGGCCCTGCTGCAGCGCAGCCACGGGGACCGCTCCCGCGGAAAGAGGTTCAGCCAGAGCTTCCGAGGTGAGGCCCTCCCTCCCTGCTGCCCCTGGTCCCATGGGGCAGGTCAGATGTGCCCACTCCGGTGGTGTCAAAGGGCTCCTGGCCTTGCAGAGGTCTGTGGGAGGCTGAGTGAGGGCCACGGTCTAAGGGGCAGTGAGGTGGGGCCGGGCCTGTGAGGATGGCGGGGCCTCAGCATGCAGCGGTGCATGCAGTCAGGACTCCGGGGGTCTGTTTTCGTACTGCCACTCTGGTCTGAGTTCTACTTGGAGCATATTGCTTTAAAATCATCTCACAACCATTTGCTCACATGGAACTGGGGTATAACTATGTCTTGCCCATCTTCCAGCATTGTGAACATCAAAATGAGTCATTGTAAATAGAAGCGTGTTTGGGTAACTGAAAAATACTGCACTTGAGTAGACAACCTGGGTTATACCTGGCTGTCAGGGGTGCAGCGGGCCTGAATCCTCCTGCAGCCGGCCTGAATCCTCCTGCAGCCTCTCGCCTCCCTAGCTCCTCAGTGCCCAGAGCTAGACCCAATGCCAGGCACCTGGGTGAGGATTCTGCTCCCAGCATCTCAGCTGAGGCAAACTTGCTAGCCAGGGTCCCACAGGCGCCCCTGCCTGCTGGATGGAAATTGTTACTAAACAAGGCCCAGATCCAAGGAAGATTTGTAAACTGGGTTTGCCCCAGAAATAGAACAGGGCCGGTGTCTCCTGGCCTGGCTGCCAGCTCAGTGGCCCTGCCATCCTCAGAGCTCCCCTGGAGTCGGGGGAGGCCCTGCTGACCCTGCTCTTGTCCCCAGAGGTGGCCGGCAGGTTCCTGGCGTTGGAGGCCAGCACACACCTGCTGGTGTTCGGCATGGAGCAGCGGCTGCCGCCCAACAGCGAGCTGGTGCAGGCCGTGCTGCGGCTCTTCCAGGAGCCGGTCCCCAAGGCCGCGCTGCACAGGCACGGGCGGCTGTCCCCGCGCAGCGCCCGGGCCCGGGTGACCGTCGAGTGGCTGCGCGTCCGCGACGACGGCTCCAACCGCACCTCCCTCATCGACTCCAGGTGGGGGTCGCGGGGGCGCGCAGGGTAGGGGGAGGGCGCTGCTAGGCCCGGCTTGGGGGCGGGGACGCGGGGGGGCGGTGCGGGGTCCTCGGGGCCCGTCCCAGTCCCCGCCCTCAAGCGGCGCTGGGTCTCTGTGTCATGTCTCAGGCTGGTGTCCGTCCACGAGAGCGGCTGGAAGGCCTTCGACGTGACCGAGGCCGTGAACTTCTGGCAGCAGCTGAGCCGGCCCCGGCAGCCGCTGCTGCTACAGGTGTCGGTGCAGAGGGAGCATCTGGGCCCGCTGGCGTCCGGCGCCCACAAGCTGGTCCGCTTTGCCTCGCAGGGGGCGCCAGCCGGGCTTGGGGAGCCCCAGCTGGAGCTGCACACCCTGGACCTTGGGGACTATGGGTAGGTGCTGAGGGTCAAACTGGTAAGCCGGAATAAAGAGACAGGCAATTACATTTATTTTGAAATGGACAACTTTTCAGAGTGCTGTGGGAATGAATGAGACAATGTATACAATTCTTCCTCTGACTCTTAGGAGATCCTCAGTAAATATCGGTTATTAATTTTCAAGTTATTTCTAGCTGTCCATCCTATATCACAAACATCCAGCTTTTTGAAGTTGAGAGGTGGATCATAAATCTCCATCCCAGACGCCCTCTGACCTCAGCCCTCCCAGCTGACCGCTGACCCTGCTCTCTTTGCCCACACAGAGCTCAGGGCGACTGTGACCCTGAAGCACCAATGACCGAGGGCACCCGCTGCTGCCGCCAGGAGATGTACATTGACCTGCAGGGGATGAAGTGGGCCGAGAACTGGGTGCTGGAGCCCCCGGGCTTCCTGGCTTATGAGTGTGTGGGCACCTGCCGGCAGCCCCCGGAGGCCCTGGCCTTCAAGTGGCCGTTTCTGGGGCCTCGACAGTGCATCGCCTCGGAGACTGACTCGCTGCCCATGATCGTCAGCATCAAGGAGGGAGGCAGGACCAGGCCCCAGGTGGTCAGCCTGCCCAACATGAGGGTGCAGAAGTGCAGCTGTGCCTCGGATGGTGCGCTCGTGCCAAGGAGGCTCCAGCCATAGGCGCCTAGTGTAGCCATCGAGGGACTTGACTTGTGTGTGTTTCTGAAGTGTTCGAGGGTACCAGGAGAGCTGGCGATGACTGAACTGCTGATGGACAAATGCTCTGTGCTCTCTAGTGAGCCCTGAATTTGCTTCCTCTGACAAGTTACCTCACCTAATTTTTGCTTCTCAGGAATGAGAATCTTTGGCCACTGGAGAGCCCTTGCTCAGTTTTCTCTATTCTTATTATTCACTGCACTATATTCTAAGCACTTACATGTGGAGATACTGTAACCTGAGGGCAGAAAGCCCAATGTGTCATTGTTTACTTGTCCTGTCACTGGATCTGGGCTAAAGTCCTCCACCACCACTCTGGACCTAAGACCTGGGGTTAAGTGTGGGTTGTGCATCCCCAATCCAGATAATAAAGACTTTGTAAAACATGAATAAAACACATTTTATTCTATAATTTTGTAATTTTCTATTTTATTTTAATTAATTAATTATTTTTGAGACAGAGTCTCACTCTGTCACCCAGGCGGGAGTGCAGTGGCCCAATCTCGGCTCACTGCAGCCTCTGCCTTCCAGGTTCAAGCGATTCTCATGCCTCAGCATCTTGAGTAACTGGGATTACAGGCATGTACCACCACGCCAAGCTAATTTTTTGTATTTTTATTATTATTATTATTGAGACAGCTCTGTCGCCCAGGCTGGAGTACAGATGGCGCTATGTTGGCTCACTGCAAGCTCTGCCTCCCGGGTTCACACCATTCTCCTGCCTCAGCCTCCCGAGTAGCTGGGACTACAGGTGCCTGCCACCATGCCTGGCTAATTTTTTGTATTTTTTAGTAGAGACAGGGTTTCACTGTGTTAACCAGGATGGTCTCAACCTCCTGACCTCGTGATCCGCCTGCCTCGGCCTCCCAAAGTGCTGGGATTACAGGCGTGAGCCACTGCACCTGGCCTAATTTTTTGTATTTTTAGTAGAGATGGGGTTTTGCCATGTTGCCCAGGCTGGTCTGGAACTCCTGACCTCAAGTCATTCGGCAGCCTCAGTCTCCCAAAGGGCTGGGATTACAGGCACAAGCCACTGTGCCCGGCTGTAATTTTCCATTTTAATCAAAGCTCTGCAAATTGAGGAAGGAGCAGAAAGTTCTACAGCGATTAGGTCAACCTGATTGTAAAACTAAGGAAGGAGCTTGAGTTGGCCAAGACTTGGTAAAGATCTTGGTTAGGTAATACATGAAACTAGGATTAAAATGCTTTCAGGGCCAGCACGATGGCTCACTTCTGTAATCCCAGCACTTTGGGAGGCCGAGGTGGGCGGATCACTTGAGGCCAGGAGTTCAAGACCAGCCTGGCCAACATGGTGAGAGTGCATTTCTACTAAAAATACAAAAATTAGCTGGGCATGGTGGTGTGCGCCTATAATTCCAGCCACTCGGGAGGCTGAGGCATGAGAATCGCTTAAACCCAAGAGGCGGAGGTTGCAGTAAGCTGAGATCACACTACTGCACTCCAGCCTGGGCAATAGAGTGAGATTCTGTCTCAAAAATAAAATAAATAAAAATAAAATGCATTCTGATTCTAGAATCTATGGTACCTGCCCTCCCAGAATTGATACAGAAATTTCTTTTTTTTTTTTTTTGAGACGGAGTCGCCCAGGCTGGAGTACAGTGGCAGGAGTGCAGTGGCGCGATCTCCGCTTACTGCAAGCTCCGCCTCATGGGTTCACGCCATTCTCCTGCCTTAGCCTCCCGAGTAGCTGGGACTACAGGTGCCCGCCACCACGCCCGGCTAATTTTTTTGTATTTTTAGTAGAGATGGGGTTTCACCATGTTAGCCAGGATGGTCTCTATCTCCTGACCTTGTGATCCGCCCACCTCGGCCTCCCAAAGTGCTGGGATTACAGGCATGAGCCACCGCGCCCGGCCAATACTGAAATTTTTTTGTTCTTGACACTTTGACTTTCCTGGGCATAGTGACTGGGCTTTATTCCAATCCTACTTGCATCAAAATAAAATCTGTGATCAAAATTATCATCTATACTTAGAGAAGAAAATAAAGCTTCAGAGGATCTGGAATTTATAGCTGTAAGAGCTGTGCAGCTGGGCGCGGTGGCTCACGTCTATAATCCTGAGGATCACCTGAGGTTGGGAGTTTGAGACCAGCCTGACCAACATAGAGAAACCCCGTCTCTACTAAAAGTACAAAATTAGCCGGGTGTGGTGGCACATGCCTATAATCCCAGCTACTTGGGAGGCTGAGGCAGGAGAATCGCTTGAAGCCAGGAGGTGGAGGTTGCAGTGAGCTGAGATCACACCACTGTACTACAGCCTGGGCGACAGAGTGAGACTGTGTCTCAATAAGTAAATAATTAATTAAAAATTAAAAAATAAAATAGTGATTTTACAAGCACTTCACACAACTGACATAACAAAGGCTGTGGCTATCTCAACTCACATATCGATCCATCAAGGCCTTCTCTTGATTTTGAAATAACCTTAACCTACTCAAGAACAAATTTAGAAATCCTTTCTCTCTCTGAAATCTTTGTCAGTGGCTCCAGCATTCTAATTACCAAGACCGGAACCTTGCACTTGCCTGGACCCATGGCACAGACCAGACAGGTGGGGGCACCATTCATTGAGGAAGGAAGGAGGACAGGCAGGTGCGGGAGTGGGGAGTGGAAGAAAGATTGGACAGGGACAGTCTAAGGAGCCAACGGGGAGTCCAGGGGCCACACCCAGGACTCTGCAGACCGTCAGATGTGGAGGTAAGAGAGCAGGGAGGGGGGATGGCCAGGCGCAGCTATGGAGGGACAAGGGCAGAGATGATACTGGCGGGGGGCATAGAGGAAAAACCCTGGAAAATAACTAGTGGCTAGAGCTTTGGGGAGAGAAGGGGAAAGACAGATGGGACAGAAAAGAACTGAGAGAGGCAGGAAGAGACCCTCCCCACCCCACTCCTGGACAGCCACAGACTGGCGCTAGAATCAGGGACAGGGAGGTAAGGAGGAATTTTTTTTTTTTTTTTTTTTTTTTTGAGACAGAGTTTCGCTCTTGTTGCCCAGGCTGGAGTTCAATGGTGAAATCTCAGCTCACCGCAACCTCCGCCTCCCAGGTTCAAGCGATTCTCCTGCCTCAGACTCCCTAGTAGCTGGGATTACAGGCATGTGCCACCACACCCGGCTAATTTTGTATTTTTAGTAGAGACGGGGTTTCTCCATGCGGGTCAGGCTGGTCTCGAACTCCAGACCTAAGGTGATCCGCCCACCTCGGCCTCCCAAAGTGCTGGTATTACAGGCATGAGCCACCGCGCCCGGCCATAAGGAGGATATTTTTATGCCGTTACAGAAAAAGATGAAAGCTCAGAAATGGAAGGGAGGTCGGAGAACCTGCAAAGGCATGCATGTGGGGTGAGGACTGCTCAGAGCTCAGAGAGGGGTGCTGGAAGGGACCTGAGAGGAAGCTTTGGTCCAACCACTCATTTCACAGATAGGGAAACAGGGGCCTGCGGACGGGTTGGTTTGCTCCTTGATTCCCAGGGCGCGCGGTCCTCCCCGAACCCAGCCTCGCTTCCCGCGCAGCGCCCAGCAGTCCCTGGCGCGGCGGGCCGGCCCTGCCCTCGCGAGCTTGCGGTCCGGTTGTGGAGGCCACCGGCTCCCTGGAAACATTTGGCTCCCGGCCGGGAGGCATGCCGCGCTCTCGGACCTGGGCTGGAGTAGGTGCCCTTGGCGGCCCTGGCTCGAGCAGTAATGGACTAGCCCCAGGGGGCGTTGGAAATGCTGCGACCCGCCCCCACATTTTTGCCCGAACGGAGACCCTCCGGGCTTTCACGGTCCGGCCTTCTACAGCGGCGGGGGAGCCGTGGCCTCTTGCAGGGCGCTCCGCGCGGTTCCCGACTACCCGGAGCCGAGGTGCGGGCTGAATCCTGCTGAGCTCCCCATGCTACCACCCCCGCAACCCCACTCTCCCGGGGCGGGTCTAAGAGCTCTTCGGGGAAATTCAAAGCACTACAGGGACCAACGTTTGCAGATGCTCTCCCTGCGCCGCGACCACCCTGTGCTTGGCCCAGTTCTCCCGGAGGCGTCCAGAGACTGGGCTCGTGCCGGGGGACGGAAGAGGGTGCGCCCCGGCGGATCCCTTCTTGGAGCCTGGACGTGAGCTGGCCGGTCCGGGGCTTGCAGACCTCCGGGAGGAGCTGCGGGGCTGAGCGGCGACCAGGAGGCCAGGCCGGGGCAGAGGACCGCCGAGGGCCACCGCGGGAGGCGCAGTCAGCTGCGTACAGGCTTGCGCCGCCGCGGGCCAAGACTCCAAATTGGGAAAGGGGTGGCCGCAGCTCTGCGCATGTGCAGGAGGCGCCGGAGTTTCACTTTGTAACTTTTAAGTGGTCGGAACACGCCCCGCGCTGCTGGGTCCCGCCAGACACGCCGCCGCCGCAGGTACAGGGGACAGGGGGCGTGAGGAGGGGCAATGCACCCTCCGCCTTTCCCGGGACGTGCGCGCCAGGTGTCCGGTTCCGGAACGGCTCCCAGCCTACGCAGACCCCAGAGCCCCCGACCCCAAGCAGGGGGTGACGACGCGGGATTGGGTGGGAGGAGAGGGTCCGGGCAGCGCCTCCATTCCAGCCCTGCGCTCCTTGGGAATTCCTGGCGGCTTTTCAGGACTTTCCTCTCCGGCTTTTCGCTTTCAGGGCTGGTATCTCCTTCTTCCCCACCCCTCTCTTTGGGATTTGTCGGCGGAGTCCGACCTCCCACCTAACTAGGAGTGCAGCTATGGGCTCCTCGGACCCTATACGAGGCCGGGCTGGGAAAGGGCCAAGCGTCCGACTCTCCTGACGCCAGGAAGGCAGAGGCCACCCCTCGGGCTGTTCCTGGGTGACCACTTCCTGCAGCCTTGGCGGAGTCCTGAGGAGGGAGGCTGGGGACTCGGGGACTGGGGGGAAGGGCGGGGGCGGAAAGGGTGAGGCGAGCTCTGCTAAGAAACCAAATCCGCAAAGGTTCCAGCACCTGATAAGACTAGCTACCTGAGGCCCTGGAGGGGCCTTGGTCATTCAGCCCCAGGCAGGTGGTGTCCTCTTCAAGGGCAGGGGTGGACAGCGTGGCGGACCCACTGACCCTCCCTTGACACCTCTCAGGTCATCCTCAAGTCTGCTGTGCCTTCAAGGGGGATATGAACGGAAGCCGAGGCTCCTTTTCCCTTCACACGCCCCTCTCCTTTGTTTAGTGTGGGGGCAAAGGTCTCTCCTAGCTGTTCGTTGGGCTCTAACAGAGAAGACGTCAGGTGGGATCCTGCCCTTGTGTTTCCCATTAGCTGGAGGGGCGACTTAAAATAAAGGCAGACAGCTTCTAATTGCTTGCTAGGGCCGGGTCCTGGGCTAAGTGCTTTACAGGTGTTGTTTGGGATCTGTGCCTCCCAACAGCTCCGTGAGAGAAAGTCATCACTCGCATTTCCTGGCGAAGGAAGCCAAGGCACAGAGTGGTTAGGCTGCTTGTCTGAACTGCGTGGTGCTGAGACCCTAACTCCAGAGCCTGCTCACATAATCCCTGAGCCACACTGCCTCTGGTTTCAGCCAGGGGCTGTGTCATTTCCTTTGTGCTCCAGGGTAGGAGGTAAACAGTTGTCCAGGTTACTGGGTCCTGTTTGGTGTTGCCATAAGGAGAAGTTTGTACTTTACTTTGCAACCTTATTCTGCATCTGAAAGACCAGAGTTAGCTCCTGAGGCAGAAGGCCTGGAGCTGCTTGTAGTTTCGCTATTGTCATCACAGGATTGAAAGATTTGGTGATGATAAAATTACCCTGAATTTGTACGGGCCTTCTTGCAAGAACGAACAATATCCATATACTTCCTGCAACATTCTGCTGGTATTTCTAGAGCTTGTCAAGTTGACCACCAGGCCAGTCCTTGCTGCCAATGGAGACTGGCAGTGGATTAGCATAGGTAGTTTACTTTGGCAAATTTAGACCAGCTGTTGGATTTAGCCCTCTCCCACTGGCCACAATCAGACGCTTGCCTGCACATGGGTTGAACTTTGGGTTGGGAGCGTGAAGTCACCTGCTGCCCACTCTGGCTCTTGGGCCTCAGCAGTAATTCTTGGCTTTCCTACCCTCGGCATATTGAGTAGGAATAAGGGGATGAATGGAGAATTTCTGGAAGGCACAGGTAAGTGCTAGGCATTCACATACATCTAGGATGACTGAATATTGCCAGGGGTTCTCAGCCAGGCAGTGCCACTTCAACCACAGTGCCTAGCTGCTGGTTTGGCCTCCTCTATACAGCTGCCAGCTGGGTGCTCCCCTCCCCCTGCCTTCTCCTCAGCCTGGCAGCACTGTCCCATGGTGTCTGTGTTCCCAGCTGCCTGCTCAGAGCGTGCCTGTTTGTGAAAATGCAGAGGAGCTGTCCCATGGAGAGCCAGAGGGACGGAGCTGTTTCAGGGGGATCTGGACTTTATGTGTCTAATGGGCAGGGACAGGCTGGGACTGAGCTGAAAGGTCTGAGAGAGATTGTGGGTCCCCAGAGCTCTACCCTAACCTGGGTGCTCATCGGAGAGGGCAGACAGGACTGGCCACCTGACCTTACCTCCGTCTCAGGCTGATAGTATTTGCTAGCCACCTCCCTGAGTTCATATCAAACTTTGTCAAACCACCCTGGGAAGCCTATTTGGCAAGAGACAAGTAACTTAGAGGCATGACTGGGGCTGGAGGGAGGGGGAAGAGGAGCCGCAGGTGTTTCCCTCCGCAGAGGCCTCTCTCCTCTGCAGCACTGGCGAGGGTATGCCACTCCCAGCACCACCACAGCACCCTCCCCTTTCCAGGGACAATGCTCTCTCTGTGAGCATTTTATGGGGATGTTTTTTCTTTCCACTTCACATTTCAAGCCTTCCTTGTTCATGCTGCTGTGTTCCCTTTTCCTGATTCTAGCTCTTGGGGAACCCTGGGGAGCCTCCCCAGTAGCATTGGCCCTTGGGGCCCAGGTGAAGTCCTTTGCTTGGGGCCCTACCGTGAGCCCACAACCTCCAGGGTTTCTGTGGGAGAGGGCTGCTCCCCTAGACCCAGCAGGTCCCTGAGCCATTGGCAAAGAGGAGAGAGGCTGGGGCCACAGGTGGTGCTGGCCGAGGAAGGAGGAGTAGGGTCGCACAGAGGAGCACTGATGGATGGAGAACCAGTTCTGGGAGTTTGGGGAGAGATCAAGGCAGGAGGGAGCCCACTGGGCAGAACCTAAAGGTCCATATGGGCAGCATGCATACACAGGTGTGTGCTGGAGGGTTTCCATCCAGACCCCTACACTGGAAAAGGGTGGCTCCCATGTGATGCTTGGTGTCTGTGATCCTTCAGGAAAGTCTACAGTTTGGTACCCCAGGACTCGCTGGTCAGGAAAGCCCTGCAGGACATGAGTGTTAGGCCCGACGCCTGGCCCTTGGCAGCTTGGGAGGTGGCTGGGGCTGCTTTTGCCTTTGCCAGAGACAGCTCCAACTGAGGACCTCTCCAACGGGCCCATCCACAGTCCTTCCTTCCCCTAGTGTCTGGTAAGTGTGGGGACAGGAAGGAGGAGGGGTAGGTGGTGGCCTTGAAGTGTTGGGCTGGTGTGTTCCATTGGGTGGTGCCACTGGGGGATTTTAAAGGGAAGCCAAGAACATCTGTGTTCCAGAGGTCACTCTTGTGACACTCTGTTCAGAGTCAGCAGCCCCATGACTCTGGCATCACAACCCCCACTACCTCCAGCCATTGCCAAGTCTCTTAGAAGGTTGAGAAAGTCACTTGGCTGTCTGTGGGATGCTCCCATGTTCTTGGGCTTTCCACTCATTCATGCTTCCTGTGCTTCGTGTGTGTGTGTGTGTGTGTGTGTGTGTGTGTGTGTGTAGGTAGGTAGGTAGGTAGGTAGGTGTCCATGTGTGATTGTCCCCAGCACTCTAGGCCTAGGGGTTACCCAACATACACACCTCACCAGCACTACTGGTATCCAAACATCTGTTTGGGTTCTCTATATCTTTTCTTCTTGTTCTCAAGATCTTTGTCCCTGTAACAGCTAGAAGCACCAGACTTAGCAGAAAAATCCCCTGGGAATTCTAGATTTACCAGATTTGGGCAGGTAGGATCTTAAGCAAGTCCAGGCTGAATATGTGTTCTGGCCCTTCAGCCACAGCATGAGAACTTGGACACTAACTCCCGGTCCTCTGGTGTCAGGGGACAGACACTGGAGATTTCTATTAGCTTCACCAGGGGCGCCAGGAGCCTCAGGAAGGAAAGGTCAACAACCCAGCCTGGAGCAGTGTTTGCTTTGGAAATGCTGGGCCTTGCAGTTAGACTGATGGTACCCAGGAGGGGTATGTGTGTGTGAAAGCGCAGAGCTAGGGGACCCAGAGGTCCCTGAGGAGGCCCTGGGACTCCTGACTCCCTCCCCGTCCCTACCCTAGACCACCCCCTTTACTTTCTCCTCTGTGGCAAAGTAAAAAGAGAAGTGGCATCTGAGAGTCAGGATATTGGGTTTGGGATTCAATTCTGCCCTGACCAGCTCCTTAACCTTAACTTTGGGGCAAGTTATTAAACCTCTGAGGCTTGGTTTCCAAGTATAGCAGATGGACCCATCTCTGAGGTCCCAGCTCTGACATTCTGTGAGCAGTGGGAGTGAGGTGTTGTCTGTGGCTCGTGGATGGACCATCGTGAATACTTGGATGTTCCCTTCTTCCCTGGTTGTTTATCCCGGTGTTTTCCTCTTCCTGCCTTTGTGTGCCTTTCTCCCTCTCCTCTGCCTGTACTCTAGATCCGCCAGTGGCTTCTGCAGGAGTGACTTTCCCAACACGAGTCCTCGAGGCTAGAGGAACTTTAGGACTTCTTAAGACAGCAGCTGCAGCAACTCTGTCCCTCCTTTGCTCCATGTCGCCCCCTCTGGGGATCTGCCCACTGTGTCCTGGATGAGCCATCCACTCTGACCATCTGATCCCCTGAGATTGTCCCACAATGCAGCCATTCTCTGTGGACACTGCCAGGCACGCAGAGGTCCAATGTCTGGCTCTCCCGGACTCCTTGCTGCTGGCTCACTGCCCGATCAGTCCCTGGGAAACGCCTGCCTTTGGCTCTGCCAGCACTGGTGGGAACCTGCAAGAAATTTGAGCCCTGAACGTCTGCCTTGTCCTGTTGTCCTGTGCTCCAGGGAAGACAGGCGCGATGATGGACTCCCCGTTCCTGGAGCTGTGGCAGTCCAAGGCAGTGTCCATCAGGGAGCAGCTGGGACTCGGGGACCGGCCCAACGACTCCTATTGCTACAACTCGGCCAAAAACAGCACCGTGCTCCAGGGGGTCACCTTTGGTGGCATCCCCACTGTCCTGCTCATAGACGTCAGCTGCTTCCTGGTGAGAGCCCTCATGAGTCGTGTCCCACTGCCTCAGTTATTTGTTTAAATGCCCCACCCAGGGCCTTCTGGGAAACTTAGATGAGAAGTCAGACATAGCTGGGTTTAAATCTCAACTCTGCTGCTTACCAGCTCTGTGACTTAGGCGTGTTACTTAGCTTCTGTGCACCTCCCCTTTCTGCTCCGGAAATGGAGATCATAATTCCTATCTCAGAGAATTTTGGAATTTGGATAAGGCCAGAATACTCATATAGCTATGCCTGTGATTACTACCGTGATTGCAGAGCTCTCAGCCTGTCGTATCTTTAAGGCCCTTGGGAAGGGTCATCTCAAGGGGTTGAGACATGTGACTGGAGAGTACGGACTAGAATAGAGCAGCTGCAGTTCCCAAGTGTCACCTCCTGTTCCCCTCTGGCATCCCTGGGGTTTTTAAAGAATCAGAAGCTGGGCCAGGTACGGTGGCTCATGCCTGTAATCTCAGCACTTTGGGAGGCTGAGGCGAGTAGATTGCCTGAGGTCAGGAGTTCGAGACCAGCCTGGCTAACATGGTGAAACCCTGTCTCTACTAAAAATACAAAAAATTAGCCGGGTGTGGTGGTCGGCGCCTGTAATCCCGGCTACTCTGGAGGCCGAGGCAGGAGAATTGCTTGAACCTGGGAGGCAGAGTTGCAATGAGCCGAGATCACGCCACTGCACTCCAGCCTGTGCAACAAGAGCGAGACGCTGTCTCAAAAAAAACCAAAAAAACAAAAAAAAGAATTAGAAGCTGATTCTTAGAGCGTACCTTCAGCAGGTGGCCTTTCTTTAACGTAGATCTCCTTGTTCACAAAGATGCCCCATGGCATTGTTCTTCCTTATGCAGACTCAACGTTGGCTGGCTGAGATTTATTGGGGTTAAAGTGCCCCTTCTTTTCACAAATGCCATGGGCTGGCCAGTGCCTCTTGATACTGTCTCCTAACATGTGGCAGAGACCATCTGAGTGAAGGGGGCAGATGGCTCTGATGGAGTAAACATCCTTGGACTGCTTGGAGCTGGAGACTAGGCTCGGGTGGGGAACATGGGGAGGGTGGCTTAGGGTAGCAAGGAGGAGTGGGCAGGGGTGTGGGGGTGGATTTCAGAATTGGTGGGATTAGAGGAGGGTGGCCTTGGGTCTTCAGGGTGGGGAGAGTTTGGCCAAGGTGAGGAGTACAGAGAGGGGGACCTGGGCAGGGACCCTAGCTGGGCTGGGTGGGTATTGTTGCAACAGTGTTGGCTGAGAAGAGAGTCACCCTCTATTGTGCTGCTGAAGGTGAATTTTTTTTTTTTTTTTTTTTTTTTTTTTTTTTTTTTTTGAGACAAGGTCTCACTGTCACCCAGGCTGAAGTACAGTGGCATAATCACAATTCACTGCGACTTCCTCCTCCTGGGCTCAAGCAATCCTCCCACCTCAGCCTCCTGCATAGCTGGGACTACAAGCACATGCCACCGTGTCTGGGTTATTTTTGTATTTTTGGTAGAGATGGGATTTCACACCATGTTGCCTAGGCTGGTCTCAAACTCCTGAGCTCAAGCGATTCACCAGCCTTGGCCTCCCAAAGTGCTGGGATTACAGGAGTGAGCCATGGTGCCCGGCCAGGGGTGGATTTTTATTGCAGTAAGTTTTGGGGGTGGGGGAGGGGGGACACATAAGAGCCAGAGGGCCCTGGAGAGCATGGGTTTGTGGGAAGTGTCTGCACTGCACAGGCCAGGGCGGCAGCCGCTGTGGACAGAGAGGGCAGGCACCTGCTGAGCAGGTTTCGTGGTTTTCCTACAACATGACTCACCTGCCTTTGAAAATATGTCACCAACTTCCTGATTCACCTGAAGAAAATTCCACGAGAACTCAGTGCCTCTGGGGTTCAGGTCTTCTGGATTTCCTTTAGGAAAACAAAGCCTACCTTCAAAACCCCCGTTTCTGATCAGAGCAGGCAGGGATGTGCTTACTAAGATGTATTTCTCTACCTCCCTGAACCTCAAAGAGAGGGACCCTGTCTAGGGAGGGAAGAGAGGCAGGAACATGGCATGGAGCCTGCCAAGGTGGACTGTGGGGAGTGAGGACAGTCTAGAGTGTACAGATGTCTAGAGCTAAGCGGCTTAGTCCAGCCCTGAGGTTGCCATTGGACACAAGCTTGCTGAGGTGTCCCAGCTTACGGAGGCCAAGCCAGCCCGAGCACAGGTTCTCGTGGTGCCTTGCTGCCTGCATGCATGCTCTCTGCTGGGGGATTGCAGGGCCTGCGGGGCCTGCCTTCAGGGGAATCAAACTCAGAGGAAAAAACTGACCGTTTCTGGCTCAGCCTGAGGAGGCTCTGCTACCTTGGTTCTGTAATTTAAAATGAAATTTTCTGGCCAGCATGGTGGCTCACGCCTGTAATCCCAGCACTTTGGGAGGCTGAGGCAGGTGGATCACCTGAGGTCAGGAGTTCGAGACCAGCCTGACCAATATGGTGAAACCCTGTCTCTACTAAAATACAAAAATTAGCTGGGTGTGGTGGCGGGCACCTGTAGTCCCAGCTACTCTGGAGGCTGAGGCACAAGAATTGCTTGAACCCGGGAGGGGAAGTTGCAGTGAGCCGAAAGAAAAAAATTTTCTGTAAAGTGAAGAAGGATGCTGGTTCCTGGGGCTGCTCTGGGGCCAGACCTTACCCTCCTGCTCGGGGCCACTGAAGGCAGAGCAGGGCCCGAGACTGGGCCTTGTGGTGTTACCGCTGCCTTGAGAGCAAGAGACAGGGCTGACGTGCAGAACTAGGCAGGCTCCAGGCAAGCTTGGCGTCAGCGCTGGCAGCCTTGGTGGCGTGGGCACAGGTGACAGGAGCCTGGTGAAGGGGGTGAGCAAAGCATCCGGGCTACTGAGCTGCATGGCCTTGGGCACTTCAGTGCCCTCTCTGGGCCTGGGTGTTTTCCTTCTAGCCCTGCTGAGTGCGGGCAGGTGGGCTTTACCCCTGAGACCGCTGTGTCTTCTAATGAGAAGCCATCCAATATGCTTTTACTTGGTTTCTTTTCTGTTTTTAGTTCTTAATCTTGGTGTTTTCTATTATAAGAAGAAGATTCTGGGACTATGGCCGCATTGCCCTGGTGTCAGAAGCAGACAGGTAAAGACATATCGCCTAGGCTGTGAGCATGCGTGTGCGTACGTGTGAGTGTGTATATGTGCGTGAGTGTGTATATGTGCGTGTGTGCATATATGTGTGTATAGTGTGTGTGTGTGTGTCCCTGGAATGGGCTAGGGGCTTATGAAGCCCTCCATGTGGGCAGGACCCACACATGACACTGCTATGAGATTGTGTTCATTAAGTGTATCTACCTGGCCTGTACCAATAGCTGTTCTCTTTGCTCTTCACCACAGACCCATGAGGTCAGCCTCGCTACCCTCATTGTGCTCACAAAACAAAAAACAAAAACAAAAACCCAGGCTCAGATGCTCAGCTCCCTCAGGGCTTCTGTTGGGCCAAGGCTATGAACCTTGTTGGCTTCAGACTGGTTGCTTTAGATACTGAGGGCTTTCGTCATCCTCTGAAGAGGATGCCCATTTTCTTTCTCACCTTGAGTATTTTTAAGTGATCATCTTTGAAATTAATTAGCTTGGGGCCAGGGCTGAGTGAGGATCAAGGGCAGCAGAGCCATCAGGGAACTGCCCCACCCTCCTGCCAGGTCAGCGCCGGGTTTGGATGAGTCTGTTACAAAGCACAGGCTCCCTCGGCCAGGCTTCAGGTCCTTCCAGTTCTGCGTGGGGCTCCAGGATTCTCTGTTCATGTCGCCTGAAGGGTGACAGTGAATTCTGGATCTGCACAACCTGACGTTCCAGCTCCAGCTGGCTGTTTGCACCCAGGATCTTGTGTCAGATGTGGTAATAGGAAGTGAGTGATGAAAACTCAGGGACTGGCCCCAGCTGCCACCCAGAGCCCCAGAGGGGCTCTGGCAGACCCTCCACTCTCGGGCGCCTCCTGACATGTGGCCTGTGCGGCAGGGTCCTTTGAACTGGGAAGAGGAGGTGTACCTGAAAATGCACCATCTTTCCCCGTGATCCCTGCTCTGGGATTTGCTAAAGCCTGAGGTGATGATGACCTTGGACTGTTGGAGAGAAACTTTTGGGACATCTGATGCCTTTACGGCACATTCAGCTGGAAGTGGGGCCATGTACTCTGGTTGAAAAGACCACCTGGGGATCAGAGGGCCCTGCTGTATCCCTGGCTGTGCGACCTTGGTCAAGGCCCCAAACTTAATAGGGTCGGTCTCCTTCTGTCCTCTCTTCCCCATGAGGTCACGGTGAAGGTCAAAAGGGACAGTGTCTCTGCAAAGGCTTTTAAAGTTAAGTTTCGTCATGTGTTTTGTCTTTAGTAGGGGGGCAGTAGAACCAGGAATAGGAGACTAGAGAAAAGGAGTCACAGCCAGGCATGTTGGCTCACACCTATAATCCCAGCACTTTGGGAGGCCGAGGCGGGGGTGGATCATGAGGTCAGGAGTTCAAGACCAGCCTGGCCAAGATGATGAAACCCCATCTCTATTAAAAATACAAAAATTAGCCAGGCATGGTGGCGGGTGCCTGTAAGCCCAGCTACTCGGGAGACTGAGGCAGAGAATTGCTTGAACCCGGGTGGCAGAGCTTGCAGTGAGCCAAGATCACCCCACTGCACTTCCAGCTTGGGTGACAGAGCCAGACTCTGTCTCAAAAAAAAAAAAAAAAAAAAAAGAAGAAAAGCAGTCACATATACGTATTGCAAACACCTCAGATTTATAGCGCATGGGGTGTTTTTATGGGGGTACTCGCAAGAAAGGATCTGATTAAAATGCCACAATATAAAGTGCCATCATTTGTCCACTCTAAAACATATGTTTTGACATTTTCTCATCTCTGAAATTGGAAGGCATCTTGTTATTGATGGGTGGTCATAGTTTATTTGGCAGCATTTTTTCTTTAGTGTTTCATAAAATAATTGTGCAAATTACAACCAGTGGTATCTTAGATTTGATAAAATGTAGTATTTATTCCAAGTTTTATTTGATAATATAGGGAAATATGCTATAAATAGGCAACACTTTGAAGTCAGTTTAGCTAGACGAGTCACAGTGGTGTGGTTTCTGGGTGTTGACCCCTTGCTATTCATCCCGTATAACATAGAGTTTTATACCATGCCTGGGAATGGTCATTGTCCTTGTCTCTATCTTTCACAGAGTGAGTTATATTTTGTCCCAGCCATCGAGGGCTGGTAGCTTTGGTTCTGAGCTCCAAGAGGCAGCAAAATACTGGATGTGATCTTTTTGACTTGTTTGGCTTTTTTTTTTTTCTAAGAATTATCTGTCATTTTTTTTCTTTTTGTGTCTCTAGCGAGTCCAGATTTCAGAGATTGTCATCGACTTCCTCCTCAGGTCAACAAGACTTTGAAAATGAGCTGGTTGGTATCTAAGGCCCAGTTGTGGTCATGGCCAGGGGGTGGGGACTGGCAGTCATGGTTTTGGGGAGGGAGCAGGGCGGATCTTGAGCGGCAAGTGCTGGAGAAAGTGCTTTTCTGCATCGACGAAGGCACCTGAACTTGGGAAATACCACAGGAGGGATGGCAGCTGGATGACCCGGGACCTTGAGACTGGATGAATTTGCAGGCAGGAAGGGGTACGGAATCCCTTGGGCTTCCCCAGCACTTCTCTCTCTTACACCTATGGCTTTGTATGACAGTTAATTATGGACTTGCTGGCTGGATTATGAGCCAGATGTGGGCAGGAGCCCTGCCCTCTCCAGCCCTGTTTCCCAGCGCCTGATGCATAGTAGGTGTTTAGTCATTGTTGAATGAATTATTGAACAAATATTTGTCTTTCCTAGCTGGATAACAGCCCAGCTTTAGGGGTATTAAGTTTAAGAGATGTGAAGGACAATAAAACCTGCAGACACCCTTTCCCCCTAACACCCACTCCAGCGGACCGTCCAATCCATTAGGCTTGTTTCCTCTCTTTTGCCTCACCTCTTGGTCAGTGATTGTAAACAATCAAACAGCAGCCCACATCACTTTGCCCAGAGCTGCCCTGAGCTTTCATCAGCTTTTGATCTAAGTTTTGTGATTTGACCACGAAGTTGTCAGGAGATTTTAGCAAGAGTTCCAGGCATGTGGTGTATATTGTGAAGTACTGGGCTCATGCTTGCTGAATATGGGATAAAAGCACTGTTTTTTATACAACAGGAGGTTAAATGGTTATTTAATGTCAAAGACAATGGTTACATCTGCCTCTCAAAGACACAAATGTTGGAAGCTAATCCCTGTTCTCTCCGTTTCCAGGGATGCTGTCCCTGGCTGACTGCCATCTTCCGTCTGCAGTGAGTACACCCGGGGGCAGCTGCTGGGGGGCCTTTGGGCTGGTTTTTTTGGGTGTTTGGCCAGTCAAGAGGCAAGAGCCAAGATGCTTGATCTTAAGATGGTGTCTCTTAGATACTTTTTAGTTAATGTCCAAAGCAGTATGTGAGGGCTGAGAATCAAGGTGACCAGGCAGCCCCTGGGGTCAGGGGCAGAGGAAGGAGGCCTGTAGGATTGGAGCCTCCATGCTGGAGGGCACACAGTGCCTGCTGGAGCCTGGGGCTTCCCAAATTGAGCTGGATCCCAAGAGTTCTTGAAGATAGAGATGAACTTTATTTATTTCAACATATTCAGTGGAAATCATATGTTCATCTCTCATAATACTGCACAAACTAATTAAAGCTATTTTTTTGCTTTAATTATTCAACTTAATATTTAACACCAATTAGATGTCAATGGACGCTCTCATAGGCAGGTTTGCATGTCTTTGAATTAGTGAAAAGTGAAGAAATATAATACATTCAATTCATTTGGTTACAAGTTTTCTTTTTTTCAATGGGGCCCATGGAGAGAAAGCTAAAAGATTATTAAAGGTGATTAAGAGCCAGTTAGTTACCTCTCATGTGGTGTAGGGAGCCAGGAGGCGGGGGGGGGCGGGGACTGATGTGAGTCTTGGTTCTCACCTGCTGCCATATTCCATTGAATCTAAGAAGTTATTGTTGTAAGATGCATGTTTTTTTTTTTTTCAGACCGAGTTTCGCTCTTGTCGCCCAGGCTGGAGTGCAATGGCACGATCTCGGCTCACCGCAGCCTCCGCCTCCCGGGTTCAAGCAATTCTCCTGCCTCAGCCTCCAGAGTAGCTGAGATTACAGGCATGCGCCACCATGCCCAGCTAATATTTTTGTATTTTTAGTAGAGACAGGGTTTCTCCATGTTGGTCACGCGGATCTCCAACTCCCGACCTCAGGTGATCTGCCTGCCTCGGCCTCCCAAAGTGCTGGGATTATAGGCATGAGCCACCGCGCCCGGCCCAGGTGCATGTTATTTTATATAGCACTAAGAACAAGAAAATGTTGTCAGCTAAGCTACCATCAACTATAACGATAGCGTACACCTCATTTCAGAGGAGTTGAAATATGGCCGGCTGCGGTGGCTGACGCCTGTAATCCCAACGCTTTGGGAGGCTGAGGCAGGCAGATCACGAGGTCAGGAGTTCAAGACCAGCCTGGCCAACATGGTGAAACTCCGTCTCTACTAAAAATACAAAAATTAGCCAGGCTTGGTGGCGGGTGCCTGTAATCCCAGCTACTCGGGAGGCTGAGGCAGGAGAATCGCTTGAAACCGGAAGGCGGAGGTCGCAGTGAGCCAAGATCACCCCACTGCAACTCCAGCCTGAGTGAAAGAGCAAAACTGTCTCAAAAAAAAAAAAAAAGAAAAGAAAAGAAATATGAAAATGATATCTTAGAATTGATGAAATGTGGTGGTTATATAATGAAATATGGTGGTTATAAGGATGAAATGTTCTGGGCCTCAGTTTTCCCAACTGTAAAAGGAGGCTGAGGATAACATATGCTCAGCCTAATTCAAAGGAATGAATACATGTGAGAGCATGTTGTAAATGTTCGGTTTGGTAGGAGTTGTTCCCAGGGGAACTGGCAGGAGACAGAGCCCCATGGGAGACAGTCAACTCTGGTCTGGAACAGGAGGAAGCAGGAGGCGAGTTAGTTTATTTAGAAATGAGAACAATGTAGTTAATTGCAAAGCTTTGTCCTCTAGATAAATAGTAATCAGGACTCATATGAACAGGCATATTTCTGAGCATCTGCTGATACCACGTACAGGACTAGGTGTTTGATGCTTATTATCTCTTGAGCCCCTGCTAAGCTGATGAGGTAGGCAGTGGGCAGTTTCCTTGCTCGAGGTCAGAGGCGGGTAAGCTCCATGACCTGCCCTCAGGTGGAGGCCGCTGCGCTGGATTACACTGTGGTCTGACTGCAAAGCCCACGCTGACATCTTTCACATCTGCCTTTTTATGATGCAGCCCTTGCCCCCCTGAGCTCTTCCCAAAGCACTGCTTTCCCAGCCTAGAAGTAGCGCCTTCAGGGAGTGGGAAAGAGCAGAGTGCCCTGCCCCTTCTCCCTCTGTAGCACAGAAGTCTGGCTTGTGTGAACCTGGAAATTTCTGAGTCCCCAGTGGACCCAGAGCCTCCAAGTGTAGCACTCCAAGGGTGGGAAAGGGTGGAGCAAGTCACCTCCCCATCTCTGGGGACACAGGGAGGAGGCCAGGGTGGTAGGATGGACTGGGACTCTTGGCTCCACCTCAGGTCTCCATCTGAGGGGGAGACAGGAAACAGGTGGGGGCCTGGGGCCTGGGCATATTCCCAACTTTATTCTTTTTTTTTTTTTCTTTTTTGAGATGGAGTCTCACTGTGTCACCCAGGCTGAAGTTGCAGTAGTGGGATCTCGACTCACTGCAACCTCCACCTCCCAGGTTCAAGCAATTCTCCTGCCTCAGCCTCCTGAGTTGCTGGGATTATAGGCATGTGCCACCACACTTGGCTAATTTTTTTTTTTTTTTAGTATTTTTTAGTAGAGACAGTTTCACCGTGTTGGCCAGGCTGGTCTCGAACTCCTGACCTCAGGTGATCCACCTGCCTCAGCCTCCCAAAGTGCTGGGATTACAGGTGTGAGCCACTGCGCCCAGCCCTAACTTTATTCTGAATGTGATTTCTTAGAAGCAGGACAGGGCTGTGAGATGACTGTATTTACGTACCTTTCCCACACACGTAACTTGGGCACAAATGTTTCTAGCAACATCAGATGGAGTGCTGGTATTCCTTTACCTCGAGTATGGTACAGGGGCTAAGACGGGCTCTGGAATTTATATCATGTGAGATCCTGAAAGTTATGCAAATTTCCTGTGCCTTTATTTCCTCATATGTGAACAAAAATGTGGGGATAGCGATCGAACCATCTCATAAGAGTGTGGTGAGGATGATATGAGACACTTCATGCAGAGCCCCGAGGCCTGTTCCACTGCTCATTAAGATTCCTCTGTGTCTTGGCCAGTGATGACCAGATCCTGGAATGGTGTGGGGAGGACGCCATCCACTACCTGTCCTTCCAGAGGCACATCATCTTCCTGTTGGTGGTGGTCAGCTTTTTGTCCCTGTGTGTCATCCTGCCTGTCAACCTCTCAGGGGACTTGCTGGGTAATGACCCTCCTCACCCTTGTCTATGTTGTAATGGGGCAGAGTGGCAGTCCTAGGGAAAGGGCTCACTGTGGTAGACCAGAACCCCAGGAGTCATGCCCCACTTCAGATGTAAGATGGTCTCAGGGTGACTCTGAACATTTCTATCTGATTAAAGATCTGGAGCAAACCTAGGCTAAAACTGGGGCCCCAATATCAATGTCTGGTTCTATTTAAATAGGGAAAAAAGCCCCCCAAGATTTACAGAATCAGGGGCTATCAGAGAGTCTTTTATACTTTCCTGCCCTCACCCAAATTAGGAGGTCACAATTAATGGACCCAGAAGATATCCATGATACTTAATTAAAATCAGGGTGTGGCATTATATCTAAGGGCAACTGCAAGAATCCACCTTCCAAAATGCCACCATGAATCCACTTAGGATACCCAGTGGTTCCCAACGTTGGTTTTGTAACAACATAGGATGTTTTTAGTTTTCTCAAAACAAAATGAATTCACATTATGCCTTTACCTGCAATGGAAGGTTGAGAAGTTATCAGGGAGCATTTTGGTTTCAAGCAGAGGCCTTGATGGTGTAGCTCTGGAAAGACCAGTCAGACGTTGTCTTCCTGCTGGTCCAGACATGCTCCTCCTCCCCAGAGCTCCACAAACCAAGGCTGATTGGTTACGCCCCCTCCTGCTTCCCCACATGACCCTGGAACTAAGTATCTGTGCTTCTCTGCAGACAAAGACCCGTATAGTTTTGGGAGGACAACAATAGCAAACCTACAGACTGAGTGAGTATGGAGCCCGTGGGGATAGGTGCTGATGGGTGAGATCAAGGAGAAGGCAGGTCAGGAGCCCGGGGCAGGCCAGAGGTACTCCAAAGGGGGCCGGCTGGTATCTGAAGGCCCCTTGCAGCTAGTGAGTTGTTGAGCTGTGGGCATGAACACGCCACAGGCAGACACTGTTTTGCCAGGGTTTTAAGAAACACGGAGGGTCCTGTGGATCTGGAGTTCATTTGTCAGGACAGGGATGGGGACCCCTCTGAAGTATTCACTGTGGGCTGAGGGGTGCTGGCCACACAACCTCTGTGGGAGGCATCTCTTGCAGTGAAGCTGTTGGTCCTCAGTTCAGTGCCCACTGAGGGTAACCAGGCCCCAGCTCTGCACCCCCAGCTCCCTGCCTGGGATCCCAGCCCTGATGGCAGGTGGTTTCCCTCTCAGCAATGACCTCCTTTGGCTGCACACCATCTTTGCTGTCATTTACCTCTTCCTCACTGTGGGTTTCATGCGGCACCACACTCAGTCCATTAAGTACAAAGAGGAGAACCTGGTGAGTGAGGCGGGACTTAGGGACATGTGCTGGGAGGGACTCAGGTGGGAGTCGGAGTGGAAGGGCCTCCCAGGCTCTGCCACAGGCCCTGACTGCAATGAGCTCTGGGAGGGCCTCAGGAGCCCCGCTTGCTTATTCTTGCTCACACTTGGCACCATCTTTAAAAAAAACAGTTTCCTGGTGGATTGTTTCAAGATTTGGACAGTTACTGGTGCTAAGTAAAGAAATTTGGGTTGAGAGCAGCCCTTTCTCTTTGCCGCCCACAGCTTCACAGGGGAGGGGAGCTTCTGTGGCTTGGTTCCAGGCCTGGGTCCTCCTCTGATCTGCTGTGTGACCGCATTTGAGTCACTTCCCCTCTTTCTCAGTCTCCTGCCATGCAAAGAAGGCTCATAGAGTTGCTTTGGAAGTGGATTCTTTGTACAGCCTGGAAGAAGACGCTGTGTAAATGACATGCTTTGGGGGCTCCCCCGGCCACAGAAGGAGAAAACTGGAGCCTTCTGATTTCCTGTTGTTTACTTTCCAGAGGCTGGAGTTGGGTAGGAAACCTGAGCATACCGGCACACTGGCTTGTGGGTGACTTCTCTCCCTGCTGTATTTCCCGGACAGGTGAGGCGGACCCTGTTCATCACAGGACTCCCCAGAGATGCCAGGAAGGAGACTGTGGAGAGCCACTTCCGGTAAGCAGGTGGGGTGGGAGGGGAGCTGAGCCCCCTCCACGTAGGACCAACACAGCCCCACCCGCAGGGCGAGCACCTTAGGTGAGCGCCTTCTGTCTCTCGCTTGGGTATCCAGGTGAGATCTGAGAAGGACCTGGCCCTGCCACACGTGTATGGAGTGGCTCCTGTGTGCCAGCCCTGCTGGTGCTGTGCAGTGAATAGCGCCCTGGTGGCCTATCCTCTTCAAGCAGCCTGTGCACAGTGTCCAGAGCACAGACCAGGGTGTAGGTGCGAATAAACGTCTTGAGAGCATACGGGGGAAAAAATTGTTGACCCCGGGGTTCTTAGCATCACCTTTGCAGAATAAGAGAGACGTGAGCTGAGCATTTGTATGGACCCACAGGGCTAGGGTCTCACAGGTGGAAGGACCTCGGGGCCATCTCTGCGTTTGTTCGTTTGTCCACCCACTGAGCGGGTGTCTGTTGAGTGAGCACTGTGTCTGAGTCCAGGCTCTCCCTGGTAGAACCTCCTTTCCAGCGGCTCCCTTTGAGTATCTGCACCACCAATTCCTGCAGATGGAGGCTGGAGGAAAGTCTTTCCTGTGAGGAGATTACGTGTGCAGCCAGGGATGCGGGGAAAGGCCCAGAGCATCAGGAAAGGTGGCGGTGGGGTGCAGGGGGGCAGGGCAAGCAGTCCGGGAAGGCTCCCAGGACCCCATGCTGGAGGACCTGAAGGCTGGGCTGAGGAGCTGACATTTTATTCTTTCTTCATTCCTTTTTTTGTAATCTTATTTTTTTAGAGACAGGGTCTTGCTCTGTTGCCCAGGCTAGAGTTCAGTAGTGCAATAATAGCTTACTGCGGCCTCAACTCCTGGACTTAAGGCATCTTCCTGCCTCAGCCTCCCAAGTAGCTGGGACTGCAGACACATGGCACCACACCCAGCTAATTTTTAAATTTTTTATGGAGATAGAGTCTTGCTATGTTGCCCAGGCTGGTCTCGAATTGCTGGGCTCAAGTGATCCTCCTGCCTTGCCCTCCCAAAGTGCTGGGATTACAGGCGTGAGCCACCATGCCCGGCCTCTCTTCATTCCTTATCAATACAGCAGCCACTAATTTGTTGCATGGACTAGGAGTTGGCTGCACTTTAACTTTGCACTATTTGTGAAGAAAGCACTTGCTAAGCAAATTGCTAGACAGGATCGTAAACTGAATGTTTAAAATTTGAAAAACTTCTTCAGAAACTCTAAGTATTTTAGAAATATTTACTAATATGTAAATACTCAATACCAGAATCATTTTTCTGTATTTCCTTGAAGCAACTCCTCAAAGTTGCCTGCTAGGCAACACCTGGAAACAGTAATTCCACTTAATGTATAACTTTAAAGAGAAAAAAAAAGTCTCCTCATTCTCATACAAACATTGCATGACTCATGCTTTCCCCTATTTTAAGAGGCCTTTTTAGTGAATGCTGTTGCAGTCCGTGGGGATTGATGTATGAATTTGCCTTTCAAGCAGGGATGCTTAAATTGCAGTTTTCTTCCTCACAGCTCTTATTGAGACCAGAAATTGTCCTACTGTTTAATTTCATGATTGATATACCTATGGGCTGTCTCTCTCACTAAAATGTAAGCACATCCAGGCCCTGTTACCAGCACCTAGAACAGTGCCTGGCAGGTGGTAGGTGGGGATTTACATGGTTCTGGAATCCCCTGGAATTGTATGTATAATTTTGCGTGTATGGTGAGGGGGTATTGCATGGTGGCCATGAGCATTGACCTTGGAGCCAGGTTGCCTGTATTCACCTCCTGGCTCAGACACTCACTAGCTGTGTGATCTTGGGCACAAGCCACTTACCTCTGTCGGCCTCAGTTTACTCATCTGTAAAATGGGGACAAAACCTCACAGGTTATGATGAGGATTAAATAAATAAATATATGTAACAATACCTGGTCAATAGTGAGTATGTATTTTGCTGGGTTTTTTTTTTTTTTTTTTTTTTTTTTGAGACGGAGTCTCACTCTGTTGCCCAGGCTGGAGTGCAGTGGGGCAATCTTGCTCACTGCAACCTCTGCCTCCCAGGTTCAAGTGATTCTCGTGCCCCAGCCTCCCAAGTAGCTGGATTACAGGTGTGTGCCACCACACCTGGCTAATTTTTGTATTTTTAGTAGAGACAGCGTTTCACCACATTGGCCAGGCTGGTCGCAAACTCCTGACCTCAAGTGATCCACCCGGCTCAGCCTCCCGAAGTGCTGGGATTACAGGCATGAGCCACCGCACCTGGCCTTGCTGGTTGTTAATATGTGTGTAGATATTTTCTGGTCTGAGGGTCCTTTGCTTTCATTAGACCCTCTGAAAGGTCTGTGACCTTAAAAAAGGCTACCTGAATAGGATTTCAGTGATGGCTCAAGGTAGATACTGACCTAGCACAAACAATAAATCTGTTCCTTTGGGTCTTTAGAGGGGATAGTGATGTGTTCATTTTTCCCCAGGAGAAGTGCCAGCTGATTCCAAGCCAAGTGGGTATAAACTTGTCAGTTCCAGGCAGTTAGCTTCATACTACTAAAAAAGGCTAGCGGGGTGCAGTGACTCACGCCTACAATCCCAGCACTTTGGGAGGGTGAGACAGGAGGAGTGCTTGAGGCCAGAAGTTCGAAATCAGCCTGGGCAACATAGCGAGACCCCGTCTCTACAAAAAATAAAAATCAGCCTGGTGGCATGTGCCTGTAGCCCCAGCTACTCAGGAGGCTGAGGTGGGAGGATTGATTGAGCCCAGAAGGTTGAGGCTACAGTGAGCCATGATTGTGCCACTGTACAGCAGCCTGGGTGACAGAGTGAGACCCTGTCTCTAAACAAAACAAAACAAAACAAAAGCCCTCTTTGTATTAAATTTCAAAATTTCCCCCTTTTGGAGGATAAAAGACAAAGAGAAGAGAGGTCTCCGCTGGCACAGAAACCAGCAGCGAGATCACTCTGCCATCCTTTCCCTTGGATCCGTGGGCACGTCTCCTGCTTGGGGTGTTTTCTTTTCCAACGGTGTCTTTTGCCTCCTTCTCTCCCTGGCCACAGGGACGCGTATCCCACGTGTGAGGTGGTTGATGTGCAGCTGTGCTACAACGTGGCCAAACTGATCTACCTGTGCAAGGAGAAGTGAGTGGTGGGCGGGCCTTGCAAGATGCCCCCTCCTTCCTTGCTGGCCTCGCATCTCCCAGCTAGGAAGGGAGGCGGGAGGCCCTGGACCCCTCCTTCTCCCCTGGCGTTCGATGGTTGAACTGTGGGTATGGGGGTCCCTGCCACAGGATTCTAAATCTGAGGTTTGTGCCCCCGCTCCCACCCCTACAGAAAGAAGACTGAGAAGAGCCTGACCTATTACACAAACCTGCAGGTGAAGACAGGCCAGCGGACCCTCATCAACCCCAAGCCCTGTGGCCAGTTTTGCTGCTGTGAAGTGCTGGGCTGTGAGTGGGTAAGGGTCCCACCCCCCGGCTGGGAGCAGAGGCATTGGCATCGGGGTGCCCCAGATACCAGCATGGGGCCACGTCATCCCAATGGGATGTGTCTTGTGGCAGGAAGACGCCATCTCTTACTACACACGGATGAAGGACAGGCTGCTGGAGAGGATCACAGAGGAAGAACGCCACGTCCAGGACCAGCCCCTGGGAATGGCCTTCGTCACCTTCCAGGAGAAGTCCATGGCCACCTAGTGAGTGTAGGCACATCCAGACCCCTTCTTGGCTGACTCCCTGTTCCCCTCCAGATAACTCACTGTCCCTCTCGAGTGGAGATGGTACTGCTGACCCACCATCCCTGGGATTTATCTGTGGTGTTTCCTTCTCCTCCCTCAGCTACCCACACTCACTTTCAGCCAGCCCAGCCCATGTTTGTGTAACAGGCGGTGGGGGTGTGGGCAGCAGCCACGGAGTGGGTGATTCTGGCTGACCCCCTCGAGCTGATGTGGCCTGGCCCCACTGCTGGGCTCTTCCCTGCTGCCCTGGACCCATCCTGTTGGCTTCATGTGCCAGCCTTGCCCCAGGGGAGATGGAGGCACCCTCCTTTCAGACATCTGCTCTGGGCCACAGATCCTTCTGTCTGTGGCTCCCCACCTTCCCACAAATGCAAAGCTGTGGGGAAGACCCCTGGGGCACGCTGGGGCGCTCACTGCAGTGGGGAGCTTGACCCTGGGGAGTGGCTTTTCACAGTGGCCCTTGGCATGGGACTCTAGGCTCTCATGCCTGTGGTCTCAGTGTCATCTCGCCTTAGGAGCAGCACAGGGTGGGTCGGGAGAGGGGTGTGGAAAGGTGTCCAGCCACTGCCCCAGGCATTGTGACACTAGGAATGGACTCACACAGGACTTCCTGCCTCCTTGCAGACACTGGGGCAGGAGGAAAGGGGAAGGCATCTGAGGCAGGAGTAGAGGGGCTGCTGGGCTCCTTACGGGAGGTTAAAGGAGGAAAAGCTGTGACCTGTTGAGATGGTGAGGGTCGAGGTGGGAGCCCTGAGGAGGGAAGCTTGGGAACAGGCAATGTGTAACGTGGTCTATTGCTACACTTGGGCCTGGGGAAAAAGTGACAGAATGAAAAGTTGAGCCACTGGCCTGGCAGTAGCACTGATCAGAGCTCCAGCTTAACAGGCAGGGTGGAGGGGGATGGCCCTATGGAAGAGCAGTGTGTTGCCCTCAGTTTCCTTATCTGTAAAATGGGAATCGTACTCCCTTTGTTGCTGGTGGTTGCGAGGATTAAACAAAATTCTCCACACACTGTGCTAGCGTGGCACCTCTTACATAGCGTTACTCATAATACACTAATCACAACAAAGCAAAGGTCCTATGCCACTGCCTCCCACTCCTACTCAGTCCCCACTTGCCACATGTGTGCTTGGTAACCTGAGTAGCCTGGGCCTGGCTGTTGCTACATTTCCTTGCAGCATCCTGAAAGATTTCAATGCCTGCAAGTGTCAGAGCCTTCAGTGCAAAGGTGAGCCCCAGCCGTCCTCCCATAGCAGGGAGCTCTATACCTCCAAGTGGACAGTCACCTTTGCTGCTGACCCTGAGGACATCTGCTGGTAAGCTCCTAGACCAAGGAGAGGTGGGAGAGAGGCCTGGGTTCCTGGTGGGAGCTGCCCATCACCTGGAGCACAGGTGTGACCTGGCAGTCAATGGAGATCTCCACACATCTGCAATTCTGTGGGCTGTGATGCTGTGATGTGCTCGGTGTGGCCCAACTGGGGTATCTGCCCAGCCCTTCCCTCCAGTGTTCCTCCCTAGCATTCAAGTGCTACCCAGCAGAAATATAATGCCAGTTCTGCATCTAATTTTAAATTTCCTAATAGCCATGCTAAAAAAGTAAAAAGAAACAGTTGAAATTAATTTTAATAATGTATCTCGCCCAATATATCCAAACTGTTATTTCAACATGCAATTTTTGAAAAATGTGAGATGTTTTACATTCTCTTTTTCACACTTAGTCTTCAATATCTGGTGTGTATTTTACACTTCTAGCACCTCTCAATTCACACCAGCCACATTTAAAATGCTCAGTAGCCGCATGCAGCTTGTGCAGCCTTACTTAGGTCCAGTGTCAGCCTGGGGCCGTGCTGGGGAGCTGAGCTGTGTCCATGGGGGCCCTGGTGAGCCTCCAGTGCTGTGCTGAGGGTAAGGGCACCCAGCGCAAGCCCCAGCGCAGCTGCCTGTCCAGCCCTGCCTCAGCTCCTTGCACAGAATGAGCTTGAAGTGCTCCCCTCTGCTCGGTTCTAGTTCTGCCTCTGACAGTTTTGCTCTTTGGTTCACAAGGCTTCCTAAACTCAGGATTGCTTTGTGGGTCTGTTCTTTGGGATGAGAGGCCAGGGCAGGTGCAAGCTATGCCTTCACTCCTTTGTCCCTGCCTTCCTCCTTCCTGTACCCCAGCTACAGCCCCGTTGGGAAGAATGTGTCGTTAGTCACAAAGCATTGCAGATGTGTCTAAGAAATGCCACGCTGGGGCCGGGCGTGGTGCTCACACCTGTAATCCCAGCACTTCGAGAGGCTGAGGCAGGCGGATTGCCTGAGCTCAGGATTTCAAGACCACCCTGGGTAACATGGTGAAACCCTGTCTCTACTAAAAATACAAAAAAATTAGCTGGGTGTGGTGGTACACGCCTATAGTCCCAGCTACATGGGAGGCTGAGCAGGAGAATTGCTTGAACCTGGGAGGCAGAGGTTGCAGTGAGCCGAGATCACACCACTGCACTCTAGCCTGGGTGACTGAGCAAGACTCTGTCTCCAAAAAAAAAAAAACAGAAAAAGAAAAAATAAATGCCATGCTGGAGCCTTGTTTGGCCTGCTTGGGTGCTCATGCCATCTCTTTGGGTAGGTTCTGGCCCCCAGACTTTAGCTGGGGAGCCACATCTGAGAGAATAATTGTTCCCTCTGAGCTCTTGGGGACCTAAGATTTGGTCTTTCTGTAGTTGAAGGTCAGTGCAGAGAACTTGCCCCCAGGCTAGTCTCTTGGTCTGCCTAAATCTGACCTTCTGACCCACCTAAGCCACGAGCACTGGGAGACAAGCCTCGAGACCTGTATCCCCTCTCCCGCTGCAGGAAGAACCTCTCTATCCAGGGCCTCCGCTGGTGGCTACAGTGGCTGGGCATCAACTTCACCCTCTTCCTGGGGCTATTTTTCCTGACCACACCCTCCATCATCCTGTCCACCATGGACAAGTTTAATGTCACCAAACCCATCCATGCGCTGAATGTGAGTAACTGTTCTGCAAGGCCCCTCCCAGGATAGCTGGTGAGAAGAGGGCTTGGTGGGTGGGGAAGGAGTGGGGACAGGAGTGGGGTGTGTGCGGGGAACTAAACCAGTGGGTCATGTTGCTCAGCTCACATCCTTGCTTTTAAGCCCTGAGCAGGCATGGCCACATTTATTACAAAGTCCTTATAGTAATGCCATACACACACACACACACACACACACACACACACACACACACACACACACATTATATGTATATATACACACACATGCATACATATATATTTTAATAGACTATCTAAATACTGAATGGTAGGGATCATTTGAGTTGAATGTGGTATATTCAGGTTGGTAGACTATCAAGCATCCATTCAAAATTGTATAGATTTTGTGGCACCCATGCAGGGCTCCTGACAGAAGCAGGGATGTACCAGTGAGGCATGTCTATCATGGACACTACGGGGAGGGGCCAGGAAGGAAGGAAAAAAGCTTCGTTGATTGGGGTGGCAGGATCACAAATTATTTCTTTTACATTT
Source organism: Homo sapiens (assembly GCF_000001405.40). NCBI lineage: Eukaryota > Metazoa > Chordata > Mammalia > Primates > Hominidae > Homo > Homo sapiens. The sequence goes on along the minus strand of NC_000001.11, from coordinate 225,858,659 downwards.
TGGTTGCTAATGACCTTGTTATAAAACTATTTTGGGGCCGGGCACGGTAGCTCACGCCTGTAATCCCAGCATTTTGGGAGGCCAAGGTGGGCGGATCACCTGAGGTCAGGAGTTCGAGACTAGCCTGGCCAACATGGCACAACCCCATCTCTACTGAAAATACAAAAATTAGCTGGGCGTGTTGGTGGGCGCTTATAATCCCAGATAGTCAGGAGGCTGAGGCAGGAGAATCGCTTGAACCGGGAGGTGGAGGTTGCAGTAAGCCGAGATTGCACCACTGCACTCCAGCCTGGGCGACAAGAGCGAAACTCCATCTCAAAAAAAAAAAAAAAAAAAAAAAACAAACTATTCTGTATAGGTAATGAACGATTTTCAAAAATCTTAGATGAATCAATGAGATAACAGCCAAACACTCACTCAACTGGCATCTACTCAAAAAGCTATTGGTTTCTCATGATTAGCTTTGCCAAACCATCTCCCTAGATTATTTTTCTTTTTAAATTTCACTTTGCATTTGGTTAATCATTCCCTGGGAAAGCACACGGGGCAGGTGGGCCTCCTTGTCTTCACTTTGCCATTCCCTATCTGATGAATTCTGAACCTCAGTTTTTCATCCAAGAACTGGAGTTAAAACACCTGCACTATTATACAGGGCGTGAGGCTGTTGTCATGATAATCAATGAGCTGATGTGTGGTTGAAGCTCTTATCTGACTCCATAGATAGTTTTAAACTACCTAAGTATAAATTCAGCAGCTTTGCTTAAGATTTAAAGCAGGTATTATAAATATGCATTCCTTTGCCAATCTTTTAATAGAAGGACAGGCCTATTCTTTTGAAGATGGATCTGCTGATGAGAGCTCCCCTTTGTCTACTTTACATCAACCACACCCTTATTTCATTGTTTTGTGATTCCAGTGTTGGTTTCTTTAAAGTAAAGGAAGAATTTAGATATTTGCCGAGCCATTCTGAATATAGAAACTTCCTAGATCGCATATCCCTTGATCTTTTATCGTTAATTTACTCTCATCTAATTAACAGCGTTTTGTTTTTTTTTTTAGAAATTGACTTTTATTAAGTCTTTCCAAAGTAGCCAACTTAGTTTTCAAAGAAAATTTCTCTCTATTTTTATGTTCATCTAATCAGTGACAGTAATAAGTCAATCAGCTCATGTAATCCCAGTAACAAACAGCAGGATTGTGGACACACACAGTGGAGCCCTGATATGCTGCAGCTGGACAGTGGGAGCTGAGCAGGCAGGGCACCCCCCCCCCCCCGCCCCGCCGGCCAGGACTCCAGGCCTTCGGTGTTCAGTCTTGCCATGGCATCAGTCATTGGTTTTGTATAGGGAGCAGAGAAGGTTATTTAATCTGGTTAGTCAGATAAGTGGAGTTTACTCGTATGTGAAATTGCTTTCTTTGCTGTGCTGTGAGGAGCTGTACAAATATAAGGTGCTGTTACTGATTATTCAGCCAACATTTATGGACTACCAACTCTGTACCTGGCACAGTTTTGGTTCTGGGGTCAGAGATGACAAACTCCTACCCTGGGAGTCCACTGAGCGACCATACCAATAGGTCATGGCCTCAGAGCCGCGTGGCCCACGGCCCCTGTGACTCTCTCTGCTGTGGACCTTTCTCCTAGAACCCGATCATCAGCCAGTTCTTCCCCACCCTCCTGCTCTGGTCCTTCTCGGCCCTGCTCCCCTCCATTGTCTACTACTCTACACTGCTGGAGTCTCACTGGACCAAGTGAGTGCCCGGGAGCCCCGAGGCCCTGCCCCTAAGAAGGATATCTCTGACCGCTCCCTTGTCCACACCCTAACCCCCCAGCTGCTCAGGCAGTGGGCACATGGCAGGGGCCTCACTGGGGGCACATAGAGCATTTGGGGGACTGCGAGTGCTCACCTTTGACTTCCTGCAGGTCGGGGGAAAACCAGATCATGATGACCAAAGTCTACATATTCTTGATCTTCATGGTGCTGATCCTGCCCTCCCTGGGTCTCACCAGGTATATGCCACCACCTTCTGCTCTAAATTCAGAATAAGAGTCACATCAGGAGAGCACTGTCCCCAGGAGAATGCAAACGGTTTGGCAGCAGAAGCAAACCTCTAACAATATCTAAGCCTGTCGCAACCACTCGGCGTGCAGTAGGGCTGGGTCATTGATTCTTCTGGCAATATGATTGATTGTTCTTCTTTAAAAAAGAAAAAAACACCATATTGGTCAGGCTGTTCTTGAGCTCCTGACCTCAGGTGATCCACCCGCCTCGGCCTCCCAAAGTGCTGGGATTACAGGCGTGAGACTCTGTCTCAAAAAAAAAAAAAAAAAAAACCAGCTTGAAAATTTTGTGGCCAGGCACAGTGGCTCACGCCTGTAATCCTAGCATTTTGGGAGGCCGAGGTGGGCAGATTGCTTGAGCCCAGGAGTTCCAGCCTGGGCAGTCTGGCGAAACCCCATCTCTACAAAAGAGAAAAGAAAATGAAACTTATCAAGGACCTTCCACTTAGGGAAGGCCTCATCATGGCTTTATTTATCTCAAGGAAGGAAGTTTCTGTTAAAGCAGACTGTGACAGGTCATGCCGTAGTAAGTGGCATCGTTGAGAACAAAAGTCAATCTCGAGCTTTGGCCTGTTTTTAGAGCAAAAGAAAATGAAAGCATGTGTAGTGACAATATGGAATGCTGGAAATAAACTCTTAGGGGGTTCCTTTGTTTTTCAGTCTAGATTTTTTCTTCCGGTGGCTCTTTGACAAAACTTCCTCGGAGGCCTCCATCAGGTTGGAGTGAGTATTGCCAAGTTGAGTTCTGGAGCCATGGCCCTGGGTGAAAGTCCCACAGGGGCTGGGGCTGCAGTGGGATGGGTGGGGGCGGTCGTAGCCTATGCTTCTGAACAGGCATCTTCCTCCCCAGACAGCAGGGCTTGGGGCCTCACCTCCACCCTGCCAGGTTTCTGGTAGACACTGTGGGAGCTGACCCACTTTGTGCTATGCTTGCAGAAATGTGGTTAATTTTTTAGGCCAGAACTCAATTAGCAGCTGTCTCATTCATTGAAACTTACTGAGCACAGAGTCACATGGGGAGAAGGAATTGCTGGGTCTCAGTGGTGCCAGGGAGTGGGGAAAGGAGAATAATAATTAAAGATGGCAGCCAGGATGCCTCTGGGCTCTGGGGATTATTTTTGCCAGAATAGAATTAAATTTATTACTGATGTATCCTTGTTAGTATTTTAAACTTATACCATGCCACTTAATAGTAATAGCTATTGTTTAAGAAGGCACTATGCTAAATGCTTTATGCATCTTTTTCTCACTGTATCTTTACAATGAGCTATGAGGAAGATACTATTATTCTCTCCATTTTACAGATGAGGAGACTGAGGTTTGGAGACGTTGAATAACTTGCCCAAGTTTATCCAGCTGGTTAAGGAACAGAGCTGGGATTCAACCCCAGCCCCTACAGACTATACATTAGGTCTTAATATAGGTCCAGAGGCTTGGCATTGACTTTCCTAAAAGAATGTGCTTACCTGTAAGGATGGGGCGAGTTATTTTAAATGAGTTCTTGCTGAGTAAGCTGATGAGTTGGGAGCTGATGACTGTGACAGACACACATACATACAGCCAGCAATAGTCTAGGTTGACAGTGACTTTCAGATTGACAAGTCCAGTGACCAGCTCAATCCTCATCTTATGATCTATCAGCGACATCTGACACATTTATCCGAGCCTTCCTCCTCGAAGCTCGGCCTTGGGTCTCTCATCTCGCAGCATCCTCTTGTCACCCTCCTTGGTGGGTTCTCTCCCATCTCCCCAACTCTAGATTTTGGCTGCCTGAAGGCTCAGCCCCCAGTTCTGGGTCCACACTGCCTCTCTAGGTGACTTCAGCTGAACCCACGGCTTCCATGCCATGATACTGCTCCTGAATTAACTTATGCGGACAACATCCACATTTATGCCTCTAGCCTGCACCTCCAGGCTGGTAACCCAACTGCCCACCTCAAACTCTAGCTGGAGTTTTACTGGGTACCACGGATGTTACCTGCCCAAAACCAAACTCTCGACTTTTACCCTCAAATCTGCTACTCTACAACTTTCCCCATTCCATATTGTTTTTCTACTTGTTTTGGCAAAAAACCTCAAAGTTCACCTTGTTTCCTTTCTATCCCTCCCATGCCATACCCAGCCTACCAGAAAATCCTGACAACTCTCTCTAAAGTAGATCCAGAATCCCTTCATATCTCACCACCTCCATCACAACCGCCCTCATCCCACATGGGGATGACACAGTGGCCATCTGTGTAGTCTCCCTGACCCCATTGGAACAGATCCCTTGTCCTGGGCTGGCCCCCAGCCCCTTTCAGCCTTGTCTTCTGCCTCCCCTCGCCCACTGCTGTCCAGCCCCTGGATGTGCAGCAGACGAGGACATCCTCAGGTGTCTTGTATGTTGTTCCCTTTCCCTGGAATCCTGTCTTCCCAGGTTTGGGGATGACTTGCTCCTTCACCTCTTCACATTTCTGCACGAATATCACCTCGTTAGAAAGGCTCCTCCAACCCCTGTATGACATAGGAACCCTCCCTGCTTTGTTTTCCTCTAGTGCTCACCGTCCCCAGCAGATGGAATATTTGTTTGTCTGCTTGTTTGTGCCCCCAGCTAGAATGTGAACTTCAAGAGAGTGGCGCAGGGGCTTTGTTCTATTCTCAGTGCCTAGAAAGGTGCTTGGCACACAGATGTGTTTCCCAAATATGTGCTGAATGAACGGAAGAGTATACAGCCCTCCCAGGGGCTTTCTGCTCCTGCCCAGCCTAGGGGCCCCTCCTCTCCCTCCAAGAGCGGCTCTCAGCTCACAGACCTGGGCCCTGGTTTCCCCAGGTGCGTCTTCCTGCCTGACCAGGGTGCCTTCTTTGTGAACTATGTCATCGCCTCGGCCTTCATCGGCAATGGCATGGAGCTGCTGCGGCTGCCAGGTCTCATCCTCTATACCTTCCGCATGATCATGGCCAAGACGGCTGCTGACCGCAGGAATGTCAAGCAGGTGCCATCCCCTGGGCCCAGGGCTGTGCCTCTGACTCCCTCCCATGTCCCCCTTCACTGACCCGAGGGCCTCTCACCCCCACTACCCCCACTAGTGGGTAGCATTTACCTGACTACCCACTAGTGCAGGCACTGGGCTAAGTGCTTCTCAAACCCGGGTCCAGGCAGGCGTGGCCTCCTCCAGCCTCCTCTCTAGCTCACAGGCTGGAGGAGAGAGCTTGGGACTTTGGCATTTGAAACGGTTTGATCGCACACATACATACATACAACTCAAACCAACAGACTCTTTTTCTGTAGGCACCCATTTGCATAAATTCTTAGCCAAACCCCAGATGTCAAAGGCATTTTCGGCTTGTGGCATTTATTCCAGGATTCCCTGAACTGGAGGGTGTGGCTTTCTCTTTTATTCTCCTCTGCCATGGTGGGCACTGTGCGAGGAAAGTGGGAGAAGTGCTGCATTCCTTCATTTCATTCTCAGCCCCCTTATGAGCTGGGCACTGCTAGTATCCCGATTTCACAGAGGCATGAACTAAGCTGGCCCAGGATCCCCTGCTAGAAGGGCTGGAGTCACTCTACACCTCTTCCCTGACCACCTCTTCCCTCCAGGGGCTCACATGCCTGTTGGGTGGAACGAAGGGAGCACTAGCAAACACGCATCACCATGCCTCGGGAGGGCTGGGTGCACTGAGTGAAGCAGGGCAGGCTGGGAGGGATGGGAAGGACCTTGGGAGGCGGGGAGCCACGCATCTCCTATTTCCAAAGTCCTCCTCCACCCTGCTCTCCCATCACCACTTAGAGAGCACAAAAGGGTGTTTGAGGTGGAACAAGTCCATGAGCTCCTCACCACCTCCTCCTCCCAGAACCAGGCCTTCCAGTACGAGTTTGGAGCCATGTATGCATGGATGCTGTGTGTCTTCACTGTCATCGTGGCCTACAGCATCACTTGTCCCATCATCGCGCCATTTGGTGAGTGGCCCTGGAGCCTGTCCCAGGGTACATGGGTACATGGACGGCTGATTGCACCAAACCTCTCGGGGACAGCTATCACCAGGGCACAATGGAGTTCCCAAAACCACAGCCACAAGAGCCACAAGCTGCTAAAGACTCACGTGACACCAGATTTCACTCATTTCTTTCTTTTTTTGTTTTGAGACAGGGTCTCATGCTGATGCCCAGGCTGGAGTGGCATGATCTTGGCTTACTGCAACCCCCACCTCCTGGGCTCAAGCCATCCTCCCATCTCAGCCTCCTGAGTAGCTGGGATTACAGGTGCCCGCCACCATGCCTGCCTAACTTTTTGTATTTTTAGTAGAGATGGGGTTTCACCATGTTGGCCAGCCTGGTCTTGAACTCCTGACCTCAGGTGATCCACCCGCCTCAGCCTCCCAAAGTGCTGGGATTATAGGCATGAGCCACAGCACCCGGCCTCATTCATTTTTAAATGAATTCCTCCCACTGGCCCTCAGCTAGGACCTCTCTTAGTATTTCTGGTCTGAGGTTCTCTGCCCACTGACTATGTCGTTCATGGTTGATTTCTTTAGCAGCAAGTAAGACAGTGCCAGAGTCACAATCAAAGCTCTCGTGCTGCTTTCACTCTGGCAGATGCCTGCCTCCACGTGGATTACCACATTTCTCACCTCATCCTACAAGGCAGTTCCTGTTTCTATTCCCCCTTCACACAAAATAACTTCGTATGTTGTTAGTAAGCAGGAGAACCAGCCTTTGAACTCAGGACTGTTTAAAGACCAAGGTCCTGGCCACTGAAATAAAACATCTGCAACTGGCAGATTAATGAAAGGCTCTAGAAGGAAACAAAAAACCCAAGAGACTGCTGGCAGTGATAGCTGAGTTTTAGGGGGAAAAGTTGTTTTAGTTTTCCCTGTATACTTTCTTGTGTAGTTTTAAAAATCTACAGTATTTACACTTTCAAAACAAAATTTATTTTTTAAAAAAGAACCTGGGGCTGGGCACGATGGCTTATGCCTGTAATCCCAGCACTTTGGGAGGCCTAGGCAGTGCATCACCTGAGGTCAAAAGTTCAAGAACAACCTGGCCAATATGATGAAACCCTGTCCCTACTAAAAATACAAAAATTAACTGGGCATGGTGGCAGGCGCCTGTAATCCCAGCTACTCGGGAGGCTGAGGTAGGAGAATCACTTGAACTCAGGAGGCAGAGGTTGCAGTGAGCCAAGATTGCACCAGTGCACTCCAGCCTGACCAATGAGCGAGACTCCATCTCAAAAAAAATAAAAAATAAAAAAACAAAAGAACCTGGCATAATAGAAAAGGCAGCACCCACTTTCTGTTGGTCCCCTGTGTGCTCCTGTGCCACCCCTGGGGTAAGACCCTTGGGCCTCATTCTCTGTTGACTGTGATGAGGGCAGGGATCAGCCGGGTGGGAGAAGGCCAGGGGTGTGGGAGCACTGACATACAGGGGCTCAGCATGGGAAGGGCTGGGGAGGAATTGAGGCCAGGCATCCAACTGTGAAACAGCCTCTTTCCAAGATGATTCTGGAATGTTAGTGTTCTGTGGGGACAGGATCACAGACACTGTGACTCCCTTGGTGCAGGGTCTGTCCCACAGACCCTGACCCAGCGACGGATGAAAGACATACACTGCCGGGTGCGGTGGCTCTCGCCTGTAATCCCAGCACTTTGGGAGGCAAAGGTGGGCGGATCACGAGGTCAGGAGATCGAGACCATCCTGGTTAACATGGTGAAACCCTATCTCTACTAAAAATATAAAAAATTAGCCGGGCATGGTGTCAGGCGCCCGTAGTCCCAGCTACTTGAGAGGCTGAGGCAGAAGAATGGCATGAACCCAGGAGGCGGAGCTTGCAGTGAGCCGAGATCGCACCACTGCACTCCAGCCTGGGCAACAGAGACTCTGTCTCAAAAAAACAGACAGACAGACATACACTGACAGATATTTTGCCTGTCAGTGCGGCTAAGGGGCTCTGCAGCCTGAGTCTGCAGTGTAGTCCTCAATGCCAGGCGAAGTTCGCATTTATTTAGTACAGACTAAATGACAAAGGTCTCGAGTAAACACCACTAGAGGGTAATTAACATTGCCGACCCCCTGAATAGCGAGCAATCATGCACCAGTGGATGATCAAAGGTTGGTCTTAGGACCACATGAGTAAACAAGCTATTTAGGTAAACTCCCCCACATTCCTATGTATCTGCACCCTAAGCTTTTAAGAGAATTCAGCTGCCTTCAGCCAAACCCTTTACTGAAGCTATGCAAACCTCTCGGCTTTCCAAGAAGGTTTGTGTCTATTTCCTATAACTTTATCTTAAATTTTCTCCCACCACCCTGACCGATCCCCTACACCTTGGGGTCACAGATAAGTGAGGAAGTGGGTAGGAGAGAGAAAGTGAAAAAAAACTAGTAGCCAGAGGTGCAGGATGCCTCATTTTGTGTTCAGGCAGTAGAGCAGCAGCCCCAGCCCTGGCTCCTTGCCAAAATAGCCGCCCCGGAGAGGAAGAGGACAGAGGTGTCTGTGTGGCCCTGCGAGGTCTCCAGCTCACAGCCCCATCCCCTGCAGGCCTCATCTACATCCTGCTCAAGCACATGGTGGACCGGCACAACCTCTACTTCGTCTACCTCCCAGCCAAGCTGGAGAAGGGGATCCACTTTGCCGCTGTGAACCAGGCCTTGGCAGCCCCCATCCTGTGCCTCTTCTGGCTCTACTTCTTTTCCTTCCTGCGCCTGGGTGAGCAGCCCTTCTGACCTGGGGCCAGCCCTTGGCCTCCCAGCCCTGCATCCCCACCAGCCAGTCAGATCCCTCATTGCTTTCACAGCATCAGCATGGCATCCAGTCAGAATGTGGTGCCCAGAGTGAGGGCTGGTTAGGTGTCCCATCAGAACGTGGTACCCAGAATGAGGGTTGGTTACATGTCTAGTCAGAATGTGGTGCCCAGAGTGAGGACTGGTTAGGTGTCCAATCAAAACATGATACCCAGGGTGAGGGGCTGGTTGGGTGTGGTGTTGACAGCCTGGCTCCTAAGCTAGCCCGAGTGCAGGTGTAACCCTTGTGAAGGCCTGGTCAATTGTCCCATACATCCCTGGAGAGAAGATAGTGCCTTTATCAGCTGTGCAGGGACTGAACCAGAGGAAATGGGGAAGCTGATCCAGATTTGCCCTTTGAGGCTGGTGGTTGGGCCCAGCTCCTTGTACCTCCTGGCATGGAAGAGGTGGGGACGTGGAGGAGAGAAAACTGACACTCCTGGGGGAAAGACACGTCTGCCCCGGTCAGACTGGGGGTGTGGGAGGGTCCATCCTCTCTAGCCCAGGGCACTGGAGACTGGAGGGAACGGACCAGCAAGGAGGCTGAAGAATTGCCATTGACTTGGCACCCCAGTGCCTGAAATCTGACCAGGGATGATGCCAGTCATTCAGTGGGTCCCTCTGTGTGTTCCTGGCTGTGAAGACACCATCCTTGCTGCTGGAGTTGAGGGGTGGGGGTGGGGGGTTAGGCCTTACCTTTATTTTCTGCCTGAGGGAGAAGTCACGGGCAGTTTCCACACCAGGTGCGGCCCCTTCCTCAGCAGGGTGAGGGTAGGTGGTGGCCCCTCCCTGCCCACCCCAAGGCTAGCCACCCTCTATCACCAGGTATGAAGGCCCCCGCCACTCTGTTCACCTTCCTGGTGCTGCTGCTCACCATCCTGGTCTGCCTGGCTCACACCTGCTTTGGATGCTTCAAGCACCTCAGCCCTCTGAACTACAAAGTAAAGGCCCCCGACCCCACTGCCCGGTCAAGCCCTGGGAGGAACAGATGGTGGGACGGGCTCGCTGTCAACCCCGCCCACCCTTGTCTGTATCAACACAGCAGCAGCCTTCTCCAGATTCTGCTTCTCCATGGGAAAGGCGTGGGTGGTTGGGTGCCATGTGTAGCTTCCCTTCCTCCCCTCATCCCTGCACTCCCCCACCCCATCCTCTCTCGGGCTGCTGGGGAGCTTGGTGCCAGCTGGTACTATTATTCCGGGTGTTAATAGTCTGTGTGTTTGGAGGGTGTTTGTTCACAGAGATCAGTTTTGTTTATCATCGCAAGTTTTTGCTGTTATCTGCAGACAGAAGAGCCTGCAAGTGACAAAGGAAGTGAGGCAGAGGCCCACATGCCCCCACCGTTCACAGTAAGCTGTGCCCCTCAGCCTCTGAGCTTGTCGCCCTTTTTTTTGCTTTGGTTGTAACAGTCCCAACCAGATGGGCCCCGGCAAATCTTTGATCATCTCTTGCTAAGATCACATGGCAGGCAAGTTTGTGAATTAATGGCAGAGAAGGAATCCTGGTCCCCCTGGGTATTTTAACCTGCATATTTGAAACTGTTGAGGAGATAGAGTCTTGTCTCGATTCATGGCCATCCCCCTTGGTTTCAGTTCCCTGCTCTCTTTCCTTCTCTGCATATTTAATGCCTGGTGAGTTTGGGGCTTTAGTGAAGGCACATGGTAAGGCGCTAGGGTTTGACAAAGGTTTGTCATCAGCGATGCACCTGCCTGTGCGAGGTCCTCCACTAGGCTCCAAGAGGGTGTCAGGCAGACTTCCCTTTGAATTCAAGAAATGAACATTGCACCTGCTTCAGAGGAAGACCCCATGGTAGAGAGACACAGGGCTCCTTGCCTTCCTAGTTCTCTCTGCACACAGCCTCCAGGGTCCTGCTCCTAGGGTGGGGCTGGGAAGGGAAAGCAGAGCCCCAGGGTTCCAGAGCTGTAGTCACCAGCCTTCCTGACAGCCGTGGCCAGGACAGAGCCGACCTCATCTGCAGGGTTCTTTCTGGTGGCTGCCTCCCAGGTGTCAGGCTCTCTTATCGGTGTCTGTCCTTGGACAAGTTCCAAACAAGGGAGGGCCTCAGAAGGACTCATTACCCAGCGACACACCTGTGGCTATGCTGGCCAAGCAGGGAACATGCAGGACAGGTGGATGATGTCAAGCCCTCACAGCCAGGGTCTCAGGAGGAGTATGGCAGGGCTCTGTGCCTGGGGTCAGTGGCTGGAGCCTGGGATTGGGAGGAAATGAGACTCAAAATGAGACTCACACAGATATGTTGAGCATCCCAGGGGTCCCAGGGCAGCGTTCTAAGCCCCCCTATATAGGTAGACTTGTTTCTTCTACAAAGTGAGAAATCCTCCTAGGATCCAGGGCTAGGAAGTTTAGTTTCCTCTGAGAACTGCTCTCTTGTGCTTCCTTCTGTGATCATGAGAACTGTATAACTGTGCTTTCTCTTTTGCCCTGGCTGCTAGGAAATTCTGCAGGTGTCATATTTTCGGTCTTAATGTCCTAAATGGATGTCGGTGTTTCTTCATATGTCCTTTATGGCCACTGTCTGTGTCCTGTTGGGAGAAGGGCAGGAGGGGAGGGATGCAGTGTGGAAGCTCATGCCTGTCCAGGCCAAGCACAAATCCATTTGCTGACAGCCCTACGTGCCTCGGATTCTGAACGGCTTGGCCTCGGAGAGGACAGCACTGTCTCCGCAGCAGCAGCAGCAGCAGACCTATGGTGCCATCCACAACATCAGCGGGACTATCCCTGGACAGTGCTTGGCGCAGAGCGCCACGGGCAGTGTGGCTGCTGCCCCCCAGGAGGCCTGAGGCTGGGTGAGCTGCTGGCTGGGCCAGGCTCAGGGGAGCCTGTGGGGTGAGAAGACAGGTGAAGCGGCCTGACTCCCAAGTTCATGACTTCTTCCCATCTGTTTTAGGTCTCACTGCTCTGAAAAGACACAACCAGAATGGCCTGGGGCTCAGGCCCTTGGCTGAGTGGGAATGCGTTGGGACTGCCCAGCTGAGCTATCAGGTGCCCATCTTTTCTGGTCCCAGCAGTGGTGAGGAGAGCACAGGCAGGCCTCGCCCCTCCCTTGCTCACCCAGTTTCCCCTCCGGCACAAGCTTCCAGCTCTGCAGCTGGGGTGACATCCCCAGTGGTTTGTCGCCAAGACCATGTGGTGGACTTTTCGCCCCCCAAACTGATGAGTCCGGGAGAATATATGGAGAGAGAGATGTAACAAGGGGAAGGCCTCCTCCCTTCTGAGCACACACACAACCGATAACCAAAGAGATGCTGCAGTCCAGGTCTGAGGTCCCGCTGGCATCCAGCTCCCTGCTCCATGGCCAGTCCCTCCCCAGCCCAGCAGTCCCTCCAGGCTACATCCAGGAGTAAGCTATGGGGAACAGGTTGGGAGGTGGCCAGTGCTCCTGCCAGCTGTGCACACATCTCTGTATCCCGCTAGAGTTCTGTGTTTTTGTATCATGTTGTCAGGGACGCTAGCTGGGTCAGGGTTACCCCATAGCAGGCAGGGACAAGGACCACTCATAATATGCCCATTGGACCACAGTTAAGATCCAGCCTCTCTCACCTCTTCAGGGCTGAGTGCATGAGTCTGCACCTCCAGGCAGGCTCTGTGCAGTACTCACCCCCTCCGTCTGCTCCCTCCAAGGTGTGGGGGTGGGCAGTGCTCAGGGCCTCCTCGGAGCCAAAGGACAGCATGGTCGGCACAGAGGAAGGGGTACCTGGGCTGGGTGCAGGGCCATCCCACTGCCCTTGAGCTGTGGCTCTGGCAGGAAGGAGGGGCAGCCCATCCCTCTTCTCCCTCCTGGGGATTCTGGGGAATGGGATGCAACTTAAGACTTCTGCCTGAGAAGCCTCCTCCCTGCTGCCTCCAGGGGGCACCAAGGCACAAGCCTGTGCAGTAGGGGCGGGATGGGGGTGTGGAAGAGCAGGTCCAGGCTCCTAGCACAACTGGCCTGGGGCCTTGGCACCTCTGTAGGCCCTGCCTGTGCCTGTCCGCTGGCCTGGGGGGCCTGGGCTTATCTGGGCCTTCTCACTCAGGGACTCTCTTGACGCTGACTTGCCCCCGCAGTGGTGGCCAGTGCTGCCTCTGCTCCAAGCTGCCCCTGCGCTGGGAGGGGTGGGGGCGGTGCCATTGGTCTGGTGCAGCATAGCCCTGGCCAGTGGCCTCATCCCCAGCAGGCCTCCCGTGCCTCTGCCAGCAAGGAGGGGCCGGCCAGCTCTGCTTGCACAGGGGGCCCCATGTGGGGTCAGCGCACGCTCATGTCACTGAGTTCCAGCCGCTTTTAGAGTAAAGTCGTTTATCATCAAAGCCATGTTGCTTACCACACGGAGTTGGGGGTTGGGGAGTGAGCTTGGAGGGGTGAGGGGGTGAGCGTGGGCTCCCAGCATGGGCAGGGGACGGAGGCAAACTCATTCCTCAGAAAAGGGGTATCTTCCCCAAGAAAAGCCTGGAGGGCACTTGTGGGGGGAGGTGGCAGGCGGGGGGAGAGGGGTGGGTCATTGCCGCTCCAGCACCGACAGGAACTTGCGGATGTCCTGGGCGAGCAGCTCCGGCTCCTCAAAGGCCGCAAAGTGGCCCCCACGAACCATGTAGGAATAGGAGATGAGCTTTGGGTACTTGAACCTCACCCACTTTTCAGGCGTGTGCAATAGCTCAAAAGGGAAGGCAGAGAAGCCAGTGGGCACATAGACCTTCATCCTGGAAGTGAAAGAGCCGACGGAGGGGTGAGGCTGTGGCCCTGCGCCCCTCCGTCCTGCACAGCAGGGGGTTAAAGCGCCTGGGGGTGAGATCAGCTGGCCCACCCACAAGGAGCCATAAAGAAAAGGACAAATCCAGGGTCTCAACCGCTCTCCCCTCACTGAGGGCCTTCTCTTTTCTGGGAGGGCCACCCAGGCAGGGGCATGGGACAGCCTCTAAATCCCCACCTTTGAGGGTTTCCATGTGAGACTTGGAAATCCCAGAACCATCAGTGCCACTCCAGACCAGCATCCTAGACTGGGGAGCGGTACTGAGGGCCGCCCGGGAGCCAGGCACCTGGTCCCTCCATGAGGGCTTTCTCCAAACACCTCGACCTTTAGTGTTCCCATCCAAGGGCCCCTGGGGCACCTGCAGGCAAGGCTATACTTATCCCACCACCAAGTGCCCTTCGTGGAGCCCAAGACTGGCCGTCCCCCTGCCTCCAGCCTCAGAGGCCCCTGTTCTCGGCTCAGCCAGGCTCACCGCTCATGCTTCTGGGTCATCCAGCCCTGTCCCAGGTTCTCCTTGTAGAAGCGCTGGGAGGAGATGATGGTGCCTGTTGTCCAGTAGAGCATGACGTTGGTCAGCAGGTCGTCCAGGGAGAACTTCCTGGGAACGCAGAACACAAAGCCCCACTCTCAGTGCCACATGCAGTTGTGTGACAAAGGGCAGCCAGAAAGTCCTACAAATGCCAGGCCCTGCCCATGCGGCTTCCCTCCTCAGACCTCATGCAACGTGTGTGGTATCCTCGTGTCACAGGCAGGCTGCGCCCAGGGCACTAGACTGGAGCGCATGGATTTAGTTGAAGTGTCTCTTATCACCCCAAGGTCCTCCCCCCACCCACCTTGCCTCTACACACCTGTCCCCTCTCTCCTGCCACTGACCTCTCCTCCCTCCCCTCAACCCCTGCACCGTGAAACTGCTCAGGGCACCAGCTACTGTGGTGACCACATACCAGGCAGCATGTTCTAAGCTCCTTACCTTCTTTTAATTCATGTTTTCCTCTCAACAGCCTATGGGACATAGGTACTATTATCTCCATTTTACTTATTAAGTGGAGAATCCAAACCTAGCCAGCTTGGGTCCAGGATGCATACTCCACAGCCCCCACCCCACCTTCCACTTTCCCCAGAGCACGCCCTCCCAACCCTACCTTCCTCACTCAAACCCTGAATCTCTAGCAACAGCAGCAGGGAGCAGGGACAGAGATAAAGGGAACAGCCTTTTCAATGTGATTTTGGTGGCAAAATGAAAACTGGTCAATGAAAACTAGTTCCAGTATACACATCACCTCTGTGAACTGGATTTCTGCAAGTTGGCCAAGTGCTTCCATCTCCCTTTCAGCTCTGCCCGCAGCTTGAAAACGACCACGACCACCATTTCCACCCTAGTGTATTCCTGTTCTTTCTAGAACACAGATCTGATCCTGTCTACCTCCTGCTCAGGGATTTGGTGCTCCCTGTAACCCGGGGCCAGAGCTGCAGGAGTGGCCTAGTGGGATAGTCTGGTGGGGCCTCACATCTTGCTCCAGGTATCCGTGTGCAAGGAGCAGGCCAGACCCCCTGCCAAGGTGGTCTTGCAGAAGCTCCATCAACCCCTGTGTCCTGCTGAATGTAGGGCAGGGGAAACAGATCCCAGACGAAGGCCCTGCTGAGGCTCTTGGAGGAGGTGAGGACCTGCCTGCAGGAATGAGTTTGCTTTTGATCTGGCCCCAGTGTACCTGCTTCAGCCTCTGGACAAGCCACCCTTTCCAAGCACCCTTTCCTTGCATTTTTATTGCTTTTCTCTTTGCCTAAGTTTCTCTCCTCCATCCAGCAAACTCCTACTTATCCTCCAAGGCCCAAATCAGATACATTCTCCTGGTCATTTCCCCTCTCTGCCGCTTAGACAAAGAATCCTCCTTCCACTGGACTCTCACAGTCCTTTGCGCATTCATTCAACATCTATGTACTGGGCTCTCCCACTGTTCACCCGGCATTGTTCTAGGTGATGGGGCTACAGCATGGCCAAGACAGAGTCCCTACCCCCAAGGCAGGATTCAGTCTCATTTTACTGTCTTTCCCATCCCCAGCACTGTCTGGTCCTGTGTGTCACTGAAGGAATAAAGGGATGGGCCCTGGAAAGGGTGGGTCAGAGCTGACCTTGGTGAAGCCTGAGTCAGGCCACAGAGCTGGGAGTCAGGCATGTAGAGGATACAGCCTCTAAGGCTCTGAGAGATTAACAGCCTCCTGTCTTTCTGCGACCACCCTCCTGGAACACGCAGTCACGTGACCCTGATGCCAGGCTCTCCAGGGAATCAGGAGGAAAAGCCCAGGTGCTCTTGACAATAATGTGGTGCCTGCTGCCCTGTGGGCTCCCTAATCCCCAGAGGGGCCTGTTCAGCAAAAGGAGCACAAGCAGGTGAGCCTGCATCCTAGTCTTGACCATGCACTGTGAGGCTGGGAACAACCCACCAGGCCACCTCACCCAAAAAATGCAGCTACGTTGGTCACAGGGTGAGGATTTGTAAGAAAGCCAACAATAGAATTTGCTGAGTGCCCCATGCAGAGCAACCAGACAAGGGGATGAAGAGGGTGAGGAGGTTGGCTGCTGGGACCAGGGTCATGACTGCAGGGGCAAACCAGGGCCTCACCTTTCCAGGCCTCCATCCTCCAGGTATCGGAATTCCGTATTGGTCCAGGTGGAAAACTTCTCTAGAATATAGGCAGCCAGACCCACAGGAGAGTCATTCAGAGCAGAGCCTGGCGGGGAGCGGGGAGCAAGGGAGAGACTCAGGCCTGGGGACCAGAGAGCTGGAGCTTCAGGTGTGATGTGTGGCACTGGCCGCAGAGGGCGGGGCTGTGTGCAGGAAGCCACGTTCGAGCACAGGCCTGCCTTAACTCCTGGGTGCTCACATGCCTCGCTTCCTTAACTCTGCCTCGGCATCCTCATCTGATAAACAGGGACGATACCTTCCCACTGTCTCCCAGGGCCTGGCACACTGCCTGCTCAGCTTCCTTCAAACTGAAGGGCCTACGCCTCTGCATTTGGTGGGGTCCCAATGAGAAGTGCTGTTTTTAAAAAGGCGGGGTTTTTCAGTCTATGTGCTCTGATTCATGAAAAATGAGAAGCCACCTAAAAAAGTCTAAAATAGGGGATCAGTTACAAATATTGATATACTCATAAGCCAAAATACTGTACAGTCATTAAAAATGGCTGGAACAGGCTGGGGGCATTGGCTCATGCCTGTAATCCCAGCACTTTGGGAGGGTGAGAAAGGTGGATCACCTGCGGTAAGGAGTTCGAGACTATCCTGGCTGACATGGTGAAACCCCATCTCTATTAAAAATACAAAAAAATTAGCAGGGCATGGTGGTGCATGCCTGTAATCCCAGCTACTTGGGAGGCTGAGGCAGGCAAATTGCTTGAACCCGGGAGGTGGAGGTTGCAGTGAGCCGAGATCGTACCACTGCACTCTAGCCTGGGCAACAGAGCAAGACTCTGTCTCAAAAAAAAAAAAAAAAAAGGCTGGGACAGTGGGACAGGCTGGGTGCGGTGGCTCACACCTGTAATCCCAGCACTTTGGGAGGCCGAGGCGGGTGGATCACCTGAGGTCAGGAGTTCGAGACCAGCCTGGCCAACATGGTAAAACCCCGTCTCTACTAAAAATACAAAACATTAGCCAGGCATGGTGGCAGGTGCCTGTAATCCCAGCTACTTGGGAGGCTGAGGCAGGAGAATTGCTTGAACCTGGGAGGCGGAGGTTGCAGTGAGCTGAGATCACACCACTGCACTCTACCCTGGGCAACAGAGCCAGACTGGGTCTTGAGAAAAAATAAATAAATAAAGCTGGGACAATGGCATAAATGAATCTCACAAACATAATATTGAGCAAAAGAAGCCAGACTCAAGGGTATATACTCTGTGATTCTATTCATAGGACTTAAACAGGCACAATCAAAACCATCTCAGTCAGAAGTCAGAGCGTGGTACCTGGGAGAGAACCCCGAGGGGCATCTGGAGTGTTGGGGCCATGTTGGTGATATGGACGTACTTCACTTGTGAAAATTCTCACCAAAATGTTCACAAGTTCTTTTGAAGGAGAGGGGATGTGGGGAGGGAGAAGAGGTTATATGAGATTGTCTTTAATGTTTTGTACTTTTTGCATTTTTAAGCTTTTTGACAACATGTATTTTATAATCAGAGAAAAATGCTGACTTTTATAAAGTGCCATTATTATGATTATGAGCTGCCTCGTGTGTGTGGGCATGGGTTTGCCATGAAAACTATGAAGAACTTTGAGATGGGCAAGACAATTCCTGGGTGTCTTCTGGACAAGATCTAGGGAGTTACCTAGCAGACCTTCCGGACTGACGTGATGCTACAGGGGTCCCATCTTTCCTTGTCATTGAGCTATTTTACAGTTCTGTGAATTGTAAAGAACTGAGGGTAATGCGAATGACTCTTGTTCATAGAGGCAAATGAATTTTGTCCCATGGAGATTTAATTGATATTACTCTGTGGATGTTGACAAGTTTTGTGTCTGTTAGCAAATTAATTTCAGTGTTCTTATTTGTCTTTGAATTGTTTCTTTTTAAAATTTTACTGGTTCCTTTATAAATTTACCTTTTTGAAAAAGTATTGTCCTTTAACAGGACCCTGGTGGCAGACATGGTTGCTGGGCCCTCCCTCACTGCCTGGGAACCTCTTCCCCAAGGCCCCAGGGCACCCTCTCCCCTCTCCCCTGCAGCCCCAGAGCTGCCCACTCCCAGGATTCCTCCTACCTCACCCCCTCCATCCCTCTGCTTCTCAGTGTAGGATATAGACTCAGGGGTGGGAGATCAGGGGTGAAAGCCACTATGAATACTGAGTCGGCTAAACAGAGTTGCTAAATTGGCCTGGGAATCTGCTGAGGGTCCATCCTCTTGATTCTATGGGAAAATGCAGTTTAAAGATCTAAAGAGCTGGGAGGTCCTTACAAGAGGCTTCCTTCTGTGGGCAGCATTGGGGTGGGGTGGTGAGGTTACCCCGCGGGTGTCTCCCTGCCCCAGTGGAGCCGGCAGTGGGCGAGGACCCCTGAGCACACTCACCTACGGTGTCAGGCTTGGTGCACTGGATGTGCATGTAGCCGCTCTCCCTCATCAGGCTGTAGAATACCTTCTCCTTGACGGGGTACAGCAGCTCCACATCCCTCTCAGTGAGGCCAAGAAACCTCCCGAAACGCTGTCCCAGGAGGAGGGTCAGGGTAGAGAAGTTGCTTAAAACCAAAGCCATGTTCAAGTGCAGGCCTTTCACGTGGCTGAAGGCAGAGAGAGGGGCCGGGGTGAGGCTGGGCTGGTGTCAAGGACAGGGAGAGAGGAGAGATGGCGGAGGAACAGGCCTCAGGGCTGAGGAGCGAGCACAGAGCCAGCCTCTTTCAGCACTGGCCCCACTGGGGAGGCCATGGGAGTTGGAGAAGGGAGGTTGGGGGAAAAATACAGTTTCTGGGGAGTTCTGCTCAGGGCTATCCCAGAGCTTGGTCCAGCAGAGAGGTCTAATGCCTGACCTTCCCCTCCTATCACAGGCCTTCTCTGCCTGGGAACCTGACCCAGAGCCGCAACCCTGGGTTACAGACAGGAGGATCCAAGTCAACGTGCCTCAGGCACTGCTGAGTGACAGGTCACACTCCCTCCTCTCCCCTGGGGGGTCCTTGGCCCACCCTGCACACAGGTCCACTTCTTAGAGGACACACACACACACACACACACACACACACACACACCACCCCAACAGTGACCTCACCTGGGCACCAGCTGGGCCATATTAGTGCAGATCAGGGACCCCCAGTCCCCTCCTTGAATGTAGAATTCCTGGAAGCCCAGCCGCAGCATCAGCTTGTAAAAGATCCTGGCGGTGGCCACCGAGTTGAACCCTGGCAGTGATGGGGAAAGGCATGGAGTCACGGAGTCACAGGCAGATTGCTCCTTGGGCCCTCTGGTGTTCTATGAAATTTCTCAGGCCCGCCTACCCCCAGGTGGAGGTCAGAAAAGCTCACAGAGGCAAGAAGGAATCCTGGAGCCCAAATATAGGGGTGGCATCTCCAGCCCCGGAGGGCGGTGTGTCTGGGGCCGGCCTCTCAGGCCCCTCCTTTCCCAGCTTCCTCGGGCCAACTCCCTGCTCACCCCGCCGGAAGGAGAGCCTGGTGGGAACACCGGGCCCACCCTTGGCGAGGACGGGGCAGTTATGGAACCTCTAGCAGCCCCGTACCCTTCTTGGAGGATGCCTCTGAGAAGCCATAGCCAGGGATGGAAGGGCAGATGACTTCAAAAACGTGCTCATCGCTCAGGCCATGGTTCTTGGGGTCAGTCAGGAGTGGGATGATCTTATAAAACTCGTAGAAAGAGCCGGGCCAGCCGTGCACCATCAGCAAGGGCTTCGGGGTATGGCCTGCGGGCAGCTGGGGGGGCTTCACGTGGATGAAGTGGATGTCCAGCCCTGGGGGGACAGAGCACAGTCAGGGTGGAGGGAGAGAGAAGACCCTGCACGGTCAGGCTCTGGCACCCCCCAGAGCCTAGATATTGAGTCCTGCCACCCTTAGTGCCCCCGCCGCCCCTTCATGGTATTGACAGTAATAAGGGCTGACACTGGTTTCACACTCACACTGTGCTCCAGGTGCACAGATGTCCTCACTCAGCCTTCACAACCTCCCTGCAAGGGAGCTACGATTATTGCCTCCCGGTTTCCTTAGAGGTGCCCCCTGACAGCTGGGCCAGGTCTGTACAGCCACTGCTGGGTTTCCAGGGCTCAGGACAGCTCCTGGCTCACAGCAGGCCTCCATAAATACTTGTTCAATAATTTAAAATCTGGAGGGTAGGGAGAAAGCCCCACGTATCCAGCAATACAGGATTAATCAAGTATAGTTTGACAGTATACTGGAGTCCAGTACAGTCATCTAAACTGACAAGGTAGATGTATATTTATTTAACATAGAAAACTGATCAGAAGATATTGCTGGGAGGTAAAAGCAAATGATCAAGTCATATCCATTGTGTGACCCAGTTTTTATAAAAAGTCATCTATGCTTATACTGTACTTATACTATGTATTGGTGAATTTTAAAAGTCTGGGAGGATAAACTCCAAGAATGTAAAAAGCAGTTCTCCTGAGCAGTAGATTCCAGTGCTTTTAATTTCTCTTTGAGTTTTATGTACTTTCCAATTTTTCTACAATGAACAGGTATTAAATGCATAATTTTTTTCATACACATTGACAAAATGTCACCTTTTTCTGATTACCAAATGATATTTTCTTTAAAGTGGAGTATTTTTGGGCCTGGTGTGGTGGCTCACGCCTGTAATCCCAGCACTTTGGAAGGCTGAGGCGGGTGGATCACCTAAGGTCAGGAGCTCAAGACCAGCCTGGCCAACATGGTGAAACCCCGTCTCTACTAAAAATACAAAAAAATTACCCGGGCATGCTGACAGGCGCCTGCAATTCCAGCTACTCGGGAGGCTGAGGCAAGAGAATCGCTTGAACCTGGGAAGCAGAGGTTGCACTGAGCCGAGATCACACCACCACACTCCAGCCTGGGCAACAGAGCAAGACTCCATCTCAAAAAATTAAAATAAAATAAAGTGGAAGATTTTTTTTTAAGTGCAATGCTGAAAACATCATCATAGCCAAGGGCAGGTGAATGGATTCTTGTCTCCTCTGGACTGACTTGGGGCCTCTGCATATCAAAAGAAGGCAGCCCCTTCCCAGGCCAGTGCCCTGGACAGCACCTGGGGCCTTACGGCATTCACAGTGAGGGCGGCTGCCATGCTTGGAACTCTCTGCCACCAGGGCTGGTGCAGTCAGCATGGTCTAGCTAATGTTCTGTTCTGTCGTTAATATATTATACAAATAATACATGTTTACTGTAGAAAACTTAGAAAACACAGATAAGCCAAAGGGGGAAGACTCACATGTAATCCCACTCTCTAAAGAAAACATGGTGTTGTCTGTCTAAACTTTATTTTGGAACAGTTTTAGATTGCTGAAAAACTGCAAAGAATCCAGAAAACTCCCATATACCTCACACCCACCGGGTTTCCTCCATTATTAATATTTTATGTTAGCATGGTACATTTATTACAATTAACGAACCAGACTGAGATATTATTAACTATAAAGTCCATTGATTTCCTTAGTGTTTACACTTTTTATTATATGGCGAGAACACTTAATATGGGTCCTACCCTTTTAACAGATTGTAAGTGTCCAACACTGACGGCGCTCTGCTGTACAGCCCATCTCTAGGATGTATTCGGCTGGCAGGACTCAAACTTTACACAGCAACGATCAGCAATGCCGTTTCCCCTATTCCCCAGCCCCTGACAACCACCCTTCTCCTCTCTGCTTCTGCTGAGTTTGACTATTTCAGATTCCTTCTATAGGTGGAATCATGCGGTATTTGTCCTGTCCCTGGCTTACTTCACTTAGCATTATTTCCTCAGAGTTTATTCATGTTGTCACACATTGCAGGATTTCCTTTTTTTTTCTTCTTCTTTTAGAGATGAGGTCTCACTGTGTTGCCCAGGCTGAAGTGCAGTGGCACAATCACGGCTCACTGCAGCCTCAACCTCCCAGGCTCAAGTGATCCTCCCACCTCAGCCTCTCAAGTAGCTGGGACTACAGGTGGGCAACACCATGTCTAGCCTATTTTTGTTATTTTTTTTTGTAGAGAAGGGGTCTCGCTATGTTGCCCAGGCTGGTCTCAAACTACTGGGCTCAAGCCATCCTCCCACCTTGGCCTCTCAAAGTGTTGGGATTACTGGCGTGAGCCACCACACCCGGCCAGGATTTTCTCCTTTTTAAAACCTGGATAATGCTGGTATCTACACACAACAAAATATGAGCCAGATTTCCTCAGTTTTTCCCCTGATATCCATTTTCTGTTCCAGGATCCCATCCAGGACTCACACACCACTGAGCTGTCATGTCTCTTTAGACCCTTCTTGGCTGTGACAGTTCAAACTTTTTAAAAAGACTTAGAGAACATAACTTTTAACAAAAATAGAACCATACATACATTCTATTTTAGAATCTCTTTTTTTTTAACTTAACAATGTATCCTGGGTGTCCTCCTATGTTGCCAAATTTACTCCTATTCTAAAGGACCAAGGCCAAGAACAGGCCTCCAGCCCCGGGCAGGGTGCCAGAACCACACATGGGTAAGTCCACGATGAATTCAATGCTGGAAACTGGCTCTTTTGGAGCCGTTGTACCTGAGGGAGGTTTTGTACCATAAATGCCCAATGTCAGCTGGGTGTGGTGGCTCACACCTATAATCCTGATACTTTGGGAAGCCAAGGTGGGAGAATTGCTTGAGCCCAGGAGTTTGCGATCAGCCTGGGTGACATGGTGAGACCTTGTCTCTACTAAAAATGTAAAAAAAAAAAAAAAGGAAAGAAAAAACAAAGGCCGGGTGCCGTGGCTCATACCTGTAATCCCAGCACTTTGGGAGGCTGAGGCAGGTGGATCACGAGGTCAGGCGATCAAGATCATCCTGGCTAACACGGTGAAACCCCGTCTCTACTAAAAATACAAAAAATTAGCTGGGCATGGTGGCGGGCGCCTGTAGTCCCAGCTACTCGGGAGGCTGAGGCAGGAGAATGGCGTGAACCTGGGAGGCGGAGCTTGCAGTGAGTCGAGATTGCGTCACTGCACTCCAGCCTGGGTGACAGAGCGAGACTCCGTCTCAAGAAAAAAAAAAAAAAAAAAAAAAGCCTAGTGTGGTGGTGCATACCTGTGGTCCCAGCTACTTGAGAGGCTGAGGTGGGAGGATCGCTTGAGCTCAGGAAATTGAGGCTGCAATGAACTGTGATCACACCACTGCACTCCAGCCTGGCTGACAGAGTGAGACCCTGTCTCTAAAAAAAACCCAGTCTCATGAAGAACCCTGAAAGGGTCCAGTGGGGTAAGGCTGGCAGCTGCCAGGATGGAAAGGGCCCTTTACTGCCTCCTGCCTCTGGGCCTTTGAACATGCTGTTCCCCTTTCTTGGACCACCTTCCCCACACACCTGGCAAAGTCCCACTCATTTCAGCTTAGATGCCACCTCCTCCAGGAAGCCTTCCCTCACATTCAAAGGAAGATTGTGGGGCTCATGAAGCTCCCAGAGCCTCCTCCTTCAGAACACCGCCACTATGTGCTGGAATTGCCCCTGAAGAGCCTATGAGCTGTGAAGGAGGGACCCTGTCCTCTCTATGCGTCCCCAGCCCCAGCAGAATGCCTGGGTACAGCAGGCGCCCTGTTAGTTTCTGCTGGATGGACACTGAAGAGCTGGGACAACACAGGGATCCAAGTCAAACTCAAGGAAGCCAGGCAATTTCGTGCCAGGAATCCAAACAGGAACCTATGGTAATTGCATACAGCAGTTTGGCTGGGATTAAGTGGCTTGGATCCTCTTGTTAGGCTCATAATAGAAGATATCAAATTACTGTAAAGAATACAGCAACACTCAAGAGAAGTCCAAATTTGATCCAAAAAATCATTCCAGATTTTTTTTTTTTTTTTTTTTAGTGTTCTTGGCTGAGCTCCAGGATGGGCTCTAGTTCCAGGACACACACCACTGGGATTTGACTTAGCTTTTCTCTGGCTCATTCTCCCACAGGCCTGGCCTGCTTGCATCAGAACAAGGATGTTTGCTGCCCTGGCACCTCCAAGTCGAGGTTTCCGTCCATCCTTCCTTTCTCCCTTTTTTTTTGAGATGGAGTCTTGCTCTGTTGCCAGGCTGGAGTGCAGTGGCGCGATCTCGGCTCACTGCAACCTCCGCCTCCCTGGTTCAAGCAATTCTTTTGCCTCAGCCTCCCGAGTAGCTGGAACTACAGGCACGTGCCACCATGCCCAGCTAATTTTTGTATTTTTAGTAGAGACGGGGTTTCACCATGTTGGCCAGGATGGTCTCGATCTCTTGACCTTGGGATCCACCCGCCTCGGCCTCCCACAGTGCTAGGATTACAGGTGTGAGCCACCGCACCCGGCTTTTTTTTTTTTTCTTTTTTTTTTTTTTGAGACAGAGTCTTGCCCTGTCACCCAGGCTGGAGTGCAGTGGCGCAATCTGGGCTCACTGCAAGCTCCGCCTTCCGGGTTCACGCTATTCTTCTGCCTCAGCCTCCCAAGTAGCTGGGACCACAGGCGCCTGCCACCACGCCCGGCTAATTTTTTGTATTTTTAGTAGAGACGGGGTTTCACCAAGTTAGACCAGGATGGTCTCGATCTCCTGACCTTGTGATCTGCCCGCCTTGACCTCCCAAAGTGCTGGGATTACAGGCGTGAGCCACGGCGCCCAGCCTGTTTTTTTTTTTTTTTTTTAAAGACAGAGTCTCATTCTGTCGCCCAGGCTGGAGTGCAGTGGTGTGATCTCAGCTCACCACAAGCTCCATCTCCTGGGTTCACGCCATTCTCCTGCCTCATCCTCCCGAGTAGCTGGGACTACAGGCACCCGCCACCACACCTGGCTAATTTTTTGTATTTTTATTAGAGACAGGATTTCACCGTGTTAGCTACGATGGTCTCAACCTCCTGACCTCGTGATCCACCTGCCTCAGCCTCCCAAAGTGCTGGGATTACAGGCGTGCGCCACCGTGCCCAGCCTCTCTCTCTTTTTTTAAGAGATGGGGTCTTGATCTGTCACCCAGTGCAGTGGTGTCCTTGTAGCTCACTGCAGCCTTGAATTCCTGGGCTCAAGCAATCCTCCTGCCTCAGCCTCCTGAGTAGCTGGGACTACAGGTGCATGCCACCACACCCAGTTAACACTATAATTTCAATTTCCTTTTTTTAGGAACTTTAGTTTATCTGACTGACCAACATGTCTTTCATACACTTTAAGTAATTCCTAGAATTTTAACAAATTAAAATCTTCACTGTTCCTTGAAAAGGCCAAATTATCTTAAAACATTAAAAATAAGATTCCTAACATGTACAATTTCTTCAATATAAAAAATTAACAAGCTGGGCACAGTGGTGCTCGCCTATAGTACCAGCTATTCAGGAGGTCTGAGGCGAGAGGATTGCTTGAGCCCAGGAGTTCGAGGCTGTGGTGAGCCATGATCACGCCTGTGAATAGCCGCTGCACTCCAGCCTGAGCAACACAGCAAGACCTTGTCTCTGAAAAAGATTAATTGTATGGCAACCCACAGAGTGGGAGAAAACATTTGCAAATATAAGAGATTTTATTCAGAATATATAGAGAACTCCTAAACCCTAATAAAACACCCAAAAAATGGACAAAAGACATGAACAGACATTTCTTCGGAGAAATTACAAAGAATCCAATAAGTACCGCATAAAAAATGCTCAACATCAGTAATCATTAGGAAAATGCAACTCAAAACCACAATGTGATACCATTTCATACCCATTAGGATGACCATTACCGAAAAAAAGAAAGGAAAAAAATATTGGCAAGGATTTGGAGAATCGGGATTCTGAGGCATTGTTGGGTGGGAAAGTAAAATGGTGCAGCTGCTGCGGAACGCAGTATGGCGGTTCCTCAGAAAATTAAACGCAGAATTACCGTATGATCCAACAAGTCCACTTCTGAGTATAGATCCAAAAGAACTGAGAGCAGAGTCTTTTCTTTCTTTGAGATGGAGCCCAGGCTGGAGTGCAGTGGCGCGATCTTGGCTCACTGCAACCTCCGCCTCCTGGCTTCAAGCAATTCTCTGCTTCAGCCTCCAGAGTAGCTGGGATTACAGCTGCCTGCCAACACACCTGGCTATTTTTTGTATTTCTAGTAGAGATGGGATTTCACCATCTTGGCCAGGCTGCTTGAACTCTTGACCTCGTGATCTACCCACCTCAGCCTCCCAAAGTGCTGGGATTACAGTTCTGAGCCACCCCACTTGGCCTGGGTCTAAATCTCATCTCCATCCTTCCTCTCAAAGATTGCCACATCATTGGACTGGATGGTGCATTTCTTTGGTTTTTAAATTGCATGTATGTGTTCCTGCCTAGCTCTAAAGATGGACAGATTTGTTGTGACTGCAATATTTTTGCATTTAGTAAGGTTACAACGTATAAGTACATCTCAGTCACCTATAATTGGGTTCTGAATCTCTCCAACTTTATCTGACTGTAAGTCACATTGTGGAAGAAGGCTGTTCTCATGACATACATCCCTCTCTGGCTGGCGTTTTGCAAACATACCTTCAATCTTAGTCTTGAAGTGAGGGTATCTGTTGAGAATCTCCACCTGCTTCTTCCAGTCAAATTCATTCCGCCAGTAGGAGATGACTTTCTTCAGGTAGTTGGAGTTGAAGCCATAGTGGAAGCAGCTGTCCTCCAAAGGTGGGGTGAAACGGAACTTATCGATCCTCTGGTGTAAGTCCTGGAGCAAAATTCAGGACCCCAAGTTGAGAGGGATGGGAAGGACAGAGCACAAGAGCAAAGTCTGTTTCCAGAAAACACAGCAAACCCTGCAGCCACAAGATACTGCCCTCTGGGAGTGGCAAGGCAGTTTCCCACATCACTGGCTACTCCCAAAGCGGATGTGTTCTTCACTTCTTCCTTCTTCACTGTAGACTTCGCATTTCTTTTTTCTTTTTTCTTTTTTTTTTTTTGAGATAGGGTCTCACTCTGTTGCCCAGGCTGGAGGGCAGTGGCGTGATCTCGGCCCACTGCAACCCCCACCTCCCAGGTTCAAGCCAGTCATGCCTCAGCTCCCAGAGTAGCTGGGATTACAGGTGTGAGCCACCATGTCCGGCTAATTTTTGCAT
This sequence comes from Homo sapiens, assembly GCF_000001405.40. NCBI lineage: Eukaryota > Metazoa > Chordata > Mammalia > Primates > Hominidae > Homo > Homo sapiens. The sequence goes on along the minus strand of NC_000001.11, from coordinate 225,831,390 downwards.
TTTTAGTAGAGACGGGGTTTTGCCATGTTGGCCAGGCTGGTCTTGAACTCCTGGCTTCAAGTGATCTGTCTGCCTTGGCCTCCCAAAGTGGTGGGATTACAGGTGTAAGCCACTGCGCCCAGCTCATCTTTTACTCTTTAAGTGTATACACGATACTCATCTTTAATTTACCCAGGCGTCTCTACAGCGGGAGTCGGCAAACTTTTTCTGTAAAGGGCCAGATAGTAAATATTCTAGGCTTTGCAGGCTGCAGTGACTCCACTGTCTTCATAGTGTGAAAGCAGCCACAGCCAATGCACAGATGAATGGGGGTGGCTGTGTTCCAATAAAACTTTATTTATGGACAGCCATAGCCAATGCACAGATGAATGGGGGTGGCTGTGTTCCAATAAAAATTTATGGACACTGAAATCTGACTGCTATATAATTTTCACGTCACAAACTATTATTCTTCTTTTGATTTTTTTCCCCCTAACTATTTAAAGAGGTAAACACTATTCTTGGCATGGGCGCTGTGCTAAAACAGGTAGCAGGCTACATTTGGTCTATGGGCCTGGTTTCCTGACCCCTGATATACAACATTGAATGATACATTATAACTGAGTTGGGATAAAAATTACAGGCCAGGCCCAGCACGGTGGTTCACGCCTGTAATCCCAGTGCTTTGGGAGGCCAAGGCAGGTGGATCACTTGAAGTCAGGAGTTCGAGACCAGCCTGGCCAACATGGCGAAACCCCATCTCTACTAAAAATACAAAAATTAGCCAGGCATGGTGACAGGTGCCTGTAATGCCAGCTACTTGGGAGGCTGAGGCAGGAGAATCGCTTGAACCCAGGAGGCGGAGGTTGCAGTGAGCCAAGATCGCACCACTGCACCCCAGCCTGGTGACAGAGCAAGACCCTGTCTCCAAAAACTAAAAAATTTACAGACCAGGAGAGAGGGTGCAAGTCTCATTGGCATGTATTAGGCTAAAAGGCCAGCCCCAGAGGGAGGAAGTTCATGTCAGCTTAGAGAGCCTCTCAAGCATCACCATTCCCAGGCTTCTTCCCAAGTGTTTCAGTTACCCCCAAACAGATTTTGGAAATCTCAGACTCCCTTAGGAGTCTAATTCCCTAAAGGAGCTTTCCTTAGGGCTCAGCCTTGGCCCTAAATAGCAAGGCTGCAGCAAGCAAGTCCTACCCAGGGAGCCTCAGCCTGGTTGCTCTTGGGTTTAGCCCAGCTTCTGCTTTTAAATCTCTTCCTCCTTGGAACTCTCATGACTTTTATCCATGCTTTTTGTGACATTTATCCTTATGCATCTGTTTCTTTTTTTGAGATGGCATTTCACTCTTGTTGCCCAGGCTAGAGTGCAGTGGTGTGATCTTGGCTCACTGCAGCCTCTGCCTCCTGGGTTCAAGGGATTCTCCTGCCTCAGCCTCCCGAGTAGCTGGGATTATTATAGGTGCCCGCCACTATGCCCGGCTAATTTTTTGTATTTTTAGTAGAGACGGGGTTTCACGATGTTGGCCAGGCTGGTCTTGAACTCCTGACCTCAGGTGATCCACCGCCTCAGCCTCCTAAAGTGCTGGGATTAAAAGCGTGAGCCACCGCACCTAGCCTATCTTTATTTATCTTTTAGTCTACTTTTCTTTGTGCACATTCCTTTTCTCATTCACTGGACTGTATGCTGTTGGACGGAAGGGGCTGTCTCTTCTCCCAAGCACTCACTGGGCCTGCACACAGTAGGTGCTCAAAACCCACGGAATGAAAGAAAGGATTGGCAGGGCCATGCCAGGCCTGCCTACCGTCCTGTCCCCCACTCAAGCCTTGCTCCTCCCCGAGAATGCATTCTCAGTTCACCCCACCTGCCCAGTCACCTCCTTCCTGACTCTATCCCTGTGCAGAGGAGGGGCAGCAGCTTCAGGATTAGATTGGACTTCAAATCCTTCCGCATGTTAGCTAGGCCGCCTTGAACGAGTTGCTTTATGCCCCTGAGCTTCAGCTTCTGCATCTGCAGTTTGGGAACAACAATCCTCACCCCGCGGGATCACCGTAGGGATTGAATGTGACCAGGAATGGCTGACACACAGCCGGTGCCTAACCAGTAGCATCCCTGCCTTCTCAGTGCTTCCTGGGTCTCTGACGGGAACCTGCTCACTTTCTCCCACAACCTCACTCCCAAGGCTTCAGGCAGGGCATAGAGGAGGTGATGACAGCTGCTTTCTGTGACCTTTGATACAGGTTACCCCATCTCCTGCCTGAGCACTGCTGGGCCTTGGGTAGGGAAAGGAGAAGAGAGAAAGTGGGAGGGCTGGGCATCCCTCTCCAAAGCAACCTGCACCTGCCCAGCAGAGGAAAAGCAGACTGAAACACACTCCCAAGTAGGATGGACCATTCCCAAGCCCCCGTCCCCTCCCGCATCTGGCCTAAGACCCAACCCCTGTCTTCGACACACCACCCTCTCCACTGCCCAGCCCGGCCCGGCCCAAGGTGCCTTACGTGGATCTCCTCATCTGACGTTTCCACCTTGAAAGGGCGGATGCTGTCGTCCTCCCTGGCTGCGGACCTCGTGCCTGGCCCCCACCACCCATCTTCAAGTGGCAAAGTTTCCTCTTTGTCCCGGGAGATGAACCAGTAGATGGCAAAGCCCAGCACTGAAGTGAGGAGGATTTCTAGCCACATGGCTCCTGCAAGATGAGGGGAAGCCATTAACAACGGAGCCCGCCCAGCCCGGCCCTGACAGCCCAGAGACTCTGATCCCCAGCAGGCTCTTTCCTGCTGCGCTCCAACCCTGTCCCTGATTTTATTTACACTTGACCTAATATATACATATTATATATATATATACACACACTATATACATATTATATATAGTATAAATATTATATATATATGATCTAGAAAAATGGAAAAACAACAGACAATGAGACAAAATCACCCACAATCCTACTAAGCTTTGAAAACTGTTCATCATCCTGGGAAAATAGGAACCTGGTTTGGCTTCTGCACAGCCCTGGGTAGGGGGTTTTGGGAGCTACATTTCTGAGGCCTCATGTTGTTTTTTTTTTTGAGATGGAGTTTCACTGTGTCACCAGGCTGGAGTGCAGTGGCACAATCTCAGCTCATTGCAACCTTTGCCTCCCAGGTTCCCACCATTCTCCTGCCTCAGCCTCCCGAGTAGCTGGGACTACAGGCACGTGCCACCACACCCAGCTAATTTTTGTATTTTTAGTAGAGATGGGGTTTCACCATGTTAGCCAGGATGGTCTCAATCTCTTGACCTCGTGATCCGCCCGCCTCGGCCTCCCAAAGTGCTGGGATTACAGGTGTGAGCCACGGCGCCCGACAGCCTCATGTTTTTTGCATGTCTGAGAAGGCTTCTGTCCATGACCTCTGGGTTCCCTCCCCCAGGGGAGAGGAGCACCTTTCCTGAATGGTGGCCCACAGCCCCTGCTCTGTCCTTCTTGGAGAGAGGCTTATCCTCAGGGCAGACGGGGTAATGGGGAGGCCCAAGTGCTGGGAGAGTAAGTTCAATTTGGGGTTGGGGGACACTGCTAGGAAGCCCAGCCATGGCCACACAGCTTAGCTGTGTAAGAGCTTTATTGAAACATAATTCATATACCATACAATTCGCCCATTTAAAGTGAACCCTCCAGTGGTTTCTAGGATATTCACAGACATGTGCAGCCATAGCCACAGTCAACTGTAGAACATTTTCATCGGCACGGAGAAACTCCATACCCTTCAGCTGTCGCTCCCCTACTGCCCTCCACGTTAGGTCCTAAGCAGCCTCTAATCTACTTTCTGTGTCCATAGTGTTGCCTGTTACATTTCACATCAACTCAGTTGTCTTTTAATCCCCATTTGTCTGACTCCTGTGTCTTTTTTGATCAGAAGAGGAAGAAACCATAGTCTTGGCAAAGCACTATCAGGCAGATACCAGCCCAGCATTGTTATCTAGCTCTTCATCTTCCTCATTCCTAGGGAAGTAACCCATAGACTGTTCTTGTTCAGAGTAACCTGCATGAATATGCGGGCCGTCCTTATGCCTGAGTCAGAGGAGGGTCTCTAGATGCACTGCAGTTAGGACCCAGACGGAGGAGAAAGCATCGAGTTCTGACAAGGCCCCTGCAAACCACGCCCCAGCAGCGCCCCTCGCTCTGTCTTGGAAACCCAAGGCAGGAGGTGGTCCCTGCTGGGAACCCCACCACTTGCATGTCCTCCATTGGCTACATGTCAGATGTTTGGGACTCTGCTGGGGGGTTGCAGAGGCCCTGGAGTTTGCTCCTGTCAAGAGCTGCCCCTCTAAACCTAGAATTGGGCTACTGGGGGTCGTTCTATGAAATACTTGTCCACAGTGGTCCAGCGATAGAGCTCCAAACAGAAATCCACCCAGGGCGATGGCTCTCGCCTTATTCCTGCAGTTCTGTAGGAAATCTAATCAGGAAAATCAGCTTGGCACCCCCCACCTCCGCGTTTCTATCAGTGATCCCAGTGAACTCCCAGCTTCCCACCCTCAGGCCCTAGAGTCATCTCCAATTCTTTCCCCACAGCCCATCACCAAGTCCTCATGCCATCAGATTCAGCCCCCTGTGTGCCTCGCCCCCTCCCCTGGACCAGAGCCCTTATCACCCCACATGTGATTATGGAGACAGCTTTCAAGAGAGGAAACCCACAACCTCTTCTCTCATAGTCACCAGCATACTTCTTAGAACCGACTGCAGCCTTCGTCCTGGGAATCATGCCCAGGTGTCCACCCTTGAACTTCCAATCTATCTCCCTCTCTGGATTGTGAAACTCTAAAGTGCCTCAAGGTCTCACTGATCAACATTTACTCAGTCTACCATGTGCCAGGGGGCAGGCCTTCGCTATCCCTGCTGGAGACACGTGGGACACGTTGATGCATGTTCCATCTCCAGCCAAGCCAGGCCATTGCTTTCCCTTTTTTTTTTTTTTTTTTTTTTGAGACAGAGTCTCAAAGAGTGCAGTGGTGCGATCTCGGCTCACTGCAACTTCTGTCCCTGGGTTCAAGAGATTCTCGTGCCTCAGACTCCTGAGTAGCTGTGATTACAGGTGCATACCACCACCTCCTGCTAATTTTTGTATTTTTAGTAAAGACAGCGTTTCACCATGTTGGCCAGGCTGGTCTCAAACTCCTGACCTCCAGCGATCCGCCCACCTCGGCTTTCCAAAGTGATGAGATTAGAGGCACGAGCTGCTGTGCCTGGCCCTGTGGCTTTCATCTTTCAATCCCAAGCAGTAACAGTGCCTGGGCCCCAAGGACCCTATGTCAGCTGATCAGATGGGCAGCTGGGACCACACTCCCACAATAAAAACAAGGCAGGGAATACCTGGAAATGAGTTCCTCTTATTTAAGTAATTCAGAAAAGAAAAAACATGCATCAGCTTCTTTCATTTCCAGAAAGACGTTATGTCTCTGCCAGGAAATCCTGCCCTTTAAGAAGATGGAGAAAAGTCAGCTAAAAGCCCCTGCGGTATTGAAAGCAGGACTAGGGGTTAGGGACTGGGAGACACATGGGAGCGTGTGGGAGGCAGCCGAAGGCAGAGAGCAGAGCTTCCCCCAGCAACAGGAGCAGCTGAACACACTTCACTGGGCAGGCAGATCCTACCACAATAAACCATAGCTTGGGAAGGCAGGGCTGTGCCCGTCCTGGGCACTGCCTTGACCCACAGTGCCCAGCACTGGTGACTGGCCCAGCACAGCGAAGAGCTCCACCAATATTTTATGCACTAGAAGCTAGTAAGACACATTTTGCATGATGTTGTCAAGGAGGCTGCGAGCATAATATTAGAACAATAAAGAGGGATCACCCTCCCCAGTGAACTTTACAAACCACCCTCCTTACCTGTACCTCAGCACAGGGAGAAGCACTGCTGTCGCTTCCCTCTAGGATATAAATGTGCAACTTTCCCCTTTCTGGGCAGAAAGATCCCAGTGCTTTCACCTGTCCACCAGGCTCCACGTTCTCACCCTCTGATTACTCCTTGGGAAAGAGAGCTGTGGAGCTCTGCACCTGGCGATGCTCTAAGGGCCTGTGAGAGAGGCAGGGCAGGCTGCAGGCACTGGCCCCCACTCCCCACGGCCTTCTGACAATTGCACAGTCCTGCCAAGTCAGCCAATCTCATGTGTGCACAGCGTGGTTATCTCCCCTGGACTCTGCACAGCAAACTGAACCACGCTGACCTGAGAGATACAGGGCTGAAATGATCAGTGCTCGAGTCCCATCTAAAAGAAGGGAATCTGGGACAAGGGGCATTATGATGGCCCCCACCAGCACTACCAGGTGTATCACCCAGGAAGAGGAGGGCAAAGTGACAGATTCAAAGAGAATTTTAAAAACACGATCTCTTGCATTCTAATTAAGATAACAAGAATATTAGTACTTGCTTGGCTCAAGGATGGTGCCTTACAGCCACTGATCTCAGATTACAAATAGGCTCTACTGCAGTGTGTTACTTTGCCACCTAGTAACAGCCCTTTATTTAATAGCAGGTGGTTAATGCACCAAAGAAAAGTGTTCTTGATTAGCCTGGTGTGACAGCAGGTGTTGACTGTGTGGGGGTGGGTTTCCAACCCCGCTGCCGCCTTGCGCTCCCACATGAACAGTCCTTCTTCTTGCTGCAGGCAATATTCACTTCCACCAGCCCAAGCCCAAGGAGCCCACCCTGGGGAGGACGGAGGGGGTCACCACGGCTCCACACCCCCCCGTCTGCTTTGTCGGAGAGCTGGCCAGGCAGAGTGGCGCCCTCTTGACTGAGCCTCAAACCTTTGCTTTCCTCTTACTCCAAATAAAGCCGCCTGGCGAAGGAGCTCGGAGGCCTGATGGCAGCCTGCTGGGCGCTTGACAATTCCTAGACCCTGGTAAATGTAATCCATGGTACATGCAAATCCACCCACTAAAGAGCCACAACTCATCAAACTTGACTTTCCTTTTCACTTATTTAAGGCAAGAATCGGAGTAGGCAAGGGGCTTAGCCTAAATCACACTGCAGTTGTGAGGATTAGAATCTGTGGCCACAGCACTCACTCCTGGTCTGTCACTGGGTGTGTTGCACCCCAACTCCCCTTCTTGTTCCCTCTCAGCACCTGTTTGCAGCCTTGAGTCTTCAGGCCAGAAGGGACTCCTAGGGCACAGACGTCTCCCAGGCCTGCATAGCTTTTCTCAAAAAATGTAATAATAAGAAACAACACCCTCCCCTATCTGGTGGGTCAGCCAGTCCTGGGAAGGACTGCGGGGGCGGCGGGGGTGGGCGGTCTTAGAGTCTGACCAATGAGTCCAGGCACCCACTCTCTATCTGCCTAACCCTGCCCACACATTCTGCTGCAGTTCGAGACAGGGAGAATTGCAGATGCCCACCGCCCAGGCAGGGAGGATCTAGAGAGTGCCAGGCACCCAGCAGGCTGTCCTCAGGCCTCTGGGCTCCCTCGCCAGGGCTGCGGCTTTATGTGGAGTAAGGGGAAAGCAAAGGCTCGAGGCTCAGTCAAGAGGGCACCACTCTGCCTGGCCAGATCTCCGACAAAGCATGGGGGTGTGGAGCCGTGGAGACTCCCTCTGTCCTCCCCAGGGTGGACTTCTTGGGGTTGGGCTGGTGAAAGCGAACATCGCCCAGAGTGAGAAGGACTGCTCACGCAGGAACCCAAGGCGGCAGAGGACCTGGGGTGGGCTGGGGAGGGGGTGGCACTAAGCAGATGAGAACCCTCCCCTCCCTCTCATGGCCTCCCTCTCTCATGGCCACCCAGCACTCAAGAGGACAGAGCAGGGCTGCATCACCCCTACATCCACCGGGTGGGCCAGTTGATAAGTCACTGCCACTGGGCATGGAAGCTGGAGAGGAACTCAGCAGCCTCGAGTCCAAACCCCTGCTCTACAGCCAGGGAAAGAGGGGGCCGAGTGACTGAGTCTGGGGAAGCTTGATGGCCAACTTGGGTGATGCCATTTAAGGAGCCAGCCTGGGTTTCCCGGAGACTCCCCATCCCATGGCTCCCTGCAAAACAGCAACTCTGACAACCTTTGACTTTAGAAATGAAAACATCTTGGAGGTTACAATACGAGGGCTTTGGCCCAGTGTGGTAGCTCATGACTGTAATCCCAGTACTTCGTGGGGCCAAGGTGGTGAATCACTTGTGGCCAGGAATTCAATATCAGCCTGGGCAACATAGCAAGACCCTCATCTTAAAAAAAAAAAAAAGTAATAAAGGGGCTGCTTGTTTGCTTTCCTCTTTGGGTCGTTCAAATCTCGGCTCCACTGTTTACTAGTTGAGGGGCTCTGGGCAAGTTATGAAACCTCTCTAAGCTCAGTAGCTGCATCTGTAAAATGGGGATAATAATGTTGAACTACTTATTATCAACATGTGTGTTCCTTCCTCTTCCCCTAAATCCCTAATTACCGTGGAGCATCTCTGCCTTGTAACAGACCCCAGAGGAGCCCCTGTTCTTGTTATTTAGCCCACACCCCAAGGTCCCGCTGCAGCCGTGTGCACATAAACAGGCTGGACGTGAGGGAGTGCATGGCGTCAGGCACCGTGGTCTGGCAGCATCTGCTCTCCTCTCCATGTGCCTTCACCAAGGACATGATTTGGGAGGATGACCAAAGCACAAGGCTATGTACATCTTCGGGTATCAGCATTTTGCAAGATATGTCCCTGGGGTAATCTCCACCCCTCTTTTCCATCTGTTCGGAGAAGGTGCATTCTCAGCATCAAGGGGCAGAATTCTGGTGGCTAAGCCTTCACCTTTCCAAGGAGAGCTATATTTATCTCTTCCCTGTGGTCAGCTCCTGCTGATGTAGCAAACATTAGAACTTCTTCAAAACATCAAAGTTTAGGAGACACCATGAAAAACTGAGAAGTAAAACAATACAAAATGAGAGTGCCTGCTTTATTTTGCTAGCACCTGAAATCAGAGCTTCATTGATCTGCCTCAAAAGTTCCAGAGATATATTTTATCTGATTCGAGTTTTTGTTTTGTAATGCACTTTTCCAGAATACTGACAAGTTACTGGGCTGAGAGTTTGTGCAGGAGGGGGTTGGAGGGGAAGCCTTTCAGAATGAAATCATTTTTTTCTCGAAGCCAAGGTACTCTTCCCAACAAAATGGTTCACTTGCCTAGTAAAGAAAATACAATTTTTGTTGCAAACCAGCATGATTTTTTTTAAAAACGTGACTGGAAGATAGTGGTCATTTAGCTACAAGATACTGAGCTCAGAGGGGAACTTGATGAACATTTGGCTCCTACTGTAAGAAATGGGATTGCATACATTTTAATTCCAATTCTACACTGAAGTCAAATTTTGGGCATGCATTTGTGAAAGGTGGAAGAAAATCTCACTAAGTTCAAGGTGAAGAAGTTAGATGAGCAATCAATGGTCTTTACCCTTCAAAGATGGACTAAATGTAAACTGTTAGAAAACAACAAATGATACAAGTAGAGTACTTGTTAGTTTACTTGTGTTTATCTTTCTGGATCTGAGGTATAAAGGACCATTTTAAATACAGGAGAGCAAATAAAGTAGGTGCTTTGTTCTTTGGCACAGTTAAAAGGTAAATCACCTGTAATCCCAGCACTTTGGGAGGCCAACGCAGGTAGATTACTTGAGCCCAGGAGTTTGAGACCAGCCTGGGCAACATGGCAAAACCCCATCTCCACAAATAATAAAAAAAAATTAGCCAGGCATGGTGGTGCATGCCTGAGGTCCCAGCTACTCGGGAGGCTGAAGTGGGAAGATTGCTTGAGCCCAGGTGGTTGAGGCTGCAGTGAGCTATGATCACTGCACTCCAGCCTGAGAGGAAGAACCTGTCTCAAAAAAAAAAAAAAAAAAAAAAAAGAACCAAAAAATGAAAAACAGGCTGGGTATGGTGGCTCACACCTGTAATCCCAGCACTTTGGGAGGCCAAGGCGAGCAGATCACTTTAGGTCAGGAGTTCGTGACCAGCCTGGCCAACATGGTGAAACCCCGTCTCTACTAAAAACACAAAAATTAGCTGGGTGTGGTAGTGTGCACTTGTAGTCCCAGCTACTCGGGAGGCTGAGGCAGAAGAATCGCTTGAACCTGGGTAGGCGGAGGTTGCAGTGAGCCGAGATTGCCCCACTAGACTCCAGCCTGGGCAACAGAGCAAGACTCCATCTCAAAAAAAAAAGAAAAGGTAGATCAGTTTAATAATTTAATGGAACTTAATATTTGTTACACTGGGGTAAAAATAAAAGTTTGCTTTTTAAAAATTCTCTTAAGTGATGTCACTAAGTCAAGTTTTAAAACATACAATTCATTTTAAGATTGATACTTAAAGTTCAAATGAACTCTTTTTCTGTTATTTGAATGTGGTTTTTAAAGTGCCAAGAAGTTATTTGTTTTTTAAAGTAAATAAGAGATTTGGATTGGCGCCTTGGAAAAGCAAGTATAAACATGTTTTTGGACCAGAGGTTGGTTCAGCAACACTGAGTGTAACTACTGGCTGGGTACTGTGCAGGCACCAGGACTAACACACAACCCTGTAACTGTAGGAGCTCACACTTTAGCAGGGCAGACAAACGGATAACAGATAAACACCCTTCCAGTTATAGACACATACTATATGCACACAGATGGAAGAGAAGTGTGCACAAGCAGAAGTGGTTAGGTTTTGCCACAAAGTTTTCACAGAGAAGGGGTCATTGAGCAGGGTTTTTAAGTATGAATAGGAGTTTACCAGGAGAAAAATAATGGTGGAATGGGAATAATCCAGGCAGAAAGAAGAGCATGTGGAATGGAATGGGATGGAAGTGAGGAAGCGCATGGCATGAATGAAAAAACACAAGAGTCTCATAGGCTATTTTCGCATAAGAGTTGATGATTCCACATTTCCGAGTGTAGTTGTCTCATTTATTACTATACTATCTCTTTTATAAATTGCTACTTCATCACGAGCTGACCCAGGAGTTTTAACTTAGAAATCGTGTTTACAATTCAGATTACCCTTCTGTAAATTACATGCTGAAAAGAGTGAGCTAAGAAAATATACTTGGGGACAGGCGTGGTGGCTCATGCTTGTAATCCCAGCACTTTGGAGGCCAAGGTGGGCAGATCACCTGAGGTCAGGAGTTCAAGACCAGCCTGGCCAACATGGTGAAACTCCGTCTCTACTAAAAATACAAAAATTAGCCGGGCATGCCTGTAATCCCAGCTACTCAGGAGGCTGAGGCAGGGAGAATTGCTTGAACCCAGGAGGCGGAGGTTGCAGTGAGCCAAGATCACACCACTGCACTCCAGCCTGGGGAACACAGCAAGACTCTGTCTCAAAAAAACAAAAAAAAGAAAGAAAGAAAATATACTTGGGAATGTGAGGATTTTGTGGTTGAGTGAAGAAAGGTGGCCCAGACAGGAGATTACTCAGAACTCAAAGGTTCACCGCAGCTGTCCTTGATGAGCTGGTGGCTGCGGCAAATACGCCATCAGATTGGGATGTTGAGGCAGACTGCTAGCAATGTTCTCTCCTTCTTCCTTAGCAAAGGATTTTTAATTTTAGTTGGAGAAGACCAGCCAAACACTTGACATTTCTTGGCCCCCTGGCAGCTAAGTATGACAGAGTGATTAAGTGCGGACAAAGAGTTATAAATGTATTAGAGCAGAGCCACCTGGGGCCCAGACAGTACCTTGTGTCAAAATTTTCTCCAGTGCATCTGAAATCGCACTGTGATCCTGTCCCCCTAAACTTTGTCTTCTCTTGGTGTTCCCTCCCTCAGTAACTGACATTACCCGCCCTGCTACTGCCAAGCCAAAAACCCAGGCAACGTCCTTGAAACCCCTCTCCTTCACTCCGCCACAGATATCAGTAAGTTCTGGCAGCTGAACTTCCAAAGTACATCTCAAATCCATCTCCAACCCAGCCCAGGTTCCTGTGGCTCTCCCCTGGACTACTACCCTGCCCGGTCCACTCACATCTGCTCTACCCCTTCCAACACAATGGCCACTCTGAAGCCACAGCAATCTTTTTAAAACATTTTTTTTTTTTTTAGATGGAGTCTCTCTCTGTCCCCAGGCTGGAGTGCAGTGGCACGATCTCGGCTCACTGCAACCTCCGCCCTGGTTCAAGCAAGTCTCCTGCCTCAGTCTCCTGAGTAGCGGGGACTACAGGCGCATGCCACCATGCCCAGATAATTTTTGTATTTTTTTTTTTTTTTTTTTTTGAGACGGAGTCTCGCTCTGTCGCCCAGGCTGGAGTGCAGTGGCGCAATCTCGGCTCACTGCAAGCTCCGCCTCCCGGGTTCACGCCATTCTCCTGCCTCAGCCTCCCAAGTAGCTGGGACTACAGGCGCCCGCCACTACGCCCGGCTAATTTTTTGTATTTTTAGCAGAGATGGGGTTTCACCATATTGGCCAGGATGGTCTCAATCTCCTGACCTCGTGATCCGCCCGCCTCCGCCTCCCAAAGTGCTGGGATTACAGGCGTGAGCCACCATACAAACCTTTTTTTTTTTTTTTTTTTTAATGGAGACAGGTTCTCACTATATTGCCCAGGCTGGTCTCAAACTCCTGGGCTCAAGTGATCCTCCTGCTTTAGCCTCCCAAATAGCTGGATTACAGGCATGAGCCAGGCCAGAGTGATCTTTTGGAAATGCAAATCTGATCATGTATATCCCATCCCCTGCGAAACCCTTAAAGAGCTTCCCATTGTCCTTGGGTTAGTGTGGCCTTCAAGGCCTGTGTGATCTCACCACTCCCCTAGCCCCTCAGAGTGCTACTGGTATCAATATTATGGAGAAACAGTTTACTTGAAAGCTAAGTGAGAGTTTTAGGGCTGGGATCTCACGCTGCCCCCCGATCTTTCAGTTTTGTGCTCACCATGCTGTCTTACTGTGGGGCTTTATGAAGGCGAATCCCTCTGTCGAAAAGCTATTCCCTCCCCTTCCCACCTCCCTAACTTCTATCCACCTTTCAGATTTCAGACTGACTGTCCCTCCTCTGGGTAGCCTCTCCTGACCTATCCCAGCAAGGCAGATCTCTCAGTCCTAGCCTTCGTCGAGCTCACATTTGTCAGGGTGATTATGTGACTGACAGCTGGACGGAAGCTCCTGTAGGCCACTGACCATGTCTGCTTTGGCTCCCATCTGGACTCTCAGTGCCTGGCATTCTAGTAGAAGCTTAATTATTTGTTGAATGAATGAATGAATTTAAAAATTCTTTGAATGAGAGCATAGAAAATTAATCAGAACTTTTGAACAAGAAGAGCTGAATTCCCCTTGAGGAATAATAAATATAACCTACTTAGCCTAGTTGGTAGAGACAGACCATAAGATGCAGGAAGAGGGCTGAGTAGGTGGCATGAGGCACTATAACGCCCCCTGACCCCAAAGAAGACTGGAGAACCAGTATCCTAGGCGCACTACAAATATCAGGGTTTTGGGTCTAAAAAGATGGGGTCAGACTCAGATCCGGCCACACAAAGTAAAGGGCAGGTCTACCGCCTGCCCAAAGACTCCCCTCCCCCAACCCAAGCAAGCAGTCAGAACCTCACCACAAGAAAGTGCTCCTAAAATCGCAGTAAAGTGCTAGCCGGCCATGACTCAGCACTTGCCATGTGCCCGGCCTTGGCTAAGTGCATTGCAGGGCAGAATGCCCAAGTATTTTTCCAGAACAAAGGCCATGAGGTGGACCCAGCCCTGCGACAGTTGGGCAGGCCTGGCTCTGACTGTGTTTCTCTAATAGTGACTGAGACTCACAGCAGCGTGAAAAGCCAGTGCTTCTCCTGGGGGAAGTCTGCCACTTTGGGGAGGAAAGTGTGGGGGCAGAGAGGGTAAGGGAAAAACTATGGCATGACCTGCCCCTCAGATGCCAGGCCAGAGAGGTAGGTGGGCTTGGAGGGTCTGCTGCTTCTGCAGGCCTGGTCCCAAGCCTGCCCCCATACTGCCCTCCCCAGCACCCCAGCCTCATCACTCCTCCCTGGGGAAGGCGAAGGGAACATCCAGTGGAAAGGGAAAAACGGATGGCTTCCCTCCCATTCCTGGCCTGCCTGCCAAGCGGACGCAGGATGGGAGCCTGGGAGCGTTCCTGCTGTGAACTCCCTGTCAGCAGCTACCCAAGCCTTGGGGCTCCCAGGGGCTTCCCAAAAGCCATCCTGAAGCTCCCAGCCCCACTCCCTTGGCTGGCCCAAGAGTGACGGAGGCAAACCCTGGGGGGAACTCCCAGCTTCTCCCTCAGCCATTGTCCCTGAACCCCAGGGACCCCTGGAGACTCAGGATGGAAGAGGCCGGATGCAGGCAAGCTGGGATTGTGCACCAGGCCAATGGCCGTGTTTATCTCTGTGCAAGCGCCGGAGCCAAGCCCTGGGAAAACAGCTTAGAGCCAGAAACCAAGGGAAAGGAAAAATGCAGTTTACAAGCAGGAAAAAAAAAGCTGGGGGAGAGTAAAAGAGCAGTAAAAAGTGTCAGGAGACAGCCTTCTTGGGGGCAGGAGTGCTGTTCTGGGGCATATCGCCCTCTGTGTGGGAGGGAATTCCCTCCACCTCCATGCTATCTACATGTCTGGAGAGATAGAAAGAAAACAATTTGGGATTGGCACTGGGATGCCAATGTGGTTGAGGGAGCCCCGAGCCAGCCCGCGGGCAGTTAGGCCCTCACTGCCTGCTTTGCTGCCTGGCCCTGCTGCCTGCCAGCCATGTAGCCTCAGGTCAGTGACTCCACTTCTCCAGGCCTCCGTGGCCCCATCTGCTGTGGAGGGTCTGGAGAGGGGAAGGGGAAGGCCACGCGGGTGGGCTGGCCAAATCCTGTGCACCTTCGGAGAGGGGACGGCTACTTCCACACTCTTTAAAGGCCACACAAACTTTAAGTTACAGAACTCAAGAAGACCGAGAGATGCCCCACATGCTGCAGGGCTCATGAGCTCTTGGCCTGGAGTTTCATTTGAGGTCCCATTCCATCTCACATTCTGCCAATTAAAATTAGAGCTGTTGAGTTGCTTCCATTGGTTCTAAATTACCAGAGAAAAAACTCAAGCAGAACCCAGTTCACCACCTATAAAGAAAAAGCATTGCCCTCTATGCAATTTCAGTCCTTGACATTCTCTTTTTTTAATCTTTTAAAATTAAAAAAAGTTAGAATAACTTGTTTTTTCTTTTAATTTTAAAGACAGAGCCTTGCTTTATTGCCCAGGCTGGAGTGCAATGGTGCAATCTCAGCTCACTGCAGCCTCGACCTCCCAGATTCAAGCAATTCTCATGCCTCAGCCTCCTGAGTAGCTGGGATTACAGGCACCTGCCACCACCATGCCCGGCTGATTTTTGTATTTTTAGTAGGAAAGGGGTTTCGCCATGTTGGCCAGGCTGGTCTCAAACTCCTGTTAAGCGATCCGCCTGCTTTGGCCTCCCAAAGTGCCGGGATTACAGGCATGAGCCACCATGCCGGGCCAGTCCTTGGCATTCTCTACTTGAGTGGAGAGAGGCTCCTATTCCAGGGGATAATAGGAGCAGATCATATAACACACTTACCGGAGTTCCTTCCCACCATTAACCACACTCTGCACCTCCCCCTTCTCCCCAAGGTGTCTTTTCCTCAACAATGTGCTCCACGATCTGGAAGCTTCCTTGCAGTGTGTAACAGGAGAGCACTGAAAGCCGGGCCTCATGGAGGAACCTGAGCCTGCCGTCTCATCTAGCAGAGCAGCAAGAGGACTAGGGGTGCTTCCTGTAGGGCAGCCCGAGGACCAGGGTCCGAGTTCTGGGTTGTTTGGTCGTGGTGAAGGTTAGTTTGTTTGTGGCAATGCTTAGGTTTCAAAAAGGAGTTTAAAAGTCCCAAAAGACTAAAAATATTTATGGGGTTCAATCAACAGTCCTGAAGGCAACTCTGAAATTAAGATGTTCCATCTCGACCGGGTGCCGTGGCTCACGCCTGTAATCCCAGTACTTTGGGAGGCTGAGGCAGGTGGATCGCTTGAGCCCAGGAGTTCAAGACCAGCCTGGGCAACACAGTGAAACCTTGTCTCTACAAAAAAAAAAAAAAAAAAAAAAGAAAATTAGCTGGGCATGGTGGTGCACGCCTGTAATCCCAGCTACTTGGGAGGCTGAGGATGGCTTGAGCCTGGTGGGGCGGAGTTTGCAGACAGCTGAGATGGCGCCACTGCACTCCAGCCTGGACAACAGAGCCAGACCCTGTCTCAAAAAAAAACAAGACAAAAACAACGATGTCCTGACAGGGTATCACTATGACCCGGATAGCAGCCTTCCTGGTAGGGTCTGGAAGTCCTGCCTCAGTGAGGCACACATGGAACCGGAAGAGGGCAGGGTTGCTTCTTCCACCTGGTGGCTGTGCCCCGACCTGGTGGCTACATTTGCTGGGCCCACTGCTGTTTCCCCACAGGAACAACTTGGCAGCAAACAGGTCCTGCCACAGCCAGAAAAACTGGAACGTGGGAAAGTATATTCATTTCCCCCAAAGAGCTGGTAAGAGTCAGTCTTCTCTTATCACTGCAGGATATACCCATACCTGGAAAGATGGCCTTGGGGCTTGGCACTGGGACCAATGTATTTCTCTTACTTTCCTAAAGTCTCTCCGAAATTAGCCAAGTCTCACCAGTTCTAGCAGAAAGAGGGCTACAATTTTGTAGGACCGGAAAGTCACCCCTCAATGCGGCCAGTGTCTCTCGTTCCACAGGGAAAGCAAATTCCCAGGCTGAGTTGCCAGAGGACAAGCTGAGGTGGTGGCCTTTGGTGAGGGCTGGAGGGCCAATGGCTGCCTGCTCCTGGCCTCTCACGGCATGGCTCTCTGACCCTTCAGGGATGCACTGAGACCTCCTGCTCCCGGTCACCAGCCTCCCACAGCCTTCAAGAGTCACAGTCCAGGCTGCTCCTGGACTAAAGCCAGCCAGGCGGGCCCGTGGCAGAGACACTCAGAACACGGCCTAGACTTCAGGATGTGTCTGGGCACCCCCAACCGCTGTGAGGAAGGCTAGAGAAGCCCTGAGCTGTGACACTGGGGTGGGAAGACTTAAACACACCATCTCCCATACTACAACCATCTTAAGAAGAGGTAGTTTTTCTTTTTAAAAATTATTTGAGACAGGGTCTCGCTATGTTGCCCAGGGTGGTCTTGAACTCTTGGGCTCAAGAGATCCTCCTGCCTCAGCTTCCTAAAGTGCTGGGATTACAGGTGTGCTCCACCACTCCCAGCTAATTTATTCTTTATAGAGACGAGGTCTCACTTTGTTGCCCAGGCTGGTCTCAGAACTCCTGGGCTCAAGTGATCCACCCACCTCAGCTTCCCAAAATGCTGGGATTACAGGTGTGCGCCATCTTGCCCAGCCACTTTTTCTGTTTTAAAAAGAATTAAAAATGAAGCTCAGATATGTGAAGTAGTTAATCCAGCTCTTAAGTACCAAAAAGACATTCAAATTCAGTCTCTATTCATCAAACTTCCCAAATGCTAAAGGCAGCAAAAACTCCTGCTCCCGACCTAAGAACAAGGCCTGTGATCCTAGTTTGTGGAGTAGCTGGAGAATTTTCCAGAAGTCTCTTTAACTCCTCAGAGAAAAGAACACTTTCCCCTCTTCTGCAAGCTTGCTCAGTTAGGCCTTGGAGAGCCTAATGGGTGTGGCTGTGCGGGGGCTGGACCATGCACTAAACCACACCCACCCACCAGGCAACAGACGGAAAGACACAGACAGCAGGGCGGGTGGGCATGAGGACTCCACACCAGGTCTCTGAACCCATCTCCTGGAATGCCGTAGGTCAGGCTGTGGCAGTCAAATGGCTGCTTTCTGCTGAGAAAGGATGAACTATGACTTCCCCTGGGAAAGTAAATAAACCTTGACAATAGGGGAGGCTGCTCAGTGTGAGCTTGGTTTGCACAATCGTGTGCTCAGTTATATAACGGAGGATTGGATTGCGCAGTTTTCTCCTTGTTGAGAGGAAGCTCTTCCTGGAGCGCCCACCAGCTCCTCCCTCCTCAGGAGAGGGGTGTGGCTGGATCCTTGGCAACGCTTTGGTCCCCTAACGGGGGAACTGCTGGGGTGCCTTCTCCCTCCTGCAATCCCCACCTTATCCCACAGCCCCTTGGAGACTCTGCTCCTAAGCCACTAGGTCTGGGTCAAGAACCACACACAGGCAGCCCAGGGGGCCAGCTGGGCTGGGCAGTGACCCTCCTGCCTTGACTCAGGGCTCTTGAACTCTTAAGATTTTGCCTCCCCTACCCTGTGGCCAGGGCCTTCACTCTAGTTGAAGTGTCTTCACTGGACCCAGCAGAGGCTACAGGGCCCACTGAGTCCCTTCAAAACTTACTGTTTCCCTCCTACACATTCCTTTCCTGAAATCCCTTCAGACTTTGCCACAGAATCATCACATAGCAGAGCTGCAAGAAGGCCTGCAGATCGCTGAGCCTAACCTCATTTTACAGATGAGGTCCAGAGAGGGGACACATTAATGGCAGAGCTGGGACATGAGCCAAGTCTTTTTTCCAGCCCAATCCTCTTCCCACATCACTGTATTACCTCTCAAAGGAATGAATTGCTGTTGATGGGATTTATGGCCCTAGCAGAGGTGGGTTTTCAGTATGAGATCCTAGGCACCCCTCGAATCACTATCTGTCTATCCCATCTGTGCCCACTCTGTCCCCGAGTGGGTGGGCTTCGAGCTACTTCTTCAGCAGGGGTGACCAGCTCATGCTTGGTCCTCCCTTATTTGGTACACCCAGCTGTGATCCATGTGGTTGAACCTCTTGGCGTAAGAACTGAGAAATGAATCTCGGTAGCCCCTGCTTTCACATGTCTGGGCCTGGGCCAAGATACCAGAACGGGAATCAAGGTGCCAGGTGAGCAATCACCAAGCCTGGGTATCAGGTCGACAGGAGGGGCACTGTGCATTGGTGAACCTGGGCTCCCTGAAAATGCCAGTTATGCTTAAGACATCAGGCAGGAACCAGGACACCCCAGGAGAGTCACTCCACCTCCTGCAGTGGTCAAGATGCCCTTTCTGCAAAGGTCCCTCTGCCCACAGAGCCCTCATTCAGGGCTTCCTGAAGATGTTCCCAGCCGCGTAAGTCCATGCCAGCTAGTGTGCTTCAGGCACAGCTGAGAGGCAGGAGGCATCACGCAGAGAGCATGTGGCTTGTCACAGATGGTGCTGAGGTTCACCCTGGCTGTCTTGCTGAGTAGTTATTTTCTGTGGAAGGTCCTTCCTTTCCTGGAATTGGGAAGAAGGCCGCAGAAAGCTCAGGAGTCCCCTCACTTACAGACTGAGCTAGTTCAGTTTATCCAGTAGGTCACTCATCAGCTTGACCCACACTCTGCAAACACAAACATCAGGCCATTCAAGCTGGGCACACTCCTGCCCCCAGCCTTTGCACCTGCACCCCAGGCAGCAGCTTGGCTGCTCCCTAACTCTTCAGGTCTATGCCAGTGCCACCCTTCAGTGAGGCCTTCCCTTTCCACCTGGCACTCCTCTCCCCTCTTTAAAGTTTTATTTATCTCCATATTACACATCATCTTCTAACATACTTTATAGTTTACAAATGTATTTTGTTTATTATCCCTCTGCCCCTAGAACTGCAAATCCCACGAGGGCATGCTCCCCGCTGTGCCTCAGTTCCACAGTGAGCAGTTCCTAAGTACCGCCCATGCCTCCTCAGCGCCTCCTAGGTGTGGAAATTTGGGAAAGAAAAACTGCTTGGAGAGCACTCGCAGAGTTTTTGCTGCTAAGTCAGACCAAGTGGGGCCAGTGAAAGGCCCCCTATTATCCCCCAAACCTAGCTCCCTGAAGGAGGCAACCGTTACACCAGAAAACAATGTTACTTTCTGGAGAAGTGTGGCTTCCTGAAAATGTTTATTTTAAATTATGCTGGATGCAGAGGAGGCTGCACAGTGGTACCGAAACAGCCACCAACCCCAAGGTCCTCAACAATTTTCCACCAACAGCTCATCAATCCCAGCAAAGGGCTGTCCTGGAAGCGGGCCTGCCAAGTGCATGGGTCCCCCTCACCTCCCACCTCCAGCCACAAGCTGAGCCCTCACAGAACTTCCAGGACAACGAGTGTTGCCTGTAGGGGCGGATCCAGGCTTTGCGGAACCTGAAGTTTAAACAATGGGAGGTGGGCTATGGAGGGGGCATTCAACTTTAAGAAAAAAAAGTCAAAATTAGGATTACAACATTGCTAGGCACCCCACCTCCAAGATCTCGGGAGCCGCCAGGGCAAGGAAGGAGCCAGAAGCTCAGAGAAAACCGACATCTGCCAGGGAGGGAGGCAGGCGGCCACTCGGTCTCCGCGGCGCTTTTGCTCAGGTTGACCACATTCCCTGGCTTCAACTACAAGGTGAACTCCCGGGCAAGTTTCCTGTTCTACAAGAGGAGAGGGCTGGCCTTCAATCCCGAGACCAGAGCGAGGGGGTGCCGGGCGGCGGCTGCGGCAGCAGATGGAGATGAAAGCGCATTTCAACTAAAAGGTGTGATCAGTGTCAGGCCTCTGAGCCGAAGCTAAGCCATCATATCCCCTGTGGCCTGCACCTACACATCCAGATGGCCGGTTCCTGCCTTAACTGATGTCATTCCACCACAAAAGTGAAAATGACCTGTTCCTGCCTTAACTGATGACATTGTCTTGTGAAATTCCTTCTCCTGGCTCATCCTGGCTCAAAAGCTCCCCTACTGAGCACCTTGTGACCCCCCCCACTCTGCCCGCCAGAGAACCCCCCTTTGACTGTAATTTTCCTTTACCTACCCAAATCCTATAAAACGGCCCCACCCCTATCTCCCTTGGCTGACTCTTTTCGGACTCAGCCCGCCTGCACCCAGGTGAAATAAACAGCCATGTTGCTCACACAAAGCCTGTTTGGTGGTCTCTTCACACGGACGCGCATGAAAATCAGTGTTCCGACTTGGGTGACAAATTAAGTGCATTTCACCGCCGAGCGAGCCACGGCCCTGGAAGCAGAGCTCGCCCAGGCCAGGGGACGCGGTGCGCTCTCGGGGTCGCGAGCCTCCCTCCCTGCGGCGTCCGCCCACAGTCTGGGACGCGGAATTCCCTGCGAGAAGTCCGCGGTCGCCTGCAGGCTCCTTCCCCCAGTAGGCGGCACGCGCAGTCTCCTGGCCGGGGCAGGAGCTGGGGGCGGACCAACTACAAGTCCCTCTGCACCCCTGCGGGCCGACCGCAGCCCCGACCCCTCGGCGCCCCGGCCCGCCGCCCACCCCGGCGGCCGAGCCCGCGCGGAGCCCGAACCGCGTCTGCGTCCGGGGAGTGCGGGCCCGGCCGGCCCCGGGCGCTTACGGTCTCGGCTCGCAGGCTCCGGCGGCGGCAGGCGCGCGATCTCTCCGGCTCCCTGGCTCTCCTCGGCTAGTTTTCAGCAGCCCCGGCGCAGTCTCCGCCCAAGCCCGGCCTCCGAGCGGGGCGTTCCCCGGCCTGGAGGACCCGGGAAAGTCTCTAGGCCTGCCTAAGGCTCCACCTCTGCCAGGGATAAAACGGGCTACTTAAAGGGCGGTCCGCGGCCCCGCGGCCAGAAATGGAGAGAAGCGTTTGGCAGCTCCTACAGCAGTTTGATCCCGTAACTTCGTCAGTTGAATCTAAAAACAAAAATCCAAACTTGCATGATGTATGTCCTTTTTTTTTTTGGAGACAGAGTCTCACTCTATCACCCAGGCTGGAGTGCAGTGGTGCGATCTCGGCTCACTGCAGCCTCAAGCGATCCTCCCACTTCGGCCTCCAGAATAGCTGGGACTACAGACTGCGCCACCACACCTGGCTAATTTTTTAAGTTTTGTAGATACGGGGGTCTCACTTTGTTGCCTAGGCTGATCTTGAACTCCTGGGCTCAAGCGATGCACCTACCTCCGCCTCCCAAAGTGGTGAGATTATGGGCGTGAGCCACTGCACCTGGCGGTGTATGTCTTTTTAATTTCATCTTTCTAGCAATTCATTCTTAGTATATTTAACAAACATATTGGTCCGTGACATGCTTGGAAATCTAAAAACAAATTAGTGTCTTTATACAGAGAATGTGAGAAGCAATGGTCTGAAGCACTCTTGGGGGTCTTCATGGTGAGGACCAGTATAGGATGCTGAGTTCAATGCCAGGGGAGCAACCTCTTAGTGAATCCCCTCCCGCTTTGGAGAGAGCTCAGGGCCCAGGCGGGTGGTTGCTGGGGCTCTTTTAGCTTCCGTGAGAGCGTTGATCCCCAGCCCCTCATCGTTAGAAAGCCTGTCCCATCGCCTCTGCCATCACCCCTCCTTAGCTTCTCTCTTCACCTGCTCAGAGGTGCAGTTCTTTCAACCACCAGCATCCTCACGATCTCGGTGGACAGACTACAGCTAGGAGGCCACATGCAGGGCCCGTGGCTGGAGTTCTAAGCTTCTGACTGTCACCTTGCACACTTCAGGATAAGGTTCACCACCACCCACCTTCCCTTGGCCTCCAACCTTTCTGCTCACCCTGGCCCAAGAATTCTGGCCGGCAGACGCACTCACCTCACTCCCACCTCCAAACTTTTGCTCTTGCAGTACTGCCGGACAGGGTGCCCTCCTCCATCCACATGTAGAGTCCTCTTGTCCTTTAATTCTACACCCTCCTATAAAAGCTTTCTCTTGCAACTGCAGTCTCTGACATCTCTGTATTCCTTTCAGAACCTGCAGTCTGGGAGAGTTCTTTCCCCTCCCCTCCAAATAGTTCACACAGAAGCTCTGCCTCTGGCCACTTCACCAGGGGACCCAAATTCGTTACTCTTAAAACTGCAGTGATGGTGAAACAGGTAGGAGTCAGGACTTAACGCCAGAGGTGGGGCTTGGACACCAGATTGAGGACCAAATTGAGGACTAGCTAAAACAGGGACTGGGTGGAAGATGAGCATAAGATATGCCCATCATATCAGTGTGCCATGTCAGTTTACCAGGGCACGCCCCTGGAGTTATCACCCCCCTTCCATGGCAATGACCCGAGGACCCAAAAGTTACTACCCTTTTCCTAGAAATGTCTGCATAAACTGCCCCTTAATCTGCATGTAACTAAAAGTGGGTATCAACATGACTGCAGAATCGCCCAGAGCTGCTGCTCTCAGCACACTGCCTGTGGGGCAGCCCTGCACTGCAGGAGCAGGCCCCCTCTGCTGCTGCTGGACACCGCCACCTCCATAAAAGTTGCTGTCTCACACCACGGGCTCTCTCTTGAATTCTTTCCTGGACAAAGCTAAAAACCCTGCTGGGCTGAGACCCAATCTGGGGTCTCAGCTGCCCTGCATCAAAACTCTTCTAAAATTAGATATTGGTGATGGTTACATCACTACAAGTCTGTAAATATACCAAAACCCGTGAAATTTTACACTCTTAAAGGGTGAGTTTTATGGGTATGTGAATTATGTCTCAATACAGTTGTTATTTTATTTATTTATTTGTTTGTTTTTGAGATACAGTCTCACTCTGTTGCCCAGGTTGGAGCGCAATGGCACAATCTCGGCTCACTGCAACCTCCGCCTCCCAGGTTCAAGTGATCCTCGTGCCTCAGCCTCCCAAGCCGCTGGAATTACAGGCACTTGCCACCACACCCAGCTAATTTTTGTATTTTTAGTAGAGATGGGGTTTCACCATGTTGGCCAGGTGGGTCTCAAACTCCTGACCTCAAGTGATTTGCCTGCCCTGGCCTCCCAAAGTACTGGGATTACAGGCGTGAGCCACCAGGTGTGGCCAAAGCTGTTGTTTTTCAAAAACTGCATTAAAATGGCAACCTCTTGTATCCTAATACCCTCCTACTTGGTTAATCATCCATCCAGCGTTGGGCTGCGAAATCTAAAATAGTGCAAGATATTTCTAAGTACAGTCTACATATGGGCAGTGTAGAAACAAATGCATCAGAGTCCAACTCAGCAGGGCAAAATTTAGACAGATTTTCACTGCTTTTGGCTAAAAGCCATTGAAAGGTTTACGGGGCAAAAGAATGGGTACAGTGTGCTCTTTAGAATAAATTATATTGTGTAAAAAATCAGAGCAAGGCTGTTGTTCTGCATAAACATCTGGAGAGTTTCCAGGTACATCAGGTAGAATGAAATAATGTGTGGGAGGCAATCTTGGATAAAAATTGTAGATCAATTCCTGATTCAACAAAAAGGAAACAACATTGTTTCTGCCAAAAATGCACAATATGGATAGAATCATGAGGAAACATTGCACAAACCCGACATTAACATTCTACAGGCTGGGTGCGGTGGCTCAGGCCTGTAATCCCAGCACTTTGGGAGGCCGAGGCAGGTGGATCACCTGAGGTCAGGAGTTTGAGACCAGCCTGAACAACATGGAGAAACCCCGTCTCTACTAAAAATACAAAATTAACCCAGCATGGTGGTGCATGCCTGTAATCCCAGCTACTTGGGGGGCTGAGACAGGAGAATCACTTGAACCCAGGAAGCAGAGGTTGTGGTGAGCAGAGATCACACCATTGCACACTCCAGCCTGGGCAGCAAGAGCGAAACTCCATCTCGAAAAAAAAAAAAAAAATCTACAAAATAGCTGGCTTGCACTTTTCAAAAATGTCAGTGTGAAAAAAGGGCAATGTAATGAAAGATATGGAAAGACTGAGAAGCTCTTCCTGATTAAGGGGGACAAAAGAGCTGCGAAACCTCATTGCAGTGCTCTCTGTTCTAGATTGGATCCTGGCCCAGAAAAAAAATTTATATAAAGAATATTGTTGGGACAATTGGGGAAATTTGAAGGAGTTCTGTAGATTCAATAATAGATTATATTAATGTTAAATATCTTGAGTTTGAAAACTGAATTGTTTCTTAAGTGAACGTCACTGATCTTAAAAAAATGTACACTGAAGTATTCAGTTGGTGCAAAGGTATTTGCGGTTTTGCCATTACTTTCAATGGCAAAAACCACAATTACTTTTGCACCAACCTAATATTTAAGGAATCATGTTTGAAATTTAAAATGTTTCAGTGTGTACACATATATAGGAACTATATGTGTGTGTGTGTATATATGTGTGTATGTATATATATGTGTGTGTGTATATGTGTGTGTGTATATGTGTGTGTATATATGTGTGTGTATATATATACACACACACACAGAGATATTGAATTAGAAAGCAAATGCAGCAAAGTGTTAACAATTAGTGTCTGGGTAAGACATGTATGGGAGTTTTGCAACTTTACTGTAAGTTTACTGCCATTAATTACCATTATCTACAGCTAATGACATTCAGAGGCCCCATAACAAAACAGCTGACTCCCTATTTGATCACCTGCCATTGAGGCCAATCAGTTTACTACCCACCACACACAGAACTTTCAATTGATGTTTTAGTGTCTCATTTCTAAATACTGAAGGATCACCAAACACTTGGGCAAAGCCTGTGACATGAAAGGCAAAGCCCAAAATAGAGAAAAATTGCTCACAGGCAACAGAGACAAGGCAAAAAGCAGAAAAATCTTCAAAGAAATCACAATGCCCTTGAAGATATGAGAAGAATTCTATCTATGAAAAAGGGACAATTTGAAAAAAAGGAACATTCAGAGAATTAGATAATACTTCTTGAAATAAAAATTCTAACAGAAAAGTCAGGAGATAGAATTGAGAATTCTCCCAGAAAAACAGAACACAAATTAAAGAGATGGACAGTCGGGCGGCAGTGGGTAGGGGAAGGAAAAGAAAATCAGATGACCAATCCAGGAAGCACCCAGACTAATATGAGTTATATGAGAGAGGAAGAGAACACCAAACAAAAGAAATAATTAAAGAAATAATCCAATAATACTTCCCAAACCAAAGGACAAGTAGCTCCAGATCAAAAAGGCACGCTCAAAAGTTAGAAAACCCGTACCAATGAGACATATTGTGAAATTTCAGAATGCTAAAGAAAAAGGGAAGATCCTAACAGCTTCTAGAGAGAGGGAAAGATTTTCAAAAAGGTCAACACAAAGATCATCAGACTTCTCAAGAGCAACACTGGCTGTCATAAAGTAGTGCAGCAAGGCCTTGAAATGTCTATGGGAAAAGTATTTCTAACAATTCTATAATAAAATGTGGGGACAAATTAAAGGTATTTTCAGACATTCAGGGACTAAAAACGTTTTTACTTCTCATGCACCTTGTCTTGGGTACTTACTAGAGGATATAATCCAGCAAAACAAGGGAGTTAAAATATAAAAGGGGAGGCGGGTGCGGCGGCTCATGCCTGCAATCCCAGCACTTT
Source organism: Homo sapiens (assembly GCF_000001405.40). Lineage (NCBI taxonomy): Eukaryota > Metazoa > Chordata > Mammalia > Primates > Hominidae > Homo > Homo sapiens. Next base: position 225,805,257 of record NC_000001.11, on the reverse strand, counting down.
GGGAAGCCGAGGCCGGCGGATCACGAGGTCAGGAGATCCAGACCATTCTGGCTAATACGGTGAAACCCCGTCTCTGCTAAAAATACAAAAAATTAGCCAGGCGTGGTGACAGGCGCCTATAGTCCCAGCTACTCGGGAGGCTGAGGCAGGAGAATGGCGTGAACCCGGGAGGCGGAGCTTGCAGTGAACCGAGATTGCACCACTGCACTCCAGCCTTGGTGGCAGAGCGAGACTCAAAAAAAAAAAAAAAAAAAAAAAAAAATATATATATATATATATATATACACACACACATATGTATACACATATATATGTGCGTATATATATGTATGTGTGTGTGTATATATATATATATTATATATATATATATATATTATATATATATATATATATATTATATATATATAATATATATATATACACAAAAAAGGGGAAGACATGGTTTTTGGGAAACAGAGAATCTAATACAGATTATCGGCAAAGAGGAGTCTCAGCTTGACAGCTGTGCAGCAAAATTAGAGGGCAACTTGTCCAGATTAGAAGAAAAAGACACGGAGTGGGAAGGAGAGAAAGACAAAGGGTGCTAGGAAGCAGGCCTCGGGTTGTGGGGGAGGGAATAATTAATGCATTTACTGATAAAGTTTTTTTTTTTTTTTGAGACGGAGTCTCGCTCTGTCTCCCAGGCTGGAGTGCAGTGGTGCGATCTTGGCTCACTGCAAGCTTCGCCTCCCGGGTTCACGCCATTCTCCTGCTTCAGCCTCCTGAGTAGCTGGGACTACAGGCGCCCGCCACCACGCCCAGCTAATTTTTTTTTTTTTTAATATTTTTAGTAGAGACGGGGTTTCACCATGTTAGCCAGGATGGTCTCGATCTCTTGACCTCGTGATCCACCCGCCTCGGCCTCCCAAAGTGCTGGGATTACAGGCGTGAGCCACCGCGCCCGGCCAACTGATAAAGTTTTTGGAAAAGAATATCAGTGGACATTTGTCACATCCAATGGTATATTGGGGGGGGGAAATTAAGACAGTATATAGAAAAATAAGCAAAGGAAAAAAACTACAGGAAAAATGGAAAATTGTTTGAGAAAGAAAATGTAATAATGGCACATTGCTTGGCTCTGTAGTGGACAATATTTATATAATCATAATTTTGTAGGCATTATTGATTTAGGCCCGGTGTAGTGGCTCACACCTGTAATCGCAGCACTTTGGGAGGCAGAGGCAGGTGAATTACTTGAGGCCAAGAGATTGAGACCAGCCTGGCCAACATGGTGAAACCCTGTCGCTACTACAAATACAAAAATTAGCCGGGCTTGGTGGTGCATGCCTGTAATCCCTGCTATTCGGGAGGCTGAGGTACGAGAATTGCTTGAACCCGGGAGGCGGAGGTTGCAGTGAGCTGAGATTGCGCCACTACACTCCAGCCTAAGTGACAGAGTGAGACCATCTCAAAAAAAAAAAAAAAAAAGACATTGTTGATTTTACAAAAATTATAATTATTACTTTTGTAAAATTATAAATTTTACAAAAATTATAAATATATTGGGGGGATGGAGTGGGAGCAGTAGGGTTTAGTGTAAGAAAAATGCATTATAAGCATAATATTTAAATATACAGAGACAAATACCTAAAGACTTGAAAGTAGAATAGGAGGGCCGGGCGTGGTGGCTCATGTCTGTAATCCCAGCACTTTGGGAGGCTGAGGTGGGTGGATCACCTGAGGTCAGGAGTTTGAGACCAGCCTGGCCAACATGGTGAAACCTCATCTCTACTAAAATTACAAAAATTAGCGGGGCGTAGTGGTGGACCCTCATGTTAGGCAGGCTGACCACCTGGGGCCTGGTCCTGCCTCCCTCCTTGATGCTGATGATCATGGGCAGCGAGGCAGTCTCTGAGGCGATGCAGTGTCGCGGCCCCAGAAATGGCCAATTGAAGGCCAGGGCCTCCAGGGGCTGCTGGCAGGTGCCCACACACTTGTAAGCCAGGAAGCCCAGGGGCTCCACCATCCAGTTCTTGGCCCACTTCATCCCCTGCAGGTCAGTGTACATCTCCTGGTGGCAGCAGCAGGTGCCCTCGGTCACTGGTGCTTCAGGGTCACAGTCGCCCTGAGCTCTGTGTGGGCAAGGAGAGCAGGGTCAGAGGTCAGCTGGGAAGACTGAGGTCACAAGGCCTGGGGCACAGCTTAGTGGGCACCTGGGAGGGAGATTTATGATCTAGCTCTCACTATGTTTTAAAAGCTCAATATTTGTGAGAAGATGAATGAATAAACATATTTGAATCATAAATAATTAAATCAGCTAGGTCTCCTAATAGGCCAGACAATGGACTAGGTACTTCACATATATTATCTCAGGTGATGTCTGCATTTCATCCTCAGGTAGGTTCCTGCATTAACCCCATTCCACCTGAGGCCACTGACACCCAGAGGTGTTCAGTGACATGCCAGAGGACCTGCAGCCAGTGGAAGGCAGAGCTAGATGGAGGCCAGACCAACTGGTTCCAAGGCCTCTTCTTAACCACTGTGCTACGCAGCCCCCATCTGCTCCAGAGAGTTAACTTGTCCATGAGGAAAGAATTCATCAAAGCAGAAGGAAAGCTCATCTCCCCTAGTAACAGCTAAAGCTAGGATTTTTCAAAGATTTAATCACAGAGAAGGGTGAAGTGAAAGTAGATGATTACAATCGTGTATATGGAGTCAATGGCAATACAAAAATCCATTGAAAATTGTCAAAGATATTTTGCAATAAAATGAATAATGCAATTTCTTCCTTTTTTTTTTTTTTTTTTTTTTTTTGAGATAAGTGTTCACTCTTCTTGGCCAGGCTGGAGTGCAATGTCTCGATCTCGGCTCACTGCAACCTCCACCTCCCAGGTTCAAGCAATTCTCATGCCTCAGCCTCCCTAGTAGCTGGGACTACAGGCATGTGCCACTGTGCCCAGCTAATTTTTGTATTTTTAGTAGAGACTGACTGGGTTTCACCATGTAGGCCAGGGTGGTCTCAAACTCCTGACCTCAAGTGATCCACCTGCCTCGGCCTCCCAAAGTGCTGGGATTACAGGTGTGAGCCACCACCCTGGGTCTCTCTTTTTTTTTTTTTTTTTGAGACAAGGCCTAGCTATGTTGACTAAGCTGGCCTCCAACCTCAGCCCGCCAAGGAGCTAGGACTACAGGTGTGTGTCACTGTGCCCAGCTGCAAATAATTTTTTTCTAACATGTGGCTTGTCTTTTCATTCTCTTAACAGTGTCTTTAGAATAGCAGAAGATTTTAATTTTAAAGAAGTCCAGTTTATCATTTTTTTCTTTTACAGATTTTTTTTTGGTGTTGTTTCTCAATCTTTGCCTAACCAAGGTCACGAAGATTTCTTCCTATCTTTTCTTCTTATAAGTTTTATGGTTTTACATTTAGAACTATGATCTATCTTTTTAATTTTTGTATATAGTACAAGGTAGAGCTCAAAGTTCACTTTTTAAAAACATTTGGATATCTAGTTTTTCCAGCACTATTTGTTGAATAGACTGTCTTATCTCCATTAACTTGCCTTCACACCTTTTGATTTTTTTTTTTTTTGAGATGGATTTCGCTCTTTCGCCCACCCTGGAGTGCAGTGGCAGGATCTCAACTCACTGCAACCTCCACCCTCCAGGTTCAAGCGATTTTCCTGCCTCAGCCTCCTAAGTAGCTGGGATTACAGGCGCATGCCACCACACCTGGCTAATTTTTTTGTATTTTTAGTAGAGATGGGGTTTCACCATGTTGGCCAGGTTGGTCCCGAACTCTTGACCTCAGGTGATCCACCTGCCTCTGCCTCCCAAAGTGCTAGGATTATAGACGTGAGCCACTCTGTCTGGGATCAACAGGCGTGTGCTGTTGGTAGAAGAGCTGAGGCAGGACTGGCTTATCTGTCATAATGTAAAAGAGTCTAGGAAGATGTCCAGGGTCCAGGGTCTAAAACCCCTCGTGGCCTTTGGAACACCAAGCTCTGTGCCAAAGGGTGGAAGGCTGCCCTGCCGCACCACAATCTAAGCCCGGGGCATAGAACCCCTTGTGGCTTGGATGGAACCCAGGGCTCAGGGCATAAAACCCCTCGTAGCCTCTGGAATGTGCACAGACTTGTTGGTTCCTTGCTTCTTACTTGTAAACGTGTCCTCCATTATCTCAAGCAGCAGAGCATATACTATATGCATCAAAGGAAATGCTAAACCGTCACAGCTAGGCTTAATGCACCACCTTTCTACCCCCACATCCCCACGCCCTCACCTGTTTACCCTCATGTCCTCACCACCTGCTTCTTTGTTTGATCACCAATAAATAGTGTGAGATCCCAGAGCTTGGGGCCTTCACGGCCTCCAATCTAGCGCTGGGCCCCTGGACCTACTTTATGCACTCTTAACTTGTCTTTTCTCATTCCTTTGATCCTGCTGGGTTTTGTAGCCCCCATGGCCTGGTGTTGGGCCTGATCACCCCAACATTTCTGGTGCCCAGCGTGGGGCTATGAAGACCCCAGTAGCTAGAGCATGTGGAAGTGGAGGACGCATCATCAAAGGAAACCTGAGGATGACCGAAAGGAGCTCGGTGGGTAAGCTGGGCGCTCAGAAGAACCAGGGTAACAATGGGACAAAATGAAAGTAAACATTCTGCTTAAACTTTCTTTCTTTCTTTTTTTTTTTGAAACGGAGTCTTGCTCTGTTGCCCAGGCTGAAGTGCAGTGGCGTGATCTTGGCTCGCTGCAACCTCCGCCTCCCGGGTTCATGCCATTCTCCTGCCTCAGCCTCCCGAGTACCTGAGACTACAGGCACCCGCCACGACACCCAGCTAATTTTTTGTATTTTTAGTAGAGACGGGGTTTCACCTTGTTAGCCAGGATGGTCTCGATCTCCTGACCTTGTGATCCGCCCACCTCAGCCTCCCAAAGTGCTGGGATTACAGGCATGAGCCACCGTGCCTGGCCTATTTAAACTTTCTAAGGCATTTACTATGGAGAGGAGGAGTGAAAGTTAGTACTCAACATTTATTAACACTCTTTAGTACAGTAGAGCAGTTTTGCCCATGGTTCCCAGAACAAGGGACAATGGAGTTGGATGAATGGGAAAGAATTGGCAGAGATTTAAAAAAGGTGCATAAAGAAGGAGCCAGAATTCCAGTTTCTGTTGGTCAGTGTGGGCGTTGAGAAAGGCAGCTCTTGAGCCATTTCAAACAGATGGCGAGGCAGATTCAGATGAGAAAGAGGCAGATGAGAGTAAAAAATTACCTTCAGATTCTGAATGTAAGGAACAGGAACCAGAGGAAATTAAAGAAAAGAAAGGAAAGCTGAAAAAGGTATATTTTACTAGCCTGTCAGTTCCACCTGCTGAATTAAGTAAATGGCCACCTCCTTCCTCTCCCCATAATGGGCGAGAAGATGAATTAGCTGTAAAACTTACTGCTCTGGTAGCTGCAACATTAAAACCTGGAGCAATTGGTGGCGCCATACAAAATTCTATTCAGAAGGCCAGAGCTGAAGGAGACCTAGAAGCATGGCAATTTCCCATTACTATAACCCAACAAGGAGGGCAACATATAGCTAATTGGGCCACTTTTCTTTTAAGTTGTTGAAGGAATTTAAATAAGCCATTAGTCAATATGGGCCAAATTCTCCTTTTGTACAAACTTTACTAAAAAATGTGGCTCTTGATAATAGATTAATACCATATGACTGGGATACTTTAACAAAATCTGTTCTCACTCTGACCCAGGACTTACAGTTTAAAACTTGGTGGGCTGAGGCCGGGTGCGGTGGCTCATGCCTGTAATCCCAACACTTTGGGAGGCCGAGGTGGGCGGATCACGAGGTCAGGAGATCAAGACCATCCTGGCTAATAAGGTGAAACCCTGTCTCTACTAAAAATACAAAAATTAGCCGGGCGTGGTGGCGGGCGCCTGTAGTCCCAGCTACTCGGGAGGCTGAGGCAGGAGAATGGCATGAACCGGGGAGGTGGAGTTTGCAGTGAGCCGGAGCTTGCAGTGAGCCGAGATTGCGCCACTGCACTCCAGCCTGGGAGACAGAGCGATACTCCGTCAAACAACAACAACAACAACAACAACAACAACAACTTGGTGGGTTGATGAAGCTCAAACTCAGGCAAGGGAAAACACACAAGCACAGCCTCCTGTGCCTGTTTCCTTTGAGCAGTTAATGGGGTTGGGCCCTAATTGAGGCTGATTAGATAGACAATCAAGCAGTAATGAAAAATATTGCCATTGTTCAGTTATGCACTGTATGCTTACGGGCATGGAAAAAAATAAATGTTACAGGGAAAAAATATCCTTCTTTCATTAGACCTATGAGAGGGAAGGCTCATTTGGCTGAATATATTAAGGCTTGTGATGGCATTGGGGGTAATTTACGTGATGGCATTGGGGGTAATTTATGTAAGGCTACTCTTTTAGCTCAAGCTACGGCCGAATTAAAGGTGGGAAAAAATATGCCCCATTTCTCAGGGTCTTATTTTAATTGTGAGCAATTTGGACACACAAAAAAGGAATGTAGAAAAGGAAATCAAAAGGCAAAAACTATTACCATCAGTCAACAGAAAAGTCCCAGTGGATGCTCCCAGTGTAAGAAAGGCAATCACTGGGCAAATCAGTGTCATTCTAAATTTAGCAAAGATGGGTAACCTCTTTCGGGAAACAGGAAGAGGGGCCTGCCTCAGGCCCCTCAACAAACCGAGGCATATCCGGCACAGCCAGTGCCCTTATAAAAGTACAACAATTGTCCCCCGCCACAACAGGCAGTGCTGCCGTAGATCTTTGCAGCACGGTTCCCATTTCCTTACCTCCTGGGGAGCCACCAAAGGTCCCCATAGGAGTTAGGGGCCCTTTACCCTCAGGAACAGTTGGTCTATTGCTTGGAAGGTCTAGTTTAAATTTAAGAGGTGTCACTGTACATACAGGAATAATTGATTCTGATTATACCAGAGAGATTCAATTAGTTATTAGTTCCTCAATTCCATGGTCTGCTTCCCCAGGAGAAAGAATTGCTCAGTTGTTGCTGTTACCTTATACAAAACTGGGAAGCAGCACACTAAAAAGAATAAGAGGCTTTGGTAGTACGAATCCAGCAGGAAAAACCTGTATATTGGGTTAATCAAGTGTCTGACAAAAGACCTATTTGTATAGTAAGTATTCAAGGAAAGGATTTTGAAGGGTTAGAAGATACTGGAGCTGATGTTTCTATTATTGGTTTAAATCAATGGCCCCAGCATTGGCCAAAACAAAAGGCATCCATTGGTATTATTGGGGTAGGAGCTGCCTCAGAAGTTTTCAAAGTTCTTTAATTTTGCCATGCCAAGGGCTGGATGGCCAAGAAGGGACAATTCAACCTATTATTATACCTATTCCTGCCAATCTACAGGGTAGAGACTTATTGCAACAATGGGGTGCTGAAATATCTATTCCTATGGACCAGTATAGTAATAACAGTAAATAAAACAAATGATGAGAAAAAGGGGAAATCTCCTGGGGAAGGGACTAGGAAAAAATGCAAATGGCCAATCAGAACCTTTAGAACTAAAAGGACAAACAGATCGAACTGGATTAGGGTATCATTTTTAGGAGTGGCCATTGCTGAGCCTCCTGCTCCCATTCCTCTTGTTTGGTTAACTGCCAGACTGGTTTGGGTAGAGCAATGGCCACTGAAGAAGGAAAAACTGGAGGCTTTAAAAGAATCAGTACGGAAACAATTGCAAAAGGGACACATAGAGTCTACCTTCTCTCCTTGGAATTCTCCTGTGTTTGTTATTAAGAAAAAATCAGGAAAATGGAGAATGTTAACAGATTTGAGGGCTGTTAATGCTGTAATTCAACCCATTGGTGCACTGCAACCAGGCTGCCTTCTCCAAAAATGATCCCAAAATACTGGCCTCTCATAGTGATAGATTTAAAAGATTGCTTCTTTACCATTCCTTTAGCTACCCAAGATTATGAAAAATTTGCTTTTACTGTTCCTTCTATAAATAACAAAGAACCAGTGGACAGATACCATTGGAAAGTACTGCCACAAGGCATGTTAAATAGCCCGACTATTTGTCAAACTTATATCGGAAAAGTTATGAAGCCAATTAAAGAACAATTTTACAAATGTTATATTATCCATTACATGGATAATTTTATTTGCAGCTGAAACTAAAGAGGAATTAATGCTATGCTACAAACAACTGGAAAAGGCTGTGACTGCAGCGGGATTAATCAATCATAGCCCTGATAAAATCCAAACTTCTACTCCCTTTCAGTATTTAGGAATGAAAGCAGAATAAAGTACTATTAAGCTTCAAAAGGTTCAAATTAGAAGAGATGATTTAAAAACTCTAAATGGCCGGCCTGCCTTCCTTTCCTTCCCTCCCTCCCTCCCTCCCTCCCTCCCTCCCTTCCTTCCTCCCTCCCTCTCTCTCTTTCGACGGTCTCCCTCTGTTGCCGAGGCTGGACTGTACTGCCATGATCTCGGCTCGCTGCAACCTCCTTGCCTCGGGCTCCCGTGATTCTCCTGCCTCGGCCTGCTGAGTGCCTGGGATTGCAGGCACGCACCGCCACGCCTGACTGGTTTTTGTATTTTTGGTGGAGACAGGGTTTTGCCATGTTGGCCGGGCTGGTCTCCAGCTCCTGACCTTGAGTGATCTGCCTGCCTCGGCCTCCCGAGGTGCTGGGATTGCAGACGGAGTCTCGCTCACTCAATGCTCAGTGTTGCCTAGGCTGGAGTGCAGTGGCTTGATCTCGGCTCGCTACAACCTCCACCTCCCAGCCACCTGCCTTTGCCTCCCAAAGTGCTAAGATTACAGCCTCTGCCCGTTTGCCACCCCGTCTAGGAAGTGAGGAGCATCTCTGCCTGGCTGCCCATCGTCTGGGATGTGAGGAGCGCCTCTGCCCGGCTGCCCCGTCTGGGAAGTGAGGAGCGCCTCTGCCCAGCCGCCCCGTCTGGGATGTGAGGAGCGCCTCTGCCCGGCCGCCCTGTTTGGGATGTGAGGAGCACCTCTGCCTGACCACCCCGTCTGGGAAGTGAGGAGCGCCTCTGCCCAGCCGCCCCATCTGGGAAGTGAGGAGCGCCTCTGCCTGGCCGCTGTGCAATCTTCCAAGTGTGAAGTGACAGCCTTTCTGCAGGTGTACCCAACAGCTCCAAAAAGACAGCGACCATCGAGAACGGGCCATGATGACGATGGCGGTTTTGTCAGAAAGAAAAGGGGGAAATGTGGGGAAAAGAAAGAGAGATCAGATTGTTATTGTGTCTGTGTAGAAAGAACTAGACATAGGAGATTCCATTTTGTTCTGTACTAAGAAAAATACTTCTGCCTTGGGATGCTGTTAATCTATAACCTTACCCCCAATCCCATGCTCTCTGAAACATGTGCTGTGTCCACTCAGGGTTAAATGGATTAAGGGCGGTGCAAGATGTGCTTTGTTAAACAGATGCTTGAAGGCAGCATGCTCGTTAAGAGTCATCGCCACTCCCTAATCTCAAGTACCCAGGGACACAAACACTACGGAAGGCCGCAGGGACCTCTGCCTAGGAAAACCAGAGACCTTTGTTCAGGTGTTTATCTGCTGACCTTCTCTCCACTATTATCCTATGACCCTGCCACATGCCCCTCTCTGAGAAACACCCAAGAATGATCAATAAACACTAAAAAAAAAAAAAAAAAAAAAGTATGATGTTTGCAGTGATAGTATTGAAGAGTTGTAATCATGAATGGATAGTGAGTGTGACCAGATTTCTCTGTACTTATTGAGGTAATCATGAGATTTTCTTCCTTATTCTGTTATTGTTGTTCATTATCAATGATGGTCACATATTAAACTAATCTTCTATTCCTCAGGAAAAAAAAAAAAACTAAATGATTTTCAAAAATTGTTAGGAGGCATTAACTGGATTCATCCCACTTTAGGCATTCCTACTTTTGCTATGTCTTACCTCTTTTCTACCTTACGAGGTAATTCTAACTTAAACAGTAAATGCTTCCTGTCCAAAGAGGCATTAGAGGGACTTCAATTAATTGAAGAAAAAAATTCAACAGGCACAAGTGACTCGAATTGACCCTATGCAGCCATTAGTTTTTAGTTTTTCCTACTAAACATTCACCTACAGGAGTTACTGTTCAACAGAATTATCTGGTTGAGTGGCTTTTTCTACCTCACAATACAACTAAACGCTCACTCTATACTTAGATCAAATTGCTGTACTAGTAGGACAAGGAAGGCTGCGCACAACAAAGTTAATGGGATATGATCCAAATCAAATTATAGTTCCATTAAACAAGCAACAAATTCAGTAAGCTTGTATTAATTCCCAGGAATGGCAAGTAATTTGACAGGTTTTATTGGCATTCTTGATACATTATCCTAAATCCAAAATATTCCAACTTCTTAAATTAACATCATGGATATTGCCTTCCATTACTCAAAAAGCTCCTATTGAAGGGGGCCATCACTGTTTTTACTGATGGATCTAACAATGGAAAAGTCTCATTTGTGGGACCTCAACAGCAAGTTTTTCAAACTGACTTTGCTTCTGCTCAAAGGGCTGAACTTACGGCTGTAATTACAGTACTAAAAACTTTTAAACAGCCAGTAAACATTGTTTCTGATTCAGCCTATGTAGTGCAAGCCACACAAAATATTGAATGTGCCTTAATTCAAAATGTGACTAATGACCAACTTAATCTTTTATTTCATTCTTTACAGCAAGCAGTACAACAAAGACATTCCCCCTTTTTATATTACTCATATAAAAGCACATACTAACCTCCCTGGCCCTTTAACTACTCAAAGGGCGGATAATTACATGGGGAAGAGGATTTGCTTGTGTCTCTCCAGGTGACAATCATGTGCCTGTATGCGTGCCCACCAAACATCTGAAGATCTATCATGAACTACAGCAGGAAGAGAGGACTCTGGGAAGAGCCAAAAATCCCGGTATGAGTGATGGCACAAATAAACCTCTCAGAGATGAAGGAGAAAACTGAGAATAGTCATCAGGCAAATTCTCCAACATAGGGACAAATCAAGAAGTTGGCGCAGATGGCAAAGGACAACTTGAAAACACAGAACAAACTAAAAACAACTAGTAACCTGATGGTGGCCATGCTGGCGGTACTCACCATGGCAGCAAGCCTCCCTACTATAGGAGCAACTCAGAATTTCACTTATTGGGCATATGTCCCATTTCTTCCTTTAATTAGGTCTGTGAGTTGGATGGACCCTGTTATTGAGGTATACACCAACAACAGTAGCTGGATGTCTGAGCCCACAGATAACCAAGGGCCAATGCATCCTAATGAGGAAGGAATAAAAATAAATATATCCATAGAATATAAATATCCCCAATATGCCTGGGACCTGCTGTTGGAGGTTTACAGATTGACACACAGGCCTGGTTGGCAGTATTCCCCGAAAAAATAAATCATGGGCTGTTTTGCATATGATTTCAGGGCACAGTTTAAAATATAATCATTCCCATCCTAAAACCCTGAGGTTCCATCTGAATAAGTTCAAATATAAACAAAATAGAGTTTAGTTTAAAGGTGGGGATGCTTGAACTTGGGAAAATTGTATAGCAAGTTAAGGCTGAGGTGCCATAAAATAATTCCTATGGAATCATCATTAATTAGTCCCCTAAGGGGATCTTTAAAGAAAATTGCACCAGAAGGCCTTCTTGTAGAACAAATGTAACAAACTGATAGAACCATTGGCAATTAAATAATACACAATATATTTGGACAAAAGCTGAGGTCCCTATCATATGGAGTCCTACTGGCATTGTCGCCCCTAGTCCAAAAATGGTATCTCCTGCCATAGGACAGGAACATTCTGAATTATGGAAATTAGCTATGGCTCAAAGTTCAATCCAAATTTGGGAGGGTAAATATAACAAGTATAAAGGGGAAGGAGGTAAAAATAAATATGCTCTTTCTTTTCTTTCCAACAGGACTTTTTGGATTCAAAGTTGTGTCCGGCCACCTTTTCTGCTAGCAATAGGAAATGTTACTCTTGATATAAACACACACTTTATTTCATGCCCCGCATGTCATTTGTTTACCTGTATTAGTTCAACCTTTAATAAAAATCAGACTGTCCTAATAATTAAAGCCAGGGAAGGAGTCTGGATACCTATGTCTTTAAATAGACCGTGGGCGGCATCTCCATCCATTCATACAGTAAATGAAATCCTTAAAAAACTTTTATCCCGTTCAAAAAGATTTATAGTTGCTCTCATAGTTGCTATAATTGGCCTCGTTGCTGTTACTACTACTACTGCAATAGCTGTACATGAATGGCTCTACATTCATCTGTACAAAGTGTTAAATTTGTCAATAAGTGGCAAAAGAATTCCACAAAATTATGGAACTCTCCAACTCAAATAAATCAAAGAACCAAATTAATGATCTCCATCAGACAGTGATTTGATTGGGAGAGCGTTATTGTAAGCTTAAAAAGTAAAATTCGAATGCATTGTGATTGAAATACCTCTGATTTTTACATTACTCCTCATCTGTATAATGAAACAGAGCATGAGTGGGAAAAAGTTGAGACATTTAAAAGGTCATACTGGAGCCGGGCACGGTGGCTCACACCTGTAATCCCAGCACTTTGGGAGGCCGAGGTGGGCGGATCACGAGGTCAGGAGATCGAGACCATCCTGGCTAACACAGTGAAACCCCGCCTCTACAAAAAATACAAAAAATTAGCCGGGCGTGGTGGCGGGCGCCTGTAGTCCCAGCTACTCAGAAGGCTGAGGCAGGAGAATGGCGTGAACCCAGGAGGCGGAGCTTGCAGTGAGCCGAGATCGCGCCACTGCACTCCAGCCTGGGCGACAGAGCGAGACTCCGCCTCAAAAAACAAACAAACAAACAAAAAGGTCATACTGGAAATTTATCTTTGGATATTGCAAAACTGAAGGAACAAGTATTTCAAGCCTCTCAGGCACATCTGACACTAATGCCAGGAAGTGAAGTGCTTGAAGGAGCTGCAGATGGATTAGCAGCTATTAACCTGCTAAAATCGATCAAGACACTTGGAGGCTCTGTGATTTCAATAATGATTGTGCTTTTAATCTGTGTTGTTTGTCTTTATACAGCCTGCAGATGTGGAAGCTGCCTCTGGAGAGAAAGCCACCGCCAAGAACAAGCAATGATAACTATGGCGGTTTTGCAAACAAGGAAAGGGAGACATGTTGGTAGAAGAGCTGAGGCAGGACTGGCTTGTCTGTCATAATGTAAGTCTTGAAAGATGTCCGGGGTCCAGGTTCTAAAACCCCTCGTGGCCTTTGGAACACCAAGCTCTGTGCCAAAGGGTGGAAGGCTGCCCTGCCGCACCACAATCTAAGCCCAGGGCATAGAACCCCTTGTGGCTTGGATGGAACCCAGGGCTCAGGGCCTAAGACCCCTTGTAGCCTCTGGAATGTGCACAGACTTGGTTCCTTGCTTCTTACTTGTAAACATGTCCTCCATTAACTCAAGCAGCAGAGCATATTCTATATACATCAAACGAAATGCTAAACCATCACAGCTACGCTTATGTACCACTACCTTTCTACCCCACATCCTCACGCCCTCACCTGTTTACCCTCACGTCCTTACCACCTGCTTCTTTGTTTGATCACCAATAAATAGTGTGGGCTCCCAGAGCTTGGGGCCTTCACAGCCTCCAATCTGGCACTGGCCCTCTGGACCCACTTTATGCACTTTTTTTTTTTTGAGGCCCAGTCTTACTCTGTCACCCAGGCTGGAGTGCAGTGGTGCGATCTCTGCTCACTGCAAGCTCTGCCTCCCGGGTTCACACCATTCTCCTGCCTCAGCCTCCCAAGTAGCTGGGTCTACAGGCGCCCGCCACCACACCCAACTAATTTTTTTCGTATTTTTAGTAGAGACGGGGTTTCACGGTGTTAGGATGGTCTCAACCTCCTGACCTTGTGATCCGCCCGCCTCGGCCTCCCAAAGCGCTGGGATTACGGGCGTGAGCTACCGTGCCTGGCCCACTTTATGCACTCGTCTTTTCTCATTCCTTTGACCCTGCTGGACTTTGTAGCCCCCATGGCCTGGTGTTGGGCCTGATCACCCCAACAGTGTGCCACTGTGTCCAGCTCATTTTTGTATTTGTAGCAGAGATGGGGTTTCACCTTGTTGGCCAGGCTGGTTTCAAACTCCTGGCCTCAAATGAACCGCCCACCTCAGCCTCGCAAAGTGCTGGGATTACAGGCATGAGCCACTGTGCCCAGCCTTGGATCATGATGTTTAATCTTAACAGTCTTACAAGCAAAGTACTATTGTTGGCCCCATTTCCAGAGATGAAAATGAAGGCTTAGAAAAGTATCTAGTCTAAGACCACAGAGTTAGGAAATAGTGGAGCCAGGATTTAAAGCCAGGCAGTCTGACTTGGAATGTCTGTTCTTAACCACTCTGTTACACGCTACCAGGACTCAAAGAACCCAAATGCCAGTCTCTCCTTTTCAGGTCATCTCTGTAGTGTTAAATAAGGGGGAAAAAGGTCAAGCCTCTCCCCTCCCCTGATGGTGATCCCATTAATTCTGGGGGAAAAAAAAACAAAAAGCCAAAATAATCCTATACTATTTGATGTTACTTTTCTAATTCAAGAAAACAAACTTGCTATTAACATATAGTGCAGAGAAAGTCATATAATATAAAGTACTGAGAAACAAAAAATTTGCTTTCAGCATTACTAGGCTCATTTTGGACTAAATGAATATAGTATATCCCAGCTCAGAAATCAACAATTTCTGAAAAGTTAAAAACTTCAACACAAACAATATATATTTTATCTAATATTTTATTTACTGATCTCTCTGAAACATGCCAAAATTCATATAGCTAAGGGAACTTACCATGCTAAAATGCTGTTCAACATGACAAATTTATACAAAACATATTTCAATGTAGTGCCTTCATTTCATTCTTGAGGAATCAACATTACATTTAGGTGGTGAAATACAAATATAATTATCAAATATCGTACTTCTAGTTTACTGGAAAACATAACAGTTGTGACAGTCACACCTAACACCTTGGTTAATTAAAGACAGAAAATGGGCAGGGGTGTCACAGAAGTATGCAAGGATTTGACAGTTCAAACTAATCCATAGCCCTTCTGAGAAACTACAGATGGAAAATATGTAGTAAATATTTCTGTAATATGGTGGTTTCAGTACATTATAGCACAGTGATCATCATTCCATTCATACACTCAAATAACTGCTGCTTCTGATCACTGAAAACTAGATTCAAAGTCATTGCTCAACAAGCTGATACTACAAATCCCTTATATTAACAGGTAGTTTAAATGTGGAAATAAGGCAAAGCATACTTGTTAGTCACAATTACTTTCAGATATAATTGAGACTACACTGCTATACATAATTAGGTACACAGTATGTATAACAATGCATACTATGGTGTGGAGTTAATTCCAATTACCATATTTTATATTTATTGGTCACAACAGCATACATTTTATGCTCCAAAATACATGGATCTGACAAAATGGTTACATTTAATGTTCTTTTAAAGAAAGATGAACTAAATTTAAGAAGAATTGGTTTTTCCTAATATCTCATTTTCAAATTACTGATACAAATTTGCCAGAGAAACAATTACATGTTTTACCTAACATCAAATAATCTCCAGTTTCTAAGACAGATGCATTTCTTGTTCAATTTCCAAAAGTAAATAAAGGCTTTCTAACTGAAAACATTTGCATCCCTAGCTCTCTAAAGTAATTAAAAAGAAAATTACAAAAAATGACCTCTAAGCTTCTGAACAGCCCACTTAGTTACATAAAGTACTTTCTGTCCCAACACTTTCTCTAATTCAAAAGATATTTACTTCCTAAGTACACGACAAAGTCTTCATTTCAAACCATTCACTCAGTTTCCATGGTAACATTGCGGGCTTCCTTGGCTACCATAAGTCGCATTAGTTGACTGTGGAATTTCTCAATCTTCTTTACATCTTGAGCTTGGTCTGTTTTATACACCAAACACTGTCAGAAATTTTAGAAGTACATATTAACTATATAAAACTAGATACTGACAATGTAGAAAACATACAATTGGGTAAAATTTTGAGAGTTTTTCCTACCACTGTTTTGCTCTATTCTCCTTGGAGGTCGTACTAGGGAAATTGCACTCAAGTTTCCAAGCCTCCAGCAATTCCATGTCTTAAAGTACAGTAATTTAAATGCCACTGCTGTGGACAAAAAACTGAATGAAGTCTATTAGAAGCTTCTGAAAAATGTTAAATGTTAAATCCTGCTATGGTCTGATGAGAAGAACTCAAGACTTAGAATTAGATATTTTCTTCCTTCGAATTAGGTATTAGATTATCTCCCTACATATTTTCTCCCAGCCATAAGTAACTGAGTTATGCTGGAAAAAAAAACACAGAAATCTTAAGATCTCTTTTTCTACTGGTGAAATTGGGGGTTTGATAATAATTTTTAGAAAAAAATCTAGAATTCTCTGTGTATAGCTGGTCAACACATAAACCAGGTAAATCTTGATTTTCTTGGCCAGGCGTGGTGGCTTACGCCTGTAATCCCAGCACTCTGGGAGGCCGAGGCAGGCGGACCACCAGGTCAGCAGTTCGAAACCAGCCTGGCCAATATGGTGAAACCCCGTCTCTACTAAAAATACAAAAATTAGCTGGGCGTGGTGGCGTGTGCCTGTAATCCCAGCTACTTAGGAGGCTGAGGCAGGAGAATCGCTTGAACCCAGGAGTGAGGGCTGCAGTGAGCCAAGATCATGCCACTGCACTCCAGCCTGGGCGACAGAGTGAGATTCCGTCTCAAAAAAAAAAAAAAAAAAAATCTTGATTTGCTGAAGGTATGTATTTTTGAGACAGTGTCTCACTCTGTGGCCCAGGTTGGGGGTGTAGTGGTGCAATCTCAGCTCACTGCAACCTGCGTCCTGGGCTCAAGCGATCCTCAGCTTCCTGAGTAGCTGGGACTACAGGCACACACAACCACACCTAGCTAATTTTTCTATTTTTAGTAGAGACGGGGTTTCTCCATGTTGCCCAGGCTTGAAGATATTACTTTTAAATCAAACCAAATTCTTCCTTGTTAGCAGTTAAATTCTTCACTAGATACTTAAGATCTGCTTATGGTTGGTCATAAAGCCATCTGTTGTAGAATCTTCAAAAACAGCAACTTTAAGCTGGCAGCCCTTTCCTCATTTTGTAGTACAGATCCACTTTTCTTCAGCCCATCTTAAAGGTTCACATGAGTTTTAAACAACAGGAACTAATGATCCTATAATAAAAGTCAACAACTTAAATAACTTGAAGTTCAACCTCATCATGCCCAACTGATTTTTTTAAGTGAGCCTTTTAAACAACTCACTTAAAAAAATTTTTATCCACGCATTGTACAAATTTGTGCGGCAATCTTGTAAAAAGGCCATATTAATCTTCATCATCAAAATTTTAGCACATGTCCTATGAGAGAATGTACATACCTTCTCACTGAAATTTCTGACAGAAAAAGATTTTAGGTCCATAGAAGACAGTATTCTAAATCAATTATGGGATTAGAAAAATGATGGATACATGGGATTATAAAAAAGTCGAAGTTAACATGGATCCTTAATTATATTCAATCATTAACAGGGCAAAAAGAGCCATCAATTGGAGATAAGGCCTTTTGTATTAAAATTCGTTCTGCATTTATTCCCTTATTTTATTTTTTTTGAGACCGAGTCTAGTTCTGTCACCCAGGCTAGAGTGCAGTGGCACAATCTTGGCTCATTGCAACCTCTGCCTCCCAGTCCCAGGTTCAAGCGATTCTCCTGCCTCAGCCTCCCAAGTAGCTGAGATTACAGGCACCCACCACCATGCTAATATTTGTATTTTTAGTAGAGACGGGGTTTCACTGTGTTGGTCAGGCTGGTCTCGAACTCCTGACCTCATGATCCGCCCACCTCAGCCTCCCAAAATGCTGGGATTACCAGCACGAGCCACCGCGCCCGGCCTATTCCCCTATTTTTAAGACAGGACATAGGGGTTTTTCTTCAGCAAGTATACCTAACCACTCTGTGACAATCACAATTAAAATTTTTCTGTGTGGAATGTCAAGATTTAAGAAGTACTTAGTGGTTCACACCCATAATCCCAGTGGTTTGGGAGGCTAAGGCAGAAAGATGGCTTGAGTCCAGGAGTTCCAGATCAACCTGGGCAATATAATGAGACCCTGTCTTGACAAAAAAATTTAAAAATTAGCTGAGTGTGGTGGTGCACACCTGTAGTCTCTGCTATTCAGGAGGCTGAAGCAAGAGGACCGCTTGAGCCCAGGAGGTCGAGGATGCAGTGAGCTATGATCATGCCACTGCACTGCAGCCTGAGCAATAGAGCAAGACACTGTCTCTAAAAAAAAAAAAAAGCAATCAACCAACCAATCAACAAACAAAAGAATACATGTACTCAATCTACCAAGGGTAAGCACTCATGTTAGATACTTTCATATATTTTTTTACTATCACTATGATACTTTACAGATGAGGAAATTGAGACCAGAAGGCTAAATTTTTGGCCTAAACTTTTCCAAGGCCAAAATGCTAGTAAATGACTAAGCTAGGATTCACATCTCTTCAATCTATGTCTAGTATACTACATCTCGATTCACTCTTCCTTTTCCACATGTTTAGCTACTCACTACATTCAATTGGTTCTTAGAAGACATGGTAATCACTAAAAGGTCTAACTTCATGCAGTCTCATCATAATGGAACCCTGAACACAAATACAATATATGACCAAAGACAAAAAGTGATTTTTAAAATCACTCTATAAAATTTTCAAAAGAACTAACTATTTAAAAAATGTTTACTGAGTGCTCTCTGGGTCAAGACATCATAGTAGGCAATGGAAATAAGACATGTAAGAATATTACTGATCTATCTCTATTGTCTTGAAGGGCAGTCTATTAAAAAGACAAATGTGATAAAAGAATTGTGATACAGCACAAAAAGCCAAAATGAAAAGCAAGAAATGAAGTAATCCTCAAGTTGGGTTTTGAAAGATAAGCAGCAGTCTGGCCACATTAGGGGTGGAGGTGGGATTCAATATTGCAAAGGAGGAAACAGAATGTTTGAAAGCACTGAGGCCTAACACATCACAGCACATTAAAGGAGCTCTTACATAATACAGAAATGACAGAGATTAGAGAGGATGCAAGGGTGGAGTTTAAAGGTTTCTAAGCAAGGGAGTAACAATCAAATTAGCCTTTCAGAAATCACTCTGGGGCTGGGCGTGGTGGATCACACCTGTAATCCCAGCACTTTGGGAGGCCGAGGTGGGTGGATCGCTTGAGGTCAG
The DNA here is from genome assembly GCF_000001405.40 of Homo sapiens. Lineage (NCBI taxonomy): Eukaryota > Metazoa > Chordata > Mammalia > Primates > Hominidae > Homo > Homo sapiens. Next base: position 225,785,911 of record NC_000001.11, on the reverse strand, counting down.
GAGTTCAACTCCAGCCGCCTGGGCGACATGGTGAAATCTCATCTCTACTAAAAATACAAAAATTAGCTGGGTGTGGTGGTGCCCACCTGTAATCCCACCTACTTGGGAGGCCGAGGCAGGAGAATTGCTTGAACCCGGAAGGCAGAGGTTGCAGTGAGCCAAGAATGAACCATTGCACTCCAGTCTGGGTAATAGAGCCAGACTCCTTCTTTAAAAAAAAAAAAAAAAAAAAGTCCAGGCACAGTGGCTCACGCCTATAATCCCAACACTTTGGGAGGCCAAGGCGGGCAGATCACGAGGTCAGGAGTTCGAGACCATCCTGGCTAACAGGGTGAAACCCCGTCTCTACTAAAAATACACAAAATTAGCCAGGCGTGGTGGCGGGCGCCTGTAGTCCCAGCTACTCAGGAGGCTGAGGCAGGAGAATGGCGTGAACCCAGGAGGCAGTTTGCAGTGAGCCGAGATTGCGCCACTGCACTCCAGCCTGGGCGACAGAGCGAGACTCCATCAAACAAACAAACAAATAAAAAGAAAAGGCCAGGCGCAGTGGCTCACCCCTGTAATCTCAGCACTTTCAGAGGCCAAGGTGGGTGGATCATGAGGTAAAGAGATGGAGACCATCCTGGTCAACATGGTGAAAACCCCGTCTCTACTAAAAAAAAAAAAAAAAAAAATTAGTTGGGCGTGGTGGTGCACGGCTGTAGTCCCAGCTACTCAGGAGGCTGAGGCAGGAGAATCACTTGAACCCAGGAGGTGGAGGCTGCAGTGAGCAGAGATCGCCCACTGCACTCCAGCCTTGCAACAGAGCGAGACTCCGTCTAAATAGAAATCACTCTGGGCTGTGCACTGTGGCCCATGTGTGTAATCCCAGCAACTTGGGAGGCTGAGTGGGAGGACTGCTTGAAGCCAGGAGTTCAAGACCAGCCTGGGCAACATAGCGATATCCTGTCTCTAAAAAAATTTTTTTAATTAAAAAAAATCCCCAGATTTCTGACCACGTGGAAAATAATGCAACTAAAGGTAGGAAGGTAGGAACAGAAGAAGCAGCTAGTTTTTTTGTTTGTTTTTTTGAGATGGAGTCTTGCTGTGTCACCCAGGCTGGAGTGCAGTGGCACGATCTCTGCTCACTGCAAGCTCCACCTCCCAGGTTTATGCCATTCTCCTGCCTCAGCCTCCTGAGTAGCTGGGACTACAGGTGCCCGCCACCATGCCTGGCTAATTTTTTTGTATTTTTAGTAGAGATGGGGTTTCACCGTGTTAGCCAGGATGGTCTCGATCTCCTGACCTTGTGATCTGCCCACTTGACCTTCCAAAATGCTGGGATTACAGGCATGAGAAAGAGCTAGTTTAAGAACAGATGATAGGCCGGGTGGGGTGGTTCATGCCTGTAATCCCACCATTTTCGGAGGCCGAGACGGGTGGATCACGAGGTCAGGAGATCCAGATCATCCTGGCCAACATGGTGAAACCCTGTCTCTACTAAAAATACAAAAAAAAATTAGCTGGGCGTGGTGGTGGGTGCCTGTAGTCCCAGCTACTCGGGAGGCTGAGGCAGAAGAATGGCATGAACCCGGGAGGCAGAGCTTGCAGTGAGCCGAGATCACACCACTGCACTCCAGCCTGGGCGACAGAGCAAGACTCCGTCTCAAAAAAAAAAAAAAAAAAAAAAAAAAAAAAAAAAAGAACAGGTGATAAACTCCACTGTAGATAAGTGAATTTTGAGGGTATGTGAGATACAGATGCTAGTCAGAAAGTCAGAAGAATATGAACTAAACACACATTTGCAAGTAGACATAGACAGATGCAGTATTAGACTCAGTTAAATGAACTGCTCCAGAAGCTGTTATGAAAAGACAATCAAGGACAGAATCCTAGAGAAGCACATATATATGGGGCACATCAAAAAAAAAACAATCAGCAAAGAAGAATGAAACAACAGAAACACAGAATAGTAAGGCCAAGATAAAACAGAACCACAAGTGCCAAAATAATTATTTCTATGAAAGAGTGGGCTTCTGTATCAAAAGCAGCAAGGAGGTCAAATAACATATGAATAATAAGACCACTGGGTTTGAAAAGAAAGGAGCTGCTGATGTGCTCTCACAAAGAGCAGTTTCGCTGGAGTACCATATGCAGAAAACAAATGGCAGAGGGTTAAGGAATGAATGGGATATGAGGAAGTAACAAGAATGAGCATATCAAAGACAGGAAATACAATAAAGCCTGTAAGTTGTGTTCAAACACTGTCATTTAAAGGAAACTTTTACTCCCTTACATCCAATTTGGTCTCTACATTTCTGTTGCTTAAGGTCTGAAGACAGCACTTATTAAAGACACTTGACATAATGCATTAAGAAAGCAGGTTAAATAATTTCCTGAGGGTCTATAAAAGTAGCTGCTAGAATGAGGTTCTTCATCTTTAAATGAAATGCAAAATAAGCATCCTAATGGGTAATCTCCATAAACTCTAAGTAAATAATTTCAAACAAATAATTAACTCAAACAAATCTGAAAGTATGTAACAAATAAAAATGTATACTTACAACTAAATCATCTGTTACTTTAACACACAAGTTCCCATCAGAATGCCTATATTTGAGAACCACACGTGCCTGAAACAAAAATACATATTTAGAAACAGTGAAGACAAATGACATTTCTTATAAATAATTTAGTCTTCAGGTAGGCTGAAAAGGATCCTTTTAGAATAAATACCCCCAAACATCTAAAGGCATTTTTACTATAAACTAAACCGAAATGAAGTTAAAAAAAAAATCAGCTATTTTAGTTCATTCCTTTGCTACCATTTATTTAAGACTTAAAAAGTTGGATATTTTATTTGCAGCCAGTTTGAAGAGATGTACTGAACATTCTCAAAACACATCCACATTCAGGGAATGTCTGTGAGACTTATAAGGTGGCATTTCTTGCCAATAAGAATATACACCAACACACCTAGCCACAGAGGAATGACAGGAAAGGGAGGAAAACATTTAGCAGAAATGGCTAGTTAAAAAGTCCAAATCCATTCATTAGCAAACAGTGCTGCAGGTCAGTGCAACTCACACTTTCCATTTTTCCACAAATCTTAGCAAGCAGATTCAGACTAAAATATTCAGCAAAATCAGGTCTTTATCACGAAGGTAGAACATAACGCATTATTACATAAAAGCAGAATTCTGCCTTGAAGTCTCCACCAACAACTTTTCCAAAAACCAGAATAACTCCTATACTGAAGTTCCATGTTACACAATACTTTATGTTCAATATTCTACAGATTGCCAAGGCATTTAGATATTAGCATATTCCTATAAGACATCTCCCAAGAACACTTCCACGAACATTATTTTTTTTCAGTGATGGATTCAAGCACAGTGTATCGCAGTTTTTCCCTAACCAGTATCAGTAACTCTTGTTTAGCTAGCTGTTTTAAAAACTGCTAAGTATCGGCCAGGCGCGGTGGCTCACGCCTGTAATCTCAGCACTTTGGGAGGCCAAGGCGGGTGGATCATAAAGTCAGGAGATTGAGACCATCCTGGCTAACACGGTGAAACCCCGTCTCTACTAAAAAATACAAAAAATTAGCCGGGCGTGGTGATGAGTGCCTGCAGTCCCAGCTAATCGGGAGGCTGAGGCAAGAGAATGGTGTGAACCAGGGAGGTGGAGCTTGCAGTGAGCCGAGATCGCACCATTGCACTCCAGCCTGGGGACAGAGCGAGACTCCATTTCAAAAAAAATAAATAAATAAAATAAAATAAAATAAAAACTGCTACTTATCTACAAGCCAGAACAGAAACATAATTTTAAAATGGTTACAATCTAGCACCAGAGGCCTCAAGACAATTCTGGAAACTAAATAAAAAGGGCTAATGGAACTGCAACCTACAGCTTTCCCCATTACGGTCTTTGCATTCCTGAGACTGAAAAAAAAAAGTTACATCACTATATGCGATTTGTCTGAGTGAAGGAGGAAAGGGAACTCATCAAGCATTTAAGCAGGTATAAATAGTAGTAACTAGGTTAATTATCTTTAGAATACCTGATTCTATTTATTTATCTAGTAAATTCAGTTTTACACATTTTAAAAATTCAGTTCTCTAGAAACGAAACACTTAAAAATATACTAAGCATGACAACTATGTGAAGTTTTAACTCTCAGTTAAAGGAACACTCACTGGTTTCATTTAGGAGAAATGAGAGTTAAAAGGCCAATCATGGCTGGGTGCAGTGGCTCATGCCTATAATCCCAGCACTTTGGGAGGGCAGGAGTTCACTCACGAGGTCAGGAGTTCGAGACCAGTCTGGCCAACATGGTGAAACCCCGTCTCTACTAAAAATACAAAAATTAGCTGGGCATGGTGGTGGGTGTCTGTAATCCCAGCTACTCGGGAGGCTGAGGCAGGAGAATCGCTTGAACTCGGGAGGCGGAGGTTGCAGTGAGCTGAGATTGCACCACTGCACTCCAGCCTGGACAACAAAAGCAAAACTCTGTCTCAAAAAAAAAAAAAAAAAAAAAGAAAAAGAAAAGAAAAAAGGCCAATCGTGTTTATAAAAGGGTCCATTTGGTAATTTAGAGGGTGCCAAGTCACCATGTCAGATGCCATAAAGAAAGAAAAATCAAGGTTCTTTACCAAAAATAACCAAAACACAAGGACAGAATGAATTAAGTCCTATAAAGGGATATACAGATAAAATGCTAAAGAGAGAAAACAAGTAACTTAGACTGGGAAAAAGGAAAGTCTAAAAAAGGAGGTGGCTTTGAAATGCTTTTTTTGTTTTAACCTTATAGAAGAAGGCAGAAGAAAGGCTAAAAATCATTCTGAACAAGGATACAATCCGGTAGCTTCATGAGACTAGAGCTGAAGATCATGAAAATGGTGAGACAAAGCCAGAAAGACTGGAGATGGGTCAGACTGTGACTGGGAGTTGGGACTATATCCAGTTATCAAAGAGCCAGTTTTTAAGCAGGAGATGAAGAATTCAACTTTTGTTTTTTAGACAGTTGTGGCAAGAGTGTTAAGGAACTAAAAAGGCTGACAGACCAACAAAGAGGTTATTACATAATCCAGTGGTAATGCCATCTTCAATTACAGCAATACAAGACAGAGTGGTAAAAAGATACTGGGTATAATCAACAGGTTAAATGTGTTGCGGAGAGAAGACAGAGAATTTTGGAAAACAGATTCCAGAGACCTGACAAAATTTGTTCTTTAGCCCTAGCAGAAAGAGAATGGACTTGGGGTTCAAAGATCTGGGTCCAAATTTCATCTTAATCTCTCAAGAAACTAGGTATATCACTTAACAGATATAAAATCATTCATTTATATACTTTGATGGGTTGCTGTAATTGTTCATATATTATGTATAAATCTATGTAAACACACATAAATATATATTAAATGCCTGTAACATATAAACATATGTAAAATGCCTGTCACGTAGAGGCGGAGGTTGCAGTGAGCCAAGATGGCGCCACTGCCCTCCAGCCTGGGCAACAAGAACAAAACTCCATCTTGGAAAACAAACAAACAAAAAAAACTGTTAAGCTCTTCCTCTACACTCATCCTCTCCCCTCTCAACATATCAGTCAAGCCAGGCGCCATGGCTTGTGTCTGTAATCCCAGCTACTTGGGAAGCTGAGGCAGGAGAATCACCTGAGGCAAGGATTTAAGACCAACCTGGGCAACAAAGCAAGAGCCCCGTCTTTAAAAAAAAAAAAAAAAAAAAAAAAAATTAGGCAGGCATGGTGGCATGTCTGTAGTCTCAGCTACTCAGGAGGCTGAGGTGGGAGGATCACTCGAGCCCAGTTCAATGGTGCAGCGAACTGTGATTTGTGCCACTGCACTCCAGCCTGTGCCAACTGCAATTTTCTGACTGGGTAAGAGGTGAAATATTCTCTTTCTTGTCTATTCTAGACATGCTTTGCTCACAGTGATGCTCTAATTATTTTCATTTTCCCTACCACTGCCATCACATTCTTACAGTACAGTTACTCTTGATGTGAATTTATATATTCTTTACTGTTGTCTCAAGTATTTTTAGTTTATACTGTGGGTACTTCTGGATAAAAGTCCTGTGTGGTCTCAGAGTAGCATTGTCTGAATGAAGAAACAAATGACCCTGCCAACAAGGGAAGCTAACCAAATGAAGCAACCAGAAGTCACCAGTGTTATAAACAAATTACTCAATTTAAAAAATACAATTTCCATCATTTATTATTGTATCATTTTATTGTAAAAAATAGAAGTATGTTTTACAGCTTGTTACTTAGCTAGGTCTTTCTGTGGGTCTAATACTATTTTTAATCATAATTATCAACATTTCTTGCTGCACACTTTAAACTTATATGCACTATAAACTGTATGTGGCATTGGAGTTACAGGTTACCAGCTCACTGCATACACTTAAAACATAATTCATATTACTTAATGATCATCAATAGTTTCACACAGTAAATCCTGAGCCCTGGGCTGGGCGCAGTGGCTCACACCTGTAATCCCAACACTTTGGGAGGCCAACGCGGGTGGATCACGAGGTCAGGAGTTCCAGACCAGCCTGGCCAAGATGGTGAAACCCCGCCTCTATTAAAAATACAAAAAATTAGCCAGGTGTGGTGGCAGGCGCCTGTAAACCTAGCTACTCGGGAAGCTGAGGCAGGAGAACCGTTTGAACCCAGGAAGTGGAGGTTGCAGCGAGCTGAGATTGAGCCATTGCACTCCAGTCCGGGCGACAGTGCGAGATTTCGTCTCAAAAAAAATAAAACTATTGAAAAAAAAAAAAAAAGATCCTGAGCCCCGGTTTTCCGAGATTTTATCTGCTTTTAATTTTCTTTCTTCTCCGAGGGATACAGTCACAATACACTGGATCTATAATACCCTCCAATAATACCAGCTCCTTAAGGGTTGAACGGAATCTCATTCACCTTTGTGTCTCCCACAGAACCTAATTTAACTTGGGGTCAGTAACACGAGAGTGGGAAATGAATGCAGCATAAAAGAGATAACTGAGTTACAACAAACACAAAACAAAAGAAGCATCATACATAACCAGGTCTGAGGTTTTCAGTATAAAATCCCTTCAATATGCTGAGTTCTAAAAAGAAGCAGAACTTTTAATTAACACGAAGATGCTTCAAATAATTCTTAGACATGACAATAAAATAACCAAAACCTCAAGAGACGAAAAGTAAGACCCGAATGCTAAACTCCCATCACTTGGACTCCTTTGCTTTTTAATAATGAGCTAACCTCTGACATCCACCTCCATTATAATTTTTGTGGGGGCTAAGAATGTATTTCAGAGGTCCATGAATCCCTTAAAATTGTTTGCAAACATTTACTTATACATTTACTTATACCATTTTTCTGAGGAAAGGTGCAAATATTATTCTTATGGTCCCAAAGCCTGTGACTCCCAAAATACTAAGAACCAATATTCTGGGGGGTACAGATGCTTCCAAATTGGAATCTTTCAAGAATGTCTGAGCGGTAGTAGAAAAAACATCATCAGTTTTATATACATGAGGTACCCTTACCGCCTAGGCGGTACAGGAAAAGTGAACCAAGACAAAGGACAGGAAGCTGCAGGGGGAGGAGCCCTGGCTTCAGGGACTCGTAAAACAACCGAAGCCATAAAGGAAGCTGAGGGACTGGGGCGGGAAGATCGATTGCAGAAATGTTTAGGGCTGAGATGAACCTGGCTGTTGCCAGCTTCAGGGCCTCACTGGGCCGCTAGATCAGGGAAGAAGGGGACGAGAGAGCAGAACATTAACTTGGCAGGGTCCATTTGTGTTCATTCCCAGCACCTCCTGGGAGCGCTGGGGAAGCTCCAGGGGCCGAGTGGATGGCGGGAAGACATCCTGGGCTGGGGCCCAAAGCAGCGGCCCCGCCAGCGATTTACCTTCATAGGGTCAGCGAGGTAAAGCTTCTCGGCAGCGCGGCTGAACTCCTCCCAGGTCTGGTACTGCGGCATCGTGGCCTAGAGTGGAAAAGTAAAGAGAAGCAAGGCCTCAGAACCCGGCCCAACAAACTACCTACGTCCGGGAGTCGCCAACCGACGCGAGTCCCAGCAGCCCCAAGATGGCGGCGCCTCCTCGCACCAACGCCTCGCTCCATTGGACAGCCCCGTCCATGCTCGCCCAATGGGCAGGAGGGATGTTGTCAGGGAGTGGGCGGAGCCCAGGGCGTGTGGCTCGAGAGCTGAGCGAGACAAGCGGAGGGCACGGCAACCAATGCCGGCTGCCACAGCGCCCCCGGTAGGGCTGAATGAGTGGCGTCCGTCCCGTGGCCCTCAGGGCTGAACCGCAGCTGCCTTCAACAAAGATTAAGCGGCTCTGCGATAGTCGCTGCATATACGAGGAAGGAGGCGACAGGGCCCAGCTGTCACACAGCTTGGTGAAGAAGCCAGGAGACATAAACACAAGAGTGCAACGGAAAACTTTATATGATAAACATTTATGTCGGGTTAGTGGAGCGCGAAGGAAGAAGGATCTCTTGTGGGTGGGGGGAGACTCACAGAAGCGGTGCAAGCTCAACAGGTAGGCAAGGAAGGGCAGAACACGTAGGCCCATTTTAGATCTGCAGTGTATGTCAGATGACTGGTGTTTAGGAGATGAGGAAGAAGCCATATTATCACTTCTGCAAGGATAAAAAATCTGATCCTCCAAGCAGGAGGATCGCTTGAGCCCGGGAGTCCGAGGCTGCAGTGAGCCATGATCGCGCTACGCACCCAGCCTGGGCTTCAGAGGAAGACGCTGGCGCAAAAGTAAATAAATAAAGAAGATGGCCTGCAGGGGACACCAGGTAAAGGGTATTATATTTTGAGATGGAAAGATTTTGTGCATGTTTATAACTTTTAGAGAAGGACACATAAGAGATAGAAAAATAAAAAATACAAGAGAAAGAAGAAAGCGAGGTCTCGGGAAATATGAAGGGGAAGACCAAAGGCCCAGATGAATAAAAACAGGTGCATTATTGCCTTTGATGGGGTGAGGAGGAGGGAAAAGTCGGGTGAGGGTATAGGTGAGCATGTAGATACGAGGGCAAGAAGGTACATTTTCTTGTCACCTAAGACAGGAGACCACCTTCGTAAATAGGAAGGGTGGTTTTGGATCTTTGAGGAAGCAAGGATGGGTTTGGATCCTTGAGGAGAAGGTTTGGAAAAGCCATTGTGAGAAATGAATAAGGAAGCCTATTAGAAAAAAACAGGTGGGAAGCGGTGGTGCACACCTGCAATCCCAGCACTCTGGGAGGCTGAGGTGGGCAGATCACTTGAAGTCAGGAGTTCAAGACCACCCTGGTCAACATCGTGAAACCCCATCTCTACTAAAAATAAAAAAATTAGTTGGGCTTGGTCGTGGGTGCCTGTAATCCCAGCTACTCTACTCGGGAGGCTGAGGTAGGAGAATCTCTTGAACCCAGGAGATGGAGGATGTAGTGAGCCAAGATCGCATATCACTGCACTCCAGCCTGGGCAACAGAGCAAGACTCTGTCTCTAAAACAACAACAACAACAACAACAAAAAAAGAAACTCAAAAGCAATATGTCAAGTAGAGTAAAAAGCTGAAACTGGAGATCATATCTGGGAATAGCCCCAATTAGGGTCTGTCTCCAGCAACACCCAGAAGCTTGGATTTTGGACTGGAAAAGACAGATATTAGGGATTTATAGGGTACATGAGGAAGAAGAACAAAGGGTCAAGAATGTTGTAGGTGGTACTGGCAAGAGAATGATTGAAATGATAAATTATGGGATCCATGCTAGATAGCTGGTAATTAATTGAGTCAAAAGAGAGAAGTTAAGGAACCAGGATTAAAGGAAATCTGAATTCAATATAGCAGGAAATAAGTTTTAGTCAGATTGGATATTGGGGTTTAACATTTTAGAGTAGCAATAGTCCCTGGTGAGGCTGGATTTATAGTTGGGTTGTCCACACAAAGTCAAAGTCTTCTATGAGTAAGAAAAGGAATAAGATGAAGGAGAAGGCTATGAGCCAGGGACCCAAATCCTCATTTAATGAGACACGTGTGTGTGTGTGTGTGTGTGTGTGTGTGTGTTGAGGGAAGCTATAAAGAGCAATGAGCAGAGGCAGAGAGGGCAGAGTTGGGCAGAATGACCCCCAGGTGTAGGGGTTTTTCCCTGAAGATGAAAACAATGGAAGTTAAGACAATGCCAACTTTGCCTTCTGTCACAAGGAACATAAGAGATCAGTTTCAATTCAATTCAGCAAAAAGTAAAACAAGTGTCCACCCTGGACAAACACCAGGAGCTGGGCTAGGCATTAGAGACCCAGCAGTGAACAAGACAGGCCCAGTCCCTGCCTCATAGAGCTCACAGTTATGGAGAGAATGACAGTAAAGAACAGATCTCCATTGTGAGGGTCCCCATCACTGTGAGTTCCAGCATCTCCAAGCTTAGCCCAGCCTCAGCCCCTACAGAGGCAGAGAAATCAAGATAAGGAAGAAGTTATGGGAATTGCCCTTGATTATGCAAATGTCCCCAGTCACACTAGGATGCATTCTTTTTTTAAAAATTTAATTTTAGGTTCGGGGGTACATGTGCATGTTTGTTACATGGGTATATTGCATACTGGTGGGCATTAGGTTTCTAGTGTACCCATCACCCAAATAGTGAGCATTGTACCCAATTGGTACCTTTTTAACCCTTTCCATCTTCCCACCCTCCCCCTTTTGGAGTCACCAGTGTCCATTATTTCCATCTTTATGTTGATGTGTACCCGTATTCGTCCATTCTCATACTGTTATAAAGAACTACCTGAGACTGGGTAATTTATGAAGAAAAGAGGTTTAATTGAACTCACAGTTCTGCAGGCTGTACAGGAGGCATGACTGGGGAGGCCTCAGGAAACTTAACAATCCTGGCAGAAGGGCCAAATCAAGTGCTTGGAAGCCAGCACTTCTTCACGTGGCAGCAGGAGAGAGAGAGAGAGAAGGGGGAAGTGCTACACAATTTTAAACAACTAGATCTTGTGAGAACTCACTCACTATCACAAGAACAGCAAGGGGGAAATCCACCCCCATGATCCAATCACCTCCCACCAGGTCCCTCCCCCAACACTGGGAATTAGAGTTCAACATGAGATTTGGGTGGGGACACAGAGCCAAGCCACATGAGTGCCCATTGTTTAGCTCCCACTTATAAGTGAGAGCATGCTGTATCTGGTTTTCTGTTTCTACGTTCGTTGACAGGATAATGGCCTTCAGCTCTATCCATGTTGCTACAAAGGACATGATTTCATTCTTTTTTTTTTTTTATGGCTGCTGGATGCATCCTTTAAACTAGGTTATTCCTTTCCTGCTGTGGCTTCTGAAAGGCTATCAGAGAGTGTCCTTTATAAATTGCTCACACATGCACAATGTCAGAAAAGGAAAAATTCCTTTCATTCCCAGTCAAGAAGATCAGGGCCTCTGTACCCTTTGTGGTTATCCTTTCTGCTTCATTTTCACACACATATCTTATTTGAGCTTTCAAACAACTCTGCCAGGGTGGTCAGTGAGCCTTATTACAATTCCAAAAATCTGAAAAGCTCTGGAAAACAAAAGTATCTTGGTAACTCCATTAGTAGAAAATGACCTGACCTCAAGTAAGGTTGCTTAGTCTTTATTTGTTTCACTTGGTGTGTTTGGTTCCAGGGTGGGGCACAGACCCTGCTGGTGGTATTATGTAATATACCACATGTGCACTGTATCACCTTTCTAGGATCCAAAAGGCTGTGAATTCTGAAATACGGGTGGCCTCAAGGATTTCGGACAAGGGATTATAGTCCTGTGCCACTCTCCTTTACAGGTGATGAAGAAACCAAACCTGAAAAATAAGTGACACTAAACAGATTGGCCCCAGACTTTGCTCCGGATTGTCCAGCAAATGGCAAAAGCCAGTGGATGTTAATCATAACCGGAAGTGACAGGATTAATTTTGATTTTTAGAAAGTGTAACTAGTAGAAATACAGAAGCTAGATCGGTAAAGCAGAGCCTGGGTGCAGGGTCAAAACCAAAAGCCCTTGCACTTTTCCTTATGTTCACCACCTCCCGCGATTGTGTTCATGTCTTTGCCTCCCATTCCTGATCCCATTTCTGATCCCATTTCCCATCCCATTTCCACTGTATCTACCCTCTCACCCCAAAGTTGCTTTCATGGGTTCACCAGCTGACTATTATATTACCCACTCCAGCAGACATCTCTCAATCCTTTGTGACTAGATTATTCAGCTGTATTTGAGGCCACTGGCCACCCTCTAATCCCGAAAACTTCCCAGACCCCTGGCTTTTTTGGCCCCATTCTTTCTCGCTCCTCTCTGACTTCTGCTCTGGCTCTGTCCTGACCTCCTCTGCCTCCCCTGGTTCTTCAGGATTGGGATCCCAAGACACCAGCCTCTGGTTTTCACCTTCTCTAGTTCTTCCTGGACAATACCCTTTGAGTTTTAACCCCAACCTCCATGCTATGAGGCTCCTGGATTCCTACTTCGTCCAGGCTTCTTCCCTGAGCTTCAGATTCATATATCCCACTGCCTACCAGGTCCACAGCTAACCCCAGAGTTGAATTGTGGAAGGTGAAAACAATTTCTCACCAAATCAAAATTTCTAAGCTGTAAATGTGATGTCTCTTTAAAAAAAAACAACCTATTTTATTATTACTGTTGGCAAATTATTAGTAACATGCATATTCAACCACCAGAATTCAGTTAACTGTGTATGGCAGACCTTTTATAGGCCAGTCATTGTGCTGGGCAAGGCAATTTACAAGCTAGTGAGGTCAGGGGCAGAGATAATAAGGCAAGTTCACAAATGCCAATAGCTGAAGCTGGAGAGCGCGTCAAAGCGAGGGAGGGAGCAGTCTAATCCCTGAGGCTTGGCAGTACCTGTGTTCACTTCCCCTCCCTTTACATCCTGTTCTGTATCTTCCCAAAGGTCTGCGGAGGCATGCAAGAGGAGGAAAGTTTGGTGGTTGTTAAGATAAAGAGGAGTGACTGTTTTTGAACTCTTTCTTTTGCTTAAGTTTTGGTGCCTCTTTGTTTTCCTCAGTTGTCTTCTAAAAACAATCAGCACTGTAGCTGCTTTAGACTAAGAACATATATAGGTCCTTAAATGGATTCTTATATTAATAATCATAGTACTAGTCCGAAGTGCTGCTGGCTTGCCAGGAATGTGTGTCATGTTTATTTTCACTTATTAAATATTTATTGACCCCGCTATATGCCAGGAGTGAAAGAAGACATTGTTCCTCTTGTACTTCCCAAGTTTCATGGATTCAATGCAAGGCAGACAGGGTAAAACAAACCTGGTAAGAGAAGCCAACCAAGAAACCGGTTTGCCCAGGAGGTTGTGTCCCAGATAGGGAGGGAAGGAAACCTGAGGGAGTCCTGACACCAACGTGGGTCTGGGGCAGCTTTGATTCAGTGTCCAGTGGAGGGCAGTGGTGTGCAGACAGTCACACAGAGACAGCCATCCCGGAGGGCTGACTCCAGCCTTTCTGGAAGGAAATGGTCGCCCATTCAGTACATCAGTACATACACCCAGCTTAGCTGAAATCATGTTGGTGGACTTGTTTACCTTTTGCTCAATCTCAACACTTCCTTTCACAAGGGCTCTCATTTGATTACCAGGAATCTCCAATCCAGTTTAATTTATTAATTCCTTACTGAGCACCTAATCCGGGCCTGTCACCCTACCAGGGGTGCTACAATGACTACAAAGATATGCACAAGAAGCTTACAAGTAATGAAAGCAGGGGAGGGTGCAGGGATTAGGCAAGTTTACAAATAATCAAAACTGAAGGCAGAAATAAGCATGGATGAAGCACCTACCATAACAGGGCACAGTACACTGGGGTTTCAGAGAGGCCTGACCATTTCCTACCCTCATAGCTGTTTGGGGAAATCAGGAAGTAAACCAATTACAAGATAGAACAATATAAAGTGTCACTGTATGAAATGCCGAAAAATGTTCTTCCTTGTGTATGTGTGGGAGCAGCCCAGAGCTGACCCCTAGGGACCCACATTCAGCACTCCCTAGGGGATTCCGATCAGAAGCCCTGGAGCAAGGATTGCAGCTGGGGTGGGGGCCGGGGCTGAGAACAGTGGGGAGGGAAGGGCAAAGAAGGCAGGGATAGAAGTCAACCTAAGAAGGTTGGGCATGGTGGCTCACACCTGTAATCCCAGCACTTGGGAGGCCTAGGTGGGTGGATCACTTGAGGCCAGGAGTTCAAGACCAGCCTGACAAACATGGTGAAACCCCGTCTCTACTAAAAATACAAAACTTAGCCAGGTGTGGTGGCGTGCACCTGTAATCCCAGCTACTCTTGGGAGGCTGAGGCACGAAAATTGCTTGAACTTGGGGGGCAGAGGTTGCAGTGAGCTGTGATCACACCACTGTATTCCAGCCTGGGTGACACAGCAAGACTCCATCTAGGAAAAAAAAAAAAAAAGAAGTCAACCTAAGAAATATAGCCCCTCCAAGGGGGCTCAAGGGACCTCTAGACCAAAGACTGTACTAGCACCCTCATGCCACCCCTACCTACTAAGGCATCCCCCAGGGACATCTCAGAGTTCCTGGAGGCTTCTGTCACTGCCCCAGTTGCACCCCACTCCAAGAATGTGATCATTTCTATACTTTGGGTAGGTAATGATCCCTTTTAGGTGAAACAGATTTCAAGCCGAACAAACACCTTCAAAAAACAACAGAGGAAAAAAAATCTTGGTTTTTTTTCCCAAGGACGTTGAGAGAAAACAGGCTCAGATGGAACCTTGGGTATCGCAAAGGCCACCCTCAATGCTGCCTCCTCTGGGGGAAGCTGGGTCAGGCCAGGTCACACCCTGTCCAACCTCAGCTGCTGGCTGTTCTAGAGACCAGAGGCCAAAGGTGGGGGCACTGAGATTCCTGAGGTTCCTGGCTTGTCAGTTTCATCTGAAACTGATTAAAATGAAATGCAAACCCATATGGCTGGGAAGAAAAGGTCAAGATTTTGCCCCCACCTCCCACCTCCTCCCATCCCCTTCCCCTCCTCCCCTCCCTCCCTAGTCCTCAGCATGCAGCTCTCTGGCTGAATCCCATCACCGCTCCAATTTCCCCTTCACCCGGGCAGCCCCGCACTGAACAGAAACTCCGCAGAATGGCCCCATTGTAGACCAGACAAACCAAAATAGCAGCATCTTCTGTTCTCCGCCTTAGAGAGATTCACTTAAAATCCCGAAGTCCCAGATGTGGACGACAATGGAAGCTGTTGTTGCAAATTAGTGATCCTGGAACAGCTGAGAGGTAGGTTGTCGGAAAGCAGCCAGTATAGTGAGTTGGGCTGTGAAGAGAGAGAGAACAATTATGCAGTCACTCCATTAACCCAATTAGCAAACAGCGGCAGGAATTCTGTTAATTGACAAAGAAGCACGGTAGGGAAGGTGGGAAAGGGGGACAGCGACCTGGGTGGGGGTGCTGCAGGGGGAAGAGGGGTGTGATGGGGCTGGGGAGGGAAGAATTGCTGCTGGGATGAAAGGGCCAGGAATAAAACTTCAGCTAGGCTGGCGTGGTGGCTCACGCCTGTATTCCCAGCACTTCGGGAGGCCGAAGCGGGCAGATTACCTGAGGTCAGGAGTTCAAGACCAGCCTGACCAACATGAAGAAACCCCCATCTCTACTAAAAATACAAAAAATTAGCCGGGTGTAGTGGCACGCACCTGTAATCCCAGCTACTCGGGAGGCTGAGGCAGGAGAATTGCTTGAACCTGGGAGGTGGAGGTTGCAGTGAGCTGAGATTGTGCCATTGCACTCCAACCTGGGCAACAAGAGCGAAACTCTGTCTCAAAACAAAAACAACAACAACAAGAAAACTTCAGCTATTTCTATGCTGGCAAAAGTTATTTTTATCATTTTTTAAACGTTCTGTTTTTTTTTTAAACCATGCCCTGGAGCATTTGGATGAACAGTGTTTGCATTAATTAATAAATCAGATGACATCTCCACTCAGCAGAGGGCTTTGGTGTAGAAAAGCTCCCAGTGGCCTGCAGAATGGTGATTGCGGAATCTTGATTGATCACAGCTGTCATGTCATCAGTCATGCAGTCCAACATGGCGCAAAGGCTCACTTGGGTTTTGTGGAGGTTGTGGGGAGGACACAACATGAATAAGGTAATGTCTGCATATACCACTAGCTATAATAAGCTGTGTTTACGATCGAGTCCCAAAATTCTGCTGAGCCTCTGCTCAGGTTCATTGGGACTGGTTAATTGGGGGTGGCAATTAGGGAAAGCTGCAGAGAGGAGCTGGATTTGGGAAATAAAGGTCAGATGATGACTGATGGAATGGTCAGGCTTTCAGATACAAGGTGGGCATGAGAAAAGGCCCAGAAGACAAGCTTTTAGGAAGCAGATGCAGCCCTTCTCCAGGGGGAAGTTGGGGGTGGGAATATGGCAGAGATGTCTGAGATGACCGTTTGAGAAAGAAGGCACTGGAGTGGGCAGTGAGGACTGGAACATGGTGTGGAAGGTCCTCCCACCTCCCTGTCTCGACTTAATTTTTTTTAGAGGCAACAGGGTTAGGGACTGGCCTAGGAGCTTAGTGTGGCACCTGGGGCTGCAAGAGCCAGCATGCTGATAACCACAGCTTTCTCGCAGTAAGTAAAGGGAGAAAAGGGTTTGAGAACTATCAGAGCTCAGCGCCCTGAGCTGGGAACTGTGGGAGGACAGATGGAGAAGATAAGCCCAGAGAGGGGGGGTGAAATCATAACCAATTAGGTGTCTGTCCTGGATCCTTCTCGACTCAGACCTGAGAGCCACTGTTCCCAGCTCCCCTGGCTTATCACTCCATTATCACTTTCTCTACCCAATTTCTCTGCTTTGCTCTTATTCTCTTCTCACCTCATCCAGCTTTCCAGCCACTGTGAGAGAGAAAAATTGTAAAACATGTAAAGCTTTTGTTTGTAGTGCACAGATGAGGTGCACTGCATCTCTTGTTTGACCAGTTGCAAGGCTGGTGTGTCTGGTTGCTCAATCTCCAGCTATTTTGCTGCCTCTTACGATTGGTGCCCTGTCGTCAGGACGCAGGGCCCGGGAGGGCAGGCACTGGCCTTTGTGACCATAATACCTCTGACAGGACCATGCAGATAGTCCTGCTCAGTGGGTATTTACTGATGACCAAGATGACAACACATGGGGAAGATACCCACCCAAGTTTTAAGAAAATATTCTTTAATTGCTGACGGATAGAATTTCTGTATCCCCAGAGATGATGTCTCAGGGCATACGTGTTGAGATCTGTGGAACTGTCTGTGCGTAGGGGTGAGGGCTGGCTTGGCTTCTGGGCCTCCTCCTGGGTATGGGTCACCAACAGCCTCATGGGCACTACCTTTCTCCTCACATTCCAGTTTGAAACCACCCAGGCCCCTGGAAGCCCCTTTCTCTGCACAAGGCTGGGATCGTGTTTGTGCATGAACTGTTGGGTATTCTATACCCGCTCTGCGCCTCATCACACAATACCTCCCTGTTCTCAAAGCACCAGCCCAAAGTCACTCCAGCTTCTCAAGTTTCATAACTGCCCAGCAAACTGCACCTGGCCCTTCTTCCCCTGGGGCTGCAAGGTTGGAGGCCGAGTGGATGGCCGCCTGGTTTTCCCCACTCCCTGCTCAGACAAGTCCAGGCCCCCCAGGTGACTGGGGTTTTGGAGACTCATTCTTGTGCAAGTCAGAGAATGCTTCTGCGACTCAGGACATCTTTCAGGAGGAAGCTACCTCTTGTTCCGTGCAGGAAGAGGCTAATCAGGTCTCAGGCTCACCTGTGGGCAGAAGTAGGCAAGCTACTTTGGAGTGCAAGGAAGTAGGGATCAGCAGTGGCATGGTGCCCTGAGAGACCCCCAGCCCCGACCTAGAGAATTCCTGACATACCTCCCAGCTACGCTCAGCTGTGAGGCACACACTGAGCTCTAGGCCAGCCCTGACCTTGGAGCTTCCACCACAAGCACAAACAAGGCCTTTAAAAAGCTTCCTAACTTCCTGGGGCGGGGGTGGTTGGGGCCAGTGTGTTGATTGCCGTTGTGTCATTTTCTGGTGTGGTTCCAGGTGGCTGGCGCCACTGCTTCTCCTCCATCCAGATGCTGAGGCCAAGGGGGCTCAAGGGGGCAAGTTGCTTTGAAGCTCCCGGCGCTGACCTCTTGTGCCCCGTCTTGGTGTTGGGAAGCCTCACAGCTGTTCTGGGCCCGCAGAGCCTTCTCCTCGTTGACTTGGGGCTTTTTGGATCAGGATGTTGGTGAAGCAGAGTTTTGGCAAGAGCCTTGGCAGCTGCTGCCAGTAAAGAGGCTGAAGGAAGATAATTAGACCTGGTAATTGGTTGCTTTTTAGCGACTGTGGCTGGGAGAAGACACTGAAAAGCTGTCCTCCAGGACCAAGGCTAAACTGTCCCCATGCTAGGGGGAAATGCTGGACCCCAGCTAGTCCTGCATGTCTCGTCACATCTTACCTGACACATCTATCTGGCTGTGAAATGATTCTTGAATCCCATCCCACCCCCACAAAGCAGTGTGGGTTTACCTCGCCTGTGTTCATGCTCTGTTACACCCAAGCCTGGAACCAGGCATCTGAAAACTTTGAAACCAGAGGTAACCTTTAGATGGAGTTACTTAACTCTAGCTGCTCCAGAAAGATTCTGTGGGGCTTACTGTGAAGGACTTCATTAAAGGCTTTTGTTTTTGGACAGAGCTGACTCATCATTTCCCCAAGATAAGTTTGCTTCTGGGCAGTTTCCAGGCTCCCATCTCTCCAGTTGGCCATTTTGCCAGACCAGATGGCTCATATTAGATCTCAATTTACAACTTGCCACCCCTTGTGGGCATGTGTTCTGGATTCGTCCCAGCCTGAGCAGCTGATTCACTCGGATGTTCTGGGAAGCCCTTACCGTTTGATTCCACTTCACCGTAGATGCCGTCCATGGGTCTGATTTCCAGTTTCTGTGTGAATCCTGCTGACCTAAACCCTGACACAGAAGTGTAGCCCTGGGAGCCTAAAGATGGACCTCGGGCGGGGTCCCCAGCAGCTCTGCATTGGGTCCTTGAGAGGGGCACTGCCTTAGGGAGGGCTGATCACTCAAAGTCTATGAAAGGATGGACTAGATTGGAATCAAGAATCTGCTTTTGTGGCTATGTAATATCTTAGAGAAAAGCAGAAGAAAGAATGGAGGACCAGTTTGAGTTCTGCGATTTTAGGTTTAAACAGGTGGCCTTTCTGCTGGCGTCCCCTCCTGACCAGTTATCCATGCATTTGTTCAGATGCATGAATAGATGGTTATTGAGCATATACTCTGTGCCAAATGTAATGCCTAGGGCTCAGGAATAAGGATCAAAGGACAGTTCTTGCCTTCAAGGGACTTACTGACTGATGTCTGAGATAGGCAGGTGCTCACAACAAAGTGAAAGTTGGTATAGTGCAGTGATCAAGAATGCAGACTCCGGAACCAGACTGGCTGGATTCATATTCCTGCTCTGCCGCTTACGAGCAGTGTACCTTTGGGCATATTTCCTAACTGCTACATGCACCAGTTTCGTCATCTAGAGAATGGGAATAATATTGATACCTACCTCAGTAGACTTCAATTACTTAGAACTGTGCCTGGGAATAGTGAGGATGGTATACACTGGGGAAATTTTTAAAGCTATAGGCCAGGCACAGTGGCTCATGCCTATAATCCCAGCACTTTAGGAGGCTGAAGCAGGAGGACTGCTTGAGCCCAGGAGTTTGAGACCAGCCTGGGCAACATAGCAAGACCCCATCTTTACAAAAAATAAAAATTAACCTGACATGGTGGCATTTGCCTGTAGTCCTAGCTATTTGGGAGGTTGAGGTGGGAGGATCGTTTAAGCCCAGGAAATAGAGGCTGCAATGAGCTGTGATTGTACCACTGGACTCCAACATGGTCAATAGCGAGAACTGTCTCAATAAAGTAAAATTGCCTTGGCGTGGTGGATCACACCTGTAATCTTAACACTTTGAGAGGCTAATGTGGGAGGATTGCTTGAGCCCAGGAGTTCGAGACCAGCCTGGGCAACATAACGAGACCCTGTCTCTACAAAAAATAAAATAATAAGCTGGGCGCAGTGGCTCATGCCTATAATCCCAGCACTTTGGGAGGCTGAGGTGGGCGGACCACGAGGTCAGGAGATCAAGACCATCCTGGCTAACACGGTGAAACCCCATCTCTACTAAAAATACAAAAAATTAGCCGGGCGTGGTGGCGGGCGTCTGTAGTCCCAGCTACTAGGGAGACTGAGGCAGGAGAATGGCGTGAACCCGGGAGGCGGAGCCTGCAGTGAGCCGAGATTGCGCCACTGCACTCCAGCCTGGGCAACAGAGCATGACTCCATCTCAAAAATAATAATAAAATAAAATAATTAGCCAGGCATGGTGGCACACACCTGTGGTCTCAGTTCTTCGGGAGGTTGAGGTGGGAGAATTGCTTGAGCCTGGCAGGTAGAGGCTGCAGTGAGCCAGGATCATGCTGTGTACTGGTCTCACAGAGTGAGACCCTGTCTCTAAAATAAAATAAAACAAAACAAAGCTACAGCTCCACAGGGAGCAAAGGACTTAAGAGGAAGGAAGGGGTCGTATAGAAATCCCAGGAATCTGGGATTCTGGCATTTATAACCAGGAAAGCTGAATTTGAGTTTAGAGTCCACTACAATATATTTATTTGATTTTGAATAATTACAACCTTGATTTGCTCCTTGGTAAGGTAGAAATAGTAATATCTTCCTTTCCAACCTCATTGGGAAAAAAGAGAGAAACCAAAATTTGTATCTATTATGTACCATATGGTTTTATTCTGAGAATTGAGAGAAATAACATATTTTAAGTGTATGTAAATTTTTTTTTTTTTGAGATGGAGTCTCACTCTGTTGCCCAGGCTGGAGTGCAGTGGCGTGATCTTGGCTCACTGCGAGCTCCACCTCCCGGGTTCACACCATTCTCCTGCCTCAGCCTCCTGAGTAGCTGGGACTGTAAGCACCTGCCACCACGCCCGGCTAATTTTTTCGTATTTTTAGTAGAGATGGGGTTTCACCGTGTTAGCTGGTATGGTCTCGATCTCCTGACCTAGTGATCCACCCGCCTCAGCCTCCTAAAATGCTGGGACTACAGGCGTGAGCCACCGTGCCCGGCCAAGTGTATGTAAATTTTAAAAATGCATTGTAAACTGTAAAGTGAACCACAGGATAATCATGATTTTCTCCCTGTTCCTCCTGTCCCCCAGGTTGAGCATGTGGATAACTGAGAGATGATGAAAAAGGCAGGCACTCTGGGCTGACTTTCATTATAAATAGTAGGTACAGCTGTGGTACTGTTTTGCCTCCATGCGATTCTCCATGTTTTCCATGTTATTTAGTTCCTGATTACTAAAGCTTTGAGGTACCAGAGGAGGCTGGTGATTTCCTTTAGAAAGAGGAACTGGGAGCAGCAAGAATCATAGTGAGATGTGCTGAGCTTTTCAGAGGAAAAGTTCATGGATGATGCATCTGACGTGATGAGCACAAACATTTCCCAGCGCAGACCCAGGTCCTTCCAGGTCTGAAGGAGCTGAGTTCCCAGCTCCTGTGAGCCTCACTGTGTCTCAGGGCTTCTGAAAGGCAGGTCCTGCATATAGTGCAAGCTTATAAATGGAAGTGAGTGAGGGGGATGGCAGGTGTGATGGGGATGCCAGCCTTGCTGTTTTCTCACAATCACAAGGAGCTTTCACTTGTCTGGGAGACTTCTTGGCAAGGTTGCAGAGCTCACCACCAAGATTAAAGGCCGGCTGGCCAGGCAATGGTAGAGGGGAGGAGGAAGTCTGCAACAGGACGAGCAGGCAGCATTTGGGCCTGTTTGGGAGACTGGCCAACAATAACGGGATTACCATCCGCTGCCCTGATATCTGCCAGGAAATTGTGAGATGAAATTTCAAGGACCCTACCACAGAGTCAGAGAGTGTGTGGGATGACTTGGCTAAAAGCAAGAATCCTTGGGGAAAAAGGTCCAGTTTCCTGGTGTTCCATTTGTCTGTTTGCAGAACGGAAGCTCTGCCAATTCCCTGGCTCTCTTCTCAGCCTCTCCCAGGCCTCTGACAACCCTAGACTCTAAGGTTGAGAAGGGAACTACCTCGGAGACTTTTATCCAACTCTCAATAAATGGAGGAAAACAGCCATGACCCTGCTTGACGACTTAACCAATCTGAGCCTCAATATTCTCAGCTCATCTTACAAGGCTCTTATGAGGAGCAGTTGAAACAATGCATGTGGAAATTCTTTGTAAAGTGCTTTAAATGGGGCCGGGGGCAGTGGCTCACGCCTGTAATCCCAGCTTTGGGAGGCCGAGGCAGGCAGATCACCTGAGGTCAGCAGTTTGAAACCAGTCTGGCCAATATGGTTAAACCCCATCTCTATTAAAACTGCAAAAATTAGCTGGCCTGTGGTGGCACAAGCCTGTAATCCCAGCTACTCAGGAGGCTGAGGCAGGAGAATCGCTTGAACCTGGGAGGTGGAGATTGCAGTGAGCCAAGATCGTGCCACTGCACTCCAGCCTGGGCCACAGAGGGAGACCATGTCTCAAAAAATAATTAAAAAAAAAAAAAAAAAAAAAAAAAAAGGCCAAGCATGGTGGGCTCACGCCTGTAATCCCAGCACTTTGGGAGGCTGAGGTGGGCGGATCACCTGAGATTAGGAGTTCAAGACCAGCCTGGCCGACATGGTGAAACCCCCATCTCTACTAAAAATACAAAAATTAGCCGGGCTTGGTGGTGCGGGCCTATAATCCCAGCTTCTCAGGAGGCTGAGGCAGGAGAATCACTTGAACTTGGGAGTCAGAGGTTGCAGTGAGCTGAGATCATGCCATTGCATTCCAGCCTGGGCTTTGTAAGAGTTTGTCTCAAAAAAAAAAAAAAAAAGGTGCTGTAAATGGAAGGAATTGCTCCAGGTATAGAATCAAAGGCCCCGAGGGTAAGAGGAGCCAGCGGAGCCTTTGGGCCTGGCTGTCCAGTTCTGCCAAGTTCTACTGAAGACAGAGAGAAGGGATCTTTCCCAAGGACCTTCTTTCTGGCTCTGTCAAATATGAGCCTCCCAGGGTCTCATTGGTGTTCTGGGTTCCTTAACAAAAAGGAGTTTGCAAAGATCACAGAGCTGACTGGTTTTCTTCTCTGGACAATGTTTACTGTGACTGCCTCTCTCTCCCGCCCCCACCACTGAACAGCATGGCAGCTTCCCAGTCCAGGGACCCGTGGGGGCCCTGTTTGCAGCAGGATTTGTGTTAATAGCACGACAGTGTCTTTACCTTTTATCTAGCAAGAGTGAGTAATCTGTTTGGGATATTTAACAAAAACCAGACATTACCTCACTGGTGTCTTATCCAGAGCTGCTCTAGTCTTCCCATTAATTCCAGCAATTCGGGGTCTTTTGCCACGTTAAGCAGTATGGGGAGAAATCCATGGACTCTTTTTCTCTGGATAAAGGGAGCCACAGAAGGCACACATTTGAAAAGCCCTATTCTAGTATTTGTATTCAGAGCTGTTCTTTTTCTCAGTAAATGTCTGTTTTCTTCATTCTGAGAACACGGTAGAGGGATTAACCTCAGCCCATCCCCCAAACCATCCTGACTTGAATCCAGTTTCTCTGGCTGCCTCTTCCCTAAAGGTTATGAAGACTTTTATGTGTGAATTTCCAGACCTCAGAGGGAAGCACCAGTGTGGTTCCTGGGAACTATCGGCAGCCGACAGACCACCTCCTCTGAGGTGGATGGCTATTTTCCAACAGAAGTGTCAGAGACAATGACTTAAGTGGTCATATGCTTTGTAAGCAGCTGCCAGTGGTATAGACTGAAGCAGGCGTCGCCTGTCTCCCAGGTGCAGAAAAGCCTTCCTGCTTCCTGAAGAAGGACCTGCTGATCAGTCAGTAGTGGAATCACCCATGGGTCATCATCACATAGGAAGGACAGCAATTGTAATCCCAGGCCAGGCAATGCAATATCTGTGTTTTGCAGCAGAAAAATTGCAGCCTCATTAAAAACTTCCAGGTATCCCAAATCACCATCTATTAGGTGATATGAAAGAATAGTTGTTAATTTTGATAGAAATCATCATGATTGGCACATAGTGACTATATAAGAAAATGTCCTTAGTTGTATAGATGCTTAATGAAGTATGTAGGAGTGAAATGACATGCAATCTGGGATTACTTTAAAATATGTTAGCAGTAATGTAAGAAAGAAAAAGAGAGCGATAAGGCAAGTATAGCAAAATCTTGTTACTTTTTGAGTCTCGGTAACAGACAATGTGGTTTCAATATATTGTTTTCTCAACTTTTGTGAGCAATTGAACATTTTCATAATTAAAAAAACTTGGCCTGGCGTGGTGACTCATGCCTGTAATCCCAGCACTTTGGGAGGCTGAGATGGGCAGATCACAAGGTCAGGAGTTCGAGAACAGCCTGGCCAACATGGTGAAACCCTGTCTCTACTAAAAATGCAAAAATTAGCTGGGCATGGCGGCGGGCACCTGTAGTCCCAGCTACTCGGGAGGCTGAGGCAGGAGAATTGCTTGAACCCAGGAGGGATTGCAGTGAGCTGAGATCGCACCACTGCACTCCAGCCTGGGCAACAGAGCAAGACTCTGTCTCAAAAAAACGAAAACAAAAAAAACCTAAAGGCACAGTAAATTGTGTTAGAAGACAAGCCATAGACTGGGAGAAGACATTTAGAACATGTGCAACTGACAAAAGATTCCTATCCAAAATACATAAAGAACTCCTATAACTCAGTAAAAGAAAAAAAAAAGAAAGAAAAGAAAAAAGACCCTCAACCTCATAGAAACTAAGGACAAAGATTACAGTAAGCAATTTCATTCCTAGAAGAAGGGACCCAAATGAGAATGTCCACACTCAGTGGTGATCAAAAAATGCAAATTAGAGGACAAGACAATAATTTATGCCTGTTGGATTAGCAAAAATTAGAAATCTGGCAATATAAGTATTCATGGAGATGTAGAGTAGAATTCATGCACTTAGAAACCAATTTGGTATTATCTGTTAGAAATGTGTATATCCAGGCCAGGTGGGGTAGCTCACACCTGTAATCCTAGCACTTTGGGAGGCCGAGGCAGGCAGGTCACTTGAGCTCAGGAGTTTGAGACCAGCCTGGGCAACAAGGCGAAATGCGGTGGCACATGCCTGTAGTTCCAGCTGCTAGGGAGCCCGAGGCGTGAGGATCACTTGAGCTGGGGGGTTGAGGCTGTAGTGACCCATGATGGCGCCACTGTACTCCAGGCTGGGTGACAGAGTGAGACCCTGGCTCAAAAGAAAGAGAAGAAATGTGGACTCTATACCCCTCAGAAACTCTTGGGCAAGTGTGCACATATGCTTGGAATATACACTTGGCTGTCCATTACAACATTGTTTATAAAAGCTAAAACTAGAAAAAATGGAGAAATATTTCACGACATATTAATGTAATGGCATACTATATAGAAGTTAAAATGAATGTACTTCACATATTCCTGTATATATACACATATATAATTGTGGATGAATTTCTAAAATATATGAATATTGAATAAAAGAAAAGTAAATTTAAAAAGAATATGGACATATATCATGTACATATTTTTTTTTTTTTTGAGACAGGGTCTCACTCTGTTGCCCAGGCTGGAGTGTAGTGGTGTGAACATAGCTCACTGCAGCCTCGACCTCCTGGGCTCAAGCCATCCTCCCACCTCAGGCTCCAGAGTAGTTGGGACCGCAGGTGGATACCCCCACATCTGGCTAATTTTTAATTTTTTTATAGAGACAGGGTCTCGCCATGTTGCCCAGTCTTGTCTCGAACTCCTGGGCTCAAGCAATCTTCCTGCCTTGGCCTGCCAAAGTGCTAGGATTATAGGCGTGAGCCACTGCACCAAGCCCATACCTAATTTACACCTAGCATAATATTTTGGCTCTCTCTATGTCATAAGAGTACAAAAATAATTAGAAGGGTCACAGAGCAATAGAAGGATAGTACATATCTGTAGTGAAGGAGAGAAGGGAATGGAGATGGCCTCAATTGTATCTGTAATGTTTGTTGTTCCTTTAGGAAAAAAATATAAAAAAGAATCTGAAGCAAATATATCAAAAGAATGACATTGGAATATCTGGGTGGTAGGCATGGAGTGTTATATATTATTGTTCTCTGTACTATTCTGCATATGTGAAATATTTTGTAATTAAAAATTTTGTTCTTAATTGAGGTCCTAAAGTTTCTTCTTGCTAAATCTCATCTTTTTTTTTTTTTTTTTCTTTGCAACGGAGTCTTGCTCTGTGGCCCAGGCTGGAGTGCAGTAGCGTGATCTCAGCTCACTGCAACCTCTGCCTCCTGGGTTCAAGTAATTCTTCTGCCTCAGCCTCCCAAGTAGCTGGAATAACAGGCTCATGCCACCACACCTGGCTAATTTTTGTATTTTTGGTAGACATGGGGTTCCACCACATTAGTCAGGGTGGTCTCGAACTCTTGATCTCAGGTGATCTGCCTGCCTCGGCCTCCCAAAGTGCTAGGATTACAGGCATGAGCCACTGCACCTGGCCTGTTCTTTTTTTGTTTTAGAGGTGGGGTTTTGCTATGTTGCTCGGGCTAGAGGGCAATGACTATTCACGGGCGTGATCATTATGCAGTGCAACCTCAAACTTCTGGGCTCACATCATCTTCTCACTTCACCCTCCCTAGTAGCTGGGAACAGCAGGTGTGCACCACCATACCAGGCTAAATCTCATCTTTTTTCATGACTTTAGAACCCCTCGGCTCAAGTTCACCTCTATGAAAATGGTTCCTAAATCTGATTTTCTATCCTTTTTTTCCCAGCATCATTTCTGTATCTCCACCCACTTAATGGCTATGTCTTCTATTTTGTCAAATTTATCATCTAAGTTGATTATCTCTAACACTGCTATCTCAAAACAGCTCTTTTTTTTAATTTTCTGTTTCTTGGCCAGGAGCCACGGCAACATGTCTGTATTCCCAGCACTTTGGGAGGCTGAGGAGGGCAGGCAACTTGAGGCCAGGAGTTTGAGACCAGCCTGGCCAACATGATGAAACCCCATATCTACTAAAAATACAAAAATTAGCCAGGTGTGGTGGCGCATGCCTCTAGCCCCAGCTACTTGGGAGGCTGAGACTGGAGAGGCTGAGGCTCACTTGAGCCCAGGAGGTGCAGGCTGCAGTGAGCAGAGATCACGCCACTGCACTCCAGCCTGGGTGATGGGGCCAGACTCTGTCTCAAGGAAAAAAAAAATTCTATTTCTGTCAATAGCACACTCAATAAATGGTAGTTTTTATTTTCATTAGTCCCTTCAACTTTTGCCTCTTCTCACTGAGTTCACTATATACAGAACTGCCAATTTATCTTCTGGAAATTCTGGTTTTCATTTTTTTCTGAAATGCTGTTGTGTTTTTTTTTTCCCCTGAAATACTGTTTTGCATCAATTATTCCCACGCTTGAAAAACTTTTGGTGGCCCACTGCCAGCATAAGATGGTCCAAAATCCTTAACCATTTGTGTACAACCTCAAAGTCTGGCCCAGCTTTGTTGCCCACTGTCCGCTGTCACTAAAGAGGCAGTCATCACCGCCCCCTCAGGCTGCTTGTTTTCCTGTCTTCTTGCATTTGTTCCATCCCGAGATGCTTTTGCCTTCCCACCCTTCACACTCAGGTCAAATCTCTTCTGCGTGAAACCTTTGCCCAGACCACTGCTGGAAGCATTTCCATGGCACCGTCCATGTGCTGCTGCAGGTGTGGACTACGGCACCTCTCCCTGTAACCTCGCCCTGATTCCTCTCCATTGATAATGAGCTGAAAGATTCAGCAGACCCAGGAAGCAGAGGTGTGACGAATAGACACGGTTACCCATAAAGTATCTCATACATCTGCACACTAAACCCATCTCACCCTTTGCTTTGCTTTGCTTTGCTTTTCTCTTTTCTTTTCTTTTTCCTCCTCTCCTCTCCCATGCCCTCCCCTCCCCTCCCCTCTTCTCCTCTCTTCTCTCCTCTCCTCTCCTTTCCTTTCTCTTTTCCTCTTTTATTTTTTTTTTTTTTTGAGACAGTCTTGCTTTGTCACCCAGGCTGGAGTGCAGTGGCACAAACATGGCTCACTACAGCCTTAACTTCCTGGGCTCAAGAGATCCTCCTGCGTCACCCTCCTGTGTAGCTGGGACCACAGGCGCATGCCACCACACCTGGCTAATTTTTTTATTTTTTGTAGATACTGGGTCTCCCTTTGTTGCCCAGGCTGGTTTCGAACTCCTGGGCTCAATGATCCTCCCGCCTTGGCCTCCCAAAGTGCTGGGAGTACAGGCATGAGCCACCGCATCTAGCCCCTTGCTTTTCTTTCTCCTAATTTTCTTCTGTGATATCAGCTCTAAAGGAGGCTGCCTTACATCAGACTTGGAGAGACATAGGGTGGTGTTCTCTGATTTATGGCAAGAACTTGAGGAAAATGAGATTCCTTTCAGCATAATTTTGATAAATTCTAAGGTGTGCATTTTTCCCACTTTAATATCTCTGAAATCAGGGTGTATCTTACAACCAATGAAGCTTTGTTTCTCTTGATGGAATACAAAAGTAAAAAGTACCACTTATATTGGTGCTATCTTAAATTCGATAAAATAAGGTATATAGGAAAGTATTTAAAATGTATATAAATGCAAATAAACAGCTTTTATTATTTGATGTGAATATTAAATATCAGTGTTAAACATTAGATTTTGAAACATTGTTCTAGGGTGGCATAAGAACATAGTTCCAGGACAACATTCTAGCACATTCCCTTGTAAAATCAGCACTGTGTATATCTCTTCTCTATTCTGCCATATTTTGTAAGACGTTAGAAGTCAGAGACCCAGGGAAAGATACCTCTTGATATTCTCTACAAAAAGAGCAATAAAGAGCAGTCAGGAAGCCCTGCAAGTGAAATAATGAGCAAAACGTTTGTATGAAAAAAGGAACTGGGCCAGGCGCAGTGGCTCACGCCTGTAATTCCAGCACTTTGGGAGGCCGAGCTGGGCAGATCACCTGAGGTCAGGAGTTAAAGACCAACCTGACCAACATGGCAAAACCTCGTCTCTACTAAAAATACAAAAATTCACCAGGCATGATGGCGGGTGCCTATAATCCCAGCTACTTGAGAGGCTGAGGTGGGAGAATCTCTTGAACCCAGAAGGCAGAGGTTGCAGTGAGCCGAGATTGCCCCAGTGCACTCCAGCCTGGGTGACAGAGCAAGACTCCATCTCAAAAAAAAAAAAAAAGAAATTGAAGAAGAAGAAGAAGGAAGTGGCCAGTGGTGCTGGAGGTAATAAGTGGGTAATGAAGGATAGAATCCCTAGGCTTGGGGTCTCAGCCCTGGATAGACTGCTAGCCGTCATCTACCTATGCATGCTTCTCACCATAAGCAGAGAGCTGAACGTTTTGGTTCCCCAGTAGTCACTCCAGGCCTGTGTTGTGACAACAGAGGTTATCTGACAGCTTGGTCAGGAATTCATTGTTTCTTTTATATTTTCATTATATTTTTCCCACCTGCTTCCATATCGCTACCACCAGGGATTTAGGAAGACCAGACTCTCCCTTTGTCCTCTGTCACCTCCTCATACCACTTCTCCCAACCAGTCGTAGGGCCAGGGAGCCCCAACTTATGTCACTGTCACTTACTTGCCACCTTATGCCCCATTTGCCCATTCTCTCCGAAT
The DNA here is from genome assembly GCF_000001405.40 of Homo sapiens. Taxonomy (NCBI): domain Eukaryota; kingdom Metazoa; phylum Chordata; class Mammalia; order Primates; family Hominidae; genus Homo; species Homo sapiens. The sequence goes on along the minus strand of NC_000001.11, from coordinate 225,756,198 downwards.
GACTTAGGCAGTAAATTCCCCAGGGCGGTCACAATCTGCGTGATCATGGGAGACCCTGAGTGCAGTATGTTACTCCATAAATAATTCACTGTTCTCATTTTGAAAGCAAGGAGATCTGAGTAACTGGAGAGGGAAGGCAGAGGGGTGATTGAAAACACACACCAGGATAGGTCTTCTCAGACGCTTTGTTACATGGCTTTCTGTACTTGACTGCTTTGGAAGCTGTAAATAGGACTGTGGCCAATGTGGTCCCTGGATGCTGGGGCAGGGGGCCGACTGCAGAGAACTTGTTCCTTCCAGGAAACTGGGTTCTGTCCAAGGCAGAGCCTAGGAGCTGGTGTGACTGCAGTAGTAGGAACGTAGGGATGAGAAGGATGTGAGGATGCAAACACATCCAAGGGCAGGGAGTCACTTTGTGTGTGAAAGCCTTTCTTTGGCATCTCGGATGCATCTGCGTTGCCCTCCTTGGCATCTCCTGGATGAAAGGAGGTCAAGGAATACTATTTTGAGGTGCTTAAAGAGGGACAGGAGGCTGCTGGATATACAAGCCTGCTTGTGGGAGGATGAAGGGAAAAAAGGCCTCATCAAGGCCGTGCTAAACCCAGATGCTGTTCTTTGACCTTCATTCCAGTTGCTGCATCACTCCTGGGTGTTTTGTCTTTGCCAAAACCACATAGGGAGGAAGTTACTAAGACAAAGGGGTGACTGCAGAGCCAATTTCTATTCCTAGCCTGTGGTTGACCCTGGCAAGTAACCTTGAGCAGGTCATTAACCCCTCCCTAGGGTGACTATAATGGATTCCAACCTATGTCAGGAAAGTCCTGTGAAAACTGATAAGTTGAGACTTTTAAGTGCCTTGAGATCTTAGAAGAGATAAACAAACAATATCCCTGTGTTTTGTGAGCATGTTATGGGCTGCCCTTGAAATCTGATTCTCCATGCACTGGCCATGCTCTGTCCTTTGCTTGGTGACCAGGTGTAGAACACACTTAGGAGTAGCAATAAAAACAGCTAACATCTATTAAACTGTTACTGTGTGCTGGGCACTGTAGTTTAACGCTCACAGCAACATTCTAAGGTACAAATGACGAAACAGAGAGGTTAAGTAACTTCCCAAAGTTGCACAGTTGATAAGCCAGAGCCAGTATCTGCACTCCGGGCTCCAGAGTCCAGGCTCTGCTCTTACCCGAGATAAGAAGCAGATAAGCCGGGCGCGTTGGCTCACGCCTGTAATCCCAGCACTTTGGGATCACGAGGTCAGGAGATTGAGACCATCCTGGCTAAAGTGGTGAAACCCTGTCTCTACTAAAAATACAAAAAAAAAAAAAAAAAAAAAAAAAAAAAAAAGCCAGGCGCGGTGGCAGGTGCCTGTACTCCCAGCTACTCGGGAGGCTGAGGCAGGAGAATGGCGCGAACCCAGGAGGCAGAGCTTGCAGTGAGCCGAGATTACGCCACTGCACTCCAGCCTGGGAGACAGAGCAAGACTCCATCTCAAAAAAAGAAAAAAAAAGAAGCAGATAAGAACCATATTTAGGCCCCATGTGGTGGCTCATGCCTGTAATCCCAGTACTTTGGGAGGCTAAGGAGGGCAGATCACCTGAGGTCAGGAGTTCAAGACCAGCCTGACCAACATGGTGAAACCCTCTCTCTACTAAAATACAAAAATTAGCCGGGCATGGTAGTGCGCGCCTGTAATCTCAGCTACTAAGGAGGCTAAAGCAGGAGAATCACTTGAACCTGGGAGGTGGAGGTGGCAGTGAGCCAAAATCATGCCACTGTACTCCAGCCTGGGTGACAGAGCTAGACTCCGTCTCAAAATAAATAAATAAATAAATATTTTAAAAAGCATATTTAATAACTATGTAATTTGTCGTTAGTGAGCACTTGCTATATGTTCTGCACCAAGCTGGGGTGGTATGAGTGACATGGAACTATATAAACAAGCAGAAGACAGACGGGAGTTGGGTGCTAAATTGACGATACCAAAGTTCTTTTGAAAATCTAAGGAAAAGAGATCCACTATGGGCTGGACTTTTGGGGAAAATGTTGGAGAAAGTGAGGCTTGAGCACCCTTTTTTTTTTTTTGCCATCTAAGCAGACTATTTAGACTCTCTGGGACTACAATTCTAGAAAGATGCTAATTTGTATTGCTTATGAGAAAAAGGGCATGGAGGAGGGGCTATTTCATGGTTAAATCTGGAATCTGCTGCATACATTCATAGTCTTGTGCAGATTCACAATGCACTTTGGCTCTTGGAGGCTCTGCAACATTGTGTGATAAAGAAATCTGCTTTTCTTGGCCGGGTGCGGTGGCTCACACCTGTAATCCCAGCACTTTGGAAGGCCAAGGTGGGCAGATCATGAGGTCAGGAGATCGAGACCATCCTGGCTAACACGGTGAAACCCCGCCTCTACTAAAAATACAAAAAAGCAGCAGGGCGTGGTGGCAGGCGCCTGTAGTTCCAGCTACTTGGGAGGCTGAGGCAGGAGACTGGCGTGAACAGGGAGGCGGAGCCTGCAATGAGCCGAGATCGCGCCATTTCACTCCAGCCTGGGTGACAGAGTGAGACTCGCCTCAAAAAAAAAAAAAAAAAAAGGAAAGAAAAGAAATCTGTCTTTTTTTTTTTTTTTTTTTTACTCTGGCTGGAGTACAGTGGAGTGTAGTGGCACAAACATGGCTCACTGCAAGCCTCAAATTGCTGGGCTCAAGTGATCGTCTCATCTCAGCCTCCCAAGTAGCTGGGACCACCTGTGTGTACCGCCATACCTGGCTAGTTTTTTACATTTTTGTAGAGAGAGTCTTACTGTGTTGCCCAGGCTGATCTCCTGGATTCAACTCCTGGGCTCCAGCCACTATCCTGCTTTGGCCTCCCAAAGTGCTGGAAATACAGGCATGAACCACCTCACCTGGCCAGAACATTTTTTTCATAGAACTCGTATCAACATTTTATAGATGAGTGCAGTGTCTCATGTCTGTAATCCCAGCACTTCAGAAGGCTGAGGCAGGAGGATCACTTGAGCCCAGAAGGTCAAGGCCAGCCTGGGCAACATGGTGAAACCCCGTCTCTACAAAAAATACAAAAATTAGCTGGGTGTGGTGGCGAGTGCCTATATTGCCAGCTACTCAAGAAGCTGCGGTTGGAGGATCACTTGAACCCAGAAGATGGAGGTTGCAGTGAGCCAAGATTGTGCCACTGCACTTCAACCTGAGCAACAGAACGAGACCCTGTCTCAAAAAACAAAAATAAAAACAAACAAACAAAAAAAACTGCTGGGTGCAGTGGCTCTCGCCTGTAATCCCAGCACTTTGGGAGGCCAAGGTGGGCGGATCACAGGGTCAGGAGTTCGAGACCAGCCTGGCCAATATGGTGAAACCCCGTCTCTACTAAAAATACAAAAAAATTAGCTGGGTATGGTGGCAGGTGCCTGTAATCCCAGCTATTTCGGGAGGCTGAGGCAAGAGAATCGCTTGAACCCAGGAGGCAGAGGTTGCAGTGAGCTGAGATCGTGCCATTGCACTCTAGCCTGGGCGACAAGAGTGAAACTCTGTCTCAAAAAAAAAAAAAAAAATCATTTTATAGACTTTTATGTTTGGGAAGCACTGGTAGAGGAAAACACCTTACTGGAAAGTAGTTTACAACCCTCAGGCAACTTAAAATCAAGCTCCCTGAACATTCTATGTAACTTTCACTTTTACAGAGTCAACATTCATCACCTATCAGTCTTTTGACATTTGGTTATTTTCCCCATGTGTACCATGTTACTACCCTAGCCAGACTATGAATATCTCACATGCAAATACTTGGCAGCCGCATCTTTTTATCTCTCATGGCTCCTAGCTCACACCTTGTCTAAAAGAAGGTTGATAAATATTTGTTGGTTTAAAAACAGAGACAGAACAGGGGGAAGAAAATGGGGAGGGGAAAAACTCACACTTGAAGTGATAGCAATTATTGGTAGTTTGCAACTGATTACTTCATTGTAAATTGCTGTTCACCAATCAGTACCCTTTGAAAGACTAGTAAGTTGTTTAAAATGCAAAATAATGTTAATTTTTGGCTTGGCTTTAGTTGGAGCTGGATCTGCAGTCAGAAATAGCTGGCTTTGGGGCATGACCTCTAAATTATATCTTCCTTTATTAGCTCAGGGTGCTTTCTGCTGAGCTGGAAGTGCCTGGGGTAGGTCCCTCTGTCAGAGGATTGATGCTTAGACTGAGAATCCGATGAAGACCAAGTACCCCTGGGTCAGCATGACTGCAAAGGCCAACTGAATGGCTGCTTGTGACACCACTGCTTTGGGAAAAACTCACTCAGGGTGGTGGGAGCTTGCAGTTAAAAATACAAGAGACACATTTGGTTTGGTATCAGGGGCTGGTCTCAGATGCAGGCCCCTGTCCAAATATGCCTCCATCCCCTGCTCATCGGACCTAGTGCCCAGGGTTGGAGAGGGCACCATTTGAGAGATTTGTGGCTTTGAGGCTCTAAAAGCCTGACATTCTTAAAGGTTCTTCCCATGCTGACACCCTGACCCATTCCCAGTTTTGAAGCTAACCCAGGCTGGGAGAAGTAATTCATAAATCATTTGAAGCTGACACCTCAGAGGTGTTTTGATGGGAGTGGGACTTTGTCTCTTTTTTCAGGAGGAGGTGAGACAGGAGAGGAGGTAGAGTTCCTGCAAGAGATAAAGATGTCTCTGAACATTCGTAGAGACTTAGGAAAATTCTGGCTCCTGTGGGGAAGAAATTGATCTTGTTTGTTCTTTTCTTTCTTCTTGGTTGAGTTCCCAGTGTGGATCTTGCAGGCGTTTTGTTCTTGGTGTCAGAACCACCCAGGCTTGGTCGTCGCTGGGTCTGGAACCTCCTACAGATTCCACTGTCTCCCTGCCACAGAAGAAAGTCATGATTGCCCCTTGTGCAGACAGCAGGACCTGGGTGTGGGGCTCAGGGAGATTCCTGCAGAGCCCTGCTGGGTGTCTGCTTCCCACCTCCCTTCTTCGGGGTCCCAGTTAATGCCGCTATTCAGAAAAGACTGGAAGGAGGGGTTGGTGAGACTCAAAGCCTTGAAATTGGATCTGTGGTTGTTTTTCTCTAAAACCAAATGTATACCCACCCACTACCCGGCCAGCTGGTGCCCTTTCAGTCAGGGCCTAGTGACCCTGTAAGGAGTTGCTGCCAGTGGTGGAGCTGGCTGGGACATCCAGGCTCCATCCTGTTCGCCTGGCAAGTGTTCGAGAGCCAGTCTCATGTTTAGGCTCCACACGAGCCCTCCATGGGCATGTGGAGCCTGGTCCTCAATTTCCCATTTAACTCCCTCCTGATTGTACAGGCTTTGCACACAGTGGGCCTTCCATAAATGCTGCTGACAGACTGGGGAGGACTTGGGGGCTGGGAGGCTTCCTTTCATTTCCAGTGTTGAGGGGAGAGTATCAGAATCCTCATCTCTATCCTTGATTTCTCCAATGTCTGCCAAGGAGCCAGGGTGAGCACAGCTGTCAGTCTGTTTCTAGCCACGTTGCCAACTATCACACCCATCGGGGCAAAGAAGAACTTCCCTCAGCAGGATGTTTGTGGACAGCAGGTGACTGTCCTGCTCTGGGGCTGGCTTCAGCACCTCTGATCTAGCCACAGGCTCTCTTTCTTGTGGCTTCCCCTGTCATCTGCCCCTCCTGACCATCTGGCCACCCTGACTTCTGCCTGGTGGGAACGCTATCTGGTGGGTGGCAGCCTCTCCCTGCATGGAAGCTCCAGGCCAAGGGGCAGGGGGAGCAGCGGGCTGAATTGTCAGGGTTCAAACAGTTGAGCTAATACCAGTTTGCTCAGGGGTTTCTGGCTGCCTACCCGGGAGCCCAGGGCAAGGGGACCAAGCAATGTGCAATCTGCTCTTAACAGCCCCCATGCTTCCAGAGGCTTTCCTGGTTGAGAAAACACATTTGAATGTAACCTCATCTTGGAGTTCCAGCAGCTTCAACCTTGATGGTGTCTTCCTCGGGATTCCTTCATTCCTGATCCATGTAGAGGCTAACATTTACTGTGATCTTCCCATGTGCCTGACACCGTACCAAGAGCTTTCTGTGCACTATCTCATTTAATCTTCATAGTAACTCTATAAGGGAGCTTCAATTATCATTCTAGTTTCACTGACAAGCTAACTGAGGGCTGGAGAGGTTAAGTAACTTGTCCAGGATTGTATAGCCAGTCTGTGGCAGAGCTAGGAGTCTAACAGAGGCATTATAGTACTGTCTCATGTGCATGAAGACTGCTTTGTCCTGGATTAAAGTGTTTACATTTTACCAAATCTGGATCTTGTATCTATTCATCTAGCAGATGGGTCAGCCAACTATGCCCACAGGCCAAATCTAGCCATGGTATGGTCTGTTTTTTTTTTTTTTTTTCCGAGACAGAGTCTTGCTCTGTCACCAGGCTGGAGTGCAGTTGACACAATCTCAGCTCACTGCAACCTCCGTCTCCTGGGTTCAAGCGATTCTCCTGCCTCAACCTCCCGAGTAGCTGGGACTACAGGCATGCGACCCCATGCCCAGCTAATTTTTATATTTTTAGTAGAGACAGAGTTTCACCATGTCGACCAGGATGGTCTCGATCTCTTGACCTAGTGATCCGCCCACCTCAGCCTCCCAAAGTGCTGAGATTACAGGTGTGAGCCACTGCATCCAGCCTGGCTTTTTTTGGTTTTTGTTTGTTTTAGAATCAGGGTCTCACTTTGTTGACCAGGCTAGAGTACAGTGGTGTGATCATTGCTCACTGCAGCTTAAAATTCCTGTGCTCAAACAATCCTCCCATCTCAGCCTCCCAAGTAGGTGGGACTACAGGCACCAACCACCATGCCCAGCTATACCATAGTTAAAAAAACAAAAAACAAAAAACAAACAAAAAAACACCAGGCGCGGTGGCCCACACTTGTAATCTCAGCACTTTGGGAGGCCGAGGTGGGCGGATCACGAGGTCAGGAGATCGAGACCATACTGGCTAACACGGTGAAATGCCGTCTCTACTAAAAATACAAAAAATTAGCAGGGCGTGGTGGCGGGCACCTGTAGTCCCAGCTACTCGGGAGGCTGAGGCAGGAGAATGGCGTGAACCCAGGAGGTGGAGCTTGCAGTGAGCTGAGATGGCACCACTGTACTCCAGCCTGGGCGACAGAGCGAGACTCCATCTCAAAAACAAACAACCAAAAACAAAGAAGAAAATGTGACAAAGACAGTATTTGGCCTATAAAGCCTAAAATACTGACTATTTACTATCTGGGCCCTTACAAAAACAGTTTGCTGACTGCTAAGTTAGCATGCCACAGTATCCTGTCTCACCAATACGATCCAGAGAAAGCCCCAGCACCGTGTCTGCCAGCCTCCAATTCTCTTTGGACTCGGCCGCTTCCAAGAGTGCTCTGAACAATTAAAACCTCAATGAATACATTCAGTGCATGAAGACGGATGTGCCAGGGGGATTTTCAAATCTTCGGCTGCATCTTTGAGTGTGTGTAAACCTCGGGCCAGTTGCCTGGCAGGCCAGCCTGCGGCATGGGTCTTGACTTTCCCGATTGTGAAATGAGGATGAGAAATCTTGGCCTTGGAATGGAGGGAAATGAAAGAGGGGCATCTGACCGACTCTCAGAAAGACACAGGCAGGGAGCTCTGGAGGCTTCTTAGAAGGAAGAACCAGCCCGGCGCGGTGGCTCATGCCTGTAATCCCAGCACTATGGGAGGCTGAGGCAGGCGGATCACCTGAGGTCAGGAGTTTGAGACCAGCCTGACCAACATGGAGAAACCCTGTCTCTACTGAAAATATAAAATTAGCTGGGCGTGGTGGCAGGCGCCTGTAATCCCAGATACTCGGGAGTCTGAGCCAGGGGAATCGCTTGAACCCGGGAAGCAGAGGTTGCGGTGAGCCGCGACTGCACCACTGCGCTCCAGCCTGGGCAACAAAAGCGAAACTCTGTCTCAAAAAAAAAAGAAGGAAGAACAAATATGAATCACAAGCAACATTATTACCTTAGCAAGTGTTTGAGCCCCCAGTCTAAATGTGTAAAGTAATCTGCTCAGGCTTAAGAAAATCTCTTTTCCCCTATCACACTGGATGTATGAACACATGACCAGCAGAGGCCATCTAACTGAATGGGTTTTCATGCCTCCCCTCTCTGCTCAGGTGGTGAGTTCCCTGAGGCCCGGTCTGGATCTTATGTTTTACTTGTGTCTTCTCTGAGCTCTTGGTACCACACTGAGCAGCACACGGTGAGCAGCTCCGCATAGTGATCTGCCCGACTTACATGTTACAAAAAGGCCCCGAATGGAAACAGGCCTCCAGGAAGAGTGTCTAGAAAAGTAAGGGTCAGGCAGGGTGCCGGTGGCTCACGCCTATAATCCCAGCACTTTGGGAGGCTGAGGTGGATGAATCACTTGAGCCCAGGAGTGCGAGACCAGCCTGGGCAACATAGCAAGAACTTGTCTCTACAGAAAAAAGAAAAGAAATACTAGCTGGGTGTGGCAGCTCATGACTGTAATCACAGTGCTTTGGGAGGCTGAGGCAAGAGGATAGCTTGAGCCTGGGAGATTGAGGCTGTGGTGAGCCATGTTCATGCTACTGCACTCCAGCCTGGGCAACATAAGAGACACTGTCTCAAAAAAATAAATAAAAAATAAAAGGCTAGGCATGGTGGCTCACACCTATAATCCCAGCACTTTCAGAGGCTGAGGCAGGCGGATCACTTGAGCCCAAGAGTTTGAGACCAGCCTGGGCAATATGGCAAGACCCTGTCTCTACAAAAAGTACAAAAATTAGCTGGACATGGTGGTGTGTGTGTGTAGTCCCAGCTACTTGGGAGGCTGAGGTGGGAGGATCACTTGAACCCAGGAGGCTGAGGCTGCAGTGAGCTATGATTGCACCACTATGCTCCAGCTTAGGTGACAGCCAGACCCTGTCTCAAAAAAAAAAAAAAAAAAAAAGAAGAAAAGTAAGAGTCTTCTCTCTGCCCTCCCCGAGAACAATCTTGAGGCCCAGAGAGCAGGTGCGAGCTAGCTGGGGGGTCCTGGCACCTCAGGTGAGGCTGCTGGAGGCCCAGGCCCGAAGGCCCAGGCGCTCCCTCCCCTTCAGAAGCCCAGCTCTTCAGGCCCTCCCTGTATCCTCCACACCCAACCCTCTTCAGTCCTCCAGGAAACATCATGAGGGTTAATTATTTCTCAGGGCTGACTCAGACAGCAGTTTTCTGCCAAAGCATTCTGTCAGCCAAGCACGGTCCTGCTGTTACCCCTGTGAGGGAGCCTTTGTAAGCTGTGTCGGGAGGAAACTCCTCAGCAGGGAAGCCCAAAGCCCCGTAGCCTGGGGTGGGGTCCTGCCTGATCCCGTCAGGTGGGGCTGGTTGCTGGGAGGGCGCCCTCCCCAGTGTGAGAAGCCAGCTCCAGAACGCTCTCACCGCCAGGCTGCCTTTCAGCCAGTCCCTGTGGGGCAACGCTTGCCTTTCGTTTTGTTGATTGGAGATTGTGTCTCTGAATAGAGCTTAATGTCCTTTTGAAATTATCTGTTCTTTTTTATTCTTTTTTTTTTTTTTTTTTGAGATAGAGTCTTGCTCTGTTACCCAGGCTGGAGTGCAGTGGCTTCATCCCAGGGCTCACTGCAACCTCCGCCTCCTAGGTTCAAGCGATTCTCCTGCCTCAGCTTCTGGAGTAGCTGGGATTACAGGCGCCTGCCACCATGCCTGGCTAATTTTTGTATTTTAGTAGAGACGGGTTTCGCCATGTTGGCCAGGCTGGTCTCAAACTCCTGACCTCAAGCAATCCACCCACTTTGGCATCCCAAAGTGCCGAGATTACAGGTGTGAGCCACTGCACCTGGCCTTTTTTTTCTTTCTTTTAAAAATTTCTCCTGCTTTCTCCATTTGGTTTAGATTGCTGCTGTGTTCCTAAATGCTGAAGGTGAATGATGGGGCGTCCGGAGGAGAGGGATGACACTCAAACAAAAACCGTCTGCCTAGGAGGCCAAACTGGGGGAGAGTGGGGGGGGACAGAGGGGGTCTCTTGGAGGAAGGAGGCCTGGGAGATCTTCTCTCTCATATCAGAGAACCTGAGGGACTGGGATGGCCCTGAATGGAGATTCAAAGACGCTGAACTGTGCTTGAGACACCTGGGACCAGAAGCCAGGAGGGAGGAGGTAGAGAGAAGTAGAACAAGGTAGCCCCGTGAATTCACTGCATGGCAGCCATTAGCTTCACCTGCCCTCTGACCAGGCCGACACCAGCACCCTGGGCACCCCATGTGAGTAGGAAGGTGTGTGGTGCTGTGCAAACCCGATTATTCCCCAAGTAACCCATGCTGCATCTACAGCTTCCTGCTGCTGCGCCAGAAGCTGTGCCCTCTTATGGAAAGAAGAGCACTTCCTTCATATAAAAGCAGCCAGGTGAAGGCAAGGCTATTCTTGCACGAGAAATGATGATTATACAGATCAATTCCATCTTCTGGAGGAACCCCAGACAGTGGTAAATTACACAGTTACAGTTGTACCTTAAGCCCCATCTCCCCACCCCCCACAAAACAACAGAAAACCCAACAACCATGTTTTGCAGCAAAAATATTTACAGGACAGTTACTATGCACAAGCAAGTATTTTATATATTATGTCATTTAATCTTCTCAAGAACCCTGTGATGTATTTACCAATGAATGAACAGAGAGAGAGGCTAACAGCTAGCCAGAAATCACAGGGCCAGAAGGGTATGAAAGCTAGGCCTGGCAAGGCTGAGAATACAGCAGGACTTGGCATCTGGTAAGTGTTCCATAAATCCTTGTTGAAGGAATAAATGGGTCTGCCAGGCTCCATGATCAGGGCTTGCCTACTGCTCCCTAAGCCATAATTCCTGTTCCAAGGATCTGGGTAAGTCAGGGCCTACAAATATGCCCCAGGGAAGTTTTCTAAGATCCTGTTCTCATCTTTCTTCTGTGCTCTCCTCTCCCCAGCTGCCATCCTGTATCCCTTCCAAGAAGGCATAGAATGGAGGAGTTAATTTGTTATTTGATGTACCAAGTATAGTATTTGAGTGCCTACCAATGGTGCCAAGCATTGTTCTGGATGCTGGGGTCATAGGAGTGAACAAAACAGGTTAGGATCACATTTTGAAGATCACATTCTAGCCAGGGTACAGACTTGGCTGAGAGATCAGTTCTGGCTGAACTGATCAGGTAGGATTGAGGTAAGAGCTCTGTGACTCCTTAGCTATGGGCTGCTGTGTGCACATGGGGGCAGGCACCAGCGCTCCCTCACCAATGAGGTGCACTTTCGTCCTTGTGGTTGCAGAAGTGGTTTCAGCACCTCTGCCTCTCTGCTGTGGCCTCTTCCCTGGCCATGGTTTTCATCCCAGGATGGGCTCCTCAAAGTGTCTTTGCCACATGACCTAGAATTGAGACTAAGAGATTCAGTCTGGGCTGAGCTCATGTTAAAACCCAGGAGGCCAGGTGCGGTGGCTCACGCCTATAAATCCCAGCACTTTGGGAGGCCGAGGCAGGCAGATCACAAGGTCAAGATATTGAGACCATCCTGACCAACATGGTGAAACCCCGTCTCTACTAAAAATACAAAAATTAGCCGGGCATGGTGGTGGGTGCCTGTAGTCCCAGCTACTTGGGAGGCTGAGGCAGGAGAATCGCTTGAACCCAGGAGGTGGAGGTTGAAGTGAGCTGAGATTGCGTCAACTGCACTCCAGCCTGGCGACACAGTGAGACTCTGTCTCAAAAAACAAACAAACAAAACCAGGAGCTAATGCATGGCCCTTATTTTTAACTTTTATTTATTTATTTATTTATTTATTTTAAGTTCCTCGGTACATGTACAGGATGTACAGGTTTGTTAACACAGGTAAATGTGTGCCATGATGGTTTGCTGCACCTATCAACCCATCACCCAGGTGTTAAGCCCAGCATGCATTAGCTCTTTTCCCTAATGCTCTCCGTTCCCCTGCCCACCCCCAACAGGCCCCAGTGAGTGCTGTTCCCCTCCCTGTGTCCACGTGTTCTCACTGTTCAGCTCCCACTTACTAGTGAGAACATACAGTGTTTGGTTTTCTGTTCCTGCGTTAGTTTGCTGAGGATAATGGCTTCCAGCTACATCCATATAGCTGCAAAAGACATGATCTTGTTCCTTTTTTTTTTTTTTTTTTTGAGACGGAGTCTCGCTCTGTCGCCCAGGCTGGAGTGCAGTGGCGGGATCTCGGCTCACTGCAAGCTCCGCCTCCCGGGTTCACGCCATTCTCCTGCCTCAGCCTCCCAAGTAGCTGGGACTACAGGCGCCCGCCACTACGCCCGGCTAATTTTTTGTATTTTTAGTAGAGACGGGGTTTCACCGTTTTAGCCAGGATGGTCTCGATCTCCTGACCTCGTGATCCGCCCGCCTCGGCCTCCCAAAGTGCTGGGATTACAGGCGTGAGCCACCGCGCCCGGCGATCTTGTTCCTTTTTATGGCTGCATAGTATTCCATGGTGTATATGTACCACGTTTTATTTCTTTCCTTTTTCTTTTCTTTTTTTTTTTTGAGATGGAGTCTTGCTCTGTTGCCCAGGCTGGAGTGCAGTGGCATGATTTCAGCTCACTGCAACCTCCACCTCCCAGGTTCAAGCAATTCCTCTGCCTCTCAGCCTCCGGAGTAGCTGGGACTACAGGCATGCACCACCACACTCGGCTAATTTTTGTATTTTTGGTAGAGATGGGTTTCACCATGTTGGCCAGGCTGGTCTCGAACTCCTGACTTCAGGTGATCCGCCTGCCTCAGCCTCCCAAAGCGCTGGGATTAAAGGCATGAGCCACCATGCCCAGCCGCCACATTTTCTTTATCCAGTCTATCATTGATGAGCATTTGGGTTGATTCCATGTCCTTGCTATTGTGAATAGTGCTGTAATGAACATATGTGTGTATGTATCTTTATAACAAAGTGATTTATATTCCTTTGGGTATATACCCAGTAATGGGATTGCTGGGTCAAATGGTATTTCTGGTTCTAAATCTCTGAGGAATCGCCACACTCTCTTCCACAATGGTTGAACTAATTTACATTCCCACCAACAGTGTAAAAGCTTTCTTATTTCTTCACAACCTCGCCAGCAGCTCTTGTTTCTTTTTTAAATTTCATTTTATTGAGACAGAGTCTCACTCTGTCACCCAGGCTGGAGTGCAGTGGCGCAATCTTGGCTCACTGCAAACTCTGCCTCCCAGGTTCAAGCAATTCACCTGCCTCAGCCTCCTGAGTAGCTGGGATTACAGGTGTGCGCCATGGTGCCTGGCTAATTTTTGTATTTTTAGTGGAGACAGGGTTTCACCATGTTAGCCAGCCTGGCCTCAAACTCCTGACCTCAAGTGATCTGCCCACCTTGGCCTCCCAAAGTGCTGGGATTACAGGTGTGAGCCACCACGCCCGGCCTATCTGTTGTCTCTTGACTTTTTAATAATCGCCATTCTGACTGGCGTGAGATGGTATCTCATTGTGGTTTTCATTTGCATCTCTCTCTCTGTCTCTCTTTTTTTTTTTTTTTGACATGGAGTCTCGCTTTGTTGCCCAGGCTGGAGTGCAGCGGCACGATCTTGGCTCACTGCAAGCTCCACCTCCTGGGTTCATGCCATTCTCCTGCCTCAGCCTCCCGAGTAGCTGGGACTACAGGCACCCGCCACCACACCTGGCTAATTTTTTGTATTTTCAGTAGAGATGGGGTTTCACTGTGTTAGCCAGGATGGTCTCAATCTCCTGACCTCGTGATCCACCCACCTCGGCCTCCCAGAGTGCTGGGATTACAGGCGTGAGCCACTGCGCCTGGCCTTTTTTTTTTTTTTTTTTTTTTTGAGACGGAGTTTCGCTCTTGTTGCCCAGGCTGGAGTGCAATGACATGATCTCGGCTCACCACAACCTCCACCTCCCAGGTTCAAGTGATTCTCCTGTCTCAGCCTCCCGAGCAGCTGGGATTACAGGCGCCTGCCACCAGGCCCAGCTAATTTTGTATTTTTAGTAGGGACAGGGTTTCTCCATGTTGGTCAGGCTGGTCTTGAACTCCCGACCTCAGGTGATCAGCACGCCTCAGCCTCCCAAAGTGCTGGGATTACAGGCATGAGCCACCGTGTCCAGACTTTCATTTGCATTTCTCTAATGATCAGCGATGTTGAGCTTTTTTCCACATTTGTTGGTCACGTGTATATCTTTTTTTGAGAAGTTATTTTTATTTATTTTTTAGGGACACAGTCTCCCTCTGTCTCCCGGGCTGGAGTGCAGTGGCGCCATCATGGCTTGCTACAGCCTCGAGCTTCAGGACTCAAACGATTCTCCCACCTTTGCCTCCTGAGTAGCTAGGGCTACAGGCATGTGGCACCACGCGCAGGTAACTTTTCTATTTTTTGGTAGAGATCTTACTATGTTACCCAGGACTGGCCTGAAGTGATCCTCCTACCTCAGTCTCTCAAAATGCTGGGATAACACGTGAGCCACTGTGCCTGGCCTTTTACAAATTATTTATTTATCTTTTTTAAATTAAAATTTTTTTTTATTGGCCGGGCATGGTGGCTGACACCTGTAATCCCAGGACTTTGGGAGGCCGAGGTGGGCAGATCATGAGGTCGAGAGATCAAGACCATCCTGGCCAACATGGTGAAACCCATCTCTATTAAAAATACAAAAATTAGCCGGGCTTGGTGGCGGGCGCCTGTAGTCCCAACTACTCGGGAGGCTGAGGCAGGAGAATCGCTTGAACCCAGGAGGCGGAGGTTGCAGTGAGCTGAGATTGCACCACTGCACTCCAGCCTGGCGACAAAGCAAGACTCTGTTTCAAAAAAACAAAACAAAACAAAACAAAACAACCACACACACACACAAAACTTATTTTATGCAGGGACCATGCTAATCTTCTCTGTATTGTTCCAATTTTAGTATATGTGCTGCCAAAGCGAGCACTATTTATTTATCTATCTATTTATTTATTTATTGAGCCAGAGTCTCATTCTGTCACTCAGGCTGGAGTGCAATGGCACAATCTCAGCTCACTGCAACCTCCACCTCCCAGGTTCAAGCGATTCTCCTGCCTCAGCCTCCCAAGTAGCTGGGATTACAGACACCCGCCACCACACGTGGCTAATTTTGTATTTTTAGTAGAGACAGGGTTTCACCATGTTGGCCAGGCTGGTCTCGAACTCCTGACCTCAGGTGATCTGCCTGCCTCAGCCGCCCATAGTGCTGAGATTACAGGCGTAAGCCACTGCGTCTGGCCGCGAGCACTATTTATTCATTACCATGTGGATTGGGGACTCCTGATACCTTCTAGTTTATGACTTTGATATCTTCATTCGACATTGCGCTTTCCTGCCACTGGATGAAGAAAAGAAAATCCTTACCGGTCCTCTGACTTATCCTTTTGTACTTAAGCTGGCTTTAGTTGGTTTCTGTTACTTATAATCAAAAACAGTCTCATCTTTTTTTTTTTTTTTTTTTTTTTGAGACAGAGTCTCGTTCTGTCGCCCAGGCTGGAGTGCAGTGGCGTGATCTCAGCTTACTGCAACCTCCGCCTCCCAGATTCAAGTGATTCTCCTGCCTTAGCCTCCAGAGTAGCTGGGACTACAGGCACGTGCCACCACGCCCAGCTAATTTTTTGTAATTTTAGTAGATATGGGGTTTCACCATGTTAACCAGGCTGGTCTTGATCTCCTGACCTTGTGATCCACTCGCCTCAGCCTCCCAAAGTGCTGGGATTACAGGCGTGAGCCACCGTGCCCAGCCAGTCTCATCTTGAATGTAAACAAAAACTTAGAACCTGGGTTCAGGGCAGAAGCAGCAGACCTAGAGCTGCCTGGATCTGATCAGGTCTGAGAATGACAAAGTCAAACGGGTTCCCTAGAGACCACTGATCACTGGGGAAGCTCCCTTGCCCTGCACTGCCTCTCTGCCAAGACCAAGGCCTAGGACCACATACTGACTGCAAACCCATCTGGATACAACCAGTCTGAATTTTCCCCAAATCTACTCTTGGTACATAATCAGACTTCCTGATCTACACACATTTTTTTTCCTTACTCTAGACCCTAGGAGGGAGTAAAGTTTGTGGTAAAAGAAAAAGAAGGAAAAATACAAACTACCTTCTAAACCGTGGGTACGGTAATGGAGTGGCTACCAGTATTGATCATTGCAAGAACATTGCAAGCTTAGCAAGAATCAGCTGCTGGGTCATAGCCTGTTTTGAAAGACAACTGTAGCCCATTAAAAAGGATTGTGTGTCATCCACAGAAAGCTCTTCATTTGGTTACTTTACATCTGACTGGCTCCTACTTGCCCTACAGGCTCTAGTTTTTTCTTGCAAGCCTTCTACAAGACTAGGTTAGGGAACTCCTCTGTTAGAGTACTCCCTTACAGTGCACATCTCACTTTGTTGTTTGTTTTAAGGATAGGGTCTCACTCAGTTGCCCAAGCTTGAGTGCAGTGGTGTGATCATAGTTCACTGCAGCCTTGAACTTCTGGGCTCCAGTGATCCTCTTGCCTCAGCCTCCCAAGTGGCTGGGACTCTAGGCACATGCCACTGAGCTTGGCTAACTTTTTAAAAAAAAATTTCTTGTAGAGACGGGATCTCACTATGTTGCCCGGGTTGGTCTCAAACTCCTGGCCTCAAGCAATCTGCCTGCCTCGGCCTTCCAAAGTGTTGGGATTACAGGTGTGAGCCACTGCACCCAGCCATCTCACTCTATTTAAATTGCCATGTCGGTCTATTAAAATGCTCTATTTAAGTGTCCTGAGAGTAGACCCGAGTGTATCTAGCATGGTACTTCGTGTGTGGTAGGTGCTCAATATACATGTTCCACAAAAAATAGAATTCAGGAATTCATTTAGTATTCCCTAAAAAGTCTCCACACCTACCCTTCTACAGGTGATCATATAACTTGTGCAAAGACTATCAGGAAGACTTAGGTATGTGCCTTTAGGAGGTAGATAGAGCAGACAGGGCTCAGGTGACCTTGACTAGCTAGAAATTCCAGGTGCCTCTATCAAACAGAATCTGTCAATTAGGATTAAGTTAGACTTTATACAACAGAAAACAAGGTTTATCCTCTTATGTAAAAGAATTCCAGGGGACTACAGTTCTGGGCAGGAATAGTGGCTCCACGAAGTTAGCAGGAACCCAAGCTGCTTCTGGCTTTCTGCAGCACCATCCTTAGCACTGACTTCCATCCACAAGGCTACCTCATGGTTTAAGAGGGCAGTGGCATGCCAGCCATCATGTCTGCATTCCAGGCAGCAGGACAAAGGGAGAAGGACAAGCGAAGCAACAAAAGGTTGGCCCTCTGAGTCAGCTCCCTCTCAGCAGACTTCTTGAAATTTTTATGTATAATATTCCCTTATATCTAAGTGGCCAGGAACACTTGGAAATGTAGATTTTAGCTGGGTACTTTGCTCCATATAAACTTGGAGTTTTATAATTAAGAGGGAAACAGATATTATGCAATAAGCTGCAGTCTCTCCCCCAGTCCCCAAGCAAACCTGTCAGGAAGGACCCTCCCTTATTTTGGTAAAAAATCAGTTGATCTGTCTATAGGCAGCTCCGCTTTGCTCTACATCTCAGTTTTCACTGATACAAGGACTAGTCATCAGTACTTTTTTCTCTATATAAAGAACTACAATGGCTGGGCGCAGTGGCTCACGCCTGTAATCCCAGCACTTTGGGAGGCCAAGGCGGGCGGATCGCTTGAGGTCAGGAGTTCGAGACCAGCTTGGCCAACATGCTGAAACCCCATCTCTACTAAATATACAAAAATTAGCCAGGCGTGGTGGCGCATGACTGTAGTCACAGCTACTCGGGAGGCTGAGGCAGGAGAATCGCTTGAATTCAGGAGGCAGAGGTTGCAGTGAGCCGAGATTGCACCACTGCACTCCAGCCTGGGTGAGAGAGAGAGATGCTGTCTCAAAAAAAAAAAAAAAAAAGAAAAAGAAAAAGAAAAAAAGAACTACAAGAGAAGGGTCCTCTCCCTTGCTCTGTTTCTTGCACTTACCACTCGCACTCATTACTAGATGGGGCCACATGAAGAGTTCAATGCAGAACTGCAGAAAGGCTCTTCAGCATGTGGGCGTCTCTCACAAGGCCGGATGATTGAGCTGAAATGAGTTGACAATCATGTTGATGTAAGGCAGTGCATTAGGGGCCCTGCTGTAGCAGTGACAGCCTGGATGCTCTGCATTTCAGATGGGCAGGAAATGCTCTGAGAACACACAGGCCTGGGCACTGGTCTACAGGACCAGGTGAAGGAGGAAGGACCCCATTCCCTTCACCCTCATCCTCCAAGGCAGGTAGTACCCAATAGCCATGCCTACAGCATATTCCCCATAGGTGTGGGCAGAAGACCCCACTCCCTTGAACTCTCTAGTTAGTGCTTTCTCAAACTGCAGTTTGATTTTCTCTTAAATGGGAAGTGTCTGAATGTAGGGCAACTGTGGGAAAGGAAGCATGGGAGAGTAATGATGAGCTTGGGTTGGAATCCTGGCCTTGCCCGTTGTTTTCTGTGTTACCTTGCTAACTCGTTTCACTCCCTCCAAGTGCCTATTTCGTGAGGTAAAATAAGAATGGTAATGACACCCCCCTCGCCGAGCTGCTCAGAGGATTAAACAAGATAATGTAGGTGAATGCATTTAGCACAGTGCCTGGGGTACAATAGGTACTCGATAAAAGAGAAAATAAAATGGAGATAGATGGCAAAAGCCACTGTGAAGACTCAACCCCTAAACAAATCTTCCTCTGAAATCAGAGAAATTTGCAACACTGGCATCTTGGCTGGAATCCCAGGATAAGATGGGCACTTACAGCAGTAAAGCCAGCCACACCCTGGACACCAGGCCCCAGAGGGCAGGGGCTACTCCCCATCCGAGGGCTGCCGAGCTCAGGAAACTGATTCATATTTTGTCCTGGGGACACTGCACTTGGAAAAACATTATTGATTCCATGGTTCAGGTTGCAAAGGGAGGAAGAAAGATGGAATTTCATCACATAAAGCACTTATGCCTACTGTACTTTCTCTTTAGAGAGGCACTTGACAATCATTTTCATTAGTGTCTCTTCTTAAAACAACCTCAGAGATAGCTTATCCCCATTTTATAAAGGCAGAACATAGGAGAAATAACTGGCTGAAGAGCATGTGGCAAGGTGGCAAAAGTCAGAGTTCATGATCTCCAAATTTCTGGCATATTGCTTAACTAACCAAGCTTCGGCAATCCGCTCCACAAATGCCTGGCGAGGGCCTCTCAGTCATATACTTATTGCTCAGATCAGTCACTCATGATCACCAGAAAAAGGCAAACATGTAAATCTAGGCTACATGATTCGTTTTTCTTAGCAGCTTAGGACAGGAGATGAAAAGTGACTTTTCTAACCGTATCACAAGTGGTTCTGTGTCCAGCAAGTCCTGGAACAGAGATGTTGGAACTATTCCAGGATATACGTTACACCATAGAGCTCTGGATGCCTAGAAGCAATGAAGATGGGGTGGGGGCAGTGAAATAGCCAGCTCCTACGCTAAGTGCAGCCCTCCCCACCAGGGCTGTAGCCGGGCTGCCCCCTCACCTGAGGAACTCATGCCTTTGATCACGGCAGCATTACAACCTGTCCCTGATACCAAAAGGAGAAACACTCTTGGCCTGTGCCCTCTTGGATGGATCATTTTTCAGAGAACAGGACGTTTAGTGAGTTTGTCTCAAACTGCACAGAGAACATGGTGAACCTGCTAGGGCTGATTGCTGAGGGAAATTAAGAAGACAGGGATAATGGCTTTTCCTCTGTTGCTAAAGCCAGCATGTACCTGAAATGAGCCCCAAAGCTCAGGCCTGACTTCATGCCTTTCTTGTCCTGGGAAGAGGGTTTATCAGATTCTAAAGACTGCATTTCAGTTATCTTTGTTTCCAATACTGAAGCAGCTCCCTCTGCTCACCGAGGCAGAGCACTTTCTATCTCTTTTTCAGAAAAATCCCAAGGAACAATTGTTTTGGATTACTTAGTGGACTCAGCATGGAAACTGCTTGTGTGGCCCAGCTAGGTAGGGGCGTTCAGACAAGGAGACCTGACCTGGAGCCTCTGGGATGATTCCAAGGTATTGCATGCATGCGTCTGCTGTGTGTTCATTAACTGCTGGGGAAAAAACTCTGGGTAGTCACAGCCATCTACTGTCAGTTTTCAAGACAGGCTTCAGCAGGCAAGCAGCTTGGTGGGAGGCGTCCTTAGTCAGCTGGGAAAGTAAGGCTGACGCGCTGTCCGACCTCAGCGAGGCATGTGTCATACTCTTTCCATTCTCTGGCACTCTCTGGCTCTTCCTAAGGCCTTTTCTCAACCAGGCACATTATGTGATGTAGACAGCAAGCAGGATTGGAGGCTGGCAGTCCCCAGAGCGGAGCTGGCAGTGGCCACTTAGACTCCCTCATATCACATCGTTGGCTTCCAAGCCCAGATGTAGGTGCCTGCCCCTCCCATTGGGACCTTGCCAAATCTTTTGTAACATTTTAAAACAGCCATTGAAGTGCCAGATGATAAAATTTCCCTTGGAGATTGAGAAATTCTGATTGGGATGATGGCAGCATTCTGGAATTTATGTGAGATTTGCTTCCCAGGGGCCAGAAGCGAGGAGGTCAAGACTCCAGGTCCCCATCCCAGCTTAACCAAAGAACCACTACTTTTTTTCTTTTCTTTTCTTTCTTTCTTTTTTTTTCTCAGACAGTCTTGCTCTGTCAACCATGCTGGAGTGCAGTGGTGCAATCTTGGCTTCTGCAACCTTCACCTTCCAGGTTCAAGCGATTCTTTTGCCTCAGCTTCCGGAGTGGCTAGGATTACAGGTGTGTGCCACAATGCCCGGCTGATTTTTGTAATTTTAGTAGAGATGGGGTTTTACCATGTTGGCAAGGCTGGTCTTGAACTCCTGGCCTCAAGTGAACTGCCCACCTTGGCCTCCTAAAGTGCTGGAACTATAGGTGTGAGCCACTGCACCCAGCCCCCTACTTTTTTTTTTTTTAGATGGGGTCTTGCTCTGTTGCTCAGGCTGAAGTGCAGTGGCATGATCATAGCTCACTGCAGCCTCAAACTCCTGGGCTTAAGAGATCCTCCAGGGCCAGGCGTGGTGGCTCATGCCTGTAATCCAAGCACTTTGGGAGGCTGAGGCGGGCGGATCACGAGGTCAGGAGATCGAGACCATCCTGGCTAACACGGTGAAACCCCATCTCTACTAAAATACAAAAAAATTAGCTGGGTGTGGTGGCAGGTGCCTGTAGTCCCAGCTACTCTGGAGGCTGAGGCAGGAGAATGGCATGAACCTGGGAGATGGAGCTTGCAGTGAGCCGAGACTGCGCCACTGCACTCCAGCCTGGGCGACAGAGCGAGACTCTGTCTCAAAAAAAAATAAAATAAAATAAAAAGAGATCCTCCTAATGGCCGGGTGCAGTGGCTTACACCTGTAATCCCAGCACTTTGGGAGGCCAAGGTGGGCAGATCACTTGAAGTCAGGAGTTCGAGACCAGCCTGGCCAACATAGTGAAACCCCGTCTCTACTAAAAATAGAAAAATTAGCTGGGTGTGGTAGTGCATGTCTGTAATCCCAGCTACTCGAAAGGCGAGGCAGGAGAATTGCTTGAACCTGGGAGGCGGAGGTTGCAGTGAGCCGAGATCGCGTCATTGCACTCCAGTCTGGGCAAAAGAGTGAGACTCCATCTCAAAAAACAAGAGATCCTCCTGGCTCAGCCTCCTGAGTAGCTGGGACTACAGGTGTGTGCACCACAACACCCAGCTAATTTTTGTATTTTTTGTAGAGACAGAGTCTTGCTATATTATCCAGGTTGGTCTTAAACTCCTAGCCTTAAGAAATCCTCCCACCTCCGCCTCCCAAAATGCTAGGATTACAGGCATGGGCTACTACACCTGGCCTTTCTTTTTGGTTTTACATGCTGAAGTTAGGCACAGATTTCAATTGAAAGAGGGTTTTGTTGCTTTAAAAGTGTTTTAAAAGTCCTGCCCTGCATTATCCTTATCACCTCCATTAGTAACTATACAGAATTTTAAAAGAGGAAAAATCAGAGAGGGAAAGGTAAGTTATTTATTGGGTATGAAGAAAAGCCACAGATGTTGTTTGGGCCTCAGCAGGGCATCTGTGCAGGTGTCTGCGCATTAGCAACACCATCTGCTTGGTTGTCTCTCAAAGGAAGAAGAATCCTGGCCTAATGAACTCCTCAAGCTCTCTTCTTTGGGAAATAGGAAGATCACAATTTGAAATCTTAATACGAGGTAATAATTGAATATATAAGCACCCTACATAATCCAGAACTAAAAAATGTGAAATTAAGTCATGAATTGCTTTCAAATATAGCAGGAATCTTCTAGCCTCTCTCTTCCAGTCCTAAAAGGCACCACGAAATGCTGCCTCAGAGCCAAGGCCCCAAATAAATACATGCTAATAAGGCTGATTTTCCCTTTTCACTCTTCTCCTGGGCAGTATGAACCTTTGACTAGAGAGAGGCAGAAAGGAGCATCTCAACCCATTTAGGTGGTGGCCTCTTTCAAAGTGAAATGTGAAGCCAGGGCTCCAAACCGTCATTGTCCTGAGAGTTCCCAGGAAGGCTTTTGCGTGGTGACCTGGATGCCCGTCCAAATGGCCTTGGCTGGTCCCATCCCTCACTCTAGCTCCCTAAGGGTCCTGCTGCTATCAATTGACTGTGAACATTTCCTTTCACTGCCTTTTGCAAACTGCTGGGTGAGTGCCAAGTAGTAGCTTTGCAGGGTTCATTCACCCCAGGGCTGGGAGCTTTTCAGCAGTGTAGGCAGGTTATGTGTTTCAAATCAGCATAGTAGGGCAGAGTGATTTGGAAGCCATTTCATTTTTTCAGTTCATCAAACTCCTACTCACTGGGAATCTCTAAACCAGCGATATGAAACCTTTCTGGAGTTGTGACACCCTGTTGTCACTCATTTTATTTCATCAAACACCCACCCCTCTTAAAAATGCCATGAGGCATGTATTTATTTTTAAGATGAAAGTGAATTAAAATTGGAAAATTACCTAAGAATTTTCTGGCACTCTAGCAAAAAAGGAGATCTACCAGAGGTGTTTGGAAGTCAGGATCTTCATTAAGAATCATCACTCTACACAGGGAAGACACTTGACGGAATTGAGAAGTAGGAAGAATTTGTCCTTGCTCCTCCCCTCTCCCACAATCTAATTCCCTCCCCATCTGCACATCCCTCCCCAGGCATCTGGGCACTTGCACCACCCCATACCTCCCTCCGTGGTACCTCATGCAGAACTGGCCCTTACCACCCACCCCCGCAGCCCTGCTCTGCAACTGTTTCCTCTCAGTGCTCCTGTTAACATACCCGATGCCCACTCCTTCTGCAGGTAGTCCCTGTAGGTTAGTCGTTTCTTTAGAAAGGAGTAACAACTTCTATTCTTTTTTTTTTTTGAGATGGAGTCTCTCTCTGTTGCCCAGGCTGGAGTGCAATGGCGCAATCTCGGCTCACTGCAACCTCTGCCTCCTGGGTTCAAGCAATTCTCCTGCCTCAGCCTCCCGAGTAGCTGGGATTATAGGCGTGAGCCACCATGCTTGGCTAATTTTTTTGTATTTTTAGTAGAGACAGGGTTTCACCATGTTGGCCAGGCTGGTCTCAAACTCCTGACCTCAAGTGATCCACCCACCTCGGCCTCCCAACGTGCTGGGATTACAGGTGTGAGCCACTGCGCCCAGCCTAGGAGTAACAACTTCTAAGTTCATTTTCAGCACAAAAATTTTAGTGGAGTTAACCTTGATGATAATGCCTTAAAGTCTTAATCCCTCCCAGGGATATTTGTAATTTTTTTATCCCTAGAATGCTCAGCAGAAGGGATATTTGTAATGTAACTAGAGACAATATCATACACAAAATAATTAATTTCCAATGGAATTTCAAGGGGTAACAGAAAGGAACAGGAAGAGTGAGAGATTGGTCCATTCTGCCTTCTGGTAATAATGGCCCCCTCGCGGTGCAAGCATTCACTTTGGGATAATATAAAAGACACTGGAACTGGGTGTGGTGGCTCATACCTGTAATCCCAGCATTTTGGGAGGTTGAAGCGGGCAGATCACCTGAAGTCAGGAGTTCAAGACCAGCCTGGCCAATGTGGTGAAACCACGTCTCTACTAAAAATACAAAAATTAGCCAGGTGTGGTGGTATGCACTTGTAATCCCAGTGACTCAGGAGGCTGAGGCAGGGCAATAGCTTGAACCTGGGAGGCGGAGGCTGCAGTGAACCGAGATTGCACCACTGCTCTCCAGCCTAGGCAACAGAGCAAGACTCTGTCTAAAAAAAAAAAAAAAAAAAAAAGACATTGGATAAGAGTCAGTGACCTGGATGTATTTCTGACTTAATCCAATTCAACCAATATTTACTAAGCCCCTCCTATATGCCTGGAATTCAGCTATGCCATTGGTATCCAAGATAAATATGACACATTCCATGTCCTCAGTGAAATCCCAGTCTATCAGGAGGCATCTGATACCATGCTAAATGTTTCTCTAGCAGTTAGACAAAATGCTATGGGAACACCATAGAGAGGATGATTGATTCTGTCCAGAGAAACCTGCAGAGAATTAATATTTGCATTGGCCTTTGAGGATGAGAATGAGTTCAGGAGGCTGGGAAAGGGAGGAGAAGAGGAGTGAGGTCAGTGGGGAAAAAAACCACCAGAACAAAAGCACAGGGAGGCGATTGCTGGGGAAGTCCAAGTATCTGGAGCACAAGAAGGGAAGTAGCGGGGATGAAGCTGAAAAGCAAGGCTAGGGTCAGATTTTGGAAAAGCTTTTACTGTCTTACTGAGGAGTGGAAGCATCAGCTGCAGACGATGGAGCCATCAGAAGGTTTTGAAACCTCCATAGACACATCCTGGAGACTACCACCTTCTCTCAGGCAAAAGACAATGCAGGCTCCATCCAGGGCTATAAGGAGAATGGAAAGAAAAGACCCTGAGGATAGGATACATGCAAATAGTTGGCTCCTTCGATGTTGGGGTTAAAGGAGAAGGAGAAGTCATAGGTTTTTTGCTTAGGCTTGCTAAGTAATGGCGATGCCACTAATTGAAGATAGGGATGATAGGAGCAAGAGTCCATGGAAAAGAACAATGAGCTCAATTTTAGGCCTGTTGGCTTAAGAGACCAAGGGCGAGTGTGAAGATGGTTGTTGATGTTGCTACAGAGGATTCTTCTCTTGTTTATGTTTTTGGTCTTCTTAACAGGACACTAAGTGCTTGTCTGTGCCGAGCACATGTCCATCTCTAAGATGGCTCTTCTTCCAGTTCTGTCATTTCTTCCATCAGACAGGATGGTGCGAGTGTAGACAGAGTTTAAGCAAGAGGCCTGGGACTGCTGCTGCTATTAAGCAGAGGCCAAGTCACATGGAAGCTTCTGGAAGCTCAGGTTCTCACTTGCATACAGATCTGCTTCTTTGCATTCTAAATGTTAAATTCCTCACCTTCCATTCATCTTTTGTTTTCAATTTATCTTTCTCAAATAATATCCTTGCTTGTAGAACTAATCATTGTCCCAAAGAGAACCTGTGACTTCTTTCTTGCTCATTTCAGCATGAACATCATTGAGTGAAAACCTATAACTAGAACGCTGTTGTGGAGATAAAGTAGTTCAGGAAATGTTTGGATCTTTAGGAGTTCATCTCAGAAACCCTAAAAATGTGCATGCTCTTTGAGCTAGTAACCCTACTTTTTGGGATTTATCCTAGAGGAATACTGGACAAGTGGACAAATATGTATGTACAATATTGGCACTCTTTTTTTGAGACAGGGTCTCACTGTGTCATCAGGGTGGAATCCAGTGGCATGATCATGGCTCACTGCAGACTTGACCTCCTGGGCTGAAGCAATCCTCCCACCTCAGCCTCCTGAGTAGCTGAGCTTACAGGTGTACACCACCACACAAGGCTAATTTTAAATTTTTTTTGTAAAGATGGGGTCTCAGTACATTGCCCAGGCTGGGCTCAAACTCCTGAGCTCAAGCAATCTTCCTGCCTTGGCCTCCCAAAGTGTTGGGATTATAAGCATGAGCCACTGCACCTAGCCTCAATATTGTCATTCTTGCTTATTGTAGTAAAAAACTAAGCAATAAAAGTCCACAAATAAGAGATTAACTAAATTACTTAAAATGATCCATATAATGAAATTTAATAAAAATTAACTCATTAAAAATGACAGTGTAAGCTGGGCACAGTGGCTCATGCCTGTAATCCCAGCACTTTGGGAGGCCAAGCAGGGAGGATCACCTGAGGCTGGAGTTCAAGACCAGCCTGGGCAGCATAGCAAGACCCTGTCTCTACAAAAGTTGTTTTTACAAAAATGACAATGTAGATTAACATTGATTGACAATTGGAAAGTTAGAAAGACATTCAAGATTTATTATTGGAAAAGAATAAATTATGTAAATTTATTATGCAAAATGTTTAATGAAAAGATCTGAAAACCAAAATTGGCAAAACGTAAATAACAATTATCTGAGAGGACAGTGGAAGGAATTTCTATTGGTTTAATTATTTTTCTTTCTGCTGTCATTACCTCCTATTTTTTTTTTTTTTTTTTGAGACGGAGGTTCACTCTTGTTGCCCAGGCTAGAGTGCAATTGTGCAATCTCAGCTCATTGCAACCTCTGCCTCCCGGGATCAAGCGATTCTTCTGCCTCAGCCTCCCAAGTAGCTGGGATTACAGGCATGTGCCACCATGCCCTGCTAATTTTGTATTTTTAGTAAAGATGGGGTTTCTCCATGTTGGTCGGGCTGGTCTCAAACTCCCAACCTCAGGTGATCCACCCGCCTCAGCCTCCCAAGGAACTGGGATTACAGGTGTGAGCCACCGCACCCAGCCTCCTAATCTTTTTTTTTTTTTTGAGATGGAGATGGGTGAGTGGAGAGGGGGTATCTCTATGTTGCCCAGGCTGGCCTTGAACTCCTGGGCTCAAGCAATCCTCCTGCATAACTGGAACTACAGATATGCCCCACTGTACTGGCCTATTTCCTAATCTTTTTACAACAACTATGTATTACTGATGTAAAGAAATATCTGGCCAGGCGCAGTGGCTCATGCCTGTAATCCCAGCTACTCGGAAGGCTGAGGCAGGAGAATTGCTTGAACCGGGGAGGTGGAGGTTGCGGTGAGCCAAGATCACGCCATTGCACTCCAGCCTGGGCAACAAGAGTGAAACTCTGTCTCAAAAAAGAAAAGAAAAGAAAAGAAAAGAAATATCAGGCTGGGTGCAGTGGCTCACGCCTCTAATCTCAGCACTTTGGGAGGCCAAGGCGAGTGGATTGCTTGAGGTCAGGAGTTCGAGACCAGCCTGGCTAACATGGTGAAACCCCATCTCTACTAAAAATACAAAAATTAGCCAGGTGTGGTGGCACATGCCTGTAGTCCCAGCTACTCGAGGCACGAGAATTGCTTGAACCCAGGAGGCAGAGGTTGCAGGGAGCTGGGATCACACCACTGCACTCCAGCCTGGGCAAGACAGCGAGACTCCATCAAAAAAAAAAAAAAAGAAAAGAAACAAAAGAAAAGAAATATCTATGCTTCTTTCAAATGTGCTGGGGCCAGCTTATCAGCTGTGCTCCCAGACAGGGCTAGGTTGAGGAGCAAAGGAAGAGCAGGAAAGCCCTCCAACAGTGGCTAAATTGAAAATTATGGCCCTGGAAGTATATTTCATGAAGGGACCTCCCTCCCCTTTCAATGCACACTCTGGGGGATTCTTCGGAACAAGACACTCTTAGGTCATAGCTACATGGAGAGTCACACAGAAGGTCCAATTATCACACCTTCCTATATTTCCCCTAGCTTTTCTAAAATCTTAGCTCTTCCACAGTCTCTCAGATAGAAAAATCACCCAAGATCTAATTTCTTACCCTAAAATTATTGTTATTTTAAAATTCAACCTAGCTCTGTGCAGTTTACCTTCTAAACTGGGTCTGTTGCAGCAAGAGATAAATATTCCTGATGAGAGGGGTCAGGTGAAGGCGATCAGGTCTGAGAGTGATAAACACCAGCAGAAGCCAAAGGGGTGGCTGGAAGATAGACCTGTACATCATGGTCAAATCTAACTGGTAATCGTACATATGGAAAATAAAATGGTATCATTCTCACTATGCAGTGGGACGCGGTTGGGAGAGAAAGATAAGACCCAGGGCTGGTAATGATGCAGGAAATGGACCTTCTCCTGTGTTGCTGACAAAAGTGGGAACGACTACAACCTTTCCATAGAGCTTTGGCAAGAGGCATCCAAAGCTATACGCATGTGCATACCTTTTGACCCAGGATTTCTACGTCCAGAAATTCATCTTAAGGAAATAATCAGAAATGTGATTATATGCTTACCTGTAAGAATATTCATCTGGGCCAGGTGCAGTGGCTCACGCCTGTAATCCCACCACCTCGGGAGACCGAGGTGGGCAGATTACCTGAGGTCAGGAGTTTGAGACTAGCCTGGCCAACATTAAAAAAAAAAAAAAGAATATTCATCTGCTTTATAACTGACATTTTTAACAATAGAAATAAATCAATATAATAGAAAAATTTGAGAAAAACTTAGTTCCATCAATAGGGAATTGGTTAAAAAAAAAAAAAAAAGTAAGAGCTCAGCTTCTAGATTCTGAGCTCAAATCACAACTTGCTATCTGAATGAACCTAAACAAATTCCCTGACTTTTTTTTCAAGACAAGGTTTTGTTCTGTCACATCACAGATGTGCTGTGCTCACACAGCCTGCTCACACATGCAGGCTGGAGTGCAGCGGTGCGGTCACAGCTCACTGCAGCCTTGACCTCCTGAGTCAAGCAATCCTCCCACCTCAGTTTCCCTAGTAGCTGGGACGACAGGCGTGCACCACCATGCCTGGATATTTTTTGTAGAGACAAGGTTTCGTCATGTTTCTCAGGCTGGTCTCGAATTCCTGGGCTCAAGCAATTCTGCCTTGGCCTCCGAAAGTGCTGGGGTTACAGGCGTGAGCCACTGTGCCTGGCCCTCGACTTTTTTAAGCCTGATTTTCCTCATCTGTAAAATGGATCACAATAATAATACCTTCTCCTAACCACTTTCTCTGCCACTACCTACCATTTCTCTGCTTTTCTTTGCAATGAAACTTCTCAAAAGAATAGGTGATACGCACTGATGTGCACTCTCTTTGAAATCCACTCCAGCCAGGCTCTTGTCCTTGCTACTCCAGTAAAACTGATGTTGTCAAAGTTGCTAACATTGACTAAGTTCAAGGAACAGTCCTTAGCTGTCATCATACTTGGTCTTTGGGCATAATTTGACCCAGTTGGGCCCCCCTTCTTCTCTGACACAATTGGTTCTCTTGGCTTCTAGGACCCTATTTTCTCTTAATTTCCTTCCTACCCCACACTGGTCACTCCTCTATCTCCCTCCTCCCTGCCTTCTTAAGGATACAGCACCTGGGACATGGTCCTTGGTTTTCTCTTCGTCATCTATACCCCTTACCTTGGTGGACTCATCCAGTCTCAAGACTTTCTTTCTTTTTTTTTTTTTTTTTGAGACGGAGTCTTGCTCTGTCGCCCAGGCTGGAGTGCAATGGCGCCATCTGGGCTCACTGCAAGCTCCGCCTCCCGGGTTCACGCCATTCTCCTGCCTCAGCCTCCCGAGTTGCTGGGACTACAGGCGCCCGCCACCATGCCCGGCTAATTTTTTGTATTTTTAGTACAGATGGGGTTTCACCGTGTTAGCCAGGATGGTCTCAATCTCCTGACCTCGTGATCCGCCCGCCTTGGCCTCCCAAAGTGCTGGGATTACAGGCGTGAGCCACCGCGCCCGGCCCAGTCTCAAGACTTTCAACCATGTCCCTTTGCAGATGATTCCAATTATATCTCCAGTCCAGACCTCTCCCCTGAAATCCAGACTGGTACATCCCGCTGACTACTTGACATCTTTATTTGGATGTCTAATAGGAATCTCAAAATTCACATCCAAAATGAAATTAAACTCCTTATTTTCTATTCCCCCATTCGCTCCATCCATAGCATTCCCCATCTCAATTCCATTCCTCAGGTGGTTCAGAACAAAAAACCCTAGAATCATCCTTGACTTCTTTGTTTCTGTCACAGACTACACCCAATGGCTCAGGAAATCTGTTGGTTCTAGCTTTGGGCTATATCCAGAATCAGATCAGTTTTTGCTGTCTTCTCCATTGCCACCATGGTCTGGGCCACTGTCCCATCTCAATGGATGACTGAAATAGAGTCCCTGCTAGTCTCCCTGTGACCATCCTTACCCTTCCTACTCTTTTCTCAAGACAGCAGTCAGAATGATGCTTTCCATTTCAAGTTAGAGTGTGTCAGTTTTCCTTCTTTTTTTCTTTTTCTTTTTTCAGATGGAGTCTCCCTCTGTTACCCAGGCTGGAGTGCAGTGGCATGATCTTTGCTCACTGCAACCTCCACCTCCTGGGTTCAAGCAATTCTCTTGCCTCAGCCTCGCTGAGTAGCTGGGACTACAGGCATGTGCCACCATACCCAGCTAATTTTTTTTTTGTATTTTTAGTAGAGACGAGGTTTCACCATGTTGGCCAGGCTGGTCTCGAACTCTTGACCTCAGGTGATCTGCCTGCCTTGGCTTCCCAGAGTGCTGGGATTACAGGCGTGAGCCACCGCGCCTGGCCATGTCACTTTTCTTATCAAAACTCTGCAATGGGGCCCACTCATAGTAAAAAGCCAAATCCAACAACGGTCTTTGGGGCACTCCATGATCTGGCTTCCTATTGTTGCTCTGATCTCATCTTCCTCCATGGTCTCCATTCCCTCCTTCCATTACGGCCACTCTGGCTTCTTGTGCTGTTTTTTGACCACACAGACATTCCTGCCTTAGAGATTTGGGACTAGCTGCCCTTTTACCTGGAATAATCTTCCTTCTTACTTCCTTTAAGTCTTTGCTCAGATATCACCGTCACAGGTTGAGTTCTCTGGAGGCAGTCTCTGAGATAGAGACTGAGTGGGAAGTTTATTGGGGAGTGCTCTTGAGGTCAACTCCTGTGGAAGGGAAGAGGAGGAAGCGGGACTGGACTGTGCAGTAGTCTCAACAAAGGCGTCAGCCAATCCTAAGAGGAGCTCCGAGGCTGGCAGGCTCTTCAGAGATGTCCTGAGTTAGGGTGAGGGGGCCAGGTCACTGGATGAAGGCAGCCCTAGGAAAGCGAGTAGACTGCTCTCTGCAACAGAGACGATTTCTAAGGAGTGCTCACAGCTGAGAGCTGTCTGCTTGCAGCACTCCCAAGCAGTTGCGGAGATAAGTAATCAGTCCTAATGGGGGTTATGGATGGCGCATCTCAGTGTCCATTATAATTCACCCCTTGTGCTGTTCAGATCTACTTCAAATAAGTTCAAGGAGCAGTTCCTCTGGAATTCCAGTGGGCTTCTTTCCTGGGAGAAACTTATAACAGGAAGGTTAAAGAGATGAACAACAGCCCCTGACATTGCAGCTTGTCTTGAGGCTACGATTAATATTCATTTTTCCCTTTCACACTGATAATACAATTCTAGATTTCCCCTCACCCACAAATAGACTCTGCTGGTCTAGGTGGCCTATCTGGTCTGGGGACCTAGACCCTCATCCCTGAGCGATCTATTTGCTCCCTGGTCACCAGGCCTTTCTCAGGCCACAGCTGCTGTACTTGTCCATTAGCTGTCAAAGTTGGGTGAGGACCGAGTCACCCAAGTAGATCACCTGGGTGCCAAACATGTTCTTCCTTGCCCCCAGTGTGTAGCAATAGAGCTCCCTTCCCTTGCTGATCACAGTCAATCGCCTCTGCCAAGATGGTGACTCTTCTTCTTGTCTGCTGGTCCTGCTTAGCACAAATAGCCTGAAGTACCAAAGTGGCAGCCATAGTTTATTGTTCAATGAGATTTTTTCTGGGTCCCCCGGTGGAAGCTTTTTTTTTTTGAGACCTTTTGTCACTCAGGCTGGTGTACAGTAGCACAATTGTGACAGACTGCAGTCTCAACCTCCCCATCTTAAGTGATCCTCCCATCTCAGCCTCTCAAGTAGCCAGGACTACAGGCATGTGCCACCATGTCCAGCTAACTTTTAATTTTTTGTAGAGATGGGAATCTCAATATGTTGCCCAGACTGGTCTCAAACTCCTGAGCTCAAGCAACCTTCTGCCTTGGCCTCCTGAAGTACTGGGATTACAGGCATGAGCCACTACGCCTGGCCAGCATTTCTCCATTTCAATGCCAGGACCTCTAACCCTGCAGAGCCCATAGTTGCAGAGACAGGAAGCACAAATTTCCCGAGTGGGTGATTGAGAATGATGAATAAATGGAGTCATTCTTGCTTCTGCCTCTTGGTTTCCAGATTGAAAGTTTGTTGCCATCTTTGTAATGCCTCCCAGCTGATGCTTCAACAGGCTACTCCACCTCTACCATTCTCTGAGACTGGGTAGTATGATATTGTTATCGAAACACCAGGGGTTTGGTCTAGATCCTGCTTCTCGCTGCACAGAAAGCCAATGATTGAGATGAGTATTACCAAGGAATAAGGAAAAAAGAAGAAGAAGGAAGAAGAAGAAGGCGTGCTATAGCCTTCTGTAGCTACAGACTGGGTGCTACAGCCGAGGAGATGGGAGCTTAGTCTCAAATCCATCTCCCTGCTGTACTAAAACTAGAGGTTTATATAGTAGGGAAGAAGTGTAACAATGTACAACAAAATAGGAACTAGGGAGGGGCAAGGAAGCAATCATGATGAATGAGGGATCCAGCATCTCATTGTCCGTTGTCTGGATGTGGTGATCTGGTGAGTTTCAGTTCTTTTTCTGTTTTTGAGACAGAGTATTGCTCTGTCGCCCAGGCTGGAGTGCAATGGCACCATCTTGGCTCACAGTAACCGCTGCCTCCTGGGTTGAAGTCGTTCTCCTACCTCAGCCTCCCAAGTAGCTGGGATTACAGGCACACACCACCACGCCTGGCTAATTTTTTTGTATTTTTATTTATTTTATTTTATTATTATTATTATTTTTTGAGATGGAGTCTTGCTTTGTTGCCCAGGCTGGAGTGCAGTGGCGCCATCTCGGCTCCCTGCAACCTCTGCCTCCTGGGTTCAAGCAATTCTCCTTCTCAGTCTCCTGAGTAGCTGGGATTACAGGGGCCCACCACCACGCTTGGCCAATTTGTTTTGTATTTGAACCCCTGACCTTGTGATCAGCCTGCCTCGGCCTCCCAAAGTGCTGGGATTACAGACATGAGCCACTGTACCTGGCCATTTTTTTGTATTTTTAGTAGAGACAGGGTTTCACCATGTAGGCCAGGCTGGTTTCGAACTCCTGACCCCAGTCCTCCTGCCTCAGCCTCCCAAAGTGCTAGGATTACAGACGTGAGCTACTGCGCTTGGCTGAATTTCAGTTCTTTGATAGTTTTTTTTTTTTTTTCCTTTGAGACAAGAGTCTTGCTCTGTTGCCCAGGCTGGAGTGTGCAATGGTGTGATCTTGGCTCACTGCAACCTCCACCTCCCGGGTTCAAGAAATTCTCCTGCCTCAGCCTCCTGAGTAGCTGGGATTACAGGCGCACACCACCATGTCCAGCTAATTTTTGTATTTTTAGTAGAGACGGGGTTTCACCATTTTGGTCAGGCTGGTCTCAAACTCCTGACCTCATGATCTGCCCGCATCGGCCTCCCAAAGTGCTGGGATTACAGGCGTGAGCCACTGTGCCCGGCCTGATAGTTTTTTGAGAGGCCTGAAGATTGCTTCCTGAAGAAGGAATGCAGATAAAACAAATATAAGGTTCAAGCTTTAAGACCAGAAGCATCAATTCTGGTGGTTTATCCAAAAAACTGTGGGACTATTGAGTTGGTTTCAATATGTGATATGATGGGCATGGACCTACTCTTGCACCTCCTTTGTTGTAAAGTGGGTCTGTTGGTCTAATGCAATGCTATGTAGGATCCCGTGCTGGTGGATTCAACACTCTATAAGCCTTGGGATAGTGGTGCTGGTTGAGACACTGTATGGAGGAAAGCCGAAACCATCCCCAGAATGTCTATTTCTGTCTAAGTTAATTGCTACTCCTTGCAAGGTGGCTGGTCAGTCCCCTCAAGGGATGATACCAAAGAAAGGACTCAGTGCTGGTAACTATTGCTGGCAGATTGGACATGTAGTAGCAGGAGCTAGTGCGACCTTGGTGAGCCTCTGCTATTGGGCCCATGTCTAGCCTCCATCCCTTCCACCATGGCTGCTCCACGCATGTGTTGTGAGTGCTGTTGCATAGGCACTAACATGCTAATCAATGATCTTCGCACTGCGCGTCCACTCCTACATGTCATCCAAGTGCCTCTACCACATACTTCTTTGTCCCGATCTTCATATCTTTCTCTTTGAACGCCATTGACCAAGCCATTATCACTACCCATGAGTCCTAGTTTGTTCTAAACCCAAGCCATTTGTTTTTGCATATAAACCTGATGACAGATTCACTGCCCATTGAGAATATTTCTGCTCACCATTGTCTTTCAAGGTCATCCCTGAATGGCACTGTAGTGCAGCCATCACCCATTTTCAGTTCGTACCCATGTATCGAACCAACTCATCCATCAACCACACTCAGTTTTTTTCTTCTCTGTTAACTAATCACAATCAGGGATCCACATGGAACCATAGGTGTGAGCTGAGAGAGATGCTGGTATAACAGTGATGAGTGGCTTGTGTGTCTGGGCTACTAGCTCATGCAGATCACATGTGCTGTTCAGCCTGCACCTGTTTGATCCTGGATATACCATTTCTGCCTTATGATGGACTTCTGCTGGGATTGGGCCTCCCTCACCTTATGACTCCATGGCTCTGATAGAACCCAGCTCATGTTGAGCACTTATGGCTGCCTAGTTACTTGGTGTCCAATGGTCAGGTGCTCTGTCTCTAACAGGGCCTAATAGCATTCCAGGAGCTTTCTAGAAAGGCATTTAATTCTCTGTTACAGATAGCATAGCCTTGTTCCAGAACCTTGCAAATCTGCACTATGATTCTCCCTCTGGGACTTGTCATAAATTTCCAACACTGATACCTCTAATAACATAGAGTCTGCTGGATCATCTGGCCGAAGCAGCAGGACTGATTGCATTGTAGCCTGGACATGCTACGGGGCCCTTTCCTGCTCTTGGCCCCACTTAAAATTGACAGGCTTTCATGTCATCTGGAGTACGAGTTAAAGCGATAGTCCCATTTTTGGAATATGTTGCCTCTGGAACTCAAAGAGGCCTACTAGGTATTAGGCTTCCTACTTTGTGATGGGAAGTACAAGATCCAATAATGTATTCTTTCCCTTGAGGAGTAGTCTCAGCATGTCCCAGGCCCCTGGACCTCTAAAAATGTCACTGAGATGTTAGACCTCTGATGTCTAACATAGGGTTTTTCTCCTACGCTCTGGAATGCATGTTACAGAGGTCTCTGATGCACTAGTGAATTCTCGCTTAGCTGGTTCGATTAGCATGATGTCATCAGTATCCAGCCAGCCCGTGTCTCTCAGGACTATATTATGCCACGAGCAGGAGCATTAACACAGCCCTGGGGCAAGACTGTAAATGTACTTTTTTTTTTTTTTTTTTTTTGAGACAGAGTCTCGCTCTGTCACCCAGGCTGGAGTGCAGTGGCGTGATCTCGGCTCACTGCAAGCTCCGCCTCCCAGGTTCACATCATTCTTCTGCCTCAGCCTCCAGAGTAGCTGGGACTACAGGCGCCTGCCACCATGCCCGGCTAATTTTTTTGTATTTTTAGTAGAGATGGGGTTTCACTGTGTTAGCCAGGATGGACTCAATCTCCTGATCTGTCCGTCTCAGCCTTCCAAAGTGCTAGGATTACAGGCGTGAGCCACCGCGCCCGGCCTGTAAATGTACATGTTGTCTGTTCCAAGTGAATCAACTGTTCTGATCCTCTTTTTGATAGGATGGAAAAGAACGCACTCACCGGTTCAGTGGCCACTTATTATGTACCTGAGAATATGTTAATTTGCACTAGCAAAGATATCACATCTGGCACAGCAGCTACAGATAGGACTACTGCTTGGTTGACTACAGTAACCTATTGTCATCCTCTAGGATCTGCCTGACTTTCACAGTTTGGATGGGTAATTAAATGGAGATGTGGTGGAAACTACCTACCTTGTATCCCTTGGGTCTTTCCCAGTTACTTTTTTTTTTTTTTGAGACAGAGTCTCACTCCGTCATCCAGGCTGAAGTATAGTGGCTCGACCTTGGCTCACTGCAACTTCCTCCTCCCAAGTTCAAGTGATTCTGCTGCCTCAGCCTCCCAAGTAGCTGGGATTACAGGCGCCCACCACCATGCTTGGCTAATTTTTTGATTTTTAGTAGAGACGAGGTTTCACCGTGTTGACCAGGCTGGTCTTGAACTCCTGACCTCATGATCCGTCTGCCTCAGCCTCCCAAAGTGCTGGGATTACAGGCGTGAGCCACTGTGCCCAGCCCCCATTACTTTTTTTATGAATGGCTGTCACCCCCAGCTGGGATGCATAATTTGATTTACTGTCTTGGCTCATGGGGGAAGGAGGGTGCCGGAAATGCAGTTTCAGAGGCTTCCACTTGACCTTCCCATTATAATAGCTCTTATTCCACAGGCCAAGAAACCAAGGTAAGTCCATTCTAATGATATATTCAAGGACTAGAAAAATGACCACTTGGTGAATCTGTGGACTTGGTGGGCACACGGTGGGCCACACCTAGGCCAGCCTCCATTTACTACCTGGCCCCCATGTGTACTTTAAACGTGTCTCATGATGATGTTTCCAGTCTCAGGGTCTCAACTAGGACCTCATACCTAACAGTGTTTAAAAGAGTATTCCTGGCCCGGCACGGTGGCTCACACCACTTTGGGAGGCAGAGGAGGGCGGATCACTCGAGGCCAGGAGTTCAAGACCAGCCTGGCCAACATGGTGAAACCCTGTCTATACTAAAATTACAAAATTTAGCTGGTGTGGTGGTGGGCTCCTGTAATCTCAGCTACTCAAGAGGCTGAGGCCCGAGAAACGCTTGAATCCAGGAGGCCGAGGCTGCAGCAAGCCGAGATCATGCCACTGTACTTCAGCCTGGGCAACAGAGCGGGATTCCGTCTCAAAAAAAAAAAAAAGAGTATTCCCTTTTCTCAGAGTATGACTACCCAAATAAGTGGCCAGAGTTCCCTTTGGGGAAGAACCTGGGAAATGTCCACCATGTACATCAGTGTACATGATCTGACAGGGTACTTACTGGGTACTTACCATATATATCAGTGTACATGATCTGACAGCGTACTTACTGGGGACCTGGCTTCTCTTTTCATCTATGGGTTCTGGGTCTGAAAACTAGTTCCTGTCTGGAAACTGAGCAAATGATTGTGACTTTTTATTGGGGGCAGCTGCCCTTGGCTTGCTGATCAACTGTTCTTGATTTCTCTTTGTTGTACAGATTGAGCAGAACCCTTTTGTTTTGTTTTGTTTTTGAGACGGAGTCTCACTCTGTCGCCCAGGCTGGAGTACAGTGGCGCGATCTCAGCTCACTGCAAGCTCCACCTCCCGGGTTCATGCCATTCTCCTCAGCCTCCCAAGTAGCTGGGACTACAGGGTGCCTGCCACCACGCCCGGCTAACTTTTGGTATTTTTAGTAGAGACGGAGTTTCACCATATTAGCCAGGATGGTCTTGATCTCCTGACCTCGTGATCTGCCTGCCTCGGCCTCCCAAAGTGCTAGGATTACAGGCGTGAGCCACTGTGCCCAGCGAGCAGAACCCTTTTGCCCAATTAGTTTTGCTATGTTCTAGTAACTATCGCCACAACTCTCTGAGGATCAGGGTCCCCCAGCTGCCACTCCAAACTTGCTGCTCATTATGATAATTGCATCCACCTGGCTACTGAGGGCTAACAGCTTCTATTGTTTCAGGGTCCCATCATCCCCACTGCCATGCGTGAGTCTAGTTCTGTCTGATCATTAGCCCTGGCCTAGAGACTCCTGGTGATACTGGTGCCCTCTTATGTCTCTCCCAGCAGTGCATTCCTTATTGCTTTGGGATATCTTCTGGGTCTCCTGTGGGATATAGTCACCTTGCAGGCTTTCCTGCTGCATGCAGTATAGCAGTTCTAGCATGGCCATTTTTCTGAGCCTTTTCCCCTCTTCCATCTTCTGTTATGGCAATTCTGGCATTCCTACCTTAGTTGGTGTGGGCCATAATTTTCTTCAGGCTTCTAAGAGCCATTCCAGCAGTATGTTCCCACTGTCATCCCGCGATCATGCCAGGGCATTCCCAAATTGATCACCTTTCCTTTTTCGAAATGTTTTGCCCCTGTTGATCCCATGCCTTCTGAACATAGTCTCGGGCATATTCTTCCAGTCTCAGGGTCTCCCCTAGGATCCATCCCCAGCGGTCTGTCAACAGCTCCCGGTACATGTTGGTAGGTTCTGCAGCTCCTTCACAGTAGAAGCGCTTCCTTCTCTTATGAGACCCAGCGTGTCTCTGGCCAAGTCATGCTGTGACTTTACCCTAGTTACTGGGTTAGTGGTCAGGAGGGCAGATGGTGGCAGATTCTACATGAGGTGCATGTTGTC
Source organism: Homo sapiens (assembly GCF_000001405.40). Lineage (NCBI taxonomy): Eukaryota > Metazoa > Chordata > Mammalia > Primates > Hominidae > Homo > Homo sapiens. Next base: position 225,717,629 of record NC_000001.11, on the reverse strand, counting down.
CTGCAGAAGAGAGTCCTCTGCATCATCTTTTAGCAAACCGGGAGTGCCAGCCCTTAGAGAAAGGTGGGCCACTTCTGCAGGCTCAGAGCAATCTGGGAATTCAAGATCTTTGGGTACATCCACTCAGATATTCACATCTCATGTATCAGAGTCCCATTCTGTCGCCCAGGCTGGAGTGCAATGGTGCAATCTCGGCTCACTGCAAACTCTGCCGCACAGGTTCAAGTGATTCTCCTGCCTCAGCCTCCTGAGTAGCTGGGATTACAGGCACCTGCCACTGCGCCCAGCTAATTTTTGTTTTTTGTTTTTTTGTATTATTTATTTATTTATTTGAGACGAAGTCTCAGTCGGTCACCCAAGCTGGATTGCAGTGGTACAATCTCAGCTCACTGCAACCTCCACCTCCCGGGTGTCTCAGCCTCCCGAGTAGTTGGGACTACAGGCCTGTGCCATGATGCCCAGCTAATTTTTTTGTATTTTTAGTAGAGACAGGGTTTCACCATATTGGTCAGGCTGGTCTCAAACTCCTGACCTCAGGTGACCTGCCTGCCTCGGCCTCCCAGAGTGCTGGGATTACAGGTGTGAGCCACCGTGCCCAGCTGTTTGTATTTTTAGTAGAGATGGTGTTTCACCATCTTGGCCAGGCTGGTCTTGAACTCCTGACCTCGTGATCTACCCGCCTTGGCCTCCCAGAGTGCTGGGATTATAGGCATGAGCCACCGCACCCGGCCTGCACTCTGCTACTATTAGGATTACACCATGTACCTGGTCCTCAGCTTTCCCTTTCCTCCAGGTGCAAGGGATGAGAGTATCCCTATGAGCTCCACTCAGTTTTCAATTGCTGATGAATCCTTTTCAACATTTCATTATTTTTTTCAAAGTGTTAATTATCCTTAGTGAAAGCCACCTAATTGAATTGTCCTTGTGGTAATTCTCCCCATATTTCTCAACCACCTGATAGGTCACACCCTCTGGTGCATTTCCTTCCATGGGAATACCATTCTAGTTCACCATTGGCAAAAGTTTTAACAATTTCACTGCTATCTTGTGCTACGGACTATATGTACTTCTTCTACTGCCACTGATGGGGTCTGCACTGCCAGCTGGATGGTAGGTGATCCAATTCCAAAATCTCATGTTGGCATCTCTTTCTTGGATCACTGCTGGTATAAACAATCTAGGGTTGAGTTCCCAGGGAAGGAGACACTGAGAGATATTAGCACGGAAGAAGTTTGTTATTAGCACAGAAGTTTGATATTAACACAGAAGAAGTGCTGGGAGGGAAGTGAAGGAGTCAGGACCGTGTATAGGAAGAGATTGGTTGGACCACAGTGAAGTCTAAAAGTCTCAACCATGGGAAGCTCTGAAGCTGGGTGATCCTTCAGAGTAGTCTCAAGTTGGGGAAGGGGGACCAGGCCTTTGAGTCCCCATATTGGCCAATCATTGGATGTGGGTCCCAGGAGTTGGAGTGATCTTGGGTGAGGTGACTTTCTTCATCCAAGGCAATTCCCAAAGAGGACTGAAAACTGAGGGCTGACCACACCATCAGCAACTGGGGGAGTAGTCTCCAATCCTGAAAGGCACCTAGGCAGAACCAGAGCATCCACTACGATCACGGTAAGCAGACAAACAGACCTGACTATCCTATTTACTACTCAGTGAGGCAACCCATACCACCTCCTCTCCACCCCATCCCTGTCTATGGCACTTAACATCTTCTAACGTAGTATATAATTAACCTATTTATCATACTGTTTAGCAGCAATTTCCCCTTCTAGAATGTAAAATCAAAGAAGACAGAGATTTTTATTCATTTGATTTACTAATGCATGCTAAGCACATAGCTAAGGACCCAACACATAATAGGGGCTGAAAAACATGTTCTGAATAAGTGAACAAATAAATAAATAAATACCTAACTCGTTGGTTTTTCGTGAGGATTAAACTGAATTGATGAATGTAAAATATTTAAACAGGCCAGACACACACTCACCACCATGTTAACTATTATTATTATAGAGTTTAAAGTCTTAGACCAATATGTTAATAACGACTGTCTCTGATTTATGGGATTATAGGTAATTTTTATTTTGTTCTTTGGAATTTTTGTATCTTTTAAATTTTCTGTGATAGATAATCAGGAAAGGAAAAATAGTAAATTATTAAGTTAAAAGAAAATTTGGTTGGTATACATTGGATAGTAGAGAGAATGAAAATTCCTGATGGACATCACCTCTCTTAGAAAGAGCAATTGATTTGACAGCAAGTTTTTTTGTTTTTTGTTTTTTTGAGACAGAGTCTTGCTTTGTCGTCCAAGCTGGAGTGCAGTGGCACGATCCTGGCTCACTGCAACCTCTGCCTCTCGGGTTCAAATGATTCTCCTGCCTCAGCCTCCTGAGTAGCTGAGATTACAGGCATCCGCCATCAAGCCTGGCTAATTGTTGTATTTTTAGTAGAGCCAGGGTTTCACTATGTTGGCTAGGCTGGTCTCAAACTCCTGACCTCAAGTGATCCACCCACCTCGGCCTCCCAAAGTGCTGGGATTACAGGCATGAGCCACCACACTCGGCCTGACAGCAAGTTTTATATGGTTCTTTCTCAAGCTTGACCTCTACATTGTTGAGGGCCTGGAACTGTGCCTGGCACAGAGCAAACACTCAGGAAATATTTGCTTCTAATAAGGACAGAAGGAAATTGGCATCATGGGATTTGGGAGATAGCTGTTCTGCTGTTGAAAGCAGCACTGTCAGGCTGAGGAAGTTTTAAAATTCACTGTTTGTGTCTCAGTTTTCCTGTCAAACAGATAATAAATGGTTGTTTCCCACTCTGACCTGTTAGTGGCCTCATGGAACTACTTCAATAATAAATGATTTCAACAATATCCCTATCAAAATTTTAGCTGCCCCTTTTATACTTTTTTGCAGAAATTGACAAACTGATCCTAAAATTTATATGAATATATAAGGGACCCAGAATAGCCAAAACAATCTTGGAAAAGAAGAACAAAGTTGGAGGACTCACACCTCCCAATTTCAAAATTTACTACAAAGCTACAATAGTCAAGACAGCAGGATACTGTAATAAGGATAGAAATTAATGGCATATAATTGAGAGTCCAGAAATACACTGTCAGATATGGTTAATTGATTTTCAACAAGAGTGGCAAGACAATTCAATGAGGAAAAATAATCTTTTCAACAAATGGTGTGGGGTAACTGGATTTCCTCATGCAAAACAATGAAATTGAACCCCCTATATCATATCATATCATATCATATCATATCATATAAAAATTAATTTAAGGCTGGGTGTGGTGGCTTACACCTGTAATCCCAGCACTTTGGGAGGCCGAGGCAGGAAGAGCCTAGGAGTTCGAGACCAGCCTGAGCAACATAGCAAAACCCTATGTCTACAAAAATATATATATATTTTAATTAGCCTGGCATGGTGGTACAATCTGTGGGCCCTGCTACTGGGGAGGCTGGGGCAGGAGGATCACTTGAGCCCAGGAGGCTGAGACTGCAGTGAGCCATATTCATGCCACCTCATTCCAGCCAGGGTGCCAGAGAGAGACCTTTTCTATCTCTCAAAAAAAAAAAAATTAATTCAAAATGGATTGTAGGCCGGTGCAGTGGTTCACACCTGTAATCCCAGCACTTTGGGAGGCCGACGCGGGCAGATCATGAGGTCAGGAGATTGAGACAATCCTGACTAACATGGTGAAACCCCGTCTCTACTAAAAATACAAAAAATTAGCCAGGCATGGTGGCACGCGTCTGTAGTCCCAGCTACTTGGGAGGCAGAGGCAGGAGAATTGCTTGAACCCGGGAGGCAGAGGTTGCAGTGAGCCAAGATTGCGCCACTGCACTCCAGCCTGGGCGACAGAGCGAGACTCCATCTCAGAAAAAAAAAAAAAAAAAAAAAAAAGGAATAAAAACAAGTGTTGGGGCCAGGCGCAGTGGCTCACACCTGTAATCCCAGTACTTTGGGAGGATGAGGTGAGCCAATCACCTGAGGTCAGGAGTTCGAGATCAGCCTGGCCAACATGGTGAAACCCTGTCTCTACTACAAAAACTAGCTGGGTGTGGTAGCGCACGCCTATAGTCCCAGTTACTCGGAAGGCTGAGCCAGGAGAATGGCTTGAACCAGGAATGCGGAGGTTGCAGTGAGCCGAGATTGCACCACTGCATTCCAGCCTGGGGGATAGAGCAGGGCTCCGTCTCAAAAGAAAAAAAAAGTGTTGGGGAGGATATAGAGGAATCAGAACCCTCATACATTGCTGGTGGGAACATACAACAGGGCAACTGCTTTGGAACACAACTTTGTAGTTCCTCAAAAAGTTAAATAAAATTACCATATGACCCAGAAATTTCACTCCTACATATATATCCAAGGGAATTAAAAACCTATGTTGATGCAGAAATTTGTACACAAATGTTCATAGCAGTGTTATTCCTAACAGCCAAAAGGTAGAAACAACCAAAATGTCCATCAACTGATGGATGAATAAACCAAATCCATACAACGGAGAATTACTGAGCCACCAAAAGGAATGAAGTACTGACACATACAACATGGTTGAACTTCGAAAACATGCTAATAAGAAGCCAGATGGCCGGGTGCAGTGGCTCAGGCCTGTAATCCCAGCACTTTGGGAGGCTGAGGTGGGCGGATCACGAGGTCAGGAAATCAAGACCATCCTGGCTAACACGGTGAAACCCCATCTCTACTAAAAATACAAAAAAATTAGCCGGGCATGGTGGCGGGCACCTGTAGTCCCAGCTACTCGGGAGGCTGAGGCAGGAGAATGGTGTGAATCCAGGAGGCAGAGGTTACAGTGAGCTGAGATCGCACCACTGCACTACAGCCTGGGCTACAGAGCGAGACTCTGTCTCAAGAAAAAAAAAAAAAAAAAGAAGCCAGACACCAGGCAGACTATATATTGTATTATTCTATTTACAGGAAGTATCCAGAAGAGTCAAATTTATAGAGATAGAAAGTAGATTGTTGGTTGCTAGGGGATGGGGATGGGGTAGGGAAATGAGAAGTGACTTAATAGGTGCCGGTTTCTTTTTGGAGTGATGAAATGTTCTAAAATTAAATAGTGGTGATGGTTGCACAATTCTGTGAATATACTAAAAACCACTTAATTGTACGCTTTAAAAGGGTGAATTTTATGGCATGTAAAGTACATCTAAGTAAAGCTGTTATTAGAAAAAGAAAAGGGGCCAGATGTGCTGGCCTATGCCTGCAATCCCAACTACTTGGGAAGCTGAGGCAGGAGGATTGCTTGAGCCCAGAAGTTGGAGACCAGCCTGGGCAACATAGTGAGACACCATCTCTAAAAAATAAAAAAGAGAAAGGAAAGGAAAATAAAAGGGTAGGGGGCAAGGGGAGGGATAGCATCAGGACAAATACCTAATGCATGTGGGGCTTAAAACCTAGATGACGGTTTGAGAGGTGCAGCAAACCACCATGGCACATGTATACTTATGTAACAAACCTGCATGTTCTGCACATGTATCCCAGAAGTTAAAGTATTATATATATATATATATATAATATATATATATATTTATAGAAAAAAAAAGAAAAAAAGGCTGGGTGTGGTGGCTCGCACCTATAATCTCAGCACTTTGGGAAGCTAAGGCAGGAAGATTGCTTGAGCCCAGGAATTTGAGACCAGCCTGGTAAACATGGTAAAAACCCATATCTACAAAAAATACAAAAATGTGTGGTGGTGCATGCTTGTGGTCCCAGCTACTCGGGAAGCTGAGGTGGGAGGATAGCTTGAGCCTGGGAGGTCAAGGCTGCAATGAGCTGTGATCACACCACTGCTCTACAGCCTGGGCAACAGAGCAAGACCATCTCAAAAAAAAAAAAAAAAAAAAAAAAAAGAGGCAAATGACACAAGGAGGTTTCTTAAACCAGAGCATTGGAAGTTGGACTAGTGCAAAGCTTTCAGGGGACCAAAGTCCCTGCAGGGTCACAGGTGCAGTCTGAGCCTTTTCCTTCCTGCTCCACAGTGCAGGCATTCCTGCCCCTTTCCCCAACATGAAACACAGCCACCTCTGTGGTCTCTATCAGGTTGCTAAATGATTTTCCGAACCTGAGTTAGCCAGCGGCCCTGTGAGCTGCCAGCCATGCTGAGTGACTGTTCTAAAAGGGCCTGAGCTCCTTCAAACAGCCCATGTAGAAGGTTCTTTTTCCCCTTGCCTGGAAAGTCTCCTCTGCCTACCTGTGCCTTAGCCCCTCCTTACTCTGCCTTTTCCATAGGGCATTCTGCAGCCTCCCGTGGGCTTTTTTATCTACCCCTTCCTGCCCTGGGCCCTCTCCCCAAAATCACAAGTCATCCACTTCACCAAATTTGGTGGATCAAAAACCCACCAGGCATGCTTTTATTTTTTAGGAGACAGATTCCTGAAATTCACCCCACTGAAATTGAGTCAGTAGGTTGGGGGCAAGCCTGGGACTCTCGAAGCTCCCCCAGGTGATTCTGATGATCAGCCAGATTTGGGAACCTTTGATCCAGTTCACCCTCCCACCCAGTGCTCCAGCATCCCTGCCGAGAGGTTGACTCAGCTTTTCCAAGAAGCATTCCCTGACTTGCCTTGCCAAGGTGGGAGCTCCACCCAAGTGCTTCGAAAATGCTGTGCTCATCATCAACCCCAATCTTAGTGTGAATCATGTATTGTCATCGCCTGTTTAAATGTCTCACTCCCCCACTAGACTCTTTGAAGAAGGGGACTGTGTCTTAGTTAATGTATTACCCCCAATACCTGACTTGTAGTAAGGACTTCGTGTATTTATCAAGTGAGTGAGTGAATAAATGAACACCACTAGAAATCTACGAATATAATACAGTCATTATCTAAGGTATAATGATTTTGCTTGTACAGCATTTGGTGTGAAGAATTTGACAGTGAAAATATTTATTTGGCTATTCTGTAAAAGGAATTAGATTTTGATATATCAGCTCTGAAAATCGGGCTGGAAGCTAGCTGTCCTTTAGACAGTTAGGTCCAGCTGTTCTCACAAGTGCGTCATTTAGGAAGACATACCATTCACTGGAAGGATTTGACATATTTCCTGGGTCCAAGAACAAGCTTTGACTTAGGCTCTGTAGTCTGTAAATGTGAGAGAAAATAAAGTATGAGCTGATTTAGATTTATCCATATCCAGTTAAGGGCAGATTCACATTTTGAGGGGCCTGAAGCTTGGACAATTTTGGAGGCCTTCTTTTAAAAAAGCCCTTGTTTCTCTACCACCCCCAAACTTCTAGTGCCAGGAGCCCAGGACAGGCTCATTTTGTGACATCACATCTGACCCTGTACCTTTATGACATGCCAGGTGGGTCTTTACAGTGAGTAAAGGAGTATTCCTGGACGTCACCTATGTACTGATATAGCTATATTGCTATATATTGCTAGCTAGCAATAACTTCATATCTACCTAAGTGACAGCATACCACATACGTCTCCCACATCCCATAAATATGTCCCCAACATCCCATACTAAATGTAGTCCCAATGCAACTTCCTCTTAGCTGGATATCCAGAATGCCCATGGCCTCTCCAATGTCACTGACATCAGCGGAAAGTGGTAGAGGGGAAGTTAGGGTAGAGACAGAGAACTAGTTAAAGTATCTTACCTTTGAAATTTTTATAAAAACAGATTACCATGAGAGCACACAGTAGTCCCCTCCCAGAGCCATGAAAGAGGACAGTGCAATTGAGGGGCTATGAAGCTTAAACTCTGTTTAGTTTCATGATAAATGCACCTCTGCAAACAAACATTTATTGAGCATCCCTTACATGCCAGGCACTGTTTCAGGCACTCAGAATGAAGTGGTGAATAAAATAATCAAAGCCCATGACCTCATGGGGCGCACATCTAGTCTAGTTAAAATAGGTGTGTTTTCCTGGTTTGTGAGGACAGGAACATTGGATGTATTGGCCACCACTGCCTGACTCTCAATAAATATTTGTGGAATGAATAAATGAAAGATGGAATGAATGAAACATTTCAGAACTAAAAAGTATTGTGCTGTTGAGATTTGGTATGTCAATGAAATTCAGCACAAATTACAAAGTTGCTACAAAGCCTATGAAAAATTATAAGGACGATAATGACATGGGTGTTGCACCACAATTTTCTAGGACCCAAGCAGGACTATTGTTCTGACATGTATTAACATTGGCAGGTAACCAGAGATTCCACTTCCTTTCTGGAACTAAATTGGCACTCCAGCTAGTACACCTCTAAGGCAGGTCCTCCCTCAGTTTTGGAAGGTTAAAAACAGGGAGAGACAAGTGAGAACCAGTCCCAGTCCTGTGTCACCGACTCCTCCTTCTTCTGCCCGCTGGCTGCCGGAGCTACTGGAGATGTGGCCCTCAACAGCTGCTCATCTGTCACAGCATTCACTACAGGTGATTGGGTAACCTCTCCCTCCCATTGACCCCTCCGCCACCACCCCCCTACCTCCTACTTCACAGGAGATAGAGGTAATCAGAGGACAATGCCCACAGTCACCAAACCTGCAACATTACTGCACCTGAGTCCATCTTCCCCTTTATTCCTCTGTTAAGGATGGAACGAGCCCCAGCTGCATCATTTATTAGCTCTGTGACATGGAGCAATTGTGAGGGCCTCAGTTAAAGATTGTCCCCCACTTTTTTTTTTTTTTTGAGGCGGAGTCGAGATCGAGGCTGCAGTGAGCCATGATTGCACCACTGCACTCCAGCCTGGGCAACTGAGCAAGACCTTGTCTCAAACAAACAAACAAACAAACAAACAGAGATAATGGAAAAGGTACATGGTGCCTGGCACAAGAAACTTTCTTTAATTATTAATATTGCTGTTACTATTCTTATCATTTCTGTCCAAGGCCAATGCCTTCCATGGTATCTTGCCTTTTCAGAAACTCCACTCTTATCAGTTATTCACTCTCCCTGTTCCTTCAGCCTTTCTTCTATAGCCTCCTACCCATCACCATATAAACAAATACAATTTACTTCAATTTTTAAAGATGGCAGCGTAATTAAGAACTTTCCTTGACCTCACCTGCCCCTCCATCTGTCCTTCTTTCTCAGCTGCAGTCTTTGGAGAGTAGCTCGCATTCACTGTCTCTGTGACGCTGTCTTCCTCCCTTCCTTTCTGCATCCACCCAGCACTCCTCGGAGTCAGTCTTAGCAAGGTTACTAAAACCTCCCTGTGGCTTGATCCAGTGACTGCCTTGAGTCTTTTCTTCCTTGACCTCTCAGTAGCTTCCCAAGTTGCTTATTGTTCCCCCTTTAATGTGCTTTTCATCCCTTGACTTCAGGACATCCAGCTCTTTAACTCCTTTAACTCCTACTTTCCCAGCCCCTCCTCCCAGTGTCCTGTGTGGGCTCCTCTCCCTTTGTGAGTTCTTCGGCTTCTGCTCATCCCTAAGTGGCTGTATTCTCTGCTGGTCTAGCCCTCGTTTTGTTCTTTTCTTACTCTTTCCTCTCCTCTGGTTCATCCCGATGATTCTGAGGCTTCCATCATCATCCAAAGCTGGAGATCAATCATCCAGTGCCACCAGTCCAGACCTCTCTTCCAGGCTCCAGACACATAAATCCAGCTGTCTGCTGCCATTCCCCATTTACATTCCCCACAGGCCCTTCAAAATCCACATGCTCAAAATAAGCTCTTCATCTTCCCCCATAAACTAGTCCTTCCTCCTGTTTCCTATTTCAGTGAACAGCATCTCCCTTGACCCAGTTGCCCATGCTAGAAACTTGAGAGTCTCCCTTTACTTCTTCTTTAGCCAATCAATTAACAAGGCCTGTCCATTATCCCGCCTATAAATCTCTCAACTCCATTTGTTTCTTTTCACTTACACAGTCACTACTCTCTTGTAACTGGCCTTCTTGTTTCCAACTCCCTCCCTGCCGCAGGATAAAACACAGACTCTAGGCAGGTTGGGTGGGACTGGAGGGGCAGGCTCTGCTCCCTGTGATCAGCCCTTGCTTACCTCTCCAACCTCAGGTCTTTTCTCTTCTTTGCCACCTACCCTTCGCTCCAGCCACACAGCTCCACTTTTACTTTCCAAAAAGCCAGGCTCCTTCTTGTCTTTGGGCCTTTGATTCTGCCACTCACTCTAAATAGATTAATCTTTGCAGCCTTAAGTTTTTGTTACCACTGGGGCCATCCCCCCGACAGCTCCCCTTATTTACCCTACTGTAGCATTCCCCACACTGTGTCCCAACTGCCTGTTTGCCTGTCTTCTCATCTAGTCTGCGAACTCCTTCATGAAGGGACTCAGCCTCTTTTGTTCACTGCTGAACAAGGCTCTAAGTAGCACCTGGCTCGAGGTAGGTGCTGGACATGTGATTGCTGGGTGAATGAATGGAGGACACGTGATTGCTGGGTGAACAAATGGAGGACACGTGATTGTTGGGTGAATAAATGGAGGACAGGTGATTGTTGGGTGAATAAATGGAGGACACGTGAATGTTGGGTACATAAATGGAGGACACATGATTGCTGGGTGAATGAATGGGCCACTGGTTCTTCTACATATCCATGTAGCCAGTAGAAACCTGGTCCTTGGAGGTTACTGTGTAAGCTTTTTAAGCACCTCTTTTCTGAAAGCTCATCACTGACCCACACATTCTTTCCACTGCCAAGCCTCAAACTCTGAGCCAGGGGTGGAGGAGAGAAGAGGTGGGGTGACTTTCCTTTGGAAGAGAAGAACGTGGATTCTGTCTTTTCTGAGGTCAAGTCTACCAGCTCCCTCCCTCATTCATTTCTTCTCCACCCCTCAGCATCAATGTATCATCACTTACCCACCTTGCCTTCCTTTCTGCGTCAGAAGAGGAGGGGTCCCTCCTTCCAGCCAAGGTTAGCCCTTCTATGAGAACCCTTGGTGCTATGCCTCTTAGGAACCATCATGCACCCATTGTCCCCTTCTCTTCCCATTTAACAGCGTCCTGTCTGTGGTCTCCTTCCTTTCTACAGATATACAAGCTGAATGAAGTCTCTTCTATCTTGAAAACATTGTGACTTTTTCTTTTCTTTTTCTTTTTTTTTTTTTTGATACAGGGTCTCACTCCTGTCACCCAGGCCGGAGTGCAGCAGTGTGATCAAAGCTCACTGCAATCCCTACCTACTGGGCCCAAGTGATCCTCCTGCCTCAGTCTCCCAAGTAGCTGGGACCACAGGCATGTGCCACCATGCCTGGATAATTTTTGTATTTTTTGCAGAGACAGGCTTTCACTATGTTGCCCAGGCTGGTCTCGAATTCCTGGGTTTGAGCGATCCGCCCACCCTGGCCTCCCCAAGTGCTGGGATTACAGGTGTGAGCCACTGCACCTGGCCAACAAATTATTTTAAAAGGGATTTTCCACTATACTTTCTGCCTCCATCATTGTTTTCACCCTCTCGCTCTTTCCTCCTGGCCCCCTCTCCTTCCCGTCTATATTGAACACACTTTCTCTCCTTTTTTTTTTTTTTTTTTTTTTTTTTTGTTGTTGAGACGGAGTCTCGCTCTGTCGCCCAGGCTGGAGTGCAGTGGCGTGATCTTGGCTCACTGCAACCTCTGCCTCCTGGGTTCACGCCATTCTCCTGCCTCAGCCTCCCAAGTAACTGGGACTACAGGCGCCCGCCACCACGCCCGGCTAATTTTTTGTATCTTTAGTAGAGACGGGGTTTCACCATGTTAGCCACGATGGTCTCAATCTCCTGACCTCGTGATCCGCCCGCCTCGGCCTCCCAAAGTGCTGGGATTACAGGCGTGAGCTACCGCGCCCAGCCAAACACACTTTCTTTAAGGTCACAAATGACTTAGTCCAGCTCACGTTCGAGGCTTGCCCCTACTCTCTACTGACACATATGCCCTAGGTTTCTGCCTCACCTTCCCCATCGTTCAACACGGGTTCATTGAGCACCTGTTCTGTGTGCAGCCCGGTGGTGGGGAAGGAAAAGTTATCAAAAAGTGGCCCTCTGAACTCAGAGGTGTGACTAAGATACACACACGGAACTCTACTGAACACTGGATGGCAGAATATAAGTGCCAAGTTATGTGGCACAGACTGTGCTTCCTACCAGGGAAGAGAGAGAACAGCCAGGCTGGAACAGTCAAAGAAATCTTGAAGCTTAAGGTACGAGCTAAGCTAAACTCTATGATGGGCGGGATTTTGCGGAGTGGGGGTGGAGTTGGGGAGCAAGTGCCAGGTTACAGTAAGACAGGAGCAAGGCCTCTACCATCTAAGATGCCTTCAGAGGTTTTCTTCACATTAAAGTGTAAATGACTGAGAAGGACTAAAAACGTAACCTATTTAAGTTGTACTTGCATTTTACATTAAAGACTTCAACTAAGAAGAAGCTGGGTTTTTTTTTTTTTGTTTTTTGTTTTCTGTTTTTTTTTTTTTTTTTTTTTGAGACGGAGTTTTGCTCTTGTTGCCCAGGCTGGAGTGTAGTGGAGTGATCCTGGCTCACTGCAACCTCTGCCTCCCGGGTTCAAGCGATTCTCCTGCCTCAGCCTCCCGAGTAGCTGGGATTACAGGCATGCGCCACCATGCCCAGCTAATTTTGTATTTTTAGTAGAGACTACCATGTTGGCCAGGCTGGTTTCCAACTCCTGACCTCAGGTGATCCGCCCGCCTCGGCCTCCCAAAAGTGCTGGGATGGCGTGAACCACTGCACCCAGCCTGCAGTCTTAATGATAGAATTTCAGCCATTTCCTGAGTTAGAAAAAAATATAATAGTAATGAAAAAACAAAAAAAGAGTCATCCCTCTCTCTCTCTGTTCAGTTTGCAAGTTTTCCCCTGTAAGAATTATGCATGAGGCTGGGCTCGTGGCTTATGCCTGTAATCCCGGCACTTTGGGAGGCCGAGGAGAGTGGATCACCTGAGGTCAGGAGTTTGAAACCAGTCTGGCCAACAAGGCGAAACCCTGTCTCTACTGAAAATACAAAAAATAAGCCGGGCATGGTGGTGTGTGCCTGTAATCCCAGCTACTCCAGAGGCTAAGACAGGAGACTCACTTGAACCCGGGAGGCAGAGGTTGCAGTCAGCCAAGGTCACACCATTGCACTGCAGCCTGGGCAACAACAGCGAAACTCCATCTCACAAAAAAAAAAAAAAAAAAAAAAGAGGCCAAGGCCTCACTTTGGGAGACCAAGGCAGGTGGATCATGAGGTCAGGAGATCGAGACCATCCTGGCTAACATGGTAAAACCCCGTCTCTACTGAAAAACCACAAAAAAATTAGCCAGGTATGGTGGCGGGCGCCTGTAGTCCCAGCTACTTGGGAGGCTGAGGCAGGAGAATGGCATGAACCCAGGAGGCGGAGCTTTCAGTGAGCAGAGATCGCGCCACTGCACTCCAGCCTGGGCGACAGAGCAAGACTCCGTCTCAAAAAAAAAAAAAAAAAAAAAAAAAAGAAAAGAAAAGAAAAAAGAATCACGCATGAATATAACAGCTCTGCCATGCAAATATTTTCCTTGATATGAGGTCAGAGCCAGGCCTCAGGCACACACAACTGCATATCCTCCCAGCAGGCACTTTGCTCTCAGTGTAGGCTTGATACCATCTCTGTTCAGTGTGCTGTTGTATTTGAGGTGTTATTTTAATCAAAACTGTTTTTTTTTAAAAAAATCTTCTTTTATTTTTTGCAAAATGGTTTGCAAGTAATAATAATAGCAGATGCTTAGCTAGTGTATACTGGAGACAGATTCTGCACTAAACGCTTTGCATATAGTTGCCCCCACGTAATCTTTCAAAATAACACTGTGAAGAAGGTTCTTTTATAATCCCCATTTACACATGAGGAAACTGAGGCAGCTGGGTTAAATAACTTGCTGGGAAGTTAAGGAGTTAAGATTCCACTCAGGAAGTGGGAAGGGGATGTGGGGGCTATATGGTTTCCCTCTTGCAGGAGGTTGTTGTTGACCTGCCGGCTTCCCATGCGGCTGACAGTGGCTTCTGAGCTCCTGAAGCTTCAGAAGTGTTTGCATTTTATTAGTGTAATGATAGTTTGCAGTATCTAACCCATAGCAGTGTTTCTCAAACTGTGCGAAGGACTAATTTGATTTTTTTTCTTTTTTGAGACGGAGTCTCGCTCTGTCACCCAGGCTGGAGTGCAGTGGCGTGATCTCAGCTCACTGCAGGCTCCGCCTCCCGGGTTCATACCATTCTCCTGCCTCAGCCTCCCGAGTAGCTGGGACTACAGGCGCCTGCCACCACGCCTGGCTAATTTTTTGTATTTTTAGTAGAGACGGGGTTTCACCTTGTTAGCCAGGATGGTCTCGATCTCCTGACCTCGTGATCCACCCGCCTTGGCCTCCCAAAGTGCTGGGATTACAGGGGCGAGCCACCACGCTTGGCCAATTTGATTTTATTTTTAAAAATTTCTGGGGGCTGGGCGTGGTGGTTCATGCCTGTAATCCCAGCACTTTGAGAGGCTGAGGTGGGTAAATCACCTGAGGTCAGGAGTCCAAGACCAGCCTGGCCAACATGGTGAAACCCCGTCTCTATTAAAAATACAAAAAATTAGCTGGGCATGGTGGCGGGTGTCTGTAATCCCAGCTACTCGGGAGGCTGAAGCAGGAGAATTGCTTGAACCCGGGAGGCGGTGGCTGCAGTGAGCTGAGATTGTGCTATTGCACTCCAGCCTGGGCGACAAGGGCAAAACTCCATCTTAAAAAAAAAAAAAAAATCTGGCTAGGCACAATGGCTTACACTTGTAAATCCAGCATTTTGGGAGGCTGAGGTGGGAGAATCCTTTGAGCCCAGGAGTTCAAGACCAGCCTGGGCAACATGAGACCCCCATCTCTTAAAAAAAAAAAAAAAGAATTAGCTGGATGTGGTGGCTCACACCTATAGTCCCAGCTGCTATTCAGAAGGATGAGGCAAGAGGATCACTTGAGCCCAGGAGTTCAAGATTGCAGTGAGCTTTGATCGTGCCACTGCACCCCAGCCTGGGTGACAGAGCAGGACCCTGTCTCAAAAAAGAAAAAATCTCCTAATCATTGCATACAATTTGATAATTGTTATAAGAGTTTCTAAATCCTCTCAATTTCTGACTTATCTTGTTGTAGATGAATAGTGAAGAGTTTGCAGGCCAACACCAGTTCGAGGACAGTATTTTGATGGGCACCAATATGTGGTATCAACAAAGCAGCTTCATACTTTTAAAATTTCATTTCATTCATTCAATACACATTTTTTTAAGTGCTTACTACATAGCAGGCACCCAACTAGGTGCTACAAATCAAGTAGGAAAAAAGAACAACGGGGCCTTCATAAAGTTAACATTCTAGCAGGGAAAGCAGAATTGAAACAATTTACTGAGAATTAATTATTTTTTATAATTAATTATAAAAATAAATACCACTGGGCATGGTGGCTCATGCCTGTAATCCCAGCACTTTGCGAGGCCAAAGCAGGTGGATCACCTGACGTCAGGAGTTCAAGACCAGCCTGGCCAACATGGTGAAACTCCATCTCTACTAAAAATACAAAAAAATTAGCCTGGCATGGTGGCGGGCACCTGTAATCCCAGCTACTCGGGAGGCTGAGGCAGAGAATTGCTTGAACCCGGGAGGCGGAGGTTGCAGTGAGCTGAGATCGTGCCACTGCACTCCAGCCTGGGCAACAAAAGTGAAATTCTGTCTCAAAAATAAAATAAAATAAATAAAAATTAAAAATTAATGCTAAAGAGACGATCAGAATACTCAGCGCTCCTATTGGGGTGCCCAAAGCCAGGCTGATGGGTAAAGGAATGCTTCTCTAAGGAACCCTTCATCTTAGAGCTGAAGAATAAGCAGGGGCTGCAAGGCCCCAAATGGGGAAAGAGGGTTCTAGGGAAAAGGAGGGACAGAGAGAGAGCCCTGGAGCAGACAGACACACAGGAGGCTGCTAAAATAGTGTCCTGTAGGTCTCTAGAGCCCATGCCAAGGATGGTGCATTTTATCTCAAGAGCTATGGAAATCTCCTGAAGGATTTTAAGCCAGGGGTGGGCAAAATGGTCAGATTTACCTTTTAAAAATCATACTTTTACTTTCCCAATAATTTAAACACAGCAGATTTTCATAATAATTGTAACACGGAACTAACAATTCATTACAGAGATTTTCGCATGTGAACAAAAAGTTTGGGGCTGCTAATCTATCGCAAGAGTTATTTTTGATTCCCATGGCTCTACAAACACATGATGTAGACAGTCACTTACATCTCCAAAGAGGTCGCTATGCTCCTTCTGCCTCCTCCTCTCAGTCCCTACCATCCTCTAAGTAGCATCTTAAGAAGAGCGGCTGTGTGAGGTATGTGACCAAACTCCACCCACTCCTCTTTTTTGCACTAACAGAACCACAATTTAGTTCAAGCCAGCAATATTCCCAAGAAAAACTCATTTTTAAACCTATTAAAAGTGACCATGTGACACAGTTCTGGCCAATGGGAAGACAGCAGAAATCTGCTGAGGATTCAGGGAAACCTTTTGCTTTCCAGATGAAAGGAAGCCATCTGGCTAGTACAGTCCTGTCCCCTTCTTCCTACCTTAAAAATCAGTCGTGAGTCCCAGAGGTGCTGCAGCCATCTTGCCATCATGAGGCAACAAGCACAAAGATGACAATCCAACATGGTAAGGTTGGTGGGACAGAAAGAAACTGAGTCCTTGAGAACTCGGCCTCTGTCCACTTCTGTTCTTCTTGTTACATGAGAAAAATAAACCCCTATAGGCTGAAGCTGCTGTAAGTCTGGTTTTCTGATGCTTCAAGTTGAAAGTAAGTGAGCTTCCCAATTGGAAATGGATGGTCCACAAAATCAGATCAACTTGCATAGCACAGTATTCTCCCCCCTGCGGCTGTTCCCATCTTTGAACGTTTAGATATTTCAAAGGAAAAAGCCTTTTCTATTATTTCTGACATGGCTTCGCCCTTCTCACCAGGAGCTGTAACGGGATAAGTAGGCTCTGTCACGGGTCCTTTGTTTCCTAAAAGGGGAAGGCCGGAGACGAGGTTTCATGGAAAATGCTGATATACTACACCACATCAGAATGTGCTGTTCTCATTTATTTTTTAATACAAACCCATCTTTGCATGTGGGCACTGGCAAAGAGTTGATGGTTATGAAATGTTGGGCGACAGTGGTAATATGGGAGGTGACACACAGCAAAGGAATCTCGTCTTCAAATTACACAGAACACAAAACCATTGTGGTTCATGACATAGCTCCCACATTCTTTCCGTATTTATCCAACGGGGCTCCAGTGAATTGGATGGTGTCTTCTGTTTGTTTAGTGAGTGTGTAAAACTCCTGGACAGGGTTGTGTGAAGCAATGTGTAAAAGCCACAGTCGCCAGCCTGTTACCGCTACCTTATGTCCATTTTCCTCTGTGCCACGAGCTCTGCGGAGAACCAATGAGAACAGTTGGTACAAAACTCAGGGAAGAAGTTCAGGAAGTAGTTGTCAGAAATGATGCACGCTACAGTTACTATATTCAGTGCCAAAGCAATTCATTTATCTTTACAGACACACACAAGCAGAAAGGGTGAATTCAAAGGTAGTCCTCTGGGCAGAGAAAACATTGCAATTCTAGACACACACTGTCAAGAAGCCCATATGTCTGCAATGTAAAGGGCTTTTTTAAGATTATAAGCTGTCTTTCAAACACAGCAGCTTCTTCTAAAAATAATTCCATTTGATCAGACAAAGTGGGAAGAATGCTACTGGTTGGTATCTCAGGGGCAAAGATAGAATCAAAACAGAGTATAATCTCTCATGCCTACAAAAGGGCCCCAGGAAGGACTATTCATCAAAGAGGAGATGTTTTAAAGGAACACATACACTATGAGAGTGGCCAAAGGAAAATATAAAATGCTGAAATATATGCAAAATGAAGCCTCTGTGGTTTATAATGAGGCTGAAATCTCACTGATGGGGTCTGGCTTAACTCTGAATTAAGAGAATGAAGCTGAAATCCCCATGACCTTGAGGCAGCAGCTGAAGACTTCAATGTATGTACATTTTCGGTCACTCAACTTTTGTAACATCTGGAGCATGATTAATGCTGTGAGGGGTTTAAGAACTTTTATTGGCACTAATAGTCATTGGTTGCCACTAAAAAATGGTCCTGCTGCCAGCAAAACAAATGGTTAGGCATTTAAAGCCCCTATCAGGGTGGAAAAGGGCATTTTGCCAATTTTAGTTTCCTCTTGGAAACCGTGTGGTCAATTTTCCAAACTATGTTTGAACTTCAAAAGTCCATACTTGCTGCACTGGGTTAGATGGGCTTCCTGGTATTTCAAAGAAGTTTACAAAATCTTTGGAAAGTCTAAAAGTTTTAAGATCACAATTTGGAGAAAAAAGAAATATTATCAATAAATGTGCAGAAAAATACCTTAGGAGAATTTAAAATATTAACAGCAGTTACATGTGGAGTAGTAGAATTACTACTTCTTTACACATTTTGCATTTTCCAAAATTTCTATTATAAGCATACATTATTTTTATAATCAAAAGACTTTATAAAGTACTTTTAAGAAGAAAAAAATTGTTTCAAGACTTCCTTCAAAAACCAGGCAGCTTTCTATAAAGAAAAAGGTGTTAGGCCAGACACAGTGGCTCACACCTGTAATCCCAGAATTTTGAGAGGCTGAGGCAGGCGGATCCCTTGAGGTCAGTAGTTCAAGACCAGCCTGGCCAACATGGTGATACCTCGTCTCTACTAAAAATACAAAAATTAGCTGGGCCTGGTGGCACACACCTATAATCCCAGCTACTTGGGAGGCTGAGGCAAGAGAGTCGCTTGAACCCAAGAGGCAAACATTGCAGTGAACCAAACTCATGCCACTGCACTCCAGCCTGGGTGGCAGAGTGAGACACCATCGAAAAAAAAAAAAAAAAAGGAAAAAAAAGAGAAAAGAAAAGAAAAAGGTGAGTTGGATTCCACCTTTGGCACTCACTAGTATGTAACCTTGGTATTAGAGATAAGCATTATATGATTAAATTAAATAGATATAAAGTGCCTGCAGGGGTGCAAGACATATTGTAAATGCTTAATAAATGTGAGTTAGCATCATTATTTCACCTCAAATGAAGTTCAACATTCAAAACAGTATTCAAAGGGCCCCAGGTATAGAATTCTATTCTGATGAGAAATTTATCTGAAAATTTTTTTTGTTTTTTTTTGAGATGGAGTCTCGCTTTTTCACCCAGGCTGGAGTGCAGTGGTGTGATCTTGGCTCACTGCCAGCTCTGCCTCCTGGGTTCAAGCAATTCTGTGCCTCAGCTGGGATTACAGGCGCCCACCACCACACCTGGCTAATTTTTTTGTATTTTTAGTAGGATGGGGTTTCACCATCTTGGCCAGGCTGGTCTTGAACTCCTGACCTCATGATCCACCCACCTCGGCCTCCCAGAGTGATGGGATTACAGGCAGATTTTTTTTTTTTGAGACGGAGTCTCACTCTGTCACCCAGTCTGGAGTGCAATGGCACGATCTCGGCTCACTGCAAGTTCCGCCTCCCGAGTTCATGCCATTCTCCTGCCTCAGCCTCCCGAGCAGCTGGGACTACAGGCACCCGCCACCACGCCCGGCTAATTTTTTGTATTTTTTAGTAGAGACGGGGTTTCACAGTGTTAGCCAGGATGGTCTTGATCTCCTGACCTCGTGATCCGCCCACCTCGGCCTCCCAAAGTGCTGAGATTACACAGGCATGAGCCACCAAGCCCAGCCAACCTGGATTTTTAAAAGGAAGGAAAACTGTCCTGAAAATAGGATTACAGAATAGTCCTTTCATATTGCCAAAGTGTGGGAATTCTCCCTTTCTCTCCAACTCCATGGTAAGGAGGAAGGGATCACGATGAGAAATTTACACAAATTGATTGGATGCCACTGTTAGGGATCAGAATCTGGCTTCCTTACACCTCCCATTGGCTTCCAGACAGATTAAAAATGTGAGACTCTCATGACCACTTGTCAGGGATCCCCATGCCTGGGTCGGGTGCAGTGACGTGGGTCACAGCAGCTGCCATTCCCACAGCTGTTGGCCATCAGCCCTGGCAGGGGCTATTTCAGGTTTTACTGAGTATTTCTTGCCCCACTAGTAAAGCTTTGAGAAATGCTTTGAACTATCCAAAGACCAAAAGGCCCTCCCAGCCTCCATTCTTAAGAGAACAGTCTTCTGCTAACTTAGCCTCAGTGACGGTAGGGTTTCTCTCCTGCTGGGCAGAGACTGTCCCCCGCTAGGCCATAGCTTTCAGGGAACAGAACCATAAACCTCCTTTCTCCAAGTCAAAACTTTTTGGAAAGATTTTCTGCTCAATTTTTCTAGTCATTACAGCTAAATATGTCTAGTTTTAACTCTTTCCCTGCGGTGAGGGTAGTGAATCAGTGTCTGAAGAGTTGAGGAAGAATAATACTAGCTAGCATTGATTACCACTTACTCTGTGCCTGACATTGTTCGAAGCAACTTCTGTATTGCTGTAGATAGGTCTCACAACAACCTCAGGAGGTAGATACAGTTATTATTACTATTTTATAGAGGACTGGCCCCAAATTACTATGACTCCATGGCCAACTTGTTGTATGTACAGGCCTAGGAGCATCCTTTTCTTTCTCTCTCTGTCTCATAAAATTTCTGAAATGATTACCAGTTAAAAATGAGCAAGTTTGAGCCAGACAGGTGCAGTGGTTCAGGGTTGTAATCCCGGTGCTTTGGGAGGCCAAGATGGGAGGATCACTTGAGCTCAGGAGTTCAAGAGCAGCCCAAGCACCTATTGGGACCCTGCCTCTAAAACAAATTTTTTTTTTTATAATTAGCTAAGCCTGGTGGCATGCTCTTGTAGTTCCAGCTATTCTAGAAGCTGAGGCAGGAAGATCTCTTGAGCCCAGGAATTTGAGGCTATCATTATCATGCCACTGCACTCCAACCTGGGCAGCAGTGAGACTCTGTCTCAAAAAATAAATTAAATAAAATAAAATAAGTAAGTTTGGGTCTTTATGTATTCAAGGGAGCAACTTTTGTCAAATTATTTTCCTTTATTTCCACTCTCCCACCCCATTGATCCTGGGTACTTTTCTAGATGATCTTGCATCCAGGTTTCAAATATGATTTCTTTATGTCATGTCCCTAAAGACTGATGCTCTGAGTTGTTGGCCTCAATTCTCTCCTAAAAGCTGTAATATTCTTTTTTATGGCCAAGGGAACAAATGTACTTCTAGAGTGACCAAAAGATAGGATGGGATAGAAAACTGGCCAGAACCATATGCGCTGAATTTTTTAGTGTAAGGAGAGCCCTGTGGAGCCCATTATTCATTTATCACACAGGCATCCCTGGGCAACAGCTGACAAGCGCAAAACAATGCTCTGCAGATTACCAGACTGTCAGGACACTCGATGCAGGCCAGCCATGGCAGCCCCTTCCTCCATTCTCTCCTCCACCCCCATCCCTTGAAGCCTGCTCATGGCAAACATATGGGAGCCATTCAGGCTTATTCCCTCCTTTCCAATGTCTGAGTTATGTTGACAACAGGGGATTTACAACTGCCCAAAATGGAGCGTTGTGTTTCTTTTGGATTATTCCAAGTTTGGGGCCTGTTAAAAGTTTTGTAACTATATAAATATTTATCCAGAGTTTTTGGTTACTATATAAACATAACAAACACGACATTGGACCTAAATGCTGTAAGTCACTTAAAAGTCTTCCAGTTAAGAAAGGGGGCAAACTAATAAAGGGCTTCAGAAATGATTATTTTTATTGTGAAATATTTTTACTGCTATTTTTATGCTGGGTTTTAAAAAGACCAAAATATGTTTATCCTTGACTCTATGTAACTCTTCAGACCATCAGCCAACTTGCTTAAGCATGCTCCTGACCTGCAGAGACATGGGAGAGAATGTGGATGGTGCAGTACAAGGCTTCACCTTTGTGAATATGCTCAGGCCAACAGCTGGAAGCTTAGGATGAGAAATGCTACTCTGAGCTTTGTCACCTTCGAAGGCCAGAGATGTTACTTTATGTTCAAATGTTGTATGTTCACATTTGTTAGTAGGTTCTGGTTAACGCTTACAGATGCTAGGTAGAAAGAGCTGAAACTATTAATGCCCAGATATTAATTATTAAGGATAGACACCAAAGTACCCAGACCTAGGAGGGCTCATGTTGTTAATGAAAAACTAGGGGGGAAATATTATGGTGCGTTATTTTCGTAACCCCTATGTTTGCCATGAAGTTAACCCTCCAGATCTAAGGGTTGAAATTCATGAAGTGTTTGTGTGTGTGTGTGCGTGTGCGTGTGTGTGTGTGAAGTTTGTGTCCTTCAGAGCTGTTGGGGTTGTCTTTTTTTTTTCTTTCTTTTTTAAGACGAGATCTCACTCTGTTACCCAGGCTGGAGTGCAGTGACACGATCATGGCTCCCTGCAGCCTCAAACTCTTGGGCTCAAGCAATCCTCCGACCTTAGCCTCCTGAGTAGCTGGGACTACAGGCACATGCCACCACACCTGGTGATATGGTTTGGCTGTGTCTCCACCCAAATCTCATCTTGAATTCCTATGTGTTGTGGGAGTGACCCATTGGGAGGTAATTGAGTCATAGGGGCAGGTCTTTCCCATGGTGTTCTCATGACAGTAAGTCTCATGAAATCTGATGGTTGTTATAAGGGGGAGTTTTCCTTCACAAGTTCTCTCTTTGCTTGCTGCCATCCATGTAAGATGTGACTTGCTTCTCCTTGCCTTCCGCCATGATTGTGAGGCTTCCCCAGCCACGTGGAACTGTAAGTCCAATTAAACCTCTTTCTTTTGTAAATTGCTCAGTCTCAAGTATGTCTTTATCAGCAGCATGAAAATGAACTAACAGACTGGCTTTTTTTTTTTTTTTGTAATTATAAGGTCTCACTATGTTGCCCAAGCAGGTCTTGAATTTCTGGCCTCAAGTGATCCTCCTACCTTGACCTCCCAAAGTACTGGACTTATAGGTGTGAGCTGCTGTGTCTGGCCTGTTTTTCTAATTAAGGAGGCACACACATAACCTTGGTCTTGGAGGAGGTTTCTGGCCGAACTCTTTGACCCTCTGTAGAAAGCAGTAGGTCCAAGGAGAAAGCAAATTCCTGGGTTCTGTCCTGCTTCCTCAACCCCGGCCTGGCACCATCTCCTACATCATTTTTTGGCTCCCTGTTCCCTTTATCCAGTGGATAAAGTAAGGTGGTCCCTTCTTTGTTCTTTGCAGCAGATCAGACTGGAACCAGGAAACTGATTGTTTTTCTATGTTTGCTGGTACTTGGTAAAAGGAAGCAAACCCTGTAGTGTTGACTTAAGGTTAAATGGGGTGAGTGCTGACTTCATGTGTTCTGGCATGATCTTATCTGTTGGAGATAACACAGGCAAGCCCTGGAGTCTAGTAGAACACAGCGGGGCTGAAGCTCATACAGCTCTGCAGGGCCTTGATGCAACAAATGCTGGAGACTTCATTTCTTTAAAGGACTTAGCTAATGGTCAATTACTATTGTTAGAATATTATTAATCCCATTCTGTATATAAGTAAATGTTGACAGAAAATGGTTTAATGACTTGCTCCAAATTTCATAGCACACCAAGATTATAGTTACAGGAAAAAATAGCTAGATTTTCTCATTTTCTTTTTTTTTGGAGATGGAGTGTCAGTCTTGTTGACCAGGCTGGAATGCAGTGGTGCGATCTCGGCTCACTGCAACCTCCACCTCCTGGGTTCAAGTGATTCTCCTGCCTCAGCCTCCTGAGTAGCTGGGATTACAGGCGCCCACCACCACGCCGGCTAATTTTGTATTTTTTTAGTAGAGACGGGGTTTCACCATGTGGGCCAGGCTGGTCTTGAACTCCTGATCTCAGATGATCCATCTGCCTCAGCCTCCCAAAGTGCTGGGATTACAGGTGTAAGCCACCATGCCCAGCCTAGAATTTCTCATTTTCAAACCCATGCTTTAGCAGGGAGACTTAGCTGTAAATAAACATGCTTTACATGCACAGTAAGAAAATCAGAGAAAATAACATTACAGAATCTAGCATCTTTTAGAGTCTTTGGATGGAAGTTTCTTTTTTTTCCCCCTGTGTACTGTTTGACAGTTTCACTGCTAACATTTTAACTCCTTCACTTCTGTATGCACCATCTAAGAGGTGATGAGTCGTCATTTTCTTTCCCTAAGGACCTGAGGGGCAGAGAGGTTAACAATTTAGCCCAGGACACATTTTTAGAGGTAGAACTATGACCAGAAGTCCTAGATATCCTGACTTTAGATCAGGGCTTTTCTCACAATGCTAGAAACTGACTGCTTGTGTTCTGAGCAACTAGTACATACCTGCACGGATTTTGGACTGTGCTGGGTAGCACGGATTTTGGACTGTGCTGCATAGCACGGATTTTGGACTGTGCTGCATAGCACGGATTTTGGACTGTGCCGGGTCAACTTGCTTTAACTGGAATGGTTTTCTCAAGTTCCTTTCTTGGTATGCCTCTGGGTGAGAGCTGGACAAAAGAGAAATTTGTCCAAGATTAGGAAGGTGGAAGTAAAGCAACAGCCACTACTCTCTGAAGGTCATTGTGGTTTGATGCTCTGACTGGCAGGTGCAGGGGTGCTGGTGGGTTCCAGCTTGTTCAGTTTCCCATTCCACAGCCAGCAACTCTTCCTAAGACCATTAGTGGGGCCGGCTCACCATCAGAAACATAGACTTTTCTACCAGCTCTACTTTCACGGTCCCACTTCAGCAACCAGATGTGCCTAGCTGCCTATATTCCTTGGCAAACTTTGTTCCATCCACACCAGTGCTTCAGGAAGGCTGGTTTGTGACTGATGCTTTAACTCCTTGTCATGCACCCTTCCTTAGCTTCTCCCACCATTGCCTAATATATCCTTCAAAATTTACACATGGTTCTGCTTCCCTGTTTGGGTGCTGACAGAGAGAATACCAACATGGGCTGGGCGTGGTGTCCCATGCCTGTAATCCCAAAACTTTGGGAAGCCAAGGTGGGAGGATGTCTTAAGGCCAGGAGTTCTAGACCAGCCTGGGCAACATAGCAGGACCCCATCTCTAAAAATAAATAAATTTAAAAAGGGAAAAAAAAGAATAAGCAACATGGTGCACCATGAGAGCTGCAGAAGAAACATGAAAGTGTTCCTGCCGTCAAGGGACACATGGCTATTGGGAAGATGGAGCACTTTAACACAGCCAGCTGGGGACTCATGTAGCTTATGGTAAAGTGACAAACGCACAATGCAGTCATTGCAGCCCAAGGTGTCTAGTGTCTCTTAGTGCCAGGCATGAGGAGCTGATTGGGAATGGTCATAGTCAGCATTTTCCATGACTGATGACCACATTGAGATCCAAGTGGAGACCAACTTTTCCTTTCTCTGTTCCAGGCTTTTAGGCTCCTTATCAACACAAGAATGGACATCAAGTTACTTACATATTGGGCCAAAATATTGAGTGCAGATGAAAATAAATGCTGACTTTGAAGATTTCCCATCCAGCCCGCAGAAATTCCCCTGGCCTGCCACACTTGGGTAACTTGAGTTCTGGAATTCCAGACGTGGTTAACCCCAATCCACAAATTTGCTGGAGTTATGAAGCTGAGTGAGAGTACTGCTTTTCTATTATGCATTCCCAATATGTTCTGTTCTGAGCTGACACCACAGAATTTACTTCTCCCACAAGTTTAACCCACTGCATGGAGTGATCATGGCTCACTGTTTTTTGGTAAATACCAAAATACAGATAACAGTTTTTCACAGTACAAATTTTATATCTGACTTGGCTGGAAACTTCCCCAGTCACTCCGTCTAGTTGCCTCATTTTGTTGGGCCTTGGTTTCTTTCAGTTTCCTACTAAAACTTACCTCTTTGGGGAGGCATGAGTATCAATGCTTGGCTACCAATCCAGGTAAGGCCTCTGAATGAAAGGTGATATGGAAGGGCACAAACGATCTGGATACCTATCCCCTGGGAAAGTCCAGGCCTCAGGCCACAGCAATGCCACAGCTTCTGGAAGCTGCCTGGGAACTGAGGTTTTATTCTCCTGTGTGTGTCTACATGCCTGGAGTGTTGACTCTGGAGACCTATGAATACAGTAAATGACATCATAGGTAGCTCAGGTCAATGAAGATTTATTTTTAGCTATGACCCTTGTCTGTTAAATGATCTGAATTTAAAAAGAAAGAGGACACGGAAGAAGGAAAAGAAATGTGAAAGGCAATGAAAGAATGTAAGATTCCTGCTTGATCTTAAAAAGCACTAGAGCAAAAGTCAAGCACAGCTTTCTTATTTCTTTTCAACCAGAAGGGTGTTACAGGAGAAATGTATGAAGGGCGGAGGATATGCCCTCTTGTGAGAATTCTGTCTCTTCCCTGCAGTTACTCATTTTGAGAATGTGGCTCCCAGTGTCTACAGTGGAGGTGGGCTCATTTGTCCCTGGGCTTCTTTTTTATTTTATTTATTTTTTGAGATAAAATCTCTCTCTGTAGCCCAGGTTAGAGTGCAGTGGCGCCATCTTGGCTCACTGAAACCTCCGCTTCCCGGGTTCAAGCAATTCTCCTGCCTCAGCCTCCCGAGTAGCTGGGATTACAGGCGCCTGCCACCGCTCCCAGCTAATTTTTGTGTTTTAGTAGAGATGGGGTTTCACCATGTTGCCCAGGCCGGTCTCAAACTCCCGACCTCAAGTGATCCACCTGGGATTACAGGCATGAGCCACTGCGATCCCAGTGATCCTGCGGGGATTACAGGCATGAGCCACCACGCCAGGCCTGGACTTCTTTAGATTGTGCTTTTCAGTAATCTGTCCCTGTTTGTCTTGGTGTCTTATGGGCTGACGTCTGAGGGATCCCTGGTTACTCCCCATTTTTATGCTGTACTGAGATAGGACAAAGAGAGAAAAGAAGTCGTGGAACTTTGGGAGGCCAAGGCAGGAGGATTGCTTGAGCACAGGAGTGCGAGGCCATCCTGGGCAACATAGTGAGACCCCATCTCTACAAAAAAAATTTTAAGCATTAGCGAGGCATGGTGGTGCGCACCTGTAGTCCCAGCTACTCAGGAAGCTGAGTGGGGAGGATTGCTTGAGCCTGGCAGGTTGAGGCTACAGTGAGCTGTGATTGCACCACTACACTCTAGCCTGGATGACAGAGTGAGACCCCGTCTCAAAAGAAAAAAATATATAAAAAAAGCAAGAGGCCAGGGAGTAGGATCAATCAGAAAGCTGGGTCTGCTAAGTAGAGGGAGGGAACGCAGAGAGTGCCAAAAGATGGAGAAGGGGGCCACCCAGCTAAGAGCAGTGCTCTAGGGAAGAAATTCCAGAAGGATTGTAAAATGTGATCAAACATTTTGTCATGGTTGAAACAGAGAGGGCCCAAGGCTCTGGCCACCCACACATCCTCCTTGCTTTCATTGTCTTGGTATCTTAGGGAATGACACTGAGGGGCTGGATGTCAACTCAAAAGTTTTCCTCCAGAAGAGTTGGGTTCCAAGGAACCCAATTTTAGATATGGGAAGTAGAGCCCAATGCTACCACCAAGGATGATTCATCAAAGCAAAACTAGGGCCACCTATGAACACGATGATGATGAAATCATGCTCCAGATCATACCAGTGTCAGATATGAGCTGTACTCCTAATCTGGGTCATAATTATTACAGAGGCTTGTGTGTCACTTGATTTTTATTTTTATGATATTGGATTGGCTTTATATTATGATTGATTTAGTTAATAACACAAACCCCAATTATAACATGGTTACCCTGGAAAAATATCATCTACTTTGTGAAGCGGTTGCATGGAATGCACTGCTACCAAAAGCACTGGTGGGAAAAGGCCCACCCTGGCCCAGAGACAGCCACAGGACAGCACTGCAGGGACCTGGACAAAAGGCATGAACAGGGGCTCCCTGGTCAGAGCATGGCTACCACCAGCACCCAGTGACCAGCATTTTTCTCTCTACTTATAGTGAAATATGCAGGAAGAATGAGGTGTGTGAACCAAAAGACCCAGAATTGCAGCTCAAGATTAAATTATGAATGACATTAAAAGGAGCTCCAGAGCATTCAGGAGCCCATAATCCCAGTGCCAGACGGGCAAAGGAGTAAGATACTCAGTTGAGGTCAAAGAGAAATGAGGCAGGAAATGGGGAGCAGGGCCGCTGTTCATATTGAAGCAGCATCAATGAAGAATGGTTGACACTCTCCTTGCTACTGTCTTCAGCAGCTGTTGTAGCCTCAAAAAAGAAAAAAAAAAGTACCAGGCCTAGCTAAGAGAGGGGAGTATTCCCGACACAGGTTGATTCCTGACAAGAGGAAATACAAGGCTAAAACAAAAAATGGGGCCACAGTTTTCCTCCTATACCCGGTCAGACCAAATCAAGTTTCTTGACTCTTAATCCCTCCCCAAAGGAATAATCTTCCAATTTATGCCTGAATTACATACACAAAATGCCATAGAATGTGATGCAAATTCTCCAACAGGTGCCTTGTAAAAATTCCAACAGAGCCAGGCACGGTGGCTCATGCCTGTAATCCCAGCACTTTGAAAGGCTGAGGTGGGTGGATCACTTGAGGTCAGAAGATCGAGACCAGCCTGGCCAACATGGTGAAACCCCGTCTCTACTAAAAAGACAAAAACTAGTCGGTTGTGGTGGTGGGTGTCTGTAATCCCAGGTACTCGGGAGGCTGAGGCAGGAGAATCGCTTGAACCCAGGAGGCAGAGGTTGCAGTAAGCCAAGATTGTGCCATTGCACCCCAGCCTGGGCAACAGAATGAGACTCCGTCTAAAAAAAAAAAAAAAAAAAAATCCAATAGAAAAAGTGAGCAAAAAACATGAATAGGTATTTCACAAAGTGTGTGAATAGATCCAAAACATATTCAAGCTGACTGGGCATAGTGGCTCACACCTGTAATCTCAGCGCTTTGAGAGGTCAAGACCAGAGGGTTGCTTGAGGCCAGGAGTTTGACTCCAGCCGAAAAACATAGCAAGACCTTGTCTGTATAAAAAAAATTTTAAAAATAGCCAGGTGTGGTGGCATGTACTTGTAGTCCCAGCTACTGGGGAAGCTGAGGTAGGAGGATCTTTTGGGCTCAGGAAGTCAAGACTGCAGTGAGCTGAGAAGGAAGTCAAGGCTGAGTGAGCCACTGCACTCCAGCTGGGTGACAGAGTGAGACCCTGTTTCAAACAGGGGAAAAGAAAAAAAAGTTCTGCCAGCTAATTATTCCTCAGGTAATTGCAAATGCAGATGCAGCGAGATATTCTTTTACATCTACCAGATTAGCAAAAATTAAGAATGCTGATGATACCAAGTGTGGGAGAGGATGTGAAACTACAGGAATTATTTCACATTCCTAATGAGCATGTAAATTTTTATAAACAGTTTGGTATAAACAATGTGTCATTTTGTTGTAAAGGCAAACATGCATATAACCAGGACCTAGCAGTTTCACTCCTGGGTATAGTATTCTAGATCTGGGTGTTTTCAAACATCTACAATTTGGTGGTACAACCTTTTTTTTCTCTTCAGAGACAGGGTCTTGCTCTATCACCCAGACTGGAGTGCAGTGGTGCAATCATAGCTCACTGCAGCTTCCAACTCCTGGGCTCAAGCAATCCTCCTACCTCAGCCTCCTGAGTAGCTGGAACTACAGGCACACACCATTAAGCCAAGCCTAGCTAACTTTTTTTTATTTTTGTGGAGATGGGGTTTCACTGTGTTGCCCAGGCTGGTCTTTTTTTTTTTTTGAGACGGAGTCTCGCTGGGTCGCCCAGGCTGGAGTGCAGTGGCACGATCTTGGCCCACTGCAAGCTCCGCCTCCTGCATTCACGCCATTCTCCTGCCTCAGCCTCCCGAGTAGCTGGGACTACAGGTGCCCACCACCACACCCGGCTAATTTTTTGTATTTTTTAGTAGAGACGGGGTTTCACTGTGTTAGCCAGGATGGTCTCGATGGTCTCAATCTCCTGACCTCGTGATCCCCCCGCCTTGGCCTCCCAAAGTGCTGGGATTACAGGCGTGAGCCACCGCGCCCAGCCCAGGCTGGTCTTGAACTTCTGGCCTCAAGTGATACTCCTGCCTTGGCCTCCTGAAGCACTAGGATTATAGATGTGAACTGCTGCTTCTGGCCTCAACCAACTTTTTTTTTTTTAAACAAACAAAATAAAATTCAGTAGAGTGGAAAAACTTAGTATAGTAAGAGTAAGTTTTACCAGCCTGGGCAACATGGTGAAACCTTGTCTCTACAAAAAATACAAAAATTAGCTGGGCATGGTGGTGCATGCTTGTAGTTCCAGCTTCTTGGGAGGCTGAGATGGGAGGATCACGTAAGCCTGGGAGGTGGAGGCTGCTGTGAGCCTTGTGATTGTACCACTGCACTCCAACTTGAGTGCTGGAGTGAAAAAAAAGAAAAAAGAGTAAGTTTTGTTTCATAAATTGTTGGTTTCACATATGTGTGCACCATGTGTGTACAGTTGTGATGTAAAGTATTTATGGTACCTGTAAAATATGTGTGTATAAAACATATTACAGTTTTTTAAAGTTTGGAAACCAATGCCCTGTAGTGTAACTCTTTGACATACATACCTGGAGAAATGTAGAATGTTCATAATTCACAAGAGCAAAAAACTGCAGACAACTCAAATGCCCATTGCCAGGAATATGGATAAGTAAATTGTGGAGCATTAACACAATTGTCTATTACACAACAATGAAAAGGAATGAACTATATTGCTACATGCAGCAATGTGAGTGAATCCCAGAAACACAATATTGAGAGAAAAGAGCTGGTCACAGAAGACTAAAATAGTATGTTATTTTTATAAAACCCCCAACCAGCAAAACTAAACAAAACAACATATGCCATATGTGGCAAAACTTTTTTTTTTTTTTTTTTTTGAGATGGAGTTTCACTCTTGTTGCCCAGGCTGGAGTGCAATGGTGTGGTCTTGGCTCACTGCAACCTCTGCCTCCCAGGTACAAGCGATTCTCCTGCCTCAGCCTCCTGAGTCGCTGGAATTACAGGCACCTGCCACCACGCCCGGCTAATTGTTTGTATTTTTAGTAGTGATGGGGTTTCACCATGTTGGCCAGGCTGGCTTCGAACTCCTGACCTCAGGTGATCCGCCCGCCTTAGCCTTCCAAAGTGCTGGGATTACGGGCATGAGCCACTGTGCCCAGTCAACTTTTTTTATACCACATTTACTCCAAAAAATGTACAACTATGATATATCGATTAAAAAAGATAAAAGTTTTTAAAGGCAAAGAAGTCACAAATTTAGGAGAATGATTACCCCTGGAGGAAAGAAGACAGTTACTGGTAATGTTCTGATTCTTAAGTTGTTGAAAGTGGTTTTCCCATATGTTTATTCTATTATTAGTTTATAATTTACAGATAGATTTCATATGTATATATACATGTATGTAATACTTAAATCTATTTGATATTACATAAAACTAAAATTGATATAACCATGAAAACATCTAATGCACTGGCTCAAAAAACATCTGATTACAGTAAGCAAATATATTTCTTTCCCTCAAAATAGAGATTTCCATCAAAATCAACAAAAATGAACTAAAAAGGAGAGGAAGAAAAAGAACAGCCTGTCTAGGCTGTCGTCACTGGTTTTTTTTAAAGCATTGACTACATGGATCAGTACTTACTGTCATAGTTGGTAAATGAATCAGGCAAGACCCATGTTGAGGAGTAGAATGTTTTCTCCTGGGATCAACCTTTGAATGTTAAAGCAGAAAAGGTTCCAGAATAAATTCACCCAAGTTAGTAACAGACCATGTTCCCTGTCTACTTTTGTAGACTAAAACACATCATTTTCTTCAAGCTACATTTTTACACAAACCCATCTTTACCAGTAGGAGTGTAGCATGTAGCATGCACCAGACTGGACCAGGTTCTTTTGCAGACACAATTTTTTTTTGAGACAGGGTCTTGTTCTGTTACCAAGGCTGGAGTGCAATGGTGCAATCTCAGCTCACTGCAGCCTTGACCTCTTGAGCTCCAGTGATCCTCCCACCTTGGCCTCCTGAGTAGCTGGGACTACAGGTGTGTGCTGCCATACCCAGCTAATTTTTAAATTTTTTGTAGAGATGGGATCTTGCTATATTACCCAGGCTGGTATAGAACTCCTGGCCTCAAGTGATCCTCCTGCCTCAGCCTCCCAAAGCACTGGGATTACAGGTGTGAGTCACCAGTAGACACAATTTATTTACTGCTATCACTCAAAATTCAGTTGAAATGGACCTATTCTTTAAACTGAATACAAGCAGTGGCTTTCAGGCATGCATTTTGCTCAATAATTCATGAAGTATTCATGATTACTTATTAGTGAGAATAAAATAAAATTAGCCACATAGCAGCCCAGGAAATTTATCTGCCTAGGGTAATAAGCATTACTGCACTAAAGCAAATTTTCCTGTCTTAAAAGCCATCCCTAGTCCCAAGGATTTACTGGAATACAAGGATCAATTATGAACTGTTGGGCTTGCAGAGATGGACCAAACTTTCATTATCTTTGTGCTGTGGGTTGAATTGCATGTTTCCCCTACCCACCCCAGCTCACATGTTGAAGTCCTAAGCCCAGTACCTTAGATTTCCTTATTTGAAAATAGGGTCATTGTGTAATGCTTAGCATCGGGGCTCTGAAACTAGGGTCACTGCAGATGTAATTAGTTAAAGTATGATGAGGTCATACTACAGTAGGCTGGGCCCTGAATCCAGTAAAACTGGTGTCTTTATAAAAAGGGGAAATGTGGCTGAGTGCAGTGGCTCATGCCTATCATCCCAGCACTTTGGGAGGTGGAGGCAGAAGGATCACTTGAGCCTAAGAGTTTGAGACCACCCTGGGCAACAAAACGTGACCCCGCTTATACAAAAAATAAGAAATTAGCCATGTGTAGTGATGCACGCCTGTAGTCCCAGCTATTCAAGAGGCTGATGCAGGAGGATCGCTTGAGTCTGGGAGGTCAAGGCTCCAGAGAGCTATCGTTGTGCTACTGCACTCCAGCCTGGGTGAGAGAGGGAGACCTAGTCTCAAAAAAAAAAAAAGCTGGGGGAACACAGACACACGCACAAGCAGAATACCATGTGACAATGGAGGCAGAGACCAGGTGATGCGACAGAAGCCAAGGAGCACCAAAGACTGCCAGCAAACCAGCAAACCACCAGAAGTGAGAAGAGAGGCCTGGAACAGATTCTCCTTCTCAGCCCTCGGAAAGACCCAACCCTGCCAACACCCTCATCTTGGACTTCTCGTCTCCAGAACTGTGAGACAACAAATTTTGGTTGTTCTAATGTCACCGGCCAGGTCCAGGTCCGTTCTGCCTGTGCACAGTAAATCAATCACTGTGACACGGGTTTTGCAAAAGAGAAAAGATTTGTGAGGCTGCCAAGCAAGGAGGTGGGAGAACAGTTCTCAAATCTGCCTCCCCAAAGATAAAGCTTAGGGATATTGATGGGTTAGGGGAGTGGGGTTGTCTAAGGTGCAGGGAGAGGTGATTGGCGGTGGGGAAAAATGAAGTAATGGGTTCATGTTGTGCAAACATAGTTGGGGTTTGTGGCATTTTATAGGACATATGCACAGAAAATGGTGCTGCTAGCATGATCAGGAGGGTGGAGTTTTGGGCCCTCCAACATCAAAAGGCCACCTCTCAGGCACTCATGAGGGCCCAGTGCCTGCATCCTTCAATCCGAATTGAAGACTCCTCAAAATAAAACAGCTCTATTTGGGGGCATGAGCAATCTGTAATGAGGAGGAAAAATGAGGTTTTAGATGAGGACAAGAGACAGTTTTGGCACAGAGAGCAAGTTAGAATGAGGAGAGGACTAGCCGGATGCGGTGGCTCACGCCTGTAATCCCAGCACTCTGGGAGGCCGGGGTGGGCGGAAGAGTCAGTCAGTGGTCTCAACTAGTTTGAACTGAACAGGAGCGGGCCCAAGTTCCTGAAAAACAACCGAAGCAGCCATTACCATGGTAATGTATGAATGTTATATATAAAGTAGCCAGTGAAGGTTAAGTTTCAGAGTTCAGTGGCAAGACCTTCAACTACCACGGCCTTCTGCTTCATGGAAAAAGGAAAAAAGAAAAAGCTAGTGAGCAAAAGCAAGCAGGGCAGGCAGACCTGATCAAATTAACCCCTCGGTGCCACAAAGTCACCCAATTTGTGGTTTGTTCAGAAGCCCTAGCAAACAAATACACTTTGGTTCTTTAAGATTTAAGAAAATGCTTCATCTCTTAATGTAAATACTAAATATTGCCGTTGGGACTTCCGTAGGTTAACAGTCAATATTTAAAATTGGGAGACCTAGAATAAAGATTCTACTCTGGCTTTTAATTGGTCCCCTTCAGCCTCAGATAAGTCATGTCCCGTCTTTGGGCTGTGTTCTCATGTGTGACTTGGTCATGATACTAATATTTACCCCTCACCTCTCATAGTGCACTGTAAGTGAGCCCAGTGAAGTCACCCATGGGAAAGCCTTCTGTAAATTGTAAAGCCCTACACTACTATGTTAAATATTCTATTTTTCATCTATTGAAGTGCCGGCAATGATTATCAATTAACCTTCTAATGTACTGTACATATTAGGATGTTGAATGCTGGATCCCCAAATACTACCGCACAGCCTGTTGATAAGACATAGCCAAGTTCATTGCTTACTGTGGTTAGGGAGAACACCTCATCCATAGAGCTTTGATAGGGTCTTGGAGGGGAAAAGGTAAGGTTGGAATTTGTTGAGAATTTGAAATTTGGTTTAGTGCAGGTCTTTCGATGTGGCTTTGGTAGCATTGGGTAAGAATTACCCAATTCTTAATTTTTTGAAAGGGTGGTTTAGTGTTGGTGGCAACAGTTGGCCGAGGATTTTGAGACAGGGTTTCAAAGAATCTTAGGACATAAACAGTTGATGCTTTTTATTAAAAGAGTTGGAAGTTTCTGTAATAAACAATAAAGTTATTTGCCTGGGAAATCCCTGAAATAGAAAAGCAATTCTGATAAACACAATAGAATCATAAAGTTGGGTTAATGCAGACAGCATGTGGTTTTGGTCCTCATGTCCAAACTGTATGGCTGGGAATGGAGGGAGATGGTTTCCTTTCTCATGTATAAAATGTGGGTACAGTGCTTGAGTTATTGGCTGGTGCCTGCCCATTCCTTCTCTTGTGAGCAGGCTCAGCTTGAGATGGAGTCTCACTCTGTCACCCAGGCTCGAGCACAGTGTCACAATCTCAGCTCACTGCAATCTCCGCCTCTTGGGCTCAAGCAATTCTCCTGTTTCAGCCTCCCGAGTAGCTGGGATTAGAGGTGCGGGCCACCGCACCCAGCTAATTTTTGTATTTTTAGTAGAGACGGGGTTTCACCATGTTGGCCAGGCTGGTCTCGAACTGCTGACCTCAAGAGATCCGCCTGCCTCGGCCCCCCAAAGGGCTGGGATTACCCGTGTGAGCCACTGCACCCGGCCCGTCCTCTCCTCATTCTAACTGGCTCTCTGTGCAAGAACTGTCTCTCGTCCTCATCCAAAACCTCATTTTTCTTCCTCATTACAAATTCCTCATGCCCCCAAATAGAGCTGTTTTATTTTGAGGAGTCTTCAATTCAGATGAAGGGTGCTATGTAGACGATTCTGAAGGAAAAACTGTCCTCTGAAGAGGATGAGAACGTGTTCTCCTTCTTTCACCACCTCAACCATGGCTTCGAGACAGAGGGGCAGAAGGTCACTTGGCCCCCTTAGCTTTTGCTTCTTCTGCTGGGGAGACGAGCTAAAGTGTTCATGAGCATCAGTTGTGTTCCGTGTGATAGAGGTTTATTTATACTAAAAACAGGAATAGGGCTGAGTGCAATGGTATACACCTGTAATCCCAGCACTTTTGGAGGCTGAGGTGGGAGGATTGCTTGAGCCCAGGAGGTCAAGGCTGCAGTGAGCCATGATCATGCCAGTCTGGGTGACAGAGTGAGAAAACAACAACAGCAATGAAACATAGGAATAGGGTCCCTAGTTTAGAATTCAGATAATTTGAGTTTGGGAACTGGCTTCCAAGTCCCAGGTGGTCTAGGTCCAATTATTCTAGATCTGATTTCCTAACCTTTACCTGTTTCTAGCCCTCCTCACCCCAAAAGGTTAATTTCTTGCTTTAAAAAGCGATTTTGAAGAACCAGTAATTCTCTCCTTCTGGTGCTATCACAAGTGAATGAATGGCTCATTGTTAAAGAAGTCATTCCACTGAACAAAGCAATCTCTCCTTTAAACCAGGCTAGGAGTATTGGACCAAACATTATAATTAAATCAAGTATTCGTCTGCATTCCTTGTTATACAGCCCAGTGTATTCAGGCCTTTCAAAGTACTGAATTTTGGGAGTCCTATCAACATTATTTGCCTTTAATACAAATGAATTTATAAATGAGCAGGTAGTAAAGTACCACAATACTGTCTTAATTTTTTGAAAGGGTACTAAGACACCTGAGATTTTTGAAAACTGAGACATTTTATAGGGAAAAGTAGTTAGCGGTTTCCTGCATTGCTAAGAGTATTTGCTAGAGTTTAGGTTACCAGCACAATTATATTTTCAGTATATGACTAAATCCTACTTATCCACTTATAATTCCTGCTGTTTGGTGAGTGAGAAATAAAGATATAATTTACTGGCTAAGCCAGTCCTATAATAAGTGGAACACAGCAAGATATTCTAGAGAAGTAATAAGCACTTATCTTTAATTTCTAACACTTTGGTCAGGGAACTTGAATTGGTCCTGAGTTTGACCTTTTGGTGGGAGAAAAAAAGCACATCACTGGGTGTCCTTAAACTTTCTGCTAGGAGATGTTACGTTAAAAAAACTATGGTAAAATATACCTAACATAAAATTTACCATATTAACCATTTTTAAGTGTACAATTCAGTGGCATTGAGTATATTCACATCGTCATGCAACCATCACTACCATTCATCTCTAGAACTTTTTCATCTTGTGAAAACTGCAACTATACTCCTTAGACAATAACTTCCCATTCCCCTCTCCCCCAACTTCTAGCAAAAATCACTCTACTTTCTGTCTCTAAGAATTTGACTATTCTAGGTACCTCATATACATGGCAAGTGGAATCATGCAATATTTGTTCTTTTGTGTCTGGCTGATTTCACTTAGCATAGCGTCTTCACAGTTCATCTGTGTTGTAACGTGCGTCAGAATTTAATTCCTTTTTAAGACTGAAGAATATTCCACTGCATGTATAGATCACATGTGTTTATCCATTAATCCATTAATAGACACAGGTTGTTTTCACCTAAGATGTTACTTTCCATACCTGTTCATTTTCTGACGTCTCCCATTTCTAGATCGCTAGACAGAGTGGACACAACTGGGGAGTCGGAGTAGGGGGTGTGTTGGAGGTGAGGCAGGTGAGGAGAGAAAGAGGAGGCAGTGTGGGCAACCACATGTCTATGCTATGCAGAGTGAGGCAGAGAGGACCATGCTCGATTCAGGCTCCGTTACCCTGAGAGGCCAGGTAGGCAGCAGCAAGATCTGCCAGAAAAGTTCTACCAGCAGCAGTTTATCATAGGTATCCTTTTACCCCCGTGTTTAGAACCCCTGGTTTAAAGAGATTCAGGGCCAGACACAGTAGCTCACGTTTGTAATCCTAGCACTTTGGGAGACTGAGGTTAGTGGGTCGCTTGAGCCCAGGAGTTCAAGATTAGCCTGGGCAAAATAGTGAGACCCTGTCTCTTAAAAAAAAAAAAAAAAAAAAGGCCGGGCGCTGTAGCTCACGCCTGTAATCCCAGCACTTTGGGATGCCAAGGCGGGCGGATCACGAGGTCAGGAGATCGAAACCATCCTGGCTAACACGGTGAAACCCCGTCTCTACTAAAAATACAAAAAATTAGCCAGGTGTGGTGGCGGGCGCCTATAGTCCCGGCTACTGCGGAGGCTGAGGCAGGAGAATGGCGTGAACCCGGGAGGCGGAGCTTGCAGTGAGCCGAGATGGCGCCACTGCACTCCAGCCTGGGTGACAGAGCGAGACTCCATCTCAAAAAAAGAAAAGAAAAGGAAAAATAGCTGAGCGTGAGTACTTGTAGTCCCAGCTACTCGAAAGGCTGAAGTGGGAGGATTGCTTGTGGCTGCAATGGGTGGCGATTGCACCACCACACTCCAGCCTCAGCAACAGAGTGGTACACTGTCTTAAGAAAAAAAAAAAGAGAGAGAGAGAGAGCGATTGAGAGATTTAGGTGTCTTTAGAATTACATCGATATTTCTGGCTGGACATGGTGGCTCACACCTGTAATCCCAGCACTTTGGGAGGCTGAGGTGGGCGGATCACCTGAGGTAGGAGTTCGAGACCAGCCTGACCAATATGGAGAAACCTCGTCTCTACTAAAAATACAAAATTAGCCAGGCGTGGTGGCGCATGCCTGTAATCCCAGCTACTCAGGAGGCTGAGGCAGGAGAATCATTTGAACCCGGGAGGCACAGGTTGCAGTGAGCCGAGATCATGCCACTGCACTCCAGCCTGGGCAACATGAGCGAAACTCCTTCTCAAAAAAAAAAAAAAAAATTACGTTAATATTTCTAACTAATAAAATTCCACTGAAGCCTACCAGAAAAACCTTTAACAGAACTAATAAAGCCAGTGTGACAATTTTAAAGCGAAAGATTTATACCATTTGAAGAGAAACCAGAGTATAGTGTGACCATTTTAATCTTGTCCAGATGAGCAATTAGGGAATGCAAGTTCCAATCCCCCATTACCTCTGAACAGCAATGTTTTAAACCTGAGTTTTCAATTTGACTGAAATGGGATTATGTTACAAGTTCTTCATGAATTAAAAAAAAAAAAAGGAGGCAGTTCATAACATCAGGCCTTGGGCAAATTACGCTGTAAGACAGTCTGTAAGTAAAAATGTTGACAATTTCAGTACATTAACACATTCAACATGAATATTTTTACATCAATTTAAACACGAAAGCTTAAGTGTTGCTTCATTTGGTTTTCACAATAACCCTCTGGGGAGGATAAGGCAGGTATTAACAAACATTTTACAAGTGAGGAAACTACATTTAAGAAGAGCTAGATGACATATCTAAGATTATGTACCTAACATATGGCAGCATTGGGGCTGGGCGCGGTGGCTCTTGCCTGTAATCCCAGCACTTTGGGAGGCTGAGGCAGGCGGATCACTAGAGGTCAGGAGTTCGAGACCAGCAAGGCTGGGTGTTTCTAATCCTGGGAGAAGTGACAGAGGTAGGCTGAATACCGCTATGGACTGGGTGAAGTATTACTAACTTGCAAGCTGTTTTCATGTTATCTCATGTGAGACAAATAACATCATTTCCACCTCTCATCCTTGGAAACTAGGGCTCAAGTAGTTGACTTGCCTGGGGACTAGTGAGCGTAGAATGTAACCCAAACTTCCAACTGAAGTGTCCTCAACCTTTACCTACATTCTAGAAGCAGAAACTTTTTTTTTAAGTTTTGCTTATGGTTTTTCAAAGACAAGTGTATTCAGAATTTAAAACTAACAAAGGCAAAACTGCTCTGATCCAAGGGGCTAAGGACTCCAGAAACTTCCCCTAAGGGGGTGCTGTCCACAGGTTGACCTAAGGGATCCTAGGTGGAATCAACTGCTCGTTAGTTTGACCAGAACTTCCCAAGCCTTTATAAGCCTTACGGAAGCTCACTTTGGCGCCCTCTCTCCCCTCAAGCCATCAGGCTGGCATTTACCTTTTGTGCGGCAAAGCTGGTTATTTCCCACCTCCCCGCTCCACGCCCCCGCAAATCCTTCAAAACTGCTTGCTCTAAGAAAGTCACCCAACTCCAAATGGGGTTGTATCTCTCTGTTTCTGATGATCGCCCTGGGACCAGCCTTAAGTGGTCGTCGAGCACTTAAAATACTAAGCGCTACGCATATTAAATGGTTTGTCACCCAGAGGGAAAGAAAGGAGAAACAAGGGATTCCCTTTCGATGAGCAGGTGGAGTGAAAAGTAACGTGTGCAACTTGTGATTTCAACGAGTCCATCAATTCTCTCCCTAAGGGCCGGTGGCGGCTCCCGGGAAGGCCCCAGGGCCCCAACCCTCGGAGCGCGGCTGTGGCTGCGCCTGCCCCCTCCAGCCCTCCGGAGAGGCTGGGCTGCTGCGGGGGTCAGTCCGGGCCCAGTCTGGAGGGCCGAAGCACCGGCCCGAGAGAAGGCAGCATCCCCGGAGCCGGCGCGACTGAATGAAGCCTTGCGGGAAAGGCTGTAACCGAGGCGCTAGCGAGGCTCGCCTCCGTGTGGGGTGGCTCAAATGGCTGCGAGCGTTGGACAAATCACACCTCCTTTGTCTAGCACTGGGGGTGGAGAAAAAACTTCTCGGTATTGGTGAATTTTGATGAATCTTCCAGGTAACTGCAACTTCTTTCTTTAAGAACCCAAGCTGCAAATTTTTAAAACATTTTTGTTTTTGAAACATGTATTCCTTTCATTTACCCTGATGTGGCAGGCTCTTGGTCCTCGTTGCTGAGGCTCTTTCACTGTTCCAGCTCAGAACGTCTAAGGTGTGCGGGGCTCCTCTGCTACCACCATCTGCACCCCCCACTCTCCCCACCACCCCCCTCCCCACCTGTTTGTAGGCGCCGGCTCGCTCTGCTATCGCACCCATCGCTACCTCTTGAGGCCTATTTTGCTGTCTTTAATTTGTATAGGGCCAGGGAGTCAGTGTCAAACTTCTCAGAATTGATTAATAAGTAACACTAATAAATAGCCCTGGAAGGCCAGGCACGGTAGCTCACACCTGTAATCCCAGCACTTTGGGAGGCTAAGGTGAGTGGATCACCTGAGGTCAGGAGTTCAAGACCAGCCTGGCCAACATGGTGAAACCCCGTCTCTACTAAAAATACAAAAATCAGCCGGGCATGGTGGCAGGTGCCTGTAATCCCAGCTACTCGGGAGGCTGAGGCAGGAGAATCGCTTGAACCTGGGAGGCAGAGGTAGCAGTGAGCGGAGATCGCGCCACTGCACTCCAGCCTGGGTGACAGAGTGTGACTCTGTCTCAAATAAATAAATAAATAAATAGCCCAAGAAGTCCTCATATGAATATGTCAAGGCTGAGCTCTTGTACATCGATTTTTAAAACCATTCAAATGCTTTTTTAAAATTATCATTCTTTTAAATTGTGGCAAAATACACATGACATAAAATTTACTATCTTGATTTTTTTTTTTTTTTTTGAGACAGAGACTCTGTCTCCCAGGCTGCAGTACAGTGGCGTGATCTCTGCAGTCTTGGCTCACTGTAACCTCCACCTCCCAGGTTCAAGCAATTCTCCTGCCTCAGCCTCCCAAGTAGCTGGGACTACAGGCGCACGCCACCACAGCCAGCTAATTTTTGTATTTTTTTAGTAGAGATGGGGTTTCATCATGTTGACCAAGCTGGTCTTGAACTCCTGACCTCAAGTGATCCACCTGCCTTGGCTTCCCAAAGTGCTGAGATTAGAGGCGTGAGCCACCATGCCCAGCCAAATTTTGTATTTTTAGTAGAGACGGGGTTTCACCATGTTGTCCAGGCTGGTCTCGAACTCCTGACCTCAAGTGGTCCACCCACCTCGGCCTCCCAAAGTGCTGGAATTACAGTCGTGAGCCACTGCACCTGGCCAATCTTGACCATTTTTAAGTATACAGTTCAGTGGCATTAAGACAGTTCACATTGTTGTGCAATAGTCACCGCCATCCACCTCTGGAACTTTCATCTTGCAAAACTGAAACCCCATGCCCATTAAACACCTTTCTATTCTCTTCTCCCCGGAGTCCCTGCCAATC
The DNA here is from genome assembly GCF_000001405.40 of Homo sapiens. Classification (NCBI taxonomy): domain Eukaryota; kingdom Metazoa; phylum Chordata; class Mammalia; order Primates; family Hominidae; genus Homo; species Homo sapiens. The sequence continues at coordinate 225,675,869 of NC_000001.11, read as the reverse complement.
ACCATTCTACTTTATGTCTCTATGAATTTGACAACTGTATGTACCTCATGTAAGTAGAATCATACAGTTTTTGACTTTTTGTGACTGGCTTATTTCATTTAACATACTGTTCTAAAAATTCATGCATATTGTAGCACGTGTCAGAATTTCCTTCTATTTTAAGACTGAAGAATATTCCATTGTATTAATAGACCACATTTTCTTTGTCCATTCATCCATCAAGGAATACTTGGGTTTTGGCTTTTGTGAATAATGCTGCTATGAAAATGAGTGTGCAGATATCTCTGTAAGACCCTGATTTCAGTCCTTTTGGGTATACACTCAGAAGTGGAATTGCAGAATCACTTGGTAATTCTATTTATAATTTTTTTTTAGGAGCTGCCATACTGTTTTCTATAGTGGCTGCACTGTTTTATATTCCCACCAACAGTGCATAAGGTCTCCAATTTCTCTAAATCCTCACCCATATTTGTTATTTTTCTCACAGATTCCTTTTTTGCTAATTTATTGGTTCTCAGTTGTCTTTTAGATAGTGAAAATTACTGGCTTTCAGATCTCTAGATTGGTGGGGGTGTTTCCAACATGAATCAATAAGTTAGGTAGGTATGTCTCACTTTGCATAGTAGTTGTGATAATAAAAATCACACACACACACACACACACACACGCACACATATATATATATTGAGAGACAGAGAGAGAGAGAAAGAGTCTTGTTCTGTCGCCCAGGCTGGAGTGTAGTGGCGTGATCTTGGCTCACTGCAACCCCCGCCTTCCTGATTCAACAGATTCTCCTGCCTCAGAGCCTCCCAAGTAGCTGGAATTACAGGCACCCACCATCATGCCCAGCTAGTTTTTGTATTTTTTGTAGAGACGGGGTTTCACCATGTTGGCCAGGCTGGTCTTGAACTCCTGACCTCAGGTGATCCGCCCGCCTCGGCCTCCCAAAGTGCTGGGATTACAGGAGTGAGCCACTGTGCCTGGCCAAAAATCATATTTTAAATGTACAGAGTATCTAGCTATTTAAAAGAAGCCTATAATGGATTCTTTAAAAATATCTTTTGAAAATTAACTTATTACAAAATAATAGGTGTTCATTGTAGAAAATTAGGAAACTATAGAAAAGTAAATAAAAGAAGAGTCACCAGTAATCCCACTGGTCAGAGATCATTTTAATGAACGTGTTGGTGCATCCCCTGCATTCTATATATGTATATATACACACATACATTCACACACACATCCATCTATGTGTGCACACACTGTGGTTTCTAAAAATTGTCGTCATTCCATTCTTACAGTTTGGTAGCCTGGTTTTCTCATTTCATAATACATTAAGAGCATTTCCTATGTCATCATATCTTCACATAATCTTCAGATACATACCATTTGTATCTGTGATTACCATTTGTATCTGTGGTGTGATTAATAGCTATATAGTAAGAATCCTTAAAAATATAATCACTCATCATCTGTTTGGGAGGTTTTCACGTACTTGACTTTCTTGGGGATACTACAGAGTTAAAAAAAAATTAAGAGAGGTTCTGTGGCTCCTGCCTATAATCCAGGTACTCAGGAGGCTGAGATGGGAGGATCGCTTGAGGCCAAGAGTTTGAGACCAGCTTAGACAACATAATAAGACCACCTGGCTCAAAAAAAAAAAAAGTAAATTAATAAACCTGTTTTTAGTTTTTACAGGAGCGTTGCTAGGTAGACTCTTTTGCAAGAGTGTTACCTCCATTTCGCAGATGTGAAAGACACCCACAGAGGATCTCTAGATCCTGGATTCTAAATGGCAGGACTATTGGGCAACAATATTCATATGGGAAAGAGACATGCAGAATAGGTTAATTCAATGCAGCATTCAAACTGTCAGAGGAGGAAGAAAATCCATAATTTGGACAAAAACTCTTTAAATATATGAAAGAGACCTGGAGGTTTATTAATTGTTCTATAATTCCATGAGCAGCTTTTGCTTCAGAATTAAATGACAGTTAACAGTAATCCCAGTGATGTTTTGACATTGTCAGACCTTTTGGGGCTCATGCCTTCATGTGTGTCTTTTTATAGAGCAATTAATAAATGTTGGCAGTGTGCTTGTGATCCTTCTGAAATGCTTGGGGAGGATATTGTCACTGCTGCAGCTTTGTGTGTCTTGGGTCTTACAAATGATTTACCACTTACTAAATCTGAAATCCAAATTGTAGATTTGGCTCTGGTTGTTGCCAGCTAACAGAAGCTATAATACTGGAAAGAAGTTAAGAAGCTATCACAGACTGCCTCAATGTCTAACTTTATCCAGGATAATCATGTAGAAAAGAAACTCCTGGATTTATAGGACAAAAAAAATTATAGAATGTTTGCATAATTTAAAAATAAAATGGAATATTTGTTATATTTTATATGAAAATAAGTCTTCATCATATATTTTATTATTTATTTATTTATTTATTTATTTGAGACAGAGTCTCACTCTGTCGCCCAGGCTGGAGTGCAGTTGTGAGATCTCAGACCACTACAACCTCCGCCTCCTGGGTTCAAGTGATTCTCCCGCCTCATCCTCCCGAGTAGCTGGGACTACAGGTGCCCACCACCACGCCTGGCTAATTTTTGGATTTTTAATAGAGATGGGGTTTCACTCTGTTGGCCAGGCTGGTCTTGAACTCGCCTTGGCCTCCCAAAATGCTAGGATTACAGGCGTGAGCCACTGTGCCCGGCCTTCATTATATATTTTAAACTTGATATACTTGAGTAAACAACTTTTTTCCATTATAAATACTATAAATTACAATTTAAGTAACAATTCCTTATAAAACTAAATGGTAGATTACAGCTTCTAAGTATTATCATTCTTCTTCCTTTTGTCTTCCCCCAGACAATAAACGAAGAAAAAAACCACAATATATAGACATATATAAAGGCATAAACTTATAGGAATGTGTGAGAATGTGCTGTTGCTGCTGCATTGTAGATTCAGACTAAAAATAGTGACAAATCATAATTCTTCACGATCACATCTGCTAGCAAAGTTAACTGAGGAAGGTCCCACTATTTTCATCTTATATTTCCCAGGGAATAAGATGTGGCCCCTCAAAGTGTCACTGATAATCCAGCATTATCTAATTAGCACATTTGATCCATCATCCAGTTTTTGGATACATTCAAATATACTGTTTTACTGGATTTGAAAATATAAACATAGAATTTAAAATACATTAGAAACAAAATAAAATAAATCAAATATATTAGAACTGGAAAGAGGCTGGGTATGGTGGCTCACGCCTATAATCCCAGCACTTTGAGTGGCTGAGGCAGGAGGATCACTTGAGGCTAAGAGTTCAAGTCCAGGGTGGGCAACAAAGCAGAGACCCTGTCTCTATAAAAAACAAAAAAAAATTTAAAAATTAGCTGGATGTGGTGGTGCACACTTGCAGTCCCAGCTACTCGGGAGGCTGAGGTGGGAGGATTGCTTGAGCCAGGAGCTGGAGTCTGCAGAGCTATGACTACAGTCTGGGTGACAGGGCAAGATCCTGTCTCAAAAAAAAGAAAAAGAAAAAAAAAAGAAAAGAAAAGAACTGTAAAGGTATTATAAATCAATGATTCTAGCTCTCTCAAATTACAGATAAGGAAATGGAGGTCTAGAGAGGGTAAACCATTTGCTTAAAGGCAGATTTCTTTCTTTCTTTTTTTTTTTTTTGAGACGGAGTCGCCCAAGCTGGAGTGCAGTGGCGAAATCTCAGCTCGCTGCAACCTCCGCCTCCTGGGTTCAAGCGATTCTCCTGCCTCAACATACCAGGTAGCTAGGATCACAAGCTTGCGCCACCACACCCAGCTAATTTTGTATTTTTAGTAGAGACGGGGTTTTACCATGTTGGCCAGGCTGGTCTCGAACTACTGACCTCAGGTGACCCACCCACCTCAGCCTCCCAAAGTGTTGTGATTACAGGCGTGAGCCACCATGCCCGGCCAAGGCAGATTTCTTTTCATTTATTTCCTCAGTTATTCTTCCACACATTCAGTCAACCATGTTACTAAGCAGGAGTTAATGTGAGGCCCTCAGGATGTAAAAAGAGTAAGATACCACCGTTGTTCTTAAGGAGTTAAGCTCCAGCAAAGAGAGACAGGAGCCCCTCAACCAGCTAATACAGTAAGTAGTCTGTGGTGAGGAGCTTGTGAGCATTACAGACTAAGAGCTACCAAAGAGCACAAATAGTTGTTGATTCTACTTCATGAGGTTGAGACGGCTTCACAGAAGAGCAGACCTATGAGCTGAGCCTTAAAGAATGAACATGCCGTCATGTAGAAAAGATCAAAGGGCAACCAGGTAGGATAAACAGCATGAGCAAAGCCACAACCCCATGAGCATGTGTGAGAAAATTAGGGAAGAGTCAACAGTCCAATGTGCATGTGTGGAGGATGTGGGGTCAAGCAGAAAAGGTGAGGAAGAAAAATTACCCTGCCCAGATTACCCCACTTAAAGGAAATTGGTCTTTTGGTCTTTTAGTCTTTTGTGGCTAATTTGGTAAAAGCCTTGAATGTCATTCTAAGAAGTGTGGACTTTATTCTGAGAAAATAGGGCTCCAGGGAAGGCTTATAAGTAGGGCTAGGACACAATCAGACCTTGGTTTATGCTGGAGATGAATTAGAATTTTACATTTTAGACAGGAGATAATGAGAGCCTTGTATTAGTCAGGGTTCTCTAAAGGGACAGAACTAATAGGATAGATGAACGTATGAATGGGGAGTTTATTAGGAGAATTGACTCACAGGATCACAAGGTGAAGTCCCACAATAGGCCGTCTGCAAGCTGAGGAGCCAGGAAGCCAGTCCAAATCCCAAAACCTCAAAAGTAGGGAAGCTGATAGCACAGCTTTCAGTCTTTGGCCAAAGGCCCAATAGCCCCTGGCAAATCACTGGTGTAAGTCCAAGAGTCTAAAAGCTGAAGAACTTGGAGTCTGATGTTAAAGGGCAGGAAGCATCCAGCATGGAAGAAAGATGGAGTCCAGAAGACTCAGGAAGTCTGCTCTTTCCATGCTTGCTTTTATGCTGGCAGCTGATTAGCTGGTGCCCACCCAGACTGAGGGTAAGTCTGCCTCTCCCAGTCCACTGACTCAATTGTTTATGTCCTTTGGCAACATCCTCACAGACACACCCAGGCACAATACTTTGCATCCTTCGATCCAATCAAGTTGACACACAATATTAACCATCACAAGCCTATATGTGGAAGAGTGGCAATAACGAGGAACAGAAAAGGTATATGGATGGCCAGTAAGCACATCAAAAGATGCTCAACACCATTAGTCATCAGAAAAATGCAAATTAAAACCACAATGAGGGCTGGCGCGGTGGCTCATGCCTGTAATCCCAGCAGTTTGGGAGGCCGAGGCAGGTGGATCACATGAGGTTAGGAGTTTGAAACCAGCCTGACCAACATGGTGAAACCCCGTCTCTACTAAAAATAGAAAAATTGGCCAGGCACAGTGGCTCACGCCTGTAATTCCAGCACTTTGGGAGGCCGAGGGGGGCAGATCACGAGGTCAGGAGATCGAGACCACCCTGGCTAACACGGTGAAACCCCGTCTCTATTAAAAATACAAAAAATTAGCCGAGTGTGGCGGCACGTGCCTGTAGTCCCAGCTACTCGGGAGGCTAAGGCGGGAGAATGGCGTGAACCCGGGAGGCAGAGCTTTCAGTGAGCCGAGATGGCGCCCTTGCATTCCAGCCTGGGCAACGGAGCAAGACTCCAGCTCAAAAAAAAAAAAAAAAAAAAAAAAGAAAGAAAGAAAGAAAAATTAGCCAGCCATGGTGTGCACCTGTTATTCCAGCTACTTGGTTGGCTGAGACATGAGAATTGCTTGAACCTGGGAGGTGGAGGTTGTAGTGAGCTGAGATAGCGCCACTGAACTCCAGCCTGGGAGACAGAGGAAGACTCTGTTTAAGAAAAAAAAAACCCAAAACAAACAAACAAAAACCAAGTAAATAAAATAAATATAAATAAATAAATAGGCCAGGCACGGTGGCTCATGCCTGTGATCCCAGCACTTTGGGAGCCTGAGGCAGGTGGATCAGGAGATCAAGAGATGGAGACCATTCTGGCCAGCATGGTGAAACCCCATCTCTACTAAAAATACAAAAATAGCTGGGCATAGTGGCGCATGCCTGTAGTACCAGCTACTTGGGAGGCTGAGGCAGGAGAATCACTTGAACCCTGGAGGTGGAGGTTGCAGTGAGCTGAGATCGCGCCACTGCACTCCAGCCTGGTGACAGAGTGAGACTGTCTCAAAACAAAACAAAAAATAAATACATAAATAAAAATAAACCACAGTGAGATACCACTACGTATCCACTAGAATGGTCAAAATTTTAAAAACTGATCATACCAAGCGTTGGCCAGGATGTGAAGCAAATGCAACTCATATATTGCTGGTGGGAATGTGAAATGACACAACAATTTTAGAAAACAGCTTGGCAGTTTTCTTTAAATATACACTTACCATGTGATCTAACCATTCCAATCCTAATTATTTATCCAAGGTATATGAAAATATATGTCCAAAGACTTGTATATGTATGTACATACCAACTGTATACATAATAGTCCCCAAACTGGAAACAAGCCAAATGTCCAACAATACACAAATGGATCAACAAATTTAAACAAATTGTAGGATATCCATACAACGGAATACTACTTAGCAGTAAAGAGGAATGATCTGCTGATACCCATGGTGACATGGGGGATCACAAATCCATTATGCTGAATGAAAGAAACTGACACAAGAGTACATACGACGTGATTACATTTGTATGAAACTCTAGAACAGACAAATCTAATCTATAGTAACAGAAAGCAGACCAGGCTGACGGTGAGAGAAAGATTAACTAGGAAGGATTACAGGAAATTTTGGGGGGTAATGGGGTTGTTCTCTACCATGATTGTGATGGTGGTCACATGATCATATGCATTTGTCAAAACTGATAGTGTACATTTAACAGGAGCGTTTTATTATATATAAGTTATATCACAATACGTTTCATTAAAAATAATTGAATTTAGATGGTTAACGGAATAAACTAACAACACGGTAGTTGATCTGATTTTATAGGCTTTTCCCTTGGTTCTGTGTAATTATGGACTGATGTCTTAATGCAGTCCAAACAGAATGGAAACAAACTTAGAAAGGATTCTCACTCCCTTCAGCTAATCAAGGGGAGGGACTTATGCAGTAAAATTCAGTAGCTAATACGATACAGAGCTCCAGTTCCAATGTCAGCAAAAAACAACTCAACTAAATGTTAATGTGATATTAATAAGCTCCCCTAAAACTGGAAAGAATTTATTTTAAGGGCTTCTTGTACCCCCTTCCACTCCTTAGAAAAGTTTTTTAAAAATATTTTTCTACATTTATTTATTTTTTCCCTAAATGTTGATGATGTCATTTTTTCTACATTCAACTGCATCTCTGCTGCTTTATTTATGTATTTAGGCCTAATACAATGACTGGGTTATCTTTAATACTGCTGGTTTCAAAAAATTATTTATTCCTTTTTATTTTCATTCTTCTTTTCACAATTTTTATTACACATCTAGGGGAAAAGTAAAATGGGGTGATAAAGTGAAAAAAGAGAATGACATTGCTCAGAAAAGTAATCTAGGGAAAAAGTAAAATAGGGTGATAGTGAAAGAAAGAGAATGACATTGCTCAGAACTTGTTATTATGCCATTATTTTAGGTTTTTCTCTATTATTTTCCATCTTACTCCTTAGTGTGTGGTCCACTGGGAAGCAGCAGAACCTGGTAAGAAAATCAGAACTTAGCATTGTTTTATTTCTTTTTTTTTTTTTTTTTTTTTTTGAGACGGAGTCTTACTCTGTCACCCAGGCTGGAGTGCAGTGGTGCAATTTCGGCTCACAATTTTTTGTATTTTTAGTAGAGACGGGGTTTCACAGTGTTAGCCAGGATGGTCTCGATCTCCTGACCTCATGATCCGCCCGCCTCGGCCTCCCAAAGTGCTGGATTGCAGGCATGAGCCACCACGCCTGGCCACATTGTTTTATTTCTATCTTCAGAGAGTAATCCCTCCCTTCTCTGAAGGAGAGTCTCTCTTCCCTGCCTCCAGGGGTATGATTTTAGGAGGGCTCTGAAGCTGGGCGCGTGACCCAAGAAGAATCAATGAAAGTACTTCACCTCCTGACCAGTGTTTGGGTGGATATGGGCATATGACCCAAGTAAGTCAATCAGAGCCTTTCCCCAGTTTCCCCCCGCCTACAGTTTATTGGGGGAAGAGTCCATCCTTCTCTGGTGGCCAAGGAAGAGGTGAGCCAGGAGCTGCTGGCTGCTGTGGTTACAGCTTTGTGAAGAAGCCAACCTGAGAAAAAGAAGCTAATACTCACAGAGAAGTAAAAAATGGAAGACAGAAAGAGTTCTGACCTGTTTGAGATGCTGTTCATCCCTGTCTTTCCTGAGAGTTCATTACATGAGAAAGAATTCTCGTAGTTCAAGCTGGCTGTCATTGAAATCTTTTTAAAAATGAGTAATTAATATAGGTTTCTTGGGCTGGGTGCGGTGGCTCATGCCTGTAATCCCAGCACTTTGGGAGGTCGAGGCGGGTGGATAACCTGAGGTCAGGAGTTCAAGACCAGCCTGGCCAACAAGGCGAAACCCCATCTCTACTAAAAACACAAAAATTAGCTGAGTGTGGTGGCGGGCGCCTGTAATCCCAGCTACTCGGGAGGCTGAGGCAGGAAGAATTGCTTAAATCCAGGAGACGGAGGTTGCAGTGAGCCAAGATCATGCCACTGCATTCCAGGCTGGACTCTGTCTCAAAAAACAAACAAACAAACAAAAACATATATGTGTGTGTGTGTGTGTGTGTGTGTGTGTGTGTATGTATGTATATATAGTCCTCTGGCATAGATTATAATATAGTCAATCTTTCCAAAGCAGCGAAGAGTGGCTTGGGTCCCTAGTGAAAAAAACTGAGGGCTCCTCCTGTGAGGCTGGGTTTATATTGATATGCAATATAGTTGGTTCCCAGAACCCCTTCCAGATGGCTGCATACCAGATATTTGTAAAGAATTTCCCTCCCTCTCCTATTAGTCTTGATTCTTTCCTCTTCCTGACCCAGATGTCAGCTTCTATTGAGATCTAAGTGTCTTGAGCTCTCCGTTCCCTTATTACAGGCTTCTTGGATCTCAAATAATCTAACTTCACTGCAGTTACTCCACTGGACTGCTGCCTAGTAAGTCTGGAGGCCAAGATCTAAAATATTGTTCTGAGACCTCCAGGAATATCGGCTTCCTTCCTTCTTCCCCCGTTCGAGAGAAATGGCCTCATTGAACTCTTCTGAGGGATGACCTCAGTGTCTTTTTCAAATTGGAAAGAAACATGAGTTTTATCCCAACTCATGCCCGCCTCCTTAGCCATGACATATAGACAATGGACTCTCACCGAGAACTCTGCCAAGCATACCTGAGTAGGAGCTGATTCCTAAGTGTTTATTCCTAAGCAATTTATTAGGTGGACTAGAGAGAGTATCTTCCTCTGCCATCAACCTGACAGCATGAGAGGGGTGCTGTTCTCCTTAGAAACTTGAACTTGAGCATGGACAAAGACTTTTCCTTTACTACCTTGTGGACCAGCTGAGAGCAATTTGGAACATTCCAACAAGACTTTACCAAAGATTTCTGGAAAATAAGCAGAGAGGGAAATAAGAATCTAGATCATCTGATATCAAGTTACAGCTCTTGCTCATGGCCTCAAGAACTCCTGCCTTCAACCTGGGCGACAGAGTGAGACCCTGTCTCAAAAATAAATAAATAGGGTCGGGCGCGGTGGCTCAGGCCTGTAATCCCAGCATTTTAGTAGGCCGAGGGGGGCGGATCATGAGGTCAGGAATTCAAGACCAGCCTGTCCAACGTGGTGAAACCCTGTCTCTACTAAAAATACAAAAATTAGCTGGGCGTGGTGGTGCATGCCTGTAGTTCCAGCAACTCAGGAGGCTGAGGCAGGAGAATCGCTTGAACCTGGGAGGCAGAGGTTGCGGTGAGCTGAGATTACGCCACTGCATGATGCCTGGGTGACAGAGAGAGATTCTGTCTCAAAATAAATAAATAAAATAAATAAATAAATAAATAATAAATAATGACTCCTGCCTTAACTGCTTGTAATCTGGTGCCCTCAGAGGTTCCAACTTTTTATTATTCTCATCCTTCCCATCTTGGATTTCCTGCCCCCTTCTGGAGGAAGAACTCCAAAGAATATCAGCCAACGAACCAGTGGTGAGTAGTTGTGGTACATCAAGGCTCATGGACTCTGCGATGTCTTAAGAATATGCCTGGATATGCGATCTTGGGCAAAAGTGAATATTTTTCTTTTTTTCTTTTCATTTTGAGACAGAGTTTCACTCCTGTTGCCCAGGCTGGAGTGCAATGGTGTGATCTCGGCTCACTGCAAACTCCACCTCCCGGGTTCAAGCGATTCTCCTGCCTCAGCCTCCCAAGTAGCTGGGATTACAGGCATGCACCACCACACCCAGCTAATTTTGTATTTTTGTAGAGACGGTGTTTCTTCATGTTGGTCAGGCTAGTCTCGAACTCCCGATCTCAGGTGATCTGCCTGCCTCGGCCTCCCAAAGTGCTGGGATTACAGGTGTGAGCCACCACACCCAGCTGAAAGTGAACATCTTTCAGTTGGAGCAAGAGCTTCAACCACAGATACTTCTCTCAGTGCAGGAGCCATTGCTCTATTCAAGGACTTATGGGAAGTTGTTGAAGAAGAGAATGGGTCTATCAGTTAGCTTTTATTGTAAAACAAACTACTCCACAACTTTAGTGGCCTTAAAACAGTGGGTTGACTGGGCAGTTATTTTGGTCTAGATGAGCTCACCTGGGGCTGGATGGTCTAGAACGGTCTCATGCACAGTCTTTCAGTTGGCAGGCCACTGGTCCAGGGCCTCAGCTTGAGCAACTTGATTCTACTCCATGAAGTCTCTCATTCTTCAATAAACCCGTCCAGGCTTCTTCACATGGCCATCATAGGTTTCCAGAGAGCAGCAAGAAAGGGTGGGCCCTGATGCAAAAAGCCCTTTACAAGTCTCTGCTTGTGTCACATTTGCTATTGTACCACTGTCCAAAGCAAGTCACAGGGCCGAGCTCAGGGTTAGTGAGGGAGAGGCCAACCAAAAGCATGGATATTGACAGCGTAATGATTGTGACAATTTTTGTAAAAAATCTGCCACAGTTAAGAAGGAGGGAAGGATAAAGGAAGGAAGAAAATGAGGGAGATCCAGGGACTTTGTGGTGCTGCACCCTCTATTACTCTGGTCTATCATTCTGTTGAGGTGAGCAGGCTGTTGGCACAAGCTTAACTTCAAAGGAGCCCAGGGCATCTGTGGAAGCACCTATGGCTGTGTTTGAACCTGTGGAAATATTACCCTCAGAGGTTTCTGCTTTCTGGGTTTGTTTGTTTGTTTTTGAGACAGAGTCTCGCTCTGTTGCCCAGGCTGGAGTGCAGTGGCATGATCTCAGCCCACTGCAATCTCCACCTCCCGGGTTCAAGTGATTTTCCTGCCTCAGCTTCCCAAGTAGTTGAGACTACAGGTGCCCGCCACCACAGCCAGCTAATTTTTTTGTATTTTTAGTAGAGATGGGGTTTCACTATGTTAGACAGTATGGGATGGTCTCCATCTCCTGACCGTGTGATCCGCCCTCCTCAGCCTCCCAAAATGCTGGGATTACAGGCGTGAGCCACCATGCCCAGTCTGTTTGTTTTTTGAGACAGAGTCTTGCTCTGTCTCCCAGGCTGGAGTGCAGTGGTGCGATCTCCGCTCACTGCAACTTTCATCTCCTGGGTTCAGGCGATTCTCCTGCCTCAGCCTTCCGAGTAGCTGGGACTATAGGCATGTGCCACCACACCCGGCTAATTTTAGTATTTTTAGTAGAGACGGCGTTTCACCATGTTGGTCAGGCTGGTCTCGAACTCCTGACCTCAGGAGATCTGCCCGCCGTGGCCTCCCAAAGAGTTGGGATTACACAGGCGTGAACCACCTGGCCCGGCCAGGTATCTGTTCTTTATAAATTGACTGCCACCACCAAAGAAAAATCATTCCCTCACCCATTCCTCCTACCCCACTCAAGAATGTTGTTCTTGTTTAGTTAAACCCACGCTCCCTAGCTGGAGGCTCTTTGAGTAGTTGTGGATTTGGTTGCCCAATATACTATTTTATGTCCTACCCCTTGAAGTAAGAGAGCTGTCTTCCTGACCAAGGGTGGGCCCATGATTTGGTTCTGGCCAATAAGAGAACCTCTTCACCCTGGTTGCAGCCAGTGGTTCAGGATGACCATGTGACTCCTGGTCCAATCAGAGAGACCTTGCTACTTGGACAGATTGTCCAGCTTTGGGATCACAGTACTGGTAGAAAGTGAAGTTGGGACTATATATAGGAGGAGAAAATAGGTCAAAACACAAAGAAAGGCAAAGATAGGCAGAACTAAGAGATGGAGAGGATGCCATTGTTTGAGCCCCTGGATCTAGCTAGCCGGAAGAGCATACTGAAAATATACAGTAACATTAAGCTACTTTGAATTGGATTTCTATCACCAGCAACCAGAATCCTAACAAAAAGACCGGATAGAAGGTAAAAGCAGAAAAGCTCTTTTTCTTTGATGCGGGTGATGCTAATGGTGGGAGTAGTTAAGTTGGCATCAGGACCCCTTGTTATTATACTCCACTGACTGTTCTCTCTTGGAGCCCCATCATTGAGAGCCAGTTAAGGGCCTTATAGTCTTTTTTTTTTTTTTTTTTTTTTTTTTTTTTTTGAGACAGAGTCTAGCTCTGTTGCCCAGGCTGGAGTGCAGCGGCCCATCTCAGCTCACTGCAACCTCTGCCTCCCGGATTCAAGCGATTCTTCTGCCTCAGCCTCCTGAGTAGCTGGGATAACAGGTACCTGCTACCATGAAGGGCCTTATATTCTATTGGTTGATGCCAAATGAATAGAACTTAACCAAGAGAGCAAATTGCCTCATTAACTTTATTTATTTATTTATTGAGACACGATCTGGCCCTGTAGCCCAGGTTGGTGTGCAGTGGCATGATCTCAGCTCACTGAAACCTCTGCCTCCTGGGCTCAAGCCATCCTCCCACCTCAGCCTCCTAAGTAGCTGGATCTACAAGGCATGCACCACCAAGCCCGGCTAATTTTTGTATTTTTGGTAGAGGCAAGGTTTTTCAATGTTGCCCAGGCTGGTCTTGAACTCCTGGACTCAAGCAATTGCCCGCCTTAGCCTCCCAAAGTGCTGGGATTACAGGTGTGAGCCACCTCTACCTAGACTGCTTTAATTCTTCCTTCCCTATTCTATCTCCTCATCTAGTTTTGGAACAGAGTTACTCTGGAAAGCAACTCTTGAATCAAACCTGACATAAACTATTAACTTAGCTAGTTACATCAACTTTCAAAATTAAACAGACTGTCCAGTGCTTGGGATACCAGAAGACCATGAAGAATCACAGGCCAGCTTTCTTAGGAATTGCTTCTTAACTTAATTTGGGCATCATTCAGTAGGAAAAGAATGCCACGCCAGACTTGATATTAAACAGAGGCCGGAAGATATAAATAACTCAAATAAAGCAAATCAAGAATCACCATCTCACTAGTAGGAGGAGAGAAAATAAAGTGAAAAATAAGAAGGAAAAGACCAGACTGTGAACTTTTGAAGGGAAATATTATTTGCAAGTGAGAGACACTGAATAAAATCAAGTACAATGAGTTCCTCAGTGAACATTACAAAAAAACACACAAAACAGGAGCTATTTAAAGACTAATTATGAGATGTTGACAGATATAAAATGCCACCTGAGTTAGACAAGAAAACCTGAATGGGAAGCTAGGATAGTGGTTTTCTATTCAGGGCCTTTCCCTGAAATATAAGCACCCTCATTGGTGATAAATTTTAAATGAGCAAGTCCTAAAAAAAAGTTTTTCACAAGAATATAAATGAAGAAATAGATGAGTTATTGTCAAAGATTTTGGTACATCTCATCCTAGAGTAAGACTTTTATGGCAAATTGCTTTGCAGACAACCAAAGCTAAATATAGCATCAGGTTACTTTTGGGGTACAGTATCCCTTAGCTACTCTCTGAATCTAATTAGAACGTTAATAAAAAGAATGCTAGACATTCTCAGAACACCTTTAAAAACACACTGGCGCCGGGTGCGGTGGCTCATGCCTGTAATCCCAGCATTTTGGGAGGCCGAGGTGAGTGGATCACGAGGTCAGGAGATTGAGATCATCCTGGCTAACACGGTGAAAACCCGTCTTTACTAAAAATACAAAAAATTAGCCAGGCGTGGTGGCGGGCGCCTGTAGTCCCAGCTGCTCGGGAGGCTGAGGCAGGAGAATGGCGTGAATGCGGGAGGCAGAGCTTGCAGTGAGCCGAGATCGCGCCACTGCACTCCAGCCTGGGCAACAGAGTGACACTCCGTCTCAAAAAAAACCCCCAAAAAACAAAAACAAAAACATTGGCTTACAAGTATATGCATATATCCAAACTCAGCAAATTGTATACATTAAATATAGGCAGTTTTTTTAAAAAAAATACAAAAACACAAGAGACAACACACACACACACACACACGCACAGGCTTGGCTTTATTTTGTTTATCACCCTGTGTTCAACAAAAACTGTTAGCATTTCTATGAGTTTTTTGTTTACTGAGTTGGTTTAAGTAACTCTATCCCTATAAGCTTTATAAAACCTCCACTAGTTGTATGCCTGAAATATCTAAGTTGAAGGAGTGGTGAGTGAATGAATGGCTACTGGCTACTTCTCTAGTAGCATTACTGTTCTGGAAATGAAGTCCTAACATTAATTTGGAGTTGTAATTTGGAGGCTCATTTAACTCATTTATTGAGCCCCTACAGTGCACAAAGCCACAAGCCTAAGCACTAGGAATCAAATCTGTGCCTAAGGGAAGGCCTTATTTATTGCTTGGGAGATAGAAGTGTCATGATTTACCAGATAGGATATCTCTGTAGTTTCTAGTGGCAGAATGAGGAAGTTAAGGAATTGAGAGTATTTTGTTTGTTTTATTTTTACCTTCCATTTCCTAAGTGGGCCTTGAGGCTTTTTTTTCTTTTCTTTTTTTAATCAGAGGAAGTAAAGTGAAATAGAAGAGATCCTGTGGTGCAGAGGTTAAGAGTGTGGGCTATGAAACTGGCCTTTCTGGCCTTCTCATTTACTAGCTGTGTGACTTCGGGCAAGTCTCTTAACCTTTCTGTGCCTCACTTTCATGAGTTGTATAGCAGGCATGACTATAATGATACCCACTTCATAGGAATATTGTGAAGATTAATGGAGTTAATATAAGTAAGTGCCTAGCAGGTGAGTAAATATGACTATTGGTCAACCAATCACTTAGCTACATTCATCTCTTACATTCCTGCCACTCAAATAACATTATTTTTCTTAAATATAAAGCTTGTTTGTGTCAGACTCCATCTAAGGTAGGTATTCCCACAGAGAGGGGCCTGAAATAAGAGGCTAAATTTAAATTTTTCCCTCAATGGCTTTAATTATTGATTTGCAGTTCAATTCATTTGCTACCAAATAGAGTATTCAATCACTGGCTACTTTGATCAAAGAACCCAACAGCTTCATATACAAAATGAGTACAATATCAACATTTTACTTCATTAAAAGTCGGTACTCATGATAAGTGAGTTAAGGGTATTAGAATGTTTGGAGGCCAAATGAAAGTATTATAACTAATGACACATAATGACATTATTTATCTGATTATTTCCTGCCTTTCAATTTTAGAAAGACTTGACTAGAGGCTGAATTTGGACATTAAACCCAAGAAAATGAACATTTGAAGGTAATTTCTCAAAGTAGAATTTGGCCAGGTCACCAGGCTTAGCAACCGTTTCAAAGAGAAAGATAACTGAGATTTTTAATGAGCTTTGAAACTTACCTAAAGGTGGGATAAAAGTGTGGTGTTAAGCAGTGTGAATTTTTCTTTTTTTTTTTTTTTTTTTTTTTTTTTTGAGGCAGAGTCTCACTCTGTTGCCCAGGCTGGAGTGCAATGGCACGATCTCGGCTCACTGCAACCTCCCCCTCCCAGGTTTAAGCGATTCTCCTGCCTCAGCTTCCCGAGTAGCTGGGACTACAGGCGTACGCCACCATGCTCAGCTAATTTTTGTATTCTTAATAGAGATGGGGTTTCACCACATTGGCCAGGATGGTCTCAATCTCCTGACCTCGTGATCTGCCCACCTCAGCCTCTCAAAGTGCTGGGATTACAGGTGTGAGCCACCGCACCCGGCCTGTGAATTAATTTTAGACAGCTTGTTTAGGATACATCCTAGTGGTAATATCTTTCTTCTGTACTGTAATTAGCCAGAAAATAATCTTTTATTTAATAACATTTTTTCTGATCTCCTTTGAGGAAATACTCTAAGGTCAGTTGTCACCTGATCGTATTGTCTGTGAAAATTGAGTGGTATTCTAGTTTTATTACAATAAATCACTTCAATGCGAGAAAGAGGGTACCAATTTTTTTTTTACCTAGCTACCAGCTAGATTTTATAAAATAGGGGCTAAGAGTTCAGAATTAGATTATGATGATCGTTTCTCTTTCTTTCTTTCTTCTTTCTTTCCTTTCTTTCTTTCTTTCTTTCTTTCTTTCTTTCTTTCTCTTTCTCTCTCTCTCTCTCTCTCCCTCCCTCTCTCTCTCTCTCTCCTTCTTTCTTTCTTGACGAACTTTTGCTCTTGTTGCCCAGGCTGGAGTGCAATGGCACGGCCTCAGCTCACCGTAACCTCTGCCTCCCAGGTTCAAGCGATTCTCCTGCCTCAGCCTCCCAAGTAGCTGGGATTACAGGCATGCGCCACCACTCCCAGCTAATATTTTTGTATTTTTAGTAGAGACAGGGTTTCTCCATGTTGATCAGGCAGGTCTCGAACTCCCGACCTTAGGTGGTCTGACTGCCTTGGCCTCCTAAAGTGCTGGGATTACAAGTGTGAGCCACCGCGCCCGGATGGTGATGGTTCTTTTCTATTTTCTTTTTATTTTTTGGGACAGGGTTTTGCTCTGTCACCCAGGCTGGAGTGCAGTGGTGTGATTATGGCTCACTGCAGCCTCAACCTCCTGGCTCAAGCCATCCTCCACCCTCAGCTTCCTATGTAGTTGGGTCTACAGGTGCATGCCACCATGCCTAGCTAGAATTTTATTTTTTAGAGAGATAGAGTCTCACTATATTGCCCAGCCTGGTCTCGAACTCCTGGGCTCAAGTGATCCTCCTGCCTCAGCCTTCCAAAGGGCCAAGATTACAAGCATGAGCCACTGCACCAGGCTCGACACTTATTTTCAATCCAATTTCTAAAGCACTATAATTTGATTGTTATCTAGATATGGGGACCACCTGCCATATTCTTTAAATGGTGGCCATAGCTGAATTTTGTGGGAAAAAATGCATTGCATTTTATAGAATATGGCCTCTATAGACTAATGTTACTCCAAAACCATTCAGGCTATGGGAATCTTCTGCCAAATCTAAACACTGTAGAGCTAAGAAAAGAAAGAGACTCTGGGGAAGACGAAATGAAATTAACTGAATAAATCCTAATTTGGAAGGGAGAAAAATGACAAATGGAAGAAAAATGCAAAAGGCAGAGAGGCAAATAGTTTCCTCT
This sequence comes from Homo sapiens, assembly GCF_000001405.40. NCBI lineage: Eukaryota > Metazoa > Chordata > Mammalia > Primates > Hominidae > Homo > Homo sapiens. The sequence continues at coordinate 225,658,173 of NC_000001.11, read as the reverse complement.
AATGTCTGTGTCTCCTGATAATATTTTAGAGCTGACATTATATATGGGCAGCTAAAGCTGAAAGATGAGAAATAAAAATATCTTGAATCCTACTGGAATATCATGTTCTACGTTATTTTTTTTTCCATTCTTGGGGACACAAACAAAAATTACACTGTGAACTAACTGCCACAAAAGAAAACAAAATACTGTTAGGTATAAGCAGAAAGTGTACAATCAAGTTCACTCCAAACTACCTTCTCTTCCTCACCCATCTGTAAAGTAACTTAATTTTTCGAGGGAGAGCCTTTTTTTTGGGTGATGGGGGAGACCGTGCCTACAATCCTTAGCATTGATTTCCTAACTGCTGAGTAGCATTAGTCACGCATCCTCCTCATGCCCATAAATGGAGGACAAGCCTACACTGATGCTATCAGATGAATTTAAACAAGGCATGTTCCAAGTGAACCCTCAGAGCCAGACTGACAACACTCCTGCAGCAAACTCATCTTCAACAGGAGCAAATTTTATTTCCTTTTCTGAGTACACACTGCTAACAAATGTATAGGCCAATGTGATGGCTCTGTACTGTACACCTAGGGCTTGGAGCAGGCCTCCTACTGTGATATTAAGCAGGGGTGGCTGGGCGCGGTGGCCCATGCCTGTAATTCCAGCACTTTGGGAGGCCGTAGCGGGTAGATCACCTGAGGTGAGGGGTTAGAGACCTGCCTGGCCAACATGTTAAAACCTGTCTCTACTAAAAATATGAAAATTAGCTGGGTGTGGTGGCGGGCGCCTGTAATCCCAGCTACTGGGGAGGCTAAGGCAGGAGAACCCCTCGAACCTGGGAGGAGGCTGCAGTGAGCAGGGCTCTCACCACTGCACTCCAGCCTGGGCAACAGAGCAAGAGTCGGTCGAAAAAAAAAAAAAGCATGGGTAAAAGTTTATCTAAGAGAAAGTTGAGGTCTATATACTTGATGTTAACAACAGAGTATATTTCTTTTGATGAATAGTTTTTAATTAGAGAAGTCATTCACTCATTTATTCATTCACCTTTTAAATACCTAGGTGCCTACATGATGGGCCAGCCATTGGGCCTTGGGCCAGCAACCCTTATGAGAGAAGAGTTCAAATGATTTCCACTATTCAGCCAAGCCAACACAATCTCAGCTAATTTTTAGTTTTTAATTTTAATTGTTTAGAGACAGGTTCTGTCTCTCAGGCTGGAGTGCAGTGGCTGGATCATAGCTCACTGCAGCCTCGAATCCCTGGGCTCAAACAATCTTCTTGCCTCAGCCTCCTGAGCAGCTGAGACCACAGGGGCGTGCTACAATACCTGGCTCATATTTTTTTTCTTTGAGACGGAGTCTCGCTCTGTCTCCCAGGCTGGAGTACAGTGGCACAATCTCAGCTCACTGCAACCTCTGCCTCCCAGGCTGGAGTACAGTGGCACAATCTCGGCTCACTGCAACCTCTGCCTCCCGGGTTCAAGTGAATCTCCTGCCTCAGCCTCTGGAGTAGCTGGGATTACAGGCACCTGCCACCACACCTGGCTAATTTTTTGTATTTTTAATATAGATGGGGTTTCACCATGTTGGCCAGGCTGGTCTCAAACTCCTGACCTAGTGATCCGCCTGCCTCAGCCTCCCAAAGTGCTGGGATTACAGGTATGAGCCACCGTACCTGGCTACCTGGCTAATTTTTTAAAAATTTTGTAGAAATGGGGTCTTGCCATGTTGCCCAGGCTGGTCTTGAACTCCTGGGCTCAAGTGATCTGCTGCCTCAGCCTCCCAAAGTGCTGGGTTTACAAACCTGAGCCATCATGCCAGGCCCAGACCTAATTTTTAAGCAGAGTTTATGAGAAGAGAATCAGCTTTAATTTTTATTGCCTTAGTGCACTCTCATCCCATAAGAAGGTAGTTTGATATAGTCGAAGGAACAATGGACCAAGATTTGGAAATCCTGAGTTTAAGTTGTGGGCAAGTTACTTAACCTCTCTGGGTCTCACATTTCTTTTCTGAAAAATGAGTGGGCTGGACCGAAGATTCCTTCCATCTCTAAAATTCTTTTATTCTATATGGTAACACATTCCACAGCATTTCCTTTGTGACCAGAATTAGTCTGTGACTTCCTACCTCAAGTATCGCTTTGCACTCTTTGAATGTTAAACCAAATATGAACAAGAAGCAATAACATTTTGTCACAGCCAACAAATTGCCCTTCCACAGAATGACCTTTGGGGGTCAGGCCACCCATTGCAATATCTAAATCCAAAAGGCAATGAATGCTATGACCAACTTGTGAGCTGGCAGGCTGCCATCCAAAAGGATGGAAATGGTTGTAGGCAGCCAAAATTCTTGGCTGGTACATTTTTAATAAACATAGAAAATAAGAACAGCATTTTCCACTTGGATTGCTTAATTTGGTGCCCATACCATTGGAACATTTGCTGTTAGAATAAAGATGATGTGATATATCACTTATTTAGCGCAGGATGGATTAACTTTCACAAATGAGAAGTAGGTTATGGAGTCATCTGTAAGGAATTTTTATCCTTGTTTCTTGTGTCTGGCAGGAGATAGCTTGAGTCATTACAGCACTCTCTCCACCCCTTTTGGCCCTTTGTAAGAGTTTTCCCTGAAACATAAGCTCTGTCGGATTTACTGTATTGCTATGAATGGACTAAGGCAAATTGGTGTGACTTCTCTGTGGTCGAATATGTTTTATTAATACTTTTCCAAGATGGTTCAATATGTCTTAATTTTTCCAAGAAAAAACTCTCCACAGCACATGTTCAAATACTTGAGGTATGTGTTTCAAACTACAGGGAGAAACTTACGTAAGACAATGACCCTCATAGTTGGTAGCTATGATTTTTAATCATGCCTGTTGCACTAATTGATCCAGTTACTTGAGCTCTATGTTTCCCTGTCTCTACTTGCAATATGGCAACTAGAACATTTGACTGGCAAGTTTGTTTTCTCTCCAGTGGTTGGAGATCCTTGAATAAAATGCCCTCTGTAATGGTAAGCTGTAATTAGATATGTGGGTGGAAATTAGCGTTCTTCAAGTACACCATGTTTAAGGCAGAGGCATCATGCTTTCTACTACCTGAGGCCACCTTGATCCTCTGCCATAGCTCCGGGTCACTGCTTCTATAGGGCTGTTGGTCTAAGGCTGCCGGTTCCAAAAAGAAAATAACTCGGTATTGAGCTCTGAAACCAGGAATTTTATTTATTTATTTATTTATTTATTTATTTATTTATTTTTTAGATGGAGTCTCGCTCTGTCACCTAGGCTGGAGTGCAGTGGTGTGATCTGAGCTCACTACAACCTCCTCTTCCCGGGTTCAAGCGATTCTCTTGACTCAGCTGGGATTACAGGCGTGCACCACCACGCCCGGCTGTTTTTTTATTTTTTATTTTTAGTAGAGACAGGGTTTCGCCATGTTGGCCAGGCTGGTCTGGAACTCCTGACCTCAGATGATTCGCCTGCCTCAGCCTCCCGAAGTGCTGAGATGACAGGCGTGAGCCACCGCACCCGGCTGAAACCAGGAAGCTTTTTTTATGGTTAAAAATGGGCTACACAGTTCAATTATAGACAAATCAGGCATTGACCACGGATCACTATAACCTGTCTTTTCATTTGGAAGTGTACATTATCCCAACCTTCCTAACTATCTTTTGAATGGTACCTGCATCTTAAAACAAAACACCAAAACTTTTGAATGGATTCCTGGAGTCATGGTAGGTCCTCCATTTTGGATGAGATCCTTCAGCAATAGGATCCCTGTAGCAACAACCCTTTTCTATCCTCCTCACCTTTTATACAGAAAGTACATCCCTGTCTTCCGGACTAAAAGGGGGCCGTAATTCGTACAGTTAAAAATTTTATTATTGGATTTGTTTTTAGATTTAAAAAAAACCGAAAACAAAACCTTCAACAACGATCAATTCTGGCTTCCTGGATGCCCTCCTCCCCGACTTGACTTGAAATGAAATTGCCTCGCCAGTATTTTATATCTACTTTTTAAGGGAGGTGACTTCAAGACCATTGGGAATGACGAAAAATTTAAAATTATCATTAGTTCCTCTCTCTCCCCGCCCCCTGCCCGGGATTCCCTCTTTGCTAATGACGCTGGAAAGCGGCTCCACTGGCTGCGTTTCTCTTCTTCCACTCTTGCGGCAACACACTGTTCCGCGCGCGTCTCCCGGCGACTGCGTTTCCCCGAGAGTCGGCTGCGTTCGTTTGGGGATGAAGTCATCCCTATACCTAGTGTGCACATCAACTCGTTCCATCGGCGCAGCACGCTGGGATTCCTCGGGAAGAAAAGGAGCGAAGGGAACAATGATGACCATATTTTCCATTTATATGCCCCTCCTCAACTCCGCAGGAATCGCTGGGCGCAGCCGCGGCGAGGGCGGGCAGTTGGGCTGACCGGGATGCCCCCCGATTCCCTCATCCCCGTCCTGAGACCGCAACAGGGCGGGCTGAGCACTCGCCCCGCGCGAGGGCACCCGGCCGCGAGCCGACCCGGAGTCTCCTGGCCCGGCCCTGTGCCCAGTCACGCGTCCAAGCTCCCCACGCCGGTGCCTACGGGTCTGGCGCCCAGGAGGTCTCGGCGCCTCGGTCTCCGCACCGTGGCCGTGGGGGAGGCCTCGGAGCTCCCCAAGCCTCTGGGGAGCGGGAGGCGACGGGGAGGGGGCCGACGGTCAAGGACAACCACGGGCGAGGAACCCCGGCCGACAACTGGCCGGAGGTGTTGGGCGGGAGGGGGGGGTGGTGGCCCGCCCGAATCCCAGAGGGGTGCAGGGGGCGGGGTAGGGAGGCAACAAAGAGCCTCTCTCCGCCGCCGCCGCCGTCGCGCTCGCTCTCTCCCAGCCTCGCTCTCCGCAGTCCGGCGGGGGCCCGGCCGCCGGCGCGGGGGAGTGCGCCCGGCCCCCCGCCTCCCCTTTCCTCCCCTCCCCCCGCACCGCCCCCTCGCCCCCGGGGGAAGGAGGGGAGGAGGGCGGCGCCTGCGTGTTCCTCCGCCGCGCGCCCCGCCTCCTCCCGGGTTCCTCGCGGCGATCCCGACTCTCCTCCCGCGGCTGCAGCAGCTGCCGGTTGCACACGGCCTCGGCGGCGGCGCGGCGAGCGCGGGCCTGTGGAGCGGCGGCCGGGCGCGCGGCCCCGGCGGGCACCCCTCAGAGGGCGGCCGAGGAAGCTCCGGGAGGAGGAGCAGGACCACGAGGAGGTGGGAGGCGGCGGCCGCCTGGGGACCAGCTCCGCGCCTCGGCCTCTCCGCCCCCTCCCCAGCCTTTCTCTCGCCCTCTTCTCCCACACTCCCGGCCGGCGCCTCGGCTTTGTGCGAGGAGATGGTGTAGCCCCCTGGCCGCCGAAGGAGGAGCCGGACACTTGTCTCCCGTCTCCGAGCTGCTCCCCACCCCTGGAGGAGAGACCCCCCCCTCGGCTCGGCGCCTTCTGCGTCTCCCGGCTGGTGGGGAAGCCTCTGCGCCGCCGGCACCATGAGGTGAGGGGCGCGCGGGGCGGGGGCCGGGCGGGCCATTGTGCCGCGGGAGCCGCGACCCCCGTTCTCCTCGGACCCCGCCTTCCCTCTCCCGGCCCGGCGCGTCTCCCCTGGTCTCCGGTCTGTTCCTCCCCCCTCCGCCTTTTGTCCCTTCCAATTTCTCTTTCTTTCTTGGAAACCTCCCCAACCCGTGTGGTTTGGGGGTCTCGCTTCATCGTTCTCTCATTTTTCCTCAAATGCTCTTCTTTCACCCAGGATTTCCCTTCCTAAATTTAATTTGCGCCTGGCTCCCTCCCCCAAGCCTTTGCAAGCGAAACCCGGGAGATGGGGAGGGGTTCGAGAATCGAAGCGTGCGTGTTGCTGGGAAACAGGTATTTTTTCGTATATATGTAAAAATTTCATGCACTTTTGCCTCCGAACTCTCGTGTTTAATTAAAAAAGGAAGAAAAGTTTGAAAGGTCTGAAATCTCTGCGGGTAATAAAGTGCCTCTGGTAGGGGTAGGTGAAGGAGCTGTGAAAGGTGAAATTTCACGATGGTGGGGGAAGGGAAAGAATTGATTAGGTTCACGTGGTGGGGGCAGTAAAAGACTGGGATAAGTAAGTTGGTAGGGGTGTGTAAGCGGGGGCGGGGAAGGGATCTGTTTGGAAAAGCCTTTTCTCCCCTTTCTCTGTAGCAGCCTGTGTTGCATTGCAGCAGCTGCTTTTTCCCTTTGCTCTGTACTCAATAAAACAGGAGCTAAATTATTTTTGCGGCCCCGAAGAATTGAATGTACTGTCGTAAAATATTTTTTTAATTGATACGATGAAACATATGGTATGATATTTTTCTTTATTGTTTCTCAAATTGTGTAGGAGAATAAACCGTGATGTGGTGTGTCATTCATTGGAGATTTTTTTTCCAGCCTTTCCTAAACCTGTTCTGTGTCCATAACCTTCTCTTTTCGGATTGGTGCAAGACTTCGTGTGAAATGGGACTTGGTAGACTGAAGGCTGATCCATTCTGCGTTATCATCCTTAAAGGCCTTCCTTTTGGGTTAAACAATTGTGGATAAAGTAAATTACTCCATTTCTCTCTCCTGGAAGAGATAGTCTTACAGTTCATTTGGATTTGAATCTCCTTTGTGTTAAAGATTAATGGCCAACCGTTGCTAAGACCTTTATAATGTAATACAATGAGATTTGAATGATATAATCTACAAATTCCTTCGCTTTGGCAAGAAAATGTCATGTCATTGGAATTCTTTCTCAATTTCGGTAGTTTCCATTTTAAACTTTGCTTTTCATTTTTTTTTTCTATCAAGGTTAAACGTGTTTCCATTTTGCTTTTATATATATATTGTGATATATCTTTGTTGAATTTTTACTTAGGCTTACTGTGAATTTGAATTTTTTTTTCTGATTCCAAGTTACCTGTATTTATGATGGCCTTAAAGAGTGAGTTTAATGTGGTGTCTCTAGGCGACTGACCCCTTTTCCCTTGATGATTTCACACAAGTTATTTTCAAATATAAGCGATGAGTTTAAATAGTAATTATAGCATACGAACCAAAAAACACAATCTTTGTAAAATATGGCTTGAAAACTTTGAGTCGTATGTTTGAGCATGACTTCTTTTTTTTTAAATCAAGTTACTGATGTCCTTAAACTCAGGAACTATAATATACATACTGTTATATCTTGTAATATTATATGTTGTTGGTTTCTGTTTTAGAGATCTAATGCCGTAGGGATCTTGCAGACCAGAAGTTATCAGTTGTTTCAAACTTTGGGTAAACTTATCTTAACATTGAGAAATATAAAACAGGGAAAGTTTTTTTTTTTTTTTTTTTTTTTTTTTTTTAAATGCAGTCTTGCTCTCTTGCCCAGGCTGGAGTGCAGTGGCGCGGTCTCGGCTCACTGCAACCTCCGCCTCCTGGGTTCAAGCGATTCTCCTGCCTCAGCCTCCCAAGTAGCTGGGATTACAGGCGGGTATCACCACGCCCGGCTAATTTTTTGTATTTTTAGTAGAGACGGGGTTTCACCATGTTAGCCAGGATGGTCTCCAACTCCGGACCTCGTGATCCACCAGCTTCGGCCTCCCAAAGTGCTGGGATTACAGGCGTGAGCCACGGTGCCTGGCCGAAAGTGGGTTATTTTTAAATAAAAACAGGAATAGTTGTCTAATTCAAAGATTGTGAACTAAAAAAAAGTTACCGTTTTGGGTATTCAGTGAAGTTTAATCACTGTCATGTATAGATGTCAGTCTGTCACAGGTAAATTATGTCTTCACTTGAAAATTCCTTTTCTAATAAAAAGTAACTTCTGTTTTTCAAGCTCTTTTCTTGCTCTGTTCCTTATGAAGTGTAGAGAGAGAGGAACCACGCTGATGTTTTCCAGTAACGTAAATATAGAACTTGGTACACAGGTCTGAAAAGTTTATTTAAGCAGTCTACAGTAATTCTTCGTAGGCTAATTTTGAATAAGAGCAGGAAAGAGGGTCAGCTTTTCACTTTGGAAGGTACTGGATTATTTGGCAGGTGGTTAGGTAGTACTTAGATTTGCTTAGATACCTGTAAAAGTGAGATTGGTATGGGATAAAACGTTCTTGTGCTGCTTGCAAAAGTCTTTGGAATATTCTTTGGGATATTTTGGTGCTTAGGAAGTGCTTTTCAGGTTATATTAATATATGCTTAGTCTTCATGCTTTCAAGTCCTGTGGGACGTTAATGTTAGTCTTTTAAGTTGAGTCCTTTTTGGTTATATTAAGAGGTAGTTCTGATGTTTCAAAGGCCATCCAGAAATAGGAATGCCTGAACAGGAATTTCCAATTAAGTCGGTCAGAATCCTGAACAGAGGATATGATGAATATATTACGGTATAACTATTAGTGGTATCTGTCAGATGACTTTAATTTTAGGAATAGCATGATCACTGTGTATAATCTTATACAGAAGAGAACTGAATAATAGTTTATGTTCCTGAAACGGTCATAGGCATTTGAGTAAAATGCAGTATATAGATTTACTTGTTAATATTTTGCTTAAAGATGAATATTTAAAAAATGAAAAAGCATATTACTTATACAGGACAGTGGAAAGGTTGAGACCAAAAAGCTGGTACTTTTAGTGTCCTGTCTGTTTAGTTCTATTCTTATTTTTCATTTATGCAATGTTTCAAAAGTGTAAGATGCTTTGTGATTAAAGTGTGCGTGTATGTATGTGAATGCGTTTGTATGCATGTACATACAGTGTGTGCCTTTTAAGTGCATTTTTAAAATTAGTTGGTTTGTTACTTAAGATTTTTTTTTTTTTTTAACTGAAAGAGGAGCTTGTCTGATCTAAAATAGTTGCATGTAGCCTGGTGGCTAAGGAGAGCTCAGAAGATTTTGTATTTACATTCTTGGATCCGTATTAAAATAGTCCAGGCTTCCACTAGCTACTCTGACTTTCTCATATAAAAAGGTATAGTAGGGTTATGAGGATTTGTCCAAGCCATTTACTAGCTGGGTGACCTTGAAGTAATCACATTATTTCACTGATGCCTTTTTAAAAAATATGTAAAAATAGAGATAATTCTTAACTGAGTAGTGAGGATCAAATGATAATAGAAGGTACTTTATACACTGGTAAGCCTTAAATTTATGTTACTCCTCCTGTTTCCAGGCCTATTTCTATGTTAGACTATTTGGGTAAAACTTCTGGGCAGTGGGCTCCACCTTGCGACCTTATTTAGCTCAAGGATGTCAAAAAGACCACATTTTTATTATTTTATAGGTGAGGAAGCTGTTCCCTTCTTCTGTGTTTCCTTCCTTAGGGTCTTTGAAGTATCTTTATTTGTGGTAATCATAAATTTTATATACATTTCAGAGTGTGGTACAATCAAGGGTCAGAAGATCCAGGTTTTATATGCTGACCTGTTAATTGAGTAAACTGGTAAAAAAAAAAAAAAAAAAGGAGATAATCTTATATTTCACAGGATTGTTTTGTGAAGTGTCAAGTGAGATATCCATGAAAGGATACAAATAGTAGTCTCTTTGTTCCCATGGGTCTTCATTTATACTCGTAGCTGTTGGATGTGTGACTTTCCCACAGAGGTTTATTTTAGGAGCAAGAGCCAAATCTTCATTTTTTGAATGTCAGTATTGTAGGAATTTACTAAGTGAATAAATCTTGAAGAAGAGTGTGGATTAATAGAGAAAATTCACTAAAGTTTATTCAGTATTCAAGGTGTTGGATACCTTGTTGGCCCAGTTGGATTAAGCAAAATAACTATGGAGGCACCATTTGGCTGGTATAGAAGAAATTACATACTGAATAGGTTTTGGTGATTTATCTTACAGAAGGCTTAAAACAGGTGATTGTATAACTTGTAAAATATCTAGTCTGTATCATGAGTGTAAGAAAGATTTGAAAAAATGTGATTTCAATTTTTATATGGTTGTAGGGGAGTAAAAGGGTATTTAAACCCTACTTGTGCCAACTTAAAGTTGTCTTTTCCTCTTTTTTCTCCTCCTTGTTTGAAATTGATGAATGGAATTAAGTGGAAGTAAAAGTTAGAGAATATGAGCTGAGGCTGTACTTCAGTGGATGCTTCTTCAGATAAGGGTTTACGAAATTTTCCTGACTAGAAACAAGAAGGGGACTCCTTGTCAGACCTGGGATATAGTCCTTGACTTGCCCCTAACATGCTCCCCCAACCCCCTTGTCCCCCACTATTCCTGTGTGTTCCAGTGCACTTTACATGTTTTTTTGCTATTGAATTTATTCTGTCTTATAATTATGTGGTTCTTTTTGTCCCTCTTCATTGTAAGTTCCTTGAAGAGGATTTTTATATTCATGGTACTAGCAAAATACTAGCATTTTTATATTCATGGTACTAGCAAAATACTTGGCAAATAGTGGGTGGCCTGTGTAAGTGTTTGACTTTGACTGCGTTGCTCTTTTATAGAATCTGTTCACTAGCAACCCCATTTTTGGAATACCTGTAGTGTTCTAGAAGCTCTACTGGATATTGTAGGGTGTAGTGTAGTATTTGGTGGATACTAAATGTTAATAACATAATTTAATTAAGCAAGCAAAAACTCACATCCTGACTCCAGGAATAGGTGTAGAATTTGGTTTTCTTTTGTTCTTTTTTAAATTTTAATTTAATTTTTATTTTGTAGAGATGTGGTCTTGCTATGTGGACCAGGCAGGTTTTGAACTCACCTGGCCAGAATTTATTTCTTATTCTAACACAGAGCTTGGAAGTGGCTACAAGTGTCAGGATTGTCTAAATTCTAAGCCCTTTGGAGGATACCATGTTTACTTGACTTTATGATTAAATTCTGAATTACTGAAAGGGCCATCAATCTGTTTTTAAGTCTCTTTGACCAAAGAACTTGTAAATATTTTCAAGTAACAAGCATATGCATCTCTATTGGTTTAATTTATTTTTACCCCATTTAGTGCTTGCTTTGTTTTGATTCTTTTTTTGTTTTTGTTTTTTGAGATGGAGTCTCACTCTTGCCCAGGCTGGAGTGCAGTGGCATGATCTCCACTCACTGCAGCTTCCGCCTCCTGGGTTCAAGCAATTCTCTAGCCTCAGCCTCCCGAGTAGCTGAGACTACAGGCGCGTGCCACCACGCCCAGCTAATTTTTTGTATTTTTAGTAGAGATGGGGTTTCAACATGTTAGCCAGGATGGTCTTGATCTCCTGACCTCGTGATGCGCCCACCTCAGCCTCCCAAAGTGCTGGGATTATAGGCGTGAGTCACCGCCCCCAGCCCTGCTTTGTTTTGATTCTTATCAGTGCTTCAAATACCAATCACTGGGTAGTGTATGATACTCTTGAAGTATTAGTGTGGGCTGCCATAACAAAATACCATAGACTGGGTGGCTTAAACAACAGAAAATTATTTTTTATTTTTATTTATTAATTTTTTTGAGACAGTCTCACTGTGTCGCCCAGGCTGGATTGCAGCGGCTCGATCTCAGGTTACTGCAAGCTCTGCCTCCCGGGTTCACACCATTCTCCTGCCTCAGCCTCCTGAGCAGGTGGGACCACAGGCGCCTGCCACCACGCCTGGCTAATTTTTTTGTATTTTTTAGTTGAGATGGGGTTTCACTGTGTTAGCCAGGATGGTCTTGATCTCCTGACCTCGTGGGATTACAGGTGGGAGCCACAGCGCCCGGCCTAGACATTTATTTTAAGGTTCTGGAGGCTGGAAGTCAGAGATCAGGTTGCCAGTATGGATGGGTTTTGGTGAGGGTTCTCTTCCTGGCTTGCAGAAGATATCCTTCTCTCTGTGTCCTCACATGGTAGGGTGGGTATGGGAATCCTGGGGTCGGGGAGATGAGGGGGGATTTCTCTCTCCTCCTCATTTCATAAGGCCATTAATCCTATTGAATTAGGGCCCTGTGCTTATAACTTAATTTAACATTAGTTACCTCCTAAAAGCCCTTTTTCCAAATAGAGTCACATTGAGGGTTAGGGTATTAACATATAAATTTTAGGGGAACACAGTTCAGTCTATAGCAGAAGATAACTACATTTTTTTTTTTTGTCAGTGCATACAACTTTGGAAGAAAATAATTTGTTTAATATTTAGGTGAACTTTAGATAAGTTTTGTTTTAAGTAACCAGAAGTTGTTTACTAAAGAAGATAAATTAGGGGGGTTGATTGATTTATACAAGATATCCGTTAAATTTTCTAGAAATCTCTTTACACTGGGAACCTTCTATTTTACAATGATTAAAGTAAGTTTTATTAACAGGCAACTTTTCCAAAGACTACTTTGGGTATGAGGCAATGTATGTATATCTAAGTGTAGAGATTGAATGGTGTAGGGTAAAGAGGACAGGCTTTGAAGTTAACTCTGGGTTTGACTCTAGTTTGACATTTACTAAATAATTTATTTTTGAGTGGGTTATAAACATTTTTTGGGATCGAATATACTTTGTGAATTATAGAGCTGTTGAGAAAATTAAATAAAATTCTGGCATAACACTTGGCACACAAAATGAGCTTGATAAGAGTAAATCCCCCACTTTTATGAAAGTCTGACATCTCTTAAGTTTATGTTAAGAATGTGAAAAACCATGTAAGATGGTGCAGCTGCTTTAGAAAACAGTTTGGCAGTTCCTCAAAAGTTAAACATAGAGTTATCGTATGACCCAGCAATTCCTTTCCTAGAAATGAAAACATTTGTCCACAGAAAAACTTGTACACAAATGTCTATAGTATCGTTATTCATAACAGCCAAAAAGCAGAAATAACCCAGGTGTGTCTGATTTCATGAATAGATCATCAAAATGTGGTATGTCCATACAACAGAATAATATTTGGCCATCAAAAGGAATGGAATTCTGATACATGCCACAGCGTAGATGGAAGCATTATGCTAAGTGAAATAAGCCAGACACAAAAGGCGATATATGCCATGATTCCATTTATATGAAATGCCCAGAATAGACAGATCTATATAATAACACCAGAAGATCTCATTTGCTTTTTACGTGAGTTGTTTCTGACATTTTTATTACTTTGGATTAATATTTTGAATTGACATCTTCGTGCTATTTAAAGAAGAGAGATTGAAGATAGAACCACTGGACATTTCTCTGTAGGGAAACAAGCACGTGGGAATGCTGAGGTGGAAACCTTGGTAGTGGTGGCTTTGAAAGGCCTGAACAAATTTTGGAGCTGTATCTTCGTGCTAAGGAGACAGCCAGCCATCTCTTTGGTAGGCCTGTTGTAAGTAAGGATGACTAAAGTCACCAGTAAAATGTGATGAAGCAAATCCATCAGAATCTTCAGAAAACTTAAATCTGGGTGGTGATTTTCTGGGGTTTGTTTACAGTAGTCTCAAATACCAAAAGTTTTGTCTTTGGGGAATGAGGTAATCATGATATTTTTAAATAAACTGAGCCCTTTTCCAGTGGTAAAGGCCTTATAGAACATCTGGTCTTGGTAAGAATACATCTGATGATGTGAAATCAAAATGACTACCTTTAACTGTGCCTTAGAGGTCCTCAGTCTTCTGTCCTTTTTGGTATCTGTTACATTTGCAACTTGGCAGCGGGGGAGCTTTATGAAGAACCAAGAACTTAAGTAAAATAAAATGAATAGCTCTTGAGGTCAAATCTCAAGGGAGTCCAAATTGCTCCTTTTACAGTTCAGTGAAGGGATCTTTTTATGCAGTCTTAATAATTATTATATACTGGTTATTTGAATATCTGCTTTGTTCTGCAGTCTTTCTCCTCCTCCCCCAAATTCTCATGTTAGACTGATATTGCAAGCAAAATTGTGACCGTTCAGTTTTTAACAATTTAAGATTTATGTATCTTAAGTTTTCATTTAAAACTTTTACTTACAGTCTACTTAATTGTGGTCTTTGCACAATTTTTTTAGAATTATTTTTAGAAAAATAAATCAATTACTGTTGTCCATATGTCTGGTCAGTATTTTTTTAAATTACTTTTTTCCTTCCATTGTAAAGTAGTACAGATTTTGAACAGATTTTAGAAGGTATGGAAAGTATAAAACATTTATTTATGAAATGTTAAATCCAAGCCATCTAGTATTTTAATATTTTAATGTGTAGATTTCTAAACTTTTTGTAGTGCATTTGCAGCATTGCAGATCATTGTGCGTGTGCATATGATTATATATAAAAGTAAGATTATACTATTTAAAAATGGAATTATACTATATTTGTATTGTGTATTTTGTAGCTTGTCCCTTTCCATATATATAATATCTATACTTTTTACATTTTATTATTTTTATTTTTTAAATAGGGTCTTAAACTGTCACCCAGGCTGGAGTGCAGTGGTGCAATCATAGCTTACTGCAGCCTCGAACTCCTGGGCTCAAGCGATCCTCCCATCTCAGCCTCCTGAGTAGCTGAGACTACAGATGTGCGCCACCACACCCTCTAATTGTTAAGATTTTTGTGCAGAGACAAGGTCTCGCTATGTTGCCCAGGCTGGTCTTGAACTCCTGGCCTCAAGTCATCCTCCCACTTCAGCCTCCCAAAGCACTCGGATTACAGGCATGAGCTGCTGTGTCCAGCCAGTAATTCTTGTTCCTAACTATATAGCTACATAACTTTAAGTGACTGCATAATATTCCATTGCTTTGGATGGATGACTTTGTCTACTTAAATCTTAAAGATGGACTTTTAGATTTGTTCCATTATTTTTGTTATTATAAAAAACACTGCTGTGAACATCTTTGGTTATATGTCTTTGTGTACATATCTGATACTGTTTTAGGATACATTCCTAGAAGTAAAATCAAGAAGTAGTGCTGTGTTTTGTTTTTTTTTTTATTTTTTGTTTCTTTACCTTTCTGTATCCAGTCTATCATTGTCCTACCAGGTCACCTTCACTTGCTTCTGTCCATCTCACTGCCTCAAGTCCAGGCCACTGTTATCTCTTACCTGAACTATTAGTGTTTCCTCATTTCCATTCATGTCCCCTGTTCTTCATGCATCACTCAGAATACTCTTAAAGTGGAAATCAGATATTGTTATTTCCCATGTAAAGCCTTCAGCGGCATCTTAGACTAAAACCCAAATTTGTCATAAAACCAAAATTATTAAGGTCTTGCGTGACCTGGCTCTGCATTCCAAGTTCCCAGCACAGGCCTCTGTGAGTATGCATAAGTATTTGAGTGAATAATAAACAAAATGACTAAAGGGAGTTGTATCAGTTTTTGATACACGTTACCAGATAAGCAAGAGTAGATGAGATTTCTAGTTACCCCACATTCTGGCCAGCTCAGGCCATTATCGGTCTTTTAATCTTTGCCAATGTGATAGGTAAAAGGTGTTACCTCATTGGTTTAATTTGTATTTCTTTGATTACCTGTAGGGTCTCTTTGTTTGTTTATTGGACAGCTTTATTTTTGTGTGGATGTCTGTTCATGTGCTTTTTCTGTTTTCCCAATGAGATGTGTAGTTTTTCTTCTAATGATTTATAATAATGAGGATATTAACTCTTCATAGTGCATATACATATATCGTATCCGATATTACTGCTGTTTAACAAAGCATCTCAAAGCCTAGTAAAGCTGTTACCCGGGCTGGAGTGCAGTGGTACAATCATAGCTTACTGCAACCTCGAACTCCTGGGCTCAAGTGATCCTCCCACCTCAGCTTCCTGAGTAGCTGAGACTGCAGATGTGCTACGGATTGGCTGGGCAGCTCTTCTTACCTGGACTCATTCGTGTGTTTTCCTTCACTTAGGTTCATCTGGTGTGTCTATCCCATCCCTCTGCCTCATCGCTCACTTAACAATAGCAGCCTCCTCATGACAACATGCCCTAGTATGAAAGCTCTTACCAGACCTCAGCTTGCATCCTGTTTGCTTATGTTTCTTTGGCCAAAACAAGTCATATGGTCAAGCCCAAAGTCAGTGGGGGAGGTGATTACACAAGGACAGATCAAGAGGTGCGATTCATTGGTGGTCATAATGTAAACTTTACTATATGTATCTTCTTTTTTTTTTTTTTTTTCCTGAGATGGAGTCTCACTCTTTCTCACCCAGGCTGGAGTGTGTGCAGTCATGCGATTTCGGCTCACTGCAACCTCTGCCTCCTGGGTTCAAACAGTCCTCCCATTTCAGTCTCCTGAGTAGCTAGGATTACAGGTGTGCGTCACCATGCCTGGCTAATTTTTTTGTATTTGTTCTTATTTTTATTTTTGAGATGGAGTCTTGCTGTGTCCCCCAGGCCGGAGTGCAGTGGTGCAGTCTTGGCTCACTGCAACCTCTGCTTCCCGGGTTCAAGTGATTCTCCTGCCTCAGCCTCCCAAGTAGCTGGAATTACAGATGCACGAGACCACGCCCAGGTAATTTTTGTATTTTTAGTAGAGACAGGGTTTCACCATGTTGGCCGGGCTGGTCTTGAACTCCTGACCTCAGGTGATCTGCCTGCCTCGGCCTCCCAAAGTGCTGGGATTACAGGTGTGAGCCACGGCGTCCAGCTTTTTTTGTGTTTTTAGTAGAGATGGGGTTTCATCATGTTGGCCAGGCTGGTCTCGAACTCCGGACCTCACGTGATCTGCCCGCCTCAGCCTCCTAAAGTGCTAGGATTACAAACATGAGCCACCATGTTCAGCCTTGTATCTTCGGTAATACTGAGTTTTCCATTCTTTTTTTCATCTGTATATTAAGATTTAAAATTTTATCTTTAGTGAAGTGTGCGGCAACTCATTGGTTTTTTTTAATTAAAAACTTTTTTTTTTTTTTTTTTTTAGAGATGGAGTCTTGCTGTGTTGCTCAAGTTAGTCTTCAACTCTTGGCCTTGAGTGATCTGTTTGCCTTGACCTCCCAAAGTGCTGGGATTACTGAACCACAGTGCTTGGCTTAGTTTCTAGTTTAATGGGTTCGACATGGTACCTTTAAAAAAACATGTTTAGAAGGAAAATGCATAATTTTTTACTATATAGACATCATATAAAAGCATATATAATATGCTTTTAGCTTTCTTTTTTATCGTTAAGTACATTTGTTCTCATTTTTCTTTGTCTTAATTTTATTTAAAATGTGTGTACTTGTATTTGGCCGGGCGCGGTGGCTCATGCCTGTAATCCCAGCACTTTGGGAGGCTGAGGCGGGTGGATCACGAGGTCAGGATATTGAGACCATCCTGGCTAACACGGTGAAACCCTGTCTCTACTAAAAATACAAAAAATTAGTCAGGCGTGGTGGCGGGCGCCTGTAGTCCCAGCTACTCGGGAGGCGGAGCTTGCAGTGAGCCGAGATCGCGCCATTGCACTCCAGCCTGGGCAACAGAACGAGACTCTGTCTCAAAAAAAAAAAAAAAAAAAAGTATGTACTTGTATTTAAACCATAAAGCTTGTGTTTTTAAAAATGTTTTTCCTTTGCTAATTAACTTAATTTCAGTGTTGGCATTTATATTCTTCAGTTTTCTTAGAGTTTAAAAAAAATGTAATCGCTGTTATTGAGTACTTACTGTATGAAACCTTTATTAACTCATTTAACACTGATAGAACTGTTATCTCCATTTTATAGATGAGGAAATTAAGCCACAGAGAGTTAAGTGACTTGCCCAGGGTCACCCAGTTAGTAGAGAGTGGAACTGGGATTCCATCTCAGGCAGTCAGGTTCCAGAGCCCATGGTTTTTAACCAGTAAGCTCTCATACATAACTGTTTGTAATGGTTAACTTTTGAACTGAAGCTTATATTTGAATTTTCCAAATGTTAATGTGTGAGTGAGTAATTTATTTTTCCTTGTGATTTCATTGTTTAGGGGGTCTTTACTTTCTGAAAATAATTGGCGTAAGAACAAGATCTTGTAGGATGAATTGACCTAGAACATTTCAGAGATAATAGTACATAGTTGGGGTGGGGAGAAAAGGCTTTATTTGGGTTTAATCTTGAAAAATGAAACAAAACTATGAAAACATTCATGTTATGGTTGCAACTATGTGTTAAATTATTAGAATGAAAGAAGAATGAATCAAGTGTTGGTTGCTTAAAAAATTTTACATAATTTTTCTGAGAAAATTGTAAGATCACATGAAACTATCCATGTTATGATGGACTTTTGCAGTATGATCATAAAGACAGTCCTTTTTGCCAAAATATTCAAGGGCTTCATTAGTTTTCCTAACTTTGATTTTCAGATTTTCTTTTGACCTCCTGGTAATCTCATCTTTGTTAGTTCTCCAGTTATTAATTTACAATCTGTTAAAATGCTTTCAGCTCCAAGTAACTGTTTAAGACTTAAAGTGCTTAAATATTGAGAAAATTTATCCCATATAATTAGAGGTCCAGAGGTAAGGTAGACTCCACACATACTACAGTCAGTGGGTCACTGATGTCTTTGAGGACACGGGTACATTTTGCCATCTTTGGTGTTCAGTCATCTTTATATTGGTAACAAGTGGACCATAGGGCTTCCAGGATTCACATTGAGACCCAGTAATTCTTGGAGGAAGTAGGACCATCCTTCTTGTGTGTGTGTGTGTGTGTGTGTGTGTGTGTGTGTGTGTTTAATCCCGCCATAGTCCATTTTGTGCTGCTATAACAGATACCACAGACTGGGTAATTTATAAAGGAAAGAGATTTATGTGGTTCACAGTTCGGAGGCTGAGAAGTCCAAGATCAAGGGGTTGCATCTGGTGAGGGCCTTCTTGCTGTCTCATAACATGGTGGAAGGCATCTCAGAGCAAGATGGTGTATGCTCAAAACAGAAAAAAGGGGTTGAATTCCTGTGGTAACTAACCCACTCCCATCATAATGTTATTAATCGATTGATGGGGGTGGAATGCCCATGGCCGAATCACTTCTTAGTACTGTTACAGTTAAATTTCAACATGAGTTTCAAGATTCAAACCATAGCAGCTCTCTTAAGGTATCATTTACATACAGCTAAATGCATAAATCATGTATACATATAGCTTGGTACATTTTTACTATGTATACATACCTGTGTAGCCACCAACCAGGTCTGGATATAGAACACACTTAGGCCATTAAGTTCCCTCATGCCCCTTCCCAGTCAGTATCTTTCCAAATACTCATTTTTTTCAGTTGCTTTGTAAAGAGTTTTCATCATTTTCAGTGACTTCATAAAGGCCTACATCTTTTGGAATGTTTGCACTTTCACTTTGTAGATGATATGCATTGTGTTGCTTTGTAATTGAAATAACCTGTCAATCATTGAGAGACTGACAGGGCAAAGGTGAAATGGCCTGACATAGAGGCTAATGCTGCTTTGGGAGGGATGTTTAATGGGGACTGATATTATAAATGTTTAGTTCATTAGCGGATATTTTTGTGTTAAGAATACTTTTGCTTCCCTGGCAACTTCTGTGTCTGATAATGAACTTTGATTTTAAGACCCTTGTACCTATTTTGTTCTGTATTACATTTTTACATATATGTCGTTATAGATTCTCTAATTTATTGCATTGGTCTATTATTCCTATGCAATCTGTTAGCTGTGAGCCGTTAGATCTTTATGAAATTTAGATTTGATCAGCTCAGCCTTGAGTCTGAACTACTTCAGTGCCTTCCCATTGCTCTTGGAATTAAGACCAAGCTCCACTAAGCTCCTCCTCATTATGGCCTAAGTCCTGCACAATTTTACTTTCTCAGTGATTCCAAAGTAAGTAAAATGACCCAATAAGAAAAATCCTCAACAATAACTTACAAAAAAGTAAAAATGTGCATAGGTATGACCCATTGCCTTAGACTTACAGTTTAGTGGGGGAGGAGACATTAATTTTCAAGAGCTGGCAGAGCATAGTGGCTCATGCCTATAATCCCAGCAGTTTGGGAGGCCGAGGTGGGTGGATCAGTTGAGCCCAAGAGTTCAAGACCAGCTTAGGCAACATGGTCTATCTCTACAAAAAATACAAAAAATAATATTAGCTGGGTGTGGTGGTGCACACCTGTAGTCCTAGCTATACTCAGGAGATTGAGGTAGGAGGATCACTTGAGCCTGGAATGTTGAGGCTGCTTTTTTTTCAAGGTGTTTGCATTTTGGGGTTAGTCAAGTTTAATAGAATCAGCATTGACTTCAGAGCCATTCTGCTATTTACTGGCTGTGAGACCTTGACTTTCCCAAACCTTAATTTCTTTTTTTGCAAAATGGGATTAATAATTCATTGCCTTGTTTTGAAATTTGCTATAATGTAGTTAGAGTTTTTATGGATTGGGCATATTCTGTTTATTGTTTTCTTTGTATTGTACCATGAGATTAAAACAAAAAATAAAGTTCAAGCTTCTGAATGTTGTTTTGCCCTTTTTGCTTGCTTGCTTTTTCTTGTTTTGAGACAAGGCCTGACTGTTACACAGGCTGAAATGCAGTGGCGCGATCATAGCTCACTGCAACCTGGAACTCCTGGGCTCAAGCCATCCTTGCACCTCGGCTTCCTAAGTAGCTGGGACTATAGGCACCTGCCATCACACCCACTGTTGCCTTTTTTAACTTAATATGAAAGTTTCTGTTTTTTAGGCACTCTGAAAGCAAATAGCCAGTTAAATTCTTAGAGTACCTGTATTTTAAAATGATGTTTATAATTTAAGATGAATATTTAAATTAAAAACCAGCACCCAGACATAGAATGGTTATTTGCATTACTTAGAACTAAGTTCTCCCCCTAGATCTGTCACCCTACCTTCCCTTCATAATGTGTGGTTCCCGTGTGGTCAGCCATCCTGTCTAAACTTTCTCCTGAAAAAAAGGCCATGCACGGTGGCTCACGCCTGTAATCCCAGCACTTTGGGAGGCTGAGGCGGGTGGATCATTTGAGGCCAGGAGTTCTAGACCAGCCTGGCTAACTGGTGAAACCCCGTCTCTACTAAAAATACAAAAATTAGCTGGGCGTGATGGCGCATGCCTATAATCCCAGCTACTCGGGAGGCTGAGGCATGAGAATAGTTAGAACCCGGGAGACAGAGGTTGCAGTGAGCAGAGATTGCACCACTTCACTCCAGCCTGGGCGACAGAGTGAGACCCTGTCTCACAACCAAGCAACAACAACAGAAAACAAAAAAAAAATCTACTGAAGAAACCTTCCCCTGCACCCTGGAGCACACAGAAGAGATGTCTTAACTTGGCATTCAGGGCCCTCGAGAAACAGTTCAGCAGTGCCTTTCAATACTCCCCATGTGAATTCACTTCAGAATGGTCGTTTATTGTTTTCCAAAGGTACCAGTGAAGTTGCGGTTTCATTACTTTTATTCTGTCTGTCTTCTGGAAAGCTGCCTTCTCTGTGCTCACCTCAATCCCATTCTTGCTTTAGTTTCCTCTTCTGGTTTGTCTTTAGTGATTGTTCCAGGCTGAGTCTCTCTCTTTTCATAGTTTTTGTCGACTAGCTCTTTTGGTGTGTCATACATACATTTTTCCCTTAAAAAAACGGAGTATAAACTCATGACACATTTCTCTGAACACTTTATATCATGCTGGGTTCAATGAGACACTATTAATAACTTTTTTGAATAAATTAAAAAACTAAACTCATGACTATTGATTGTTTTTGGCCTTCTCATTTTATTCTTTATTTGTTGTAGAGATGAGTGTCTTGCTGTGTTGCCCAGGTTGGTCTCAAATTCCTGGCTTCTAACGATCCTCCCACCTCAGTCTTCCAAAGTGCTGGAATTACGGCTGTGAGCCACTGCACCCTCATTTTATTCTTTAGCTAAATCATCTGATTTTTAATAAAGGTATTGGGACAGTACTTTAAACAATTTTATATTGTACATAGGATGTTTTGGTAAGTGACAAAGTGAAGGTGTCATGGTATAACATTTTAACCAAAATTTTCAATATGCACTTGAAAATATAAAGACAAGACATCAAATATATTTGGTTTTATTTTTCCTGCCTGGAAATGTTATACAAAATAAGAATCTTGTCACCCAGTCAGCAGTTCTGTTTCCCTGTAACATATTGACTGTTAGTTTTTTCTGAGTCTGTAAAAAGTTAACTAAAATTAGAAACTAATACAGTAAGGGCTTTACAAAAACTTTACATAAATTTATGCAGATCTTGGGTACACTTCTGAGGTAGGCAGTTAATTTTTTGTGACCTCCACATCTACTCTTCCCCTGTTTTCATAAATGCTCCTATCATTATTAGCCAGGGTTCTCTAGAGAAACAGAACCAGTATTTGTTTATTTAAAGGAATTGGCTTACATGATTATGGGAGCTGGTAAGTCTGAAAATTGTAAGGCCAACAGGCAGGCTGGAAACTCAGGCAAGAATTGATGTTGCATCTTGAGTCTGAAATTTGCAGAGCAAGTCAGTAAGCTGGAAACTCAAAACAGGAGGATTTCTGTATTACAGTTTTGAGGCAGAATTGCTTTCTCTGGCTTGGGTTTGCTGGCAGTCTTTGGCATTCCTGGGCTTCTAGGTCCATCACTTCAGTCTCATGCTTCTGCAGTCACATGGCTGTCTTTTCCTGTCTGTCTTCAGTTGATGTTTTCTTCCTCTTATAAAGACACCAGCCATATTGGATTAAGGGGTCCACTCTACTCTGGTGTGACCTCATCTTAACTAATTACATCTGCAAAGACCCTGCTTGTAAAAGAGGTCACATTGTGATATACTGAGGGTTAGGACTTCAACATCAACTTCTTGCCTGAGTTTCCTCTTTGAGTATGGACCACAGTGGTCTCATTCATCTCTCTCATTAGTCAGATGAACTAATTGTCTCAGGTGACAGATACAGAGGGAGACATGCATGTACACAATAAAAATAAATATATGCAAAGATTCCACAGTAAAGCAGCTGGAGCTAATGAACGACTTCAGCAAAGTTGCAGGGTACAAGATCGTCACACAAAAATCAGTTATTTCTATACACCTACGATAAACAACTGAAAAAAATTAAACCAGTTTCAGGCTAGGTGTGGTGGCTTGTGCCTATAATTCCCAGCAATTTGGGAGGCTATGATGGGAGGATCACTTGAGGCCAGGAATTTGAGACCAGCCTGGGCAACATAGACTGTTTCTTTAAAAATAAATTTTATATAAAAACAATTTCACTTACAGTAGCATCTAAAGAAATAAACACCTAGGAATAAATTTAACCAAGGAAGTAAAAGACTTGTACACTGAAACTATAAAATATTGTTGAAAGAAAAGACTTCAATAAATAAAAAGACTTTGTCTTCATAAATTTGATATTGACTTGATAATTGTTAAGATGTGATAGTTGATAAGACTTGATATTGTTAAGGTGACAGTACTACTTAAATTGATATGCAGACACAACGTAATCCTTATCAAAATCCCAATGGCGTTTTTTGCAAAAATAATTCATATGGAATTTCAAGGGACCCCAAATAGCCAAAATAATCTTGAGAAAGAACAGAGTTGGAGGAGACACTTCCCGATTTCAAAACTTAACTTTGCAGTTACAGTAATCAAAACAGGTAAAGGCATAGTAAGGCATAGTAAGGACATACCTATAGACCAGACCTACAGACCAGTGAATAGAATAGAGAGCCCAGTAAACCCTCACATTCAATAGATTTTTGATGACAGTGACAAGAACTTTCTCCTGAGAGAAGGGATAATCTTTTCAAATGACACTAGGGAAATGATATTCGCAGGTCTTTTCAAAGAGAGTTTAGTGTTTTTTTCTTAAAACATCAGTGCCTACTTTCAGAGTTTCTCAACCTCAACATTATTGATGTTTGGGGCCAGATAATTCCCTGTTACAGGGTTGTACTGTGAATTGTGGGATGTTCAGCAGTATCCCTAGTTTGTACCCACCAAATACCAGTAGTACACACCTTAACCTTTCTCTCCCAGAAGAGACAACCAGAATGTCTCTACATACTGCCAGATGTTTATGAGGGCTAAAATCACTCTTGGAGAACCTCTTTAAATTCTGTAAAATGTCAGCAACTACTATATAAGTTACACATTTTAAAAAATATGTTCAACATATTTTAAACTCTTAAATGCTTTAAGTGAGATGAGGTGGCATTCATGCCGTTTCCTACTTTTATTACAAAATGCACATATCTGTTTGGTTGCTTAGACTTTAATAGACTAGCCTAGTACCCCAACCACAATTTATAAGCAGTTTCAAGAAAGAAAATCAGTTTGTATCCTAAAAATCATAAGCTCATTTATAAATTGGAACTGACTAAAGAAAAAAAATCAGCTTTTGAATTTTAACGTAAGTGAAATGGAAAAAATAAAACACTTTTAAAGAAGTTGAGGTACTTCATTGTTAATTTATTGCAAATACTTAAAATAAACTTATTTTTAAAGATTAGCTTTTGAGTTCCAAAGACCTGATATTAAATGTCCTTACTGATCCAGAGGCCTCATAGCTGAATATCCAAAACATGCATGCCACAGGGTATAAGTCCTTCGCCACAGACCAGAGCATCTCTGAGGCTAACCTTTGGGTAATGTTTGTTCACACCTGGTGCAAATTAAGTGGTCTAACCAATTATATATGATAACTTTGATAAATAATATTAATAGATATTATTTGTTGAATATTTAAAGATAGGCCAGGCAACTTCACATGGATCATTTCATTTAATGGATTCGAATAAGCCATGAGATTCATGTCGTCATTGCTGTTTTACAGTGTAGGAAACCAAGGCTTAGGATACTTAAGTGACTTGGCTGGAGTCATACAGTAGATAAATGACAGCTGAAATTCAGATCTAAGTCCTGCGTAACTCCAAAGTCCTTGCTCTTAATACTTTCTATAGCCTCTTATTTTACCTTTCAATGCTGTTTCTCAAATTTCATTTTTCATCCTTAAGATCACATCCAATGCTGTCTCAAGTCTCATGTTGGAGTTTGTGTTGGAAGCAGTAGGAAATAATGGCAGTTGGGCTGGGGTGTTAAAGACTTTGAGTGACAGTTGGCTGGGTGCGGTGGCTCACACCTGTAATCCCAGCACTTCGGGAGGCAGAGGCAGGTGGATCACGAGGTCAGGAGATCAAGACCATCCTCGCTAACATGGTGAAACCCCGTCTCTAATAAAAATACAAAAAAAAAAAAAATTAGCCAGGTGTGGTGGCAGGTGCCTGTAGTTCCAGCTATTCAGGAGGCTGAGGCAGGAGAATGGTGTGAACCTGGGAGGTGGAGCTTACAGTGAGCCGAGATTGCGCCACTGCACTTCAGCCTGGGCACTGGGCGACAGAGCAAGACTCCATCTCAAAAAAAAAAAAAAGACTTTGAGTGACAGTTTAAGGAACAGAACTAACATGCCACATACTTCCTGTACATTATGTCTTCCAGTCCGTAAGCCACCATACAGGGAACATGTCTTCATTAATGTCAAGCCTGCATGGTTAGTAAGTAGTGGCACCTAGACCTGAACCCAGCTTTGTCTCATTTCCAAGCCTATATGCACCTTACCCTAAGTGTTTTATTCAAAATAATTTGAACTTTTCCACTGGATTAATGACTTCCAGTTTGTGAGCCCTGGGGGGCGTCTGCGCCATTCCTTTAAAGAATAGTTGAACCCCTAGGTATAGCAAGATTTGTCTGTAATCCAAAGATGCCAGCCTTTACATGCATTATATTTCAACTATATGTAGATGCTTTTCTGATAATGTATAGATTCATTTAAAAGCTTGCAAATATAATGTGCTTTTAAATCACATTTTTTCAGTCAACATATACAGTATTAAAAGTAGAGCAATTATTCATGAAGTTAAAAGGTCTTTTCATCTTTGGAAATGTTGAGAACCACTTTTTTTTTTTTTTTTTGAGACGGAGTCTCGCTGTGTCACCCAGGTTGGAGTGCCATGGCGTGATCTTGGCTCTCTGCAGCCTCCGCCTCCTAGGTTCAAGAGATTCTCCTGCCTCAGTCTCCTGAGTAGCTGAGATTACAGGCGCCTGCCACTATGCCCAACTAATTTTTGTATTTTCAGTAGAGATGGGATTTCTCCACTTGGCCAGGCTGGTCTTGAATTCCTGACCTCAGGTGATCTGCCCGCTTTGGCCTCCCAAAGTGCTGGGATTACAGGTGTGAGCCCCTGCACCCAGCTGAGAACCACTGTTCTACATAGATGTTTTCTCTATTTAATCTGTTTCTTAGGCGGAGATTGGCAGCCATTTAACATTCTCAAAATAAAGGAGGAAACCTCTAAACAATGAAAGTATTTAAAGCTACCGCAAGAATAACTGCAATCTTGTTTTTTGTTCTCTAGGTGAAGTAGAATTTTGTGAAAAAACAAAAATGTTTTGTGAATTGTTACTAGTTACCTACAAAGGCAATCCATAAAAATAGTACAAACAAATTGTGAGTAGGAGAAAAACTTAAACTGTTAAGACATTATAGTCTTTTCTTATAAATTATAATTTTTAGAAAATAAACTGAAGGGATCAAATGATGTCTTTAAAATTAGGAAACAAAATCTGTGGGTATGCTATTACCTAGGATTAAAAAAACAAAACAAAACAAAACAACTAACTCTTGCTAGATGATGCTTTCAAAAGAAATGTAGTCCAAAAATGAGCACTGGCACTTTTTGCTGGTACATGGAGAAACTTTGAGAGTGAAGGCATATTAATACTTTCAAGTTGTAAATAGGCTGGAATTTGGGCTTGTGATTTTATAGTTTTAGAATTTATATCATTAGACTTTTAATATTGGATATTAGTTTATGCCTTTTTTTTTTTTTTTTTTGAGAGATGGTGTCTTGCTCTGTCACTCAGGCTGGAGTGTAGTGGTGCGATCTCAGCTCACCGCAACCTCCGCCTTCCAAGTTCAAGTGATTCTCTTGCCTCAGCTTCCCAAGTAGCTGGGACTACAGGCGTGTGCCACCACGTCCAGCCAATTTTTTTTTTTTTTTATAGTAGAGACAGTTTCACTATATGTTGGTCAGGCTGGTCTCAAACTCCTGACCTCAGGTGATCCATGCGCCTCCCAAAGTGCTGGGATTACAGGCATGAGCCAAAGTCCCTGGCCTTTGTACAGATTTGTTTTGCATACTTCTCAGCCTTGGTGGGGTTAATTGTGGCTTGGCAAATCAAGAAAAGGAGTTCTGTGCTGTTTTCAGACTGCAGAATCTTGTTGCTATGCAACAAAAATTGTCAGTCAGTATAGGGTATAGTAAATTGGTATTCTCTGTCCCTTTTCACCACATGCTCATTTTGTAATCTGAGAGAAGTGGTTTGGGGCTAGTTTGCAAGGTTTTATTTTAAAACAAGCATTTAAAAAATTTTGTTGCTATTTGTAATTGGTTATATTTAAGGTCGGTGAAGTCTTTCTGTACTTACTAGAAGATACAATAAAATGCTAGTGTTCAAAGGGTTTATAGATCTGTTTCCAAGTTGTTTCAGGTTAGAGCAGTGTATTTTTGTTTTGTTGCTGTAACAGGGGTAATATTGCCAACTTCCAAAGAGTAAATTTTAGCTTGAGAATTCAAGTTGTATAATTTGAACATCAGAAGTTTATTGTAAGCACATCATATTATTTTTAAATTTATTTATGAAAAACATGAACCCAAAAAACCCTTTTATTGATAAAGTTTTTTAAATAGGAACCCTAAACTTGTATGAAGTCTCATGTATGATAATTTATTTTCTGCCAGGAGAAATTAAAATGCCTTTATAGCAAATGGGTGATGGCTAATAGCCTTCTAAAAATTGTGATAAAATATATATAACACAAAATTTACAATTTTAACCATTTCGAGTGTTTCACATAGTTGTGCAAATATCAACTGTTCATCTCCTGGATAACAACCTTTTGCATCCCATTTAGTAACTTAGTCCAGACTGTCTTCTAAATCCTTTAATTCGTTTAATCTTCGTAAGAACCCTATATGTACGAGAAGTACTTTTGTTCCAAATGAGAAGAGTGAGGCACAAAAAGGAACACAAAAGTAGTAATTAGTGGAGCCGGAATTCAAACACCAACAGTCCAACTCTTCTGTGCTCTCAACTATTATGCTATGTTACCCTCTTTTGGAATTACTTTCTTTTTTGTTTAGTGGTTAAGAGCATTGATTTAAAAAAAAAATTACTTTCTGTAGCTTTTCCAAGTAAAGTTAATACAGTTTAACAGCATTTTGGACTGTTAACAAATTTAGTTTGGCTATAAATCCCTGCAATCTTCTAGACATTTTTTTTCTAAATATTTCAAAAGGATGCAGTTTATGTTATTTTATATTGTGTTATTTGTATATGAAATTATACATATTATGGTTAATTATATAGAAAGGACTTACTTTCCTTTTTCAGTTTGTTTCTGGACCATTTTTCATGCCATTCCTTCCAATAGAGAATGCAAATCATTTTCTGGTCATTTAATGTAAATAGGAAGGTACACTTGCTGTTAGAGAATTTTAATATGATGCCATCCAAAGACTAAAGCCAGTTGGCATTGGATCATCCACTTAGTATTCTCTAAATTTATGATCTTCTTTTTCACGAATAATCTGGAGTTAATTGTAGTATTGGCAGTTTAGAATAAAGAGCAATAGGGAGGAGTAAAAAGGGAGAAAAACATTGCAAGGAGTCATTAACTTCCAATTGATGAATAGGGATGAGTTTTTGCAGACTCTGCTTTTTTTCTGCCATGTAATATCTCTACTACCATTCTTAAGCATCCTTAAGGAGCTTACTTTCCTTTGATTTTTTTTCCCCACCTTCTACTTTTTTTTTTTTTTCTGGGACAGTGTCTCACTCTGTTGCCCAGGCTGGAGTGCAGTGGCATGATCTCGGCTCACTGCAACCTCCGCTTCCCAGATTCAAGCAATTCTCCTACCTCAGCCTCCCGAGTAGCTGGGATTACAGGTGCACTCCACTACCACCTGGCTGATTTTTGCATTTTTAGTAGAGGTGGGGTTTCACCATGTTGGCCAGGCTGGTCACGAATTCCTGACCTCAAATGATCCACCTGCCTTGGCCTCCCAAAGTGCTGGGATTATAGGCGTGAGCCACAGCGCCCAGCCTTTCCCTGCCTTCTTTTCTTTCTTCCGAGATGGAGTCTTGCTCTGTCACCCAGGCTGAAGTGCAGTGGCGTGATCTCGGCTCACTGCAACCTCTGCCTCCCGGATTCAAGCGATTCTCCTGACCCAGCTTCCCAAGTAGCTGGTGTTACAGGCACTGTCCACCACGCCCATCTAATTTTTGTATTCTTAGTAGAGATGGGGTTTTACCATGTTGGCCAGGCTGGTCCCGAACTCTTGACCTCGTTATCTGCCCGCCTCGGCCTCCCAAAGTCCTGGGATTACAGTTGTAAGCCACTGCGCTTGGCCCATATTTCTGTCTTGCTCAACCAGACTTACTCTCTAGTCAGTTTGCTTTTCATATCTGTTCACAGTTGCACCATCTTTTTTTTTTTTTTTTGAGACGGAGTTTCGCTCTTGTTGCCCAGGTTGGAGTGCAATGACGCGATCTCCACTCACCACAACCTCCGCCTCCCAGGTTCAAGCAGTTCTCTGCTTCAGCCTCCCGAGTAGCTGGGATTACAGGCATGCACCACCACGCCCGGCTATTTTTGTATTTTTAGTAGAGATGGGGTTTTTCCATGTTGAGGCTGGTCTCGAACTCCTGACCTCAGGTGATCTGCCCACCTTGGCCTCCCAAAGTGCTGGGATTCCAGGCGTGAGCCACTGTGCCCGGCCTAGTTGCACCATCTTTTAAAAAAATGTTCTTCTTTTATTTTTGTGCATTTATATATGTGTGATTATACTTGATACATTTTTTGCCTTGTTCATTTGATATGTTTTGCATTTTCTATGTTTTTTAAAAACTTAGAATTTTATTAGTTGCATATTTCACTGTAATTTACTTACTTCCTTTAAAATGGCTATTTATGTGGTTTACAGGGATTTTGTGTAATGAATAATGCTTTCATGAACCCAAAGGTTTTTTTCCCCTCCTAATTGCAGACTAATTCCTTAAGATGGATTTCCAGAAATAGTATTAGATCCCTGAAGGAATAGAAACGATTTTAAAAGCTCTTGAATCTTATTGCCAAAATGCTTTCCAAAAGTGTTGTACCAGTTTTCATGCCAGCCAGCAAATATATGGAGTGTCCATTTCACCTCAGCCAGCAATAGGAGGGAATGTTTTGATGCTGACCTTTAAATCTAAGAAGAATTGATTTACAGCTCTGCTGAGCTTCTATCCTGAATTACACCCAGAATTATAATCGTGGTTGAGATTGGATTAGAAAGAAGGAAAGCCTGGTTTACCAGTTTCTGCCCCTTCAGCTGCTTATATTCTGTTTTGCCCAGTTAAGGTGAATTCTTTTGGAAACATGAAGTAACTGCCCTTTTCTGCTTTTCAGCCCCCTTAATTATTTTGATAAGTTGGTGGGGGACAAAACAGTGTATGTTTATAAGTTGGTAGGGGACAAAACAGTGTATGTTTCACATGACATTTCCCTTGAGAGCTGGGGTAGGTTTGGCTCTCTTCTCCACTCCACCACTGGGCTTGGTGTGTCTGGAGGCGTCTGAAAGTTACATTCAGTAGCCACCTTGTCCAGGGGTGCTAATTAGATGTAGCCTGAGTCACTGCTACTTCTTTAGCTAGGAAATCATTAACAACTCTGGAGGTAAAGTAGCTTTTCCCTAAGAACTTGTTAGATAATTTAGTATTAAGTATGGAAAATTTTCTCCCTGAATAGAAGGAGGGTCAGGGGACACCATTCCTACTGAAAGTTGATAACAGGGAGGTCTTATCTGGTCTCCTCTGGCCTCATAACAGCACTCAGCACAGTTGACCATTCTGGCCTCGAGCCACTTTGCAGTGATTTTAAGCTCCCTTGGTTCTCTCCTTATCTCATTGGCTGTATCTTGTTCCTTTCCTCCCTTTTCATTTTCTTCTCCCCATCAGTCTTCCCCTCCTCCACAATGTTACTCCCTGGGCTTTACAACCTGTGTGCTGCTTATTCCTAGATTTATTTTTTACCTGGCTCTTGCTCCTGAGCCCTAGATAAATAAGCTGGCATCTTAATTCTCTTTGTATAACTAATAGGCACTTTAAATACCACGTGTCCAAATCAGGGTGTTGTGATATTTTCATACAAGTTTATACTTAGGTGTTTCAGTAACATTTTTCCCAAAGTTTCAGACATAAAAATAACGCAGGGGGCTAAATTATAAATAATATCAATTTAAGACACATTGTATTAAAACTGTCTTTCTCATTTTGTAAACTGTAGAGCCCATAATTTTTCTTTTGATAGGCCAGAAGAAAGTTTACCTATTTCCTTCCCAATGACTGAGAACAAAAATTCTCACTAGAGGATTTTATTTGTGTGTTTTTCTCATATGATATGTACTTGTGTCGTGAAATACCATTCCTCTTTCTCAGTTTAGTGTCTCATATGTCAGCTGACAATGATTTGAACTGTATTGCATGGTGATACAACTTGTCCACTCAGCTCATTTTCACTAGTATCAGTGCCTTTGTAGTGTATTTATTTGAACGCTATTGTGGTTTTGCCTTTATAAAAATAACTAGAGAATAGAAGAAAGGAAATGTTAATGCTAACACAGTTGAGATAAAGATGGAAGTCACTTGGTTTTCCAAAAGTGGTAATTCTTTGGTGTTGTAGTCTGTTCTTGCTGCTATAACACAACATCTTAGACTGGGTAATTTATAAACACAAATTTATTTCTCACAGTTTTGGAGCCTGGGAAGCCCAATATTAAGTTGCCAAGAGATTCAGTGTTTGGTTGAATGCTGCTCTCTGCTTCATAGATGGCGCCTTGTTGCTGCATTCTCACATGGTAGAAGGCACAAAGGCAGGAGGGCCTAGCTCTTTTTTAAGGGCATAAATGCCATTCACGAGGTTGGAGGCCTTGTGACCTATTCACCTCCCAAAGGCCCCACCTTGCAATATCATCACCTTGGTGATTAGTTTCAACATAGGGATTTTGGAGAGACACATACATTCAAACTGTAGCATTTAACCTCAGTAGAACGATACCCAGTTTGTACTTAAGCTGACTGTTTATCAGACAAGATTTTTTTGTTGGCACTGATAGAAACTCAAGTTAGTTCTCCTGGTAGAGGCAAAGTGAGAGTTGCTGGAGCTAGGGCAGCTTGAGGACCTCAAAGATGAGAACAGAGCTGACCATTTTGGTTAAATAGGACTCTTTCATATTTGCTTAGCTTTATTTTTTTTCCCTGCAGTCTTTCTTCATGGTTTTTCTAGATTCCCATTATTCCAGCTTTCATAAATGGAGAGTCAAAGGATGTTTCCTGTAATCTTCAGGGAGGAAAATCCTGAAAAAGACTGGTAAAGTCCAACTTGCATCTTTGTCCCTTCTTCTTTAATGGGGGATGAGGTACTGTGGTGGGCACCAATGGGTAGAAGGAACAGAGTTCTAAAATGGAAGAAGGAATGCTGGCAATGGATATCTACTATGATAATTCAACTAAAGAGGACAATAGCAAAATTAAGTTATATTTAAAAAATACAGGAGGCCAGGTGTGGTGGCTCATGCCTGTAATCCCAGCACTTTGGGAGGCCGAGGTGGGTGGATCACCTGGGGTCAGGAGTTTGAGACCAGTCTGACCAACATGGTGAAACCCTGTCTCTCTAAAAATACAAACAATTAGCCGGGCACGTTGGCACATGCCTGTAATCCTAGCTAGTTGGGAGGCTGAGAATCGCTTGAACCCAGGAGGTGGAGGTTGGGGTGAGCTGAGATCATGTCATTACACTGCAGCCTGGGCAACAAGAGCGAAATTCCATCTCAAAAAATAAACAAAAATACAGGAAACGTGTTGACTGTTTTAGTAATCTGTTATATTGACAGGACCATAGAGTTTGTGGAGGAATGTAGCTTGCACGACTTCTTTTTTTAAAAAGAAGAAAAGGCAGGAGTTCAACTATGTCTTAAGATATTTCTTAAAGAAAATTGGTAAGACAACATCTCATTTCTTGCAAAGTCTCTGAGCAGTTTTTTAAAAATTATTTTTGTCTGCTAAATATTGCTTTAGGTGTGCCAAGAAGACTAGAATTTGAGCTAAGAATTTAAGAAAATTAACTTTATCTGCATTTCATATTTACTTTATCTTGTTTTAAATGATTGCTTATACCCTAGCTTTTAAAACTAAACATTCATAGCCTAAGGATTTTTCATATCTTTTGACTCTTGGAATGAAAACCCATTTTGAAATTAAGTCTATCGCTCAGCTCTTCTGCTTTCACATGCTTTTCAGGAACAGGTTATGTGTGAGAATAGGGACACTGGAATTCCGAACATCTGACATCCCCATTGTTGACCACAGTTCTCCACCATGAGCTCTATCTGTCACATTAAGGGGTCAGCTGTTTCACATCCCACCAGGTTAGGTGAGCACATAGTCCTTAGCTTTCCCACTTATTTGGTGATGCAGTGATGTAGAAACCATGTAAGATTGTGACCTGGGAAGAATCAACCCTGTGACAGATAACAAAAGCAGAATCCTGGGGCATTTTCCTTTTAGGGGACCTTAATCTGGGCTTCTTCATCCCCGGTGGATAGAGTCCAGTGTTGAGATCACAGCATCCTTTCATTGTCTAGGACAGGTTGTAGCTAAGATTACAGACCTGCACCACCACACCTGGGGAATTTTTATTTATTTTTAAAATATTTATTTATTTATTTATTTATTTGTTGATTGATTTAGTGGCAGGGTCTTACTCTGTCGCCCAGGTTGGAATGCAGTGGTGCAATCTCAGCTCACTGCAACTTCTGCCTCCCAGGTTCAAGCGATTCTCCTTCCTCAGCCTCCCAAGTAGCTGGTATTACAGGCGCCTACCACCCCACCCAGCTAATTCTTATAGTTTTAGTATAGACGCGGTTTCACCATGTTGGCCAGGCTGGTCTCAAACTTCTGACCTCAAGTGATCTGTCTGCCTCAGCCTCCCAAAATGCTGGGATTACAGGTGTGAGGCACCATGCCTGGCCATATTTATTTTTAAAATATTTCTTTGTCCTTTTCTTCCTCTACCAGCTAATCTTAAATTTTTTTTTTCTAAAGACAGGGTCTTGCTGTGTTGCCCAGGCTGGTCTTGAACTCCTGGCCTTAAGCAATTCTCCTGCCTTGGCCTCCCAAAGTGCTGGAATTATAGACATCAGCCACTGTACCCAACCTATGAAGCTTTTAGTATTTAAAGTTTTTATGTTTTTCAAGAGATTTGTTGCAGCCATAAAAAAGAACAAAATCATGTTCTTTGCAGCTGGAGGCCGTTAGCCTAAGCAAATTAATATAGAAACAAAAAACCAAATAACCGCATGTTCTCACTTATAAGTAGGAGCTAAACATTGGTTACACACAGACACAAAGATGGGAACAATAAACACTGGGGATTCCAAAAGCAGGGGAGGAAGTCAAGAGTGAAAAACTACTTATCGGGTACTGACTGGGCCCGGTGGCTTACGCCTGTAATCCCAGCACTTTGGGAGGCCGATGTAGGTGGATCACAAGGTCAGGAGAGCGAGACCATCCTGGCTAACACAGTGAAACCACATCTCTACTAAAAATACAAGAAAAAAATTAGCCGGGCGTGGTGGCAGGCGCCTGTAATCCCAGCTACTCAGGAGGCTGAGGCAGGAGAATGGTGTGAACCCAGGAGGCGGAGCTTGCAGTGAGCCGAGATTGCACCACTGCACTCCAGCCTGGGCGACAGAGCAAGACTCCGTCTCAAAAAAAAAAAAAAAACCCAACAAAAAAACACTACTTGTCGGGTACTATGTTCACAACTTGGGGGGCAGGAAGCCCAAACCTCAGCATCATGCAGTGTACCTGTGTAACAAACCTGCATACCCCTGAATCTAAAAAAAAGAAAAATTTGTTAATGGAAGTATTATCATATTTTTGAATATACAAGTGAAATTATGAGTCTTTGCTGATAAAGACTTAATTTCTTTTTTTCTTTTCTCAGTCACCAGGTTAGTACTGGTGAGCTCAACAACATAAATGAGATAGCCTGTAATCTAACAGCCTTAGAGGAAGCATTTTTACCAATATTAAGCCAAACAGAAAAATTGGGAAATATAATTTAGAAAAACAAGGGAATGAATTTACTTTGCTAATTATAGACAAAATTAAAACCACCTTTGTTTTATTTTTCTCTAAGCCTGTTTTTTCAGAGATCTCTTAAATCCGTAGTAAGAACTCTAGTGTCTTGAAAAATTCTATCTGCCTTTCTTTTGCATTTTAGCATAATCCAGAACCTTTTCTGTAATAAAAAGTTCCCCTACTTTTAAAGCCTTAACTTGCAAGTTTTTCTGTTTCAAGTTGAGAAGGTTCTGTAAACTGGGCCATGGTGGGGGTGCTGGAGTGGAGGATTTCTCTTTATGTCTTATCCCTGTGCCCCTCACTGCTTCTAGTTTTTTCCTTTTGAAATCCATCCTTCGAGTTACTTCCTGGTGCAAATTACTCTCTGTGATCCCCTATCCCCTAGCTCTTATAAGCTGCCCTTACATGCTTAAGGCTTGTGGTTATGTCATTCTGCCATAGTGCTATGGTCTGAATATGTGTATGCTCCCAAGATTCTTAGGTTGAAACCTACCCCCAAGGTGATGGTATTAAGAGGGTAGGGGCTTTGAGAGGTGGTTAGGTCAGGGGAGCTTGCTCCTTTTGCCCTTCTGCCATATGAGGACAAATAGAAGGTGCCATCCATGAACAGCATGCCCTCACCAAACACCATATCTGTTGGCAATTTGATCTTGGACTTCCCCAGCCTCCAGAGCTGTGAGCAGTACACTCATGTTTATAAATTACTCAGTCTAAGGTATTTTGTTGTAGCAGCAGGAACAACTAAGACACATAGCTTATCAAATATTTAATACAATATATAACATTTTAACAGCTTTAAAAAAATAGAGATGGGGTCTTGCCATATTGCCCAGTCTGGTCTCTAACTCCTGCGCTCAAAGGATCCTCCTGCCTCAGCCTCCCAAAGTGCTGGATTATAAGCTTGAGTCACAGTGCCTGGCCAACACCTTTATTGAGGACATACAATAAATGTCACATATTTAAGGTGTACAATCAAGATAGCAAACATATCCATCACTCCTAATATATAAACATATGAACACAAATTTGAAGGGACATCACCCCATAAGCCTAACACTCAATATGTATAATAACCTTCAGTGTTCTTTTTCAATGAACATAACCATGGACACTTTTCCATGTTGTTACATGGTCTTAATAATAGTATGACTTTTTAAAGAGTTGAGCAATGGCATGTTAAAAACATGTTCTTTACACATCTAAGATGATAGTACATAGATTGTTTCATGTTAGAAGTAGAAACATTTTCAGCTTCTTTTGAAGTGAGAGATACGAAGAGGGAGGCTATGAGAGAATCAAAGAGAGCACAGGGAGTTCTCAGTGGTCTCCCCTCTTCCAAGGCAAATACTTCTGTCTCCAAGGACTGAGTAGAGCTTTGAGAAGGAGGATAGGTATGTCACAGAGAGTAACTAATTTCTGATTAGGTGAAACTGAAGCTGTGTGCTGAGGTAAATGGTAAATTTAGGAGTGACTGCTTGGGATTTATTCAGTTAGAGGTCCATGTAGCAGGTGGGAAATGTTTGTATTTGATGTGTGCGGTTAACAAAAGCCAATGAAGAATTTGGGAGATTGAGTGACTGGGCCATTATGGTGTATATGTAAAATAATCTTAGTGGTTGATTAAGAGATAGATTTAGGCCGGGCGCGGTGGCTCACGCCTGTAATCCCAGCACTTTGGGAGGCCGAGGCGGGCGGATCACGAGGTCAGGAGATCGAGACCATCCCGGCTAAAACGGTGAAACCCCGTCTCTACTAAAAATACAAAAAATTAGCCGGGCGTAGTGGCGGGCGCCTGTAGTCCCAGCTACTTGGGAGGCTGAGGCAGGAGAATGGCGTGAACCCGGGAGGCGGAGCTTGCAGTGAGCCGAGATCCCGCCACTGCACTCCAGCCTGGGCGACAGAGCGAGACTGCGTCTCAAAAAAAAAAAAAAGAGAGATAGATTTAAAGAAGTAATTCCCATGGCCATACTGAGTCAGAAGGGTGATAAGTATAATGAGAATGGTTGGTGTGAAAGGTCACACCAAGGTTCTGGAATTTGGTAATAGGATGATAGCATTGTCACTCTTAAAAAGATGATTAGGCAAGTGGACATGGGTGAAGATTTTCCCAAGGAGATTTGTTTTAATTCGGGACACATTTTATCAAATGATAGTATATCACCATAAGGAAGGAGGCTTTCAAAGACTACAAAGGACTATCTCCACACTTTTTTTTCTTTTTTTTTGATGGAGTCTAGCTCTGTTACCCAGGCTGGAGTGCAGTGGTGAGATGGCGGCTGACTGCAGTCTCTGCCTCCCAGGTTCAAACGATTCTCTTGCCTCAGCCTCCTGAGTAGCTGGGAATACAGGCGCCCGCCACCATGCCCAGCTAATTTTTGTATTTTTAGTAGATACGGGGTTTCACCATGTTGGCTAGGCTGGTCTTGAACTCCTGACCTTGGGTGATCCGCCCACCTTGGCCTCCCAAAGTGCTGGGATTACAGGTGTGAGCCACTGCACCCGGCCCTATCTCCACATTTAAGGAGCTTATGATCTGATTGAAGTGAACATACCTTCAGAAAATAAGATAGATCTGATAGAAAGTAGCAGGCTGAGATTGAGGCTCCAGATTTGGTAATTGTGTGAAAACAAGAATGAATCAAGTATCCCAAGTTGCATGGAAAAGTAGTGGGTTTGTATTAGAGGCCTGGGACATTTTTGAGACAGTTTTGCTCTTATTACCCAGGCTGGAGTGCAGTGGCCGATCTTGGCTCACTGCAACCTCCGCCCCCTGGGTACAAGCGATTTTTCTTTTCTGCCTCAGCTTCCCAAGTAGCTGGGACTACAGGCATGTGGCACCACGCCCAGCTAATTTTTGTATTTTTGGTAGATACGGGGTTTCACCATGTTGGCCAGGCTGGTCTCAATCTCCTGACCTTGTGATCTACCTGCCGCGGCCTCCCAAAGTGCTGGGATTACAGGTGTGAACCACCGCGCGAGGCCTGGTACTTTTCTAGTGACGAAGTGTTGAAACCGCTGGTGGTCACATTGAAAAGCATTCAGAGATACTAGATCACATTACATCTTAATTGCAGATAGTTCCAGCTTTCAAATCAGATTTTTGGTAGGAGCTTAGCACATATCTTTCTGTGGGAACTGTGTTATAATGAGGGCTAGTACGTTCTCAAGTAGTACACACAAGGCCATTTAATGCATCGTATCCTTGAAGTATGTGTTACACTATTAGGCTAAACTGTAAGAAATTACTGTTTTTGGAAGTCACAGATCACCAGATGTTGGCAGTTTCACATGGTTCAATCCGGTACATTTAATTATCACCAGACATTTTTTTTTAGCTTAGTGAATTTTTAAAATTTATTATCATTTATGTACTTTTTATTTCAATACTTTTAGGGTACAAGTAGTTTTTGGTATCACCAGACATTTGATGTCTATAATTTATTTGGGAAGACACTGAGACTGCAGAATTGACCTGATAGCTGTGTTTTAAAAGCATTTCTCTGAGACCATTCAGGGTTTTAAATTGGGATGTCTGAGACTGAAGGCCCTTCTGCCCCAGGGATTCTCCTTAATCCCAAGTTTCTGATGGGTTTTCTCTCTATAGTCATCCTCCTTCCCCTGATCCCCAAAATAAGACTAGGGAGGTGGGAGTATTTTAGGGTGGTGTTTCTCTTTTCTGTTTTTGAGATGGGGTCTTACTCTGTTGCCCAGGCAGGAGTGCAGTGGCAGGATCTCAGCTCACTGCAACCTCTGCCTCTCAGGTTCAAGTGATTCTCCTGCCTCAGCCTCCCGAGTAGCTGGGACTACAGGTGCTTGCCACCATGCCCAGCTAATTTTAGTATTTTTTAGTAGAAACAGGGTTTTACCATGTTGGCCAGGCTGGTCTCAAACTCCTGACCTCAAGTGATCTGCCCGCCTTGGCCTCCCAAAGTGCTGGGATTACAGGCGTGACCCACCGTGATTGGCAAGGGTGGTGTTTTGCTAACTGTAGGTTAGTTTTTCTAACTGTAGGTTTTTAACAGGATTTATCACAAATGAAAGACAATAGAAAATATTCAGGAAACATTGCACATGGTAATGGCAAGTGTTTCATGAAACATTTAGTGTCTGTGCATTTGTGTGTGTGTGTGTGTGTACTGGGTTGTATATGCAGTGTATTTATTTATCACAGGCCTTAAACATTTGAGTAATGCTGATTTGGGAGATGAATTGATGTAGGCTTGGCATCTTGGGGATAGAAGGTAAGCCATTGTAGGGGTCCTCGGACTTCTTTAACCTTTTGCCCTCCTATTGTGGGCCAGAAAGTAGGCCTTCTCTCTCTCCACTGGTGCCATCAAACTCCTCTGAACTCTGGCTCATGTCTTTCCTTTACCTGCATGTAACGCAATGTAATTTAGTATAGAGTAGAATCCTTTGGAATTTTTTTAAAGGTGATTCCTGGTAGTTGCTGGTATAAAGGTGGTTAAAAACAGAAAACCTAAAGCACAGAGATAGTGTTCTCATTTAAGTGTTTTAAGTAGAACATGAAACTTTCTAAGTTGAGTTTTTGTAGAGTGATCACTGAGAATTCATCTATATTTCAGAGGAAAACAAGAAAGACTGGTAGGTAGGCACTTGATAGATTTGTGGAATGGGTGGAGACAGTTCTGAGCACCTGTCTAGGATCAGTGAACTACGTATTAGTGAATATGAAGCAGAAGTTGATAGTAGGAACAGAGAGGTGATTATCTTCCCCTTTTTTTCTGTGCTGTACTATCTTGGAGAGGTGAGGAGAAAAAGGTTCCAAATTGGCCACTAGATGATTGAAAGAAGTCCCTGTGGCCAATTTTGTATCTGGATGACCATTCTTTTTTAAGTGAGATGCGTGAACCTTTCATATAAAGAGCTGCTGGCAGGATATTGTTTTATTAGGTTTTAGGGATATTGGCCCATGGTTCACTTTTTCTTTCTCCCCAGTTTTTGGAAAAGTTGATTGCTAGTAAGGCTGATTGCTTTCAGGGAATTGTCATTTTCCTCCGGGGGATGTTTGGATGAGAATGGAGACCAGTTTGGCAAGGGCAACAGCTGTTGAACAATCTGTTTGGGATTAGGTGCAAGTTGGTATGTAGTGGAAATCTGCCTCCTGGTTCCTGAAATTATGTTCCTTTGCCTCAAGGATAAATGTTTTCCTGCTCATTCCAGTTACATTCACTTAGTTCTGGCTGGTAATGCTTCTGACTGATAACTTTCCTCTTTTAAGAGAGCTTCCTTGAAAGAATAATTGATAGCTACGATGAACAATTAAAAATGTTATGCCTTCCCTTAAGATTTTGCTCAGGATTTAATCATAGGTTGGTGGTAACAGAACCTTTCAGTTCAAAATTAGCTGTATATTATCTAACCATTTTGGTAAGGGGAGAGACTTAAGGTGCTTTCTGATGGTTTAGATGGCAGTATCACATGAGATTTATTCATATTGTGTGTTGGAATGTAAATTCTAATGACCTTTGGAAGCATTAGTAGTAAAATTTACTTAGCTGGCTATTCCTAAGCTTACTAGTGAGTTGGAGTTGCATGCGTGAATCATACCTCTGACCAGTTGTGATGATACAAATTAAGTTGAGTTTAAGGAAGAGACTAAATTAATTGCCATCCTGTCACCACACTGTCCACTTAGCACTGTACAGCTAAGATCCTTTCAGTTTTTTAAAAAATACTTTTTTAATACCACAGATATAAGAACCTGCAATGGGTGCTTTTAATTTGGGTTTATGCTGACCTTTATGTATCAGATAATGTGTCTAAATCCTGAGCCAGGATCCTAGTAACCCCAATTTCTATCTAAGCATAGTCTAAAAGCTGTCACTCAGTACTAGAACGTCTTTTGTGGTATGAAAGGATAATGTATAGGGCCTGGAAGTACACTTACATATTTGCTTATTTGGTTAGGTTGTTATTTTGTGAATAGAATTTAAATTCACTTTTAGAAGTAATGTCATAGTTGTCAGTGGACATGTATATTTCAACTAACTATAAGGAAGACAGATGGAAATGTCCTTTTCTTTTTCGTGTCTGATAATGCATTTGCATTTGTTGATCTGAGGTCAGCACTTAAGTTGGACATCTTCAAATCTTTTTTTTTTTTTAATTGAGATGGAGCCTTGCTGTGTTGCCCCGGCTGGAGTGCAGTGGCATGATCTTGGCTCACTGCAACCTCTGCCTCCCAGGTTCAAGCGATTCTCCTGCCTCAACCTCCCGAGTAGCTGGGATTACAGGTGCCTGCCACCACCTCTGGCTAGTTTTTGTATTTTTAGTAGAGACAGGATTTCTCCACTTGGCCAGGCTGGTCTTGAACTCCTGACCTCAGGTGATCTGCCCGCCTCAGCCTCGCAAAGTGTTGGGATTACAGGCCTGAGCCACCATGCCTGGTTTCAAATCTTAATTTAATGGGTGGAGTTAGTTTTCCAATCACTAGTAGAAACTCAGTAACCATAAATTTTGAATGCTTGTATTTTATTGGAGTCTGGAATTACCACCTCCAGAGATATTTAGATTGACTTTGTAGTTCTGATTGGTGGTATCACTTTTGATTTTTGAGCATCTCAATTAGCTTATCTTTTCCTAGAAGAATATTTTATCTTCAATTTTTATATATAGATGCAATATATAATTATAAATACTATATATAACATGTACTTGTGAATCCGCATTTCAACCATACATCAACATAGAGTAGTTGTAGTTAGGTTCCTTTTTAAATGTATTTTAATTTGAAATTTACTTGTATGAATAAACTCATTCATTAAATTTTTTTCTCAACATTATTTAATATTGACATATTGTCACCAGTGAGTCTGAAATAATTCTCATGCCTTAAATGTGACTATTTCAAAGTATTACTCTTTTTTTTTTTTTTTAAGTATTTATTGATCATTCTTGGGTGTTTCTCGGAGGGGGGATTTGGCAGGGTCATAGGACAATAGTGGAGGGAAGGTCAGCAGATAAACATGTGAACAGGGTCTCTGGTTTTCCTAGGCAGAGGACCCTGCGGCCTTCCGCAGTGTTTGTGTCCCTGGGTACTTGAGATTAGGGAGTGGTGATGACTCTTAACCAGCATGCTGCCTTCAAGCATCTGTTTAACAAAGCACATCTTGCTCCGCCCTTAATCCATTTAACCCTGAGTGGACACAGCACATGTTTTAGAGAGCTCGGGGTTGGGGGTAAGGTTATAGATTAACAGCATCCCAAGGCAGAAGAATTTTTCTTAGTACAGAACAAAATGGAGTCTCCTATGTCTGCTTCTTTCTACACAGACACAGTAACAATCTGATTTCTCTTTCTTTTCCGCACATTTCCCCCTTTTTCTATTCGACAAAACCGCCATCGTCATCATGGCCCGTTCTCAATGAGCTGTTGGGTACACCTCCCAGACGGGGTGGCGGCCGGGCAGAG
The DNA here is from genome assembly GCF_000001405.40 of Homo sapiens. NCBI lineage: Eukaryota > Metazoa > Chordata > Mammalia > Primates > Hominidae > Homo > Homo sapiens. Next base: position 225,615,796 of record NC_000001.11, on the reverse strand, counting down.
GGGCTCCTCACTTCTCAGACGGGGCGGCCGGGCAGAGACGCTCCTCACCTCCCAGACGGGGTGGCGGTCGGGCAGAGACACTCCTCAGTTCCCAGACGGGGTCGCGGCTGGGCAGAGGCGCTCCTCACATCCCAGACGGGGTGGCGGGGCAGAGGCGCTCCCCACATCTCAGACGCCGGGCGGCCGGGCAGAGACGCTCCTCACTTCCCAGACGGGCTGGCAGCCGGGAAGAGGCGCTCCTCACTTCCCAGACTGGGCGGCCGGGAAGAGGGGCTCCTCACATCCCAGACAATGGGCGGCCAGGCAGAGACGCTCCTCACTTCCCAGATGGGGTGGCGGCCAGGCAGAGGCTGCAATCTCGGCACTTTGGGAGGCCAAGGCAGGCGGCTGGGAGGTGGAGGTTGTAGCGAGCCGAGATCACGCCACTGCACTCCAGCCTGGGCACCATTGAGCACTGAGTGAGGGAGACTCCGTCTGCAATCCCGGCACCTCGGGAGGCCGAGGCAGGCAGATCACTCGCGGTCAGGAGCTGGAGACCAGTCGGGCCAACACGGCGAAACCCCGTCTCCACCGAAAAAATACAAAAACCAGTCAGGCGTGGCGGCGCGCGCCTGCAATCCCAGGCACTCCGCAGGCTGAGGCAGGAGAATCAGGCAGGGAGGTTGCAGTGAGCCGAGATGGCGGCAGCACAGTCCAGCCTCCGCTCGGCATCAGAGGGAGACCGTGGAGAGAGAGGGAGAGGGAGAGGGAGAGGGAGACCGGGGAGAGGGCATCAGAGGGAGACCGTGGAGGGAGAGGGAGACCGGGGAGAGGGAGAGGGAGAAAAGTATTACTCTTAAGGATTTGTGTATGGAGAAGGGTATTGAGGTTGTGGAATAGAGGTAGGATTGGTGTTGGAGGAAGGGTTACTTACCTTATGGAATCGGAAATTTGAGACAGGTTTCTGAGTGAAAATAGGTAAATGTGGTATTGTAATATAATAAGAAATACATATTTGGTCTCTGTTCCTGGTTCCTGGCACACAGCTCTTAAAACCCTTGGACTGACCAAAGTACTGTAATAAATGTCTTTTTGTATGCTAATGAGATGACTGGTGGCTGGGGCTCCTGGATAGCTTCAGGGTGGGGGAGCTGGTTGCTAGGAGAAGCAACCAACCTATCTCCTGGGAGGGGAAGGGGAAGAGCCTGAAGGATGAGTTGATAACCAGTGGCCAGTGATTTAATCAGTCATGTCTACATAATGAAGCCTCTATACAAACCCAAAGGATAGAGTCTGGAGAGCTTCCAGATGGATGAGCAAGAACACATCCAAGTGCAGCGATTGGGGGTACATCCCAGGTACAGGAGATCAGAAACTCTTGCTCTTAGGACCCTTCCAGACCTTCCCCATGTGTCTCTTCGTCTGGCTATTCATTTGTATCCTTTAAAATATTAGTATTGGCTGGGCACAGTGGCTCACACCTGTAATCCCAGCACTTTGGGAGGCCGAGGTGGGTGGATCACCTGAGGTCAGGAGTTCGAGACCATCCTTGCCAACATGGGGAAACCCCGTCTCTACTAAAAATACAAAAATTAGCTGTGCATGGTGGTGGGCGCCTGTAATCCCAGCTACTTAGGAGGCTGAGGCAGGAGAATCACTTGAACCCAGTAGGTGGAGGTTGCAGTGAGCCGAGATTGTGCCATTGCACTCCAGCCTGGGCGACAGAATGAGACTCCATCTCAAAAAAAAAAAAAAATCTTTCTAATAAATGGGTAAACATAAGTAAAGTGTTTTCCTGAGTTCTGTGAGCTGCTCTAGCAAATTAAACTCTGGGGAGAGCTTATGGGAACCCTGATTTAGAGCTATTGGGCCAGAAGCACAGGTCACAACCTGGGGCATGAGATTGGCATTAGAAGTTGGGGTGGTCTTCTGGGACTGATCCCTTAACCTATGGGATGTGATGTTATTTCCACATAGTGTCAGAATTGAGTTAAATCATAACTCACTTAGTGTCTGCCAGAGAATCTGGTGTCAGGAGTGTGTTGTGTGAGAGTAGAAAAAACACTGTTTTTTTCCCCATCTTTAATAATAAAATATGCTATAAGGTGTAGTAGAGCATTATCCCTTATTAGGAAGAGTTTATAATTAGTTATTTTTGTTGTTATGGCTGAACCAGACCTTTGCTTTGTTCTCAGAAAATATCTAGCAAAGTTACACATTTTCTTTGGTTCAATAAGTGTTGTTTGTTGATCTAGTTGTATATTTAAAAATAGTGTTAAAAATAAAATATGTGCTTATTACACATAAAATTGACAAACTGAAAAAGTAGAAGGAACAAGTTAATCAACAAATATTTATTATCTTCACAAATATTTATTATTACCACCAGGCACTGTTCTCTGCCCTGGGGAAATGGTGTTAAACAAGTCATGTACCCAGGGGGCTTACATTCTGGTAGCTGAATGGAGGAGAAGGATGTACCAATAAGTCTGTTATTCTCAGTAAGTGTGAAAAAGATAAAATGTGTAGTGAGAAAAGATGGGTGGTGAAGGCAAGGCCTAACTTGGTTGGGGTGGTCACGGAAGGCTTCTTAGGGAGGGACGTTTGAGTTGCTCTGAAAGATGAGGAGGCAGTCATTGGAGAGCAGGGAAAAGAGTACTCTAAGCAGAAGAGGTCCAAAGGCCTTGCAATGAAAATGAGCTTGCTTTGTTCAAGGGACAGAAAGTAGGAAGAAAATAGTGTCCGTAGCAAAACCATAGGACACATACTGAGTCTTTGTAGATGTATACTTTGGCTTGTATTTTTAGAATTTGTATTCTGCTGTTTTAATATTTGCTTCATAATATAAACATTCTTCATTTCATACCTTAGTAAACATTTTTAGTGTTGACACAATTAATTTTGTAAATGTATCGTGGTTGACTTACCCATTCCCCAATAGTTTGGCATTTAGATCCCTCCTCCCCCCCTTTTTTTTGCATTATTGTAAGTATTACAGTGAGCACTTTGGATATAAAACTTTTTTGCTTCTTACGGTTGGTCCTCAGAAGGCAAAATATAAACTGGGGCAAAGATATGAATTATTTAGTATTTATTGCCAGAATATTTGGCAAAAGCTTTAGTTTATGTTCCAATTACCAAAGTGTAGAGAGTGTTTACTGTATCCTGGCCAGCATTAAGTATTATTTTTGTTTTGAAAATTTTTTTTGCTGTGGGAAAATGCAGATAACATAAAATTTACCATGGTAACCATTTAAAAGTGTACAATTCTGTGGCATTAAATAAATCCACAGTGTTGTGCAACCATTGCCACTATCTACTTCCAGAACTTTTTCATCACCCTAAGTGGAAAACCTTGTACCCACCAAGCAATCATTTCCCAATCCCTGTTCCCCATCAACCCCTGGCAGCCATGAATCTGCTTTCTGTCTCCATGGATTTGCCTATTCTGGACATTCCATGTAAATGGAATTATATAGTACATGGCTTTTTGTGTCTGGCTTCTGTGACTAAGCATAAAGTTTTCAGGGTTCATCCGTGTCATAGCAGTGTCAGTACGTCTTCCCTTTTTATGGCTAATATTCCATCGTTTGGATATACCACATTTTGATTATTTATTCATCTCTTGATGGACATTGGGTCATTTCCACCATTTAGCTCTTGTGAATAGAGCTGCTATGAAGATTTATGTATAAGTATTTGAATACCTGTTTTCAGTTTTTTCGGACATATATCTAGGAGTGGAATTGGCCGGGTTACATGATAGGTAATTTTCCATTTAGCTCATTGAGGACTGGCCAAACTGGTTTCCCCGTTGGCTGTGTGATTTCACATTCTCACCAGCAGTGGATGAGGGTTTTAATTTCTCCATATCCTCACGAATACATTATTTTTAAATTTTTTGTGTTTTGTTTTTTATGATAGCCATCCTAGTGAGTGTGATTTTTGATTTCATTGTGGTTTTTTATTTTCATTTCCCTAATGACTAAAAATGTTCAGCATCTCTTCATGTGCTTGTTGGCCGTTGAGTATTATCTTTTTCTCACTCTGTCACCTGTGCTGGAGTGCAGTGGTGTGAACACAGCTCACTGCAGCCTTGACCTCCTGGGCTCAGCTGATCCTCCCACCTCAGCCTCCTGAGTAGCCAGGACCAAAGATGTGGGCCACCACACCTGGCTAATTAAAAAATTTTTTTTTTGTCTGGGCAAGGTAGCTCATGCCTGTAATCCCAGCACTTTGGGAGGCTCGAGGCAGGTGGATCACCCGAGGTCAGTAGTTCAAGACCAGCCTGGCCAACATAGTGAAACCTCATCTCTACAAAATATATAAAAATTAGCTGGGCGTGGTGATGCACGCTTGTAGTCCCAGCTACTCAGGAGGCTGAGGGAGGAGAATCACTTGAATCTGGGAGGCAGAGGTTGCAGTGACCAGAGATCGCGCCACTGCACCCCAGCCTGGGCAACAGAGCAAGACTCTGTCTCAATAAATAAATAAATACGTAAATAAATAAATAAATTTTTTTTTTTGGTAGAGACAAGGTTGCCCAGGCTGGTCTAGAACTCCCAGGCTCATACAGTCCTTCCACCTTTGGCTCCCAAAGTGCTGGGATTACAGGGACTATTATCTTTTTTCAACTTGAAATTTTTATTGAAATATAAGATGTACAGAAAAGGGCACATAGCACCAACTCAGTACACATGTGTAACCATCACTTTATGCCCTCTTCTAGTCACAGTCTTTCACCAAAGAGTAACCCCACCTGACCCAGAACAGCGTCAATTAGTTTTGCCTGCTTTTGTACTCATGTGAATAGAATCACATAGAACATATTCTGTATCTGCCTTTTTCGGCCTAACGTTAGATCTGTGCCGTTCATCTGTATCATTCATTTTATTCTATTGTGTGAAATACTAGTTTATTCATTCTAAGGTTGATGGACATTTGGATTGGTTGCAGTTTTTGGATCTTATAATGTCGTGAATATTCTGCTATTTGTTTTTTCTTGAGCGTGTATGTGGGCCAAATACAGCTTTTGGAGTGGTTGATCGTACTAGCGTTAAAATGTCGCCATTGGTGTAAATAATTCCTCTACTTTGTTGGCTGTTTCTTTTTTTTCTTTTAATTTTAGTTCTGTTTAGGCATGGAGAAGTTGTAAGTGGTTTTCTTTTGTTCATTTATTTGGTTAGTTTTAAGTTTGGATTGTGACCCCTTCATCCAGAGTTTTAAAATTGGAAGTCAGCTCTCTTGAGTCACATAATCTTGGTATGAAGTTTAAGATGAATGAAATGCAAGCATACTTGGGAAAAAAAAGAATTTTTTTTACTGGGGACCTATCGTTCTTTTCTTACCAAATGTTAAGAGTATCCCCCAATATTTTTATAGTAATTATAAAATCACAAATTTATTATAACCCCACAGTAGGTCCTAGAGACTAACTGGAACAGAAAGCAATATTGTTTTAATTGTTTGATCTTTGAGCTCTAGTAAACTTCTCTATCTTTTCTTATTTTCTTTTAAAATTACAAAATAATGCGTACATATTATAAAACATTTGAAAGTTACATAAGAAAATCAAAATAATGTCACTACTTGAGAGAAAATCACGTTAGTACATACACTTCCTGTTTGTTTTTAGGCAATGCTAGTTTTTTTTTTTTATTGAACATAATGTTCTATAATGTGATTTCCCCTAAATATACTGTGAATACTTTCCTCTGTAATTAAATATTATTCTAAAGCATGGTTTTAAAAAATTAGAGCATGATTTAAAAATTTAATTTTTATCATGTGGTATACATGTACATATTAATAATTTATATAGTCATGTAGTTTTACAAGGCTAATAAAAAAAGTAGGCCGGGCGCGGTGGCTCATGCCTGTAATCCCAGCACTTTGGGAGGCTGAGGCAGGCGGATCACTTGAGGCCAGGAGTTCAGACCAGCCTGGCCAACATAGCAAAACGCTGTCTCTACTAAAAATATAAAAAATTAGCTGGGGATGGTGGCGCATGCCTGTGCTCCCAGATACTCAGGAGGCTGGGCATGAGAACCACTTGAACCTGAGAGGTGGATGTTGCAGTGAGCCAAGATCGTGCCACTGCATTCCAGCCTGGGCGACAGAGAGACTCCATCTCAAAAAAAAAAAAAAAAAAAAAAAAAAAATCCATTTTTCCCTTTCCTGCTAGAATCCAGCTCTCAAGAGGAACCACTATCAACTGACATATTTCTTTGGTAGTTTTTAATTTCCAGATAACGTGTTTAAACTAACCTTTTTTGACTGTTTCAATTTTAGATTTATCTTTTGACTTGCCATGATGGAAGATAGTGGTTTAGCTGTTTTACATTCTCCTCCCCACGATGCATACTTTCCATCTTCTCTATATGGTTATATAACCAATTTTGGTTAATCAAAGTTTATATAACTATTCACATTGGAGCCATGCTGTGTACTATTTTAATATGGTTACTTTTTTTTTTTGAAACAGCTTTTTGTTTTAGCTGGATTTAATGAATCTTTGTGTTTATTTGTTTTCCATGCATTCATCACTTACTCAGCTCAGACTATACTACTAAAGTTTAACTCTCCTTTTAATATAATAAACACATCAGGTAATCTTTCAGTTTCTTTTTTTTTTATTTTGGATACCTCTAACTTTGTGTTCCAGTTGAACTGATTGCCTTCTTGGCTTGCTTCCTGGAGTGGGATTTTTACCATTTTCATGGGAATTCTTTCAGCCTTATTCTGTTGCTTTTCATTGTAGCTCCCTTAGAAATAAAGCATGGGAAGCAAATTCTTTGAGACTTAGAATATTTAAGAATATCTATTAGAGCCTACTCTTGATAGATAACTTGGCTGTATTTACAAGTCAAGGTTGGAAATTATTTTTCTTCAAAATTTTGAAGGCATTACTCAAGTGACTTGTTTCTAGAGTTGCTCTGAAAAGTCTGATGTCATTTTGATTCCAAGACCCCCCTCCTTTTTTTTTTTTTTTTTTTTTTTTTTGAGACAGAGTCTCGCTCTGTCGCCCAGGATGGAGTGCAATGGTGTGATCTCTGCTCACTGCAACCTCCGCCTCCCGGGTTCAAGCGATTTTCCTGCCTCAGCCTCCTGAGTGGTTGGGATTACAGGTGCCTGCCATCACACCTGGCCAATTTTTGTATTGTTAGTAGAGACGGGGTTTCGCCATGTTGATGAGGCTGGTCTCGAGCTCCTGACCTCAGGTAATCTGCCCGCCTCTGCCTTCCAAAGTGCTCAGATTACAGGCGTGAGCCACGGTGCCTGGCCTCCAAGACCCTTATAAGAAAGCTGTTTTTTTCTTTCTGGAAACCTTTAGGATCTTCTCTTATTCCTGGTGTTCTGAAATTTTATAATGATATTTCTTAATGTGAGTCTTTGTTTAAAAAAAAAAAAAAGTCTGTTGTGCTGTGCCCTTGATGGATCTTTTTATTTTAGAAACATGCCCTTCAATGCTTAGAAAGTTGTTTCTTTGGTAATGGACTCTGAAAAGGGAGAACTCCTTGTTAGGGGGTTTTTGGGTCTTCTGAATTCTTTTATCTACTCTTTGCTGTCTGATTTTGTCTTTTTTTTTTTTTTTTTTCTGTTTTTTATATTCCAACTCCTTTATTGGATTTAAAGTTTCTGCTGTCTTTAATTTGAAAAGCTTTTCTTTTGTTTTATGAATGTTTCTTTTAATCATTCTTATTTCACGGATGCGTATCTTTTTTTCGACCCTTTGAGGATATTATGATTCTGTTCCTTGCGTTGTTTCTTTTTTTCCCTTGCTCTGTTTTGATTCCTATCTTTCAAATTAAAGGTTTTCTTAAATGTTTGATGTTCCTTGCCTATCTGTTCAGACTTAAGCCTGAGGCTTTTAAAAAAGTTTTTATTTTTAAAGCAAGTTGGGAAGTCTTTCCATGGTATGGGCCTGTGACATGGTCTTCCTCTCTGAGGGATGAACTGGTGAATCTGGCTTTCCGTGGGGACCCTCAGCTGTCAGTGTCTCCAGGTCTCTCTTTTTTAGGCTGTTTTGTTTTCCTGTCTAAGCTTGACTGCCAGAATTCTGTGGTGAATTGGGGAAAAGGAGGGTGGTGGGTGGGTGGTAAGTTATCATTCAGTATTTAGGCTTGCATTTAATCCCCATCATACCTCCCTCAGAATGCCTTTGTTTACAGTCTCTCCTGTGTAAACTTCCCAGAGTAATGGGCTGAGTGTCTGATGGCATTGTTTGGGTTATGATATCTGGGATTTCGATGAATGGCTCCGTATCTAGAATTTCAACCAGGTGTTTTTTTTTTTTTTTTTTGCCCCCCACCCTGCTCTGGATTCCTGAACTTTTCTAGGCTTTATTCTTGGTACATTCCCTCAGTAATTCTGCTAGACAGTTTCTGTTTTCTTCAGCCTACTAAGTCAGTTACCTCTAATCCATCTGCTTTTCGGCTTTCAAAATTGTGCTTATATCTAGAGCAAGCTTGTCCAACCCATGGCCTGTGGGCCACATGTGGCCCAGGATGGCTTTGAATGTGGCTCAACACAAATTCGTAAACTTTCTTAAAACATGAGATTTTTGTTTTGCGATTTGTTTTTTTTAAGCTCATCAGCTGTCGTTGTTGTTAGTGTATTTTACGTGTGGCCCAAGTCACTTCTTCCAGTGTGGCCCAGGGAAGCCAAAAGATTGCACACTCCTGATCTAGAGTCTGCTGTAGTGTCCTCTTCTGTTTGTTTGTAGTCTCTGCATTTATAAATTATTTATTATTTAGTGTTGGACTTGTAAGAAACACTCTGCTCCACTCTGCCGAGGAAAAGGTGAGCTATTGTGGTGAGGCCTTCACAGGTCTGTGTGCCTGGCACTCTCAGCTGCATTATTCAGGACCTTGGGCTGTACGTAGTTATTTTATTGGATTTGTGTGAGAAGGGCTAGTTTTGTGATTGGTTAAGTTTATTGAAAATAATTTTTTTTTTTTTTTTTTTTTTTTTTTGAGACAGAGTCTTGCACTGTCGTCCAGGATGGAGTGTAGTGGTGTTATGTTGGCTCACTGCAATCCCTGCCTCCTGGGTTCAAGGGATTCTCCTACCTCAGCCTCTCAAGTAGCTGGGACTACAGGTGCACTCCACCACGTCCAGCTAGTTTCTGCATTTTTAGTAGAGATGAGGTTTTGCCATGTTGACTAAGGCTGGTCTCCTGGCCTCAACTGATCTGCCTGCCTTGGCCTCCCAAAGTGTTAGAATTATAGGCGTGAACCGCTGCATCTGGCCAAAAGTTGACTTATTTTGAATGGACTACATTATAGCTTAACTAGATTGTACGAGTGCTTATCAACTAATATGTTAAAATATGGTAATTCCTTTTTTTTTTTTTTTGAGATGGAGTCTTGCTCTGTGTTGCCCAGGCTGGAGTGCAGTGGTGCGTTCTCAGCTCACTGCAACCTCTGCCTCCTGGGTTCAAGCAATTCTGCCTCAGCCTCCCGAGTAGCTGGGATTACAGGTGCCTGCCACCACGCATGGCTAATTTTTATATTTTTAGTAGAAATGGGGTTTTGCTGTGTTGGCCAGGCTGGTCTCGAACTCCTGAACTCAGATGATCCACCTGCCTCGGCCTTCCAAAGTGCTGGGATTACAGGCATGAGCCACTGCACCTGGCCAAAATATGGTAATTCTAATAGGTCACATTCAGGTGTATTTTTTTTAATGGTCTAATATAACATTAAAAGTATTTGTGAAAAATTCCATTTTGGTATTTTAAGCATAATCTATCCAAAAGGAACATTAAAAAATAATAATAAAAGGGGAATGTGAGGTTTAGGTTTTTAAGATGTTCAGTATTTTTAGGTAAGAGTGTTGTAGTAGTTTGCTAGGGCTGCCATGACAAAATACCACAGACCCAGTGGCTTAAACAGTACTTTCCTCACAATTCTGAAGGCTAGAAGGTCAAGGTGTTGGCAGGGTTGGTTCCTTCTGAAGCCTCTTTCTTGGCTTGCAGATGGCTCTCCTTCTCTGTCCACAGTGATCTTCCCTCTGTGTGTGTCTGTCCTAATCTTCTTATAAGGGCACCATTCATATTGGATTAGGGCCCACCTGTATACTCAGTTTACCTCAGTTACCTCTTTAAGGCCCTGTCTTCAAATACAGTCACATTCTGAGGTAATGGGGGTAAGGATTTTCACATGTGAATTTGGTGGGTGTTGGAGGGGCACAGCTCAGCACATAACAAATATTTTTATTATCTCATGCATTTAAAGGAGTATCATTTCTGATACACTTCAGAAAGGAATGTATTAGTGTGATGAAGTGGAAATAACTCGGACATTGTAGTCAGATAGGTAGGCCTGGTTTGAACTCTAGCCTTGCCTCTTAATAGTTCCCTAAATTTTTGTAACTTCTCTGAGACTTGCTTCCAAATCTATGAACTGGGAGTAACTGTACATCACAGAATGATGGTAAGAAATTAAGGACGATGTATGTTAAAAGTGCCTGACATCGAGTTGACTTCTAAATATTATGTTCTTACTGGTCTTTTCTCTCCCCCACTCCCCAAAGTAGTGTTTTGTATCCTTCCCCCTTATTTAATATCAGAAGGTGTCAATTTCGAGTGTAGATATGTATCATTTTAAAATTGCTTAGTCTTTCTATTCACAAGTGGTTGAATATCAGCAGTTTCTTAAGATTCAATCTACAATTGTATTTACCCAGTCGCTTGTCAGAATTTCCAATCATCATGTAGTTCAGTTTAACATTTTACATGCTTTAAGTGAAACCTACAGAAGTGTAATCTGCTGAGTCAGTGGATATTCACGTTTCAAAGGTTCTTGATGCATAAGGACAAGAGCCTTTGCTTTTTTATCAGCAAGGTATGAGGATGCCCTTTTCCCACTCTAACATTACTGTTTTCTCCTAAGTATCAAAGTCTAAAAGGATATCTTGTTTTATTTAACTTGCATTTCTTTACTAGCTAGCTTTAATGTTTTTCATATCTTTATCAGCCCTCTCTAAATCTTTTATCAATTGTCCTTTTTTTGTTTGTTTTTGTTTGAGACAGGGTCTTGCTGTGTTGCCCAGGCTGGAGTGCAATGGCGCAATCTCGGCTTACTGCAACCCCTGCCTCATGGGCTTAAGCGATTCTCCTGCCTCAGCCTCCCAAGTAGCTGGGACTACAGGCACCCACCACCATGCCTGGCTAATTTTTTTTTTTTTTTTTTTTTTGGTAGAGACGGGGTTTTACCATGTTGGCCAGGCTGGTCTCGAACTCCTGACCTCAAGTGATCTGCCCGCCTCGGCCTCCTAAAGTGCTGAGATTACAGGCGTGAGCCACTGCGCCTGGCCACATTTGTACAATTTTAAAATATTGTTTTTTTCTAGTGGATAAGGCACACAATAGTAGTCTCCCTTTGTTTAATAGCTGTCTGGGGCATATTTTCCCACCTATTTATTTACCCCCATTTATATTAAGCCCTCATTTTCCTCCTTTAGCTCTGCCTGCCTGTTCTCCCTCAGCAAGTCATTGACATTTTCCAAAGTTAAGAGAAACAGTAATAACTTCACTGAATAAAAATAGTGAGAGAGCCTGGACTTTGATTATGTCCAGAATACCTCCTAAGAGTGTTATTTTCAAAGTCAAAGTGATAAGGAATTTTGGTTTTTATGTCTGCCACTGAAAGTAGCTTGTTTAAATTTGAGTTTAATTAGTAGAATGACAGTGTTATTACTCATAGTGTGTAGTGTTATTAAAGATTCTTTGGCATACATGCAAGTTTTTGCTTATTAGAAGTTTCTAGTTGAAATTATAGCACTCACAAAAAGTTTTGAATAAATAAGATTTAGAATGAGTGACCCCTGAAAACCTGGTATGCAAAAGGCTACTGGGTAATAATTTCATTAATTTTATACCACATGTGTGATTTCACCATACTTTTTTTGTTCCTTGTGGTTGATTCTAAGTGATCAGCAATTTTTATTTTGACCATTTAAACCCATAGCCATTAGCTACTTAAATTTGTGAAATTCTTTGTAGTGATTTCAGTTTTACAAGTTTGTATCTTGGCTGATGGTCTAATTTTGAAAACTTTACATTTGGTAGATACCAATGTTTTTCTTAATGTACTTTTTCACAGTCCTTCTGATTGATTTCAAAGTGTTGTCTTTGAAAATAAACATGACTCATAGCACTTGGGTAGCCAGAGCATGCCTGTAATGAATGCCTCTGTACATTTTGAGGCTGTGGTAGAATAAACATAGCAGTTCCTTTCCTTTTTGAAATGGAAGTTTGATACTAGTACTGAATTTAAAGATGAACAGAGCTTAGTTTTGGAGAAAGAGAAAAGCACGGTTATATTTGCAGGTACACTTTTTTCTAACTTTCATTGACTATTTTTGAGTGTTAATGTGTAATTATTAAATTAATAAAAGTAATTTTATAGAAGCTGCAAATTACCATATTTCAATTTATTTCAGGGGTTATTCTTTTAATAATTTAGGAGCTTTAAAGTATGTATCTCAAGCGCTATATAATAAAGAGCCATCGGTGTAGTTAAACTTTTGAGCTTTTAAGAAGTTATACATATAATTCTAAATATTTGCTTAATTATTTATTTTTACTTAGGGAGAATGACTGCTTAAAGGTTGAGTCTTCACATTTTGGATAGCCAAGAACCATTAACAAATTTCTATTGTTTTTGCCATTGATTTGTGGGTACCTTTTAATCCTTTATTATCATTTAGTTCTTTGTGTCCCAGAGTAAGTTCTCATTTAGTTCTATTTGGGTATTTGTTTTTGTGCTCATATCTCTTACTGTTGGCTATACTTCATAGTATGTTTTAATATCTGGTCAAGCAAGTTTATTTTTTTTTTTGAGGTTGATTTAGCTGTTGGTTAGCCTTTATTTTAGCATGAACATTGTAGGCTGTTTATTGAATTCTTTAAAGAATCAAACTGGCAATTTGAGATTGCATTACATTTATAGATTAATTTTGGTGGAGAAATGTTATTCTATTTGTGGATTGTTTTGGTTCTTCTAGATAGATGATGATGTCATCAGCAGCAGTGACAGTTTTCTCTCTTTCTTTTCAAATGTTACACTCTTATTTTTTACAGTGTTGGCCAGTCTGGCACTGTGCTAGACAGCATGGTCATATTTGTTGACATAGGGAAAGGCTTTTGAAGTCTCTATTTTATATTTGTTATACGTTTTTGATATATATATATAACCTTTGCTAAATTAAGGAAACTCCCTTCTATTCCAGGTTTGCATAGATTAAAAAAATTATTAAGTAGGTTCTTCTTTTGTCCAGTTGTTTTCCTGCTTCTATCAAGATAACCACCTGAGTTTTTTCTTTTAGCCTTTAATAATTAACAACAAAAAAACACTGTTGGATTTGATTAGTCAGTATTTTATTTAGGCTGTAACTTTATAGCATTGTTATCTGGTTTTAGATTCAATACTAGCCTGATAAAAATGACCGTAGCTTTTGTTCTTTTTAACTTTCTGAAACAACTTGTATAAGATAAGAATAGAATGTTTCTTAAAAGCTTAGTAGAATCCACCTATTAAAAAAAGGTCTCATCACGGAGTTCGTTTTGTTTTACTTTGTTGGGAGAAGAGCATTGCCATTTCAGTTGCTTTAATCTTTTGATCTGTTTTTCAACCTGTTTTCTTTCAATCTATTCAAATCCTCTTTATTTCTTCTGATAATTTTGTCATTTCTCTTCTTTTGGATCTTCTTTGTCTTTTTCTTGATGAATCTTACTAGAATTTTATCTAGGCTATTAATATTTACCAAGAAACAGCTTTTGGTTTTGTTATCTTCTTAATTGTTCATTTGGACTAGATTTTCATTGATTTCTGTCCTTTATTATTTCTTTCCTTTTTATTTATTTGGCTTTTCTTTGTTAGGCTTTTCTTTTTTTTCACCTTCTTATTTCTGGTAAATGTTTAAAGCCATATATTTTCCTCAAGTTCTTCCTTGGCTCTAACATATATTTTCTAAATGTTTCCTGATTTTTATTGATTTCCTTTTTAACGTAAGGGTTATTAAGTTATATTTTTTTTAGTTTCCAAATTTGAATATTTATAAAAATTATTGATTCCTGAGTTCATTGTATTATATCAGAACATAATCTGTATGCCCTTGTGCCTACCACATGGTTTAGTAATATAAATGTTTAGGGTATGTGAGAAAAAAAATGTATCCCCGTCCATTGGGATGTATTTCTTTGACCTAAGGAAGTGTAGGTCATTGCTTTTAGGACTTTCTTTTTTAATATAAGTATTTTGTAATTGGAACCTTCTCTTTTTTTTTTTTTTGGCGGGGAGATGGAGTCTCACTCTGTCACCCAGGCTGGCGTGCAGTGGCGCCATCTTGGCTCACTGCAAGCCCCGCCTCCCAGGTTCACGCCATTCTCTTGCCTCAGCCTCCCAAGTAGCTGGGACTACATGCGTCCGCCACCACACCCGGCTAATTTTTTGTATTTTTAGTAGACACGGGGTTTCACTGTTAGCCAGGATGGTCTCAATCTCCTGACATCGTGATCCGCCCACCTCGGCCTCCCAAACTGCTGGGATTACAGGCGTGAGCCACCGTGCCTGGCCGTAATTGGAACCTTCTGTTTGTACTGTTGAGAACTTGAATTTTTTTGCTTATATTTTGTCTGCTTGATCTATCAGTAGTCTGAACAGAGTTGATTAAGAGTAATTGTTGATTTTTCTCTGACAGTTCTGTTAATTGTTGAATATATTTTAAGACCTGTTTGAAGTGGGTAGATATATTTTGCTGTCATTTTCATCACTATATAGCCTCTTCTTCATGTATTTTTAAATCCCTTTTAATTTGCTTTTTTTGGGGAAAAATTTCAGACCTTTAAGAATGTTGTAAGAATGTTACAAAGAAAATTATTTTGCTCATCATATAGCTTTACCAATTAATATTCTTTCTTTTTCTTTTTTTTAGTCTTTTTTATTTCCTGGTAAATGTTTAAAGCTATATATTTTCCTCTTAAATCTCCCAGGCTGCAGTGCAGTGTTGTGATCACAGCTTACTGCAGTTTTGAGCCCAAATGATCCTCCCACCTCATTTCCCCCAGTAGCTGGGACTCCGGGCGCACACCACATGCCTGGCTAATTTTTTAATTTTTTTGTAGAAATAGAGTCTCACCTTGTTGCCCAGGCTGGTCTTGAACCCTTGGGCTCAAGCAATCCTCCCACCTCAGCTTCTCAAAGTGCTCAGATCACAGGCATGAGCTACTATTCTCAGCCTTCTCTAACTTAAGAAGGAAGCTCACTTAGGTCGTTGCTTTTAGGCCTTTGTATTAGGTTGGTGGAAAAGTAATTGCGTTTTTTGCCATTAAATGTGGCAAAACCACAATTACTTCTGCACCAACCTAACATAAGGATTTAAAACTATAAATTTCCCATTAAACATTACTTTAGCTGCATCTATTTTTTTTCTTATTTATTATTATTTTTTAGACAGAGTCTGACTGTTGCCCAGGCTGGAGTGCAATGGCACCAACATGGCTCACTGCAACCTTGACCTCCTGGGCTCAAGTGATCCTCCCGGCCTCCGTCTCCCGAATAGCGGTCTTACTCATTTTCTACGTGTGTGTTGAGTGCACCATTTGAGAGTAAGTCACAGTGTTAGTCCATTTTGTGTTGCTCTAAAGAAATAGCTGAGACTAGGTAATTTATAAAGAGAAGAGGTTTAATTGGCTCATGGTTCTGCAGGCTTTATAGGAAGTGTGGTGCCAGTATCTGGTTGGTTTCTTGTGAGGCCTCAGGGAGCTTTTACTCATGGCAGAAAGTGAAGTGGGAGTAGGCATGTCACATGGGGAGAGAGAAGAGGAGGACCCAGGCTCCGTTAAATAACCAGCATTCCTAGCTCTCAAGTGAGCTGACAGACCAAGAACTTACTTTATTACTACAGGGAGGGCGCCAAGCCATTCCTAGGGATCCTCCTCCCCCATGATCCAGACACCTTCCTTCAGGCCCCACCTCCAATAAAGGGGGTCACTTTTTTTTTTTTTTTTTTTTTTTTTAAGACGGAGTCTCGGCCCTGTCGCCCAGGCTGGAGTGCAGTGGTGCAATCTTGGCTCACGGCAACCTCTGCCTCCGGGGTTCAAGTGATTCTCCTGCCTCAGTCTTCCGAGTAGCTGGGATTACAGGCGCCTGGCTAATTTTTTTGAATTTTTAGTAGAGACGGGGTTTCACCATGTTGGTCAGGCTGGTCTTGAACTCCTGACCTCAGGTGATCTCCCCACCGCAGCCTCCCAAAGTGCAAGGATTACAGGTGTGAGCCACCGCACCCAGCCAGCAATCACATTTTAACTTGAGATTTGGAGGGGACAAACATCCAAACCATTTAAGTCACAGCACTTTACTCCGCAGTGTGAATAACACAGGCATTCTCCTACATAATCACAGTACAGTTATCATACTCTGGAAATTGAATATCATCTAATATACTTTCCATACCCAGATTTTCTTAGATTTCCCAATGATATTTCTTACTGTCCTCCCTTTAGCCTTCCTCTTTCTCCATTCAGGATTCTACCATTACATTTCATTTTCATGTCTCTTCAGTCTCTCTTTAGCTTTGTTTTTCTTTCTTGATGTTGCCACTTTTAGGAGGCCAGGCCAGTTGTTTTGTGAAAGATCTGTTCTCTTTGATATGTTTCATTTTGGATTTGTTTCATTGTTTTTGCATGAATGGATTCAGGCTAAACATTTTTGGGCAGGACTGTTTATTGTATTACCTAGTGATGTGTTCTTTTCAGTCCATCATCTGGAGGCACCTGATGGCAGTTTTCCCAATATTGCGAAATTAAGTTTGATTATTTTGTTAAGGTAGTGTCCACCAGATCTCTCCATTTTAAAGACATCCTTTTCTCTAATTACTCAGTGGACTGTAGAGTGATGCTTTGAAACTGAATAACTAACACTCCCTAACTCAGTGATTTAGCACCCGTTGATTTTTTTTTTTTGCCTGAATCAAATATTATTATAGTAGTTTTAAATGGTGATTTTCCATTTCTATTCTTTTGTTAGCTGCCATTCTTCTATAATTTTGTCTTTATATTTTACTGGGTGTTAAGATTGCTATTCCAGCTTTCCTTTGTCTTTTACACCTTTTCCCATTCTTTTATTTTTTTCCATCCCTTTTTGTCCTGTTTTCCAATAGATGGATAGAATTTTCTTTCTCTGGTTTAAAGGTTATACATTTGTGTGTGTGTGTGTATTCTTAGCCATTTGCCCTTAAAACATAGAGATGGTTATTCCTGTTGATTAAAAAAAACTCAGTAATGTTACTATCTTCTCTTTAATAAGATAGGTACTTTATTTCATTCTGTGTTCTTGGGTGAGGTCTCCCCTCACCCAGTCAAGTTGATGTTAATCTAGAATTTTTAGTTTTTTAAATTATCGATATACTTTCTGTCTTTTCCTTTTTTTTTCACTCTCTCTGTATTTGTGCTTTCCCCCTTTACTCTCTTTCCCTTCATTCCTTCTTTCTCACTTTCTTCTTCTATTTTTCACTCTTGGGTAGATTATCTTTTAGAAAACAGCAAGATATTATATAATTTACTTTATATTCTCTTTCCAAATGATTAAAGTAATAATTAAAAATTTTTGATATGTGTGTATGCAAGGATAGGAATCCTCTTGTAAGTGGAAGAACTCTACCACATGCATGAGTCATTAGTGTGTTAAACACTGGGAAGTGGCTTTAGGTCCAGCTGGGTGCTCTGAAGAAGGTAGGTTTCTTCAGTTCTTTATGTTAACTGTCTCCTTACCTTAAAAAAGGAGTGAAGAATACTGACTGCAGAGGTTTTGTGAGGATTCCGGTAACACAGAAGCATAGAACTGGAAAAGAATATTAATATTTGCCAAAAAAAAAAAAAGTTAAGTGGAGAGAAACTCTTAAAATGTCATTGATTAGAAAGTAAGGATTTAAATAAAAAGTTAAACAGGTTGATTTCAGATCTAGCTCTCAGTAGAATATGATGTTAGAATGGACCTTCGGTAGGCCTTATGCATCATCTATTAATATTTTGTTCCGTTTCAGTGTAGCAAAAGAAGAAAAATACTCTTTTTTGTTTTTCTGGCCCAGGATTCAATTCACATGGCACATTGGGTTTCATTGTCACATCTCTTTAGCGTCTTTTTTTTTTTTTTTTTTTTTGAGATGCTCTTGCACTGTCGCCCAGGCTGGAGGGCAGTGGCGCAGTCATGGCTAACTGCAGCCTGTACCTCCGAGGGGTCAAGTGATCCTCCTGTCTCGGGCTCCTGGGTAGCTGGGACTACAGGTGTGTACCACCATGCCCAGCTAATTTTTAAATTTGTAGAAACAGAGTCTTTCTATGTTACTCAAGCTGGTCTTGAACTCCTGGGCCCAAGAGATCCTCCTGCCTCGGCCTCTCAAGGTGTTGAGATTATAGGTGTGAGCCACCATGCCTGGCCTTCTTTGTGTCTTTTAATATAGAACAATTCCTCAGTCTTAACATAGACATTTTTGATGAATAACGACTATTTTGTCTAACATCTCCCACTTTAGGTTATATTTTATTTCAGTATTGACCTTGTTCCAAGGCACTACCATTATGAAACATGGAGACTCATGATTTAATATGGTATTAATGTTTAAATTCTTATATTTTCCTATGGGTAGAATACTTGGTTCACGGCGGAATGGAAACATAAATAATAGGCTATTTTGGGTATACGTCCTACATGTAGGATTGATGTTCAGTATTTGACTTGAAGACTTTTATTGTCTTTTTAAAAAGTATGGGCAAAAGAAGGGGAGAGGTGGGAAGGGGATTTAGAAGTCTTCTATCCTAGATCTCATCAGAATGACAGAAACAGTACACCTAACAGCTGTGACCACTTGTTCAATTTAGTTGCCATTTTTATCCCACTGGTCAGATGTTTTAATTTTCATTTGAACATTTAAAGAAAGGTTGAAGTCTTAAGATGTCAGCTGTGTGTAAGTAGTAGACTGTCCAACTGCAGATAAACAGTAGTTTTTAACCCTTCACTGCCCAAGTTGTACCTGTGTTGCCTGATTATGATGTTTTTATTTTGTGGCTATCTGTAAAATCAAGTTTTCAAAGTGTATTTCTAGAATAAATAAAACTTCATAGAAACATTACAATGGATTTAGAGCAATGTATATATGCTAAATCACTCTTTTCAGGCTTAATAATTGGAGAAGAATATTTCTAGTCTTTTATTATTGTTTCATAATTTAAATGCTATTTGAGGAGTATAGTTAAACTTGAACAGAGTACTTTGGAAGCCAGTTTTTTTCCCTTCCTCCTTCTTAATCAGAAGCTGTTTAGTTTTACTATGGCTATATGTGGTCCTCCTAGTTTTGTAATAAGGCTGGTGTAATTTCAGGAACCTTTTTGTTTAAGAGATCAGGACATTGAAAACCAGAGAGGGCTAAACTCAACTTGAGTCCTGACTCTTTGCTGATTAAGTGCTAGTTCTGACTCGTAGAAGGATCAGTCATGTGGGTTTGCCTGGCAGGCTTACCCTAAGTAAAATATAAATTCCTGGTTATCACTAAGGGGGGAAAATATCTGAAAATTCGGTTTTTCAATGAAGAGTACTTTGTGTTAGACATAGCTGTCTGTCTCACTAGCAATGGGATTTCCAGGGTAGAGTATTAAAGATATCATGAGTCTTTTGCAGCTAAGCAGCTTATGAGGTCAGTCAAGGAATAAAAAAATAAGCCAGCTTCAGAAGAGTCTTTCTTTGTTATTAGAAAAATTGTGAGAGGCTATAGAATTATGTCAAGATGCTGAGAAAACTATAGTTTCTAAATTTTTAACCAAAAGGGTATCCTCTTTAGTAGTAAGGAAATAATAATGAGAAAAAATGCTTAAGTTCAGTTGCAGACATTGCATATCTTGAGGAAAAAAGAGGACACTTCTAAAATTAAAATATAGCCCATAACATTTTTATTTTTTATGAATTGGATTACTCATTTTGAATGTTGCCTTCTGCTAAGTTACTCCTTTAGCATGAATTAACTGTATTCTTTTTCAGTCATATTCCTAAATGTTAGATGAAATTCATTTAATGTTTTGAACTTTATATTTTTAGCTATACTATAAAGATTACACAGCTGTTGCTTGGAGATGTATGTGAATTACTTGGAGCAGTAGGATCATGATTTGGGTCCTATGCCAGCTGATAGTCAGCTGCTACAAATGAAGAGATCCTAACACATGGGAATAAAAATTCTTAAAGGGTATGAATATCATATTTTAAAATGTTCTGGGTAGTGCCTGCCCTTGTTTTAGGCACCTAACTATTTGTCATGACATACCACATTTCATGATTAGGAGACTGGCTTTAGGTTTTCTGTTGGAGAGCTGAGAGTATTCTCCCCTCATTTTGATAGCAATTAGAGTAACTGGGACCAGCTACTCCTGTCAAGATAAATTGCATTACCAACTTCAGCTTTTGTATTTCATTTGATAATTTTTTTTTTTTTTGAGACAGAGTCTCGCTCTGTTGCCCAGGCTAGAGTGCAATGGCGTAATCTCAGCTCACTGCAACCTCCGCCTCCCGTGTTCAAGCGATTCTCCTGCCTCAGCCTCCTGAGTAGCTGGGATCACAGGTGCGTGCCACCATGCCTGGCTAATTTTTGTATTTTTAGTAGAGCCGGGGTTTCACCATGTTGGTCAGGCTGGTCTCGAACTCCTGACCTTGTGATCCACCTGCCTTGGCCTCCCAAAGTGCTGGGATTGCAGGCTTGAGCCACCGCGCCTGGGCTGATTAAAATTTACCTAAATACTTAGATTCTTCATGCCATGGTTGATTTAGTAGTGTTAAGATTGAGTTGCTCCCAAGCTACAATTAAATAGCTCTGATACTGTCTGTGTTTTCTGTATACCTATTTTTTCTTGATTGTATTAATTCTGTGTTTATTGAGAGCATATGTAGTTTCTAACCTTCATTGATTATGCTCTTAGCAAAGCTGTCTATAAAGTATTTTGTACTTATAGCAAAGATGTCATAAAGAGAAACTTCAAATGCAGAATTGCGTATTATTTTCATTGAAAGTGATCTCTACTAAAGAAAGTTTAAAAAGATTAAAATAGTGGTTATCCATGGTTCCTGCTGGGCATTATGTTCCATTTACTAATTTGACATTCAGCAGATGCTTGAATATGCTTCAGATATTAATATTGTAGATAGAGGTGATGCAGTTCTCTACACTGGTAAGTGTATAGTCTAATCAACAAATCATCGTAATAGAGTGAGGATCATGCCGTGGTAGGAGTATCCCTGCAGTTCTGTGGCGCTTGGAGACCTCCCTCCTAGAGGGATGTTTTTGGAAGAAGGCAGTCTGAGTAGACTACTTGGATGTGAACTGGGAGATACAATTGAGCAGTAACAATTAAGAAGGTGATGGAGGAAAGGAAGGATTTTCTTATTTGACAATCAGGAATAGCATGATTAAATGAGTGAAGAGAAGAGAGACTGTTGCCCCAGTGGGAATGATAGGATTTAATAGATTGTTGTAATGATGTAATTTCATTGAAATTTCCCCAAAACTGAGACTTTGCGCAGTGTTTGAAGATGTCCTTACTCAAATTAGAAGTAAAATATATTGCATGTGCCTGTCACTTTCACATCCATTTAAGAACAGTTTGTCCTTAAACTTTGAATCTAGCAGTGTTCCAGAGAAGCAATGTGAATGGTTCTCAAGATAACAAGATCATCTCTGAATTTCTAGCCTCATGCCAACATTTATGGCAGGCACACTCGTTTCACCTTCTTCCTAAGGCAGATTGAAAAGGGAATTTTTATAGCTGAAAATCATGTAAGAATACCAAGTGTAATCTCAAGGCCCATCAATTTGGTTACTTCTTCAGTAGGTTCCAGTAGTCTTTGCAAGCAACTGTTGATTGTTAATAACTACACTTTATTGATATTATCAGAAAAGCACAACATTAAGGCCTTCTAGTCAAGCAGCTTTAAAAAATTGTAATAATTACTATTCTACCTTGTTTTAACCTTTTGTAGAAGCACAGGACAATAAGTTCCAGAATCTTTTGAATGTCATGCGGTTCGTAATTAGCTGAAGACGAATGATAAAAGTGGGCTGCTGTTTTTCAGATTACGGCCAGTAATTCTCTTTGGTTATGGCTGTGCTAAAATTACTTTCTGAACACATTGCCAAAGTGTGTGAACAAAACATCATATGCTAGTGATTCCCAAATCACTCTTAGCTTTCATCATATTTGTTCTGTTGGTAGTGTCAACTGCGTGACACTGCATTCTATACTTACTTTTCCACCCCTCTCAAAGCATAAAGTTTTGGTATTTACCTTAACATTCAGTCTTCCTCTTGTCACAAAGACTCTTTGGTACTTCTGGGTTCTCATACTAGGGCACCCCCCACCCCCCCCCCCCCCCCCACACACACACAGGGGCAGGCTGCAGTGTGCAAGCATATGGAGCACACTGTAGATGACAAAAGTGGCATATCTACCTGGAAGATAATTCTACTGAAAGATTTATGGAGAGAACATTATATTAAGATAGGCAGTGTAGTGGGGTGAATTATAAAATACTCATTCAATTTTAATGTGAACTATGAAACTCCTGAGAAATCTGTTTGCTCTTCAGGGTGGCTAGACGTCTTTAGTCTGTGTGTGGGGGGAAGGTCTACTATGTGCCATCTCTTATCAATCTTTTCTGGCATTTTTGTTATATGATAGTTATAGCTATATGGTAGTTATAGCTAGTCTAGTCCTTGGAACTAAACTATTTTGAACTTCGTTTGATATAGCAAATTTGTGCCAGGGGTCATCTGGCATGTCATGTTTAGGGGCCGTATTCCTCATCTGTGTGGAGGAACTAGATGTGGAGAGAGAAAGAGAAATAAATATGTTTCCCCAGCTGTAGTGGACAGGCTGTTTTTCAGGACAGAATTTTACAACTTTTATAAAGTAGTTGTGAGCAGAAGTTGGCAGCTGGCAAATGTATGTATTTGCCAAACTATAAATATCTGGTCTGCAGCCACAAATGTCCAAGAAAGGCTCTTGGAAAATTAAGGGTTTCCTTAGGATAATAGTAAAACCAGGCTTTCCTCAAGTTGTTATATTTAAGCATAAGAAGCAGCAGTTCATAATTGGTTTAGTTATATTCATTTATGTTTTATTTCAAGTTGACTTTTAATCCAAATACTAAAATATAACAAAAGACAATTTCTGAGGACTTGAAAAGTACATAAACCTTAAGTCACATATAGTAGCAGTTAACTTAAATTGAAACAAGAAGTTAGAATTGTATTTCAGTTCATAGAGATGTACTAAACATCGCGGATTCTCAGATTGACAGATAACCACTTTGGCCTAGAATACCCACCACATAAAATGAGTATCCAGGGAAGAGTAAAAATGAAGAGAGCCTCATTGGGATGCACTTCATAGGAAGTTCACCAGGCTCACTTGCTGGATAGGGAATTGGTCACGTTCACTCCCCACATATCAGACTGGCAGAATGGGAAGTTTAGATTCTTGTATTGGTCAGAGGATGGCTCGAGGCATGTGGGTCTTTGGGATTGTTTGTTAACACATCAAATGTTAAAGGTGTACTGTTTGGTAGTGTTGAGCTCACTTGTGGTTCTAGCAGATAGCTAGATTTATTTATTTGCAATCTCCATTTACCAAAATACTGTTGCTGCTCACAGTAATAGTAATGAGTAACATCGCTGAGTACCTAACATGTGCCAGATACTTGAATGCTTCATGTACATGGTTTTATTCTCACAACAGATCCATGAGGTATTACTGTTATTATTATACTCTAGAAATCAGGGAACAGAGGCTTAATGAGGCTAAATAAAAACTTGTTTAAGGTGACGCAACTAGGAAATGACAGAGCCAGAATTGTAATTCACTTAGGTTTAACTTCAGATTGCCTCCTCTTAATCCCCATGCTCTGGTGCTTCTAAAGAGACCAACACTCTGCCCTGAATAATTTAGTACTGATGTTAAACATTTCAGAAAGACTTTTGAAGCCCTTTTTTTTTTTTTTTTTTTTTTTTTTGAGACGGAGTCTGTCTCTGTCGCCCAGGCTGGAGTGCAGTGACGCGATCTCGGCTCACTGCAGCCTCCGCCTCCCGGGTTCAGGCAGTTCTCCTGCCTCAGCCTCCCAAGTAGCTGGGACTACAGGCGCCTGCCATCATGCCTGGCTAATTTTTGTATTTTTAGTAGAGACAGGGTTTCACCATGTTGGCCAGGATGGTCTTGATCTCCTGACCTCGTGATCCGCCCACCTTGGACTCCCAAAGTTCTGGGATTCCGGGCATGAGCCACCACACCCGACTGTTTTTTTTTTTTTTTTAAACGTAGTTTCGCTCTTGTCGCCCAGGCTGGAGTGCAATGGCGCAGTCTCGGCTCACTGCAACCTCCACCTCCGGGGTTCAAGCGATTCTCCTGCCTCAGCCTCCTGAGTAGCTGGGATTACAGGCATCACCACCACGCCCTTCTAATTTTTGTATTTTTAGTAAAGACAGGGTTTCACCATGTTAGCCAGACTGGTCTCGAACTCCTGACCTCAGATGATCCCCCTGCCTTGGCCTCCCAAAGGGCTGGGATTACAGGCATGAGCCACCGCGCCTGGCCTGAAGCTTTGTTGAGGTATAGAATGTGTGAGAAAAAAATGTATAGTCCATGTGCCAATGATTCTGATAACACAAAATATGCTTAGCAACAATTCTATAATAAAATCATCATTGTCATCTGGTCTTAACTTAAAAAGTGTTATAGCATTAATAAGCTGTCTTTAATAGTTCACCTGAAAATAAGACCAATGAAGCCAATGGAAAAGTAAATGTATTTTATAAAAGATTCTAATTGAACTATTCCTAACTAGATTCTCCTTTGCAGAAATTGTAGGATATTATATTTTCTAGGTAATATTTAGATGCTTATTCTTGCTCAGGAAGTAGATTATGGGGCTTCTAGGTGGAGAGGCTGGCGGTAGAAAGGCTGTTTTGGAGGCTGTTGTAATCTAGGAAAGAAAGAATGCATTAATGTAGTGGCACAGTGGAACAGAGTGGAGGAGGTGTTAGTAGAGATGTTTGGGTGGTAGAATTGACAGGGCTGGAGACTGACATAGGGATGTTGGCAGAGGAGTCATCTAGGGCACTCCAGTTTCTAGCTCGGGCCAGACAGTATGGTTTTGGTATCCTTCATCTGGGAAAGGGAATGGGGGGGAGAAAAATAGGTTGTATTTTGAGGTATGTATGATATCTAAGTAGAAACACATAATAGGCAGCTGTTTATGTGAGTTTGTTGCTCAGGAGAGAAGTATGGACTGTAAATACCTATTTGCCTTTTTTCTTTTTTCTTTTTTCTTTTTTTTTGAGACAGGCTAGAGTGCAGTGGTGCGATCTCAGCTCACTGGAACCTCCACCTCCCGGGCTCAAGTGATTTTTGAGCCTCAGCCTCCTGAGTAGGTGTGCGCCATCATGCCCGGGTAATTTTTGTATTTTTTAGTTGAGACAGCGTCTCACCATGTTGGCTGAGCAGGTGTCGAACTCCTGGCCTCAAGTGATTCGGTCTCCCAAAGTGCTGGGATTATAGGCGTGAGCCACCACGCCTGGCCCCTGTTTGGCACTTTTTAACAGGTATTAGTTGAAATGGTGAATTTGGAATCTGTGTTTAAACCTTGGTGCTGTGTGTGTGTGTGTGTGTGTGTGTGTGTGTGTGTGTGTGTGTGTGTGTTGAGTGATGAGGGGAGGCAATTAGTCACCACAGCATCTACCAAATTTTATTATCATTTATATGTTGTTTCTCAACCCATTTGATTTAAAATTCTTAGAATACTTACTTGAATGAATATGGAGAAATAAAACATGACATTCTTTTCCCCTCTAATGAAGTCTGTGCATAATTAGTTCTTTTATTAGAAAAAGCTGCACGGGGAGTGCACACATGCTTAATTTTCCCTTCAACATTTTATTATGAAAAATTTCAAGAATACAGAATGGTTGAATTTTTCTGTTAACATATGTATACCCACAATCTAGAGCCTACTATTAATATTAACATTTTACTATATTTGCTTTATCACACATCTGTCTCTCCATCCTTCTCTGTATACAGTTGGCCCCCTATGGGTTTCATATCCACAGATAAAAAATATTAAAAAACAATGCAACAATAATACGCATAAAAATACAATGCAGTATAACAACTATTTACATTGTATTAGGTATTATAAGTAATCCAGAGATTTAAAGTATACCAGAGGATGTGTATAGGTTATATGTAAATACTATACCATTTTATGTAAGGGACTTGAGTATTAGCAGATTTTAATATCTGTGGGAGTCCTGCAGCCAGTTCCTCCGAGGATACTGAGGGCTGACTATAATTTATTTATTTATTTAGATGCATTTCTAAATAAAAAGTAAGTTGTAGTCAGCACACTATTGCCTAAGTATGTCAGTATTTATATCGTTACCTAGGGTTCAATAATGCTTATATATATTTTTTCCTTTTGTGATATATATATAGCGGAATGCACAGATTATTGGGAAAGTTTTAACAGATGCAAACGTGTAACTCAAACTCCTTTCAAGATTACAGAATGTTCTGGGGGTGATGGCAAAATTCCCTGAAGCTCCTTCCCATGTCACTCCTCGCTTTGCCTCCCCTGCTGCCCATACTGTTTTGTTTCTACTATAGATTAGCTTTTTTTTCCTGTTCCAGAATTCATCTAGGAACCGTAAAATATATACTCTTGTGTAAGGCTTTCTTCACAGCATAATGTTTTTGCAATTTATCATGTCATGTATATCAGTTGTTTGCTTTTCTTGTTTTCTGATGAATCTTTGGGTGAATACACCACAATTTATTCATCGTCTTGTCGATGGATACCTGGGCTGTTTCCAGTTTTGAGCAATACCTAACATTGAAATTGACTTGTCAGAGGGTAGGTGTTTGTTTAATTCTGTAAGAAACTGCCAAGTTTTTTCCTTTTTTTTTTTTTTTTTTTTTTTTGACACAGACTTGCTCTATTGCCAGGCTGGAGTGCAGTGGCACGACCTCGGCTCACTGCAACCTCCGCCTCCCATGTTCAGGCGATTCTGCCTCAGCCTCCTGAGTAGCTGGGACTACAGGCATGCGCCACCAAGCCCAGCTAATTTTTGTATTTTTAGTCGAGACGGCGTTTCACCGTGTTGGCCAGGCTGGTCTCAATCTCCTGACTTCGTGATCCGTCCACCTTGGCCTCCCAAAGTGTTGGGATTACAGGCGTGAGCCACTATGCCCGGCCCCAACTTTTCTTTCAAAGTTTGTTGAACCATTTTATACTCTCACCATTGCTGTGTGGGAGTTAGGGTTAAACCATGTTTTAGCCATCCTGCTGGTTATGTAGTGGCATCTTATTGTGATTTTAACTGGCGTTTCCCTGATGATTAATGATTTAACACAAATTTACTGAGCATTTATATATCATGTTTTGTGACATCTGTTCAACTTATTTGCCCAATGTTTTATTGGTTGTTGGAGTTTCAGAAATGTTGGATTCATGTCAGATTTATGTTTCGTAGATTTTTTTCTTCATCTGTGCCTTGCCTATGTATGCATTCTCTCCCTTTTCCCCTCCTCCCTCTCTTTCTTCCTGTAACAGCTTTATTGAGAAAAAATTTATATACTCTATGCATTTTCTTAAAAGTGTCTTTTTATGGGAGAAAATTTTAATTTGCCTTTTTTCCCTGTAATTATTGAGAAGAGCTTTTGCCTTCCTGTGATGATTTTTCTCCTAGGTTTCCTTCTCCAAGTTTATGGGTCTAGCTTTTAGGTTTAAATCGATATATCTTGAATAATTTTTTTGTATGGTGTGAGGTATGCATTGAGATTTTTTTTCTGCATGCATATCCAGTTGTTCCAGCACCACTTATTGAAAAGATTATCTTTTCTCCACTGACGTCTTTTTAAAAAATTAGTTGTCTTTATATGTGTTGATTTCTGGACTCTGTCCTGTTTCATTGATATATTTGTCTATTTTTGAGGCCACTACCATACCCTCTTAATTGCTGTAGCTTTGTAATCTTGAAATCAGATACTATTAGTCTTCTATCATTATTCTTTTTTTGTTGTTGTTTTGGATATTCTGTGCTCTTTGAATTTCCATATGAATATTATAATTAGTTTGTCAATTTCTACAAAAATGGCTTGATGGGATTTTCATTGTGATTGCATTTAACTTGTAGATTAATTTAGGAGAGACTTGACATCTTAACAATATTGAGGCTTCCAATCCATGAACATTGTATATGTTTAAGTTTTTTAAAATTTCTCTTACCAGTGTTTTTTAGTTTTCAGCATAAAGATTTTACGCATGATATTATGAAGATTTTCTTTTTTGGGTGCTATTGCAAATGCAGTTTTTAAAACTTTATTTTTCTGGTTTGTTGTTGCTACTATATAAAAAATGCAACTGATTTTTTAAATTAAACTTGAATCCTGTGACCTTGCTAAATTCACTTACTAATTTGCTGCTTTGTAGATTCCTTAGGATTTTCCATAAGCAGCAATTCGTCATCTGCAAGTAGAGGCTATTTTCCCTTTCTGTCCTTTCTTTTTTTTCCTTTTCTTTCTTTGCCTTAGTGCAAAGGCTAGGACCACCAATACAATGTTGAATAGAAGTGGTTAATCCTTGCCTTCTACCTGACCTTAGGGGGAAGGAGTTCAGTATTTCAAAATTAAGTATGATGTTCTAGATATTTTAATATATGATCTTTATCACATTAGGGGAAATCACTTCTCTTCCTACTTTTCTGAGAGTTTTTGTCAAGACAGATGTTGCATTTTATCCCTGCTTTTTCTGTCCCCCAGCCAACCCCACCCCCACCTCTTTTTTTTTTGAGATGGTCAGCCTCCTGAGTAGCTGGGTCTACAGGCACGTGCCACCACGCCTGGCTACTTTTTGTATTTTTAGTAGAGACAGGGTTTCACCATGTTGGCCAGGCTGGTCTCGAACTCCTGCCCTCAAGTGGTTCGCCTGCCTTGGCTTCTCACAGTGCTGGGATAACGGGTGAGCCACCATGCTCGGCCTTTTTCTGCCTCTTTTGCATTACGTTGTTCTTCTCCTTTATTCTGTTACGGTGAATTACCTTGATTTTCAGATGTTAAACCAATCTTGCATTCCTGGAATAAACCCTACTTTGTCATGATGTGTTAGTATTTTAATATTGCCAACTTTGATACTATTTTGTTAAGAAATTTTGTGTATTATTTAAGGATAATATGATTTTCTTTATTTGTAATATCTTTGTGTGGCTTTCATGTTGGGATCACGCTGGTCTCATGAATCAAGCTGGAAATGTTTTCTTCTTTATTTTTTTGAGAGTTTATATAATATCAGGGCTGTTTTTTCCTGAGCTATTTGACACAATTCACTAGTGAAACCATGTGCCTGGAGTTTTGTTTGTGAGGAGCTTCATATATCAATTTCTTTCTTCCTTTTCCCTCTACTTTTCCCTTTTCCTTCCCCCTCCTCTCCCCTCTTTTCTTCCCCCTCCTTCTCCTCTTTTTCTTCCTTTTTTTTTTTTTTTTTGAGCTTGTCTCCCAGGCTGGAGTGCAGTGGTGCAACCTCGGCTCACTGCAGCCTCCGCCTTCCGGGTTCAAACGATTCTTATGCCTCAGCCTTGAGTTCCTTGGCTCAGCTGATCCTCCAGCCTCATCTTCCCAAGTAGCTGGGACTACGGGTGCACGCAGCCATGCCTGGCCAATTTTTAAAATTTTTTATAGAGTTAAGAGTCTGACCTTGTTGCCCAGGCTGGTCTCAAGCTCCTGGGCTCAAACAGTTCTTCCACCTTGGCCTCCCAAAATGCTGAGATTACAGGCGTGAGCCGCCATGCCCATTCTTTTCTAACTTAAGAACGAAGCTCAAGTCTTTGCTTTTAGGCCTTTCTTTTCTCATATATGCATTCACAACTATAAATTTCCCATTCGTCACTGCTTTAGCTGCATCTCATGATTTTTTTCTTATTTATTTATTATTATTTTTTACACAGGGTCTCACTCTGTCTCCTAGGCTGGAGTGCAGTGGTACAGACATGCTTCACTGCAGCCTCAGCCTCCTGGGCTCAAGCAATTCTCCCACCTCAGCTTTCTGGGTAGCTGGGACTACAGGTGCACACCACCACGCCCGGCTAATTTTGTATTTTTTTAGTAGAGACAGGATTTCTCCATGTTGGTCAGGTTGGTCTCGAACTCCCGACCTCAGGTGATCCACCTGCCTCGGCCTCCCAAAGTGCTGGGATTATAGGCATGAGCCACTGCACCTGGGCAATTTATTCAATTTTTTTTTATGGCCCAGCATATCATCTATCTTGGTGATTATAGATGTACTTGAAAAGAATGTGTATTCTGCAGTTATTATGTATAGTGTCTTTAAAATATCAAATGAGTCAAAGTGGTTAATAACCTTCATTTATTCTATGTGCTTGCAAATTTTTTTGTGTACTTCTGTTGTCTAGTTTTATCAGTTTAAGGGGGTGTTAAAATTTACAACTAATACTGTGAAAATGTCTTTTTCTCTTTCTCTGTTTTTTTTTTTTTTTTTTTTTTTTTTTTTTTTGAGACAGGGTATCACTCCGTCGCCCAGATGGGAGTGCAGTGGCATGAGCTCAGCTTGCTGCAACCTCTGCCTCTCAGGCTCAAGCGATTCTCCTGCTTCAGCCTCCTGAGTAGCTGGGATTATAGGCACACGCCACTACTGCCTGGCTAATTTTTGTATTTTTAGTAGAGATATGGTTTCACCATGTTGGCCAGGATGGTCTTGAACTCCTGACCTCAAATGATCCACCTGCCTCAGCCTCTCAAAGTGCTGAGATTTTTCCCTTTAATTCTGTCAGTTTTTGCTTTATGTATTTAGAGATGGTGATTAGGTGGCTGTACATTCAGGATTGTTACTTGTTTCTGATGAATTGACCATTTTATAATTTTGAAAAATTCCTCTGCTTAAAAGTCTACTTTATCTGATACTAATGTGTCAATTCTGATATTACTATATGGGTACTGTTTTCATGACATATAATATTTTATTTACTTTGTTCCTTTTTTTATGTTACTTTGAAGATCTTGTTGCTTACCAATGTTTATTTACTTTGAACCTACCTGCTTTCTGTATATTTAAAGTGCATCTCTGTGGGCAGCATGTAATTGATTCTTTATTATCTAATGTCTGCCTTTTAATGAGAGTGTTTAGTCATTAACATTTCATGTAATTATGGAGAGGTTGGACTTCAGTCTACCATTTTAATATTTGTATTCTGTTTGTCCCTTCTGTTTTCAGTCCTTTGTTATTCCTTTTCTGCCTTTTTGGGGGATAAATTGAATACCTTTAGAATTCTATTTTAATTTTTCTACTGACTTTTTTGCTATACCTCTTTGCATTTTCTCTCTCCTGTTAGTTATTGCTTTCACTTTTACCATTTACTTAGAGTTAATGTTGTAGCACTTTGCATAAAATGTAGAAACCTTGCAACTCTCTAGGTTTGTTCCCCCCAGTTTGTTTTGCTGTATTTGTCTGATATATCCTATCTGCATAATTTGAAACTTCTTAAGATAACGTTACAAGTTTTACCTTAAAAGAACACAGTCCAATTTATATTTATCCTGTATTTACCTTTTTTGTTTTTGAAACAGAGTCTTGCTCTGTCGCCCAGGCTTGTGTGCAGTGGCACAATCTTGGCTCACTGCAACCTCCATCTCCCGGGTTCAAGCAGTGCTTGTGTCTTAGCCTCCCAAATAGCTGGGATTACAGGTGTGCACCACCACACCTGGCTAATTTTTGTATTTTTAGTGGAGATGGCGTTTCACCATGTTTGCCAGGCTGGTCTTGAACCCCTGGCCTCAAGTGATCTGCCTGCCTTGGCCTCCCAAAGTGCTGGGATTACAGGTGCGAGCCACTGTGCCCGGCCTACATTTACCATTTTTGATGCTCTTCATTTCTTTTCTTTCTTTCTTTTCTTTTTTTTTTTTTGAGATGGAGGTTTGCTCTTGTTGCCCAGGCTGGAGTGCAGTGGTGCAATCTGGGCTCACTGCAACCTCCACCTCCCAGGTACAAGTGATTCTCCTGACTTAGCCTCCCAGGTAGCTCAGATTACAGGCATGCGCCACCATGCCTGGCTAACTTTTTTTGTATTTAGTAGAGACAGGGTTTCACCATGTTAGGCTGGTCATGAACTCCTGACCTCAGGTGATCCACCCGCCTCTGCTTCCCAAAATGCTGGGATTACAGGCATGTGCCACTGCGCCCAGCCTAATGCTCTTCATTTCTTACAGACTATTTGAGTGTCTGGTACCATTTTCTTTCAACTTGAATAATTCTCTCTCTCTTTTTTTTTTTTTTTTTTTTGATACAGGGTCTTCCTCTGTCGCCCAGTCTGGAGTGCAATGGCGCGATCTTGGCTCACTGCAACTCCACCTCCTGGTTCAAGCAATTCTCCCACCTCAGCCTCCTGAGTAGCTGGGATTACAGGCACCCGCCATCATGCCTGGCTAGTTTTTGTATTTTTGTAGAGATGAGGTTTCACCATGTTGGCCAGGCTAGTCTTGAACTTCTGACCTCAGGTGATCTGCTCGCCTCAGCCTCCCAAAGTGCTGAGATTACAGGTGTGAGCCACCTCGCCTGGCCTCTTTTTTCTTAAAATATCTTTATTTGCCTTCATTTTTAAAGAATATTTTCCCTGGATATGGAATTCTAGATTGGCAGCTTTGTATTTGAGCTCTTTAAAGATGTTGTTTTATTGTCTCTGTTCTCTTTTGTTTCTGCAGTACAATATGAAGATGTCTGTGGTCATCCAATTTATTGTTCTTCTTTATGTAAAGTTTCATTTTTCTCTAGCCATTTCAAGTATCTTCGTCTTCAACTGTGATATACCTACTTGTGGTTGTTTTTAGATTGAATATGCTTTGCTCTTTTTTGCGGAGAGTGGGGAGTTGTCCCAGACTCTTACACATATTAATATGTTAGCCCCAATGATACTGTCCCACAGATCTGTATAACTTGGTTGGACTCAAAACAGCAAATTCTGTCTTTTAGGCAGTGGGTCATATTTTGGTTCAGCTCTTTTAGTTACTTGGAAACTGCCCTACACATGAGTAGATCAGGGATCATCCAGAGATTTAGGCAGAGTTTATATACAGAATTTGGGGTTCCTTCCTGCCCACTGGCTCATTTTCCTCCCAGGAATTTCCTCTCATTTTGCAGCAGCTATGGATTGCCCTGAACTCTATCCTTTTATCTTTAAGCTAGAAAGTCTGTGGGGGTTTCTGTTGGAGTTTTAGCTCTCCCATGTAGCACAGACCAGGACCAGTTGTCAGGCTAAAAGCTGTAAACATCAGAGAACTCTCCCCGTATTATTCCTTTCTTAAAAGAGTTGACTCCCTTCTTCTCATTCTCCAGTGCCTTCCTGCATTAGTCCGTTCTTTTCACTGCTATAAATAAATACCTGAGCTTGGGTAATGTATAAAGAACAGAAGTTTAATTGGCTTACGGTTCCATAGGCTTTACAAGAATCATGATGCTGGCTTCCGGGGAGGCCTCAGGAAACTTACAGTCATGGCGGAAGGCAAAGGGGGAGCTGGCACTTCCTGTGGCTGGAGCAGGAGCAAGAGAGAGAGAGGGGGGGAAGACAACCAGATCTCATGAGAACTTACTATCAAAGGAATAGCACCAAGGGGATGTTGCTAAACCATTCAGAAAGGACGACCCTCATTATCCTGTCACCTTGCACCAGGCCCCACCCCCAACATTGGGGATTACAGTGACATGACATTTGGGCAGGGACACAGATCCAAACCATACATTTCATATAGTTGTTCTATAAATTTTATCCAGAGATGAGGATTGCTTGAGCTCAGGAGTTAGAGACCAGCCTTGGCAAGATAGGGAGATCCCATCTCTACCAAAAATTAAAAAAAAAAAAAAAAATTAGCTGGGTGTGGTGGTGCGTGCCTGTGGTTTGTCCCAGCTACTTGGGAGGCTGAGGTAGGAGGATTGCTTGGGCCTGGGAGGTAGAGGATGCAGTGAGCACCACTGCACTCCAGCCTGGGTGACGGAGTGAAACCCTGTCTCAGAAAAAAATTCTTTTTAATTTTAATCCAGAGTTTATAGTTTTATCTATGGGAGGGTCATTTGGAAAGTTGGCCATTACTTGGCCAGAAGCAGAACCCTCCCTGCTTACATTTTGAGAAAAATAGATTGAGATTCTATAGTATTCTGCTTTAGTTTTTCTTTCTTGATCTCATATGGTACTTGTCTTTTGCTGACACTATTCATTCATTGAAATTAATAACCTTGCAAAATAAAAATATAAGAAGTCAGTGTGGCTCACCCTCCACCCTCCACTCCCACTCCATCTTTCATCCCGTTTTTATTTCCACGTCTGTCTAACTTGGCTCTGCCTGGTGCCTTTATAGCTAAAATTAGCCACACTTGATATTTTTAACTCTACGGTGCTTGGAAAGTATTTTGAGAGGCTTTGCCATATAACTTCATGAAAATAATGTGAGGAAAAGAAGAACTACAGGAAACAGGTGAAATAATCTATTCAGTTACTGAGAAAAGTTTCTTATTAATGGGAGAATTTATTAAGATAGGGAAGTATGTGTTGCCAAGTGAAGTGTTTTCCCACATTTTTCTTTTTTTTCTGTGACCATTTCTAGATGTCTGTACTTTTTGTGAACTCTCATGCTGTGAATGACGGTTTAGGTTTGCTGGTGCACTGGGAATTGATCTTTGAAAATTACAAGTCCAGTTAAAAAAAGATGGGTGGCCAGACGAAGAATCTGAGCCCTGTGTGCCTATATGTGTGCTAAAAGTCACGGAGCTTATGAAATCTGAGGTAATCTTGGCTTTTTTTTTTTTTTTTTTTGGTTTTTTTCTTGAGACAGAGTCTCGCCCTGTTGCCCAGGCTGGAGTACAGTGATGCGATCTCGGCTCACTGCAACTTCCACCCTCCCAGGCTTCAGCCTCCCAAGTAGCTGGGATTACGGCACGAGACACCATGGCTGGCTAATTTTTGTATTTTTAATAGAGACAGGGTTTCACCATGTTGGCCAGGCTGTTCTCGAAGTCCTGATCTCAAATGATCCACCCACCTTGGCCTCCCAAAGTGCTGGGATTACAGGCGTGAATTGCACCCGGCCCAATCTTAAGTAGTTTAAGGTCTTGGGGTCAGGCACGAGGGAGTGAAGGGGTAGTGTGTTACTTATAGCCACACAATAAATTACACAAAGTTTTAGTGGCTTAAAACGTCACGTATTTATTACACAGTTTCTGAGGGTCAGGATTCTGGGTTTGGCTTAGGTGGTTCCTCTAGCTCAGGGTCTTTCATAAATGCAGTCAAAATGTTGGCCAGGGCTGCAGTCTCAACTGAAGTCATCACGGGGGGAGGAGGATCTGCTTCTAAGCTCATTCACATTAATGGATTGGATTTAGTTGCATGCCAGCTGTTAGACTGAGGGCCTCATTTTATTCCTGATAATTGTCTCGTGTGGGCCTCTCCATAAGGTGGTGGCAAGCTAGATGGAAGCCAGAGTCACTTCGTAAATTAACCTTGGAAGTGACATTCCATATATATATATATGTATTTTTTTTCCCATATTCTGTTCAGTAGAGGTAAGTCTCTGGGCATGAATACTAGGAGGTGTGGAGATTATTAATAGCTATTTTTTTGTTGTTGATGAGTTGAGGGTGTGGGGAAGAAGAAGAAGGTATAATAAATTTTTATTTCTTACAGTGTATACTTAGAGTAGGAACCAGAATCACACAGTAGGGTGAGAAATTTTAAAAGCAAAGTTTACCACTAGGAAGCTATGTGATGTCTTACATAGGAAGAACAGCAAAGCATCTCAAATAAAGGAACATAACAAAACTTTAAACATTGAAAGGTTCTTTTTCTGTAGTTTTAGGTTGAAGTTTTATCTTAATTTTCTAGTCAATATTTTTCTACACTGACTTGGATGAAAATATTTATAACTGAAAATATATTATTTCTTTTTACCTATTCTTTTTGAAAGATGTAAAGACATATTCTTCTAATTGGCTAATAGATTTCAAAGTTCATGTGCGTCCTGTAATGTGCTAAACTCATACATTGTGTAGTAACAAAGTTGGAGTAGTTTAAATAAAATAATGGAACGATAGCTGCTATTCTATTCTTCATGTTTCTGTGTGCATGTCTGTGTGAATCTCTATCTGTATCTATAGTTTGATGTCTAAAATGTTTCCCACAGATTTTGTCTTTCATGTAATTCTTTGAAGAAAGTTGAGATTCTATTTGAAGGAAACTTTCCCTGGAGTATTAATTTTATGAATAAGTTTCTTCCTACTGCCTTAAAAAAATCTGATATTCTAGACATGTTTTTGTTATAGGTTAACATTGTATCTTCAGTAATGAAACCTTTAAAATAAACCTTGGTTATTTCTAAAAAGAACATAAATTTCAGCAAATAAATTCTTTCCTCTTAGCTTCAAATTAAATATAACATGAAGTATAATGTGGAAATAATAGAAAATATGTGAAGAGGTAATTTTGTGGAACTAATATAGTTTATAGTCAGAATCTTTCTTTTTTTAGTAGAGTGGTTGCAAGTCCAGACCTGGAAGCAGACTGGCTGCTTTAAGTCCCATTTCTGCCTCTCCCTACAGTATGTCTTTAGTCAAGTTAATTCACTTCTTGTGTCTCCATTTCCTATCTGTAAAATGGGGATATTAACGGTACCTACCACATAAGGTTGTTGAAGAAATAAGCGAATTAATAAAGGCAAAGCACATAGAACCATATATGGCACTTAGTAAGTACTATATACATATCCTTATTTTTTACTATTATTAGTAGTATTATTAGTATCAACACTGGCTCAGTAACTGCTTATGTCACTTAATTGTCTCTGGGATTTAGGTCTTTCATAACATAAACCAAGAGATTTGGATTCTTTATAACTGACTAACTGGGGAGCTGTTAGTCTCTATTAGATAGTAATTCACTGATAAGATTTTTCCTCATTGATAGGATTTTTTGTGCCTACAGTTAAACAATACTCTGAAATATTTATAGACAGTTGTAGAGTGCATTCTTCTGAAACTGTTGGTTTTAATTTTTCCAAGTAACGTTTGCTTTATCTTTGTTAATTAGTCTTTCATATTACAAGAAAGAGCATTGCTTGAATTTTTTCTGTGCTGCTTAGCAGCAGGCTGTCTTTGTCATTATGTGGCCAGCTAGAGTTGCACACACAGAGCAGGTTCCCACCCTAGATAATCTCAGTCTTACTAGTTTGTTAATATTTCTTTCTTTTCTTCCTTTTTTAAGAGAGAGTGTCTCGCTCTGTCGCCCAAGCTGGAATGCAGTGGCTCAGTAATAGCTCACTGTAACCTTGCACTCCTGGGCTGAAGTGGTCCTTCTACCTCAGCCTCCCAAGTAGGTGGGACTACAGGTGCACACCATTGTGCCTGGCTAATTTATTTTATTTTTCATATCTTGTGGAGACAGAGTCTCACTTTGTTTTGTCCAGGCTGATCTCTAACTCCTGGGCTCAAGT
The DNA here is from genome assembly GCF_000001405.40 of Homo sapiens. NCBI lineage: Eukaryota > Metazoa > Chordata > Mammalia > Primates > Hominidae > Homo > Homo sapiens. The sequence continues at coordinate 225,578,244 of NC_000001.11, read as the reverse complement.
GATCTTCCTGCCTTGGCTTCTCAGAGTGCTGGGATTGCAGGTTAGAGCCACTGTATCCAGCCTGTTAATGTTTCTTTTTATTTTTTTCGGTCTCCAGAGCTTTTGTAAGTTTTACAAGTTTCTCTGTCTCTCTTATGGTTCTAAGAATATGGAAATTGTGCATTCTAATTGTCTTTATTATTCTCTGTCTCCAGGTATGTTGCAGATAGGGACAGGTTCTTTTTACCGCCTGAGTCACATTTATTGAATTTTGCAGATTCTATACTTAAGTAAGAGGAATTCATGATTGAAGTCAAATAGTACCATAAGAATTATTGAGAAAAGATTACTCCCTAAAAAGATTACTCCCTATTGAAAAAAAGATTACTCCTAAGCACACATGACTACATGTGGTAGGTACATTCTCTAAAGTACTTTTTCTACATACTATTGTATTTAACCTTTAACGTTTTCCCCTATTTTAAGAGATTTTTTCATCCTGCAGAATGACCCAATAGATTTGCTGAAATGTTTTCTTTTAAATCATGCCATCTTGCTTTTGATGGTCATTTAGACTGACCATTTTCTTTGGTGAATCTGGATCAGTTATACTAGACTGCATTTGTACTTTGCACATGAATATAGGTGTTGTAGGACAAAGAGTTTAATAGTGCCATATTGATGTTTTTACCTTTTATTTATTATTCTATTTCTCAGAAAGATGAATGAAACATAAGTGTGGTCTTTAGAGGAAGTTTTGCCTTTCTGCATATTTGGTGCTGCTGCATTCCAGATGGTTTTCTTGCCTTGCAGAAAATAACTTTGTAGGCTGCCGTTATTTGCATCTGCTGTTTGTCAGTGGCATTCACAGTGTTTTTGTTGTATTCCTCAATCTCTCAGCCATTGTGGCAGAACCGAATTGTAACTAGCAAGCAAATTTTTTCTCCTGATTCTTAGCAAGATTTTTTCTTTCTTTTTTTAATGGAATGGCAAAGGAGATAAGTTTCTAATTTGGTCTACTGGTGATAGTGGTTAGTTAGTTGAAATCAAGTTTGGTATCCTTAAAAATGACATATAACTTTAAATATTTATTTTTCATTTATTTTTGGAAGCTTAAACAGATTTTTAAGTTTTTTAAAAAGTTTTTTGAGATGGGGTCTTAACTCTGTCACCCAGGTTGGAGTGCAGTGGCACAATCTTGGCCCAAGGCTCCAGTAATCCTCCCACCTCAGCCTCCTGAATAGCTGGGACTACACGTGCCTGCCACCCTGCCCAGCTAAGTTTTGCACTTTTTGTAGAGGTGGGGTTTTGTTATGTTGCCCAGGCTGGTCTTGAACTCCTGGGCTCCAGCAATCCACCTGCCTCAGCCTCCCAAAGTGCTGGGATTACAGGTGTGAGCCACTGTGCCTGGCCCAGAAATTTACTTTCTCACAGCTCTGAAAAGTCTGAGCTTGATGTGCTGGCAGGGCTGGTGCTGGTTTCCTCTGAGGCCTGTCTCCTTGGCTTGCAGATGGCCGCCCTCTTGCTGCCTCTTCATATGGATGTTCCTCTGTGTGCTTGCTCCTATGGTGCCTCTCACTCTTTAAATACTCTAGTCTCTGTTATATGTGTTAATTCTCTAGTCTTTTGCTGTAAAGCTTTTTCTTTAGTGTTAGTCTGGTGATGAGAACTCTATATTGTTTTTCTTCCTAAAGCATGCCCCAGCAGATAATGACGTTTCAGCTTTGGTTTCTTTGAAGTGGAGAGAGAACTTAGACATATGCAAAGCATTCTGAATACAGAATTCTGTTAGACTTGTATGATCTTTTTAGTGACCTACCTTGATAAAGACTTTTCAAAACATTTAACTTAATTTTTATAGTATTTCTGTATACTCACATATCAATTTATATAATATTTAGATTGCAGACTTACAAGTACAATTATAATGAATACATTTGGTCACAGACAGCTGATTCTTTTTGTTTTTTGGGTTTTTTTTTTTTTTTTTGAGACAGAGTCTCACTCTGTCATGCAGGCTGGAGTGCAGTGACATGATCATGACTCACTGTGGCCTCGAACTCCTGGCTCAAGTGATCCTCCCACCTCAGCCTCCCAAGTACTTAAGACTACAGGCATGTGCCATTGTGCCCAGCTGATTTTTAAGTTTTTTCATTTCTGTAGAGGTGGGGGTCTTGCTATGTTGCCCAGGCTGCACAGCTGATTCTCAACCTCTGGGAGCAGAACAGTGCAGAGTGATGAGTTGAGGAGCTCTGAGCATTTAGAGTGCTAGTGGTATGGTTTGTGGATGGGAAGGGGAGGAGTGGAGAGATTGTCCATTTGGGCATTGGAGGTCAGAAAAGGAAGCTTTCACTGTCGTATTTCAGGGCTCTTACTCCAAGTTTACAGATGTTTACTTTTTATACTTAGTATCTCTCACCACTTTTCAGGCCACTTCTCTCACAAATCTTTAATTGGGAGAGAGACAGTGCCAGTCCTTCCTGGGTTTAACATCTGATATTGGTAGAGATGATATGCACAATATATTGTGAGAGCACAGGAAATAAGTTCTTGTTTTGGGGGAGTGTAAAGCTTTCAAGAAGAGGTGAGTTTCTGAATTCTCAAGGACAGATCAGAATTAGAAGGTATCTGGGAAGATGAAAATGGGGCAGATAGGTCAGGAAGAGGGGAAGGCGTGTTATTGCTGTAGTTTTAGACTATTTTGAACACCAGTGTGCTCCCAGCACTAGGATGGTAGAATAATGTCTGGCACACATTACATGCTTAATAAGTATTTTAAAGAAAAAATAAATGTTGAGGAAGACAGAGGCCCAATTATAGTGGACCCTGTACGTGATGCTGTGAAGCCAGAGTTTATCCTGAAATGAGTCTTTGAGGTATCTTAACCAGAAGAGTGGCATGATCAGATTTTATTTATAAAAATATCCCTCTGGAAGCATTGAGAGGGAAGAATAAGATTGCAGTGAGAGATACAGGTAAGGAGATTTTTGAAATAAGCCAGTTGAGGAACTAGGGAGGGCCCAAATTAAAGCTTTTGAGCATTGAGCATTGTGAACAAAGGGTACTGATGCATTGTAGGAGTCTTTTGGAAATAGAATTGACAGGGCTTGGTGACTGTGTGTGTGGAGCAGTGAGGGTCACGGAGGATTCTGGAGTGAACCCTACATTTGTAGGATGTTGTGATTTCAGAGTGGTGGTGTTGGTGCTATGGACTAGGAAAAAGCTCGTCTAGTGCTTAACACAGTATATAGCACATGCTATTTATTGTTCACTTTCCTATTTGAGAAAATATGTTTATTATTCGTATCTGAATGCACAATCTTTTTTTTTTTTTATATATATATATTTTTTTTTTTTTTTTTTTTGAGACGGAGTCTCGCTCTGTCGCCCAGGCTGGAGTGCAGTGGCGCGATCTCGGCTCACTGCAAGCTCCGCCTCCCGGGTTCACGCCATTCTCCTGCCTCAGCCTCCCGAGTAGCTGGGACTACAGGCGCCCGCTACCACGCCCGGCTAATTTTTTGTATTTTTAGTAGAGACGGGGTTTCACTGTGTTACCCAGGATGGTCTCGATCTCCTGACCTCGTGATCCGCCCGCCTCGGCCTCCCAAAGTGCTGGGATTACAGGCGTGAGCCACCGCGCCCGGCCTTTTTTTTATATATTTTGGAGACAGAGTCTCACTTTGTCACCCAGGCTGGAGTGCAGTGGCGTACTGTTGGCTCACGGCAACCTCTGCCTCCCAGGTTCAAGCGAATCTCATGTCTCAGCCTCCCAAGTAGCTGGGACTACAGGCACGAGGCACCATGCCTGGCTAATTTTTGGTATTTTTAGTAGAGATGGGATTTTGCCATGTTGGCCAGGCTGGTCTCGAACTCCTGACCTCAGGTGATCCACTCACCTCAGCCTCTCAATGTGCTGGGATTACAGGTGTGAGCCACCGCGCCTGGCCCACAATCTTATATAACTGAGCTGGTCTCGCCCACTTTTACTATATGCCAGGACCTGTGTTATAAATGTGAACAATATTTGTGGAATCGAGTTGAAACCTAACACAATTGTGTTTACTCTGAGCCTCTTTAATCTTTGAAATGTCATAATATTGTAGACATAGCCCAATAAATTGATATCAGAGAATAAGATGGAAATCCTGAATTTAAAATTCCAAAGTTTTTAGTGTTATTTCTTAGTATTTTATCTTCTGAATAAATGACATCTTAGTTCATAGAATGACTCAGTATCATAACAGACGTGATGCTAATTCTCTTTCTTTAGGATATATTCTCTTAAGAGGCTGATAGTATAGTAGAGGTTATTGTGCACATGTTGATAACTCACTACAGACTAGGCTCTGTGCTGCACATAGGGGATTCAAGAAGGGATGACATATTTTCCATTTTCAAAGATGATGAAGACATGTTTCTGAATAAGTGAGTTGGGCCATGACTTTCAGTGGTGGTACATTTTAATACTTTACAGCATATCACATACTAACTGGGAGTATCATTAAAATGCTAGGTGCATCCATAATTTTTTTCCTCCTTTTGATTGCCTCCTCTTTTGCATCCTGTCTATCTACAGATCCTTTCTTCTGTACTTGCAACATACATCCCCAGTGCTTTCCTCTCCCTCCTTTTTTTCTCGTCTGGTATTTGTGCTTCTGTTCTTGATTTTGCTGCCACTTTCTTGAATTTTTTCTCTACATAGTAGCTACAGTTATCTTTAAAATGTAGGCCGTGTTCTGCTTAAAGCCCTTCAGTGGCTTCCCAGTATACACTTGGAGTAAAACTCAAGTCTTTCCCATGGCTTAAATATTGCCTCCTCAGAGAGTCTTGTTTGTTGAGAGATTAATGAATACTCTGAGAACTCGGAGGAAGGAGCAATTAGTTCTGGCTTTGGGAACCACAGAGAGAATTAATAAGAGGAATAGTATTTGATCCAGGTCTTGATGAGTAGGATTTTGTTAGATTACAGTAAGTGCTGAAAAAGCATTTAAAGAGTGCCTACTGTGTGCTACATATTGTCATATTCATGCTTTCTTTGACAAGTAATGATTAATAAGTGATATCTTTGAAAAGAAATTGATATTTGTTAACAACTTGGTTTTACTGCAATCTCAATAAATAGTATATACAAGACTAGCCTAGCAATCCTTAGTCTGCTTAAATACCAGGAAGCGCTTCATTCACTGGTACCTGTGAGAATAGAACTTGGCAAGCGTTCTCATCACATATACCTGCTCAGTCAATTTGACAATATTCAGAAATGAACTACCTGACAAAACTACAAAATTGTAATTTGGTGTCTTGGTTTTTAGACCTTTTTTCCCTTCTTTTAAACCAGCTATCTCTAGCCTTTTAATGCCATATTTTATTTTAAAATACCAAAATTAACATCAGAAGATGAAGTATAATTAACTATATATACCAATTGCACTGGGTCATAAAAATGAAGTTTTTGTTTATAACTAATTTAGTGCCTGATCTTCACAAAAGTACAGCTTGGTAATTTACTAATTTAATCTTTTGCGTAGTCGCTTCACTGACTCAGAATCTTGAAGACTTTGACTGGGCATTCATTTTGAGGCTTGTCATGATGCAGATAGGATGGTAGTAAAATGATGCATTGCTCTAGTATTTGTTCACCAGTGTCCATGCAGCAATACTGTCTCTTGTGGCTGAGGCCAGCCATATTTTAAAGCAGGCCCTTGGCTAAGCATTTCACTGGACCAGGGAGAAACGGGGAGAAAACAAAATCTGCAGATAATAGAGGGAATTGTCTAGAAAGCTCAAGTTATTGCATTTAATGATTTGTCTTTGTTTTGAAATATTCCTATTTTTAGATTCCAGAAATATCATTTTAAATAAGTTATGTTTGTCCCCACCACCGCCCCATCGCATACCTGTCAAGTAGGGCAAAATATTGGCAGCCAGTTCTGTATTGATTTATCTAGTCTGCTTTTGATGTTCATGGCTCCATGAAGTCTAAAACTGCTTACCACCAATTTATTTTGTGCATCACACCTGTAATCGGAGTTAGTATGTGAGTAGCTTTTTTCCTTACTTCAACAGTCTCTTCTCGAGATTTCACCAGCTGGGTGTCCAATAATTCAGTTCACTCTGACACTGTGCAGAGTTAACGTAGACCCCATAGGTTAAGGGCTCAGTTCCATAAGGCTGCTCCTACTTCAGATACCAGCTGCAAATGGAGTGCCCAGGCTACCCACATCTGCTTAGCCAACTGCAAATACTGAGGTTCCTGAAACCACCCAACCCACATTTGATAATTTGCTAGAATGATTCCCAAAACTCAGGAAAGCGCTTCACTATTACCCATTTATTATAAAGGATATAATTTAGGAATAGCCAAATGGAAGAGAGGCATAGGGTAAGGTGTGAGGGTGCGGGGGTTGAGTCTTTTCCTGCCCTTTCCAAGTGCGACTCTCCCAGCACCTTCATATGTTGATCAACCTGGAAGCCCTCTGACCCTGTCATTCAGGGTTTTTATGGAAGTTTCATTACATAAGCATGATCGATGAAATCATTGGCCATTGTGATTGAACTCGATCTCTAGTCCGTCTCCCTTCCCCAGTTGTTGGCGGGGGGCAGTAATGAGGTGGGAAGTGTGGGCCTGAGTTCCAGCCTTCCAGTCATGCCATGATATTTCCGGCCACTTGGCCCCATCTGAAGCCATCTAGAAGCCCCTTCAGCCAAGAATCATCTCATTAGTATACCAAAGACACTTTGAGGAGCCCTGTACCCAGGACCCCAGGCCAAATACAGTTGACCCTTGAACAGTAGAGTTATAAAAGGTGAGTAGAGGGGTGGAGGAGGTTAGGGACTCTGGCCCCCAAGTGCAACTTTTCTTTTGTTTTTCTTTCTTTTTTTTCTTTTTTTTTGAGACAGAGTCTCACTCTGTCGCCCAGGCTGGAGTGTAGTGGCATGATCTCGGCTCACTGCAACCTCCATCTCCTGGGTTCAAGCGATTCTTGTGCTTCAGCCACTCGAGTAGCTGGGACCACAGGTGCACGTCACCATGCCTGGCTAATTTTTGTATCTTTAGTAGAGATGCAGTTTCACTATGTTGGCCAGGCTGGTCTCCTGACCTCAAATGATCTGCCTGCCTTGGCCTCCCAAAGTGCTGAGTTTACAGGCACGAGCCACTGTGCCTGGCCCAAGTGCAACTTTTGAATCCCCCATAACTTAACTAATAATAGTTTACTGTTGAGTAGAAGCTTTATAGATATCCATAAACAGTTGATCAACACGTTTTGTTATGTTATGTGTATTTTATACCATATTCTTTTTGAGACGGAGTTTCGCTCTTCTTGCCTAGGCTGGAGTGTCATGGCGCGATCTCAGCTCACCATAACCTCTGCCTCCCAGGTTCAAGCGATTCTCCTACCTCAGCCTCCCGAGTAGCTGGGATTACAGGTGCTCGCCACCAGACCTGGCTAATTTTTTTTTGCATTTTTAGTAGAGACAGGGTTTCTCCATGTTGGTCAGGCTGGTCTCCCAACTCCTCACCTTAGGTGATCTGCCCGCCTCGGCCTCCCAAAGTGCTAGGATTACAGGTGTGAGCCACCACGCCTGGCCCATATTCTTAATCTAGAGAAAAGAAAATGTTATTTAAAAAAACATTAAAAAATCACAAGAAGGAGAAAATATATTTACTATTCATGAAATGGACATGGATCATTATAGAGATCTTCATCCTTGTCTTCATGTTGAGCAGGCTGAGGAGGGGCAGGAAAGAGGAGGGCTTGGCCTTGCTGTCTTAGGAAGGGTAAGGTGGGAGAGGAGAAGGAGGTGGAAGGGGAGGCAGGCACAGTTTTTCCAGTGTAACACTGGAAAAAATACTGAAAAACACTGGAAAAAAAAAATCCATGTATAAGTGGACCTGCGCAGTTCCCATGTTGTTCAATGGTCAGCGTACATGGCAGGATGTCTCTAGTGAGAAGAGGTCCTCAGATGCTGTGGAAAGGAATAAGAGGACTGAGTTGCATTTGTCGCTAAACCCTAGCAGGCAGTGCCATCCTTTCCTGGCTGGGCCTTGATGGGGGCTTCTCTGAGTGCCTAATGTATTTTTTTTTTTTTTTTTGAGATGGAGCATTGCTCTGTCACCCAGGCTGGAGTCCATGGTGTGAGTATGATTCTCCTGCTTCAGCTTCCCAAGTAGCTGGGGTTACAGGTGCCTGCCACCACACCCAGCTAATTTTTGTATTTTTAGTAGAGATAGGGTTTCCCCATGTTGGCCAGGCTGGTCTCGAATTCCTAAACTCAGGTGATCCACCTGCCTTGGCCTCCCAAAGTGCTGGGATTACAGGTGTGAGCCACTGCGCCCCACCAGTGCCTGATATCTTCTAGGGCTACACAGTTATTTGGGTTTAGCTAATCCCTTCACAGTGTGCCACATACCCACATGGCAATTACTACCTCTCCAATAACACCTCAGCTCTTACCCATAGCTTATTTTTTCTTCTCTTTATTCTCAGCTTTGTTTAGAATTGGAAATGTTTAACATTTCATTTTGAAGATTTCTTTTCATCTTCAGAAAACCAGTTAATTTTTTGCATTTTTGACTTTTCTTGGCTACTTGGATATGTTCATTTGGAGAAAAAAAGTAGAGGAAAACTTTGGGGCCATTAAAGCTAACTTTCCTTGTTTTAGATTTCTTATACTTAAAAGAAAAAAATTTTTTTGAGGCATGAAGTGACCTGTTTACAAAATGAGGTGTTGCTTTAGCTTATATGATCTTACTGACACTTCTTAAAGGGACATGATTTTATTTTATTTATTTATTATTTAAGTTCTAGGGTACATGTGCACAACGTGCAGGTTTGTTACATAGGTATACGTGTGCCATGTTGGTTTGCTGCACCCATCAACTCGTCATTTACATTAGGTTATTTCTCCTAACGCTGTCCCTCCCCCAGCTCCCCACACCCCAAGACATTATCTCTTGAATCTTGGGAATCTTAGAAACAATGTAGCTGCAAAAATATTATTTGAAAACTGGAAACTACTATCCTGTATTATTCTAGATTTGTTTATTGAATTATTTACATTTAGCAGTAAATTTGTTGCTTGAATTGTAAGCTGTAAGAGGCACTTTGCCTTGGCTTGTTTCATGTAATCTTTCCATAGGGTTATGTAAATGTCATCACATGCAAAATATTTCTGTTGTGAATGATGGAGAGATTTTTCAACTGCTACTGACACATGCCCTTTAATCTATCTTTTAAAACTAATTCAAGTTTTAGTCATTGGCTTGTTTTCATTCCCAGAAGTATTTTACCAAAAATGTCAGTGCAGCATAAAAATGTAGACATTACCATTGGGTTTGCTGCACAAATATTGTTACAAGTTAGTTTTTGTAAACATTTTTCTAATGGAAAATTACAAATAATTATAACCCTGTTGTTCTGAAGCAATTTTATTACTCAGTGCTGTGACCTTTTTAGGCCTTCAGTGATCCTCTGTCATCAAGGACAAGAATAAAACACATGCCATCTCCTGCAAAGTTGCATTTCATTATCCCTCTTGGATGGGTTAAGAGGTGGGGCAGATGCACGAGCAAGAGGGGAGAGTGTGAGGGTGACTTTCTGTTTGAGAATTTTTAGGAAAGAACCGACATGATTTATTGTTTAAAATTTTTGAGATAAAATTGATAGAATAAGCAGTGCTTTTGTGAAGGATGTGGTTGCACGAGCTACTTCAGAGGATTTCCATTAATGACTGTTAAGTCTCAGGAGTATCAGAAGGCTTGTCTATTGAGGTTGAGTTATTTTAATTGGGTTAATAGCATAGAGTTGATGTGCCTATTCTAATATCCTAGAATATTTGAAAGATGAACCCATTGCTTAAGATGAAATTGAGATTATCTTTATATTTTATTTTAAATATAGAGACGGGGTCTTGATATATTGCCCAGGCTGGTCTTGAACTCCTGGCCTCAGGTTATTCTCCCACCTTGGCTTCCCAAAGTGCTGGGGTTACAGGCATTGAGCCATCGTGCCTGGCGTCTCTATTTTATTTATTTGTGTATCTCAGTCTCACTTGGTAACAAATAATTGAGTTAGATGAAGCTAATGTTTAAAGATTCTATGACAGAATTGGCCTTTTCCCCTTTAATATTTATCTTTGGAGGCTAGAATTTAAAATCTAGTGGGGTCTTTAGAAATTACCTCATTTTACATTTTCATTTTTAAATGAAGAAATTTGAAGCACAAGATGTTATCTTGCCCAAGGCGAATGAGGAATTTAGTTACACTGCCATCCATTGGTTGTTAGCGGCCACTCCATGTCTCAAGGGGCAGATGGTTGATTATCAGACTTAGTTACAGACTTTAGGGCAAGCCTGAGGATAAAAGTAATTTTCTCAGTAAAGAAGGTGTTATCACAGACAGGTCATCAGTATACTAAACATGTATGCAATTAAGCAAATAATGATTAATTTACACTTGTATTAGGTTGGTGCAAAAGTAATTGCAGTTTTTGCCATTAAAATAGCAAAAAGTGCAATTACTTTTGAACCAACATAATAGTTGTATTCAGTTTAGTGAATGAATTAGATACTCAAATTTAGAAGAAACCATTTCTTGTGTTGCTTATCTAAGTGTTCTTCGTGGATCCTGCTCTCCTTTTGGTCTTTTAATTATACTTTATTTTTTTTGGTTTGTCTTCACCATTAGACTGTACACATAAAGACAGGAAGCCTCTGTCTTGTCCATTATTGTTTCCAGCACCCAATAACAGCACTGATCGTTGACTGACTCCTAGGTTTGTGTGGCTATGTGGAACACTTAGCATATTTTAAATATTGCAAGTTTGAATATTTTATTTTATTTTTTACAGTGAACAGAGTATCTGTCAGGCAAGAGCTGCTGTGATGGTTTATGATGATGCCAATAAGAAGTGGGTGCCAGCTGGTGGCTCAACTGGATTCAGCAGAGTTCATATCTATCACCATACAGGCAACAACACATTCAGAGTGGTGGGCAGGAAGATTCAGGACCATCAGGTAAGGCTTTACTACAATTGTTGTTAAAAATGATTTAGTATTACAAAAGGACTTGGCATATTCCGTAAAATAAAGTAGTTTTAAAACTGTAATCAAAATAGTCTCTCTCTGGGAAAAACTGAATATAAAATTGTCTCTCCACCCTTTCTACCTTTTATGAAGCCTGAACTTAAACGAAGATTTAGAACAAGTTGTACAAAAATAGAAATACAAGTTCTTTTATGATGAATTTTCATTAGATTTTCTGGCCTTCAATTAGTTTTTGAAATCTAAAGCAAATTAAGGACAAACAAACAAAACTCTACTTAAGTGGCAGATTGTATGTTTATGGAATTAATTTCCTGCCAATGTTTGGGATATGGGGTTAGAGGAGGGAGTTGAAAGTATAGATAGTTTCAGAAAATACTGTTAAATTCACATGTGATAGAAAAATAGTAGGTATTGAGGTTGCTGGAATAGTTTGGCTTTTGCAGTTCATGTCTGGGGCGACAGCTAAGCTTTTACTAATTCCTCGCTCTGGATTTCTTAGAAAGTAGCTGGATTATCTGATTACTTGATTTCTTGGGCCTTAACAGATCAACAGCAGTAGATAGAGGAAAAGGCAGATAAGCTCTTACTAGCATTAACTATATACTAATAGTAAGAACTTTTATAAAGAGTAGATTTACAAAATACTTTGGGAAAAAATATTTACCAAAGATGTTGGAATCAACTGACTTTAAAAATCATCCTGCTACACATGCGGAAAGAATGTAACAAATTTTCTTCTTCATTGCCCAGCTGAGCTCTTATGAAGAAAGGTAAGTTCCTAGGTTTCCCCTACATTGTGTGGTAGTGTGGTGTAAACAGATGCTGCATTAGCCCTGGGTTTTAGGATGGTGATTATGGATTGGTAAGATTTGTCATGTATGCATATAGGGGCTGTGGGCCTACGAGAGGTTGGGCTGTGAAACTGGTATTTTGGCAAAACAAACAAACAAACAAAAAAACACACAAAAAAACTAGCAATCTTAGAGGGGCTACACCCCGTAGAAAGAAGACAAGAGAAATCCTTCTATCAGCACAGGGAAGCAAAGGAGTGTGTTGCTTTCTTAGCTGGCTTAGAAGCTCCCCCGAGAAATGAGAAACTCCTTCACTTAAGCAACTTAAGCCAAGAAATTAGGAAACACTGGTTGTAGAGCACTGAAACTGTTGGGGCACGTGGTAAAAACAAATGTGGTGCCTGCGTGGAGATGAACTTTCACAGCTCTGAGTCAATCTGTGGAAAGAGCAATTCTCTGAATTTACCAGATTTATCCATTTATACAGACGGTTTCGGCCTGCCTCTCTTTCTGCCCTCTCTGGCTCCCTTCTGTCTGTCTCTCCCCTGTGCCCCGCCCTCTTCTTTTCCCTCCTTAGTCTTCCTGCGTTTTCCTCTAGGCTCCAGTTTCCTTGTTGTGTTGCACAGCCTTTTTCTGGTCTCCCAGGCTTTTTACCAAGAGCCCCCTTTGTCCCATTTGTAGTCCAGGTTCTGGGGAGCACTGTCTCATCTTTGTCTTTGTTCCAGCAGCGACTTAGTCCAGAGATAAATCAAATACACCCCAAGATGTTATTATGGGGAAAAAAAAAGAAAACTGGACAATTAAAATTTTGTAGAAATTGTTGAACCTTCTTAATACAACATTCCAAACTAATAGCTGTAAAGAAACTACGTTTTTGGTAAATTTAGTGAATTGGTTATTTGAAAGTACTGATGAACAATCCTACATTTAGAGAAACAAAAAAGAATATTTGAAGATAATCAGAAAGAAATTCTTTTTTTTTTTTATTATTTGAGACAGAGTTTTGCTCTTGTCGCCCAGGGTGGAGTGCAATGGCGTGATTGTGGCTCACTGCAACCTCTCCTTCCCGGGTTCAAGCGATTCTCCTGCCTCAGCCTCCAGAGTAGCTGGGATTACAGGCATGTGCCACCATGCCTGGCTAATTTTGTATTTTTAGTAGAGATGGGGTTTCTCTATGTTGGTCAGGCTGGTTTTGAACTCCTGGCCTCAGGTGATCCACCTGCCTCAGCCTCCCAAAGTGCAAGGATTATAGGCGTGAGCCACCGCGCCAGGCTCGGAAAGAAATTTAAGCTAGGAAATTTGCATATGAAATACCAAAATTTTTATTTCTAGGAGAAGTAAACTATCCTATGACTTAGATTTTGGAAAATAGAATGTTTCTTAAAACATTTAAAAATTTAAAACTGTGCTTCTAAATTGTGACATTAAGAGGAAATTATTATGTATATTAAAAAATATTTAGAAAATAAGAAAACACTGAGACCTGAGTGATATTACATATAGAAACCTGTAGGACATCTAAGCTGTCCTTAGATGGACAAGTCTTAATTGTATGTAGTAGGAAAAAAAGGGAAACTAAAAAATAATGAGCTTAACCCAAAGAAAACAGAAGAAAATATTAAAAAGATATTAATTAAATGAAAATAAATAGTATTTGTTAATACAAAAGCTGCTTCATTGAAAAGATAAACTAGCTGGCGTGGTGGCTCACACCTGTAATCCCAGCTTTTTGGGACGCCAAGGCAGGAAGATTGCTTGCCCAAGAGTTCAAGACCAGCCTGGTCAACATAATGAGACTCTGTCTCTACAAAACTATTTTTTAAAACCCAAACAGGCCAGGCGTGGTGGTGCTTGTCTGTAATCCCAGCACTTTGGGAGGCCAAGGTGGGTGGATCACCTGAGGTCTGGAGTTCGCAACCAGCCTGACTAACATGGTGAAACCCCGTCTCTACTAAAAAAAAAAAAAAAAAAAATAGTCGGGCATGGTGGTGCATGCCTGTAATTCGAGCTACTTGGGAGGCTGAGGCAGGAGAATCGCTTGTACCTGGGAGCGGAGGTTGCGGTGAGCCGAGATTGCGCCATTGCACTCCAGCCTGGGCAACAAGAGCGAAACACCATCTCAAAAAAAAACAAAAAACCCCAAACAACTAGCCAGGTGTGATGTGTGTGCCTGTAGTCCCAGCTACTCGAGAGGCTGAGGTGGAAGAATCACTTAAACCTGGAAGGTGGAGACTGTAGTAAGTGTGATTGTGCCACTGCACTCCAACCTGGGAGACAGAACAAGACCATGTCTCAAAAAAACAAACAAAAAAAACTTGCAGAATCAAACAAAAAAAAGGAACAGTACAAATAACCAATTTTAGGAATGAAAAAAAGAATACCACTATAGTTACTGAAGGAAATAAAATATTATAAAAAACTTTATGCCAGTAAGTGGGCCATTTTGTAGAAAAACGTAACTTTCTAAAACTGAAGAGTAGGAAAACGTGATAGACCTACAATCATGAAATAAATAAATAGTAAATAATCTGCCCCCCAAATTTTAAAAAGCTGCAGGAGAGTACAGAGCATTTACAAATGAAATCTAAAATGTCATGATATTTTCTGTTTTATGCAACCATTGTAGAGAATGATATTTTATAAGGCTTGTATAATTTTGATATCCAAAACACAGAACACGTTTGGGAGAGGAGCCAGTCTTCAGTTATGAATATATACCTAGATATAATAGTCCTCAATAAGATATTAGCAGACCAAATGTAGTAATGAGTAAAAAACAAAACAAAAGCACTTCTTGATCAAATAGGGCTTATCATTGTTTGCCTTAGTAATATAAGGATGGTTAACATTAGATAACTTACTAATGTTATTTCCCAGGAGAAAACCTACAAAAGCAAGAGGTTCTGGAAAAAGCATTTGATAAAATTTGAATCAATACATAACAGTTCTCATCACATTAGGCATAAAATTAATCTTGTTAAGCTGATATGGGTAGATAATAGAAGCATACAGCAGGTATCTTACAGGATTGTACAGTGTCAAGAGCATTCCCGTTAAACTTGTGAATAAATTGAGCATTTCAGCTCTAATCACTTTCATTTAGTGATACAGAGGAGGTACTAGATAACCTAGCCATACAAAGTTTAAGAAATAGAAGCAGTAAGAATTGATAAGAAAGAAACAGCTGGTTACTCACCAATGATGTAATTGTCTGCATAAAAATCTCCCAGGAGTATCTGCGGATAAACTATTAGAACTAACAAGATTTTCAGTGAGGTTGCTGGTTACGTGATCAGTATATAAAAGCCACTCGCATTTTTGTATAAGCAATAAACGATTAGAAAATATAATTTTATTAATATAATGATACTTAAGGAAACACCATCCCTAAGAATAAATCTAATAAATAATTGGTTTTCTGTCTTTCATTCTTGCATTTCGGGTTTTTTTTTTTTGACACAGAGTTTTGCTCTGTTGCCCAGGCTGGAATGCAGTGGTGTGACCATAGCTCACTGCAGCCTTGACCTCCTGGGCTCAAGTGATCCTTCTGCCTCAGTCTCCTGAGTAGCTGAGATTATAGGCATGAGCCACTGTGGCTGGCCATCATTCTTACATATCTTAATGGTTATCAGTCTGTTCTAAGTGGGCACATGTTGTTATAATTTACTAAATATCTAAACTTTCTATAGTAAGAGCTGTTAAAACCACCCACCATTTACTTACAAAATTGAATATGTACAATTATATAAATATGTTATATAAAAAAATACTTCATTTTCCAGCCTAACATTTATTAAGTGCTTATGGGTACTATGCTTGGGTGTGTTTTTTTTTTTTTTTTTTTTTTTTTTTTTTTGAGACGCAGTCTCGCTCTGTCGCCCAGGCTGGAGTGCAGTGGCTCGATCTCAGCTCACTGCAAGCTCTGCCTTCCGGGTTCATGCCATTCTCCTGCCTCAGCCTCCCGAGCAGCTGGGACTATAGGCGCCTGTCACCACGCCCGGTTAATTTTTTGTATTTTTAGTAGAGATGGGGTTTCACCATGTTAGCCAGGATGGTCTCGATCTCCTGACCTCGTGATCTGCCCGCCTCAGCCTCCCAAAGTGCTGGGATTACAGGCGTGAGCCACTGCGCCCGGCCTGTGCTTGGGTTTTATATAGAATATCGTTCCTGACCTTGAATCAAAGATGCAGTAAAGAATGGGAATGTTGGCTGGGTGCAGTGGCTCACGCCTTTAATCTCAGTACTTTGGGAGGCCGAGGTGAGTGGATCACAAGCTCAGGAGTTTGAGAAGAGCCTGACTACCATGGTGAAACCCAGTCTCTACTAAAAATACAAAAATTAGCCAGACGTAGTGGCGCGCGCCTGTAATCCCAGCTACTCAGGAGGCTGAGGCAGGATGGAGATGTTAAGCACATAAGCAAAGAACCACAGTTAAATGTTTCAGTTGTGATAAGTGTAAAATAGAGCACAGTGAGGGCATAAAAGCATCATCAGTTTGTTGAGAAGATAGGAGAAAGGGTCATGTATGACCTCATAGACAGGATAAGATAGTGAGCGAGGTCACAAGGAACTGTGGGTGTTTACTGCACTGTTTACTCTGTTATGGTCAGGCTAAAAATGTATAGGCATGTGTGAGATGGAACGTCACCACCAGTCTAGACTCAAGCTCACTGGTTCTGAAGCACAGAATTTAGGATTATGATGTAGTCCAAACCTGACAGCATGCTCAGTGGACATCCAATAAGTAGTTATTAAGTGAACATACTAATTTTATTTTATTTTATTTTATTTTATTTTATTTTATTTTAAGACGGAATCTCACTCTGTCGCCAGGCTGGAGTGCAGTGGCGCCATCTCAACTCACTGCAACCTTCAACTCCCTGGTTCAAGTGATTCTCCTGCCTCAGCCTCCCAAGCAGCTGGGATTACAGGCATGTGCCACCACACCTGGCTAATTTTTATATTTTTAGTAGAGACAGGGTTTCACCATGTTGGCCAGGTTGGTTTCGATCTCCTGACCTCATGATCTGCTTGCCTCCGCCTCCCAAAGTGCTGGGATTACAGGCGTAAGCCACTGCACCCAGCCTGAAAATATTTAATTTTAATACTTTTAAAGATTATTTGCAGTACTGTCTATCCTCAATGGTTAGATGAGTGAAAGAATTAATTCAGATTAAAAAAAATTTGTTTTTGTTTTTGAGACGGAGTCTCACTGTCACCAGGCTGGCGTGCAGTGGTGCGATCTCTGCTCGCTGCAGCCTGACTTCCCTGGTTCAAGCTTTTCTCCTGCCTCAGCCTCCCGAGTAGCAGGGATTACAGGCACGCACCACCAAGCCCAGCTAATTTTTGTATTTTCAGTAGAGACAGGGTTTCACCATGTTGGCCAGGATGGTCTCAATCTCCTGACATCGTGATCTGCCCGCCTTGGCCTCCCAAAGTGCTGGGATTACAGGCATGAGCCACTGTGCCCAACCCCAGATTTCAAATTTTTATATTGGAAAAAGGAAACAGTAGTTTATGTAATTTTGATCCTAGTAATATTTTCCACAACTTTTTCTAGCATTCTGTTATGAACAATTGAAAAAGTAAATGTAACACATCTTTTCTCTTGTTTGCCATTTTAAGCTGTTTGCCAAGCAGGGATATTGATTTGCCTTAAAATGGGTCTTCTAATTTTCTGATAATGTTAAAATTTAGTAGCTTTGGGTTTCTAGTGTCTTCTAAGGAATTGTGACACCCCCACCCCAATATTTATAAAAACCACATCAGGAGGGTGGGCACAGTGGCTTGTGCCTATAGTCCCAGCTATTTGGGAGGCTGAGGCAGGATAACTGCCTAGGGCCAGGAGTTCAAGACTGTCGTGTCCCATGATTGTGCCTGTGAATAGCCACTGCACTCCAGCCTTATGGTAAAATGTGCATAACATTTAATCTTTTTTTTTTTTTGTCTCACTCTGTCACCCAGGCTGCAGTGCACTGGCATGATCTCGGCTCACTGCAACCTTAGCCTCCCGGGTTCAAGTGATTCTCCTGCCTCAGTCTCCCAAGTAGCTGGATTACAGGCATGTGCCACCATGCCTGGCTAATTTTTGTATTTTTAGTAGAGACAGGGTTTTGCCATGTTGGCCAGGCTGGTCTCGAACTCCTGACCTCAAGTGATCTACCTGCCTCAGCCTCCCAAAGTGCTGGAATTACCATGAGCTACCTCCAGCCTTGGGGGGCACAGGAAGCCCTTGTCTCAGGAAAAAAAAAAAAAAGTTCAGATTTGCCTAGGTTCTAGTAAACAGAGTGCTACCCATCCCAAATTGAGGAAGTCCCAATGGGGATGTCCTGGTAGTGTGGGAAGGCTGGCTATGGTGCTGCTGAACAGCCACTTTGACTCGGTGTCTCCTTTGGCCAAGTTACAGAGCAGACTTTCTGGGCTAGTCCTGCTTCCCCACTTTGGCTGTTCTCAGGGATATTTCTCCCTTCTGGCACTCCCAATGCTTCCCATGGTTTGAGATGACAGATGAGTCTTTTGCCGTGAACCCAGGATGGTGGAGAAGTTTGTTGTTTACCTTGATCTCACTTTTTCCAGTGTAGAAGGCGTGAGTTGGGGGAGATTTTCTGCGTGCTTGGTGCCAACAGGCTGTGGGGAGGGCCATTGTGGATATGGAGGTCTGATTCTCTTACTGTCTGCTGAGAGCTTTTTTATTTCTCTGTGTCTCCAGGAACTGTCTCCTACTCCTATTTGAGTTGTGGGATATTGCTGGTGCTGTATACTTGATTTTGTTTTGTTGGGGTGCAGGGAGAGTAGGGAACTATTAGGTTGGTGCAAAAGTAATGGTGGTTTTTGCCATAGCTTGCTTCTGCGCTGCCATTTTGGAACCAGATATTTCACAGTTCCTCTTGTTCTGGTTACAAATTTATGAGTCACAGCAGGAGACTTTAACTTACTTCTGTTAGTAACTGATGGAACAGGCAGTCAGAAAAAAAGGTCTGTAAGAATGTATAGAAGGTTTGAACAATACAATTACCTCCCTAGCCTAATTGACATATATACCACATACCTTTGAAATGTACGTCACAATTTCAAAATTGTATATATGCTTGGCCCTAAAGAAAGTGTCAACAAATTTCAAAGGATTAAAATCATACAAAGTGTATGGTCACAGCAGAATTAATCTAGAAATAAGATAATAGAGAATCCCATAGGTGTAGGTGTTAAGAAATACCTTTCTGAATAGTCCATGAGTCCGAGAAGAAATCACGATGAAATAAGAAAAATTGGTTGAGCTGAATAATGATGAACATGCCACATATTAACACTAATAGAATGCAACTAAACTTGTGATTAAAATGAAATTTAGAGGCTAAAATGTTTATCTTGAAAAAGAAGTATTGTTGACTTTTCAGCCAGAACTCAGGATGCATCTCAAGAAATTAAATAATAGGCCATTAAAGCCATATAGAATATTAATAGAAAGAGGGTAACAATAAAGATAAGAGCAGAAACAGGCCAGGCGCAGTGGCTTACGCCTGTAATCCCAGCACTTTGGGAGGCCGAGGTGGGCAGATCACGAGGTCAGGAGATCAAGACCTTCCTGGCTAACATGGTGAAACTCTGTCTCTACTAAAAATACAAAAAATTAGCCGGGTGTGTTGGCGGGCGCCTGTAGTCCCAGCTACTCGGGAGGCTGAGGCAGGAGAATGGCGTGAACCTGGGAGGCGGAGTTTGCAGTGAGCCGAGATCGCGCCACTGCACTCCAGCCTGGGCGACAGAGCGAGACTCCATCTCAAAAAAAAAAAAAAAAAAAAAAAAGGCAGAAATTAATGCAGTAGAAAGCAAACACACTAAGGAGGAGAGGTTTGTCTCTAAAGTCCTTGTGAGGGACAGCTCTTGAAAAAAAAAATGGTTTAACCATTATGAAGAAAGAAGGGACATCACTGTGAATCTTACAGACATTTAAGTGATTAAGGAGATATTTTGAGCTACTTTATTTTAGTAATTTTGAAAATGTAGATGTAGAAATTCCTACGAAAACACTTTAAAGAAATTAAGACTATCATTAAAAGAAGTAAAAGGAAGAAAACTTTGTTTAGCTGGCTCTACTGGTGGTGTTCTTTTCAACCAATCCTTTAAAGAACACCAGTATTACGTACTTTTTTCCAGAGAATACAAAAAGAGGATGCCTATCTTTTTGTCAACTCTACAGTGCCAATTCATTTTAAGTCCAGCATTACTTTGGTATCAAAACCTGGTATGAATACAATAGAGAGGAAATTACAGGTTAATCTCACTCATAAAAGTACATGTAAAAATTTCAAACAGAGCAATATCAAACAAAAATCTAGAGATTTATAAAAATTGATATATGAGGACCAAGATTGTTTATCCTAGGAATGTAAGGTTGGTTTAATACTAGAAAATCATCAGTGTAACTTACTGCATAAAAACAGAAAAACCAGTCACCTCAAGAGATGTTGGGGAGGACTTGATAAAATGCAGTATTCAATCATGATGGAAACCCTTAGCTGTCAAGTAGTAGGGTTTTTCCCCAGATAAAAGATATCAATAAAATTATTACATGAAAAGTCATTTATTTATTTATATATTTATTTATTTTTTGAGACAGAGTGTCACTCTGTTGCCCAGGCTGGAGTGCAGTGGCAGAGTCTCAGCTCACTGCAACCTCTGCTTCCTGGGTTCAAGTGATTCTTCTGCCTCAGCCTCCCAAGTAGCTGGGATTACAGGCACATGCCACCACGCCTGGCTAAGTTTTGTATTTTTAGTAGAGACGGGGTTTCACCATGTTGGCCAGGCTGGTCTTGAACTCCTGACGTCAAGTGATCCACCTGCCTTGGCCTCCCAAAGTGCTGGAATTACAGGCATGATCCACCTGCCTGGTGTGAAAGATCATACTTTTAACGGTTTAATTGAGAAAGCTTTCCTTCTAAAATCAGAAAATAAAGATACTTGTTATGAACACTTTTTTTCAGCATTGTATTGTTATTTCTAGCCAGTGTATGGAGATAAATACATTGTGAATGGATTGGAAAGGAAGAAATAAAGCTGTCCATTGCCGATCACATGATTGTGTATTTAGAGGAAAAAACCTTAATGTAAATTATTAGGAATATTAGAAGATTCTAATACTTAGAACTCGATTAATAATAGAAAATAATAAATCTAATGAAAGATCCTCAAGACCCCTATAAAGATACTTAAGAGCCTCCTCAGATTGATATGTTAGCTTTCATGCAACCTCAAAGTCCCCAAAATTTCTTTGGTAGAAACTGATAATCAGAATGTAAAACTAGCTGCACACAAAGGACTGAGAAGAGCCAAAGCAATTTTGAAGAATGAAACAGGAAGACACACTCTAATGGTCATCTAGATTTCGTATAAAGCTACAACAGTTAAGACATTGTAGAGTTGGCAAAAAGGCATATTGATCTGTAGGTGAAAATAGAGCCTTATAGACACTTGATTTATGTGCTGCAGGCAAACCTGCAGCACAGTGATAGTGCTGGATCATTTGGACAGCCATATTGAAACAAATAGCAAACTTGATCCCTACCTCACACCATAGGCACAGATCAATTCCAGTTGGATTGGGGATAGAAATATGAAAGGTAAAATAATAAAGCTTCTACAAGATAATATGGGACAATATTTTCATGACCTTGTGATTGAGAAACATTTGTTAAACAGGGCACTAAAGCAGTAACTATAAAGGAAAAGATTGCTAATTTGAACAGAATCAAAGTGAAGAACTTACATCCATCAAGACACCGTTAAGAGTGAAAAGGCGATTCATAGAATGGCATAAGATATATGCATCACAGATAACCAACAATGATATCATATCTAGAATATATAAAGGGCTTAGAAATCAAAGAAGAAAAAAGTTGACAACTCAGGAGAAAAATGGACAAGAGACTTAATTCAAGCAGATATTCACAAAAAGAGACATCTAGATACCTAATAAAAATCAGGGAAATGCAAACTAAAACTGCAGTGATAAAGCATTCATACCCACCAGAATTGCTAAAATAAAGACTGACAGTACCAGTTGTAATGTTGCATAGTATGTAGAAGTAGCACAAGCTCTTGTATACTCTTGTGGAAATGTAAATTACTAGAACCAATTTGGAAAGCTACTTGGAATTTTCTACTAGAGCTGAACATACACATGTCCTGTGATATTTCCACTCCTGGGTATATGCCCAACAAAAATGAATGCTTGTTTGTACCAAAAGACATGCAGTAGAAAGTTCATAACATCGCAATTTTTAATAGCCCAAACTGCAAATAATCCAATTGTTCATTAATGGGAGAATGGTTAAATAAATATGATTTATACAAACGACTACCATAGAGCAGTGAAAATGAACAAACCACAGCTGCATGCAACAAGTGGATGGCTCTTACAATTTTGAGGATAAGAGAGCAGATACGTTTAATACATGTTGTATAACTCCATTTATATAAAATCCAAAAACCTACAAAACTCGATTAATAATAGGAAATAAATCTAATGAAAGATACTTAAGACCCCTATATAGATACTCAAGACCCTCCTCAGAATGATATGTTAGTTTTTGGATTTCATATAAATGTAGTAATTTATGATGTTAGAAGTGTGGCTAGTACCTTTTGGGAGGTGGGAGGAGTTAAGAAGAGGGGCTTCTGGTGTTGCTGTTTGATTTCTTAATCAGGGTACTGACTTCATGTGAACATTCAGAGAGATACACTCTTAGGTTGTGTATACTTTTTTGTATTTGTAAAACTTCAGCAAACAAGTTAAAATATATTTAATGAGGAAAATTTTTTTTTGTTTTGCTGATTTACTTTTTTTTTTTTTGAGACAGAGTCTCGCTCTATCGCCCAGGCTGGAGTGCAGTGGTGTGATCTTGGCTCCCTGCTAACTCTGCCTCCTGGATTCACGCCATTTTCTTGCCTCAGCCTCCCGAGTAGCTGGGACTACAGGCACCCGCCACTGCGCCTGGCTAATTTTTTGTATTTTTAGTAGAGATGGGGTTTCACCGTGTTAGCCAGGATGGTCTCAATCTCCTGACCTCATGATCTGCCTGCCTCGAGCCCTCCCAAAGTGCTGGGATTACAGGCGTGAGCCACCGTGCCCGGCTGATTTACTGTTTTATGGCAGACCTTTGTAATCAGCGAAAAGCTTAACTTCTATCAGACTGATATTTGTGTAGATTTTACCCAGATAATTGTTTAAGCAATTTTTGCCAAGGTCTGTTAGGAACACATTTGAATGAATATATACAATCAGCATTTGTTGACATCCTTGATTTTGCCAATTATTGGTTTGACTTTATAAAGAATTATTATTTTTTAGGTCGTGATAAACTGTGCCATTCCTAAAGGGTTGAAGTACAATCAAGCTACACAGACCTTCCACCAGTGGCGAGATGCTAGACAGGTGTATGGTCTCAACTTTGGCAGCAAAGAGGATGCCAATGTCTTCGCAAGTGCCATGATGCATGCCTTAGAAGTGTTAAATTCACAGGAAACAGGTAAGGTGCCCATGGTTTATTTGTATTTTCTTTCTTTTTCCAGAGACAAAGCAAAACTGAAGATTTACTTGTATTCTTGAACTGAAGTGCCATGTGTATGTTAAAACAAATGTTTGTTAACTTTTAGATCTTGTATATATTTGAAGTAGTTTTTGAATTTTTATTTTCTATAGAAATGTGAACTTTTTATTGATGATAAATGTATAATCTAGAAAGATAATCCTGTGAGTTTAGTTCTTTTTAATTCTGTAACCCTTTTATTTGAAGTATTTAGATGGGTTTCATCCTGCTTTAGAAACACTTCCGTTGCAAGTACATGAAGCCCAGAGAATATGCAGTGGATAGGAATTATGCTTATTTATCATCTTTGTGTAAAGAAACACATGTTTTCTGAAAGACATTTTTCAAAGCATGGACTTGAAGTAGGACTGGGTCTCCTTCCCAGTAGGTAAAAATGTGATTCTCGGTTTTTTTAAAGATTTTAGGAGTGCCCTCAGGTGGTATCAGTCATGAATTGCATCTCCTCTGATAGTGCATATTGGTTAGAAATATATATAGAAATCACTTTTTAAAAAAATCTCAATTTTTAAAAACTGTACATATGTCAAGGATAAGCTCAGTTTTGTCTTGGTTTAAAAAATAGAAAAATGTACCAGTGTGTGGTTATTTCTTTGAAGAGAGAGATTTTATAATCAGGAAATAATTGTTATACATGAAAACACAAATATGATTACTCTTGCCTATATTGTATATTTAGTAATGATTTTAATGATATAAATGTACTGTAAACAATATATATTTTAAGAGGAAAGAGTTGCAGTCAGATGAAAATTTGATACTTTGTTGAAAGTGTAGAATATCAAAATCTGTTCAAAATCTGTTATAAATACATTAAACAATGTATATGTTGCCTTATACTAAAAAGGGTTGAAGCATCTAGCTGGTGTGTTAGTCTGTCAAATACTAATTTCAGAGCAAGAAGACATTTTGGGATCTTGCAGAAACTTAAAGTTGTTATGCCTTTAGATGTTTTGTATCAGATCTTCTTTTGAGGAAATTAATATCAATACATAACTTATACATAGGTTGCATATTTTGTCTAGTTTGAGAAAATAAACCACTAGAACTTGGCCTGGTGTGTCTCTAAGTCCAGAAAATAGCATAGGAAAGTCTGTATAGTCTTGTATGTAGGTCATTTCTCTAAGTCTCTGTACTTCTCTCCTAGGTGTCAGTATTTTATTGGCATGCTATCATAGGTATAGAATTGCTTTTCATTTACTGTAGTTTTACCATAGGGAAGAAGCTAGAATTGTGATTCTTTTTTTTTTTTTCTTAATATCTTGTTGG
This sequence comes from Homo sapiens, assembly GCF_000001405.40. NCBI lineage: Eukaryota > Metazoa > Chordata > Mammalia > Primates > Hominidae > Homo > Homo sapiens. Next base: position 225,553,558 of record NC_000001.11, on the reverse strand, counting down.
ATAGGTCAGTTATGTGATAAATAATTAAGGTACCAAAGTTTGGAGAGTAGACATTTGACTATCCCGTGTTTTAGAACAAACTAGCATTATTTTTATTTCTAAACTTTCAAAAGTGTATCCGTTGATATTAGAAACTAAATGTTACTGATATTAGGAACTTATATTGGAAACTAAATGTTCCTTTTTTAAAAGTAGTTAAAATTTTATTATTCCTCTTGTCATTGACTTTTGATTTTTAGTTTTTAGCCAAATGGAAAGGATTGTTTCTCTCAATGAGTAGTCATATGGTTTGATTTCAAAATGCAAATTTATTTATTTATTTTTTGAGACGGAGCCTAGCTCTGTTGCCCAGGCTGGAGTGCAGTGACGCGATCTTGGCTCACTGCAACCTCTGCCTCCCGGGTTCGAGTGATTCTCCCTCCTTAGCCTCCCAGGTAGCTGGGATTACCGGTGCTCACCACCACACCCAGCTAATTTTTGTATTTTTAATAGAGATGGCGTTTCACCATATTGGCCAGGCTGGTCTCAAACTTCTGACCTCAAGTGATCTGCCCACCTCGGCCTCCCAAAGTGCTGGGATTACAGGCATGAGCCACCGTGCACAGCCTTTTTTTAAATCTTGATCTTTTCAAATTAATGAATCTTAATGTGGAGAGACTCAATTACATTCTCTATTGTAAGGTAATAAGCATTAAGAAACAATGTTCCACATTATAGAAAGTTTGGCAAATAGGAAAATCGGCCATCATTTTACAAGCTACACAAGCATTTTAGTGTGGGAAAAAGGCTTCTTGTTAGATGATTTTGATACTTTATTCTCAGTCACAATCTCAACCACTCATACTAGGGGCTGAGGAAAGAGAGATAATGGTGGAAGAAATGAGTCCATCACAGCTGCCTCCTGGTATTGTGGATCAGTCACTGGCAAGGAAGCTTTTAGTTCTGTAGTTTTTCATCATGGAAAAAAAACCATATAGAATGGCTAAGTTCTAAATAGTCTGATTTACTTAGAAAATGACTGTTTTCATAAATTACTGTAGTTAAATACTATTTCTTATTTTTGATGGCCTTAATTAGTGTGGAAGTAGAAGCATGGGAGAGAGTAAGATGTTAAGAATCAGGGCCGGGCACGGTGGCTCACGCCTGTAATCCCAGCACTTTGGGAGGCTGAGGCGGGTGGATCACGAGGTCAGGAGATTGAGACCATCCTGGCTAACATGGTGAAACCCTGTCTCTACTAAAAAATACAAAAAAATTAGCCGGGCGTGGTGGCGGGCGCCTGTAGTCCCAGCTACTCGGGAGGCTGAGGCAGGAGAATGGTGTGAACCCGGGAGGCGGAGCTTGCAGTGAGCTGAGATCGTGCCACTGCTCTCCAGCCTGGGCGACTGAGCAAGACTCTGTCTCAAAAAAAAAAAAAAAAAAAAGAATCAGGAGTGTTCTTGGGAATAGATATAATTTCTTACGCAGATTCTCCAGTGTAGAAAAGGTATGTACCCTACCCCAACATTATATGGGCCACCTCCCCTTTATCTAAACAAACATACCCAATAATGTCACCTCTCAGTTTGATCATACCCTGCCAAAAATCTTTGCTTTGGATTCACAGCCAATTGGCTGCTGAAATCATCTACTGTCTTTCTTCCAAAACCAAGTTGAAAAAGCTTAACTTACATCTCCCTTCCCTTTACAAACTGTAGCCTGATAAAACTGATGAGAAGCAGAACAAACTTATTGATAAAGCAACTACAAATATTAGTCTTGCCTGTTTCTTAATGTTTTACCACTTGTTAAAACATTTTTCCATATTAAACATTTCTGTTTGTATTTTTATTTATTAGGTGCTAATATCAATATTATCCACTGTTGTCATCGGCTAATCCTTCTCAGTGATTTTCAGACTTTAAAAAGTTATGGACATTTTTGTGCAAATGAGATCTTTGGTAGTTCAGTGTATAAATGGACAGAAAATATGGAGCTTCTCTGATTGATATAGGGTTCCGGATCCGCAACCACTGAGATGCCTCCATGGTTCTCTAGAACTGAATTTGAAAATTACTAGCTCACGTTTTGTGCTAAAACCAATAATCACATAATTTTCCTTTCCTCTTCTTCCGTGTCCCCTACGTCCTCAAATTTTTTAAATTTATAAAAAACAGCTTTCTGGGGGGCTAGTCATACCAACCTTTACAAGGTGCTCTGTGTGTTTGTGTGATATTTCCTTTTTTTAATGAAAATGGTGGGTGGCAGAAATGTTTTCCTTTATTTTGTTTTTAACTTGGTATGCAATTATCTAATATACTGGAAAGTACAGAAGGTGCTAAATACAGTGAGTTATATTTGGAAGTTAAAAAAACACAAATCACATGTTCTAACATTTTTGAAAAAGAGCTGAATTAGTGCTCTTCCTTTTATACCAAATGCTACAGTGTATTTTTTCCTTTCTCCATGGAAATGGATTCAATTTTAAATGGGTGTATTACCTAAAGTGATATTTTTGATTTCTCTATTATTTATCCAGTACATTTATAGATTTTTATAGGTAATAGTTATGGATTATATAAACTACAAAGTTAATTTTTGTGATAATTGGTGGAGGCAAATTTGCCCAACTTTTATTTTCTTAAAAGGTTTAAATCATTTGAAAATAGGAAATAATTTTTAAATCCAAAAAAAAGAAAATTATATGCATAACCAGTAAGATTATCCCACTGCTTTTGTTCTCAGCCAAGATGAAGCATGCCTTTTCAAAAAGAACACCCCAAAATAAGTATTTTACCATTATCTAAAAGACTACTTTTGCTGGGTTTTATTTTTTAATCTATTGAACATGAGAACATGGTCAAAAGTCATACCTTCCTTATGGTTGAAATTTTCTAGAGGTTTTATAATATTGAGATTTCATTTTTTAATGATAATTTGGCCTGACATACCTTCCAGTATGTACATTTGTATGAGTTTTATCACAGCATTTAAAAATCTCTTTATGTTTGGAATTAATAGGATTAAAAAAATCTCAGTAGTTTCTAGAAATACTTTATAGTGACAGTTTTGTTTTTTAGTCTTCCAGATTGTTGATATTAATGCAAACAATATTAAGCTTATATCACAAAAATATTTTCAGTAAAGCGTATTTTTTATAAACTGTGTTAGGCACTGGGAATAATACAAAAATGATAAATAAAGCCTGTCCCTTGCCTGATGTCACAGTCGGGCTACAGCTGCCAGAAACAAGGCCAGCAAAATTAGGATACAGCTTGCGAATGTAGTGTGAAGAAAGGCCTTCGGAATACCAAAGAAAATTCTAGGGTCAGGGAAAGCTTTGAAGAGAAGGTGATGTTTCAGCTATGTTTGAAGAATGGGGAGGGCTCATCAGTGATAGAACATTCTAGATAGGTTTGGAAGCATGAGAGCATGGAGCAATTGGGAAATAACAAATATGCCATGATGTGGCTTGGACATGAGAATTTATGTGGTGGGGGTCAGGAGCAGGGCATCCCAAGAGATAAGGTTGGGAAGGGCCTAGTGCTGACGAGTGTGCATGTTATCATGGAGGTGGTGAAGAGTCATTGAAGGATGCTAAATAAAGGATTGATATGATCAAGTTTGTGCTTTAGGACAAGTGTGGTGAGCATGCAAGTTTACAAGCATGAAGATCAATTCAGGACACTGTTGTAATAATACCGGTGAGAAAGATGAGGCCTGAACTGACAAAGTAGAGAGAGGAGAGGAGCAGAATGAAGAGGAGGTGACCAGCTTTCATTTAGTGCTGGCTATACCTGCCACGGCAGTGTTCTAGCTTTCTACCTTTGTCCTCACATAGAAATTAAAGCCATTCTGAGGCAGGAATAATGATCTATTTATTGGTCACCTTCTGTGTGCTTGGTCTTAATCTGGCGTATACATAACCAATCATCTTTATAACAACCCTACAAGGTTGGTGGTATTATCCTTGTTTTAGAAATGAGATTGGCACTTACAGAAGGTCACTACTGTAGTGATGCGAGGACCCACAGCTAGACAGTGGCATTAGTGGCTTTTGTACCGAGGTCTTAGAACTCAACCTCTTTTCTCTTTGTCAGTAAGATGTAATGGGCAGGCCGGGAAGGAGAGAACAGTGTTTTAAAATGATGACCAGGTGTGTCAGTTTGGGCCCCCGGTAAAGATGGTCCTGTTAACCAGAGACAGAGTGAAAGAGGATGGAAGAGGAAATACTGTGCTGCAGATAACACATTTGGTTCTGGATATACTCCATTTGCGGTTCTTTATTAATGCTTTCATGAAATCTTAAAAATTTGGACCTGAAAAGAATCCCAAAGATAACCCTGGACAAAGTTTTTTAGTTTAGCTTTCCGAAACAACTAATCTTATTGGAGAATTAACATTTTGAACCCTATAAAACCTATCTGTTTGGCCAGGTGCGGTGGCATACACCTGTAATCCCAGCACTTAGGGAGGCCGAGGCGGGTGCATCACTTGAGACCAGGAGTTCGAGACCAGCCTGGCTGATATGGTGAAACCTCATCTCTACTAAAAACGCAAAAATTAGCTGGGCGTGGTGGCGGGCACCTGTAGTCCCAATTACTCGGGAGGCCGATGCAGGAGAATTGCTTGAACCCGGGAGGCGGAGGTTGCAGTGAGCTGAGATCGTGCCACTGCACTCCAGCCTGGGTGACAAGAGTAAAAACTCTGCCTCAAAAAAAAAAAAAAAAAATCTGTTCACTAAGTATTAAGTGAGTAACAGGTTTGGGGATTGGGTAGGTGGGGACAGTCTTTTCGTAGGTCTGCCTGCTCTACTTTCTTCTCATACTTACCTCTCACAGTCCTCCCTTTTGTGAATCACAGTAATGTGAGGTTAATATGTCTGTTGTCACTCCCAATTTCCAATTAGAAAGGTTGACATGGAGAGCTGGGATTTCCCCAGGCTGTCCATACCTAGAAAGGGAGGCACAAAGGGGATTGGGTTTTCGAGCCTTCAGGCCATTTATTTTTACTGCGTTTGTCTGGCCTTCAGTTCAAGATCTTCAAAGCATTTTTAAAAACGCCTTTGAGGGAAGTCAGTTTAGAGTGAGAAATTAGGAAAGCAAAAATTTGAATTTACTTTTAGTTTTGTGTTTTTAAGTAAACTGTTAAGGTCTTTATTGTGATTTAGTAGAAAGAACTTGAGTTTAGAGTCAAAAGACTCTAGTTCTGTCTCTCCCTCTGGTGCTTTCTCTAAAGCTATTTCCTAATTTATAAAATGTGAGTCATGAGAATATTTATGTCAGGATATCATGGGAATTAAACAAGGCAAAGGCATAGTATTAAACTAGAAAATGTTATTTTGAATGCTAATGTCCAAAAAAAAAAAAGAAAATGAAAATTCTATATGGATTAACTTAGAGGAAAAAAAAAAAGTAGGCTTTCAAATTTTCTCCAACATCTGCTTTGTCTTAACTGCCCGGTAAAGACATATCTTTTGGGTGTTTTCTTTTTTTCTATAGACAAATTAATTCATCCATCATTTGAGTGCATCTGTATGCCAGCGCAAATTAGACACAAGTCTTGTCCTCACAGATCTTCTTTCTCCTCTTACAGGGGAGGTAAGGCACAACCATAACACACAAGAGAAACCCTGTCTGAGGACAGATAACATACTGTATTGGGTGTGTGAAGGGGACGAGCCGCCTTCTCACTGGAGCAGCCGGGAACATATTAGTGACAAGCTGACTTTCAGGTCTGGATTTTGAAAGTTGGACATACTGTAGGCATGGGAAGATGAGGGGGAAAGACATATCAGGCCTGAGGAATAGCATACCTGTACAAAAAGTGGGAAGAATGAGCTGTGTTTGTAGAGCAGGGAATTGTTTGGCCTGGTGGGAATAAATTCAGAAAGGTAGGTGATCAAGAAGGGCGTTTGAGACCTTTGGGTGATAGAGATTCAGTGTAAGTTTTCAAGCAAGAGTGATAATGTGAGTAAAGCTGTACTCCAGAAAGCTAGCTGTGGTTTGAAAAGGGAGCTACTGGAGGCTGTAAGTCAAGCATTCAGTTCCTGAGTGGAGGCAGAAATAGAGAAGAAAATTCAAACAGTGGTAGAATGAGGTGAATTTAAACAGGAAACCAATGTGGTTCTGATTGTACTTCACTTAGGTAACTTTTTCATTAAGAAAGAATTCTGGCTACCTATTCTCATATGTTAATAATAGAGGTCTTGGCCGGGTGCAGTGGCTAACATCTGTAATCCCAGCACTTTGGGAGGCTGAGGTGGGTGGATCACGAGGTCAGGAGTTCGAGACCAGCCTGACCAACATGGTGAAACCCCATCTCTACTAAAAATACGAAAATAAGCTGGGCATGGTGGTGCGCACCTGTAATCCCAGCTACTCAAGAGGCTGAGGCAGGAGAATCACTTGAATCCAGGAGGCGGAGGTTGCAATGAGCCGAGATTGCACCACTGCACTCCAGCCTGGGCGACAGAGTGAGACTCCGTCTCAAAAAAAAAAACAAAACAAAAACAACAACAACAACAAATAATAGATGTCTCCGGGAAAGTATCATATATGTTTGAATATAATGTGTGTGACACCTAAAATTATTTCTACTGTATGAAGAAAATCAGTACTTTGGGAGAAACAGGTAAAAATGAAAATGTAATTCAGCATCAGTTTGAGTTTCACTGTGAGCCTCAGTCCAGGTTTTAGAAAGAAAGGTACGTAGACACAATTCTGGCTTTAAATAGTTCACAATGTGGCAAAAGAAACTTCATTAATTTCTTAAGATTAATGATAAATACAGTTTCTTTGGGCAGATTGACTCTAAATATTGAGTTCAAGGGGGTTAATTACAGTATAAAAGGGTTTCTAGCTGTTGAAAAGGTTGGGAGCTACTGAATTAGGCCTCCAGATCCTGTGGCCTACCTGTTATACCTCAAAGCCTCAATTTTCAGCCGCTTCCTTAGCCTTTCTCAACCAGGGCTGTGAGACAGTTAAGCTCTAAGGAAAATTGTTTGAGTAACTAATATCAGTTCTCCCAAGGACTGTATTTAGGTATTCTTTACCTACCATGGATGTGTTAGGGCCAGACTCTCTTGGAAGGATGCTTCTCTTCTGTTCTCTTCCCTTGCCCTCTCCCTCTCTTTATGCTTCTGTTTTGTGATCCCCCATTTACACACAGGAACAACCTCAAAGTTCTGGGTTGGAATTGGGACCAGAAAATGACTATAGCTTTATCTTCTAATATTTGTGTTGATTAATGCTTGAAATTATATCTAATAATTCATAGTCACTAAAAAGAAAATTTGAGTGAATATTTGATAGTAGCTTATCCTCTTAAAGTTTACAGACCTCAGGCCAGGCTGATTCTCATTAGGGCCAGGCATGCTGGCTCAGGCCTGTAATCTCAGTGCTTTGGGAAGATCTCTTGAGGTCAGGAGTTTCAGACCAGCCTGGGCAACATAGTGAGAGCCTGTCTTTAAAAATACATATATTAAAAATTAGGTGGGCATGATGGCGTACATCTATAGCCCTAGCTTCTTGGGAGGCTGAGGCAGGAGGATCACTTGAGCCTGGGAGTTTGAGTTTACAGTGAGCTATGATCACGCCACTGCACCACTCCAGCCTGGGCTACAGTGAGGCCCTGTGTCTTTAAAAAAAAAAAAAAAAAAAAAAAAAAAGTTTACAGATGTCCTAATCATTAGAGCTAATAAGGCCTAAATTACTATGTACTTGCTGGTTCTCCATGTTTTAATTTTCCTTTGGGCTAAATCAGGTGTAAAATTGGGAATCTTGAATTTAAACCTCTAACTCAGGGATTCAAAAAGTGTGGTCCATGGCAACTCTTGAGGGTCCCCTTCTGGACCGTTTCAAGGATCTTCTTCATTATACTTCAGCCAGAACAGCATGCCACAGCACACTGAATACAAAAGCAATTGAAATAATCTAGCTGTCTGGATTATTATTTAATATTTAGTGTTAAATGCTAAAGAGATTTGTAAAACCATGGCATTCTAATCACTTAATATTTTTGTTCTGAGAAATAGTTATTTTTCATTAAAATGTTATTTTAAATATAACTGCTTTTTAGTTGTTTTAAAAGTGAATTCCTAAAAGTTAAAACATGTAATTTAGTTATTTAGTACAGTAAATAATGATAGATGTAACCCACATAAGCAAAAGCTCTTTAGGGTCTTTAATAATTGTTAGGAATATAAGTGGATCCTAGGAACAAGATCTTTGAAAACTACTGCCATAACTTAGGAGGGACAGCTGTTCACTAAGAATGGGATTTCTATAGTCTTTTTATCTTTTCCAAACAGCCTAGCAAAGCAAAAAAATCTTAAAGGCCGTGTGTCAGATGGGCTTGATTATTCCATATTTTCTGTCTCTTCAATGTAGATGGACATGCCTAGCTTTGCCTGTAACAGAGAACTCTTTCTTCCTGTCTTTTTCCTTTCTGTATTTCATCTTCTCTCCTCCCCCATGAGGACATTATGGAGGGCTGGCCAGAAGTGGGACTTTGCAAGTCACAGAAGTGGCAAAAATTATTCCTAATTGCTGTTATCATCTGTCAATGAAAGGGAAAATGTAGGTCTGATGGCCTTTTTGATGCTTAATATATAAAAATTGCCCAGCAATTAGCTTTGTAACCACCATCTATTTAATAGCAGTAACTGTTGTTACTAGCTGTTTCTAGCTCTGTCTCAGTCAGTACATTTGTGATTTTTCTTTTTGTGATTTTTTTTGTGATTTTTTCATAATTATATCTGAATTACATATTCATATATGTGGATTTATAAATTGTTCATACTAAATTACAATAAATACATTTTAATATATTAACTTCTATGACTTTTAAGTTCTTGTTCACTAACTGTCTGGGAAAGCTGCTTTAGCTTATGAAGCCTCATTTTTCATGAGCGCAGCTTTTAGTCTTACGTTGTGGGACTTAAGACATCTTGTCCTGCCCCAAGGTGGGAATGATTAAATGGCTAAAAAGAGGCAGATACTATTTTTGTGATAAATATGGGTTTCATGTCTCATAGCAAGTTATTTTAGCCTGGAGTTTGTTGTCATACAGACACTATATTCTGTCTGCCTTTCATTCCCTTTTCTCTACTTCCTTGTTTCTCTGGCAGTTAGGCACCTTATAATCTATTGTCTGATGCATGTCCAGCTAGTGACTTCAGTTCTTCCAGGCTTATTTTACAATAGGCTTGATCTTTATTCAGTGGTGCTACAATGACCTGAGGATGTCATCTGTGATTATTTGCATGCTTTCTTACATGAGGATAGTAATTTGCATGTAATTACTTTATCTTTATTCATGAATTTTTATCCTTTATTGCTCATAAATTGAAGAAGCATTTTGCTGGATGTTAAATAGTCAAAAATTGTGATACCTCTGTGTGGAACATTTTCCTCTTAAAACAAGAATAAAGAGAGGCTTTAATAGTCTGTCTTGTTTTCCACTGATGATAAGAGATGAATTGCAGGAACCACTTCCACTCTGATGAGACCATTCACAACACACAGCAGCAGCCAAACCTGTTCCACGATTTTTACAGCTTAATCTCGGCTGTGCTTTCGTGCATTTGGAAGCGTGATGGTGCCCTGTCAGGTCGCCCATGTGCATATTTTGGGGCATTGCCTCTGAGTTAACATTGGGCATTCCTGTTTTCATAATCTAGGTAAGGTAGAAAAATTCTAAGGAGTCTTTTGAAGATGGTGTTGAATAGCAGTATCTTTGAAGTTAGTTGGTATTTCATATATGAAAAATATTGTGACATTATTTCATTAATACATAAAAAATTCCTAAGGGGTAGATGCTGTTCTAATCTAAGAGAAGAAATGCTGTAGTTAACTGGAATTATTTGTATTCCTGTTAAGGTACTATGTTACATGAGATGAGAGAAACAAATAATTCAAAATTTTTGGTCTTAAGGAGGCTGTTAATTGTGTAGATAGTATAAGTCATGGTCAAAAATATCCACAAGGCAGTGTAAGTAACATGAATGGTGCAGAATGGTAGTTAGGAAACAAATATAGAATGCTACTCATGTAAAGGTACCAAAAATAATTCTTACAAGGTAGACCTGCTATTTATGTGAGCTTTTGTAATTTCTGAAATGATTCACATGAGAAAACAAATGACTTCTGTGTTCTGGAAAATTTCAAGAGTATTTGGCTATTACATTGTCATTCATGTAGGAAGAAATACATTTTTTATGAAGGAGTTTATTTTGCAAATATTATCCTGCTCTTTGCTGTGGTAATATTGTAACAAAGAGAATTCCTTTTCCTATTCAGAAATACTCACTGGTTTCCCATTGATTTAAAGTTTTCCTCAAGCCTTGAAATCAGTCCCACTTTGAAGACTGGATGAATGATATGGGTGCCTAGGAAATGTGTCTCCAGTCTCTTCTGCAGATAACTAATGGAATTAGCCTTATATTGCTAGGAAGATGGTAGAGTGGGTTTTTGCATAACTATTGTAGTATGCAGCAATAACCCTGCAATGGCTTCCTATCAATCTTAGAATAAAGTACAGAACTTTTTTTTTTTTTTTTAAGAGAGAGTCTTGCTCTGTTGCCCAATCTGGAGTGCAGTGGTGCGATCATAACTCACTGTAACCTCGAATTCCTGCACTCAAAGGATCCTCCTGCCTCAGCCTCCTGAGTAGCTGGGACTACAGGTGCATGCCACCACACCCAGCTCATTTTTAATTTTTTTGTAGAGATGAGGCCTTGCTACTACATTGCTCAGGCTGCTCTTGAACTCCTGGCCTCAATGTCCTGCCTCAGTCTCCCAAAGTGTTGGGATTACAGGCATGAGCCACTGCTCCTGGCCATCTTTAATTCTATTTAGTAAATCCCATGTGAGACAAACCCAGTTTATTTAATTTTTATGTATTCAACCAAACTATTTTAATAGAATTTTACATATTTTTGAATTTCAAAAAGTAAATGTGGACAATTTTGTCATTTAAATATTAGCTGTCTTGTGTTGTTTTAGATAGAGGTTGCTTCTTGGTAAGCAGCTTCTTGAAATACCAGGAATTGTCACGCAGAGAGATAGAGAAGGCAAGGGCAATAGGATTCCCATGGAAAAGGGAGACAGCTGTCTTTGTTTAACTAGGACAGTCCTGGTTTTTGATGAACCATCCTGAATGGATATGTACTGAGAGAGTCATGACCTAAAAAATGCCTTTGGGTTTGATTCCTCCTGGAAAGTAGTGTGATGGCAGAACAGCCACTGTATGCCTTCTCTCAACCAGCTCTGGTGTTTGGAAAAGGGTATTCAGGTCCTGGCTTTGCAGTCTTTCCAAACATTTGGGGTCATGTTGGCGTTATTCATAGAGTCACTTCATTCTTTATGTCCAGTTCTCTTGTTAGAAACTAGAGCTAGGCTAGGCGCAGTGGCTCATGCCTGTAATCCCAGCAGTTCAGGAGGCCAAGGTGAAAGGATCACTTGAGGTCAAGATTTTAAGACCAGCTTGGGCAACATAGTGAGGCCTTGTCTCTTCCAAAAAATTAAAAAGTTAGCTGGTTGTGGTGGTATGCACCTGTAGTCCCAGATACTCAAGAGACTGAGGTGGGAGGGTCACTTGAGCCTGGGAGTTTGAGGTTCCACTTCACTGGAACTCACCATTGCACTTCAGTCTGGGCAATCAAAGTAAGACCCTGCCTCAAAACAAAACAAAAAACAAACTAGAGCCAGTTAGAGCTCTGTCCATCTAGAACCACTCTTGTTAACAGAACTGTAATTTCCACAGCATTTTGTTTTTCAAGTGAGAATAAGTTCTTCTGATGATAAAGTCGTGTGCTATTTATAAAAATTTAAGCAGTATAGGAAGCATGAAGAAGAAAATAAAAATACCGAAAATTCCACCAATCACCTCTAATACTTTTCAAAATGGAAAAAGCAGTAGGCATTGGGATATTTTTAAACTTTGTGTTATAAACAATTGTGAGATGAAGAACAGATGCACAGCATGGCACTTGTTATTTTCCGTAACAGCTTTATCGAGCTTTACTTCACATACCATACGGTTTACCCATTTAAAGGGTACAATTCAGTGGTTTTAGTATATTCACAGGGTTGTGCAACCTTTGCCACAATTTTAGAACATTTTGGGTTTTTTTTTTGTTTTTGAGACTGAGTCTCACTCTGTCGCCCGGGCTGGAGTACAGTGGCGCGATCTTGGCTCACTGCAACCTCCGCCTCCCGGGTTCAAGCAATTCTCCTGCCTCAGCCTCCTGAGTAGCTGGGATTACAGGCACATGCCACCAACGCCTGGCTAATTTTTTGTATTTTTAGTAGAGACGGAGTTTCACCGTGTTAGCCAGGATGGTCTTGATCTCCTGACCACGTGATCCGCACGCCTTGGCCTCCCAAAGTGCTGGGATTACAGGCATGAGCCACCGTGCCCGGCCAATTTTAGAACATTTTTAACCACACCAGAAAGAAACCCTCTACCCTTAAGTCATTGTCCCTTTACCCCAATTCCTCCATACCTCCCAGCATCTGGCAACTACTAACATAATTTCTATCACTGAAGATTTGCCAGTTCTTGACGTTTTATATAAATGGAATCATAAAATATGTGGGGTTTTTTTTGTGACTGGCTTTCAATTAGTGTACTGTTTTCAGGGCTCATACATCTTGTAGCATTTATCATGCATGGCATTTTGAAAAGCAAATCTTAGTTAAAAAACATGTATTTATGTATCTAGGCATGCTTTCTTAGTTTTAGTTACTGGCTCTTATTTTAATTGTGTGAGTGTGGTGTATAGTGAAAAGTAATGGCTAAATCTTAAGAATTTTTAAAGCAAAGATTAAAATCAAAGCAAGAAGCCTTCCTCAGATTCTTTAGTTTTTTTTTTTTTTTTAAATAAACGTTTTAAAACTTGGTAAATTATGTAAAGGAGAACTGTGTAGCATTTTCAATGCCAGATTGAATGTAAACAGGGATGAATTCTTGACCAAATTGTGGAAATGTCTGAGGTTTATTCTCTTGGTCCAGGCTCAGTTTTCTTGCCCAGAATTGCCCTATCTTCACTGCCTTCATTTTTTCCCCACCCCTAAGTATGTTACTGTAGTTATCAGAAACCTCATGCCTTTGTATTTCTCTTAATTCTTTTTTTCTCCTATAAAAGTGGGAGAAAACAGACATGGTCTTTGAAAGTCTTTTTAAATTACTTATAAAGAGTAAAAACACCTATCTTGGTTAAAGGAGATTCAGTTTTTTACATGTGGATAAGAGAGTGAAATTGTGTTTCCTTAAAATGATGTGAGGTATCCTCTTATCTTGAACGCTATGGAATTGGGTGCCTTTATCATTTTCCCCTGAAACTTCCAGCTTTTAGGCTATTCCAGGTTTATTTTCTCTCTGTTGCCCACTCGCATCCAGAGTGAAAGAAACGAAAACAAACCCTCTTTCTTTTGTACCCAAATATAAGTTTGAACCTTTTTGCTTAATTTTAATATCATTCTAAAACTTTTCTCCCGAGAGTCTTTAGACAGATTTCTCATATTTCCTAGGAAATCTGATATTATCTAATTTTATATTTATACTTCTCTCCTTTCAAATCTCTTGAAGTGGCTAATCAGAAAAAAGCATATACAATAAAACCTGAAGTAGGAAGTGAGATTCCAAGTGAAAGAAGAACTAATTATTTTAGTTTTCTGAGGGCTAATAGTAACTCTGAGTGTTGACTGCCAGAAAGTTCTAGTTGGTACAAAAAGAGGCACGCCAGTTGAGCAAGAGAATAATATTAGAAGTAGAAGGCACATGCATGTTTCAGAAAGGCTCTGCAGAGGAAAGGTGATACAGCATATTTGAGAAATTGAGAGACCGGTGTACCTAGAGCCTAGAGAGCAATAGAGTAGGAATTGGATGAGATACGTGGCAATCACATCATGGGGGGCAAGCACTGGATTTTGGTATTTATCTTAAGAGCAGTGGGCAGCAATTGAAGAGCTTTTACTAAGAGCGATGATTTGGGTTAATTATTAAAGTATCACTGGCTACTGTGGGGAAGGGGACAGATACCACGATTGGAATGGGCAACTTAATTAGATGATGCTAATGTAATTGTCTAGGTTGGTGGTCTCTCAGTTTTTGAGCTTATCCCCTCATACATGTGTGTTTATCATTTATATATATGTACTTTGTTGTTGACAAGTTGAGTACATTATAAGACGTTAAAAAACAGTAAAATGGATGAGAAAAATTAATGAATGGAAGTGCTACTATTTTTTTCCCTGCCCCAACTGATGTATGTTAAGCTTCTGGGATACTTGTTGCCCCACCCTGAACATGACTAAGCAAGGGATCATGGAACAAGAACAGTAGCAATGGAGAGAGTTTGGAGAGAGAAATTAGGAGGTTGCATTAACAGGACTTGAAAATTGGTTAAATAGGAGTAAAAGAAAAGGTAGTGGATTTCTGGTTTGTGTAACTGAACAGATAAGAGCTCTGATTAAAGAGTCAACCAACACTCTGATAGATGCTAATTGTGTTAAAGTAGCATTCTGCCAGAATGTGGTGGTTTCTCTGAGCATATACTCAATAATGCCCTTAGTAACAAATGGTAGGAGGGCATTTGATGGGCAAGTCTTGATCTGTGTTCAGGAAGAGGAAGCAGAGCAATGAACCTGAGGACACAGGTTACTCTTGCCTTTGGAGGCATTAGGGTATGACAGCATTGGTAAATGATAGGCCCCTCAACTTCCAGTTGCCTCTTCAAGTGTCTTTAGCTAGAGGCAGGGCCATTCATTTCACGACTAAAAATAAACGGCTTACAAAACATGGTGGACTGAGGAACATATTAAGACTATTGCCAGTGCAGACAAATAATTTTTCAGCAAGTTATCAACTGATAGAAGTGATTTTCATATTGGCTTAGAAGGGAATAAAATGCATTCGGGTCATAAGTTGGGAGAGGATTGCAAGAAATAAAGGATGGGAAAAAAACCCAATCATATATACAGTTTTGCCTTAAGGTTGAGTGAAAAAAAAAAGGCGGGGGGGAAGATGTTTATGATGGTACATTTTCATGTGTAGCTATATATGCACGATGCTCCATTTCCTGAGATATAGAAAAGTTTTTTTATCACATTTTAAAACAAAATTTGAAATAATATTTTTGAAAATGTTTCAAAATGCCACTTTAAAAATGCATTGCTTTGAATAAAATTTACTGTTTGTAATCCTTATGCCTCCTAGCACAGTGCCCTGCAATGTGGTAACTTTTTTTTTTAATGCAGCAACTGTACCACTGCAGTATCTGCCTCCCTTCTATTCTAGATACCTTTGAGCAAACGTAAACTCATTTGCTTTCATTCTGTCTCAAAAATGTATTGCGTAGAACTTTGCAATCATGAGAGAAATACCTGGGGACATTACTGATGGTCCGAAGTGTGAACACCACTAATTTAGATGCTGATGTTGTGATCACTCACCCAGTCAACTGACCAGCCTTCCAGAGAATGCAAATCAGATTCAAGCCAGTCTTTAAGCAAACATCTCATTTAATCGTAAGAAACAATGCTGAGATGGGTCATATCCACATTATCAATTGCCTTGGGACTAATTGCTAATAGGAGAAACTGCTGGTTGTGAAAATCATGAATGCAGAGTCTACTGTAGTAATTATATACAGTAATAAAATACAGTCATGCCAATCAAATCTAAACAGCCTGTCGTTTTCCACTACTGCTAACTTACCCAGCGTTTCTACATTTCCCTGCTTGTACAAAACGCCTAATGGTAAAGTATGTTAAAGGCAGGGGTAAGCCTGAAGGATGGCTGTTTGACAACTGCATTAGCGATAAAGGGACAGCCGTGAAAAAAAAAAAAAAGTCAATAGGCCTAACTTAAAGAGAAATGTCCTTTCATAGGTAAAACGTAAGGTTTATGTAACATCAGTGCTAGTGTTAAAAAGTATGCTGAAAACATCGTATTACTGAATTTACTCAACCTGGACAATAAGTGTTCTTTCCCTTATTCTGCTCTGTTGCCCTGACTGAATGAAGAAAGAGTTAATGGTATCAGTATTAAGCAGGAAGTTCTGTTAGGCTTATGCATATGATGGCATGAATAATTTAGCATCTTCAGGAAATGCAAACTGCAGTAGAATTTAAGCAACCTATCAGAATTTAGATCAATATTTTACATGATAGTATGAAATTAAAGTCAGTGGAAAGAAGATGCTTAAAGATACCAAGTGAAGAATGTTAATAGTTTAAACTGTGAGAAAGACTGGGAATTTTTTATTGGAAATGTTTTGTCTTACGCAGCAATAATGGTTTACCTGCATTCTGACACTTGTCAGATGACTTTTTGCCAACATGATTGGTAATGGGATGTGGCAGTATCTTTGCTGTCAAAGAAGAGATAATTTCTCAGGTTTTTCTTGTAAGTTTTAAAAATTGTCCTTATGGGTTTTTTTTTCTCTTTAAATATGGAATAAAGGAACTGAAGGGTAAAACCTGAAGACTAGTCATGTTTCTTTAATAAAGGTTTTATAGAAGTAGCCATTTGCAAACGTCGGTAAGACAGATTTTTAAAAAAACAGTTTAAACTTATAATTATTGAAAATATTCTAAATTGTTTATCTCCTGTGGAATGATCTCATTAGCTTGGTAGACATTTTATGTGTACGCCTGTGGTCTTTCTATATCTTATGTCATTACTGTAAATAAATATTGTGCATGCAACTTTAATAGATTGGGTGGTTGGAAGTACTTAGCAAAGGTGACATTTATCAATCTTATTTTGTGTTTGCAAAAAAAATACAGTGTATGTAATATTTTCAAAGCAAGACAATTGGATTATGTTAAATAATTTCTAAAAATGATGAAAAATTCTCTTTTATTTAAGACATTACCATTTTTAGATGTGTGTTATTTAATTATAAATTGGTTTGGTTCTGATTTTTCTAAAACTTTTAGTTAGCATGAGTTGTATGTTTTAAATAATAACAGTCTTAGGGGAGATCTAAAACACTGTCTTGTTTGCCTTTATGTGGGCTTTCCTAAGCCCCAGTGCATTTTAACCACTAATTGTTTCTTGGTTAATACCAACGGAAAAAGAAAATCTTTCCCATGCTGAAAATAATTTCTTCAGGATTTTACAGAAAATTATTGATGTAAAGTTTTGGATGTCACTAAAGTAATAGTAAAAAAAAAAATTTACTTTTGTTTGTCTCATCTCAATTTTGAGTGTCACTTTGATTTCATATAAACCCTTCCCCTTTTCATAGATCATCACCTTCTCATTGAGTTTTTTCTCCTAAAGAGAATTTACTTCATTGACACTTAAGCTAAAATTTAATGTAAATAGCCTAAATAAATGGCTGTTTGATCTGGCCACACATTTTTAATAAGACATTTTGTCAAGTATGTATATATATATTGAGAAAAAAAATAGTAACATGTGGCTTGGTAAAAAATGAATAGCTGACTTTTAGCAAACCAAAGATATTCTTATTTTGTATCAGTGAATATAAAACTCTTTATTGCAGTGTGCCGTTTATAATGGCTTTGGTCTCTTTCCAACTAGTAGGAATGAGTTAATCTTAAGCACTTCCAAGCTTAAATTTTTTTCAGATTCAATTCTCCTAAATGAGAATATAGATCTTGTGAAATTAACACTAATAGCCACAGATCTTGGCTTCCTCTACCTTATCTTCATTGACTTTAAAAATATATAACCCTAAAATGCTGGTTGCACTCTTTGACCGTATAACTTAGGAAATAACTAAGTTATAAGTGCATCATTTGATCTATGGCTGCTTACAGGGTTTTTCCACCAAAAAACGATTGCATAAATTTTTTTAAGAGCCTATGTTAAAGAGGATGCGTTTTTATTAAATTACAGAGCTTCCAGGATGAGGATCTAGATAGGACGTATGTATAAATACATTTTGAACATTTCAAAGCACCTTTTAGTTTATGTGAAGTTCTTCAGATGGCCCCGTTGTCCTTCGAAGCTTCTAACACCAAGGTGTCTGTTGCAGCCCAGAGCAAGGTTACTGCTACCCAGGACAGCACTAATTTGCGATGTATTTTCTGTGGTAAGCAACATTATGTTTACATTACTTTTTCAAGCTGTGGTACATGCTACTTGCGCATTTCCATAACTTTTGTTTTCTTAGGCCATAGTCTGGTTTGTGATATTTGGGATATATAGCAAGCTATTGTTTTTATGTTGTGATATTTGTTGTGGTTCATGTAGGTGATTTGGTCAGCTTTGAGTTGGCTTGTTAGCGAGCATTAGAATTAGTTAGAATTAGGATCTTAAAACACTTCTTGTCCACCTCTTCCAACACAAATGAGAGGGGTTTTTGTTTGTTTGTACTTTTTTGTTTTTAATTATTTTGTTTGGGAGCAAATTTTTGATTTAGAATTTAAGGAAAAAATTTATGTCCATCTTAATATGATTTGAGGAACGTAAATGTGCCTTGTGCAAAGGAAACTTTTGCTTAACTTGAATTAATTTTAGGTGTGCATGTTGTGAGGCAGATGTAAGCTATTACTTGCTTTAATAGGTTGATTTCTGATTGACAGCCTCCTTTATTCAGTAGGTTAGAAATCTGTGACTTAAGAGTGAATTTAGGCTTATTGAGTGTTTTCTTTCACTCTCACTCTCATATACACATGTGTGCACATATATGTATTGTTTGCATGGACAAACCAGGTATGTCACTTAGCCACCCCAAATTAGAGAGAATAAGATATATATCTAAGGATACGTATCTATCTATAAACACAGATAGATACATATCCTTGTCTAAATTCTTTTTATTTCCATTTGTTTCTGAAACTTTGTTTTAAAAACCCAAGTTCCAAAGAGTTACTTTTAATTACTTGAGCTTTGAAAAGAAACCTCATATATGCCTTTTTGATTCATGTGTACCTTGCTAGCCAGATTATTTTATGAGAGAGATAAAGTTATTAAATGATATACAGTATTGCTCCAATTTTACATAAAGTGTTCAGCTCTGTGTATGTACTTTATGTGACTCAGAATTTTTAATGTGACTCCTCAATACTAATGATACTGTTTTTTTTTACCTATGAAGAGAATTATTTTAAAATGTATGTACTTTCTGGTTTAGGCAAAGAAGTACGTGTTGCAAATTTCTTTAAAATAAAAAAAAGAAAAAAGGAAAGAAAAGAAAAGGCTAATGTATTTGTTAGTCACTTAAAGTTATATTTTAGGATTGTTCCAGAGGACACAGTTACAGCAGTGAGCCTATTGTGTGGCTGTTCATAAATCCCTCCTCTCCCTCCCAGATCCCACAATGAAACACTGCAGATTAAGTGTGTAATCAGTAACTTTTTCTCCTCATTTTTCTGCCTCCTCCTGGGGGTTTTTCCGGGCTATCTTTTGAACTAGTCATGAGTGATTATTGATATTTGTGTTATTAGGACTCTCTTTAGCTCATTTTGAAAACCCATCCAATGTTGTATGCCTTTCTATTTAATATGTTGAGGTCCATACGCAGAATAATGGATACTTTACCCAATTGCAGAGAAAATATTGATTTGACCTAAGTGAAGGTGAATCTTTAAAGTTGTAAAATAATGTGTTAAAAAGTAGATTTCCCCCCATTATTACCTTTAATTTAACTGTGTGCAAACAATATAATTAACACGTTGCTAAGTTTAAACTTGATTGTATTGTGTATATAATAACACCGATTTGTCTTTTAGTCCTGTGTTTTTAAATAGTCTGTGGCTAATTGTGAAAATAGATTTGTGAAAATTAAAATGTGACAGTAAGTGGAATGTGCTTTAACCAAAACTCAATATTGAAGGCAAGACTGACATACAGTTCCTATTATAGAGTCTCCTGATCTGATTTTAATCATTTATAGGGTACTGTATCAGTGACATTGCCACATTTCTCTGTTACAAACAGTAACTCACAGACTTTGCTATATACCTTCTTCTTGTAGCCAGGACAAATTAAGATCAGCCACTATCTTTGGCTGTGAGGGAGAGAACAAACTCTCAAACAGCTGCTATTCTTTATGATAACATAGAAAGAGCAAAGCAGGTTCACTAGTTTCTTAACCTTGGTTGTTCTTCCCTCTTTTTCCCCTCCCCAAAGGGCTGTTAACCACCACATGATGCTCATAAAATATTGTCATTTTCCCACTGAAATGGTTATGAAAGTACCTATTTTGCATTTTATGAGAACACACTCATTTAGGAATGTGACCTGTGTAAAGTAATGTTTATATTCCTGAACATACAGCGGCAGCTGACAGACTTTGCCTGATCCTAGTTGCTGCTTCATGTCATGTGGGGTGCCTTTGGTATTACTTACCAATTTTATAGCCCATTAGAATGTTTGACAAGAAGGAAAAATGTAATTGTGTACCTTAAATTTATATTTACCTGGAACTTTTAATGTTTATAGTATGTTTGTATTAATTTTTAAATGCACATAAATTTCAATGTGCTAGTTACTGCAACCTGACAATTTGAAGAAGAAACAAACAGAACAACCAGATTAAATGTAGATGTGAAAAAGTGCCAAAGGGAGTGATTCCATGCACGGACACACACACACACCCAATTTAAAGGATGTCTGGAAAGACAAAAAGCCCAAAAATCCATTATCATCACAAAGAACCATGTAGAAAAGAATTGTTAAGAGTTGTTCTAGGATCAAAATTCTCCCCATTTTAAAAGGAACTTCCTTGAAGCTTTTCATCTCAGCTGCAGGAATAAACTGTAGTAAATTTTTTTTATAATTATGATAACAGCCACAAAATATTACCCACATTTTAAAAATCTCCTTTCTGAACAGATTTGCTTAGTAAGCTTTTAAAAAGCTTTAAAAAAATATTCCAAAGCAGGTTCTGTAAATTGCTAAAAGATTTTCTTTTCTCAGCTTTTGTGAGTTACATTAAACTTGTGTTAGTTTTTTAAAAACCTGTTAAATAAAATAAATAGGATTGAGTTGAAATTTTGACGTCTTTTTTGAATCTATATATTTGAATTAAAACTGAGATTTTAATTGGCAAATTTAATCCATTAATATTACCTTTGATATATAACACCTGTCCTAGGTGTGTGACTGGTATAATTGCATTCTTCTTTGAGGTAGATGCCAAACAGGTCTAACCTACTCACATTCAGCTGTTTCATTATTTAAGCAGCCTGAGGCTTTCAACTTAAATACTCAAGTAAACATTATTTTAAAAAATAGTTAAAACATAATGGTCTTGTGAGTTGCCCATGCTAAATGCTCACATTTAGTACTTTGGATATATAAAGTACATTCCCTAAATAATTTCATGCTACCTCAGATTTACCCGCCCCTCCCCACACTTGTGTGTCCCCAGAAGAGAGGTCTTTTCTCTGTAAAGTATTAAACATTTGTGTATAGCCTAATAGGAGAGTCTGTTTTTACATCATTATTTTAATTTCCCAAGAAAAGAATTCTAGTCTGTTTACTAGACAGCAATCATGTATTTTCATTTATACAAACATTTACGTGTGTATTTAATTTCAAAAGTTTTGTTTTTTTTTGTTATTGATTACATGGGATTAATTTTTTTTTATAATATTTATTTGGTTCTCAAAATAGCAGACTCTTAGGAAATCTAATGAAATATATCACTGCAGTTGTCATCAATTTGTCTTTAGAGGACAAATAAAGTGATTAATCTAAAAACATTTGTAAAGAGGTGAGAAAAAAAGTTAGTAGGTAAGTTCAGATCAAATTAATTCTGTTTTTCCACACTTGGGATACACCAGTACTGCATTACATCCTAATAAATCTTTACTTCCGGTTGTGAAATCTACTCCACTAGTATAAAATACTTTGCACAATTAGCCCATAGATTACAAGAATTTAGTGCACAGAAGCATTTATTTCGTAACTTATTTTCCTAAGTTGTCTACAAATCTTTCAGAATATCTGTTAGGAGCATTTGCTGGTACACTAGAATTCACAAATATATGTAGTGTGTCATTACTCATATATTCTTCTCCAAGAGTGGAAGATAACTACTGTTTCTTTACTTTCTTGTTTACTGGATTAGACTTTAAGATTGTTCTATTTTAACCCTAGGTATTATATATTAGGTCCAGTATTTATCTCATTTTGTGACAGATTTGATTTTTATATCCAATGACATTAAGATGTCCCATAATTCAGTGGCATTCTATCTAAGATGCAAAAAACAGGTCTGCATTGTACATGATATGTGGGAATGGATGGTCATTAGTGTCTCATGACAGAACCATGTTGTATGAATGCAAGTTTTTTTTTCTTCTTACCCTAAATGAAAACTTAAAATTACCTGTTACATTAAAAATTCAGTTCAGTAGGTTAATTACTATATGGAAGTTTAGCAAATGTTTGTTTTCACCAGTGCTGGAAATGCTAGGCTATTAGACAAAAATGGCAGCTTAAATTGGGCAAATTTGATAAATGCTTTAGCATACTGGAGTCTAGTAATAAGGTTCTCATGCTCTCTCTCTCTCCTGTTTTTCATTTCCAGTGTTCTATTTAGGTGAGTTTTTGAATTCTGATTTTTCATTTAAGTTCTCCCTCTCCACTTCATGAATAATTACCCCAAAGAGAATGTCTCATTGTCTTAGAAACTGTCAAGCTTAGGTGCCTCTTCAGATGCTCATCGAACACTTGTTTTACTCAAGCTCTTCATATATAAATGTTTCTTTTTCCTTATTGTTGATGTTTTCCATTTGTTTCAAGTAAGCCTTCTGGAGATGATGACAGTATTATGTTGCAGTCTTTCATTTGCTCTGTGTTATGTAAAGCTTATATTTTATTTTGCTAGACAAAAAGAAGACACGTTTGTAAATATGTGATGGTTTTATGTTATTCTCATGATTTTATCTCCTCTGTCCAGCTAGATATGAAAATAATGTTCATCTGTAATGTTTTCTCCCTCTGTAGGGCCAACATTGCCTAGACAAAACTCACAACTACCTGCTCAAGTTCAAAATGGCCCATCCCAAGAAGAATTGGAAATTCAAAGAAGGTAAATTTTCAAGTTATTGTTTGTACTTTTTCTTTATGCTTCAGAAGACAAAACTGAACATCCTGTGTTTAAAGTAGATTATGTCTTATCAGCTGTTTAAGAGTCACAACTTTTATTCTTACATTAGTAAGTTTTGTGACTGTCATTAGTAAGTTACCAGATACTTGTTATGCTGGACATGAGATGTTATAAAATTTCATATGTGTTTTTTTTTGTAAAAATTATACTTAAGGTATGTTTAAAATATTGTAAATACGCTTAACAGAATTCAAAATCTTCTTATGGTTCAAGAAGTCTTACTTTTGTAATTATAAAGTGATCTGTGAGTACTATGATTTTCATGTGACAAATTTAACTAAAAAGTTGAAATATTGTTGGCTGTTTCTGTAACACATTGATCTTCAGATATTACTATAGGGTTTAGTAGTAGAATACAAAATCATTCTCTACTGGGCAGCATTCTTCCATGACTAGGAGTTCTCTGAAAGTGGTCAGAGTACGTAGGCTGACAGGCTAACCTTTGGAGTACCAGGATGGTGAGCAGGCAGGCCTCAGAACCGCACAAACGCTGAGCTACTAAAAGTTCCACTGGAAGCCCCAACTCATCTGAGGCAGCTTGTTCAGTTTCTTTAGAGAACAGTCTTCTGTGGTAAATGCCATTCCATCCATTGAGCTGGGGTTGGGGAGGACAGGGGAGGAGCTGGTACAGCTGTTCTTCAGACAGTGTATATACTTATTAATCAGCTTGATTATTGTGGCACTGCTCATTCCCGTTCTCTCTACCTGCTGACCTCAGGTTAGATCTTTCCCAGATTCCTCTTCCCATGTCTGCTTTGACCGTCTTCAGTATGTGTTCTGGGTTATGGATGCCTCCACTGCTCCATTTATTTATGTCACAGGCATTTTTTGTTCTAAGTACTTATATTGGGAAGGGTGGGGAGAGTGGAGGGAACAAAAAGCCTGAAACTCATCAGACAATAAACATGACATGGTATAGTAGAAGATGGTAAGTGCTATGGGGAAAAATGCAACAGAGTAAGGAGGATTATATGTTGTGAAGGGGCAGAGGGAAGTGCTGGTTGTAATTTTATTTTATTTTTCCGTCCATTACTTATCAGTCTCAGTACTTGTGAGTTTAAATAGAGTGGTCAGGGTAGATCTCATTGAGATGAAAAGAAGGAATTAACCAAGCAGATACCTATGTAAGTGCATTCTGTGCAGAGGCCTTAAGGAAGGATGATGCTTGTGTGTACATGGGAAAACAAGGAGGCCGTGGAGGCTGGAGCACAAGAGAGTATTAGGAGTAGAGGTCAGATCATGCAGGACCTTGCAGGCTACTGTGAAGAATTTAACCTTTACTCTGAGAGAAAGGAGAACCATTGTACAGTTTTGAACATAGGCATGATCTGACTTAAAATTTTAGCAGAATCAGTCAGTCTGCTCTGTTGAGCCTACACTATTGAGAGACGACTTGAGGCAGGTGCAGTGTTGTGACAGCAGCTCAACAAGAAAGCCAGTTAAGAGGCTGTTGCAGTGAACTAGGCAGGAGATAATGGTGGCTTCCCCCAGGTGATAGAAGTGGTTGTTGAGAAGTCAGATCCTTATATGTCTTGGTGGATTGTATGGTGGGGATGAGGGAAGGAGAGGGGTTGAGGTTTTTAGGCTAAGCTAGTGGGAAGGATGGAGTTGCCATCAATAGTTGTGAAAGACTGCGTAGAGCAGGTCTTGTTGGGGGATGTCAAAAATGAATTTTGAGGATGTTTGGTTGAGATTTTTACTGGACATGTAAGTAGAGATGTTGAATATTAGTCTCTAGGAGACTAAGGAAGAATTCTAAACATATAACTCCTACCCTTTCTGTCTTCCGGAAATCTCATGATAAATTTGCCCTACTAATGACCACCACCTTCAGTTTTCTACTTGGTCATGGGTTTATTTATATGCATTTTAATGATGTTTCTGGAATTTTAGTAGAATTTTGGGGAAGATTACAGGACTCCTCAATCTACCAACCCGAATAAGAGTCCAGACACTCCTGTCTTGTCATCTCCCTGCTCAGCATTCCTTATGGCTGCCTCTCCTCACATCAGTTTACTTCTTTGGCCTGGCATTTAGGAACTCACCCCATGTTTGTGTTTCACCCCCTCATGACTGTCTCTGTGTACACCATACTCATCTTTCGCTCTGTGTTTGTGTGTAGCATTCACCTCTTCTGACATGTCCTTCTCATATCCTTTCTACGTTGTCATTTTCTGTAGACTCTTCTCCAGGCACACTGATGTTCTTGTTTTCTGAATTCCTGTAACTTAATCACACAGTGTTTTGTATTTTCTTCCTACGTGTTTATTTTACATTTGAGTATTACCTCCACAGTGAACATTATGGGCTAATTTGAGAGTAGAAACCTCAATAAAATTTCTAATAAAAAGTTAAGAAGTTTCTGGTACTGAATTAATTTATATGCAGGTTTTGGGGTATAAGACAGAAAGTATATATTTGACCTTTAATGTGGTAATTTTCTTCACTTTTGCCTATGGGTTTAGAGGAGAAATTACTGATGTTTAGCTGGTAAATGGCCTTTTAGAGACTTCCCAGGTGCTAGGGAAGACATTACCTAGGAAGGTTGTTGAGTTGATTAAGATAACACACTCTTTTCTTGCTGCCTAGGATTTTCTGTGTTTTTTGGGAGTTGGTGGGAGGTTCACGGAGGAGGTGCTCTTTGAGCTGTGCCTAAAGAGGCAATAAAGTAGGAGTTTCCAGTCATAGAAGGGAAAAGCATTCCAGGAAGAAAGAGTAGGTGTGTAAAGGCAAGGCGATGCAAACACACGTGCAATGTGAGTACGCTTCCTCCTTCCCCCTCCAGGACCAGTGGTATGGTTAGATGAGGTTGTGTCCACCTTGTAAGGGCCTTATATACAATTATAAAAGAGATATTTGTCATTTTTCTTTGACATATATCCCGTACAATCTGTTTTTGCCTGTGGTTAAACCATACTTGGAAAAAGATACTACAAAACTCTAAAATATCTACTAAATATTTATATAGACACTTAGTACTGGTTTTCACTTTCTCTCAGCTGACAGTAGTGCATGGCTGGATCTGGTTGTGTAGGCTAGCAAACGGGAAGGATGTATAGCACAGTCTAGTGTGAAGTTTGGTTCCCAGTAGAAATTATATTTCCAAAATTTATTTCATGTGGTTATTTATATAAAAATCATTTTTTAAAACTTGATTTAATCTTCAGAGGCACAATAAAATACCCTCAGGCCAACTTTTTACTTCATAAGTTGAGTGAAATTGTCCTGTTAACTTTGGCTGTTTAACTGGCCTTTTTCTATACTATTACTGGAACGTGTAGTGAAAAACATTATCAGTTTGCATTATAAATTCACAGCTGTGAGGATGTGGGTGAGGTGCCAAATGAAAAGAGGGATTAGGTGAAAGTTGGCCAACTTGGCTTCTTTCCCTTGCTCAGCTCCTAGACGCTGGCAGCCAGACCTGTAGAGCCCAGCAAGAAACTAAGATTCCTCTGTGGGAAAATTGCCATGGCCAAGAGAAGACAGAGATGTTGACACTCGTCCTTGCCAGTGAAGCTCATTTACTTAAGGGCCTCTGATCAACTTTGGTGCTGCTTATAAATATGAACAGACAGCCAAGGATCATCAAACCTTTCAGGCCAACTTCTATAAAAGAAGGACCAAAACAAAGAGTTGAAATTGTATGAAATAGATGCAATGCAGGGAGCGGAAGAAAACCTAAAAATATACTGCAATAGCTTCAGAGAACTAGGAGAATATATTTCATTGATGAAATAAAAATGGGTAGTTATTTTAAATGGATCATTCAGAGAACAAGAAAGTAAACTTGGAAACTTTTTTTAAAAACCACCTCACTGTTTTTTTCCCCGCCGAGAAATAGAAGGGCGTGTGCTGTGGCTTACATAATCCCAGCACTTTGGGAGGCTGAGGTGGGCAGATCACGAGGTTAGGAGTTAAAGACCAGCCTGGCCAATATGGTGAAACCCGGTCTCTACTAAAAATGCAAAAATTAGCCAGGCCTGGTGGCATGCACCTGTAGTTCCAGCTACTTGAGAGGCTGAGGCAGAAGAATCGCTTGAACCCGGGAGGCCAAGGTCGCAATGAGCTGAGATCGTGCCATTGCACCCCAGCCTGGCGACAGAGCAAGATTCTGTCTCAAAAGAAAAAAAAAAAAAAGAGAGAGAGAGAAAGAAAGAAATAGAAGTTTTGAGAACTAAGGTTGAGGAATTTATTCTCTGAAAATAGTCCTAAAACAAAGAGGTGGCATATGAGAAAGAAAGTAAAGTAAGAAGATCAGATTAGAAGGTTCAGCATCCAAATAATAGAAGTTCTGGGGGAGTGGGAAGGAGAACAAAAACGTGAAGAAATTGAATTTGCAAATAAATAACAAGAAAATTTGCTGGAACTCATTGATCGTCTAGATCAAAGGTCCGCAAACTTTTTCTGGGAAGGGCCATCTGTGTCATTTGCTAGACTCTTCCTTTGTAGCTCGCCATAGACAAAACGGAAATAAATGGTTGTAGCCAGATTTGGCCCTAGGGCTGTATACAGTTTGCTAGCTTCTGGTTTAGGTCAAAAAAGCTCACCAAAAGTCCAGCCCAGTAAGTGGGGAAAAAAACAAAGACCTCCCACCAAGACCTCTCACTATGGTATTTTAGAATGTTGTCCTAGAATAAGTAAGATTTCAAATGCTTGGTAAGGGGTGGTGGGAGTGACAAGGTGGGGGAGCTTCAAAATCCTAAGAGAATCTCTTTCCAGTCTAAAATCTCCTCTTCTGCACAACTTCCTAAGAAGCTATTGGAAGATGTGTTCTGTTAAGATGAGGGAGTAAAGCAAGAATGATGAACCCATGACAGCATCCAGGAGACAAGGAATCCAACTTAGGAAAGAGATAGGTAATTCCCGCACGACTAAGGTCAAAGCAAAACCTAGGGAATAGCCCATCCGGTTGGGGGCGCTGGGAGGGCTGAAGGCTCCCGACGGGTAGTTTCTGAGGGAAAGCAAAACAAAAGAATAGAAAAACCTGACCGTGGTTCTGCTATGTTGGACCATGTTGATAGGGATTACAGTTCTAATGGAGAGTTTGGGGTGAAGTAGGGACAGGTATATAGAAAAAGAATCAAATTTTTAAAAGTACTACTTTTTAGCACCAAAGTAAGAAAAAAATTGTTCTAGAAAGTAAATGTGATCAGCAGTGAATTATGTGATATGTGAATATTGGTGTATCCAAAGTGGTGGTATGAGTTTATTGGGAAAATGGAGAAGAAAAAGTTTTGGGGAGCTAGAGATATAGGAATTAAATCATTTGTATAGTAGGAAGTCAGTAGATAACATCTAAATATGAAAAGTCTAGAAGTAATAGTTCTAAATGAATTACTGTATTTAGAAACATGTGATAAGTACCAGAGTATTGAAAATAATTGCTTCTGGGGAGCAAAATCAGAAGTGGTGAGCGTTAGTAAGAGGATTACTGTTCTAAGTCTTATAATATAATTTGGCTTTTTAAGTTATTTATTACTACTGTTATGTTTAATTTTTTATTTTTAATAAATGTAGAGTCAATAGAGCACATGTCTAAGTGTTCATTCTTATTAGTCCAATACCCTTTATTATTATATCATTTATTAAATAGTTTTTGGTTCCTACTCATATAATTAATATTTGGCTTGGCCATGATGAGGAAACATATTCTAAGAAACATGAGTCAGTCCTATGTTAGTCTCCACATAGAACCTTAATATAGTTAATATCTATAAATAGTTCGCAAATCACCAGTACTATCTGAAAGTTATAAAAGGGGAATAATAATTGCGGCACAGAACTGAGCAGTTGGAACAATGTTGGAACAATGAGAGTGTATAGCCCTCCTATTGGCCTTCGGAGGCCGGATGGACCAAAAGTTGACCGCCTTCTCTTGTGAGTATCAACTCTTGCCTCAGCGGCTTTGTAATATTAAAACTTAGCTGTCTTATTACATTTTATCCATTTTTTATTTGTTTACTGATAGTGAAGTGAAATGCTCATGTTATACAATCAAACTGTATCTGTGTAGTTTTATTTTCTGAGAAATGTCAATAATAACAGTGTTACTAAATATTACCAACTCAGAACATTTTTCCTAGACTGTTCCTACTTCATTTTGTTAAAATTGAAATCATTCTTATTTACCTAGTAACACTATTCATTATAGGTAAAGCTGGGTGAAATGTATTTTGAACTGATGTTACTTAACATTTTACTTGCTTCAAGAAATGTCTTTGAGTCAACATAAACTAAATAATGAATATATATTTAAAAAGCTATTAATCTCAATGTGGGCTGATGCTTTGTGCATCTATTTACATTTGGGGATAGCTGTTTTGGAGAGAAATAGGTATTTGGGTGGTGGAGGAACTGTGTCTGATATTTTTTAAATGCTTAAAAAATAATATTGGTGATTTGCACTATAATTGTTTCTGAAAAAAATTTATATTCTCAGAAACTTTCAAATTATTGTAGAATATATATGCCTAGCTTAAAAGAAAAATTAAAGTAGTCCGTCAGGATTTTTCATGGTTCAGAATTAAGGCACTCTTTCTTTGAAAAAAGTCCTCAGACGATTCTATTAATGACTGAAGAAAACAGTTGGAGAGAGAACTCTAGGAAGAGGAGCCATGTGCATTTCCAGTATGTGAATTGGCAGCGATAATTCTGAGGAAAAGCAAAGTTTATAAATTTGGAAACTCCTCCTAGAAAGCTACACAAATGTCTTGCTTTAGAGGTCAAAACATGAGAGTCAAATTTATAAACCATCCAATTTAGGTGGGAATTATTCATGCCACACAAGATTCGGAAGCCAGAGATTTTCTGCTTGAATCACTATTTTGGGAAATCCGTTTAGATGGGCATCTTTTCAGCAAGCAAGCTAAAAATTAGCTTAAAGTGTTCAACACTTTCTTTTCTTACCTTCAGAACAAGAAAATAGTAAGAATCTCCTGCAGCTATATGAATTGCCTGCTTGAATCATCTGTCTGTGAACTTAGAAATATTCTCCAGCATTGTGTCCTTTTCCTATATCAGTAGACACTCCTTATCTTTTATAGCCTGAAAACCCTGGAATATGATGACATGTGGAACAAACTTCTTAAGTCAATACAACCTAGCTGTAAATGCTGTTACCAATAATTCTTTCAGATTCACCTCACCCATGCCTGGCCTTCTGCTTGTGACTTAAGCTTACTTTTTGTGTGTTAAAAGCATTGTATTGCTTAGAGAAACAGCCATTAACTTGGTGGTTAAAAAAAAACCCAACTACTAAGAACTTGAATGAGAAATGAAATGTAGTCATAGAATACTATTTGGTTCAGCTGTGAGCAGTATTTACATTATCATGTTAATAATGTAAGCTGTGAATATTGATTTTCCATATTGGGAGAAGCATGAGTGTAGTGAGGGAGTTGTAGAAGGCATCTTCCTGTTAGAAAGTAGATAGCAAAAGCTAAAATGTAAGAAACAGCTGCAAGAGTAGGAAACGGGTGGGAGGGTTGAGGCAGTGAACTACTGATTTTTGTTATAAACTTTAAAAACTATATATTTATGTTGTTTTGGTAAAATAGAAGAAGTAACAAATGCTCAAAGATCTAAAAACTTAGATCTTTTCATCATAGATTTCTTGGGACAGCTACTGTGCTCTTAAATGTTTCTCTTTAGCTTCTGTATTTAAATTTGTTCTAATTAGAATAATATGGGTGTATCTTTTGCCCTTTGGGCCCAACAGATTGCTTAGAGCATTATATGTAAAATGGCCCATATTTTTTGATGTAGGTTGAATTATCTGAAATTTAATACAGGCTCCAGCTGAGTTTATTAACTGCAGGTTACTGGAGAAACAACAACAACCAACCCTGACTTTCCTCTGTTTATTATTAAAAACATTCTTTTGAATACATCTAATTTCTTCCCCTCATCCCTGCAGATAAAGTTATTGTTATCCCTCAAAAACTTTGGCAGCTAGTGATTTATCAAATAGCATAATGAAGTCCGTACTAGATCCTGAAAATCTGATTTTATTAGTAGTCAGTATCTCAAACAACTACTCATAAATAAATAACTACTCATAAATAAAGTCAGTTTCTTGTGTTTTTCTCTTGCAGTCATTGTTAAGTGTGATGGTATGTCCAGGAGAGGGTGTGTGTTTTATGAGAGCAGTGGGGTTGATGTATTTGTCAAATGGGCCTTTTCTTTTGTTGTATAGCCAGCTTAGGAAACATGAAGGAGAGAGATTTTTGGAAAGATCTTACTGGTGTGTTGGTACCGCTGGAAGGAACAAAGGGATAGCATGCATGTGCTGTCATTTAGCTTTGTCTCTAACTAGACCCACCCAGTTTATTAGCCAGTCCAGAAAGTCCCAATTTGAAATTTCCAAATAATAACTATTGTTGGGCCGGGCGCGGTGGCTCACACCTGTAATCCCAGCACTTTGGGAGGCCAAGGCGGGTGGATCATGAGGTCAGGAGATCGAGACCATCCTGGCTAACACTGTGAAACCCCGTCTCTACTAAAAATACAAAAAATTAGCCGGGCATGGTGGCGGGCACCTGTAGTCCCAGCTACTCGGGAGGCTGAGGCAAGAGAATGGTGTGAACCTGGGAGGTGGAGCTTGCAGTGAGCCAAGATTGCATGGCTGTACTCCAGCCTGGGCGACAGAGCAAGACTCTGTCTCGGGGAAGAAAAAACAAAACAAAACAAAAAAACTATCGTTATAGCCCACATTGAACGTTCTTATGTTTCAAGTACTTCTTAAAGAGCTTTTAGGTATTACTTCATTTAATCTTCCCCACAGTGCTATGAAATACGTATGTGTAAGATAAAGATACTTTTTTTTTTTTTTTTTTGGAGACAGGGTCTTACTCTGTCACCCAGGCTGGGGTACAGGGGCATAGTCTCAGCTCACAGCCACCTCCATTCCCCGGGTTCAAGTGATCCTCCTGCCTCAGCCTCCCAAGTAGCTGGGATTACAGGCGCACACCACCACGCCCAGCTAATTTTTGTAATTTTAGTAGAGACAGGGTTCCACCATGTTGGCCAAGCTAGTCTCAAACTCCTGACCTCGGCCTCCCAAAGTGCTGGGATTACAGGCATGAGCCACCGTGCCTGGCAAAGATAACTTTTTTTTTAGGGAAGGTTAATTGACACAACTTTTCCTAAAGACAATTTGGAACCATGTATCAAAAATCTTAAATTCATACCTTTTCACCTAGCAAAATTTATGTCCTTATTGATCCTATAGAAACAGAAAAAGATTCAAAGATGAAGACAAATGTTATTGCAGTATTGCCAATAGTGTTAGGATAACTTAATATCCTACTGTAGGAGACTGCTTAGACTGTGGACAGCAAAATAATCGAATATTATTATGCACTCATGGAAAATAAAGATGCTGAACTAAGTGCCTTAGGATAACTCTGTGTGTGTGTGCGCGCGCGTGCGTGTGTCCATCCAGAGTTGTACACACAGGCAGGTTCTCATCCCAGATATCCTCAGTTTTACTAACTTATGTCTCCCTCCCTCCCTCCCTCCCTCCCTCCCTCCCTCCCTCCCTCCCTCCCTCCCTTCCTCCCTTCCTTCCCTTCTTTTTCTTCCTTCCCCGCTTCCTCCTTTCTTTTCTTTCATTGTTTTTGGAGACAAGGTGTCATTCTGTTGCCTGGGCTGATGTGTGATGATGCAATCTTATCTTACTGTAGCCTCAGACTCCTAGGCCCAAGCAATCCTTCTCCCTCAGCCTCCCAAGTAGCTGGGAATACAGGTGCATGGCACCATGCCTGGCTGATTTTAAAATTTTTTGTAGAGATGGGTCTTGCTTTGTTGTGCAGGCCCATCTTGAACTCTTGGGTTCAGACAATCCTCCCACTCAGCCTCCCAAAGTGCTAGGATTACAGCTGAGCCACTGCTCCCAGACCAACTTTCACAATATATTAAGTGAGAGAAAGGAAAGCAGATTTCACAGTAGCGGGAAATGGTTACATTTTATTTTGTTTTTAAAGTTTATATGTGTATTTTTACACAAGGGGAAGTCTAGAGGTATATAGGGGTGCGTGTGTGCGCGTATGTGTATATATAGATGTGTGTCTTTATATACATATGTTGATGATAGTTGCCTCTGGATATGAGATTTCAATCATTTAAAGTTTATTTCTTCTTTCTTGACTCTTTTTCATTCAGTAAACTTTTTTTTTTTTTTTGAGGTGGAGTCTTGCTCTGTCACCCAGGCTGGAGTGCAGTGGCACGATCTCGGCTCACTGCAGCCTCTGCCTCCCAGGTTCAAGCGATTCTCCTGCCTCAGCCTCCCAAGTAGCTGGGATTATAGGCGCACGCTACCATGCCCGGCTAATTTTTTATATTTTTGGTAGAGATGGGGTTTCACCATGTTGGCCAGGCCAGTCTCGAACTCCTGACCTCAAGTGATGCACCTGCCTCGGCCTCCCAAAGTGCTGGGATTACAGGTGTGAGTCACTACACCTGGCCCATTCAGTAAATATTTATTGAGCTATTGCTGTGGCCAGTCATTGTATTTTCTGAAATATTATTTGTACAATTAAATTTGATATTAAGGATATTACAATTACAAATGTTTTCACTAAATAATTAAAATAATGACTTGGTTATTAAAGTGGTATGTTATTTGGAAAATTCATTTACTTGCAACACTACTCATGAAAAGTACAGAATAAAATGAAATGTTAGTGCAATGTGCTGAAGCATTCAGCCAATATGATGCTAATAGGAGAAATGATTTTCATTTGTATGAAACAGTCTCTATCCAAGGTAGCCTTCATGTGGGAGGAGAGATGTTTGCATGCTCTACATTGCTTTTATTTGACTCAGAAATAGTTTACATAGGTGAAAAGAATCGCTTTTTCATGATGAGTAGCCATAGATGCATGTTTTTACTTTTTTTTTTTTTTTTCCAGACAACTACAAGAACAGCAACGGCAAAAGGAGCTGGAGCGGGAAAGGCTGGAGCGAGAAAGAATGGAAAGAGAAAGGTTGGAGAGAGAGAGGTTAGAAAGGGAAAGGCTGGAGAGGGAGCGACTGGAACAAGAACAGCTGGAGAGAGAGAGACAAGAACGGGAACGGCAGGAACGCCTGGAGCGGCAGGAACGCCTGGAGCGGCAGGAACGCCTGGAGCGGCAGGAACGCCTGGATCGGGAGAGGCAAGAAAGACAAGAACGAGAGAGGCTGGAGAGACTGGAACGGGAGAGGCAAGAAAGGGAGCGACAAGAGCAGTTAGAAAGGGAACAGCTGGAATGGGAGAGAGAGCGCAGAATATCAAGTGCTGGTAAGAAGTTTACAAACTCTTCTGTGTTCTTGTATCTGAGCTTGGATGATGTCTCTTGTGCAGTCATGTGTTAAAATATTTCACATTTGAGATGTTTGGGATTAAGCCATACAATTTGAAATTATGAATAAATATGCAGCAATTACTACTTTAACATTTTCTTTTTATTTCTCTCTGTATTGCTTTTATTGCTTGGAGACTTAAAGAAAGCTCTTGGAAATTTTTATTCTGCCATTCTAATTCTTCTAACACCCTATAAAATGGCTATAAAGTGTAAGTGTGTTTTTATGGGAAATTTTTTATACTGGATGAACTTCAAATATATTTCCCTCATGAGATCACTTAAATTGTCTCAAATACTATAGTACTGTAGTACCATTCAGCAAGAAATTTGCTTGATTGCATTCTAAAGATTTTGGAGGAAGAATTATTTTAGAGAAATATTCTCTAAGACTAGTTATTTAAATATGCTTTCTAGTATTATGAAAAATTAGTGAAAATTATGGAATCTGGAATTTACTGAAAGACATAAGGGTTAATATATGGCTGAAAGTTTGAGATATTTTAACGTTTATTAAAATTAACATTCATTATAGGATTTAAGAATATTCCTTATGGCCTAATTAAAAAGTCTTAATGTGGTTTGATTAAACAGTGGTTGGTTGGTTGGTTTATTAAGTTAATTTATGTATTTTTAGCTACCTAATTATTTTCTGGAGTTATGGCCAACAAAACAAAACTTTTCCACAAGTTAGCATTGAATAGGAGCATTGAACCCTTCATATTAAATGTTTTGCCAGCTTTACTAGTTTTGCTATTTGTTGTTTTTAAAAAAACAACTAAATTTATTCTTCTGTTTATGGTCCTATTCATGTGATTTTAATGTCCTTTTTCTTGTAGACTAAATAAAAATTAAGACTAATACTAGCTTTTTCTTGTAAAAGAAATTAGTCAATTAAATTTATTAATCCACTTATTAGATAAAAGGAAACTTATTTCATCCCCTTCTGAATCTCAAAATGTATTTACAAGTTAAAATATTCTTGGGTGAAAATAGTTATTTGCGTTTGTGCCTAATTCTCTGATACTAACTGTAGTCTACATTTATACATTGTGTCTGAATGCTGGTTTTGTGGCTTCACTAGCTCCCTTTTTCTCTCTCCTTTTTTATCCTGTCTTTTGCTGCTGCTTTCCACCTTCTGTCCAGCTCCATCTTCAGACAGCTCCCTGTATAACGCTCCACTTCCTGAGTATTCCAGTTGCCAGCCTCCTTCAGCACCTCCTCCATCATACGCTAAAGTCATCTCAGCTCCAGTGTCAGATGCCACTCCTGATTATGCTGTAGTGACTGCTTTGCCACCTACTTCCACACCCCCTACACCACCACTGCGACACTCAGCGACACGTTTTGCAACATCTTTAGGTTCAGCCTTCCACCCTGTTCTTCCCCATTACGCTACAGTTCCTCGTCCTCTGAACAAAAACTCTCGACCTTCTTCTCCTGTGAACACACCCTCTTCTCAGCCTCCAGCTACGAAGCCCTGTGCCTGGTCTACTTCCAATTTTTCGCCCCTCCCTCCATCTCCTCCAATAATGATTAGCAGCCCCCCAGGCAAAGCTACTGGTCCAAGGCCTGTCCTCCCTGTTTGTGTTTCTTCTCCTGTGCCCCAAATGCCTCCATCACCGACAGCACCCAATGGGCTGGTTGACTCTGTAACATATCCAGTGTCTCCACCGCCTACCTCAGGGCCAGCAGCTCCTCCGCCGCCGCCTCCACTGCCTTCCCTCGCATCACTCTCACACTGTGGATCTCAAGCTTCTCCTCCTCCAAGCACCCCTATTGCCTCAACTCCCTCATCCAAGCCTAGTGTTCTCCCTTCTCCCTCTGCAGCTGCCCCTGCCTCTGTTGAGACTCCTCTAAACTCTGTGCTGGGAGACTCTTCTGCTTCTGAGCCAGGCTTGCAGGCAGCCTCTCAGCCGGCCGAGACTCCATCCCAACAGGGTAAGGCTTTCATTATTGCTACTAACAGCTAATCACTTGAAAATGTTATATAGCAGTGACTTTAATTGCCTGAATGGATGGGTAGGATGGTTTTGATCCTTGAACATTTATATGCCATAATGCCATGCTTTTTTTTTTTTTAATTAAAAAAATTAAAGTAGAAAAATGTTTTTCCTGTTGGATTAATTGCATTTGGAGGAATTTCCTTATTGAACTAGGTTTTGATATCTTTTATAGTATCGCAGTTAAAGATGTTTTCTAGTATTTAAGAGCCCCTCATAATACATTTCTTTATTTTTTTCTTTTTTTTTTTTGTTTTTTTGAGACAGAGTCTTGCTGTGTTGCCCAGGCTGGAGTAGAGTGGCACGATCTCAGCTCACTGCAACCTCCACCTCCCGGGTTCCAGCAATTCTCCTGCCTTAGCCAGCTGAGTAGCAGGAGTTACAGGCACATGCCACCACGCCTGGCTAATTTTTGTATTTTTAGTAGAGACAGGGTTTTGTCATGTTGGCCAGGCTGGTCTTGAACTCCTGACCTCATGTGATCTGCCCCTTCGGCCTCCCAAAGTTGCTAGGATTACAAGTGTGAGCACCGCACCCAGCTAATACATGTCTTTCACTGGGAAAACTTTGCTTGACACGTTGATCTACCACACAATAAATACATGATCTAAATTGTTTTCCTTCATTTTTCTGGGAGACTTAGAGAGATATATTTAGTGCCCAACTGTAGTCATTAGATACGTCATCCCAGAGTTTCCTTTGGAACAGTTCTGATCTTGGGCCCTGTTTCCTTCTTGCCTTTCCTATATTAGATGCCCCATGTTGGACTTCCAGGATAGGTGTCACCCTAACCCTTGGAGCATTATGACTTTGCAGGAGGAGTAGAGAGGATGGCAGGGTTCATATATGCCCTAAAGGGTTCCAAGGTCCAAAATTACAATAAGTAGTGGCTTGAAGGGGTAATCAAGAGAGAATAGCATCCTCTGTAGTTATTCTCCCCGTCCCTACCTTATTGTTATGGTAACAGGGAAGGCAGGATGTAATCTCTAAGTGGATTATTTGTAAGTAGAAAAGGACCTGGTTCTGTAAGTAAATAAGAAGATGCTTGGCAACCCTAGTTTTTAAAATATGATTTAAGGAGGACTACAGAAAGAAAACTGAAAACAAATTTGTACTTAAACATTGCAAGGCTTGTTATTGCTGTATATGTATATATTTTGTTGTTGTTGACTTACAAATTTGCTTAAAAGGTTAGTCAGAATTCTAAGACGTTCAGTTTGGTTTCACCATGACAGTTATACTGTACAAAATGGGCACAGTCAGCCTGACAAAGTGACCTGCTGTACCCTCAGAACTCTTAACAACCCCTACAGAAGGGACAGACTATTTCTAGATGCTTCTTTTAACAATTGATGTTTTCTGCTTGTGTAACTGCTCAAGCTGAAAAAGTTAGCAATTACCACCCAGTGTGCAAAATAGCATTTTATTCGTTCTGAAAACACCCCTCTTAAACCTTAACTAAAAGAGCACCTACTGTTTCAGGATTCTGTTATTAAATAAATTCTTGTTCACTCCCTTTGTGATTTTATAACATTTGAACATTTCTCTTCTTGCCCCCCATTTTGTGGGATAAAAACAACTCTACTTCAAATCCTATGGTATTTAATTATTTCCGAGCGTTATTTTGAGGTTTTACTTTGTACTAGTAAATTCCTTTACTTCAGTGATTCTCAGCCTTGGCTATCCATTGAATTTAAATGTGAAGTATTTTTTAAAATGCTGAAGCTGGGACTTACTCCTCCTTCATGTTTTTAATACAGCCACTTTGACTGTAAACAATTAAATGTATGTGTTCACTGTTACTGAATTTACTGTCTCAACACTTAAGGTTAATGTGGATTATTTTGGGTCTGATATTTCAAGTAGTACTAACTGCCATCCTATATACTAGTTTGTTTTTTCAGGGACGCTTACCTCTCTTCCAAATTTTATAAGTATTTATTTTGCTTATTTACCAAATCCCCATGAAAAAAAAAAGTCTTAATTAGATGATCTGTTGCATAGTTCTATTACTAAAGCTCTAACCTAAAGTAAGTAGTTATATATACTTGGACCTTACATTTCAGTATCTTTCAAAAACTGATCTAGACTTTTACAACTATGATAAATTGGACTCATTAAGTAAATACATGAGTCAGTTTAATTTAGCATGGCATTCTGCGTACCTTCCCACATAAAATAATATCACTCAGCTCTATTGTTGATGGTCTTACTTAACATTTCTCTCTCTCAGGCATTGTCTTGGGACCACTTGCACCTCCACCTCCTCCACCACTCCCACCAGGGCCTGCACAGGCTTCAGTAGCCCTCCCTCCTCCCCCAGGGCCCCCTCCACCTCCTCCACTCCCATCCACCGGGCCTCCACCGCCCCCTCCTCCCCCTCCTCTCCCTAATCAAGTACCCCCTCCTCCTCCACCACCTCCTGCCCCACCCCTCCCTGCATCTGGATTCTTTTTGGCATCCATGTCAGAAGACAATCGCCCTTTAACTGGACTTGCAGCTGCAATTGCCGGAGCAAAACTTAGGAAAGTGTCACGGGTAAATACCTTTCTGAAAAATTTTTTTAATATGTCTTATTCTTCCTAAATATCTAAAATGTTGAATTTATTGTATTCTAATTTTATGAAATGTTATGAACTTCATTGATTTAAAAAATTGAAATAATTTACCCTGGCGCAATGGCTCATACCTGTATAATCCCTGCACTTTGGGAGGCTGGGGTGGGCGGATCACCTGAGGTCAGGAGTTCGAGACCAGGCTGGCCAACATGTTAAAACCCTATCTCACTAAAAATACAAAACTTAGCCAGATGTGTGACACATGCCTATAATCCCAGCTGCTCGGGAGGCTGAGGCAGAAGAATCGCTTGAACCCGGGAGGTGGAGGTTGCAGTGAGCCGAGATCATGCCACTGCGCTCTAGCCTGGGTGACAGAGTAAGACTTTGTCTCAAAAAATAAAATAAATAAAAATTAAAAATTGACATAATTTAAATTTTTATAGTGAAGTTGTAAGAATAGTATAAATAATTTCTATAAATTCATCACCTACATTCACCCATTAACATTTTACCAGTATTTGCTTTTTTATTCCTTCTTTGGATATGTTTCCTTCTTTACACATGCACTTTTTTTGTTTTTTCTCTTGAGACGGAGTTTCACTCTTGTTATCCAGACTGGAGTGCCATGGCGCGATCTCAGCTCACTGCAACCTCCACCTCCCAGGTTCAAGCGATTTTGCCTCAGCCTCCTGAGTAGCTGGGATTACAGGCACCCACCACCATGCTTAGCTAATTTTTGTATTTTTAGTAGAGATAGGGTTTCGCGATGTTGACCAGACTGGTCTTGAAATCCTGACCTCAGGTGATCCACCCGCCTCAGCCTCCCACAGTGCCGGGATTACAGGTGTGAGCCATCGCACCCGGCCTACACATGCACTTTTGTTTGAATGATTTGAGAGTAACTCAGAGACACAAGCTTCTATTTTCCTAAGTACCTCAGTGTGAATTTTATAAGAACAAGGACATTTACCTGCATAACCAGTAATATAATTATCAAAATCAGGAAAGTTAACATGATAGAATACTGTAATCTACAAATGTATTATTCAAATTTCATCTATAGTCCAATGACATCTTTAGTGACAGTTTTTTTCCTAGTGCAAGATCATTTATTGCATTTAGTTATAATGTCTCTTTGATATACTTTATGACAGTTCCTCAATCTTTCATAATACTGGCATTTTTGAAGACTGTAGGACAATTATTTTGCCTGTTATCCTTCACTTTGGCTTATCTGATTTTTCCTCAAGATTAGATTCTAGTTATGCAGGGGTTGTTTTAGCAGGAATATTATCAGAGCAAAGTCATGCCCTTTTCATGGCAGCACAGGAAGAGATACATGATACTGTTTCATTGCATTCTTGGTGATAGTAGTTTTGATAAACTCTTGTTGATATATAAAGTCATGCTAAGAATCTATTGGTTCTTAAAGCTTAAAAAATAATATTTAGGTTTTTTAAAATTAATGCTGATGTTTCCTTCTGTTTTAGATGTAATATATTAATAAAAATATGGTTGTCTAACATAGGAGTTGATTATGTCTGTATATTCTCATTAAGATGGAGGATACCTCTTTCCCAAGTGGAGGGAATGCTATTGGTGTGAACTCCGCCTCATCTAAAACAGATACAGGCCGTGGAAATGGACCCCTTCCTTTAGGGGGTAGTGGTTTAATGGAAGAAATGAGTGCCCTGCTGGCCAGGAGGTAAGGAATTTCATTATAATGGACATGCCCAGAATTGAGAGGATTTTAATTGTATTCCAAATACAACTAACTAGATGCACTTCTTTCCTCGTAGAGAAGTGGTTTTTATACTGAATCAGATAATATTTTTAAAAATCGGATTTGCCTTCTTTGTAGGAGAAGAATTGCTGAAAAGGGATCAACAATAGAAACAGAACAAAAAGAGGACAAAGGTGTAAGTTAATAAAGATAGTCTACCATACCTTAAAATATGGAATTCAGGCACAGCTCATTCAGGAAATAGTGTCAGCATTTATTTAATTTGGGCTTAATTAGTTTGAACTTATATTTGCTAATTTTTAACTATGCATGTGAAGTGGCTTGTTTTGACTGTTATTTATAAATTTTTAATGGCAGTCTTAGTAAAGTGAGTTGAATATGTGAAATTATGGGAAAAGCATTGAAGTTCAAACCTGTGGAGTTTAATTCTGTTCCTTAAATGAGTGAATGACATTTCACTACTTTTTTCATCTCTTAGAATCTCAGTTCCCTTGCATTAATTTAAAAGGAAGGAATTCGCCTAAATTCATATGTTTCCCTTAGGAGCTTGATGGTTATTGGCTGTGCCCCTTCAGAGTGTAACCTTCATGCCCTCCTCCCTGATTCAGCTGGGCAAACTCTGCTTTGTCTGTGCTGTATATTGGTGTGCAACAAATAATATGTTCCCCCTGCTCCATCTGGCCACCTTAGATGCCATTCCTCAAATCTGTCTCTCGTGTCTGGCTTTGTAGCATTGGCTAGTGAAAGTTCTCAAGGAGAACACATGAGGAAAGGAGCTGTGGGGAGGGTTGAAGGGAAGATGGTTGAAGACAGGAGAAGAAAGTCTAAGCTGAAATGAAAGGGAGAGAAGACCGATGAAAGAGAAAGTGGGGAGTGGCAGAAAGAATATTAGAAGTGTTCGTGTAAAACACTAAATGTATATAGCAACAGGGGACTGGTAGATGTGATATTAATATATATCTGTATATTTAGGAAGATTCAGAGCCTGTAACTTCTAAGGCCTCTTCAACAAGTACACCTGGTAAGTTCAAGATAAATATTTTAACCTTTATAAACTTTCTCTAAATATTAATACTCCCCAGTTAAAAATTCCCCCTTTCCCCATATTTGGACCAAGTGACTGGACACTAAAATGCCAGAGTTCTTTGTTCCCACCTGAAAGCATTCACTTTTTTCCTCCTGGAAGCTGCTGTTACTTTCTTGAGGTTACTTACTAAAACAAGGAAAATATTAATGTACTATTAGATGACAAGAGTATTTTTCATAATTGTTTTTCTAGAGGTAAAAATAAAGTGAGCATGTTAGTTAGTACTACAGTCTGCTTCAGAACATTCTCAAATTGAGAAGGATGTCCTAGCCATTCATTTGGGTGATATTGATAATTAAGGGAATAAAGTTTCTGATTTGTAAACTTAAAAAGTCTCCTTAAAATTTTGGGGAAGTGTTCTTGAATTCAGTGAAATTTCTGACATTGAGAATTCTTGAGCATCTGATAAATCACCTAGAATATTAACAAAAGTATATTTCACTAGAAGTACTTGATGAGTACTGTATCCAAGATGAGAATACGAACTCATTACATATTCACATGTTATTTCTTCATATTTGATTAAAGACTAAGGGCTGGACTATCTATTGAACTCCTTATCTATTCTGGAATGAAATGACATAAATAAACTTGATGAGTTAATATCTAGAGTGGTCCATAAGAAACCATTATAGAGAAATGCTTATATTCCTACAGTTTTGATTTAAAGACAACCAGCTGCATCTACAGTTCCCTTTTTAATTTTCATTTTTTTAATTTTTTTGAGATGGGGTCTTGCTCTGTTGCCCAGGCTGGAGTGCAGTGGTGCAGTCTTGGCTCACCGCAACCCCCACCTCCTGGGCTCAAGTGATCCTCCCACCTTAGCCCCCCAGCCCCCTAAGTAGCTGGGGCCACAGGCACATGGCACCACTCCTGGCTAATTGTTTGGATTTTTGGTAGAGACAGGGTTTCACCATGTTGCCCAGGCTGGTCTCAAACTCCTGAGCTCAAGTGATCCACCTGTCTCAGTCTTCCAAAGTGCTAGGATTACAGGCGTGAGCCACAGTGCACCACCTAGAATTCCTTTTTTTTTTTTTTTTTTTTTAAGTACCTCTGAAGTTTTTGTTTTTGTGATTGTAATCCATCTTTTCACCACTCCCCCCATTCCTCATTCTTATTATTAAATGGTGACTCTTCAGTAGGTTGATTGCTATACCATAATTAACATCATGGCTTTGTTTTCCCTCTGAATAGGACTCAGTTTGTTATTTTCATTAAAAATTCACTGGTTTGTGACCCACTTATTTTAGCTTTATCCTTCTTTCTGTAAGCCAAAATTAATTGTATGTACTCTCATTAGTACCGCATAGATGTTGTAAATCCGAACCATATTTTGGGCTCACAGAACCTTTAGAATATGATGAGAGCTATAGATCCTCTTTCCAGGGAGGAAAATTGTATTTTTATTCAGATTTGTTCATAATTTCAGAATATTCATGAATTTCTTGAAGGTTATCCATGGACTCCAAGTTAAAAATTCCTTATCTAATATATAATCCCTTATATAAAATATGAAAAACTAAGGCACAGGTTTTGTGTGTGTGTCATATATATAAAATCAAAAAGGGCAGGGCCTGTTTTCTCACTTGTTTCATTCCGTTTTTAAACTGACATTGTGTCAGGCACCTGAAGTGAAAGGTACAGGTCCTAAGCCCAAAAAAACTCATGGTACAGCTGGGAAGATGAGACACACAGGTGTGAAGTTAACCTTTTTACAACCACTTGTTGAATACTAAGTAGTGTGTCACAGAGGGAGGAAATGACACATACGAGTCACCTGAGTCAACTTTGTAGGGAAAAGTGACATCTTAGTATTCCTTGAAGAGTATTTAGTTTGGCTGAAAGTGAGGGGAAGGTGTGATATTTCAGGATGTAAGTATAGCATGAGCAAGGTATGGAGTTGGAGATGAGCAAGAAGAGATTAGGAAATAGGAAATAGACTAGAACGGGGAATTCTTTTTGAGGAATATTGTAGGGAAAAGGTTGAAAATATGAGTTAGAAACAAAAATGTTGAGAGCCTTTTATAAAATTATCAAGAGTTTAGACTTTATCCTGCAAGTACTGAGTTCAGTGGACATTTAATCCACTGAAACTGTTTGAGGCACATTAAAATGGCACTTGTGATTTTCCCATTGAAACTAGGGAGGATTAAGATAGGCAGACCAATTAGGAAGCTCTATACGCATGCCAGTAAAGATCCTCTGAAGGGAACCCAGCCTTGCCCCTCCTGAAACACACCCGAGCTCCTTAGAGAGAAGAGGCCCTTGCTTCTCAGCTTCCACAGGGCCAGCTGAACCAGATGAGCCCTTTTAAGACTAAAAGATAGTTCTGGTTTGGCTGATTGAGAAAGGACCTCAGCCAGCTGTTAAAAGGTAGCACTTGCTACATCTTAACCACTTTGGAATTACTCCCTCATCCTTCCACCCGCCGCCTCTTTAGTGACAGTGTCCGATGACCGTTCCCTTCCCTGTCCCGGTGTCCCTCAGTTTCATTCAGGACTTCCCTTTTTTCACCTGCTTGGGCTGGTGTCACTTGGATATGTTTCTGATTCGGCCTGTCCCAAACCCCATCCGATTATTTGATCTTCCTGGTCAAGTGTGGAACTTGACACCACTGTGGCGGTCATTGAGAGGCTGTGTTAGCTGTTAGAATACAAAAGAAGGAATATAAAAAAGAAGGAATTTAGTTGATGAGGAGTAAAGCAAGATCAATAATGACTTTAAGGTTTCACATCTAATGCCTTCATGCAACAAGAAA
Source organism: Homo sapiens (assembly GCF_000001405.40). Lineage (NCBI taxonomy): Eukaryota > Metazoa > Chordata > Mammalia > Primates > Hominidae > Homo > Homo sapiens. Next base: position 225,508,986 of record NC_000001.11, on the reverse strand, counting down.
TCCAGAACCAAAAGCAGGGCTTCATGGAAGAGTGTGAGTTTATTTTTGCGTTAAGTGTACTTTGAAGAGACGGTAAGCTACCTGAGAATGTGCAAAAGCCAGCTGAGGAGCTGCATTGGAACTCAGAGCAGTTTTAGTTAAAACTATACAATGAGATCACAATTCATGAATAGACTTCATTCTCCTGTGGCCCAAATTCTTTCCTCCATGAGAAGATTCCACTTCTGATTTTACCCAGTCATGTAGTGAGGCCAGTGACAGCATCAGTGAGTCAGCCCAGATTAGAAAAACAATTCAAGCACAATAGACAGCCAACTAGTGAGTCACTGACTACATAGTGTCTTTTGTAATAAGAGCTTAGAGCGAGCTTGTTTATATTTAACTGGAATAATCGGCTAAGGCCCAAGAATTAATTGTTTAAGAATCAAGGAAGTACAATAGAATTTCAGGATTCTGATATTTATTTTGAGTTGTTCCTATTTTTTTCCCCAAGAGGGACTATTTGGATTTAGATTAAATGTTGAAATACATGAACATATTATAAGTTATACTTACTGTTTTTATCATTGGCACTAAAAAATAATTTAAAACAGTGTCGGTAATACTATTCCATTTTAATTAATTGAACTATCCTAATTTTAAAATTATCCTACTTTATTCTTACTGTCCTTTCTTTGTTAGAGAAACTCCTTACTATCCTAAGGTTATAGAATCATAATATTTTAGACTTAACAATGTAAGTTTTCCTTGGAAACTTACTGTACTAGCTTATAATTTCTTCTCATTTTAAGGTCTGGCATTGTGCAAATTAGAGTCCTTACAGATTTCAATTAAAGTTTAGAATTTAAATTTTTATTTATATTACTACTATGTAAACAGGTATAATGAGATTTAGTATTTTGTTATTTGTTTTATAATAACTCTGGAAGCATTTATTTATTTAATAGCTTTTGTTTTTTATTTTTAAAGAACCAACAAGAAAACCTTGGGAAAGAACAAATACAATGAATGGCAGCAAGTCACCTGTTATCTCCAGGTATCAATTTTTTTCTCTAAGTTTTATATTTTATTTGTATAAAAAAAAATTAATGCATTCTTAGTGTAGAAAAAAATTGAATGGTAAGAAATTATACAGAGGAGCCCATAAAACTCTCGTGATCCTCCTAGTATTGGACAACCACCAAGCCTCATTATATATTACTCATCTACATTACTAGTGATTGATAAATTCTACCCTACATTTATTAACCAGATGATCTGAGATTTTAAGATAGCTTTCTTTTTCCCAATTTGTATTTTGAAAAATTCAAAACTACAGAAAAATTAAAAGGATAGTACAGTGAATATGCGTATACCCATTTCCTAGGTTTAACAGTTGTCAACATTTTGCCCCACTTGTCTTAAATATCTACCTATCCACACTTTTTTCCCCTCTGATTAGTTTGAAAGCAATTCACAAATAAGAACTGTTTCACCCTAAATACTTCAGTGTTTTTTGGAAGAACCAGGACATCTGCTATGTAACCACAATACCATTATTACTCTCAAGAAATTTAACATTAAGCAATAATATTATCTACTATAGTATATAGTCACATTTCCCCATTAGTTCCAATGACATAGATTTTATGTATATATATTTATGTATATATATAATTTTTGGAGCCTTTTTTAAACCTGAATATCAGCTGGAGAGAAAAGAGAGCAAAATAAAACATACATCTTTGAATTTGTAAAGTAGAAACATGTATTTCCCTATCTCATTTGAAACTTGTAAGTGTAATCAAGTTAGAAAAGATAGTATCCAGAAACAAGGCTAGTTAATACTTGTTTCTACAAGTACATGTGGGCATATTTAGGCAAATTTGTTCTTCCTTTAGCTAGGCATACTTTATTTTCATGACTAAATTTATATCACAGCTCCTGAACATAGATGAAACCTTTTCTTGGTTTATGAGACAGTTTAAAGGACTTGTATTTTTCCCAGAAAAAAAAAAAGTATGTATTTAGAAACTAAAAGGTATTTTGTCTTTTCTTTCTGAGCTATTTGCCTTATTTTTGTCTCGTAAAAAGCAACTTGACTCTAATTATAGAAACCTAATAAAGATAAGTACAGGGATAGACTTTATATTATCACAGACCTGTTCTGTGTTAGTCTAAGTCTGAATTTGGATTTGGCTTCCTATGTGGTTCTTTCTGCTAGTAGGAAAGAAGATTTGGTAGTGACACAATTGTTTAAGCTCCACAAAGAAACTAGGCCTTTTGGAATGTATAAAAGCTTTTAGTTTCTAAGTGATTGAAAGATGATCATATTTTACTTTAGAAGAAAGGGGGAATTGCTTTTGGTGGACATGTGTTTTCAGTAGAGTAGAAAAATTGCACATTTATGTTTCTCAGACTCCTAACTGAGATGGCCTTCTAACACATCTCTACTAGTTACGGATTTTCTTCAGTAGCACATTATGAAGTGCTGATTTATTAAGCCCATAACAAGGAGCTGGCTAGGCGTGGTGGCTCATGCCTGTAATCCCAGCACTTTGGGAGGCTAAGGTGGGTAGATCACTTGAGGTCACGAATTTGAGACCAGCTTGGCTAACATGATGAAACCCCATCTCTACTAAAAATACAAAAATTAGCTGGGCATGGTGGCGCACACCTGCGATGCCAGCTACTTGGGAGGCTGAGACACAAGAATCACTTGAACCTGGGAGACGGAGGTTGCAGTGAGCTGATATCGCGCTATTGCACTCCAGTCTGCAGACCTGTCATGTGTCATTTGTCCTTTCTCTTCATCATGCTTCATTGATCTGCATTTCACAGTGAACTAAAAGCTAAGCCTACGTTGATGGCAGAAGTCATGTCTTAGAAGGGACATGGACGAGGTTCTCCAAATGGAATACATTCTTTGATGTATTTGGTCCATTTAGTAAAGGAAAAGTTGTTCTTTGAAAGATTTTTTTATTTTTCCTAATTCCAGGGTAGGGAAAAAAAGATTTTTTTTTCAGACTTGGAAATTTAATAAGTGCTCTAAAGGTCACCATTTTGAAAATAATTTTATATAGATGAGTTGAATCTTGATTCTTAATATCCAGTAGTGCACCATAATCATGTTCCAATTCTGTTAGGTGGTTTTCCTTCCCTTTCCCAAAATAGAAATTCTGGAACTCCTGATTATTTCCTGACCACTCATATATCTTTTGATAGATTTGATCCAACTACTGATATATAGGTTTTAAAATTTCACCAAAAGCTGTTTTAAACCATAAAGGATTTTTAAAATATGTTTAAAAGAGTAAGAACTATATTGCTTTTCTTCCTAAGTTATCTCTCCTGTTCCTTCGGAAAGCAAGTGTATTAAGTATGTCTTATCCTTGCATTGTAGTGAAGGTCCCCATTTCTCTTTGGAATAGCTTTGTCAAAATTACGTTAGTGGTAAGATGGATTAATGTCCCATAATATGCATGAGATATTGCATATTGCTGTATTTGTTAAGTGAATATGTCAGAGTAAAAGCAAGACTGTTTGGTTAAAAATGCTTTAAACTATGACTGGATTATAACGTTTGGGAAGTTGGTGCATTCATCTGTGGTTATTAAGACCTTACAGATCTTGTATTCAAGATGGGAAAACTAGTCCTTTACATGCCTCCTGAGAAGAGTTAATTTTGTATACTTTTATATACTTACTGTGCCTACAACCTATATAAAAAGTAGCCATTGTGTAATGATTTTTAAAATTTTCTGTAACTGGTATCTTCACATAACTAAAAGTAATCTTAAAATATCTTTTATTGGGGAAAAATTGGTTATTTTAAGGTTAATAGACTCAATTCTTGTTTTGTTTGCTATTAACAACCTATAAAACAGTAACATAATGAGAATTATTTTTTAAAGTTCTATTGTGTATCCCTTTCAATGGTTTTCCCCTTCATAGACGGGATTCTCCAAGGAAAAATCAGATTGTTTTTGACAACAGGTCCTATGATTCATTACACAGGTATCATCCTGCTGTGACGTTGTGATTTGAGACTTTTAAATAACATGTTCAGGATAGGGCTGAGCTTTTTCTACCTGGATTGGTAATCACCACAAGGGAGATTTTTTTTTCTTTATTTTGAATACCTTTTAAAAATTCTGCCATCACTTCACAGTTGGATTCAAGGATAAATACAAATGGTAAACATATTAGAAATACTAGACTGGGAATCTAAGGCCACATGTATTATCTAGGCCATTTGTAGCTTAAGCGTTTTCTTTTAAAGGCTGTTCGCCTTATGATTATAAGACAAGGTTTCAAAAAAGTTGAATAGAAGATCCTTTTCCATCTGTTACTGGAACATGGACTAATATTAAAGCCATGGTTGTGGATAATTGATTATTTGAGGAAAATCTCTGTTTCCTAGATACTTTGTAGTAAATTATCTTGGACAGTTTAACATCTAACACCCTGAGTAGATTGTTTTCTAGGATGAGCCCTATTATACCATTTTTTAATTAAGAAGACTTAAGAACTAGTTTTTTCTTAATTAAAAAAATTGACAGCTAAAAATAATCCTGCAATGCTTTTCAGTTACTTACACAATTAATTTGACAGAATAGGGACTTAAATATAGTAGTACAGTCATTTTATAGGCAGATGTTTAAAGGCAACGCTCTCATCATAAAAAAATAAAAACTGACCCAGCACCTGGTGGTTCACACCTATAGTTTCAGCACCTTGGGAGGCCAAGGCTGGAGGATCATTTGGGGCCCGGAGTTCAAGACCAGCCTGGGAAACATAGCGAGACCCCATCTTTACAAAAAATAAAAAAAAATTAGCTGGGCCTGGTGGCTTGTGCCTATAGTCTCAGCTACTCAGGAGGCTAAGACAGGAGGATATCTTGTGCATAGGAGTTAGAGGCTGCAGTGAGCCATGATAACACCACTGCACCCTAGCCTGGGTGACAGAGTGAGACCCTCTTTTAGGAAAAAAAAAAAAAAGTGAAATAAAAACCTGAGAAACCCTCATTTTGTGATCAATTATGATGAAAACCCATAGGTTAGAAATAACTGAAATATATTTATGTTATTTTACACATCTATTTTTTAAAAAAATATACATCAAGTTCACTGGGAATATGAATTAAGTGGTGTTCATAGTGGATGTCTATTGCAGTGAGTTGGGAGTTCTGTAAGCAGACTCTGGCCAAATTCTTACTTGCTAAAATTATTTTTATGCTATTAATGATCAAAATACTTGACAAGTTAATTTTGTCAGCCAGTTAAATCTTCACAAAATGTTTATATTCCAGTAGTGAAATAGTTTTGTGTTTTTTTTTTTTTTTTTTTTGAGGTGGTTTGTTTTGGCCAAAAGATTTCTTTAGAAAATTTGCTAGTACATAGAAAAGTAGCATTTAACAATGAGATTTTTAAGGCTGGGTGCCATGGCTCATGCCTATAATCCCAGCACTTTGGGAGGCCGAGGCAGGAGGATCACTTGAGTCCAGGAGTTTGAGACTAGCCTAGGCAATGTGGTTAAACCCTGTCTCTACAAAACATACAAAAATTAGCTGGGCATGGTTGCATGTGCCTGTGGGAGGCTGAGGTGGGAAGAAGACTTGAGGCCAGGAGGTCAAGGCTGCGGTGAGCTGAGATCATGCACACTGCAGCCTGGGTGACAGAATGAGACCCTGTGTCCAAAAATACATATATTTTTTAAATGTAGTAAATCTGCTCAGTTATCTTGCTGCTTTCACACATAGTACCCCCTGGGATAATGTTATTGATAAACTTTTTTGGTAAAAGTTAAGAAAAAAAGTGGTGATTACATCTTTCCTTCAGTATGAAAAGTTCCCCCCTTTAGTTAATTATCATGGTGGTGGTGGTGGTGATGGATTGCATGTTAGCATGAATTAAATTTTTAAAAATTTGCATGTTTCCACAATTGTTTATTACATAACAATAATTTTTGCATTGCCTAGTAAATATGGATATATTCATAACATACTTGCCCAATTAAATAGCAGGCTGTAGTTCATGTGAATTTCAGAGGTATTCATTATATAACTTGAGAAAATAACTAGCTAAATGGGCCACTTAAATGGGAAATGTAAAAGAAAAGCAGAGTATGAATTATAGTTTAATTCTAGAGAACAGGAATAGGTAGCATGAGTGAATATATGAAATAACATCCTAAACTTTAAGAATATTTGCCAGAAGTGACTCTGCATTTTATGGATCTAAGTAAATCTTAAGTGACCTTGGAATTTAGTAGTCTTCCCTAGCAAAGTAAGAAGGTGTAGCCTCACAAGAGGAAAGGAAATATTTCATATAAATATTATTCCCTACAGTGCCTAGCTCAGTGCTTATTGAATGAAATTTTCTGGAAGTTATTTTTCCCCCTATTCATATAAGCAGATACCTAATAAAGTAAAATTGGACGACTTGCTTCCTAACAGTCTTTTAAGCAGTAATACGTTTTGATAGTAAAGCAGATTAACAGGCTGGGCGTGGTGGCTCACACCTACACCCAGCAATTTGGGAGGCTGAAGTGGGCAAATCATGAAGTCAGGAGTTTGAGACCAGCCTGGCTAACATGGTGAAACCCCGTCTCTACTCAGAATACAAAAAAATTAGCCAGGCATTGTGGTGCACCTGTAATCCCAGCTACTCCAGAGGCTGAGGCAGGAAAATCACTTGAACCGGGGAGGCGGAGGTTGCAGTGAGCCAAGATCGCACCACTGCACTCCAGCCTGGGAGACACAGCAAGACTGCATCTCATAAACAGCAGCAACAACAACAACAAAAAGCAGATTAACTCAGTGTTTAATCTTCAGGAACCATGCCTATGGGTTTAAAGTATTTTATGTCTTATAAGAATTATAAATTATAACTTTGAAAAATTTATTATGCCTTTTGGGTCTTGCTTCAGATTGCTAACATTGGTACTCTGCAAAATTGGGAATATATGATTTGCCTGATGGTTTTAAATTGCATTTATTTGTGGCTCATAAAGGAGGGCATTTACTAGACTAAACCAGAACCCGGAGGAGTGCCCATTTAAAACTCTAGGTTTTCCACTGGGGACTCTTTTATTGCCGGACTTGGAGAGGGCGCCATGACTGGTTTATTTGGTGTTGAAACTTGTTTAAAATATACCTAATCATTGACTTATTAAGAATTATAATAGAAACTAAACTTTTGAAAGTGCAATAATAATTGACAATCTGCTTCTGTCTGGCATATCCTTTTTATTTAATAAAATAAATTTATGGAAGTAGTTAGCCTGAAACACACCATTCAAATGACGTCTCCATAAAAATTTCACAAGGAAATAGTCACATAGTCTAATCTAATAAACATTTTTAAAACATTTTTTATTTTGATGCTTGAAATGGAATAATATGTATAAAGCAAATCATGCTCACTAAAAATGTTTTCTTCCTGCAATCCAAGGCATCAGCTTTGTAAGCTGATTTATGTTAGTGTAAAACATTCAAGTCTTTATGTTTCTCCTTTCACTGGTTTGTCCAGGTATTTAAGTAGATAATGTAAAAGTTCAAAAGAAAGACAAAACAAGATTGTGTTATTTGAGCCTCAGATGTTTCAGCTGGCCTCTTCATCACTGTTTTGGTCAACGTGCCACGTTACCTGGTTACCTCATGCCCAAAGAATACTGTCTTCTACTCTTTTCTGAAGAAGTCTCACCATCTTGTCACCTTTTTCTAGTTCCTTTATAAATAAGAAATACTGAGAAAAGTGAAAAAATGTTGTTTTATGTTCTAATCAGCCCTACAATTTTGATAATTTTTTAAGAAAATGGCTTTTTTAAAGAAATGTATTTAAATCTGGTGTTGGGTTGGTAAATTTGCAATTATTTATGAACTCATTAAGTATTAAGAATGTTGTTTACCTGTCCTGGAAATCTCATTTATACAGACCAAAATCCACACCCTTATCACAGCCCAGTGCCAATGGAGTCCAGACGGAAGGACTTGACTATGACAGGCTGAAGCAGGTGGGTGCTCAGTGGCAGCTTTCCTTTATTTGTACTTGTTTCTTTTTAAAAAATATCCCATATGCATATCTTTGACATGGATCCTGAATGTACTTAGAAAGACGATAGAGCTATTGTTATACAAATTAAACAGTGGCATTAGTAGTACTGCATTTTTGCAAATCTACACTTCCGGTTCATTGAGTTTGCATGAAGGTCCAGAGGTAGTGGAGGGTGGGGTTGTGGTTCAGTGATAACAGCATAAGGTGTAAATGTAAGTGCATGGTACGCAGTTGTAAAGAAAACAATGGGCTTTTACTTTTCAGTGACTGTCTTGGCAAAATTGAACCCAACAAATCTGATTTTGGCAAGAGTGCAAGGAAACAGGCACTCTTCTATACTTCTGCTTTCTAAAAAGCAGTTTGGAAAAACAGAATCAAAAGCCTGAAAAATAAATGTCTTACCTTGAATTCTGTGATATGAATTCCAGGAATTTATTTAAAGAAAATATTATGGAAGTATACAAATGTATAGTGGGTGGAGTAGAGGCTCTGTAGGCTTCAAGGGATCATAATTTAGTATGCTTAATAGTAAATTGTGAACAGTTGCCTGTGTTAGGTAACAAAACAAATGTGTACAGTTATCTCAATTTTATAAAAAAGAAAAAGATACTGTCCACGTTTGGATTCATATGCCTTATAGTTAATACCTATGTACTCAGGAAAAAGTAGTAAGTGATAAGATTGTGATTTAAAATACCTTATTCACAGAAGAGGTGAAGTACATTTTTTAGATAAACTGAATTTTCATACTGCAAAGCTATTGGAAAAGTTAAATTGAGTTATAAAATTTTAAAGGGGAGCACGTGGCCATTGAAAATCAAGCCTTGTTTTGCCGTGTACTGAATATGGCTTTCTTGAAAAATATTTTAAAATAGAGCACTTCCACACGCTTCAAAACATGGTCAGTTCTTGGTCATATGAAGAATTGGAGGATAACAGGAATAGATTTGATTTGGGGGATGAGATGTAAAGAGTAATTTGGATCAGGGCATCTGTGAGTCTATTTAATAACTTCTGTGTCTCAGTCTTTTCCATTGTTAAAATGAAGACAAACTAATTGATAGTTTTATTTTAAACATGAGAAGCTTTTCAAAAGGTAAACTTTAACAGAGCAATTTAATTTTTCCTGGGGTATTCAGTGTTAAAGTCACACAATTCAAAACTAATTCTTCCAAAGGACAGCTGTTACTTTTCACCCATTAAAATTGTGTCACTTTGTCATGGGACCTCTGATCTTGAATCTGCAGGGGGTTTTTTTATTTCTTTGTTTTTTGTTTTTGAGACAGAGTCTCACTCTGCTACCCAGGCTGGAGTGCAGTAGTGCAATCTCAGGTCGCTGCAGCCTCCACCTCCCGGGTTCAAGCGATTCTCCTGCCTCAGCCTCCTGAGTAGCTGGGATTACAGGTGTGCACTACCACGCCCGGCTAACTTTTGTAGTTTTTGTAGAGACAGGGTTTCACCATGTTGGCCAGGCTGGTCTCAAATTCCCAGCCTCAAGTGATCTGCCTGCCTTGGCCTCCCAAAGTGCTGAGATTACAGGTGTGAGCCACCACACCTGGCCAAATCTGCAGTTCTTGAAGGAGGGCCCAGAGCACCACAGTTAAATAGAAGTATAATGTGGGCTACGTATATATTTTAAAATTTTTCTAGTAGCTGCATTATTTATTTATTTATTTTTTTTTTGAGACAGAGTCTCGCTTTGTCGCCGAGGCTGGAGTGCAGTGGCGTGAGCCACCGTGCCTGGCTGTAGCTGCATTTTAAAAATACAAAACAAAAGGACATTAATTTTAAAACTTAATTATTTAAAGTATGTTTTAATATGTAGTCAATTTTTATAAATTACTAACGAGTTATTTTACATTATTTTCATCATACTAAATCTTTGGAATCTGGTGTGTGTTTTGCACTTCACAGCACATCTCATTTCAGATTAGCCTCATTTCAGGGGCTCAGCAGCTGCATATGATTCGTGCCTGCCGTATTGGACAGCATGGGTCAACCAGGGCCTCATCCACCTTCCTGCCTACCCATTAGGGCAATCCCTGAGGTCCCTTCAGGGAAATCCTAGACTCCTTGAAATATGGTTTGGCAGCTATGGTGATTCCTGAGAAATCTCCATACATACTTCAGACAAAAGGACAGATTTGCCAAGAGCCAGTTTTTCAGTTTACTGTAATATCTTCCTCCTCTAAACTTCCTTTGCATCACCTCTCAGACTGTTCCCAGAGGACTAGATTAAAAGCACAGCTGTTATCATTTCTAGAAACTATCTGACTCATACGTTTCACTGGATGACAGAGTAATTATCTTAATTTTAGGAAGCATTCTATTTCACATATTGCTAGGCTAGAATAAGCCAGGATTGGGAAGGGCAGAATATTAAAACAAAATTCACCAAGGCTAGTCTTCCAAGAAATAGAATTGTGGCTCTGGAAACAAAAAAAACTACACATCATATTTCATGACATTCTTAAAATTTTATGAGTAAGAATCTCTTTAGTGGTAATTTTGTTCTGTATTTCTGGTATTTTTCTCTAATATTTTAGGACATTTTAGATGAAATGAGAAAAGAATTAACAAAGCTAAAAGAAGAGCTCATTGATGGTAAGTGTCTGGACAAATTTACTATTCCTATAAAACAATGTTTAAGATTGACCATTTTTAAGAAAATGCAAATAAGGAAATACCCAGCTGATTAGTTGAGGGCAATGACTTCCATAGTCCTGCCCTTTTAGGATTAGGGTTTTGGGGAGGAGGTTTCTCCTTCATATAATGGAAATTATTTTTATAAATAGGGATTAAACAATATCCCTAAGTTTCAGGTGTTGTCTTTTCTTAGATGGAAAACCACATGAACAGATCTTTCTCTAGGTTACCTCTACTCACCTATCCCAGTGTCCTCTTGTTTTTGAGCCCACATAATCAGTGTTTTCATTTTGTATACAAAAGGAGAAAATAAATATATAGAAATTAGTATCATCTTTCTAATATTAAAGATGTGTGCAATGAAAGATGCAAAGTTAATCTTCTTATTACTGTGAGTTTGAGCACAATCCTTAAAGTTTCTTAGGAATGAATCACTCATTTATCTTACTTTATCATTATATTTATTTTCAATACTTGTTCTTTTCCATCCAGCAATCAGGCAGGAACTGAGCAAGTCAAATACTGCATAGAGGAACAGACTAAGGAGAGATAGGACTTTAATCTGGAGGAAAAATATCCTACAAACAACAACTGTTCACAACAGCAAACCCCTACATTTATGAGCTGTAAGAAGAAAATGGAGACAAACAGAAGGAGGGAAAAACCAACCTACTCTGAAAGCCTTCAGACATTATGACTCTGGTGATAAGCTCTTTCCCTCTCCGTTTGCTGCTTTTTTCTGGCCTTTACAACAGAATGGAAGAGAATCATTTAAGAGTTCCTGTAACAGTTATGCAGAAAATACTAAAACCCATCAGGCAAGATCACCACGCATTGAAATATTTTCATATCAAGATAAAGTCGCACATTTTCCACAATACATTGCTAAAATAAAGAGGAGAAAGGCTTAGGAAGTTTTTTTGCAGAGAGTGCTGGTAAAGAATTGAGCAAGTTTGCTATTGTATTGTAATGTTTCTCTCAGGTTTGTTCTTCCTATCATGTTTGATATTCCATGAATAATTGAGATCAGCCCTATGTAAGTTAAGATCATAATATGTGGAACAAATGGAATTGTAAGTGCTTTCAAAGGGTAATATTTATAAGAAAGTGTCCGAAAAATGTTTCTTCAGCTTGAGAAATTTTAGAATGATAGGAAGTTTCTCGAGTTAGCCTTCATGCAATTTTGTAGATTAAAACATAAAATTTGTCCAGAACTTAAAGATTTAGATGCCTTCCTAAATTGTTACAATGCTTTACCAAATCTATGACTTCTACATAACACAAACCAGTGGTCAAATGTAAACACTATATTGTAGATTTACTGTAGGTTTTCAACCTTTTTTAGATTTATGCATGTGGACATTTTTATAATGTAATTACAATCACCACAAGGTTAGCTTTTTTAATTGCAGACAGTAATGCATGTCACACTAATATGTAGTGGCCTTTTCAAGGCCTAGTCCCAGGGAAAACATTTTGTAGAGTATAGGGGAGTGGGAGGAAGGGGAGGAATAATTTTTTATTTAAAGTTGATTTCTGCACTATCTTTTTCTCAGTTACCTGCATGAATAAATAATGAGAAATATTTTGTGACTTTAATTGGTAAATATGTTACAAAACCAAGTACTTAATCTTTTACATCATGTCTTCAGCTATTTGTATTTTAACCAGTAATTTCAATGGTCTGAAACATGATTCTGAGCTTCACATAATATCTTAACTGTGGAACTCAAAAGTTTGATCACTGAATTTGGCAGTTATTATTACCTAGGTACCCCCGCTGTTACACAGGTGTTTAGATACGTGTTCCTGAATGAAGCTGCTTTTGAATTTTGTTATGTTGAAATGCAAGAAATAACAATGATGGCAGCAATTAAGGTCACAGAAATCATTAGGTAAAGGAAAACCAATGAGGAGTTCTGCAGTTTTCTTTTAATAAGTAAAGTGAGACTTGGGTGGTGGGAAGAAGGAAGGTGGGAAGAAGGAATTAGACACTCTGCCTGCCACTCTGCGTGTGTGTGCTCTCGCGCACGTGCTGTCTATATGGAAGCCACTCCCTTTTCTTTCCTTTGAAACTGGTAAGGTTAAAATAGGGGAGAAATCCTACATGTTGGAATGATAGCTTTTTGGAAAATTTAAGAAACTCTCCAGGCTCTCCATCTTGATTTATGCTTGAGTTGTTATGTGCCATATTTGCTTTGAACTCTGATTATCAGAAGTTTTACTAAAACTTTGAAATAATTCACTTTCATCTGCTTTCTAGATTTTGTACATCTCAGTCCATAAAGCAAAGCTTGTTGATAGTGTAGTTTTCTAAACGCTGCAAATTTGCAGCCTTTACCACTACAAAGAAGTTTGGATGAGGGATTTTTTTTTTCTTTGTCAAAATAGTTCCTGTTTCTGTAGAAATTTCATTTTTAGATTAAACTGTGATGGATGAGCTATCATAATTCAAGTATACATTTCTTTTTTCTATCAGATATTCATTGTCATGCAGTAGTAGTAAAAACATCAAAGATGCAGCAAGCTTATTAAGTATTATTTTCTAAAAGAAATAGGAGGCATTTTCATCTTTATTATTGTACTTTTGGTTATGCAAACACTTTGATAATATAAACAGTTATGTCCCCTATAAATCTGGTCAGCAACCTCTTTTGATTTTGTTGGGTAAGTTAAATAGTCTGTAGTAGGTAGAGTACTGGGTACAAGTGGTCCAAACTAAGATAAGAGACTAAAATAAAATGCTAAATCTTAAAAGAAACTGGGTTTATGCACTAAACGTTTTGTGCCTTGGTCTAATATTAACATGATGTATGTGTAAACTGACAAAAAAAAAAAAAAAAAAAAACCAGTGTTGAATCATGCTATATTTCCCATCATCCCAGATTGCTAAATGTTCTTTCCAAGAAGTCTGAATGAATTATTATATACATTTGCTATCATACATGACAGTTGTGTCATTATTAGAGATTTCAGTAATTAAAATGGGAAACAGAAGCCTAAGTTATTTACCTTATCAAAACCACGTTCCTTGGAACCACATTATTATGATGGTTTTTGTGCTCTTGTACGTTGGATGTCTTAAGCTGAGTACAGTTTAGGGGATCCTTTCTAATGACAGGAAGGCACTGCTTTCCTCAACACTGTGATCTGACCTGTGACAAGTCTGTACTATCCACTATGTAAATGGCTCACAAGTCAATTGCAAACAAACTGAATGTACAAATCTTAGTGCTGGTGCTGAAATCTCTTCAGAATAGTCATCATGATTTAAAAGTTTGTTTAAAAATTTGCAAGCATCAAGTGTCAATCAAAACTGAAGATGAAACACTAATGAATGTTGAATTCTCATGCTTTTAGGTGTACTTCCTTTTTAGAATTTTCAGTTTTCTGCTATTTTTACCGTAACTATTTCGTTTAAATTTGTTTCATTTAAGTTTCCTACACGCTAACTTCGTTTGTGCGATTGAAATAAAATTGCAGTATATATATGTTGCTTGTTTGTGACACTTAGATAATCTTCTGAAATAATTTGTTTTAAAGTAAGTTATATTGGATGTGAAAAACACCTTTTAAAGTCCAAGACTTTACTACTTAAAAGTTTACATGTCACGTCACTATTCTTTACAGATTTCATAGAAGTCGTGAATACTAAGTAATGTATACAAAAGAAATATGTGATGATGTGTCTACTTTTTGTTTGAAATAACTGTTGGGTGTTCCCTCTTCTTATTTTCTCTCTGCCCACCTTGACACAGTAACTTCCTCTTATAGTCAAGATGATGATTAAGTGTTTAATTTTTATTCCATTTTGTTCTGCAACACGTTCAGGTACTTAAAACTCATTCATGCAGTTAGAATTATCCTTTATGTAGTTTGCATGGTAAAGGACATTGTGTGGTAAAGGGCATTATTGAGTAATGAATTTTAAGTATAGCAAAATATGTATAGTGTTTATACATGATGCTGATTTCTTAAAACCTACATATAAGCAGTAGTACTTTTTCTCTATTATAAAGTATTAATTTTGAGTTCCATTTTATAATTCTGATGTCTTCATTAGAAATACAAAAATACAATCCTTGTATTTTTTCTTTGACCAGACCCAAATTTTCCCCTTCCCCCCTCCATTCTCCTCTCCACTTCTCGTGGACCGCGTGTTCCCAATATTCATTAACATTTGCAGCCATTACAGAGTTACAGTTGTAAAATTTTCAGCTGTTTTTTTTTTTTTTTTTTTGCTCTAGCCTGTCTCATGTTCTTGCTTCTCTTCATATGTAAGTCAGTATTTTTGTCTACAAATTAAAAGTCACTTGTCATTCAAAAATGAGTTAAGTAACATGATAATCTTTTAAATTTACCTAGCTACAACTTTTATGTCTCTTGTAAATTTATATATACTTTCAGTGCCATTGTGAAGAATTGGCCTTTTAATTCTAAGTAGTATTACCCTATGAAGCACAGTGTGCAAAGGTATGCTACAAGGTCTCTTTAATTCCTGTGTGGCCATTATAATTTTATAACACCATTACCCTTTAAATTCTACCGATTATAAGCAGCGTAAAAGTAACTATATAAAGCAAACATCGCAAAGGAACTCTGCAGGAGCTCTTAATTCCTTTATGTAGCTATCATAAAATTCACTTTCCTGAAGACATTTACTCTCATTCACTTCCAAACTCCAAACCTTTTTCTGGTAGCACCACTTTTGTTTTTAATAGAAAGATGAGTTCATATCTGTACATCTCTCCAAAGCTCTAAGGAATGAGAAAAGGATCCTAGTATATTGAAATTACTGATGTTTAATACCTCTGCCTTTTCACTAAAAGCCATTTAATATTTTTAAAGTCAAAACTTGACATACAGGTATTTATAAGGAATCTCCATGACTCTGAAGGAATGAAATTGATGTAGGTAGCTTTGGCTATGTAAAGACATAGTAGAGGACAATTACTTAAAGAAGAGTTTTCTTTTGAGGATTTGTAGATTTGACTAAGCAGCTGAAGTCAGTAACCCCTCAAGAAAGTCCGTTTATAGAAGCCAAGAACTGTTGGAGGTCTGTGATGCAGGTTTTTCTGTTCCCAACATCAAAAGCTGTGGATTATTTGGTGTGTTCCCCTTTATGTTATCTCTCGATAATTTTTGAGACATCAAGATTTTTTAAAATATCAATACTGGAAAGATGAAACCTTCAAATTAAAACCTAAAATTGATTAGAAAGAAAAGTAAAATATTAATGCAGTAAATTTAGGATGGTTACAGATACTCACCATCAACATAAATAAATGGAGTTCTAGGATAAATTATTTGTGGAATACTAATGGTCAAGTCACATAAGAGTAAAATCTTTTGGTGAGGAGACACATTTGACAACTGCTAAAGAATTAACTAAATTTGTCTTTCTAAATAGTTTTCTTTATAAAGTAACAGAAACATTGTAAAAGGATAAATGACTGTCATAATGACTTAGGATGTTGTAAGAATGTCTGCCACATTTATTGGTTATTTCTGTTGAAATCTGAAGGAATCGATACATCTGAAAATTGAGAAAGGGAAATAGGACTGTCCCCGTTACAGATACTCTGTGATGCACACAACCTTCTAAACGGAAGTGTTAGTATCATTTAAAGCACATAGTAGGCCTTGAGTATTTGCAGATTAACATGCAGAAAAAATCAAAGATGAAGCCCCAATTAAGTGTTTGAACCAAAGAATCACAGTCACTGAGCTGCACCCCCGTTCTGTGAAGCATGTTAAATACTCATAAAGAGCAGAGAGCAGGGCCCGTAGACGCTTCTGGTGTAGGACACAGGAATTCTAGGCAGAGGGAGAAAATTAGGGGCCCCAGTTGGTGGCTGAGAGTAAAAAGAATATACCATTTGAGTAGTGCTGTTCTTTTTCCTCAGTTTTTAAAGACATATAATTCCTAGTAGTTAGGACATCTAAATAGCTCGGTAAACTGGTCAGAGGCGGGAGGATTGCTTGAGGCCAGAAGTTTTGAGATCAGCCTGGGTAACAGGGAGACTCATTTCTACAAAAAAATTTAAAAATTTAGGCCAGGCATGGTGGTGCACACCTGTAATCCCAGCTACTCAGGAGACTGAAGCGGGAGGATCACCTGAGCCCAGGGAGGACGCGGCTGCAGTGAGCCGTTATCATGCCACTGTACTCCAGCCTGGGTGACAGAGCGAGAACCTGTCTCTAAAAAAAAAAAAAAAAAATTCTAAGAGAATATAGCTTTTCATAGAAATTATTAGAAAAGCTTACATATTTCATTAGAGAGCCCAGTTTGTTAGACTACATTTATTCCGTAAAAGTTCTATATACAAATGACAACCCATAGTTTATCATGTAAATCTGATTTAACTGTTCCCTTCAATTCCAAGAAAGATTTCTTCAGCAGTAGATGACAATTCTAAAAGCATAAAGAAATAACTAATAAAGGAGATGGATGATGTTATAGGTTGGTTTGGTTGGGTTTTAGTAAATAGTTATTCTTCTAAGAAGGCTTAGAAAATCGAGAATTGAATAGTTGGTACTTTGAATTCCATAGGAAAAAGCACTCAGAAGAAAAAGTCTACATTGGCTAGTGTTTAGATTGAGAGTTAATTTTCCCATCAAGTCCAAAAGTTTCCATCCAAGTCTATAGAAACTGAGAGAAAAGGTTCTTGGCTTACACTTAAAATACACATTGTTGCAACCATATAAGAGAGATACATTACAGAACGCTTTTAAAAATTTGGTCTCTTAAGCGCCTAACAGTCCATGCTTTAGTCACATCTGTGAAACCTCTTTTCTTTTTTTCTTTTTCTTTTATTTTTTTTTTTAAAGATTAAAGGCATTTTAAAAATAAATGTTTCATGGCCGGGCATGGTGGCTCACGCCTGTAATCCCAGCACTTTGGGAGGCTGAGGTGGGCAGATCACCTGAGGTCAGGAGTTTGAGACCAGCCTGGCCAACATGATGAAACCCCATCTCTACTAAAAATACAAAAAAATTGGCTGGGCATAGTGGTGGGCACCTGTAATCCCAGCTCTTCGGGAGGCTGAGACAGAAGAGTCGCTTGAATCCAGGAGGTGGAGGTTGCAGTGAGCTAAGACCGCGCCACTGTACTCCAGCCTGGGCGACAGAGCGAGATTCCATCTCTAAATAAATAAATGTTTTTCAACGTGTTTTATGTGAGAAATACCAGCTTTTCATTATTACTACCAGTTGATCTCAGGTGTCACTTGGTTGGTTCTGCTGACCGAGGCACTGGGCATTTTAAATATGGAGTTTCCCTCCACCCATTGATCAAGTCTGAGGTTTGTCCATCCTTGGTGGCAGGCTAGCTTAACCATGGATTCACAAACCCCATTTGATTGTCGTAAGTCATAAGGCCACCCCAGTGCCAGTGGTTGGGCATCACAGTGAGTCTGAGGTGATGAATTTGAGTTAGCTGTAGGCTAGTTCCGCAACTCAGCAATAGCCCATGGATGGTTGGTAAAAGACGTTGACTTTGCCACTTAAATTTCCAGGAGAAGAATAGCTTATAGTTTATCTGAGGAAAGTAATTGGGAAGGCTTAGATATTGAGAAGAAAGCCCTGTTAAAATCTAGGTAGCATTTCCTTTCTTCTTTATTACTAGAGGGATGGGAGGTTCAGGCCTGAGTCAGGACTTTACAATTTGGTGTCCTTCCCAGAGGTACTTTGGGCTTGATCATTTTAAGTTTCAATTGCAAAAAAAAATTTTTGACGGAGTGTTGCTCTGTCACTCAGGTTGGAGTGCAGTGGTGCGATCTCGGCTCACTGCAACTTCCCCCCCCTGGGTTCAAAGGGATTTTCCTGCCTCAGCCTCCCAAGTAGCTGGGACTACAGGCGCGTGCCACCATGCCCGACTAATTTTTGTATTTTTAGTAGAGATGGGGTTTCACCATGTTGCCCAGGCTGGTCTTGAACTCCTGAGCTCAGGTGATCTGCCCGCCTCGGCCTTCAATTGCAGAAGTTTTTGAAGGGAGAATATTTGATCCTCACATAAAATGTCCTTGTTTCTGAAAGAAAACATGGTAAAAATTGTTATTGAGTCCATGTCTTTGCCACCTTGTTGGACTTGATTTCCCTTTCTCTGTGTTCCTCCCGCCCTCAGTCTCTCTCAGTCTGTCCTTTTTTGTGTGTGGAGTTGTGGGCAGGTCATTGGACTGGGACTGACTTTACCAGTTTTCAGGCTGTGGGGCTAGTCAGTCATTCTCTCTGAGCCTTCTACCTCTAAAGTTGAGTTCTTTTTTTAAATTCTTTTTGTTTTGTTTTTATTTTTTCCTTGCCACTATACAAGCAAGGATAGATAAAGCTTTTTATTATTATTGTTATTATTATTATTTCGAGACAGTCTCGCTCTGTCATCCAGGCTGGAGTGCAGTGGTGTGATTTCAGCTCACTGCAACCTCTGCCTCCCGGGTTCAAGCGATTCTCCTACCTCAGCCTCCTTAGTAGCTGGGACTACAGGCATGCGCCACCACACCCGGCTAATTTTTGTATTTTTAGTAGAGACAGGGTTTCACCGTATTGGCCAGGCTGGTCTCGAACTCCTGACCTCAGGTGATCCACCCACCTTGGCCTCCCAAAGTGTTGGGATTACAGGCATAAGCGACCGTGCCCATCCCCGATAAAGTTGAGTTCTGAATTTCCTCTTTCACTGTATTCTCGGCAGCTACTGGTTGGTTTATTCTTTTTTTTTAATCTTTTTTGGTTTATTCTTCTTTTGATCTTTGAAGAGAAGGAGAAAAAAGATCTGAGTTTGGCTCTCCCATCTTAAGTGCAGCTTTTAGTTGTTTTATAGTCATAGACGCTATTGCACTGGACAGCATGCATCCTGGATGTAAACAATGCGGAAAAATCAATGGAGTGACCATCTTGGGGTCAGTGGTGTTGCATAAAGCACCAGTGGTGTGCTGTTCTGTGTCAGTTTCCTCTGCGCCACGTGCTTTCACAGTTTGAATTACCAGCATCTCTGTGGTGGCTTCAGTACATTCTCCATTGTGCTTCAACCTGGAAGCACATTCTGCCGTTCAGAAAGACTGATTCCAATCATGTAATGGGACCACACGAGATCCATGCTCCAATTATATGAATAGCAGAAGGTCCATTTGACTCTTGTAGTTCAAGAGCTGTTTCTAAGTAAACAGACTTTCCAGAGCTCGATGAAGTGAAGAAGCCCTTCTTTCAATTCCTGGGCAGAATTCAGTGGTTTTCATATCATCTGAACCTGCTGTGCTGCTGTTTATTCTATCACTGTCAGCCTTGAAAGGAAAAAAGGAATAATCTTACCCTCCTGCCCTTCTTATTTTATATCTTCCATCTTATCCATCTATATCCATGTAGTCATTCCTTCCGAGTTCCCTGGTTTTAATCCAAAAGACTCTGTTTAACAGCAATGTCTTGGCAGACCAGGTGCCGCTTCCGTGCCATTTGAGGGCTCTGAGTCTTTGCTTCGTCTTAGGAAGATAAAGATAATTTGGCAGAAAGTCAGAGATGGAAATAGCAGTTTGGGATGATAAAAGATGGGTCCTGTTTTGCTGACATTCTTTTACTTTGGTTCTTGGTGCGTGTCCTTTGGGATTCATTTCTTGCTAGCATGAATAGGACATGCTTTTCGTTAGGTGCTTTTCTTTTTTGGAGAACATGAAGTGTTTCTAACAAAACTGAATGAGCTAGAAAGAATTCTATTTTGAGACATCTGTAGTTGATGCAAAGTATTTCTGTAATCCTCAATGACAGTACTTACATATTTGCATAGAATTTTTTTTTTAATTTTTGAGGAAACCTCTCTGGAGTCTGTATTTATAGGAGCATCCTGAAAGTCCCTATTATGTAGCTGGTGGGAGCGAGAGAGGGACAGCCACACTCGTGCTGTGAGCAGAGCACAACTTCAGGCAGAGTGAATGCCTTCTGAGTTCTCATTGGAAGCTTTCTGTTGCTCAGCCTCTGGCAGATTTCAGAACCTTCTACTTAAGCCAGGTGTGGTGGTGCGTGCTCCTAGGCACAGCGACTCGGGGGGCTGAGGCAGAAGGATCACTTGAGCCCAAAGTTGGAGGCCAGCCTGGGCAACATAGCGAGGCCTGTCTCCTTAAAAAATAAATAAATAAATAATAAATAAATAAATAAATAAAAACCTTGTCCTTGACTATTGTGCTGTCTGCTGCCCCTTTGTAGGGATGGGGTTGGGGTCAGAATAAGCATGTGCATGAATGGCGGAAAGCTTTGGTGGTGTTTGTTTGTTTGTTTGTTTTTTGAGAGGTGGGGGAGTCAGCAGTGAACCTTTCTGGTTAAAGAACAACGTACATAATTTCTATTATGAGATTTAGAAGGTTAAATACTTTTTTTTTTCAGGCCTACCAAGTTGATAGACCAAAAGTATATAGTAGAACAGCACAGTAGAAAAAATTTAAAAGTGAATTTCTTATGGTCCAAAAGGATGGATAGTCACAGTCCATAACCTTTCATAATATATGCTGGAATTGGAATCTCTTGTCATCTTGCTTTGCTCTGAATTTTAGAACTAGAAGTGTGCATGTATGTCAAAAGATTATGCAGAGCTATTTTCTTTGCTAACAATGTAAACATTTGCACCCCATGAATGGGACTTTATAATCTGGAAGTGAGCCTAAGGTTGCGTATACTGAAGTCATGTTTTAAAAGTTAAGGTTGACTTAAACATATACAAGGCTGTATTTTAATTGTAACTAGAAATCATTTACTATGCATACAGAACCTCATGTATCTTATCATGGAATTTGTGAATTAATGGGCCTTGCCGAATTCAAGGGTAAGGGAAACTGGTAACAACTTGTTTTAAATCAACATACTATAAGCTCCTGCTTGCTTGACTCAAGTTGTTTGAAAATCTGAATTAAACAGGATCTCATTGTCAGGAAACATCTTCTAAGCTTGACATCTACGTTTAAGAAGGGAACGTGGAAGAGAAGGTGAGACATGAAACTAAAACAGCTGGGAGGGTAGGATCAGACTGCACCTGATTTTTGGACCAAAGTTTCATATAGGAATAAATAAAAAGGAGGACCACTTGTGAGCCAACCTAGGAAGGACTTGCCAGAAAGTAGCAGCTCCTGCTGCAAAATACAGTGCCTTCAAAATGATTCTCTGTGTGAATTGCATGCAATTTCATGTAACCATAAAGTGTAACCTGTATGTGCATGACATGTGTCTAGAATGTGTAAAGTTAGGATTCAGCAGGAAGGGGCCTGGCCCTGTCACTGTGGTGGATCAGTGGACCTGCTGAAGTCACTGGACTCATGTGACTTAGGTTTGCAGCATCAGACCCCTGTGTTTGCATTAAGTGGCCACATCGTTGAAATCGGATCAATCTCTCCCTCAGCTTTCTTTCCTACTTTGCAGCTTTGCTGGTTTTAACTGCTTCATTCTTCTGCTTCTTGGTATCCTTTTTTCTTTTGAAATAAAAACATGAAATACTTAATTCAAATGAGATTTGTATTTATTTTACCAGTTGCTCTTAATTTACCAAAGGTATACGACATGAAAAGAGTTGCATTCTTTTGTCTTGGTTGTGATTCTGACCTTAAAATACGCTCAGTTCTAAAAGCTTGAGGAGCGTTCTATACTGGTCCTTCTGCATTTCAGCCTGTCACCAAGGGGAGTGTTTTGCGATCCGCCATCCTTTCCCTGAATGCTGCTGCTCCTCTATGACGGAAAGCTTGGTGACCTCTTCATTGGAGGCGTCCAAAGCCAGTGAACAGCCTGTTGGTAAATGAACGAGCTGCATGTACGTGCTATTTTCCTCCAGGACCAAATGCCCTGTGCATTTTAGTATTAAGCGTACTTACTGCAGGAACCAGTACTGGGACCACTGCAAAACTACACAATGGTGCAAGTGCTTTGGGGCTTTGAAGAGCTGAAGACAGACATAAGACTTAGTGTTCTCAGGCCGGGCATGGTGGCTCATGTCTGTAATCCCAGCATTTTGGGAGGGGTGGGCGGATTGCTTGAGTCCAGGAGTTCAAGACCAGCCTGGGTGACATGACGAAATCCCGTCTCTACAAAAAAAAAAAAAAAAAAAAAAAAGGACTTGGTGTTCTCACTTTGTGACCATCCTGCCCCTCACTGGAGGTCCCTAGAGGCAGGTGCCTTTCAGCTAAGAATATCTGGGAGTCTGTGGTTTGTGAGGAGCTTGCTGGCACATTAGTGTAAAGGGTGTGATCCTTTTAATGGCCACACTTTTCTGTATGATGTCTTTGTTTTCATTCTCTGATGTCAGGGAGGTGAAAAGAAGGCTCAGGTGAAAAGAAGGTTCATCAACTGAACCAGAGTAACTTGTCACCTCCTTTTTTGCCAGCCTCATTTCTAAATAGACTGAATGTCTGTTACCTCTCCTCTCCTTTTCAACTGAGAAGCCCTTGGTGTACAGCGGAAAGGGGCTGTAGGGGAATGCATTTTGCCACTGCAGTCATGAGCTGACCCAGCCTTCTGTATTCTTGGATGTTTTCATTCTAGGCTGAATCCCATTGTGTTATGGCAAAGAGGCCAGACCCTAAGAGACTATATGCTGAAAAGATTTGTGAAGCCCCTCAGTTCCCAGTAACTTTTGGAGCTTATTGTCATGAGATTGCTACCCTAGCCCTGGGCAGTGTGGGCAAGGACACCGTGGCACCTGGGCACTGAGTCCGGGAGTTGTATTTTAGCCTTCTCTCCTCTCAGCTGTAAAGTGAGGTGTTTAGGTCTTCAAAGGTCATTCCAGCTCCAGCTTCTATGGTTTCAATATGCTGGGGGTATCTGGCTGAGGCTCCCCACCCAGGTGGCCCAGCTGACAGTGACAGTATCATAGAGTGCGAGATAGCCTCTGTCACCACACTGACAGCTGCAGACACTAGTATGGAGGGGTTATGTGGGTGAAGTTCAAGGCGTCTCTCTGTGAACAAGCTAGAAAGAACCACTCATTTGTCATTTCTCCTTGGCCACAGGCTCTCATGGCAAAGGCCTCTGACTGAGGAGTAACACAGCGTTGAACCAATTTTAATATTGCAAGGCCACTCCTGTGGGTAAAGGCATTGGAGATGTATGCTTCAAAGCATTTTTAAAAGTCACCTGGGATATGACAGTGATGTCTATCCTTGGATGATTATAGCTCTTAAGTCATCACTCCCGACCCCCAAGACAAAAACGAGTCTGAGAAGCCAGGAAGCTGGTTTGCAAAAAATGTGTCGCGTTGAGTTGGGCCTTTCCTGCCACAGCTCCTGCCGCTGGGTGAAGTGTTGGAACCCTACAGACAGGTCCTGTCGCAGCCAGCTGGGAAGCCGAGGTGAGCAGGCCTCCTGGGACAGATGGGGCCCCACTGATGAGGCCACTGAAGCCCCACAAAAGGGCTGGCTGCTGTCAGGAGCCTCCACAGCTGGGATTGCCCACCACGTTTTGGCTTTTTTAAAAAAACTTTTTTTAATTTTAGAGATGGGGTCTGGCCATGTTGCCCGGGCTGGTCTCACTCCTGGGCTCAATCCTCCCACCTCAGCCTCCCAAAATGCAGGGATTACAGGTATGAGCCACCATGCTCAGCCTTAAAAAAACTTTATTGAAGTAAAACATATGGACAGAAAAGTGTACGTATGCATACAGCTCACTATCTTGACAAACTACACCCATTTGCACAGCACCCAAAGCGAGAAAAGACGTCAAGACCCAGAAGCCCCCTCGTGTTTCCTTCCAGCCACTCCCTCCCAGCATCACCCCTCTCCTGACTTCTGACCCCCGAGGTTGCTGTGTTTGTGCTTGATGTGAAGGAATCCTGCTATTTTGTGCTTGGTTCCTTTCTCCCAATATTGCATGTGAGATCATCCGTAGTGTGTGTAGTGGTGGATTGTCTGTCCTCGTGATATCGTAGTTCCCAGCTTAGGGCTATTATGGGTAGTCCTGCTATGAATATTCTAGCATGTGTCTTTGGTGAACATATGGATGTGTTTCTTCTGGGTGTGTGACTAGGAATAGCGTTGGTGGGTCACAGCGTATGCCTGCGTTCAGCTTCAGTAGATCCTGACCCACTTCTAAACGTGCCTAGCAGTGCTGGAGCCATTTATGGGCATGTCAGCTGGCGGGGCTGCGAGCCTCCCTCCGTCGTAGCTCCCTTCTGTGAATGGCCCCACGGGCAGCACAGGGAACAATCCAACGAAAGAACCGAACCTGCCTTGGACAGCTAACTAACTGCGGTCTCATTCTGTTTCCCTGAAACGTGGAATTAAGTTTCGAATACAACTTTCCTTCCCTCTTAACAACGATATTATTCATGTCTACATTTATTGCAAGCATTTACCTAGAAGATAAGGCCTATTTCCTCCAATAAGGTGAGTTTATACTCAATGAAATTAATTTTTTCGTTCATTTAGCATTGCTTCCTAACAAGTTGTCAATTGATGGACCAGACATTTCTTTCCTGAGCTGCAGATTATAAAGGGGTCTCACTCTCAGGGCACAAGAAGCAAGAGCACATACCCAAAGGCCAAGGAAGTGGCTGCCTTCTTTGTTTTTCCCTAAATGATGTCCTCTAGAGAAATTCCCACAGCCCCATTATGAGACGGGAATTTGCTTGATTAAAGGAGATGATTCCACTTTCTGTCTAGTAATCTGGGGCATGAAGTGGATGGTTAGATACAAATCTCCAGTGTTAAGTACCAGTAATTTTTGTCAGTATGAAAAAAGTGGCTGGGTGCAGTGGCTCATGCCTGTAATCCCAGCACTTTGGGAGGCCAAGGTGGACGGATCACCTGAGGTCAGGAGTTTCAGACTAGCCTGGCCAACATGGAGAAAACCCATGGACGGATCACCTGAGGTCAGGAGTTTGAGACTATCCTGGCCAACATGGTGAAACCCCATCTCTGCTAAAAATACAAAAATTATCAGGGCGTGGTGGTGGGCGCTTGTAATCCCAGCTACTCAGGAGGCTGAGGCAGGAGAATCGCTTGAGCCCGGGAGGCGGAGGTTGCAATGAGCTGAGATCATGCCACTGCACTCCAGCCTGGGCAACAGAACGAGATTCTATCTCAAAAAAAAAAAGTGCTTTACTTTTTAAAAATGTAATTAGAGATGTAGTCTTGCTATGTTGTCCAGGCTGGTCTCAAGCAATCCTCCTGTTCTGGCTTCCCAAAGTGTTGGGATTACAGGCATGAGCCACTGCCAAAGATTATTTATTATTATTATAACTTAACTGGGAGCTGTTCAAGTCCCAAAGCTCTCTAGCTCTCCTAAGTTTTCAAAAGAAGGGAAAAGACTTTTTCCACATGATATCAATCCCATGTGTCAGATTATCTTGTAAATGTTGAGACGCGTAGGTCAGCAAGGGTCCAGAAGCTGGGAGTGTGCACAGCAGGTGGAAATGGAAGGGGAATTTGTTTTTGCCTTGCAGATCTCCTGTCCTGACTCAACACTTAATGGCACAGTGTCTCGGGTGCTTTCTTGAAACCTGGTGATGTGAACAAAGAATAAAAATAGCTGCTTGAAATGCCTCCAAATGAGCAAATGCAGGCATTGTTGGAATTCCAAATTTCAGAGCTGCTTTCCGGAATCCTCGTGGATTAACGTAGCAGGAGTGGGTACTGAACAGCAAGGATGGGGCTGGAACTGTAAACTCAAAAAGCATGATTATAAAAGGGGCATGTCAAAGGGCCAAGGATCGCAGAACGATCAGAGTTCATAATTTGGGGTAACCATAGAAATCATTAGCTCCAGCCCTGCCAGACAGCGACGGCTCAAAGAGGCAGCTGGTCAGAGTTGGTGCCTCATTCCCCCGCCGGTCCCCCTGCCCTGCCAAATCTCACTTAGAGAAAGCTGTAAGTGTGGGGAGGATGGAGGGTAATTGGAATTCAGACAGGAGCCAGTTCCAAGTAATTTGTAAATTATGTGAATGAGCTTGAAAAGATTTTACCCAAGATGGTAGATCAGCTTAACGTTCTCTTCCCATAATAAACCCCATCACAAATACACAAGGGCCTCAACACCCAGATACGAATGGAATGACACTTCTTTCCCTAGAATTGTAAGGCAAGGGAGAGGGAGAAGCATTTACTTGCCTCTAAAATAGAGCCCTGGTCCCTAAGTCCATGTGTGTTTAGGGGGAGGCAGACAAGTAGATCAGTGAACAATTTGGCTTAAATTGGTTTACAAAACAAAAATTACAATGTGAGTGTAATAAATTATACAGAATGATATACAAACAGATGGGGAAATAATGTCAGCTGCTTGGTGGTGATGGAGAAGTCAATTCACCTGGAATTAACAGACGAGCTGTTAAGAATGAGCAGGTGTTCTTGGGCATCAGAGGGGCAAAGGTATTTCTGGCAGAGCAACGAGCAGTTTGCAGGTGTGAGAGTGCATGGGCTGTTCTGCAACAGGCCCCGTAAATGGGCAAGGTTGGAAGATGAGCCGTGGGGTGGAGGCAAGACAGGAGGTGAGCTGGAGAGGTTGGGAAAGAATTGGAAACATTTTGCTCTGTCCTCTGAAATCCCGGCACATGCCACATTAGACTGCATGGTTTCTAGGGAGCTTCAGAGGTCCTAATGAACGTTTTAGTCTGATTTTAAAAAGAAAACGATTTTAAGGTTCTGGCACAGAAGACATAAAAATGTGTGACATACTCCCTGTCTGCCAGAAAGCACGTTCTTCTGCACATTTAGAATGTAGAAAATATAACCCTTTAAAAAACCACCAATACAAATTGTTTTTAAGTATTCCAGAGGGAAAATAAAAATAATATATTGGCCCCTTTAGGAAACAGAACGGCCTCTCATTTCCTGGACAGTTGTTGAGAGTAGCCGTGCCAGTGCTACCTGGATTCATGGATGTGCCACACGGTGATCAGGTTCTGTGATCTGTCACGCTATGGGTGCAGGAAATAAACCCACTGGCTTGATGCTTTCCTGAGTCCGTGTCAAGCGAGTACAAGTGGGAGACATTCAGGGTAGGAGTAACTGGTATTACAGGAGCACCTGGGCTTAGATGACACGTTGCGTCCAGCCATAAATAACACCTGACTTAAAGCAGCTTATGTAAATAACAGTTTTAATTTCCTCCTATTCACCTGTTAATGAGAGAAGGATTCCTGCCCTGGGATTGTAGCAATGGCCAAACACACAGCACCTGATACTGGACAGGTGCGATTGACAGCAGGTTATTAGTAACCTGAACTCACAGCTCAGGGGAGGAGGACAGTGCCCCACACAGGGCCCCATGGGAACTGCACTCAGGAACAGAGGGAGCCAGCAGGGGCTGTGGGAGGCAGGCTTGGTGGTAGTAGCAAGAGGGTGTGGTGACCCCTGGTTCCCACCGGAGAATATGATTGACTTGTTTAAGTAATTCCACAGGCTGGTAAGGAAGTGAAACCCACAGCTGGTGGGTGAGCAGGAGCCCTGCCTGGTCCCCTGGGTAAGGAGGGATGTTTGGCTGGGGGGCCTTATCTGAGAGAAAAGAGTGAGGAGGGGAACTTGCAGCTCGGTCACACCTGGCCCTTCCGACTGGAGCAGAGATCAAGGCAGCACATAGTGTTGGGTTTAAATTTTAGGTCTTACCCTACAGGTTTATTAGCACACGTGACTCTCAACCCTGAGGTACGAGGGCCCGGGTTGGTTAATTCCACAGTTTTGGATGCCACCGCTAGGTTCCTGCCTTTCCTCAGGGCCACTGTCACTGCCTCAGCTCCCGGGAGGAGGTTTCCTCCTTGTGCATCCCTTCCGTTCTTCTCAGGCAGGAAACTTTTCTGTGGCCCCTGGTGACTTTCAGATCTCAGGCAGAGCTGGCCCCATCCCACTACTCTTCATCTGCAAAGAGGAGAGATTCCCTTAATCGGTTCAGACGAATTACCACGCGTACCTCAGGACCCAGCCTGCTT
This sequence comes from Homo sapiens, assembly GCF_000001405.40. NCBI lineage: Eukaryota > Metazoa > Chordata > Mammalia > Primates > Hominidae > Homo > Homo sapiens. Next base: position 225,480,426 of record NC_000001.11, on the reverse strand, counting down.
GCCTGAGCTCCTTGCTGCCCAGCAAGGAGCAGTGGATGTGGCTATGAGGCAGGCACCCCAGGGCCTCATCTTCACCCCAAAGCAAGGCTAGGGAAAGCGGAGTTCTGGAAAGCCACACTGATGTGCATCAACGCCTCTGTGCTAAACCTTGGATCCATGGTCTGGTAGGCAGTAATAAATATGTTTATACTTCTTTGTTTTTTGAGATGGAGGAGTTTTGCTCTTGTTGCCCAGGCTGGAGTGCAATGGCGCGATCTCGGCTCACCACAACCGCCGCCTCCCGGGTTCAAGTGATTCTCCCACCTCAGCCTCCCGAGTACCTGGGATTACAGGCATACGCCATCACGCCCGGCTAATTTTGTATTTTTAGTAGAGATGGGGATTCTCTATGTTGGCCAGGCTGGTCTTAAACTCCCAACCTCAGGTGATCCGCCTGCTTCAGTCTCCCAAAGTGCTGGGATTACAGGCATGAGCCACCGCACCTGGCCACTTCTTTTTTTTTTTTTTTTTTTGAGACATAATCTCGCTCTGTCACCAAGGCTGGAGTGCAGTAGTCAGTCCTGCCTCACTGCAACCCCCGCCTCCCAGGTTCAAGCGATTCTCCTGCCTCAGCCTCCTGAGTAGCTGGGATTATAGGCGCACACCAACACACTCAGTTAATTTTTGTATTTGTAGAGACAGGGTGTCACCATGTTGGCCAGGCTGGTCTTGAAATCTTGACCTCAAGTGATCTGCCCTCTTCAGCCTGCCAAAGTGCTGGGATTACAGGTGTGAACCATCATGCCCAGCCATACATTTATACTTTTGAGACAGGGTCTCGCTCTGTCTCCCCGGCTGGCGTGCAGTAGTGTAATCTCAGATCACTGTAGCCTCAACCTCCCAGGCTCAAGCGATCCTCCTGCCTCAGCCTCTCGAATAGCTGGGACTCCAGGCGCACACCAACATGCCTGGCTAATTTATCTTTACTTTGTAGAAATGGGTTCTCACTATGTTGCACCAGCTAGTCTCAAACTCCTGGGCTCAAGCGATCCTCTTGCCTTAGACTCCCAGAGTGCTGAGATTACAGGCGTGAGCCAACACGCCTGGCTGGCAGAATATATTAATATTTGCATGAACCACAAATCAAAATGTTTTCATCCAAAAATGGATTAGCTGTGTCTGTTGGCTTGTGTATATAAAAGATTTGTGAAATAGTCTCAGTTGAGGAACCTAAGGAACTGGGGACGGTTCTTACAACACTGAAAGAAGGTAGATATTGAGATTAGTTTCTTCTCTCCAAAGACTGACTGTTTAAAAGGCTCAAGCGTGTACCACACTGACTACTGTGGTTCAGGAGAAGCAGCTGAAATATTTCCTTTTAGAGCTAAGTTCTATCCATAGAGCTGAACTTACAGTGAAGTTCAGTAAATTTTGGATTTACTGTAGGTTCTTGGAGACCAGAATTAGAGGAATGAGAACGCTGTGAGTTATAAAGTCCAAGCTGTGTCAGCCCTTTGCTTGGGAGCTGTCCTGCCCTGCCATCTCCTCTCTTTTTGGGGGGCCTCCTTCTCAGTCTCCTTGTTGGAGCTGTCACCCACTATTGGTGCTTTTTTTTTTTTTTTTTGATGGAGTCTCGCTCTGTTGCCCAGGCTGGAGTGCAGTGGGGCGATCTGGGCTCAGTGCAGCCTCCACCTCCCAGGTTCAACTGATTCTCCTGCCTCAGCCACCTTAGTAGCTGGGATTACAGGTGCCCGCCGCCACGCCCAAATAATTTTTGTATTTTTAGTAGATACGGGGTTTCACCATTTTGGCCAGGCTGGTCTCGAACTCCTGACCTCAATGATCCACCCGCCTCGGCCTCCCAAAGTGCTGGGATTACAGGCGTGAGCCACTGCGCCCAGCTGCTATCCGTGCTTTTGAAGGCTTTGTTCCTCACCCACCTCTCAGCCTCCCTGGGAAAGCCTGTCCTCTCCCGTGTCTTCTCTTGCCTTTTCTCCATCAACACACCAGTGACTCCAAGGAGTGTCTCAGCCCTGTCCTCTCTCCTGAGCACCAGAGCCACTGTCCTGCCCACTGGGGACAAGACTCCAGGACAGCCCTGCAGCATTTCAAATCCGAGATGACCCAAACCAAACTCTTGACACTCCTCCTCTGTTCTAATCCCCAGGCAGTTTTTACTCTCTCCTGGGCTCCCCTGCCCATAAGTGAGTGGGCCCCGTGGATCTGCCTCCCGCATGGTCCTCCCGGAGCTCCACTTGTTTCCAGCCTTGCTGCCAAGTCCTGTCAACCTCCCTCCACCTGTCACTGAACCTCCGCAGCAGCCTCCCGCTTCCTCCTCTCTCGCCCTGCATACAGCCCACTGTGGCCGGAGGGAGCCATGTGAACCGCATGTCAGAACACACCTCTTCCTGCTCAAGGCCTTTTGAGGCTCACAGACTGTAATCAAAATGAAGTCAGAATGTTTTAAGTGCCTTTTATGGTCAGCCCTGTGATCTACAGCGGGAGATAGGAAAGGGACAGCTGGCAATGTGGGAGAAGCTGCCTCCTCAAAAGCCTCCCCTTCCCTTCTTCCCTGCTGCCAGAACCCCATTTCGTGTAGGCCTCAGTGGAGCTCCCTTGATCTCAGGAATGCAGATCCATCCTCGGTCTGTGAGGGGGGCCTTGTGGCCTAGTTTTGGGCACATCTGTTGGAAGCTCCTGGGAAGGTTTTTTTTTCTCCCAGATAAGAGGAAGGCAAATGAGAAAGCTCTCCCCTGCTCCACTCCCTCACTTCTCTTCCTTGGACTTGATGGGAGTGTATGATGCTCTGGGCAACTGCAGCCATCTTGTAATCATGAGGGGAAGGTCAAGAATCTGAGAGAGCCAGACCTGGCATCTCTGAGCCACCACACTCATGTCGGCAACCACCTACCCCCATGCTTATTTAAGGAAAAATAAACCACTCTTTGTTTAAGTCACTGCTAGTCAGAGGTTCTGTTGCTTGCAGCCAGAAGGATTCCTAATAGACACAAGCAGGGTGTGTGGGAGTGCAGAGGAAGACTTCATGCGGGAGGTAGCATCTGAGTGCAACCCTGGGGGTGAATGGTGAAGGGCGCCCCAGGCAGAGAGTACTGTCGGAGCACAGAAATTAGGGAATGGGAATGGAAAATTCCCATTTAGTTGGAACATAGGAGGGATAGAGAACAATACAAGACATTTTGCCATGAACAATTTGACACAGTCATTTCAACCTCAGGGACAATTTTAAGTAGCTTTTCTTCTCTCTCTCTCTTTCTCTTTTTTTCATGGTCTCACTCTGTCACCCAGGCTGGAGTGCTGTGGTGCAATCTCAGCTCACTGCAACCTCTGCCTCTCAGGTTCAAGCAATTCTTGTGCCTCAGCCTCCAGAGTAGCTGGGATTACAGGTGTGTGCCACCATGCCCGGCTAATTTTTTGTATTTTGGTGGAGACAGGGTTTCATTATGTTGCCCAGGCTGGTCTTGAACTCCTGCACTCAAGCAACCCGCCTGGCCTCAGCCTCCTGAAGTGCTGGGATTAGAGGCATCAGCCACGGCGCCCGGCCCCTCATGTTGCTCTTTTGGTTTGGATTAGTCTGGACTTTCCAGAGAAGCAGAACGAAGAGGATGTGGTGTGCATATGTTTTTCATAACAGCACTAATCCCATTCATGTGGGCTTTACCCTCACAACCTCACCTCCTAGAGGCCCCACTTATGCACACCATCACCTTGGGAGTTAGGATTTCAACATGTGAACTTTGGGGGAAAATAAACATTCAGACATATACATACAAGTATATTCAGACACACACACACACTTGTGATAAGGAATTGACTCACTTGATGATGGAGGCTGCAGTGTGAGTTGGCAAGCTGAAGACCTGGACAGCCAATGGTGTAGCTCCAGTCCAAAAACCAGCAGGCTCAAGATGTGAGACGAGCTGAAGTCTCAGTGCAAGTCTGAAGGCAAGAAAAAATGATGTCCCAGCGCAAGCAGTCAGGCAGGTAATGTCCTTCTACCTGTGGGAGCGTCAGCCTTTTTGCTCTAGCAAGCCTTCAACTGATTGGACGAGGCCCACCCACACCAGGGAGGACGTTCTGCTGTTCTCCGTCTGCCCATTCAAAGGCAAATTGCATCCAGAAACACCCTCACAGCCATGCCAGAATCATGTCTGACCAAATGCCTGGGCATCCCATGGCCAAGTCGACACTGAAAATGAACCTTCATGGATATGTGATGGTCTTCCCTTGGCTGACAAGGACCCAGCAGGCACTTTGGAAATGGGAGTTTCCTCGACTTTAGGCCCAATCAGAATGCTTCCTTGGCCACCAAGAGGAAGGGGAACTGTGACCATTTACTGCCATTTCCCATCCGGCCAGAAAGAGGTGTCATCTCCATTTCCTCACCAAGGGGAAGGAGAATTATTTTTATTTTTTGAGATGGAGTTTTGCTCTTCTCACCCAGGCTGACAGTGAGTGCAGTGGCCCGATCTTGGCTCACTGCAACCTCTGCCTCCAGGGTTCAAGCGATTCTCCTACCTCAGCCTTCTGAGTAGCTGGGATTACAGGTGCGCACCACCACGCCCAGCTAATTTTTGTATTTTTAATAGAGACGAGGTTTCGCCATGTTGGCCAGGCTGGTCACCGGACCCCAGGTGATTCTCCCGCCTCGGCCTCCCCCAGTGCTGGGATTACAGGGGTGAGCCACCGCGCCCGGCCGGGAGGAGAATTCTAACATCGGCTCTGGATCCGTCTGTTTGTTCTGCAGTTCCCGCCAAAGCCAGACTGCTTCCTTGACCCTCCATGGAGGGGCAGTCCTGGGAGTTCGCAGGCTCCCGGGCGGGGCATTTAATGGAGCAGAGGGCGCCCCGGGCAGGGTGGATGGTACAGGCACCTGGCCAGGAGGAGCACATGAGGTCCTGGGCCAGGACAGGCCTCAGGAGCAGCTGATGAGAAGACACTGCTGGGGAGAGGAGCTGGCCTCGACCCCATCGAGTCCTTGGAGGTGGTGGGTCTGCTGTACTCTGTGCGGTGTCATTTCCATCCTTTCCAAGGCTGGCATCACTGCTTACACCATCCCACCAATCTCACCCAGCCTGCCCACCTGCCCTCGTCCACCGCAGCCGGGCTGGTGTGGGGATTTGCAGGCAACCACTCGGATCCTCCCAAGGGAGCGGGGAGAGTGTGGAGCAGGGAAAGGCGGCACGTCCCAAGGCCGCAGGCGTGCAGGTCCGCTGGGCGCCTAAGGCCAGCCGGGTTCTGCCGGGGCCCAGGGCCTGGACGGTGGCGCTCGAGCGACCCCTGGCGGTCATGCTCGGCAGCGCGCCCCGTCCAACGCGGGTGCGCAGCGCCCTCTGCCGGCCGACGGGCGTCCTTGCCTTTTCCCGGCCTCTCAGTTTGGGATTGGAGGGTACTGGTAGGATCCTATTTCACAGCTGAGAGACGGAGGCACAGAAGTGAAGTAATGCATCCGAGGCGAAGCTGACTGAGAAAATACACGAATGCAGGTATTCTGACTGAAGAGTCTGCATGAAGTCCAGGGTAACGAATATGACCTTTGGTTATGTCAACAAATGTGTCCACAGAGCCTTTTTTCTCCGCTCAGCTGGTCGGCTGGTTCCACGGAGCTGTGTTGAGCCCTGGGTACCCCACTTTTGAAGTTCATCAGCAAACTACAACATGTTCAGGTTGCGTGGTGAGAGTGGTGGGGGACTCCAAATCCAGTCGTATGAGGAACAATGGAAAGAATGGGGTGGCAGGTTTCTTCAATCCAGAACATTCCACTGGCCAGGGCTGTCCTCCGGAGGAGGAAGCATCCTCATGAAGTGGACATCCTACTCACCAGGGGCCTAGAGAGTGCCGGGCTGGCCACTTGCTGACTGGTCTGGAAGAATTAGAATAATTATGGGAAGGCCCTTTAAGGTGCTCACAAGCCTCTTTAGGAGACACAGGTACTAATCATTAGGAACGAGGCAGGAGGCATGCATGGCCAGTGCTGTGGAGTGGGCACGAGGCTGTCTCGTCTCTTCACTGGGCAGGAGGGGAATCATGAGGTCAGAGCGCTTCGGGAAGGTGGGCGCGGCACAGGGTTCTGGCTCAGCCCTGCTGCAGTGTTGGGTCAGAGGCATGGATACCACCTGTGAGGTGGAAACGGATGGACAGGAGTGTAGAAGACAGTGCCACAGGCGGGATTCTCCAGGAGGCCAACCCTGAGTCAGAGTTAGGAGAGCAAAAGATTTATTGGGAGCCAGGCACGGTGGCTCACGCCTGTAATCCCGGCACTTGGGGAGGCCAGGGTGAGTGGATTGCTTAAGACCAGGAGTTTGAGACCGGCCTGGGCAATGTGGCAAGACCTTGTCTCTACAAAAAATACAAAAATTAGCTGGGCATGGTGGCTCGCACTTGTAATCCCAGCACTTGGAGAGGCCAAGGCAAGCAAATCGCTTAAGTCCAGGAAAATTTGAGACCAGCCTGGGCAACATGGCAAGACCTTGTCTCTACAAAAAATACAAAAATTAGCCAGGTGTGGTGGTGCACACCTGTTGTCCCAGTGTGTCCGGAATTGGTGGGTTCTTGGTCTCACTGACTTCAAGAATGAAGCCGCGGACTCTCGCGGTGAGTGTTAACAGCTCTTAAGGTGGTGCGTCTGGAGTCTGTCCTTTCTGATGTTAAGATGCGTTCGGAGTTTCTTCCTTCTGATGGGTTCGTGGTCTCGCTGGCTCAGGAGTGAAGCTGCAGACCTTCGCGGTGAGTGTTACAGCTCTTAAGGCAGCGCCTCTGGAGTTGTTCGTTCCTCCCGGTGGGCTCGTGGTCTTGCTGGGCTGAGGAGTGAAGCTGCAGATCTTCCCGGTGAGTGTTACAGCTCATAAAAGCAGCGTGGACCTAAAGAGTGTGCAGTAGCAAGATTTATTGCAAAGAGCCAAAGAACAAAGCTTCCACAGTGTGGAAGGAGACCCGAGCGGGTTGCTACTGCTGGTTCTGGCAGCCTGCTTTTATTCTCTTATCTGGCCCCACCTACATCCTGCTGATTGGTAGAGCCTAGTGGCCTGTTTTGACAGGGTGCTGACTGGTGCATTTATAATCCCTGAGCTAGATACAAAGGTTCTCCACGTCCCCTTAGTTAGATACAGAGTATCCACACAAAGGTTCTCCAAGGCCCCACCAGAGCAGCTAGATACAGAGTGTTGATTGGTGCCCCCTGAGCTAAACACAGGGTGATGATTGGTGTATTTACAATCCCTGAGCTAGACATAAAGACTCTCCACATCCCCACCAGACTCAGGAGCCCAGCTGGCTTCACCTAGTGGATCCCGCACCGGGGCTGCAGGTGGAGCTGCCTGCCAGTCCCTCGCCGTGCGCTCGCACTCCTCAGCCCTTGGGTGGTCGATGGGACTGGGTGCCGTGGAGCAGGGGGTGGTGCTCCTCGGGGAGGCTCGGGCCGCATAGGAGCCCATGGAGGGGGTGGGAGGCTCAGGCATGGCGGGCTGCAGGTCCCAAGCCCTGCCCCGCGGGAAGGCAGCTAAGGCCTGGCGAGAAATCGAGCGCAGCGCTGGTGGGCTGGCACTGCTGGGGGACCCAGTACACCCTCCGCAGCCACTGGCTCGGGTGCTAAGTCCTTCATTGCCCGGGGCCGGCAGGGCTGGCCGGCTGCTCCGAGTGCGGGGCTCGCCAAGCCCACGCCCACCCGGAACTCCAGCTGGCCCGCAAGCGCCGCACGCAGCCCCGGTTCCCGCTTGCGCCTCTCCCTCCACACCTCCCTGCAAACTGAGGGAGTGGGCTCCAGACTTGGCCAGCCCAGAAAGGGGCTCCCACAGTGCAGAGGTGGGCTGAAGGGCTCCTCAAATGCCGCCAAAGTGGGAGCCCAGGCAGAGGAGGTGCCACGAGCAAGCGAGGGCTCTGAGGACTGCCAGCACGCTGTCACCTCTCACCAGTTACTCGGGAGGAGGATCACCTGAGCCCAGGAGGCAGAGGCTGCAGTGAGCTGTGATTGTGCCACTGAACTCCAGCCTGGGCGACAGAGCAAGACCCTGCCTCAAAAACAACAACAACAACAACAACAGCAACTATGTGTGTGTGTGTGTGTGTATATATATATATTTATTTATTTATGAGGGAGCAACACCCATGAAGAAAAGAGAGGCTGCAAGAGAGTGCAGGAGGGGTGGGTAAGCTGCGATGTGGATCTGCCACACTCATCTCTGGCAGCCCAGTGGGCATGCAGAGCCAGTGCTGCCCATCAGAGGAGCCCTTGAGGGGTGGAATAGTCAGGCCCTTGTATCCTCACCTAGCTCAGACTCCTGGAGAGGCAGAGAGGATGCTGACCCTGAGGAAGCCAACGGCTGGAGGCCAACCACGCTCCACGCAGCTAGGCAGTGCGCCTTCCTTGGAGAGCCACGGTGGCCTGGCCTGCCCCCCGCCAGGAGTGGAGCCTCAGGAAGTCGGATCTCACGCCCCAAGTCCCGGGGCTGCCCTGCTAGGTCTGCCCATGCCGGGAGGGGTGGTCCCCTGCTTGGCTCTCCTCGGGTGGCCCTCCCAGTCACTCCGTAACAACGGGTGGTCCCCCACCTGTCTAGGTCCCTGGACCCCTGCTGAAGACAGGGGATGTTTTTAGGGGAGTCCTGCCCCTCGAGGCTCAGCTCTATCAGAGATGGCTTGGATAGGGCCTCAGGCGGCGGCAGTGCAGGGCGGGGGCACCACCAGCAGTTTGGTGTGATGGGCGGGAAAAGCTCAGAGTGGAAGTGACCGGAACAAGGTGCCGGTCCACATGTCTCCCTTCACACCCGTTACACCCGGCAGTAGGGGCTGGCCGGAGGCACTGGCTCACAGGCTCTGCCTCCTGCAGAGATGTTTACCCCCGCCACCTGCACTCGTTCCCACCTCCCTCAGGCCCAGGGGTCTTGCCCTGCCCAGGGAGGGGACCGCCCACTTACTGGTGTTGACAGGAGGACTGGGTGCAGGATGACCACCTGTGCACTCTCGGTTCAGTCGGGGGTTACCTCTGAAGCTCCCTTCCCCTCTACGCCTTCCTCCTACCTCTCACTACTCTGTCCTGAGGCAGGTGCAAGCAGACAGTCACTCAAACTATTCATCTCCCCAAAACGCTAAAGACAAGCCCAGGTGGCCCACATGTCATCCGCACCCCCAGGAACCCTGATGGGGTTGGTGGGGGCGTCATCCTTGTCACTCTTCACTGCAGCCTCTGAGAGCTCAGACCTCCCACAGTGGGGCTCTGAGCAATGGAGATGGCCAGAAGGTCGGGGGAGTGCCCCGGAGTAGCTGGCAGGTGGGAGCCAAGGGGCTTCCTTCCTGCTTCGCACCAGGCTCCATTCACCAAGCCCGAAACTCTGTCCCCTTAGGGATGGAGGCTCTTCCATTTCACAGAGGACATGAGACATAGAATACGGGACGAGACGTCGTCCGAGGTCAGCCGGCGTTGTTGTCTGCTCCACAATCTGGGGTCCCTGATGCCTGGTCTCGGTCCTGAAGACAGCGGCTCAAATCGCCCACCACCGAGTGGATGGCTCCCGAGTGCCCGGTGATCTCCGTTCCCTGCTGCACGGGCTAGGCTGTGTAGGTTTGCATTTAGGAAGTCCTTAGCACTTTCTGAGCACCTACCATGTGCCAGGGGCTGGGAACATGGAAAGAAAGAAAAACAGCCTGCCACTGGTTCACGTGCTGCCACACCGAGGCCTGTCCTGAGAGCACAGGCAGACTCTGGAGAGCAGAAAGTCTGTCTTCCTTAACCCTGGCTGGTCCAAATTTCTTTCATTCAGCTACAGGATCTGACACTCCTATTTTTTACTTCCAGTGAGGTTTTGCAGCCAGTGGCCAAATTTCCCCAGCAAGGCTGTTAGGAAAGCGTGTGTGTTCTCTGTGCGGTGGCCTGCCCCCGGGAGCTAGGCTCTCAAGCTGGTTGGCACCGAGCGGCTTTCCTGAGCCAAGCCTGTCACTTAGATGACAGTTTATAGATCCAGGAAGCCAGGTGACCTGAGGCTTCATCCCAAACTTGTCCTTGTGCAGACCCCCACCTGGGAATGGGCTGCAGGTCCCCACCTGATGGGAGGTGTCGGGAGAGAGAGAGTGGAGCCAGCCTGAACTCTGAGGCCAGGTGCAGTGGATCAGATTTCTGGGGCAGCTGTCACAAAGTTCCCCAGACTGGGCAGCTTCAACAACCCCCACTTATCATCTCGAAGTTCTGGATGCTGGAGTCCAAGACCAAGGCGTTGGCAGGATGGCCTCCTTCTGAGGTCCCTGTCTGGCATGGAGATGGCCACCTTCTGCCCGTGTCTTCCCACGGTCTTCCAATGGCATGCGTTTGTGTCCAAGTTTCTTTCTTTTTTCTCTTTTTTATTTGGGATGGAGTCTCGCTCTGTTGCCCAGGCTGGAGTGCAGTGGCACAATCTCAGCTCACTGCAACCTCCACCTCCCGGGTTCAAGCGATTCTCCTGCCTCAGCCTCCCGAGTAGCTGGGATTACAGGTGCACACCACCACGCCAGGTGAATTTTTTGTATTTAGTGGAGACGGGGTTTCGCCATATTGGTCAGACTGGTCTTGAACTCCTGACCTCAGGTGATCCACCTGCCTTGGCCTCCCAAAGTGCCGGGATTACAGGCGTGAGCCACCATGCCTGGCCCCAGGTTACTTTCTGTAAAGAACACCAGTCATATTGGATTAGGGCCCACTCTAATGACCTCATGCCCTCTTGATTTACCTTTGTAAAGACCCTATCTCCCAATAGGGTTATATTTTGAGGTCCTGGGGGTTAGGACTTCAGCATATGAAGTTTGAGGGGACACACCATTTAACCTATAACACACCCCAATTCCAGGTTGCCATGCTTACTGGCAGGAGCTTCACCTTCTATTTATATGTCTGGACCATGGTGCCTGTTACCTATGGCAGGGGCTCTCACATGCAGCAGTTGCCTGATTGTAGTGTGTACCGATATGTATAGCTGGCTAGAGTGTGTGATCATCTGGGGACTCAAGGCACCTTAAACATGTGGGGTAGGAGGTGGGGAGGGGAGAATGGGAGGAGAAAGCCCTGAGGTCTTGTTCTTGGCCCAGAAACTCCTGTGCACACCTCTGTAGTTACAGTCCTCTGCAGGTATGCAGGACTGCCCAGAAGACAATTCGCCTTAATTGCCTAGGCCACCCCGGGCATTTATGCATCTTTCTGGGAGGGGAGCAGAGGGGAAGGGCTGGGCAGGCGTAGCAGCTGCAGCCCTGTCTGCCGCCCCTGGAGACTCAAGCTCACAAATGGCCTATAGTCTGGGGGCTGGGTTGCAGAGTCCTTGTTGCTTAGGGTTGCTGGATTTAGCAAATAATAATACCAGATGTCCAGTTACATTTCAATTTCAGATCAATTACAAATAATGTTTTAGTATCGGTATTTTCCAAACATTGCATGGGACATACCTACATTAAAAAATTACTTGTTTACCTGTTAGAGGAGGCAGTTAGGAAAGACCTCTCTGAAGAGGACATTGGGCAGTGATCTGAGTGAAATCAGGGACACAGCAGTGCAGATCTAGGGGAAATAATGGAGACAGAGAGAACAGCAGGTGCAAAAACGTGGCTGAGGAGCCCCAGAAAGGCCAGCGTGGCACGGTCTCCCATTTTAGTGTGAGCTTGTTGAAGTGTGGATTCCAGGCCCTGCTTCTAGTGCAGTAAATATGGGGTAGGTACGGGACCCCATCAAGAAGCTCAGTTCGCATCTATCCTATTCCCTACTCCTTCTCAAGTTTTCAGACACAGTCCAGGGTATGAAATGCACCATCGTGGGCTCAGAGCTGGGGGGAGCCCCTCAAGGACCACCTGGTGCAAACCTCTCCAGTTACTGATGAGGAAACTGAGCTCCAGGGGGTCTTTAAGGACCTCATCCAAGGGATCTGGTCAGAGGAGAGCATGGTGCTTTTGTGCACAGCCAGGTCCAGGTCTTCCGGGGCACTTCTAAAAGGAGTTTGGGGAGCAGCGTGTGGTTTTTGGGGAGCCCCCACCCACTCCCCAGTGCCTGTGGCTTTGAAGCTAGGGCTTCCTGCATGGCCCTGTTGGGCCCTGCTGATCCTAGAGGTCTCACGGCTCATGGCCCAGGGTCCCTAAGGTTGTGTCCACCTTCTGGCTTTCTGGCCCCTTAACCTTTGGCAAATACTTGCCGGTCTAACTTGAGTTCCTTGCTAGAGCTTGTTTCTTTCTTCATGTTTGAAAGAACATAAAAGAGAGAGAAGGGACAGTTAGAGCTATTTATGGAGCCGCAGCCCTAGAAAGCTCCTATCTGTTCTTTCTCCAAGCAGGAAAACCAATTGTAGGCCTCTGACCTCCTCCCTCTCCAGCTCCCAGTGGCCTCCGAGAGCCCCTTGAGCTGCAGAGAGATGCGGACTCTGCAGGCCCCTCACTGCCAGCACCTTCATCACCGAGAGCCTCCACCTGGGCTGGTGGTGGGGGTGGAGAGAATCAAGGAGCAGGAAGAGAGGTGAAGCGACACCGCCGAGGAGCCCCCTGCTCTGTTCTTCATCCTAGACACAGGGAGCACCGGCTTCTCCGCAGCCTTGCCTGGCGCTGCCCTGCAGCCACCCACCCCCCTTCTGAAGGATGCAGCCAGCACAGAGAGAGGGAAGCGAGACAGGAAGTGACCTCAATTTCCCCGGCCACAGAAAGGGCGGCTCCCCCTGCCTCTGCAGCTGGGTGTGAGTCCGCGGAGCTGAGAGCCTTGCCCTCTGCTCCATCCTCCTCTTTTGGGGGTCTCCGCGGTGTCAGGACTTGGAGAGCCTGGTCGTGGGACTTGATCAGAGAGGCCTTGAGTGCAGTGGGTGCTTATCTGGTGACTGTGGCCCTGAGGTCTGGGACAGACACTGCCAGTCTTTCTGGGCCACACCCACGGGGACTGCCAGCCCCCCTGGGCTTGGCACAGTGGAGGGGAGCCTCCACCACAGTGGAGGAGAGACACACCCAAGGCCCTGGATGTGCCCGGCTCTCTGCAGCTGTGGGTGCCTCAGGCCGGCCGCCGATGGGTCTCAGTTTCTGAGGGGGTGGCAGTGAAGTTGCAGAGAAGAAACCTATGAAGGTGCCCTGTCAACTGCCACACGCCGAGATGCACATTGACAGCCCATCACCGCCTCTTGCCTGTCCTCCCCGGGGACCGGCAGATCATGGGAGATGATTTGTCAAGGGGAGACACATTTGGGTGACACCAAGCCGAGCTTCCTGTCTTGAGACGCTTTCTGCTTTCTCATCTTCCTGCTAATGAGTTGCCTTTTGTGTGTGTAAGTTCAGAGGGCCTCTGTCACTGGTGTAACCTCTCCAGAACATTTGAACATGAAACAAACATCATTTCTCTAGATTAAATTAAATTAATTCCCAGCCGCACCTCCTGAGAGGAATCATCCACTGGGTTCCTGGGCGGGGAGGGGTCCTCACTGCATGTGTCAGAGGCGTGTGAACCAGAGCAACTCCATCTTGTATAGGGGCTGGGGAAAATGAGGCTGAGACCTACTGGGCTGCATTCCTAGATGGTTAAGGAAGTCACAGGATGAGATAGGAGGTCGGCACAAGATACAGGTCATAAAGACCTTGCTGATAAAACAGGTTGCAGTAAAGAAACTGGCCAAAACCCACCAAAACCAAGATGGCCATGAGAGTGACCGCTGGTCATCCTCACTGCTACACTCCCACCAGCACCGTGACAGTTTACAAATGCCATAGCAATGTCAGGAAGTTACCCTATATGGTCTAAAAAGGGGAGGCACGAATAATCCACCCCTGGTTTAGCATATCATCAAGAAATAACCATAAAAGTGGGCAACCAGCAGCCCTCAGGGCTGCCCTGTCTGTGGGGTAGCCATTCTTTTCTTCCTTCCTTTCTTTTTTCTTTCTTTCTTTTTTTTTTTTTTTTTTGATAGAGTTTCGCTCTTGTTGCCCAGGCTGGAGTGCAGTGGTGCGATCTCGGCTCACTGCAACCTCCTCCTCCTGGGTTTAAGCGATTCTCCTGCCTCAGCCTCCTGAGTAGCTGGGATTACAGGTGCCCATCACCATGCCTGGCTAATTTTTTGTATTTTTGGTAGAGATGGGGTTTCACCATGTTGGGCAAGCTGGTCTCGAACTCCTGACCTCAGGTGATCCACCCGCTTCAGCCTCCCAAGGTGCTGGGATTCCAGGCGTGAGCCACCGCGCCCGGCCCCTTCACTTCCTTAATAAACTTGCTTTCACTTTACTCTGCGGACTCACCCTGAATTCTTTCTTGCGCGAGATCCTAGAATCCTCTCTTAGGGTGTGGATCCGGACCCCTTTCCGGTAACGCATGGGCTCATGTGGGAGTCCCGAGGCTTTTGGGGGAACAGGAGCACTGCGTCGGCCTTGGCTTAATCCTGGGCACTCACTGCGGCTCCTCTGTTCCCTGAACAGTGTCCCCCCCGTCCAGGGGCTCAGAGATGTCCCCATGGGGTCCTCCTGGGTGGCCAGACTGTGCCCAGGGACCCCTTCAGGGCTCTTGAGATGGGGGAGCTCTGTGGCTCTTCCAGGGCCCACGCCACGGGCTGTGGGCAGTCTGGCTGCCTGCGCAGGAGGCAGGCGTTTCCTATCGGAGGACCCCAAGCCCAAGGCCCCCTTCCTGCTGGGCCTCGGGCAACTCAAGTGATTCCTCTCTGGTCTGGCTGTGGGAGTTGGTTCCTTCTTGCCTGGGCAGCCCCTGAAGCACAGAGAATCAGCTCCCAAGCCCATCCTTCCTTCCTACTCTGGGAGCCTGGTGGAGGAGCACAAAGTCCTGTCTGTCCTTCCAGGTTGGGGGAAGGCGCATTCCTCTCACCTCGTTTCTTGTGCACAGACAGCTCATTTCATAGCCATCTGGCAGGTGCTCAACCAAAGACGTCTCATGGCACTGTGGATCAGGAAAAGACATCTGATGCTGGAGTCCTACGTGGTTCATAGCCTCAGGCCCCAGCCCGTAGCCCTGCCTGCGTCACCAGGCTGTCAATGGGACAGGAGCACCCTGCTGTGCCCATTTTGCTTACCCAGAAAAAAACTTTGTAAAAGGCTTTGTATTTCCTTCCCTAGCCCTGGCTAACTGCACATGGTCACACTGTTTTTTCAGATCCCACTTCCTGTCCCACCCAGCCCCAAATGTCCGTGGAACCGGCCCCACTAACCTGCATCCAGCTGCCTCTTCCACCTGGGCCCTGCTCTCAGATGGAAGTGTCACCAAACACCCAGATCGCCGTGCTCCTGCTTCTCTGGGTAAGCACTTACAGAGGCTACACAGGTGCTTGCCAGGTTACGTTAGGCTGTGCCTTCTTTCCTTGTGGCCCATGCACAGGCCTCTGGCCAGCTCTGTCCGGGTGGCAGCTCTCCTGGTGTCCGGCAAGCTTCCTCTGCTCGGACTCTGCCAGTCAAAGCCCAGCCCTGGCTCCTGGAGTCTGCAGTGCAAGTGGCCTCAGAAGCCCAGCCTCCCTCTGCAGCTGAACCCTGCAGCCCTTGTGTGAGGTCAGACCCCAGCGCCCCTCATTTCCTTCTTTGGAATGCAGGACTGACTTGCAGGCAGAGGCTTTGTCTGTGTATAAGCCCAGACAAGCCTCCCAGGTCCTGCCATTAAGAGTCTCCAGGGGATTCTAGAGATTTCAGACGTGAGCAAATCCCAAGATGAATTTTTAAAGTATCTTTCAGCAGAGGAGAAATCCCAGTGGCCAAGCTTTAGTTTTCAACAAAACGGAAATAGATATTTTAAATTGGGGAAAAATTTCGTGGTCTTGTGCTACCCGCTCCCGGTCCCTTTTCCATGTGACGTTAATGATGCAGTGAACTGTTGCTGAGCC
Organism: Homo sapiens; assembly: GCF_000001405.40. NCBI lineage: Eukaryota > Metazoa > Chordata > Mammalia > Primates > Hominidae > Homo > Homo sapiens. The sequence goes on along the minus strand of NC_000001.11, from coordinate 225,464,647 downwards.
AAGCTGCATGCTCGGGGTTTTTCTCAACCCAGTACTTCAGGTAGCCAGCGCTAACCAAAGTTTATTTATTTATTGAGACAGAGTCTTGCTCTTGTTGCCTAGGCTGAAGTGGAATGGCGTGATCTTGGCTTACTATAACCTCCGCCCCCCAGGTTCAAGCTATTCTCCTGCCTCAGCCTCCTGAGTAGCTGGAATTACAGGTGTCTGCCACCATGCCTGGCTAATTTTTGTATTTTTAGTAGAGACAGGGTTTCACCATGTTGGCCAGGCTGGTCTCGAACTTCTGACCTCAGGTAATCTGCCCGCCTCGGCCTCCCAAAGTGCTGGGATTACAGGCATGAGCCACCACACCTGGCCTAACCAAAGGATTTTATTTGCTCTCCCTGGAACGTGAAGTGCCCTCAATCCTGACTGGCTGAATTCAGGTTGGCATCAGCTGTCGTCAGGATGACAGCAATGCCGGGTCCCTGGCCCCCTGCCTCCAGCCTCCTGCCCTCCAGCACTGCCTCCACTGCAGCCAGTGAGGTCTGATCTTCTCGTTCACCTCTCAGAGTGGCTCAGTGGTGAAACGTTGTCTGCAGCAGGGGTGGGCAAACCTTCTCTTTAAAGGGCCACTTATAAATGTTTTCAGGCCATAAGGTCATCATGGGGTGAAAAGAGCCACAGGCAGTATGCAAATGAACAGGCAGGGCTGTGTTCCAATAAAACTTTATTCACAAAAACAGGTGTCAGGTCAGATTTGGCCCTGGGGCTGCAGTTCCAGTCTACAGAATAAGGTGTGCTCAGCTCAGCAGTGCAGTGAGCATTTTGGGTGTGGTTCTTTTTTACCTCTTCAGTGTCTCACCTGCCACACCCACTACCACTCCCCACCGCCACACCCTGTGCCAACTCCTTGTCCCTGGAAGTTGCCCAGAGGCCTTCTGCTTCCTTGGGGTCTTTGCACAGGATGTGTTCTCATCCTGCAGACCTGGCTGCCTGATTCTCCACCTGAAAATCTCCCACTTGCTTCTACAGATTCAGCCCACCCCTCTCAGGGGCCTTGCCAAGAACTGCTCCTTCAGCCCTGTCCCCTCACAGGCTTTATCCTGCTTGGCCTCTGAGCAGCACCAGGCCCTGTGCACCTCTCCCCTCCCCTCCCTCCTCTTCCTTGGGAGGCTGTTTTGCCTGTTTTCCTCCCGCCTCCCTGACTGCTCCTGCTCCACCCCCTTCCACTGTGTTCTCAGCTGCTGATGCTTCTTTCTGCCTCTTCTTCAGCCCCTTCATCTCTCTTCCTCGGGGTGACCTGCACCCCCATGACCTCACTCCCCACCTGGTTACTGATGGCTCCCAGATCCACGCCTCCAGCTGGGCCTCTGCAGAGCATGATCCCACCAGACACTCCACGCGGCAGGGGCTGTTCAGACTCACTGCTTTTCTCCCCACGCCTGTGCTTCCTCCTGAAATCCCCCTCTGTAAGATGGCATTGCTCTAGGACTGACAGGTTTGCACGCCCGCTGTGCAGTAACAGGCCAATTACATCGAGACAGCAGGGAAATAATAGCAGGGCACCAAGCCAGGAGATGGGAGGAAGCCCTGAAATTCATCTCCCTGAGGAGTTCTGGGCTGGGATTTTTAAGGGGATCATGGAGGGTGAGGGGTTGGGAGACTGGGGTCTTTGATTGGTTGGAGTGAGGGGAATGAAGCCACCAGGAGGTGGAAACTCCATTCTTTGTGAGTCTGTTCCCGTGGGGTCCTTGAGACCAGCTGACATCAGTAGTGTCACTGGTGTGCAAGGACCTAAAAGAATATCTCAAATGGAAAACTTACCATTTTATAGTGTTCAAGTTGTTATCTATAGAACAGTGACGGGGAACCTTAATCTTGTCACGGGGTCTACGTGATTTTAGGGCAATAGGCAAACACCTCTGAGGAAGCGGGTCTGGGAGCGGGCTGGCCTCGTGCCAAACGCTGGATGTGCTGCCAGCTGGGTTTATTTTCCTTCCCCCCTCCCTACTTCCCGGGTTCATTTTATAAAGCTTATAGGGATGGTCGCAGCATCTGAGGTGAACACATTTTGGGAGCATCTTTCTAGTCCACAGCAAACCCCTTAGCCAGAGCAGTCCTCCACCGTTGCCCAGTGAGACCCTCCCTCACTGGTCTGTGTCACTGCTCCAGGTTCAATGAGACCCTCCACCCAGATGAGCATGAGCCCAGCCAGGGTGGGCTGTTCAGTTTCTTCCCTGGGAATCTGGAGCTGGATTGAGCTGGTCTGCAGGTAAATGGGCTTTTATTGCGTGAGGGGGATATGGGAGAGGCTGTTCCCACCACCATGGGCCCTGGGACAGCAGCGGCTGTGGGTTGGAGAGAGCGGGGAAGGCAAGCTGCGCAGGCAGGGTCAAAAGAGGGAGGTGGCCCCGGGCTCCAGGCCCCCTGAGGCAGGCCATGGGGTGGCAGGGTAGGGGCAGTGCTCCTGTTGTCTGGATGTTGAAGGAGGTCCTGGGAGATGAGTGATGTGGCCCCATGGCCAGTCATCCAGACTTTCCAGCCCCAGCCACCTTGACCCTCCTTCCCTCAACACCTTCTCTTGCCCTTGAGCTGCTGCTCCCGACAAGTAGGTAGGTCCCCAAGTCACCAGATATTCTGTCATGCTTTAGGTGACTAGACCCCCACATCCCAGCAGCTGTGCTCCCTGGCTGCTCCTGAAGAGTTGCCAGCCCCCTCCCTGGCCCTCACCAGTCCTGACAAAGGGGCTGAGGGGACAGGGGCAGGACTGGTCTGCTGGGTCCAGGGTGGCTTGGGGCCAGGCCGTTCTGTATCCTGGTTTTATAAAACGAAGCTGTGCTGCTCCTTCAGGCGATGGGGCGGGGCAGAGGGGGCACAGACTCCTCCTGACATCTCTGGCTTTGGGACAAAACAATTTACCCGGTGGACTCTTCTAGCCTGGTCTGAGAGCCCAGCAGGCTCGAGACACTGCAACCTGGCCTGGCCGTGGGCAGGCAGGGAGTGGAGGTTGCGGCATCGTCTGGGCAGAGGAGCTGGGGCGTTTGCCAGAAGTCTCCAACGGGCCATCTGGTCCCAGAGAGCAGAGCACACAGCCTCAAGAAATACGAGAAAGGCGGCAGGGGCAGGTGAGCTACAAAGAGGGCTCCCCTGGGCAGTTTCATTTTTAGGGGATTGTTTCATATATCTTCGGACCTTCAGGGTTTTAATATGTTTGAAGCTGTGCAGTGAAGCCCAAGGTCCTCTATGTGACCTTGCAACCCCTCTGGGCCTTGGCCAGCTGCCGCTCTGCCCCTTGCCTGCCCTCCAGACTCTGGTAAACATCAGCAAACCTGGATGGAGAGGAACCGTGGATGAGGATGAAGTGGGGAGTAGGTCCTCCAAATCCTTCCAAAGCCACCTCATCCTTCCAGCTAGCTCCAGGCAGGAGCAGCAAGCTCCCTGTGCTGTCCTGCATCAAACAGGCAAGGACAGCTGGACACGGAGAGAAGAGGCTGCAGGAGAAATGAAATTACCTCCACAGCCCAGGCAAGACAGCAGCCAGGGGTGCCTATCTGCCAGCTGTGCAGGAAAGACCCCTTCCCCACCATCCCCCGCTGGTCGGGGAGAGCCACACTTGCTTTTACTTATACTCAGTAGGTGTGATTAGCAATGCGAGTCTGGGAAGTTTTTTTCTCGAACTAGAAACCTTGGGTGGCACCCTTGTTGGGGTAACAGTGAGAGGTGTGGGTGACAGAGGGGAGGGGCCTTGATGCTTCCTTGCTCTTGGCAGGGGGAGCTGGCTGGTGGATGATTCATTCATTCAGTAATTGTTTATCTAGAGGAAATGATGGGCAAAGGCCCTGTGGGGTGGGCAGTGTCATATGAGGTGTCAGGAGGTGGCTGCAAAGGAGAGGAGCTTGCAGGGGTTAAGGCAGCTGAGGGACCTTAACCCGAGGTGGCACCTGGCTTAGCTCTCATAGCTGTGGTTGCTGCTTTTACGGTAGATTAGATTTTCCTGAAGCATGGCAAGAAAGAATAGTTGGGACAGGCTAGGTTTCTGAGCAGAATGCAACCTTTGGCAAAACCCCATAAAATACTCTGTAGCTTAAAAAAAATCCCCAGACCTCAGCCAACTATAGTTATGCTCCTAAACCAGTTCAACAGAAGCCCTTACATGACTGCTGATCTGGGTGGCAGGTGGTGGCTGTCTGCACCCTAGGCTGCAGGGAGGATGGCCCCGGGAGCCCCCAGACCACAGACACCAACAGAGGCCCGGGGTGGGGTGGGCGGTACCAGAGGCAGCTGCCGAGGACTCTTGGAGATGCTCCCTCTGCTCCTCCTTTTGCCACCAGGGGCCTGAAAAAGGATTTCCTTCCGTGGGAAAATCCAGATCGGCCTCCCTGTCACCTCTTCTTCACCCTCATTCGTTCCTCCCCCTGGGATAATCTGACTGTGCCTGTTCAGCTCTGTGGCTAAACAGAGTGGATCCTGTCAGTCCTCACCCTACGGATCGCTGAGGTCCTGCACCTTTCGCTTGGCCATGCTCAGCTCCGGGGCTCCCACCCGCCTTGCCTTTACCCCGGGACTGCTCTCCGCCTCCGTGGCTGGGTCCTGTCCTCGGGCTCCCTTCTTCAGTAGCAAGGACCTTAGGTCCTCATCCTTGAGCCTCTTCTCTCCCAAACAGACCCTTGTACCTGAGCTTGTCCACTCCCGAGGAGAACAGACATGTGCCCAGGCCTCGGAAATCTGTTGTTTCTAGGCTTCCTCTCTGTAAAGTTCCTGATTCATATAACTCATTGTAGGAATTGTGACTGGACATCCAGAGGCATCTCAACTCCATTGTGTCCCAAACTGAACTGGTCCCCTTTCCCCCACATCCCTGTCCCTCCTTCAGTATCCTCTACTCGGAGAGTAATGTCACCTCCTAAACACCCAGCCCAGAAGCCCTGGGGTCAGAGGAATGCAGGCTTTGGAGTCAACCACCAGACTCAAATCCTGGCTCTACCACCTCCTGTGTGATCCTAGCAAGTTCCTGAGCCTCTCTGTGCCTTAGTTTCCCAGATAGCATCAGCGCTCCTCTTATAGACTTCTAGTGAGGAAACAATGAGATATTCCATTAGAAGTGGCCATACAGATAGCGCTCAGTAAAAATGAGCTGTTATTAATCCCCTTCCCCCAACACACACACACACACACACACACACACACACACACTCACTCACTCAGCCAGTGACTCAGTCTTGTGGGCTCCACCTCATCTCCAGATCCAGGTCCCATTCACTGCCACAGTGGTGGCTCCGACCTTCCCCATTCCCACCCTCAGCAGCTGCAGTCACCTCCTTATTGGTCTTTCTTCCTGCATGGTCTCCCTACTCCCATCTTGGTGAATAATTCCTTTTTAACAACAACAACAAAAACCTTTTTGAGATATAATTCACATATCATACAAGTCGATCATTTAAAATGTAGAATTCAATGGCTTTTAGCACATTCATTGGGTTATGTGACCACCTCCACAACCGATTATTTTTCTTTTTTTTTTTTTTTTTTGAGACAGAGTCTTGCTCTGTTGCCCAGCCTGGGGTGCAGTGGCGCGATCTCGGCTCACTGCACGCTCCGCCTCCCAGGTTCATGCCATTCTCCTGCCTCAGCCTCCGGAGTAGCTGGGACTACAGGCACCCACCACCATGCCCAGCTAATTTTTGTATTTTTAGTAGAGATGGGGTTTCACCATGTTGGTCAGGATGGTCTCAATCTCTTGACCTTGTGATCCGCCCACCTCGACCTCCCAAAGTGCTGGGATTACAGGTGTGAGCCACCATGCCCAGCCTTACAACTGATTTTGTAGCAAATTTTCATCACTCCAAAAAGAAACCCTGTGTGCATTACCACTCACTCCTCATTCCTGCCTCCTGACCCTCTCCCACCCCTAGGCAGCCACTAATCTACTGTCTGCCTCTATAGATTTGCCTATTCTGGACGTTTCATATTAAGGGAACCCTATACTATGCGGTCTTTTGTGGCTAGCTTCTTTTACTTAGCATATTTCAAGGCTCATCCTTGTAACAAGTAGCATTCCTTCTTACGGTCAGATAACATTCCATTGTGTGGATATACTAGGCCACATTTTGTGTATCCATTCACCAGCTGCTCAACTGAATAATACATGGGTTGTTTTCATTTCTTGACTATTACACAGTCCATACAAAATGCTGCTATGAAATTCCTATACAGGTTTCTGTGTGGACATATGTTTTTGTTGCTCTATATACCTAGCAGTCATATTAGTCATATGGTAACTCTATGTCACTTTTGGAGGAACTGGCAAGCTGTTTTCCAAAGTGGCTGTGCTATTTCACAATCTTCCCTGTAAAGTGTGAGGGTTGCACTTTCTCCACGTCCTCACCCACACTCATTACTATCTGTCTTTTTTACTGTGGCCATCCTAATGCCTGTGAAGTGGTATCTCATGGTTTTGATTTGCATTTGCCTGATGGCTAACGGTGTTCAGCAGCTTTTCATGTACTCATTGACCATTTGTGTATCTTCCTTAAGAAACGTCTATTCAGATCCCTTGCCCGTTTTAAATTAGAATATTTATTTATTTTTATTATTATTATTTTTGAGACGGAGTCTCGCTTTGTTGCCCAGGCTGGAGTACAGTGGCGCAACCTAGGCTCACTGCAAGCTCCGCCTCCTGGGTTCACGCCGTTCTCCTGCCTCAGCCTCCCGAATAGCTGGGACTACAGGCGCCCGCCACCACGCCTGGCTAATTTTTTGTATTTTTAGTAGAGACGGGGTTTCACTGTGTTAGCCAGGATGGTCTCGATCTCCTGACCTCGTGATCCGCCCGCCTCTGCCTCCCAAAGTGCTGGGATTACAGGCGTGAGCCACCACGCCCAGCCAGAATATTTATATTTTTATTATTGGTTTGTGAGAGTTCTTCATATATGCTAGAGACAAGTCTCTTAGGCGTATGATTTACAAAACTTTTCTCCATTCTGTGGGTTGTTTTTTCACTGGCTTAATAGTGTCTTTTAAAACACCAAAGTTTTTAATTTGAACGAAGCCCAATTTATCCATGTTTTTCCTTTGGTTGCTTGTACTTTTGGTGTCATGTTTTAAAAACCATTGCCTACCTTGATGTCAAAATTTACGTCTATAATGTTGAGAAAAGAGAACTCTTAGATGCTATTGGTGGGGAAATAAATTAGTTTAGCCATTGTGGAAAACAGTATGGGAGTTTCTTAACAACTAAAAATAGAATTACCGTACAATCCAGCAATCCCACCACTGGGTATTTATTCAAAGAAAAGGAAATCAATATATTAAAGGAATACCTGCACCACCCTTGTCTATTCACAATAGCCAAGATACGGAATCAAGCTGAAAGTCCATCAACAGATGAATGAATTAAAAACTGTGGTATATATATACACAATGGAGTATTAGCCATAAAAAGAATAAAATTCTGTTATTTGCAGCAACATGGAGGGACCTAGAGATCATTGTGTTAGTGAAATAAACCAGACACAGAACTACAAATGTCCTCTCAGTCATATGTGGGAGCTAAAGAAGTTGATCTCATGTCTCGTGCAGGTAGAGAGTAGAATGATAGTTACCAGAGGCTGAGAAACGGGTGGGATGAAGAGAGGTTGAGCTGCTGGGTACAAACATACAGTTAGACAGAAGGAATACGTTCTAGTGTTCGATAGCACAGCAGGGTGACTATAGTTAATAATTTATTATACATTTCAAAATAGACAGGGATATGTGAAAAGTTCCCAACACAAAGAATCGATGAACCTTTGAGGTGATGGATATTCCAGTTACTCTGATTTGATCATTACACATTGTAGGCATGTGTCAAAATATCACATGTACCCCATAAATATGTACAATTATTATGTATCAGTAAAAAAAGCATGACTATATTTTCTGCAAAGAAGTTGTATTAGTCGGAGTTCTCTACAGGGACAGAACTAATAGGAGATATATATATATATATCTATATCTATAGGAGCTTATTAAGCATTAACTCACATGATCATAAGGTCCCACAATAGGCCATCTGCAAGCTGAGGAGCAAGGAGAGCTGGTCCAAGTCCCAAAACTGAAGAACTTGGAGTCCAATGTTCGAGGGCAGGAAGCATCCAGCATGGGAGAAAGATGTAGGCTGGGAGGCTAGGCCTGTCTAGTCTTTTCACGTTTTTCTGCCCGCTTTGTATCCTAGCCACACTGGCAGCTGACTAGATGGTGCGCACTCAGATTGAGGGTGGGTCTGCCTTTCCCAGCCCACTGACTCAAATGTTAATCTCCTTTGGCAGCACCCTCACAGACACACCCAGGATCAATACTTTGCATCCTTTAATCCAATCAAGTTGACACTCAATATTAACCATCACAGAAGTGTATAATTTTACTTCTTATATTTAAGTCTTTGATCCATTTTAAGTTAATTTTTGTGTATGAGGTGAGGCAGTGTTCTAACTTCATTCTTTTATGCGTGGATGTCTAAGTTGTCCCAGCCCCATTTATTGAAAATTGTCTTGGCATCCTTGTCAAGAATTAATTGGCTGTAAATGTGAGAATGTGCTTCTGAACTCTCAATTCCATTCCATTTATCTATATATCTCTATTCTTTTTTTTTTTTTTTTGAGACGGAGTCTTGCTGTTGCCCAGGTTGGAGTGCAGTGGCGCGATCTCGGCTCACTGCAGGCTCCGCCCCCCGGGGTTCACGCCATTCTCCTGCCTCAGCCTCCGGAGTAGCTGGGACTACAGGCACCCGCTACTTCGCCTGGCTAATTTTTTGTATTTTTAGTAGAGACCGGGTTTCATCGTGTTAGCCACGATGGTCGCGATCTGCTGACCTCGTGATCCACCCGCCTCGGCCTCCCAAAGTGCTGGGATTACAGGCGTGAGCCACCACGCCCGGCCTATATCTCTATTCTAATGCTAGGATCACACAGTCTTGATTACTGCAGCTTTGCAGTAAGGTTTGAAATCAGAAAGTGTGAGTCCTCCAACTTCGTTCTTTTTCAGGATTGTTCTGGCTATCCTGCGTCCCTTGAACATCTACATGAATGGGCAATTCCTTTTAAGATGCTTTATTTATTTTTTTTTTTTTTGGATAGAGTCTTGCTCTGTCACCTAGGCTGGAGTGCACTGGTGTGACCATGGCTCACTGCAGCCTCAACCTTCCAGGCTCAAGTGATCCTCCCACCTCAGCCTTCTGAGTAGCTAGGACTATAGATGTACTAATTTTTATTTTTCTATTTTTTCGTACATATGAGGTCTCACTATGTTACCTAGGCTGGTCTTGAACTCCTGGGCTTAAGCCATTCTCCCATCTCAGCCTCCCAAATTGCTGGGATTACAGGTGTGAGCCACTGCTCCTGACCCTTTTAACATACTTTAACTCCTCCTCCCTTTCCCTGTCATCATCCATCTACAAATGGATTGATTAGCTTTAATGGGGAAACACACGTCTCCCCTTTCTTGTGTTTTAGAACAACACTCAAAATTAACAATCGTTCTGAGTGATTCTTTTGTTTAAAGAGCTCTTCTGATTCACTGTGGACTCTGGGGGCAATTGTCACCCTGGTTCTGGTTTTCTGAGACTAGACATAAGGGGTGGGTGGCGTGGGAGAGGTGACAGGAGCAGCCAGCCTGTGTTGAACAACAGTTCTGGCGTTTCTCTGACTTCTCTATCACCCTGGTCGAATGGGTGGCTGAGTCACCAGTGTGTGAATCACAAGTGGAGAAATGTCAGGCAGTTGACAGACTGGTCTTTGAAGGCAGTGGAGCCTGAACGCAAGTGCCTTTCTGAATCTCTGCGGGCATTTATTAAATGCAGATTCCTGGAGCTCATGATTCAGGCATCCTGAGCTCCTAAGAGATGCTAAGTCCTCTCTCTGTAGAGTTTTCACTCTAGTGGAGAAAAGGCCAGTAATAAACAAGCAAACATCAGATACCAATGTTAATTGCAGAAAACAACGATAATGTCCAGAGAGTACCAGGAGGTCTACTTCAGATCAGGTGCCGAGGGAAGATCTCTTAGGAGATGACATTTCAGCTCAGATCTGAATGACCAGAGTGAGCCTCCACTGAGAAGGCTTTTGTGGCTATGAGAGTGCCCTGCCCAGCCAACCTCAGGATGGCTGCTAAGGGTATCTGTGCTAAGCTGACTTGAGCCACATTCTCTTCCAGGAATGACCATCTTTATGTTTTAGCTGTGTTCTTGTCACATTCTCTCCCGTTTGTGGATATTTTTGTGATGCAACCTTGTTTGCTTATTACTCACTAGTGGAGAGAGGTGAGGAGTTGTTCACTTTTTGTTTGATCTCTGTTTTCTCCCACGAGGACACACATTCCCGGAGGGCAGGGGTGCTCTGTCTTGTTGCATCTGTGTTCTCATACCCAGCACAGGTTCTCAGTAAATATATGTTGAATCAACTAATGATGCAGCATCAACTGCTACCAAATTTAGCTACTGATCCTGGCACCTGTTATAACAAATAAACACGACTGTGTGTGATGGAGCATTGCCAACTTCTGATGGGTGTTCTGTTTAATCCAAATGTTAGACTGTGAGGCACATTTTCAAGAGTGCAGGTTTTAGTAACTGCTCTTCCTGTAGAGTGCTGTGTTCTTTTGTGCATAATATGTAATAGTTAGTGAGCATTAACATTTGTTGTGAGATTTGCTACATGTCAGAAGCCATGCCCAGTGCTTAATGCATTATTCCTATTTACCTCTAACAAGTCATATTCATGAAGGTGCTATCATTATTCTCATTTTATGGATGAAGACACTGTGGCAGCTAGAAGCACTCACTTGCCCAAAGTTGCACTGCTGCCAGATGAGAATCTGGGATTCTCAATCCAGGAAATATGTCTCTGATATGGTTTGGCTGTGTCCCCACCCAAATCTCACCTTGAATTGTAATAATCCCCTCCTGTCAAGGGCAGGGCCAGGTGGAGATAATTGAATCATAGGGGCAATTTCCCCCATACTGTTCTCATGGTAGTGAACAAGGCTCATGAGATCTGATGGTTTTATAAATGGGAGTTCCCCTACACAAGATCTCTCTTGCCTGCCACCATGTAAGACGTGACTTTGCTCCTCATTCACCTTCCGCCATGATTGTGAGGCCTCCCCAGCCATGTGGAACTGTGAGTCAATTAAACCTCTTTCCTTTATAAATTATCCAGTCTCAGGTATGTCTTTGTTAGCAGCATGAGAACAGATTAATACAGTCTCCAAAACTGATGCTCTTGATCATGATGCTATGCCCCTTCCTCCAAATGAATATCTAGAAGTGTCCAGCCCAGTGGATTATTCTGCAGATAAGATGCACCCAAACACATATTTTCCTAAGCACCTGAAATGAGTTTTTTTCATTTTTATTGTGGTAAATATACACAAAATTTATTACTTTAACAATTTTTAAGTGTACAGTTCAGCGGCATTAAGTACATTCACACTGTTGTGTAACCATCACCACCATCCCTCTCCAGAATGTTTTCTTTTTCTCTTTCTTTTTTTTTTTTTTGAGATGGAGTCTTATTCTGTCACCCAGGCTGGAGTGAGTGGCGTGATCTCCACTCACTACAAGCTCCACCTCCTGGGTTCAAGCGATTCTCCTGCCTCAGCCTCCCGAGTAGCTGGGACTACAGGCGCCCGCCGCCATGCCCGGCTATTTTTTTGTATTTTTAGTAGAGATGGGGTTTCACTGTGTTAGCCAGGATGGTCTCCATCTTCTGACCTCATGATCTGCCCGCCTCGGCCTCCCAAAGTGCTGGGATTACAGGCGTGAGCCACCGCGTCCAGCTCCAGAACGTTTTCATCTTCACAAACAGAAACTCTGTATCTGTTAAATAGTAACGCCCCATTCCCTTCCCCCAAGCCCTGGTAACTCCCATTTTACTTTCTGTCTTGATGATTTTGACCAGTCTAGGAACCTCGTTTAAGTGGAATTCTACAGTATTTGTCTTTTGTGTCTGGTTTCTTTTACTTAATTATGCTCTCAAAGTTTGTGCATGTTGTGGCAGGTGGGGGCATGGTCTTCCTTTAATGGCTGAGTGATATTCCATTGTATGTAAATACAACGTTTTGTTCATCCATTCACCCACTGAGGGACACATGGGTGGCTTCCCCCTTTTGGCTATTGTGAATAATTCTGCTATGAACATGGGTGTAAGAAGCATGTTCTATGTATTAATTAAGGAAATCAAGGCCTCACCCAGAATGTGTCCTGGGGCTGGAAGGGCAGTTGGGGTCCTGAGGGTGACCTGTCTGCCCGTGGCCCCCGAGCTGGTCGGGAGAAGGCGCCATAATTTTCATGTCCTGTGCCCTCCTCACCCACCACAGCCCTTAGCCATATCTACACCACTGCCTTTCCCACCAGACGGTGAGGCCCCAGGACAGAGACTGGGGTTTTTTGTTGCTGCTTCACCGCCCCCGCTGCTGGCCCCTGCAAGCGCCAATTCTTGTGGTGCACGAGTTCCCCAGGAGAGGGGCCTCTGCACTACTGCCGAACGGAGCCCAGCACAGGTAAATAGTGCCAAGATTTGGGGAGAGCACCCTGAAGCGGGGTGGGCGCGGGCGTGGGCAGCGGGCAGATACTTGCAGCCCGCTTGGCACTGGGAAGCACCCACTCCCAGGCTGCTTTAGGGGGCGCTGCTGCTCTTGGACCCCAGAATGGCTGGACCGAGTGTCCCTAACCCAGCTGGGTGCCACTCTCAGAAGGCGCTATGGCGCTGACACGCAGGAATCCAGGCAGGCTCCCGCGCTGCCCCCGTAGCCTGACCCTGTTTCCTTTCCCAGTGTCTTTTTTTGTCTTCTTTCCAAACCATCTCTGACAAGTGGGGACAAAGTGAAGGGCAGTCTGAAGTTTTCTGAAGGCCTGGTTCTTAGAAACTTTTATTTTTTTAATTTAAATAAAGATTCCAGGAGATACTGTTCTGTCCTAACAAAGGAGTCTCGCAAGGTGTGTCTCTAAAAGGCCACCACGTCAATGACTCAGCCCTCCATAGCAGGGAGCTGAACCACAGGGGCCTGCAGATGGCTACCATTGCCCACAGGGAGATGCTTCTTTACCCACATTAGCTGTTCAGAGGGTATCTTACCAAACCACAACTGCCTCTGTCCGTGTGAAGGAAGGACAGCAAGCTGCCCAGGGCCACTCTGTGGCATAGCCTATGGAGTCAACTCAGCTCTCAGCCAATCCATGAGCACTTAGCGAGCACCTGCTAGGCCCCACAAGCATTGCTCTAGGACTGGGAATGCAGCTGCGAACAAAACAGACACAAACCCCTGTCCCGCAGGAGCTATTCTTCTAGCCCAGACAGACTGATGGGTGTACAAGGAGTGACATATGTGTGTGGTGGAAAGTGCTCTGCAGGGAAGGAAAGGGACTGGGTCAGGTAATGGGTTGCAGTTTTCAGCAGAGTGGTGAGGAAAGGCCTCACTGCAAAGGCAAGACCTGAAGAAGAGAGGGAGAGAGCCTCAGGAGTGTTGGGGAAGTGTTCCAGTCATGAGGGCAGCATGTGCAAAGGCCCTGAGGTGGAATCCAACAGCACGGAGGCCACTGTGGCTAGAGCTGAGTGAGCAGAAGGAAGAGGGTCAGAGGAGGAGGCCAGTGAAGGGGAGGAGGATTCTGAAGGGCTGTGTGCACCTTGGTAAAAGATGGTGATATGGTTTGGCTGTGTCCTCGAGCTGCTGCGGCCTGACAATGAAACCAAGCTTCCAGCAGAAGTGGAGGCAAGGGCTAGGAGACTGTGGCTCCAGTGATATCATATGAGTCCCTTGGTCAAGTTGAGCCGGAAGCACCAGATCTGTCCCTAGACTTTTTGGTTATGTGCCAGGAAAACAATTTCCTTTTTTCCCTTTTCTCTTTGCAGTTTACTTATTGTTATATACATTGCAGTTCAGAGAGTGCCCCTGCTCACAACTGTGTAAGCAGAGTGAGGGTTTACACGGGCCACTGTGACCTTCCCCTTGACAGGAAGCCCCAGGGCTGCGACAGCAGGACGATGAGCTGGCAGAGCTTCGCACAGGCTGCCTGGAAACTGGCACAGCTGCATTCATCAGAAGAAACAGTTGCAGCCGGGTGTGGTGGCTCACGCCTGTAATCCCAACCCTTTGGGAGGCCGAGGCCGGCAGATCACTTGAAGTCAGGAGTTCAAGACCAGCCTGGCCAACATGGTGAAACCCCATCTTTACTAAAAATACAAAAAAATTAGCCGGGTGTGGTGGTGCTCGCCTGTAGTCCCAGCTACTCGGGAGGCTGAGGCAGGAGGACTGCTTGAACCTGGGAGGTGGAGGTTGCAATGAGCTGTGATCGCGCAATTGCACTCCAGCCTGGGCAACAGAGCGAGACTCTGTCTCAAAAAAAAAAAAAAAAAAAAAAAGAAGAAGAAACAGTGGCTGATGCTTATACATATTTTATTTATCTCACAGTGTGGTACAATGTCATAGCCCTAGATAACTGGAAAAGACGCCCCCTGGAATTCTGGAGAATCATGAGAAATGTGTCAGGAGCTTGTTCTGCCTTGGAGGGGGTCTGGAGGTGTGAGGCATAGGGGCTGCCCCTGGGTAACCTGGATCATCAGCTGCTGCGGGGCATGGCCTGCACCATCCTGCCTCCCCAACTTGGCTCTCTCTGTGTCCCCTGCCACGTCAACCTTCCCATCTTTTCTACTGTCTTCTAAAATCCTGCCCATACTCCAAGGCCCTTCTGGAATGCCACCTCCTCCTGTCACCCTTGCTTGCTAATCCCTGACACGTGACCTCTGTTGCTCCTTTGCCATCAAAGCTTGGCAGTGGTCGAGGGAGGCAGTGCTCTCCAATGAGCAGAGCACAGGCTTCCCTTCCAGGCGGCAGAGACCTGGCTCTGCCATCTTCCCACTGTGCGACTGTGGGCATGTCACCTGACCTATTTGAATCTGATTGTCCTCATCTGTAAAATGGGAATAACACTCTCTACCTCGACATTGCAGGGTCCAGAGAGAGGGAGGGGCCGGGTAGAGGAGACCAAATCAACCGCTTGCAGACTCCTGTGCTCTATCATGGAAGGTTCCTAGGGGCTCCTCCTCTGCCCCAGGTGCTCCTCAGGGGCCAGGAGGACAGAGCAGAGGCAGGTCTGGGCAAGAAGGGTGTGACCGCGCTGAGATATGCACCCGTATAGTTGGCAGTCGGCGCCTGCCTTTCCTTGTTCCCAACCCACTCTAGAGTTCAGGCTCCGGGAGAGCAAGGATGGGTTCTGACTCATCCTGTAAGCTCGACGGGTGAATGCCCAGCCTAGGAGGTGGCATAGAGGATACAGGTGGCCCTATGATTGAATTGAGGTAGTGAAGAGTGGGAATTTTTTTTTTTTCAATAACAAATTGTGGCTGGGTGCAATGGCTCATGCCTGTAATCCCAGCACTTTAGGAGGCCGAGGTGGGTGGATCACTTGAGATCAGGAGTTCGAGACCAGCCTGACCAACACGGCGAAACCCCATCTCTCCTAAAAATACAAAAATTAGCTAGTTGTGGTGGCACACGTCTGTAGTCCCAACTACTTGGGAGGCTGAGGCAGGAGAATCACTTGAACTTGGAAGGCGGAGGTTGCAGTGAGCTGAGATGGCGCCACTGACCTTCAGCCTGGGCGACAGAGCAAGACTCCGTCTCAGAAAAACAAAACAAAACAAAAAAAAGAAACCCAAAATTGTGTTAAGCTGAGATCCAAGCAAATAGAGAGGCTGAAAAGAACACAGTTATGTGGGGTTTTCCCCAAGCACAGCTCCTCAATCTCAGCTTTCCACCCTTTGCTGGGTCCTTCCCTCATTCAGCTTTATGGGAGTCTTTATAGAATTCCTACTCTGAAGGTGGCGCCTGGGTCACCAAGTAAGACACAGAATTTGCCCTTGGGGTGCAGAAATAGTGGGTACCCAAGGCAGGATGCCCCAGGCACCATGAGGACATCCAGACAGGGGGGTCAGCAGCCTGGGACTCAATGAGAGGGAGGCGCTGAAACCCAGAGGCCACCCCAAAGTTCAGACCCTGAGAGGGTTAACTTTTGCCCACCCCCACCAAGCCGGACTCTTTTCTCACCAGAGTGGACACAACCTGAAAACCAACTGGACTGAGCATCCTTCTCCTAAAATCTCAGCCAGAAGCCACGATGGAGGGTCCTGGGAAGGGAAGAGATGTGAAGATTTCTGTGATTCTAAAACCTTGGGTCTGCCTGCAAACTTCTCTCTGATCCCAGCCGAGAGCTGTGCACACGCTAGCTAGCCCTGTCACACAATAGCCCAGTGTTCCCGTCACAGTGCCTGGGAATGAGAGGCTTTTGAGGCCACAGAGCTATGACAAGTCCCCAGGTTGAATTGACTCTGGGAGGACAAATTTCTGAGAGACTCACGGGACCCTTATCCAGGACAACCTCACAAAGATCCCTGAAACTGAGCTTCCTCTGCTTCGTGCATAGTTTGAGGTATAAACTTTCCTTGTGTCTCGGTCAGATGAAGTGAAGGATGAATATTATCCCAGGCTAAAGTAACGAAAAGTCCAGAAGCCAGCGATGACAGAGATGTGTGTGGAAGAAGGCTGTGAGCATTTCCATCAAACCCTGTGAGTTTCCGAAGATCTTATCCCGAAGATATGTGTTTGGCCAATAAAACACTGAATAAAAATCCATCATGTTTCCAGAGCCAAGTCGACTTCTGCTGGGCTGGGGTGAGGCAGAGGCAGAATCAGACCTTATAAAGATGTTTTGAATAGCGGCTGTTCTGGGATCGCAGCCCAGTGACAGTGAATGCTTTCTGAGTTCTCGGATGAGAAGGAACAGAGTGACAGACTGACCATAACTGGCCACTGTGGTGTGTGCTCAGCTCCAGACCAGCACCTTATTTGGTGGGGGGAGAGGGTTCAAGGCCCCAGCGAGACAGTGAGTCCTGGTAGGGAAGGAACTCTGGCCAAGCTGCAGGCTGTGCAGTGGAGTGGGTTAGGAGGGGCCCTCGGGGAGGGAAGAACAAGGAGAGAGGGAAGTGAGAGGAAAGGAGGTTTCTCCTTCATCTAAATCCCAAGTATACACCCTTCTAAGGTCTGTTCTGGCCCTTCCCTAGGGAGTGCCTTCCCCTCTACCTGCCAGGTCCCATAGATAAGGATGTCCTCCCCTGCAGGCGCCTGGCCTCCATCACAGCATGCCCACTCTGTGCCCGCTGCAACCTCCTCTGACTCTCCCACTAGACCGGTGCCTGGTACACATGCTCCTGCGTGCATGAACATCGGTCAGCTATGGGTCCTCAAGATGACAAAACCCCCTGCTCCTGTGTCCTCACGGGGATCTGCACCAGCACTGGGCTGAACACTCTCCCTGCAATCTGTCAGTCACGTCTTCTGTAGCATTTTCTTTCTGGCAACAACGGTTGGGGTCATTAAAAGTGTCTTTGAAATGCAACCTTTTAATTACAGGAGGAATACTGCCCCTGGGAAGGGGCCTTTCTTCAAATGCTCCAGGAATTCCTTGGCCAATACACTCCAGGGGGAACACAGCCCAAAACGGGCCTGTGGCTGTGATCAGACCCAGGCATCCTGTCAAAACAGGAGCCTGGGAAGGGGAAGCTCAGGGAAGGAAAGGGGCTCCTCTTGGGAAGAGCAGGGGTGCTGGAGGAAGAAACCCACCCAGTCCCCTTTGGGCCTAACTTAAGATATGCTCACCGGCTCTCTAGCACGCAGTTTTCCCCAGGAGGTCCCTTGGCCATGACCCAAAGTTAGGAACTAGGGGTCTGCGGACGCCTCCTCCTCCCATATCAGAATATGCTCTCCACCGCCTGCACGGTGGCATTGGCTTTCTGGAGCTTTAGGGCCAGCAGGGGCAGCAACCATCTTCCCACGTGTCTCAGGCTGACTGCACACAGCTCCTCTCTTTGTTTTCAGAAGCCAAAAAGAGCCAGGCAGGCCAAAGCGGGAAAAGGGGGGGCTTCTAGGAAACACCTGGGGTGGCTGGGCAGAGGTGAGATGTGACCCTGGCTAGCCTGAGGGCTCCCTGTGGCTTTCGATGGCCAGCCTGTGATAAAGCCCTGAGAACTCCATCTCCTGTGATTTTCCTGGGGTACTGATTTTCCCCTCCCTGGGAGTCTAGGTGTTTGTTTATAATATCCAAGAATGCTAATTGAGATCAAAGTGACTCTGAAGTTCACCCTGGGGGTGCTGCAGTCTGAAAGGTGTTTTGCAAAGACACGATCTTGGTTAGCCCTTCCCTGGCGCTATGCTGCAGGAAGCTTCTCACAGGGAATAGTCCACACTGTAATCTACCTCAGGCAGGTGTGCTGCTGGGAAACTCAGTTAATGATGTCTAATCTTTAAGAGCCATGGGAAACTCAGGAAGACCTAGCTGGACAGATACTACTCAGACATTTTCTCAAATAAGTGTGGCAGAGCCACTCCTCATCTGGTTCTTCCAGTCTTAGTTACCTGCCGAGCCAGGTGTGGCAGGTGTCAGGTACAGGGATCTGGGAGCTCAGAGAGCAGTAGCAGGAGCTTTAGGCTTCAGTTTTTTCTCCCACTTGATGGCCCCAGACGCCTTGGTGAAGTGAAATGCTCCCTGCCTGGGGCTCCAGGATGCCTTCGAGTGACTGCCTTAAGGTTATTGTGTTTTCTTGTGGCTACGCCAGGATGTTCTGCTTCACC
The DNA here is from genome assembly GCF_000001405.40 of Homo sapiens. Lineage (NCBI taxonomy): Eukaryota > Metazoa > Chordata > Mammalia > Primates > Hominidae > Homo > Homo sapiens. The sequence goes on along the minus strand of NC_000001.11, from coordinate 225,446,008 downwards.
AAGCATTTCCATCCTCAATCGTCATGTCCCTACTGAAACTCTGTGTTCTCTTCTCAAGCAATTTTCTGGTAAAAACATTTTCCTGGCTAGCCTGTAAGCATTGCTGTCTAGCTTTTGTGTTAGCACTGATTCAGATGGCCACTACCCACTCTGTGCAGCAGACTTTCAAGACCAAGCAGACTGATAGGCAGGCAGGAGGGTGGAGTTCTCTACCTGCTGGAATGCCCTGAGGCCCAGAGAAGGGATGGACAGGGCATCAGTGTCTCTCCCGTGTCTCTCTTGCCTTCAACCACTGACTCACCCATGTTGTTTCTCACTTAAGTTAAAACACACAGAGGGGCTGTTCTTAGAGAAAGTCTAACTCGGCTGGGCGTAGTGGCTCACGCTTACAATCCAGCACTTTGGGAGGCCGAGGCAGGCAGGTCATCTGAGGTCAGGAGTTTCAGACCAGCCTGGCCAACATGGTGAAACCCCGTCTCTACTAAAAATACAAAAATTAGCTGGGCATGGTGGCGCACACCTGTAGTCCCAGCTATTCAGGAGGCTGAGGCAGAGAATCGCTTGAACCTGGCAGGCAGAGGTTGCAGTAAGCAGAGATCACCATTGCACTCTAGCCTAGGTAACAAGATCGAAACTGTCTTAAAAAAAAAAAAGTCTAACTCTACTTTTGATCAAATTGTATTCTTGCAAACAATTTTGCAAGAAATTGATTGTCTCATTTTGATGCCATGATGACATTTTGGGAAATGTTTCCAAGTTGTTACAGTTTTCTAGCTGCCAGGACCTGGGTGCTTCCTGTGGCAGACAAAGGGTGACTCCGCGCATAGGGTGCCAAGAGGGAGGGCTCCACTCCATTCTGAACTTTTACACATCAGCCTCCTGCAAGATAAGCTTCCTGGTTTTCATATTACAACATGAACCAAACCGCAGAGGTTATGACTTCTCTGTGTTTTAAGCCCTGCCCACTTCCTGCTCACGTGCCTGGTCTGCAACGACCATTTATTTCAGGATGTGAAGTCAAAAGCAAAGCCCAAACAATAGTGAGCGGCTTCTGAGCCAAGCTCGTCAGCCTGCTAACCCACTCAGAACTGCCCCATCTTCAACATGAACAAGTGCTTCTGGAACAAATACCAGCCAATTTCACACAGTCCAGGCCTTTGACATGAAATACGGATCAGCTCTACATTTATGCACGACAATGTCGATTTGTTATCTGTTGGAGTGATTGTATACCTTCGGTGGTAGAACTGAGGTTCCCAGGGGAGCTATTAAGAAAAAAGCTTTTCTGGCACGGGTGCGGTGGCTCACGCCTGTAATCCCAGCACTTTGGGAGGCCAAGGCTGGTAGATCACCTGAGGTCAGGAGTTCGAGGCCAGCCTGGCCAACATGGTGAAACCCCATCTCTACTAAAAATACAAAAATTAGTTGGGCGTGATGGCGCATGCCTGTAATCCCAGCTACTTGGGAGGCTGAGGCAGGAGAATTGCTTGAACCTGAGAGGCAGAGATTGCAGTGAGCCAAGATCGAGCCACTGCACTCCAGCCTGGGTGACAGAGCAAGACTCCATCTCAAAAAAAAAGAAAGAAAGAAAGAAAGAGTTTTTCTGGCTAGGTGTGGTGGCTTATGCCTGTAGTCTCAGCTACTTGGGAGGCTGAGGTGGGAGGATTGCTTGAGCTGGGGGAGTTTGAGGCTGCAGTGAGCTATCACACCACTGCACTCCAGCATGGGTGACAGAGCAAGACCCTGTCTCGGGGGAGAAAAAAAAATGCAAATGCTTTCCTGACAGAACTAAGAGAGTTTGGAACTAGGGTTCTATAAAGTCAGCCCTGGTGTGGGACTTCTGTTATTACAGAGAGTACAGAAAGTGTCCTAAAAGGACAGCTGGGTGGCTGGGCATGGTGGCTCACATCTGTAATCCCAGCACTTCGGGAGCAGAGGTAGGCGGATCACCTGAGGTCAGGAGTTCGAGACCAGACTGGCCAACATGGTGAAACCCTATCTCTACTAAAAATACAGAATTAGCTTGGCATGGTGGTGCATGCCTGTAATCCCAGCTACTTGGGAGGCTGAGGCAGGAGAATCATTTGAACCCAGGAGGTGGAGGTTGCAGTAAGCTGAGATTGCACCATGGCACTCCAACCTGGCCAAAAAGAGCGAAACTCCATCTCAAAAAAAAAAAAAAAAAAAAAAAAAAAAAAGACAGCTGGCCAAACAGCAATAGGCTGATCATGTGTATTTAGCGCACATGGGCACAGCCCATGGCACCAAGGGGGACATCGAGGTCACAGATGAAAAGACTTGCTCTCATAGTGCTTACAGTTTATGAGCCAACAGCCACGTTAAGCAACAGCCTTCACTGGATATATAATTAGGGGTGGGGTAGACACTTTCTACACCAAAGACAACTCTTTAGGCTCCAGATGGGATTCCGGCTGCTCCTGACTGGTCTCTCTTAGTCCTTCATACATCACACACCGTGGACTCTGAGTTACACGCCACTGGTCTCTCTTCCCAGCTCAGCCACTCACTCCGTGTGTCAGCCGGAGCAGGTCATTCAACCATTCTTTCAGTTTCTTCACCTGTGGAATGGGGATAAATGGACCTATCTCACAAGGACATTGAAAGGATTAATAGAGCGATTGCATGCAAAATGCTGGCACCTAGTGGAGTTGTAATCAGAGTAGAAAGACACTATCATGCGTCTCTGTATTCCCAGATACTGGCTGGCCTGCAGCGAGCCACAGCGTTACCATGGGTGGGCCCGTGGGAAGGGGCAAGCATTGACCTAACTCCTCACATTTCCTTATTTTTCTCTCCCCTCTGTTATATCCTTTCTAAATAGTCATTCCAGGATATACAACTCCCTGCCCCTGAACACTTCTGTGGGGTGGCCTGGCTGAGAGCCCAGATTCCCAGGAGAGCCCTGCACGCAGCCAGCTCTCTGTCGCCCCCCTCTCAGGAGAGGCAGGTGGGCAGACCCTGAAACCTAACAGTCCTGAAACGCGCTGAGCATGTCCACGTTACCACAGCAGCCAGGTCACCTCTCCAGGGTGGCATCTTTTCTGCCTCCATTCTTCTTCTTCCTTACCATTTTTTTTTGGCCCTCCGTGTGTGTGTGTGTGTGTGTGTGTGTGTGTGTGTGTGTGTGTGTGTGTTTTGAGATAGAGTCTTGCTCTGTTGCCCAGGCTGGAGTGCAGTGGCGTGATCTCAGCTCACTGCAACATCTGCCTCCCGGGTTCACAGGATTCTCCTGCCTCAGCCTCCTGAGTAGCTGGGATTACAGGTGCCTGCTACCATGCCCAGCTAATTTTTTGTATTTTTAGTAGAGATGGGGTTTTACTATGTTGGCCAGATGGGTCTTGAACTCCTGACCTCGTGATCTGCCCGTCTCGGCCTCCCAAAGTCCTGGAATTACAGGTGTGAGCCAGCTCATGTGTTTGTTTTATGCATCCAATAAATCATGAGAAGGACAAAAAGACCACTATGGTGGGGAAATAGTGCCTGTCTTCAGTTAGCAGTGAGAGGCCAGCAGGTAGGTCACACAGACATGTGGCACCAGTTTTGAAGGGGGACATGTAACACAAGTCTTTGTTAGCCAGGATAAGTCCTTCTGCTGGCTGTGCCGGGCCTCACCTGCACCAGGAAGCCCTCACAGGGCTCTGGCATCCAGCAGGGTGCTCTGTGCAGGTGTTTTGGAGAGCATCATGGTGGAGGGTGTTCCTCCTTCTGCAGAGGAGAAGGCACTCATTCCCTGTGTCAACCGGAGCAGGTCATTCAACCATTCTTTCAGTTTCTTCACCTTCAGCATGGCAATTAATGGCTCAGAGGAACCTCAGGATAAAGTACCTCCTGATCCTGTCATGCCTGGAGTGATTCCCGTACAAATCAGTTTTTTTTTTTGTTGTTGTTGTTCTTTCTGTTTAGAGACTTGAAACAGAAAAAAAAAATGGCCCAGATATTGTTTTATTCTCTCTGAACTCCTTCAGGTGCAGAACAAACGGAAAGGGTTCCAGCCCCTTTGCTTTCAGTTTTATCTGCACACAGTAATGACATTCTAGAAGGGTTCCTGAGCTGTGCACCATCTGCCCAGGCCAAGAGCAGGACACGCAACTCAGACTTCTGCCTTGGAAGTGTAAAGCCTGCCCGGGAGTGTCCACCAACTTCCAACTACTTAAAAAAATCCTCCATTTTTTATGTCTTTGCCTTATCATCCCTGCTTGTGGATTATAAATTACTCTTTTCTTGAAAGAAATATAAACAGAAATACCCCCTGCTGTAGCTGGCTGAGGCAGAGCCAGTAGAGGGAGCTCAGGGGCGTCATCAATTATTAATCCATGGTATTCAGAGTTTCTAACGTTTGCAAACATTCAAAAATGACCCAGGTCTTACCAAGAGGGAATGAAATTGTCATGAAACATGCCTGAGCCAATGGCCTGACAAAGCAAGTTGATTTCAACATGGGCGTGGGTGGCAATGTGATCCTCAGGAGCCATAAGTCCAATTGCTGAACGTAGATGCACCCATCTCCCACCCCCTCGCCATCTGAGGTGAGCACTTTGTTCCCATAGCCTCAGATCCATCCTTAGTTGTTACTGACCTGTGGGTGAGGTCTTAAAGGCCCTGGTGTGAATTCAGGGAGTTCTTACTGCTAACTGTATTTAAAAGCTGGGACGGAGAGGAGGCCAGGGTGTGTACATGGAGGGGCAAAGAGCATGTTCAAGTAGTCTAAGAGACTTCCTGCCAACTGGTCCCTTGTATTTTACAATAACGTGTGGCTCAAGCACTACAAATAGATTTAGGGAAAATGGTGGTTTTGGTTTTGAGCTATTTCCAAACTCTAGGAAAGACATTTTTCCAATTTAGGGATGTCAAAGAACTCATCTAGCTATAACTATATACTCAGTCCATTGCTCCAGGGATCAGGCATAGTGTGCTGATTTTCCAGCCAAAGTACTAATTCAGAGAACTGGGAAATTGTCTCCTGCTGTGGGAGGCCGTGTTCTGAGCAACACCCAGCTGGCTTACTGGCCTTTCCAGGCATCTAAATGTCCTACAGCCACGTAGATCCTCTTGGAAAAGCCTTTTAAATAATTCCTCAAGAACAGTGCACTTCATTTCTTCACTCTCCCTCACTAACCTGAATCCCATTTGATAGACATAAAAATCCCAGGCAGTCCTGGAATTTGTTTTAAATTTCTTCCACTGTCAGAGTTTGACACATATTTGCTGAATGAATGAATGGTTAAAGCAATGAATCAGAACTATTTATTGATTGCTTATTGTTAAATTTAAGCCCCACAATAGCTCTGTGAAAGGCAGGTATTATTAGTTTTCTCATTTTACAGATAAGGAAACAGTCTGAAAATAAAATGTAAGTACCTTGCCTAAGATCTCAAGTGCAGGCGCAGAAGCCAGGATTCAAAGGCAGGTGTTTCTGACTCCAAAGTCCATGTGCTTTCTGTTACTCAGTTCTGCTAGTTAGGATTCCTCTAACTCTTTCAATCATGGACTCTCATTGGAAAAAAGCCATCCTCCACCTGAGTTATTTTCCTGGTAGATGTAGCATTATACTTTTTAAAAATGCAGTCCCAGCTACTCCGGAGGCTGAGGCAGGAGCATCCCCTGAGCCCAGGAGTTCAAGGCTGCAGTGAGCTATGATTGCCACTGCACTCCAGCCTGAGTAACACAGCAAGACCCCTAAAAAAAAAAAAAAAAAAGCTTATGTGTCTTATGTGTCCAAAGTACTTGCCCTGAAAAACTGTGTACAGTAAACATGGTTTGAAACTTCACTTTCCTCCTTGGAAACCCAGATCACTTAATTATAGCTTCACTGGCATTTACTAACACATTCACCATTGGAAAAATGTTTTCTTGCTTTGCAAAGGACAATCCATGGAAGAGAAGACTCTGAAGCTCAGTTCTCTTCCACCTTGAATTATGCTGAGATGAAAGCAACTTGAGGTAACAGCTTGCTTCTATGTTAATTAACTCCTGTTAATATTTTATGTTTAAGCCATCCTCAAACCGTATTTTCCCTAGGAAATCGGAAGAGTTCTTCATTTGTTTGCATGTTCCTTGGCCTGAAGAAATTAACAACATTTTGAACTATATTATATATGAAGCCATTTTATGTTGTACTGAAAAAAATGCATGATGCAAATACATTTAGACTCTTAGAGCAATAATTCTTAATCTAGTGGATGCATGCTAAATCAAAATTTCAATGGGGTTCTACATGCTTTGGCTAAGCATATCTGATATAACTCAGTTGATTAAAAAATTTAGAAATCATAATATTTATTTTAGTAAAAGAAGATTGGTAGTATCAAAGATAAACAAGCCTGGATACTCGGTAAGGACAGACTTTCATCAGTAATATACTATTATTATTGCAATAGGGAAAAAAGTCCAGTGTGCTCCAAACTCAACTTCAATGTGTACAGAGATGATGGCATTTTAAAGGGAGGATGGGCTGAGTGCAGTGGCTCATACCTGTAATCCCAGCACTTTGGGAGGCTGAGGCAGGCAGATCACGAGTTCAGGAGTTCGAGACCAGCCTGGCCAACATAGTGAAACCCTGTCTCTACTAAAAATACAAAAATTAGCCGGGTATGGTGGCATGCACCTGTGGTCCCAGCTACTTGGGAGGCTGAGGCAGGAGAATCGCTTGAACCCGGGAGGCAGAGGTTGCAGTGAGCTGAGACGGCGCTATTGCACTCCAGCCTGGGTGACAGAGCAAGACTCTGTCTCAGAAAAAAAAAGGGAGGATGAGGGAATAGGGAGTGGGTGAGCAGGGGCTCAAGAGGGTCTGTGAAAAAAATTATAAAATGCAGGAAGTGGGGGTTGGTCCATGTGCAACCCATCTGTTTACTTACTGGTGCTTATGGAAGTTAGGCTCCTACCCTCCCACAGAGGCAGGGAGATGGGGGCCTTGTCTTCAGGTGTTGGCTGGAACCAACAGTAAATTCCCTGGGCAGCCTCGAGTTTTCTCAGGCAGGCATTCTAAGAGGGGCTAGGGCCATCCTAGGGAAGGCCCTTGAGCTGTTAGAAACTATGCTAGCATTTGATCAAGTCTTTTTTTTGAGACAGAGTCTCGCTCTGGCAGTTGCCCAGGCTGGAGTGCAGTGGCATGATCTCAGCTCACTACAACCTCCGCCTCCCAGGTTCAAGCAATTCTCATGCCTTAGCCTCCAAGTAGTTGGGAATACAGGCATGCTCCACCACGCCTGGCTAATTTCTGTATTTTTAGTAGAGACGGGGTTTCACCATGTTGGCCAGGCCGCTCTCAAACTCCTGACCTCAGGTGATCCACCTACCTTGGCCTCCCAAAGTGCTGGGATTAGGGCGTGAGCCACCACACCCGGCCTGATCAAGTCTTTATAGTCCAAGGATAGCACTTAGTTGAGAAGAGGGCTGAGAGGAGCCTGGGTGGAGTTTTGTTAAGGAGAGAATTTTTGTAAGTAGTATTTATCGTTGGTTTGAGTAGGTATTAATGAGCAAAGTATTTTCAAAGTAACTGACAGGAATTTATGTTGTCCTTTTGAGTGTAATAAAGAGGACTAATTATTAATGGGAATCCCTAATCTGACTTTATGATTTGAAAACCTTAAGAAGGGAGCGATATCCTGTTAAATTCATGTTCAGTGCTGAAGAATTTTTTCCAGAAGCTCATACATTATCCAGCAGGCACAAGGACAGCTGAAGTATGTTTAAGGATATGGCACTTCTTTTTAAAAATGAACACAAAGGGATCTGACTAGCCTGCCTTGGCCAGGAGGAGGAGCCCCCTTCTGGCAGGCCTAGCAAAGGAGATGTGGGAACTGGGCATCTTTCCTTCTGGTCAGGATGGGAGTTCTGGCCTTGACTTACGGAGCAATAGGAGTTCTCTATAGGACCAGGAAGATGAATACACAAAACATCAGTAAAAGTAAAATAGAAAAAAGAAGTAGAACTTTTTTTTAAAAAGGGAGGAACTATATATTTGCAGAAATGACATTTTTGAATAACAGAATAACACAGACCAGGTAATTTATAATGAACAGCACTAAATGCCTGCCTCTGGTGAGGGCCTTCTTGCTGTGTCACTCCATGGCCAGAAGGTGGAAGGGCCAAGAGATGAAAGGGGGCTGACCCTGCCCTTTTATAATGGCAGTAATGCCGCCCATGAGGGTGCAGCCCTCATGGCCTGATCACCTCTTAAAGGTCCCACCTCTCAACATTGTTACGATGCCAACTAAATTTCAAATGAATTTTGGCGAAGACAAACATTCAAACCATAGGACTAAGTAAATAAAAACCATATCTGTATAGTCAAATAGGATTAAAGTAGACCTAAAAATGGCATTGTGTTTGGCAATATGACTTACCGTGGAGAATGACTGGGAACTGTCAATTCAGAGTAACATGACTTGCTTTGCTACAGCAGTGAAATTTCTGGGATCCTAGCCTCTTGTATCTAAAGTAAGCAAGCAAAATATCATCAGCAACTTAGTATGAATATATAGTTTTTTTCTGCTGAAATACTCATGCCAATTAATACTTACAGTTGTTGAATAACTATCAAGCCAACTCTGTACAACTTTCAAATAAATCTACGTTGCAATTATATGTCATCTGTTTAAAAGGATAAAATATTGATATTTTTAGTCATTTATGTAGGTGTGTGTTATGACTAAAATGATTCAATACACTACTGTGCTCCAAATAGGTTTTATGTTGTACCTCTTGCTCAAGTAAAATGAAAAAATTTAAAACAATTATGCAAATTTGGTTTTAAATATTCATCTCAAATATTTTATATTTTATTCCCCTTAAATGTGTTTTAAACAGATTTAATCACATTGGGTACTGTACTAAGTGTACTACAAAGATTACAGTGATCCTGCCCTTGATATCATACCTACAAGTGAATATTCTAAGATAGTCCCTGGAAAGGAAGACATAAAGACAGTCCTACAGAATCCAGAATAGGTATCAGAATTAAAATAGACCAGCCATGGAAGAAAGAATCAAAGGGTGAGAGACAAGGACAAGTTCACATGCATGGTGCTCTTTGAGAGAGCAGGGATGAGTGTTCTTTGCTCCAGAAATGTAGACAAAACGCCCACAAGCTATATTCTCATTAGCCTGGGATGTCTCCAGCTGACATTGACAGTGGGATCATGTAATATGAATTGTGTGTGGCGACCGGAAGTCAATGGCTAAGGGAGCTAAGAGGCTGCTTGGGGACCCTAATGGGTTTGGAGGGTAGAAAGAACATATGCTTTGGAATCCAGAGAACTGGGTTAGAATTTCTTTTCCAGCCCCAATTTGGTGGGTGCGCTGTATTGCAACTTTGCTGACCTGAGTCTCAGTTTCCTCGTCCTGAAAGAGGGGGTGATGCCTATTTTGTTGAGTTGATTTGAGCCATAAATAAGGTAAGGACTGGTAAGTGACACAGAACAGGGCCTCATTAGAAATGAGTCCCCTTCCCTCTCCTTCTCTTTCTCCATTGTTCTGATGCCAACTGTAGTTGCTACACACTTTTCCTAAAGGGTATGGTGTAGTTTTGTTGATAGAGTGGGAGCAATTGCTGAACAGACATGAAGTGCTAAACATTAACACTGATGGGCTGAGCCTTATCTTGTCCAGAAGGGAAGCAACATGGTAATTACATGTTACCTAGATGGTACTTTCTGTTCCACAATTGAGCCCCCGTCTGCCTCTGAATGTAGACTTTGGGTGGGAGGTGGGGAAGAAGGCTGCCCTCTGGGACTCGCAGTTTTAGCAACCATGCCAAAACAAGCCATGCACCTGTGTTCCCTGTAGGTTTTAAAAAGAAACATTTAGTTACATATTCTGAATTAAGAGAGATGGTGGCAACCCAGGTGGAGAAAAGGGTATTTAAGCACAGCAGAGTCCCCACCATGGGGCTGTGAGCCTGTGGCAGACAGCAAGAGAGACACCGAAGATAGGCTTCCGCACCTCTCCAGCCGGTGGGAACAGTCAGTGCCAGCGGAGGCTTTATCTCTTCTTGCCTCAGTCCAGCCTGTGGCAGCTCAGTAACTGGAACAAGAGCGTTTACTACCTTCTGACCTTTAGGAGAACATATATGACACAGTTTCATGATGAACACATTCATTTACTTAATGGGGAGAGATACAAGGAGAAATTAAATATACTTCCTGCCTGGGAGGAGTGCAGATGCCCATAACATGGGAAGGCAGTGACAGATGTATGTGGGGACTGCCCTAGGAAGTTTTGCTGGGGATGAGCAAGAACAGGCCACTCTCAAAAGAAGGGGGAGGCATTCCAAGCAACAAGAGAGGAAAAGGCTTATCTGAGGACTCATCAGAAATTTGGTAGAACTGAGGGTGGAGGGGGTGGGAAAGAGAAGGCAGGTGCTGGAAAGAGAAGAGGATGTTGAGCCTACCAGAAATCCATTAGGGTGAGTTTTTGAAGGCCTTGTCTGTGTCATGTTACTAAGTTTGATTTTTTTTTCCTGCAGATAAATATTTCAGGACTCTCTACCTATCCAAACGCATTTTAGGCGAATTTTAAAAAACAGTTATTAATTAGCAAACATTAAAATAAATGTGAATAATAATCACTTCCTGAACAGTCCAAGGACCTTTAAGTTTTAAGATTAATCCAGCGGGTTAGATTTTTCAGTTAGAGTAGCATGGAAGAAAAGACGAAGTTACGTCTTTTATGTTGAAGTGTGCACTACAGGATGATTCAAAGGATTTAGGCGGTTAGAGAAAAAACAACAAACGCATTAAAACATTATTGACACATCTGCTACTGAAAACACTCTTTCATCTATTTATAGTTGACTAAAAATGGTGACTTAACGAACTTGAAATAAAATGATTACACTAAGGGTTATGATTGCCTGATATGTTCTAACAGGTATATAGCATTTAATCCTCACAATTACCTAGTGTACCTTGTGCAGAATGGGTACACTTTTTTGTTTTTTTTTTTTTGAGACAGAGTTTCACTCTTGTCGTCCAGACTGGAGTGCAGTGGAGGGATCTTGGCTCACTGCAACCTCTGCTTCCCGGGTTCAAGCAATTCTCCTGCTTCAGTCTCCCAAGTAGCTGGGATTACAGGCATGTACCACCACGCCTGGCTAATTTTTGTATTTTTAGTAGAGACGGGGTTTCGCCATGTTAGCCAGGCTGGCCAAACTCCTGACCTCAAGTGATCTGCCTGCTTTGGCCTCCCAAAGTGCTGGGATTACAGGTGTGAGCCACCGCACCTGGCCAGAATGGGTACTTTTTATCCCCATTTTACAGATGAGGAAATCAGGACCTGGATAACTTGCTGGATAAGGGCTGAGTGGCAGCCCTGGAGCTTCAGACACTGCATTCCTGGCCCAGTGTCACTTCCATGGTCACTCTATGCCCTTTAGTTGAGGTAGGAGGATCTTTTGATAGATCGAATGATATTGACATCATTCTCATAGTTTTTTCCTATTATGAGCTGTTACTCCACCCCAGCCAGGCTGGTCTTCACTAATTTCTCCTTGTACTGAGTGTTGGATCAATCTTAGAATTGTCTCCCTCCTTCTCTCCACCTAATCAATCGATCACCAAATCAATCAATTAATTCAACAAATAGTCACCTATTATGTGCCAAGAACTATCAACAAAAGCAACATAGACCTGGTTTCACTAGAATTATAATCTAGTAAATTCTGGTACTGAATTCTGTTCCTCTTTCTGGCTGGCAATAAGTAACGTAAATCAAGGTTGCATGTGCTTATGCATCTGACCGTCTTGCTAACGCAGGTGCCTGCTCTAGAACCTATGATGAGAACATATGCTTTGGAGTCCGGAAAAACTTGGTTTGAAGCACAGCTTGCCACACACTGTGTGATCTTTCTGATTCTCAGTGTCCTCATTCAGTTTAAATGTCCTTTACCCTTAGTTTTAATTCTTTATTATTATTTTTTAAAAAGTAAATTTCCTTAGAAGTTTTCAGAATACATTAATTCTACAGCCAGTAAAGAAATAGTTTTCCAAAACAAGAGAGCACACTTTGCCAGAGCAGTTAATCTCATGATGCTCTGGCCAGAGAGGAGGAGAAGGCTGTATGGTGGCAGCCACTCCCATCCCTGACAGCCCCCTCTCCCTACCCCCCTACCTCTTGGCCAGTCTCTTCAGCCTGGCCAGCAGGTATGGACTCTTATTAATCTAAGGCTCAACATATCATCAGTCCTTTGGGAAGACACTCGGGTGCTGCACAAGCTTCAGAACAGCTTTCTAGTATTCCTTTCTATAAATCAAGTAAGTGGTTTAAAGCCTCAGATAGGAAACCGTGAAGGAAAATAAATCATTACGGTCACCATGACCTATCTTTTCGCCAGAGGTTCTCCAACTGGAGCCTGCTTCTATCAGAATCCTCTGGAGAGCTGGATGGCTGAGCCCACCCCAAGCTTCAAGCTTCAGGAGCGGACCTGAGAAGCTGCATTTCTTTCTTTCTTTTTCTTCCTTTCTTTCAGATGGAGTTTTGCTCTATCGCCTAGGCTGGAGTGCAGCAGCACAATCTCGGCTCACTGCAACCTCCGCCTCCTGGGTTTAGGTGATTCTTCTGCCTCAGCCTCCTGAGTAGCTGGGATTACAGGCATGCACCACCATGCCCAGCTAATTTTTGTATTTTTATTAGAGATGGGGTTTTGTCATGTTGGCCAGGCTGGTCTTGAACTTCTGACCTTAAGTGATCCGCCCACTTCGGCCTCCCAAAGTGCTGGGATTACAGGCATGACGCACCGCACCCAGCCAGAAGCTGCATTTCTAACAAGCCCCCAGGAGAAGCTCTGCTGCTGAGCAGGGACCATACCTTGAGAACTCCTGCACTTTGCTAGTTGGTTTGGGAGACAATGGAATCACACTGCCTTGGATAAGTCTGGGGAAGTATTAACCTCCCCATACCTCCTCAGTTTCTTCAGCTATAAGATCACCTACCTGGGACAGCTTTTATGAGGGTAAATCAGTTAGAACACAGGGAGCACTTTGAGCAACAGCTGGGGGCGAAGTAAAAACTGAACAAAGATTATTTATCATTATTATTACCTCATATCCTGCTGCTGTTTTCCCTCTATCAACAAGTCATTAAAGCACACATATCCCACATCTTCTAAGTTCCTCCACTGAAGCAGTATACTTGCTCCATCTATTCAAATAGTTTCCCCTTCTAATTTATGTATTAACAAATAAATGTTTAATATTGAGAATGTTTAAATAGGCTTGGGCATCGTGGCTCATGCCTGTAAGCCCAGTGTGTCCAGAATTGGTGGGTTCTTGGTCTCACTGACTTCAAGAATGAAGCCGCGGACCCTCACGGTGAGTGTTACAGTTCTTAAAGGTGGCGTGTCCAGAATTTGTTCCTTCGGATGTTCAGATGTGTTCAGACTTTTCTTCCTTCTGGTGGGTTTGTGGTCTCACTGGCTCAGGAGTGAAGCTGCAGACCTTCACAGTGAGTGTCACAACTCATAAACGCAATGCAGATGCAGAGTGAGCAGCAGCAAGACTTACTGCAAACAGCAAAAGAACAAAGTTTCCACAAAGTGGAAAGACACCTGAGCATCTTGCCACTGCTGGCTTGGGCAGCCTGCTTTTATTCCCTTATCTGGCCCCACCCACATCCTGCTGATTGGTCCATTTTACAGAGAGCTGATTGGTCTGTTTTGACAGGGTGCTGATTGGTATGTTTACAATCCCTGAGCTAGACACAAAAGTTCTCAAAGTCCCCACTAGATTAACTAGACACAGAGCACTGATTGGTGCATTCACAAACCCTGAGCTAGACACAGGGTGCTGATTGGTGCATTTACAAACCTTGAGCTGGACACAGAGTGCTGATTGGTGTATTTACAATCCCTTAGCTAGACATAAAGGTTCTCCAAGTCCCTGCTAGATTAGCTAGACACAGAGCACTGATTGGTGCACTTACAAACCTTGAGCTAGACACAGGGGGCTGATTGGTGTGTTCACAAACCCTGAGCAAGACACAGAGTGCTGACTGGTGTATTTACAATCCCTTAGCTAGACATAAAGTTTCTCCAAGTCCCCACCAGATTAGCTAGATACACAGTGCTGATTGGTGCATTTACAAACCTTGAGCTAGACACAGAGTGCTGATTGGTGTATTTACAATCCCTTAGCTAGACATAAAGGTTCTCCAAGTCCCCGCTAGACCCAGGAGCCCAGCTGGCTTCACCTAGTGGATCCTGCATCAGGGAGCCCGCCAGTCCCACGACCTGTGCCCACACTACTCCTCAGCCCTTGGGCGGTCGGAATGGGACCGGGCGCGTGGAGCAGGGGGCAGCGCTCATCTGGGAGGCTCAGGCCGCTCAGGAGCCCATGGTGTGGGGGAGGCTCAGGCATGGCAGGCTGCAGGTCCCCAGCCTTTCCCTGCGGGGAGGCAGCTGAGGTCCAGCGAGAATTCCAGCACAGCGCTGGTGGGCCAGGCCGGCACTGCTGGGAGACCCAGCGCATCCTCCGCAGCTGCTGGCCTGGGTACTAAGCCCCTCACTGCCTGGGGCCTGCGGAACCGGCCAGCCGCTCCGAGTGCGGGGCCTGCCGAGCCCACGCCCACCTGGAACTTGCACTGGCCTGCAAGCCCAGTGCTCAGCCCTGGTTCCCACCCACGCCTGTCCCTCCACACCTCCCCGCAAGGTGAGGGAGCCCGCTCCGGCCTCGGCCAGCCCAGAGAGGGGCTCCCACAGTGCAGTGGCAGGCTGAAGGGCTCCTCAAGAGCGGCCAGAGTGGGCGCCGAGGCCGAGGAGGTGCAGAGAGTGAGCGAGGGCTGCTAGGGCTGCCAGCACGCTGTCACCTCTCACCAGCACTTTGGGAGGCCGAGGTGGGTAGATCACTTGCAGTCAGGAGTTGGAGACTAGCCTGGCCAACACGGCCAAACCCCATCTCTTCTAAAAATACAAAAATTAGCTGGGCATGGTGGCGTGCACCTGTAATCCCAGCTACTCGGGGCTGAGGTGAGAAGATTGCTTGAACCCAGGAGGCACAGGCAGTAGTGACCCAAGATCGTGTCATTGCGCTCCAGCCTGGGTGACAGAGGGAGACACCATCTCAAAAAAAAAAAAAAAAAAAAAAAAGAGGATAAGTGCTGCAAACATACATATAGTATGTAGAAGAAGTTTCAAATAATTTTTAAATTGCTATTGAGATGGACATAATGCATCATGTTAATTGTGAGCTCCATTTCTGTGTGAATAGAAACCATATCAAACATCATCAGTAGAAATGTGTTTTTATCGGACAGCTTTTGAGGTACCTCTACCTTATGAATAAAGGCTTTCTGCAGTTTGCAGCATACAGAAGTTTGTTCCTTATGTAACAGTACCAAAAGAATCCAACTGGATCTCACGCCACGTGAAACTTTACCTACACGTCTTTCCTGAAAGAGATGTTTCAATCCTGGGAACCGAGATCCTCTGGAGACCAGAGCCAAATAACTGCCACATTGGAATGCATTCCGCTGGGGGTTCCTGTATTTTATATATGAAAGCTTCCTGGCCGCATGTGTGTTTTGGTTGGCTTTAGTGGCAGGACTGAAGGGTTTTGCTTTGCTTTTGTTATGTGAATGGGGAAAGGGGCTTTGCCACTCATGGCCTCATTAACAACAATGGTGCCAAGATGCGGACTTTTAAGTGACTTTTACTTTATAGATTCTGAAAACCCACAACTTGCTAGTTGTGAGTGACAAGCATCTTTCTGAGAACTTTCTGAAAATTCCCCACTTCCAAGTTTACACAGCCTTTAGTAGACTTAAAAAAGAAGAGAAAAATACCAAACAGTTCCTTTGTTGAGAAAGCAGCCTACATATAGATCTGATTGTTCATGGTATGTTTGAGTCCACGAAGTAGAAATGAACAAAAATTATTGCTTAGTTTTCCTGATGTCAAATCAGTTTTGTTTTAAAAATGTCATTAGTAATTTATTAGGTAAAATGTTAGCTAAGCTAACTCTAGTTAATTTACAAAGTTTTGGCTTCATTTTGTTATGATGAGACTTTATAAACCTGATCTTTAAAATAAGGTTCTTAAAATTTTTAAAAATTTATTTTATTTATTTTTTGAGACAGAGTTTCGCTCTTCTTGCCCAGGCTGAGTGGCAGTGGCATGATCTCAGCTCATTGCAACCTTCACCTCCCAGGTTCAAGCGATTCTTCTGCTTCAGCCTCCCGAGTAGCTGGGACTACAGGTGCTCGCCACCGTGCCCAGCTAATTTTTGTATTTTTTTAGTAGAGATGGGGTTTCACCATGTTGGCCAAGTTGGTCTCGAACTCCTGCTCAGGTGATCCAACCGCCTCGGCTTCCCAAAGTGCTGGGATTATAGGCGTGAGCCACGGCGCCTGGCCAGGTGTTTTTTTTTTTTTTTTTGAAACGAATCTTCTTCTATTTCACAAGTGGAAATCATCCAGGAAATGTGCACCTCAAGGGAAATCCAGTGAAATCTTGATTCTGGGTAGAACATATGAGAAAAGAATAGTGTAGCACTCACTGCTTGGCTATTTGGGATAGGATCTGTCTTAGGTCCCCATAAGCGCTTTTATTTCTGTGTAATTTACTGCAAAACTCTATGAGGTAGGACTAATATTATCTTATGTCAAGGGTTAAGACAATTGAGACTTGGGGGTTTGTCAAAAATAAAAGATTTTCTGACTTTGGAGTGCGATGTGCATTTCTGTTGCACAGATCTCCACCAAGGGCAAATTCGATGGCAATGACAATTTGATGTCAGAACTTCTCAGGAAAGGCTCTGATGAACTCATTCACACTGCATGTGAATGACTGAGAAAACTCGATGTATTTTCACTTTTTTTTTTTTAAGAAGTAAACCTGGGTGTTTTGTAGTTCTATGAGAAAATGAAAGCTGAAGCTAGGCTATAGATGAAAAGTTCTATTCATTATTACAATTTAATAATGCTTCCAAAATAGCAATTCACTTAAATATACCTAGTTAGGGTGTTAAGAAATACTTTGATTAAAACCACACTGCAAAATAGGGAACTTCAATGGACTGCTTTAAACTCTCGACCTCAAAGGAAGGAAATCAACTAACCGATAATGAAAACTAGCAGAAAAAAAAAAGCTTAGGATCCGTAACAGATTCGGAGTCAACAATGACATGACTCAGCATTTTGGGGTTCAATTAAAACCAGGCTTGTAGGTTGCAGGTCAAGTTGTGTTTCGGTGTGTAACGCATAAAACTTCTTGTTCCACGCTCCGCGGTGTTGGGGATTTTCTACTGCATCTCGACAGCATCTCGGGTAACAACCGAGCCCCTCCTCGCAGCGTAAGTCGTAGGAGCCCTCGGCCATTCTTCCCCCTCCCTCCCGCCGCCGGTCCCAGCATCGGTCCGGGTTCGCTTCTACGCAGGTTCAGCGGCCGCGGACACAAAAGCGCCCCTGCTCGCCTTCGATGCCGCTGCTTGGTCCAGGGGCTTCTGTGGGATTTTAACACGCTAAGGAGGGCACTCATAGTGTTTTACCGAGAAACGCTTTCGAGCTCGGATCTTTGGTGATCACTTCAAGAATGTATTAGTTTTCTTTGTAGCTTAAAAAAAAATCTCGTTCGCCAAGCCACCTGGCACCCCAAACACTGCTGCGAGCGCTGGGAGGGAAAGGGCGGGAGCGCGCGGGCTCCGTGTGCTGCGAGGGCGCCTGGGCGGCTGAGATAAGGCGGTGGCAAACGTCGCGCTCCGGGCCGCCCCGCCAGACTCGGTTTCCCCCGCTCACCGGCCTCCCCGCCCCCAGGCAGGGTGGGGCGGGGCGGACGCGCCACGGCGCGCGACCAATCGACAGCGCCGGGGATGATTCAAAAGGTCGAGGAGCCAATGGGAGCCCCGGGCGGCCTCGCCGGTGGGGAGGGGAGGCGAGGGGAGGGGAGAAGCGCCGCGAGGCGGGGCCGGGGAGGCGCGCGCCCGGCTTGCGGGACTGCGGGGCGCGAGAGCGCGGCCGGGTAGCGTCGCGCGCGTGGATCTGCCGCCGGGTTGCTGTGCGACTATTCTCCGGGAGCCGTCCGTGTCACCGCCGGAACCTGGCGCAGGTGAGTGCTTCCACCCCCGCCCTGCTCCCAGCTCCCCGCGGCGCGTTCTTCGAGGGGCCGCTGGGGGAGGAAGCCCGAGGCCGGCGCAGCGGCCGGGCCGGGGACCCTGGGCGCGGGGCCTGGCGCGGCGGCCTTCCCCTCCTCTCCTCGCCTCCTCGTCTCCTCCCCTCCTCGCCTTTTCTGGCCCAGTCGGGTGGTCGGGGCGGCGGCGGGCGAGGCTGGAGCTCGCCCGAGCCGGGCCCGCTGCGGAAATGGAGCTGGGGGTTTTAAACTGCGGACGTTTCCCTCCATGTTGGCGGCGCGGCGCGGCTGTGGAGCGGCGGCGGCAGGGAGGGTTCGTGGGCGCCTTTGTCCTGCCCCACCGCAGCCTGGCTCCCGGCCCCTCCGAGCGCCCGTCTGACAGATGAGCAGGCGGCCCCGCGGTCCTGCAGTAGGAGGCTGACAGGGCGCGGCGGCCTGGCGGGACGGGGAAGGGTCTGCGGCCGAGGTGGGCTTAGATTCGCGCTGCTTGTCACTGGCTTTGAGGGTCGTGGTCGTCGCGGTTTGGTGATTCTCCAGGCACACTGCATGGCTGCTCGCTCCTATGCGTTGAATTCCTTCGCCCGGACAGTCTCAAAAATCGGGTATTTAGGCGGGTGTGCGTGTTCCTGCTAAAGCACGGTCCTGCTTTTTCACCTTTTTGAGGGTTCAGAAAAATGTTCTAATGACAGCCAGCCTCGCACTGCCAGTAGCCTCAAGGGGCACTTAGTAAAGCACTTGCTTTCGGAGGGCTTTGTTGAAGGCGCTTTCCCAGAGTGATTACGGGGCCCGGTCGGGTGTTCACACGAGGGCGCGGTAGATACCGTGGTCCGCGCGTGGACACCTGCAGCGCGAGGCGCGGCGCCTGGGCAGTGCCAGGGTGAACAGGCCCCCGGGGACCTTGCACGTAAACACGTGTAGATCTGTAGTTACGCATTGTAGTAACTGGTGTGTGGGAGAAGATGGAGCTACGGAGAAGAGCAGAGGGATCCTAATTTAGATTAGGCAACAAGTCCAGTTTAAGTTTTGTTTCTCAGGCTGCCTGGGAAGAGGGAGAAGAACGAGCAGGAGGGGAATGATGAGCTGCCCAAGGATGTTTATGGGGAAGAAGGCGCTTCTGCCTTTACAGCCAGGAAGGTGGCCTTTCTGTTGCTTCATGAAGCAAAGGGCGCGGAGCAAGGCCCGGGGTTCCTGTTTGCATTTTGCCTAGTGGGGCTACCGGGGCTCAGGTGTGAAAAGGAAGCTGTCCAACGTCATTCGAGCGTCTTGCTCTATGCCACGTTTAGATGAATTTGGAGAAGTGAAGGAAAGATGGCTGGAGACCCCTGTAATGTTAATGAGCAGAGAATTGTTGTGTTCACAAACAGTAACATACCGGAGCTGGAATGTGTGAGGATTGCAGTGCCAGTTGACTCTGAAGTTAGCGGGCATCTGGCTTAATAGAGAAAAACCTGAGGGTCTCCGTGTTTTTCCTGTTTATGGCGAATGAGGACATTGGGTGCAGTGAACAAAATTTTTCTTTACAAACACACTTGCCTAAAACATCTCTTGTAAGAAAATCCTGTGTGTATCTTGACTCCTGTAGGTGAGTGCATAGTGAGTGACACGAACAAATGTGGGGCTTTTGTGTGCCATCCTGGCTATTTCACTCCTGTGGGGGAATATATTAGGATGTGATTGCACTGTATCCTCACGTTTGACAATTGTGTGTGGATCTTGTGTAAAGTGGGGGTGCACATCATGTTGTTGGCTTCATCTTTTGGAACATTTGTGTATAAGATAATGGTCTTCTAAGAAGAATGCCGGTTCATTTTGTTTGTTTTTCAAGCAAATCTTAATTCTTCTTTTAAAAAGTAAGCTTTAGAGACCTAACAGGTATCCACCATATGTGTTAACTTGTTTAACCCAGAATAATTGATAAGAATCTTTTTGGCACTGGCCTGCGTTTATATTACACAGATACTGTGTATGTGGTGTGTAAGTGCAATGGAAAGATGCCAGTAAATAAGTTTTTAAGAACACGCAGAAACTGTTCAAGGGTCTTTTAAAACCTCAAGTAGCCCCTGCGTCCTGAAGGGCTTGTGTTTCAAAAGTTTATAAAGAGTTTTTTGCAACTTGAGCATCTTCCTGTAGGAAGACATAATTGCCTTCTTTTAACTCTGGCTGACCAGTGTAGGAGAGCTAGTACTAGTAAGAGTGGTTTGATTTTGGGGGGCCTAGGGAGGAGGAGGGGGCTCAAGAGAAGAGAGAAGGAGGGTACATTTCCTTCCTCTTTCTTTGTACTTGGAGGCTCTGAGCTAAATGTTGAAATAGGCAAAGCTGGATGTTGTCACCTTCCGTTTTTATGCCCCTGCTCATGCAGAGGTGTTCACTGCCCCCCTGCTCCCTAAGTGCCCCTCGGGTGACTCAGCCAGGCCTGACTTCATCCCGAAAACTTGTGGGCTCCTCCCCACTACTCCAAGCCCAAACCCATTCATTACCCCAGTGATGCCCAATCTCAGGTAGGTGTAGGGAAGAAAGCTGCCTCTCTTACCTAATGTGTTAATTGACTGACATCCTCTAATCACCAGATAAGTACTTGTGTTTTCTTTCATCTACCAACCTAGCTGCCATCTCTGTAAACTAGTAGAGCTTGTTAAGTTTTTTCACAGACGATTAACAGTGAAAAAATGTGGTGGTTAAGAAAGGCCTCCCTCACCCCGCCTCCCCCCCCACTCTCCCACTACTCCCTTGGGGTAGGTAATTCAACTTTCTCCTTAATTCCAGAGTCTTCAAAGGTTCCTAAATGTTGCTTTTATTGTATCATCAGCTCTTAACAGGAGCCAGTGAGGAATGTACATTGATAGGCTTGGACAATACATCAAGAAGTGCTTAGTTGGTGAAATGAAGGTGATTTGGGAGACAGCTCATATCTGTCCTACTGGCTGCCCCTTGGACGTGGCCCCAGCTAGTTCATGTGGTACTGGGGAAGGTCGGCAGCCCTGGTTTTGTTGTGTGGAAATGTGATTCCGCTGGTCAGCCGATGGAGCGGCATTACTGTCTGGCAGCTGGAAGTACCCAGCTATCAATTGATATTTCAAAAAGGGTGGCAGACAGGCCTCACGTAAGTGGCAGTTCTTGCAGATTGCTTGTGGATTCCTAGAGTATTGTGGGGCTTGTGGGCCATGTTTTGAATCAGAGGAAAAGAATGTTATAATTGGGGGTTGATGGCTGCTGTAGGCTTGAGAGAAGTGAGCTTGGATGAAGGCAACCACCCTGGCTTAGGTGGGTGGTTGGCAGAGTTACTTGGTATGCATTTGTACTTTAGCTGTAAGAGTTGAAAGCTAAATAACCCCCAAATTTATTCATTACAGACTTGGAATTATTTTTCTTCCTATTGTTGGGTTATAGTCATGTTAATTGTACATCCTTGATTTTCCCAGTCTGGTTTATAGTTTGCTGTTTTTAATAAAGGCAATTTGTTAAAAATACAATTAAATGCATTTTTAAAGCCATTGTAAATTGATACGCAAATTTACAAATGAGAAAATGTGTTCTTTGTGAGATTGTGCCTCATTTTTTGATTAGCGAGAACTGTGATCACGGTAGGTGGGTAACATTTTACATAGTGTGAACTTATGGCGCCTATATACATTGTTATAATTAATCTTTAGTGTCACATAGATAACGCAGTGGCTAAATCATCCTCTCAAATGATTCCAAATGAGATTGAATGTAGCCTTTCTGGCCCTAAAATCCTGACCAGTCAATTCTGGAAAGTTGTATTTTAGTGATCAGCCTGTGGAAAAAGACGAATACATAAATGTGTATGTATTGACTCAAATTTTTTTCTTTAAAACTATTCAGGTTAATTATAGAAAATGCCAAGTAGGAAATTTGCCGATGGTGAAGTGGTAAGAGGTCGATGGCCTGGGAGTTCACTTTATTATGAAGTAGAAATTCTGAGCCACGACAGCACCTCCCAGCTTTACACTGTGAAGTATAAAGATGGAACAGAGCTTGAATTGAAAGAGAATGATATTAAGGTAAGAGCTCCTTTGGTTTATCAGAGTGTGTTTACAGTAAGTGGGAAATAACTCTAAGTATGGTTTCTAAGCTCAGGATAGTCAGTTCAGCTCGGTTTGAAGGCAGAGGATTGAGCTCTTGCTTTGGGTCACATACTGTTTTTGGCTCTGGGAATGTATGAATGAGGCATAGTCCTTGTTCCCAAGAAGCTCACACTTACTGGGAAAGACAGCCATTTGCATCTGTTGGTCCCCTGGGTTTACTACGTTCTGTGTCTGGAGTTTGCTGTGGGTGGTGTTGAGTGTATCAAGGGTAGAGAAGAGCCCTGGGCTTCAGGGGAGGCTTTCAGAGGCAGTGACACCTAGCCAAGTGCTGAGAACAAACAGGAAAAACAGCAGTTGATGGGGCTGTTTCTGCAGAGAGGGCAGTATGCCAAAGTCAGGGGTCTGGGGGACACAGTCAGCCAAGTGCTGGAAGGGGGTGGTAGGGGAGGGCTAAGCAGGAGCCAGGCTGGGGGGGCTTTTATATTCCATGCCCAAGGGTTTGGGCTTCATCCTGAACACCAAGGATTTAATCAGGAGAGTGACATTAATTAGATTCGAGTCTAGCCCAGGGCTTTTCAACCTGTCTGGTGAGGGCCTGGGTTTTAAGATATCTGATCCGTAGTATACAAACATTTATATAAAATGCCATAAAAATGAGTTACTAGAAAAATAAAGACATACACAATAGACGACTCACAGTTTTACTATCAGATTCGATAGATATGAGATTACTTTGTCAAAATGCTATAAACATTTCCATACACCTATTTCTCAATTTTGGTACTTGCACAGATTAGTAACGAGCATTTCTAGGACCCATGGCTGAGGATGACACTTCGAGTGCTCTAGACCAGGAATAAAGCACAGAAAGTAAATATTTTAGACTTTATGGGAGCGGCTCCAGGCAGTATGGAAGGGAGCAGACATGGCAGTGTTCCAGTACAACTTTATGGACAGTGAAATTTGAATTTTGGATAATTTTCACACTTCAGGAAATACTGTTCTTTTGATTTTGTTTGTAATCATTTAAGAATGTAAAAGCCATTCTTAGTAGGAAGGCCACACAAAAATTGGGGTGAGGGACTTGGCCTGGGGCGTAATTTGTCTACATCCCTAGAAGCAACATAAGGAGATTCGGAGTAGGTGGGGACACAGTGAAACAGTTCCCAGTCATCCAAGCTCATGTTTTATTTTCAAGATCTGCTTATGTGTTTTGTTCAGAGTGAAACTGTGGTACTGTTTTTTTTTTTTTGGTCTGTGTGCTTATTTATTTTGTCCTGTCGTCTCAGTTTTAATCCATGTTAATTATTACCCTTCTTGCATATGGTGTTGGAAATAAGTACAGCTAATTGGTTTAGATACATTCGTTTCATGGAAATACCTTCAAAGAACAGGAATGGAAAGGCTGCATTTGTCTCATGAAAGATGGATCATTATGAAAGCATTTTCCATTGGCTTCATCTGATCCATTCTCAGATCCTAACATTTCCCGTGCTGATTTTAGAGTTAATGGTAGCAGTTCCTGCCTTTGTTATCCTCTTCTAGTGTGGGTCTGTCTGTATGTGTTATGATTTGTGGTAAAGCTCTTTGCCTTCTTCCCCCTTTCTAGCCTTTAACTTCCTTTAGGCAAAGGAAAGGTGGCTCAACTTCCAGTTCCCCTTCCAGACGCCGAGGGAGTCGATCAAGGTCACGCTCCCGATCCCCTGGTCGACCACCTAAAAGTGCCCGCCGATCTGCTTCTGCTTCCCACCAGGCCGACATTAAGGAAGCAAGGAGGGAAGTGGAAGTTAAATTGACTCCGCTGATTCTGGTACTTGTGTTTATCCTTATACAGCCTTTTGTCTTCCGCTTTATGTATATATTTACTCAAGTTACTTGCAGTTAATAATATTAAAATGTCACTGAAACATCAAATCTAAGTTGATGACTTTGGGAGTTTTCATATAAAACAAATGTTTGGAATAGAAAGTTTTAAATATCAATGGAAAAGAATGTCCTTCAGTTACCAGAAATGCTATTTAATATTTTAGTTTTTAAAAAAGCAGCGTTCAAATTTGAAATAGATGTAGCTTGTAGATTGAACTGCGTAAGGTTTTTACAGTGTATAAAAGTTCATATCATGTATGAAATGGTAAGACAAACCTGTATTACGGAAACATTCTTACTCTTAGCATCATTATACTTTATCACTTTACCTATTCAAAGATGATTTTAGTGGAATTACTTTCAAGATGTAAGCTTTGAAATATCAGGGTGCATGGAGCCTGTAGATCTTGTACAAATAGTATTTTAGATAGTAGACCAAAGACAAAGTATGTTAAGTAAAAAGAATAAAAGTAATCTTCTATTCACTTAATGTTAACCTCTTTTCTGGATAGAAGGCACACAGACTTTGAGACAGAGTCTTGCTCTGTCACCCAGGCTGGAGCGCAGTGGCGCAATCTCAGCTCACTGCAAGCTCCGCCTCCTGGGTTCACGCCATTCTCCTGCCTCAGCCTACCGAGTAGCTGGGACTACAGGCGCCCACCACCATGCCTGGCTGATTTTTTGTATTTTTAGTAGAGACAGGGTTTCACCGTGTTAGCCAGGATGGTCTCGATTTCCTGACCTCGTGATCCACCCGCCTCGGCCTCCCAAAGTGCTGGGATTACAGGCGTGAGCCACTGCGCCCGGCAACAGACTTTTAATAAACTTTAAAAACTGGATTATATACATACTGCTCAGTAGTCAGCTTTAAGACATTTTAAAATATTGGGATAACCTTTCAGAGTGTATTTTTCTACATCATTTTTGTTGTTGTATTCTATAGTATGGATATATGGTAAATTGTATACATGTAACTTAATCGTTAAAGTCAGCTCTGTCAATGATAGACATTTAGTGTTTTTCCTTCCATATTTTCACTATTACAAACAAGTATTTTTATGTAACATCTGATTATTTCCTTAGGATGGATTCTTACAAGTGGAACTGCTAGGTCAGCTGTATGGTGCAGATTTGAGGCTTTTAATACATATTGCCAGATTGCATCAAGAAAGTTTATAGTAGTATCAGTGTATGAATGCTCAGTTTCTCATTCTGAGTATTATAATTTTTTTTTTTTTTTTTGGAGAATGTGGCTGTCAGACATTTTCAACTTACTGTTCTAACTTATATTTTGAATTAGAACATTTTAACTATTAGTGGCTCTCTTTACCACCCCGGGACTCCAGGAACAGATGCTGTGTGATACTTTGTTATCCTTTCATTTTTAATATTTAGTGACTGCTATATTTTTACAGTGTAATCTTACAGTCCTGGTGTCACAAGAACCACAGAAGCTTTGCCTCTTACCTGGTAGTGCCTTGGGCCTACTGTGTGTTGCATAAGTACCCACTATTTCTTAGTTTTCCATTATGGGCTATTTTGGAGCAGTGAATGTCTTTTTGAATGTCTTTTGTTTTTTATCCAGTTAATGAACTAATTTACCAATTTTTACTTTCTCTGCCTTTCATAGTAAATACCCCTAAAATCTATCAATGAAATTATGACATTCAGTCTGATTACGTGAAAGATCAAAGTTGTTTTTTTTTTTTTTGAGGCGGAGTTTCATTCTTGTTGCCCAGGCTGGAGTGCAATGGCGCGGTCTTGGCTCAATGCAACCTCCGTCTCCGGGTTCAAGAGATTTTCCTGCCTCAGCTTCCGAAGTAGCTGGAATTACAGGTGCCCGCTACCGTGCGTGGCTAATTTTTTTGTATTTTTAGTAGAGACAGGGTTTCACCATGTTGGCCAGGCTGGTCTTGAACTCCTGACCTCAGGTGATCCACCCGCCTTGGCCTCCCAAAGTGCTGGGATTACAGGTGTGAGCCACCGTGCCTGGCCAGATGAAAGATTTTATGTAGAAATCTATCCAATATTTCAGAGACTGGGAAATTCTAGTCAGTTTTATTCCTTTTCATTTTTAACAAAATGAGGGTTAAATTCGTCAGAATTAAGGCTGTGAAAAATCTGTTTTATTGCTTGATTCCAAAACAGTAAGTTTTTACCATCATGTTTCTTTTTAATAAGTTACAGTTCTTTTGATTAAATGTTTATATTCTTCAATTTAGAAGCCATTTGGAAATAGCATCAGCAGATATAATGGGGAGCCTGAGCATATTGAGAGAAATGACGCACCTCATAAAAATACACAGGTGGGAAAGTGTTCCCTTTCATCTTGGTTGTTTTTTTTTTTCTTTTTTTTGGTTAAAAGTGACTCTCCCTTGAGAAGCACATTGAAAATTGTAATATTTTATAACCTGTTCTAAAATTCTGTCCTTAAATTAAGACTGAATATAATTTCACAAATTTATTCTTACTAGTGTATAGCTGTATTGAGATGCTGAAATAGTTAATGCAGTAGCATTAATGGTAATTGTTCACTGCAGATATTTAATTTTTAAATTTTTCATTTAGGAAAAATTCAGTTTGTCACAAGAAAGCAGTTACATAGCAACACAGTATAGCCTTCGTCCAAGAAGAGAAGAAGTCAAATTAAAAGAAATAGATTCTAAGGAAGAAAAATACGTTGCAAAAGAACTGGCAGTGAGAACCTTTGAAGTGACCCCCATCCGGGCAAAGGACTTGGAGTTTGGAGGAGTACCTGGTAGGCCTCAGAGCTGGGCCCAGAGAGGGCAGGTGGGGTGAGCTAGGGGTGGTTGCCACAAGGTGAACTGGAAAGGCCTCTCTGAAGACATCTGAGGCAGGCAAGGTAATGAGCCTGGTGGGAACCTGTGGAAGAGCCTTCCAGAGAAGGAACAGTGGGTGCAAAGGCTTGAGGTGGGAGCATTTTGAGGGATTATGGAGTAGAAAGGATGCCATTGTAGCTGTGTTTAAAACTTTTAGCAGTCTGTTCAGAGGTTTTGAGCACAGAAGTACAAAGAAGTGATAAAGGAAGGTTGATCTGGGAGTTTGTATAGCATAGATGGTTACTTATCAGGGACAGAGAGCTCTGCTAATAGTCAGACCTGAGGCGGCAGGGGCCAGCAGTGGGCCTCAGCTGCCTGCATAAAATGGGATCCCGGAGGCTGCCCTACCTGCTAGGCGGGTTGATTGTGAGGGTCAAAGATCTGAAGTGTGCAGAGTTTTGGAGTTACTAAGTGGGTGGAACTGATGAAATTTTATGAGCTAGTAAAAGAAAAGACTTCTTGTCTAAATGGCTCAAAATCCTGCATGGCTTAATTGCTTTGTATTTTGTTATAACCTTTGGCTAGCTGGCCTGTTACAGATGCTGTCCAGCATCACTTAAAATCTGCACACATTACATGAACGTGACACTATTTTAATTGTTAGAAACTGAGGAATATAAAGTTTTTTGTTAAGATTAGGCTGATAATTTTTAGATGTTCTGATCTTCAGTTTGCTGGAGTTTCAACACATTCGCTCCTTAGTGGTTGGAGGTCAAATGTTTTAGAGCTTGGTTTCTGAGGTGGGTGTAGCTATTCAATGTTGGACCTCTTTCTTTTTTTTTTTATTTTTATTTATTTATTTTTTTTACTACTTTGATGCCCATGGTTGCCAGGCCACCAGAGGTGACAGGTAGAGATGGGAGTTTTTGATGGTACATTAGAAATTGGTTTCAGACAGTTAGCCAGATAACGAGTTCTGATCTTAACAAATCTAACATGATTCTTAAATAAATAAACCAGATTGAAATTTGAGCCTCGAATGTTCATGAATTGTTTGCAGGTGTGTTTCTCATCATGTTTGGCCTGCCTGTGTTCCTCTTCCTGTTGCTGTTGATGTGTAAACAGAAAGATCCCAGTCTTCTGAATTTCCCTCCTCCTTTGCCAGCTTTGTATGAGTTATGGGAAACCAGAGTATTTGGGGTCTACCTCCTGTGGTTTTTGATTCAAGTCCTGTTCTACCTACTGCCAATTGGAAAGGTACGTTTATGGTAATTCTGTTTTGTTTTAATAAGATGAGGTCTCACTATATTGTCCAGGCGGGTCTCCAATTTCTGGGATCAAGTGATCCTCTTGCCGCAGCCTCCTGAGTCGCTGGGACCACAGGCCTGTGCCATGCTGCCCAGCCTTAGAGTAGTTTAAAGGTTAAAGGCTGTTGTTGGTCATAATTCCCAAAACTTAGTTCATGAAGCCATTTCTCTTGTGCTGTCTGTATAACACTTGCTTATTAGGAGGAACTTAAAAAAAAATCTGATTGAGATTTCTTGTGTAACTTTTCAAACCAAATAGAAAAGAATAGGCTATTTTGCAAAGTAGCCGACTCTCAGTGGAGGTTGCTATGGAAAAAAAATTCACTCTTAGTATGTGTCATTTCAGATGCAGCATTTTAAATGATTAATTGATAGGCTACTGGGCTCGATGGACTTTAGTCTACATCTTTTACTTTAAAAAAGTATGAAAAGTTTCTAATTTTCATCTCTTTCAGAAGCTTGTTGTCAAGAACATTTTACGTTGTTTTCAGATTCCTGCAATATCTTTAAAATTTGTCTCTCCATTGCTAAGTGTAGTTTTTTCTTCTTTCAGTAGAATCCTTTACTTGGATATATTTAAAGAAACATGAGATTCCCTAAGTAATAAATAATTTATTTAAAGATCTTATTCTTAGGGCTTTGCAAGTTTGCCAACTGTCTGTAAACCAAAGGATCGGTTTTACTGGTGAATGCCAGTGATAGGAGGGTAGAGCTGCAGGCTTAATACTGTGGAGTGAGACCATAACTTTAGTGGCTCTAGCAAGGATTTTTGTGATAAAGACCTTCAGTCATTTCTACAGTAAGCCTCTACAGTTAAATTCAGATTCATTTAGGGTAAGGTGATTTCAGAGTATCAAGGAAAGCAGTTTTGGTGTTTAAAGTCATATATGTATATACTCATAGACTAAAGTGACTAAAAGCATATATATTAAAATATATATTAATATTATGCAGTCATCCCTTGATATCCTTGGGGAGTGGTTCCAGGACCTCCTGTACATACCAAAATCTGAGGATGCTGAAGGCCCTGATAAGAAATAGTATAGTATTTGCATATAACCTGTGTGCATCTTCCTTGTATACTTTGTTGCCTTTAGGTTGCTTATAATACCTAATACAACGTAAGTGCCATGTAAATAGTTATCATACTGTATTAGGGAATAAGGACAAGAAAAAGAAGTCTGTACATATTCAGCTCAGATGCAATTTTTTCCGAAATATTTTGGATCTGGTTGGTTGAATCCATGGATGTGGATCCCGTCGATACGGAGGGCTGACTGTATATTTGGATCTATATATTCACAGATTAAAGCCTAACACAGCATTTACTAGACTCCTTTAATAGATAAGGATCATCTGAAATTAGCATGTGGCATTTTACTAATCCTGTGATCTCAAACAGCTTTTACGTTTCTCTTGGGAGAGGAGGAATGCTAGCTAATGAAATCTGTAGCTAATGATAAGATAAAGTAGTTTAGCCCAGAGCAAATGATACTATATTTATATTTTACAGTTTGAAATGAATTGCTACATTTCTGAATAGTTATTTTGTGGGGTAAAACGTGGCTGCATTGAGCAAGTGGACTTTTTACTGAGCCAGTTCTATTGGGTACCATGCCTGTGGGTATCTCTGTGCTGAATGCTGTGAGTGATGCCGAATGAAGAGAGGAGATGGTTCTGATGCATGATGCGTGCTCACAGTCTCTCTCTCTCTCTCTCTTTTTTTTTTTTTTTCTTGAGACAGGGTCTTGCTCTGTTGCCCAGGCTGGAGTGCAGTGGTGCAATCTGCAACCTCCTCCTGGGCTGAAGTCATCTTCCCACTTCAGCCTCCCGAGTAGCTGGGACCACAGGCGCGTGCCACCAGGCTTGGCTAGTTTTTGTATTTTGTATTTTTGTAGAGAGGGGATTTCACCATGTTGCCCAGGCTGGTCTCCAACTCCTGGACTCAAGTGATCCTCCCACCTTGACCTCTCAAAGTGCTGGGATTACAGGCATGAGTCACCACACCTGGTTTCTCACAGTCTCTTATTGCAGATAAAAGAATCACATGAAATGGTTAAATAACTGGATGGGCAATATATATATAATATATAGCAGAGCAAGTAAGCATATGAGTATGCGTCATCAAATAGCACTTGGGTCATAGTAGAGTGGATAAACAGGGTAGAGCCCAATTGAAAAGGACCCCACAAATGGAAGACAATGGAATCATACTGTTACTTTGTAAGAGTATGGTAGCCATTGGTAGATGTTTGAGCTAGGGATCCACTAGATATAAAGGTATTTAAGCACATTTAGTCTTGAGGTGGTGGTACACAGGAGTGTGGCAGGGAGCGTGGCTGTTGCAGTTGCTTGGTCCTACACTAGGAAGTCATTACTGAATTTGTATTTAAGATAAATTCCTGAAGGTGGAATTGCGTCATTAAAGGGCTTGCCACTAGGGTTTTTGAAACATATTACTAAATTTCCATGTTACAAGATATCTTCCTTCTTGGGCGTGTTGAAAATTAAGTGATACTAGAATATATATATGTGTGTGTGTATATATGTATATATGATGGTGATGTGCTTAGTAAATTTGTAAATTTTTTTTCTTTTAAGGTTGTAGAAGGAACGCCTCTTATTGATGGAAGAAGACTCAAGTATAGATTAAATGGTGATTTTCTTTTTTTAAGACTCAAATTGATGATTTGATAGCTTAAACTTCTAAGTGTTAAACTCTTTGTTAAAGCTGATTAGACCAGAGTAGTAAGTGATAAATTATTTCTTAGTAGTTGGAAGAGCAACTGTTTATACCTGTAGCCAACTTGTATAAATTATGCCATTAAAGTAACATAGCCTCTTAGTCACTCTTGTCCACTCTCCAGTTTTATTTTCTTAATAGTGCTCATCACTGTTAGAAATCATTGCACTTGTCTAGGATTTTATCACCTGAGGTGTTACACGGATGTGGGCATCCAGGCCACTCCTGCTGCGTGAGCTGCTCTTGTCCTTGCTCATGTCCTCTGGGTTGTCCCTTGAATATTCGTCACACACACTTCCTGGGCCTTTGCCTGGAGAACTTACCCCCAAACGTCTGACACCTGCATCTTCACCTCCATCTGTCTTCTGCTGAGAGAAGCCTTCAGGTCCCTTTCTCTCCCCTGCTCTGTTTTGTTTTTCTGTCTGACATTTGTGCCTCCACACATCAGTGTATTTGTCTCTTCATTAGGGTCTCTCCACTAGAATGTGGCTTCATGGGCTAGGACTTGGCTATGTTCATTGTGACACTCTTGGTGCTAGGAAGATGGGCATGTAGTGGGTGCTCATTCATATGTGAGTGCTGGATGGATGAGTTGTGAGCTTGCTGGGCAGCTCAATAAATGGATAGACCTTGCTCCCTGTGGGTCCGGCATCTCGCACTGTAAGAGCATGTGCTGAGTGCTTCAGTCCAGCTTTGTCATTTGAAGACTTTGGCAAAGTACAGATCTATTTTGTAGTCATCCTTGAATGATTTTCCATTTGACAAGACGGAGTAGAGTGTTTTCCTTTTCTTGAGAATTACATTATGTATTGTAATGGTTGAACTTTTTATCCTTTCAATTCTTCATTTTTTAACTTTGGATACTTTGTTTAGAGACTTACGCAGCATCTACTCTGTCTGCAGTCACTCCACTGGGTTCTAAAGGGGAAGCCAAAGATAGTTTAGACACCTTCTGCCTTTTAGTGCCAGTCATGTGATAAAACGTCTCCCCCAGCTCCAGAGTCTGACCCCTGGTGGGTGCTTAATACTTATCATTGGTATTGTTAGACTTTTTGTTGCTTTTACCAAATTCTTTGCTGATGGAGCAAGTTTTAGAACCTTTGGCACCCTCCCTCCCTCTGGTGGTTCACTTACCACACCAGGGAAGGTGAGTCTGGGGTGAGGTGGGTTGTTGACTTTGCCGCCAGGTCCTTTGATTTCAGTGTTTTGTGTGTTTCTCTGTAGGTACCAATTCTTTTCTAAGTAGTCTTGTGTTATATTTTCACTTCCCTCTGAGGGGTGTGGTACATTCAGAGACTGAGCACAGCACTTGGACATGGAGCTCTTGGAGCCAGTGGGGGAGTGGCTGGCCAAGTTGCTTGATCCTTTTTAAAAATTTCCTCATCTAATTACTCTGGTTCAAGTATTGAGATTTCTTTTCGAGATTTTACGATTATTAACTAAGGAGGTTCCTAAGACATTTTGGATGATTATTTTTAATCCACATAGGCTAGAGAGCAAAAGACTGCTTTATCTAACCATTCTTTTTTAAAATTACATTTTATGAAAGGTAAATGAATATTTTCAAAAGTCAGAATTTAGAAGTTATTGTTTGGAGTATTTGTGGAAAATGTGGATTCAGATAATTTGAGACAACTATTTTACTTTACAAAAGGTTTGGTTTTAGAATTCTCATATAAATAACAGCTACCTCTTTTTTGCTTTTGACCGTTTATCCAAATGGATTTGATGACTTTTTAGGATCACAGCTCTTTGAGGCACTCAGCTCCTTTGAAAGCAAAACTATTTCTTTAGCCAAAAGAAAAAAATTGGATCTTCCAGTGAGCCTTTCTGTGTGGCTGCAGGACTAGCCCGGAACGAGAGTTCTGTGGAGCGTCACAGGGCGGGTGCTTTTTAACTTGGCATTGCACGTGAATGTCCCCGCCTGCTGTCCCTACCCCCCAGGTACTCGCAGTCCCCTGCCTAGCCTCGGGCATTTGTGTTGTGGCATCTTTTCTGCGGGTGGCATGTTAAGATCTCTGTTCTGGATGATAGAGTTTTACTAGAATCTTTTGAAACCATTATTGGCAACTTGGTTAAGTATAAATATTTATAATTTTGTAACTACCAACCTGGCTCGGTGCCTGACCCCTGGTAGGTGCATAATACCCTCCCCTTAGGTAATGGCATTAGACTTTAAAATATGTGTTTGGCCCAGCTCTGTTAATAATTAGCCATTTGACTTTGTGCCTGAGAGTTTGGATTGTGGGAATTTTCAGGTTGCACTTCTTGTCTGTTTTCCCTTAATTAAAAGCAAATAATGACCATTTGAACTGAAAAAGAATCAATATGTTAAACTATTTGGAAAGTTCTACAAGAGATAATGGTATGTATATTGAAAATTATACCTCAGACATTGCTTATTTGCATATTTGTGTGTATTTAGTCTGAATAATGAAATTAAGACTTTAAAAATGAACATTGCATTGTTTCATAGTGGCGTAAGTTTCATGTGAGCCTTGGGTTAATATTAATTTTCCACTTCCTTTTTTTTTTTTTTTTAAAGGATTCTATGCTTTTATCCTGACATCTGCAGTCATCGGAACATCTCTCTTCCAGGGCGTAGAGTTTCATTACGTGTACAGTCATTTTCTTCAGTTTGCACTTGCGGCCACTGTTTTTTGTGTGGTCTTGAGTGTGTATCTCTACATGCGCTCTTTGAAAGCGCCCCGGAATGACCTGTCGCCTGCCAGCTCTGGTGAGCAGTGATGAATTGCATGTTGGATGAATGCGTCCCAGAGCCCTCCAGCAGCCATTTCCAGATTTGAATAGATTGCTTTTTTTCTAACTTCATTTTTGGGAAATGAAGAGAAGTAAGAAAAAATGAAAAGATGAAGAAAAACGTTAAAGAGATATGAATTTAAAGGAAGAAAATATTTTTGTTTTACCTTCATACTTTCTTACTCATTTCTTTTTTTTGCAGTTGCTTGATGACAGTAAGACGTTTAGTAAACTTACAGGCATTTTGACTTATGACAAATATTATTTCTTTGTCCAAAATAGTAAACACTCTTTAAAAAACAAAAAACAACAGAGGTTACTGGCCGGGTGAGGTGGCTCATGCCTGTAATCCCAGCACTTCGGGAGGCCAAGGCGGGTGGATCACCTGAGGTCAGGAGTTTGAGACCAGCCTGGCCAATATGGTGAAACCCCATCTCTACTAAAAATACAAAAATCAGCTGGGCGTGGTGGTGCACACCTATAATCCCATCTACTCGGGAGGCTGAGGCAAGAGAATCGCTTGAGCGTGGGAGGCGGAGGTTGCAGTGAGCCGAGACTGTGCCACTGCACTGTAGCCTGGGCCACAGAGCGAGGCTCCATCTCAAAACAAAACAAACAAAAAACAAGAGAAACGAGAGGTTACAAATTGGTTGATGCTGACCTGAAGTATTTCAATATAAAAAAATGTCGCCTATCTAAAAAAAATGGAGTGTAAAGTCCTTTGGGGGGGCCCCCATGATTTTGGTTAACTTTTTTAAGAAACCTGGGCCCCCGGCTCCCCCAAAGGCTGGAGCAACTGCCTTTTCAGTCGGGCAGGCATCTCCTGGTTCCGCTCGTCTGTGCCGTCCTGTCTGCCTCTCACCACCAGAGCCCTGCTCAGGGTCTTGCAGGCAGTGGAATTGTGAGCCTGGATAGTGGGCGGCAGTGCCGTTGTAAAGCCTCCTGACTGGGTTTGGAATGCTGTTTGGGTAAACACTTTTCCTTTCTCAGGAAATGCTGTCTATGATTTCTTCATTGGCCGTGAATTAAACCCTCGAATTGGTACTTTTGATCTCAAATACTTTTGTGAATTGCGCCCCGGATTGATTGGATGGGTATGTCTGGTTTTTTTTCTTCTAAATTTCAATTCAATAGGTCTAATTAACTGCTAGAAAGAAATGTAGACCATTCAAAAATAAGCAGTGGGTGGTATATTTTTAGGGATAATTATGGCTTTCCATAAATCTATCAAAATACTTTCTTGTAAGTATTTTCCAGAGGTTTAAGATGCCCTGTTACAGGTTATGACAAATTAAATAACTTTTCTTTGCTTTATTTTTATTATATCAGTTTATATTTATGTAGGAAAGTGATAGTGTGGATGAATTAATGTAAGAAAAAATGCATTTTCCTCCTTTTTAAATTTTACCTAGTTTTAGGCTTGGAGTTGCAGATAGAGAGCAAAGAGTTCCCTTCCACCCTTCATTCTGTTTCTCACAACATTAACCTTGGAGGAAACCGTAGTGTAGTGATGAAGAACAGCAGATTAACATAGTGACAGCATTGGTTACCAAGTCCACAGGCCTCAGTCGAGTTCACCAGTTTTTCCGCTGTTGTCCTTTTTCTGTTCCAGGAACCTCGACAGGACTCCACAATACATTTAGTTGTTATTCCTTCTTAGTCTTCTCTAGTCTAATAGTTGTTTAGGCTTTCCTTGTCTCTCATGACCTTGATACTTTTTGGAAGGTACTGGTTGGTTATTTTGTAAGTGTCCCTCAGTTTGGGTCATTCCAGTGTTCTCTTTGATTGCGGTAAAGTTACCCACTGTGACAGGAACACAGAAATGATAGCTGTGTCCTTCTCAGTGCATTGGGTCCAGGGGCCCATGGTGCTGAGATGTCTTATTCCTGGTGGCGGGTAGGAGTTACGGTGGCGTCTGCCAGGTGTCTCAGCTGTGAAGCTCACTCATGCCTTTGTAGTGCTAAGGTCTCTGGGGAGGTGCTTTGAGGCTATATACTTTCCCCTTTTGTTTCAGGTGGTTATTAACTTGGTGATGCTTTTGGCTGAAATGAAAATACAGGACCGCGCTGTTCCATCCTTGGCCATGATTTTAGTTAATAGTTTCCAGCTTCTCTATGTGGTGGATGCTCTCTGGAATGAGGTAATTAATTTTAAGAGCCGAGGCCTTGGAGTCAGATGGCTTTGAGTGGGTGAGTGACCTGTCAGAGCCTCGGCTTCTTGCACACAAAGTGAGGGGAGCATGGCCTGCCTCCAAGGCTGCTTGAGAGGAGGACGAGGCCATCCATGTGAAGCTGACGAGGGAGCACTGACAGGTGGGAAGTTTCTAGGCATTTGGGAGTGCTTCAGTGTTTATCAGCTGTTCTTGTGTTTAAAAGTAATATTCTAAATATTTAAGATTGGTGGATCTTGGTTTTGTTTTTGTGGGTGGTGGTAATTATGGTATCACATGAAAATGGATGGATTATTACTAAATTAGAATGGTGTTTCTTGGACTGTCAAGAGTCACCTAGTTTTTAAATAATGGGGGAGATGTTTTATTGTTAATGTTTTAAAATACAAAGACTAGCTCTAATTAGATGAATGTAAAATCAGAAATCAAGATGCATTGAGGAAACCAGTTGAAATAAGGCTAAGTTTCCATCTTGTGTCTTTTTTCATACATTGATTAGTCTTTCTACTAGTTGAAGACTGGTAAATGTTTTGTTTGTTTTCTCTGTCTCAGCCAGCATATTCCTTTTAAAAATTTTGTCTTCCTCAGGCTTATTTTACAAGTATTTTATCGTATTTACTGTTATCTTTGTAATTATCTCCAAATTCCAACTCTAGTTTTCTTTCCATATTAAAAACAAATCTGGCAGCTGTACATCATAATGTTCCAAAACAAGTTTTAGTGACAGTCTGTTGAGACAATCTGCTGACATTTTGAGAGAAGACCTTTTCTCTTTGAGCCTGGAACATTAAAAAAAATTATATTATTTGGTCATCAATACTATGTATCTCCCCCACCCCTGCTGGCTGGTCTTTAATTTTGGCCTTCTATGCAAAATTGCAGAGAACATTTAGTCAGAACAACTTCGCAAGTTTGATATTGGTGTTTCGATGATCTCCTTGTTATTTAGGAAGATTAGGGCCACTTTGAGGTAAACCTCAATTACAAGCGGTGGGATTAGTGCTATCCGCTAATTACGGGTTCCTGTTGCGCTCCTACCACTTCACAGACCCTGGCTCAGAGCTTGGGAAGCTGTGAAGGTGGTGATAACACTTCAAATTGACTTTAAAAATTCCACGTCGACCCAAAATTAAACATGTTTTTGAAATTAAAAAACAACTGTTTTGTAAATGCACTTACTGTTACCAGTGTAGCTTTGTTTGCTGTTATAGAATGAATCGCCAAAAGAGCATATAGGTTACAGTTTGCAAATCAAATGATATTTCACAGTTGTGCTCACCTCAGAGGCTTCTTTAAACCTTCCTTTCTAGTAGCTTTCCACTGATCAGTGATTATTTCTTCTGGTTTCTTCTATTACTAGCTTTCTGCCATGTTGTGGTTGTCACTTTTTAATTGGCTTAGAAGTTGATATTTTCTATAGATTTAGCCAAACATTGACTTGTGTTAAAAGAAAATTTTTTGCATCTTAAGGCAAAACGCTTAATGCAATATTAACATAGCCCCAGGGGTAGAGAACTAGAGTTAGGAAATTGTTTTCTGTCTGTTCTCAGTATCTCAGCCAGATGATAATAAGCTTCTTGAGGAAAGATTGTATTTTATGATTTCTTCAGCATTCTGGCATGCCACTGGGCAATTAGCAGATGCTTAATAACTTCTGTCAGGTCACTTGATAGAAATCCCTCTGTATTCAAGAATGTGCTATACCTTAAGAAAACTGAGACTACCTGTTTAAATATGCATGACCCTTCCTCTGAGCCGTCCTGTGAAAGCCTTGGGGCTCAGGAGCTGGTGGGGCTAAGGTCCTCCCCCTACCCGGCATTGGGTGCTTACCCTTTGCCCTCTCACTGCCACTCACCACACCTGCTTTTATCTGCTCCCACCAATTTGTCACCTTTATCCTCTTTTGGACCAGGAATCAGATCACAGGCCTTGAGAGAGAAGAATAAGACACTCTTGGGGACAGAAAGTTAAAACACCGTGTGTCCTCACTTATATGTGGGCGCTAAAAAAGTTGATGTCATAGAAGTATAAAGTAGAACAGAGGATATGGGAAGGTGGGAAGGGTAGGGGGAAGGGAAGGATAGGGAGAGGTTTGTTAAAGGATACAAAATTACCACTCGATAGGAGGAGTAAGTTCTAAGTTCTAGTATTCTATACCACTGTAGGATGACTATAGTTAACAGTGATACATAGTTTCAAATAGCTAGAAGGATATTGAATATTCCTAACACAAAGAAAGAATGTGTTTGAGATGATGGATATGCTAATTACCTTGATTGGATTACTATATATTACATGTATTGCAACATCACTGTGTACCCCATAAATATGTACGATTATTACATGTCAATTTTTTTTTTTAAAGAGAATAAAGTACTCTGGTTAACTAAAGAGTATAAGCCTAAGGAGCTAGATTTTGTGAGATTGGTTTTTCTGTTTCATGTGACATCTGTTTTTCTGTTCCATGGCCTATTTGCTTTCTTTTCTGGAAAAAAATGCTATTTAGAGGTACCACTCTTTTTCTTTAACCTAGAACTTTGATTCTCCAACAGAGCTTATACTGGCTAATATTTCTACATCAGTGGTCTGTACTGAGGTTCTGGGTAGTTTAGAGATTCCCTTAGGCCAGACCTTCAGAGTGTTGACCTTGGTGGTGGTTCCGTATTCTAGAGTCTGGCCTGCCCGTATCCTGGGCCAGAGGCGATCTGGCTCATGCTAACCAAATCACCAGGGAGTAATGCACTTTTATTAATTTACATGAGAAGCGAAGCTGTCAGTTCACCATGTTGCCAGGCAGCTTAATTTCTTCTGTGGAAAATGCACATGAAATGCCAGATTATGAACAGAAATTAGATTGGTCCATGTGGAATTGAAACAAAAAGAGTTGGTGATCTTATTCCTTCAGCAAGCATATTTTGAACACTTCTCTCCATGGCGGGCACTGTGCTAGGTACTGGGGTGGCAAAGGTGAAAACACACAGCCTCTGTCTTTTAGAGGCTTTTAGTGTAGTGAAGAGTGACTAGACAAGTACAGTAACCCAATTACTGCAGCCTACTGGTGGGTGGTGATATCTGAGAAGTGCCCAGGTCTGAGCAGCAGGTCAGGAGGGCAGCAGAGGGTGTAGGGCCTATGTGGAGGTTGGAGGAGGGGTTGTCAGCAGAGGGGAGGGCCTGGGCATGGGGGCATGGGAGATGCTTTAGAGATCTGTTATCTCCAGAGCATGAGCGAGAGGCTGGCGTGACGGGAGAATGTGACAGCAGAAAGACCTAGCAGGCCAGGGGAACCAGATCTCTCTCCCCTTTAACAAAAAAATGTTGATTGTGGACCCGCCCATAGCACTTTTTACATTTGCCTGTAAACTAGTACTTTATTTGAATACTTTAAACACAGAAGCTCCTTCTCCCTTTCCCCGTCTGTATCCTTATAGGAAGCGTTGTTGACGACCATGGACATCATCCACGATGGATTTGGATTCATGCTGGCTTTTGGAGACTTGGTGTGGGTTCCCTTTATTTACAGCTTCCAAGCCTTTTATTTAGTCAGTCATCCAAATGAAGTGTCTTGGCCAATGGCTTCTCTAATTATTGTTCTGAAACGTGAGTATTAATTTTAGTCTCAGTTTAATTTATTAAATATTATGTACTGAGGCTTTTATGCCCTGCTGTCTACATACTTGAAACATGCCATTTTGAATGGCCAGCATTAGCTCAGTTTGAAGCCATTTATCATGAGTAATAAAAAATCTGCATTTTGCAAAGAGAATGGATGGTTCGTACTTGGGTTCTCAGTAGTACTTGAAACAGATTATTTTAAACCATCTTGCTTTTAAATTTAATAAATTTAAGTTGTTTTAATTCGTTTTGGTAACCATACGTCTTTTCTCTTGAGTGCCTGCTTTTTCTGGTAGGCATCTTATAAAGTAAGAAGATTTGTCTTGCCTTCATAGAGCTCACATTCTAACAGGAGAAATAAGACATTCCTGCCTTGCTGTGAGGTGTGTGAGTGAGCACTAAGAGGGGCTTAGATGACGGGTGTTAAAGATAGAGAGAACTTCTCTCTGGGGAGCGTTAGTGTGAACTTATCGGAGGATATGGTGTTCGATTGGAGTTTTAGAGGGGAAAATGGGATGGGGAGATCGAAAAGTCAGGCACTGGGAACAGCTCAGCAAGGGTGTGTGGTGGGGAAGTGTGAGATGAGGTTGGGAAAGACTGAGAAGTCCAGTTTGGCTGCAGCTGCGGTCCACCAGGGTCAGTCATGGATTTTACTTCAGGATGAATTTTCATTGTTCTTACACTGTTCACTAAACACTTATACTAGAGGTTGGGCAGGGAAAATTAGCAGTGAACTGCAAATACAGATAGTTTTGCTACACAAGTTAGTATCTGTGGTAGAAGAAGTTCAAACCATTGGTTAAAATTAAGATTTAGTTTCACCAGTGGTTTGGATGTCCATGTCATCCATTTTATTATTCAAGACAGTGTATTTTATAGTTCAGCTAAAAATGGGGAATGTCTTAGTTTGTTTTGTGCTGCTCGAACAGAATAGCTGAGACTAGGTAATTTGTCATGAAATTTATTTGGCTCATGGTTCTGGAGGCCAGGAAGTCAAAGAGCATGGTGCTGGAATCTGGCAAGACCCCTTCTGCTGCAGCATCCCAGGGTGGAAGGTGGAAGGACAAGAGAGAGTGAGGGAGGGCAAGAGAGAGTGAGGAAGAGCAAGAGGGGCTGAACATACTTTTATAACAAACCCACTCGAGATACTGAGCCCACTCCTGTGATAGCCACATTAATCTGTCCATGAGGGCAGAACCCTCATGACCTAATCATCTCTTAAAGGTGCTACCTCTCCACACTGTTGCATTGAGGATTACGTTTCCAACACGTGAACTTTGGAGAACACATTCAAACCAAAGCAGGAAGTAAAGTTATTCTCTTACTAGTTTATTGAGGATCGACTATATAATAGTTAAATGTCAGTGATAGATTGATTTTTGACATTCTGAAATTTGGATAAAATTAGGAACTTATAGACTTAAAGTGGGATTCAGCATGTATTTAAAGTGCAGGATGTTTTGGTGCTGATTCTAAGCTAGTGTTTGATAATAAAATGTTTGTGCCATGGCCAGTAGGTATAACTAACAGATGATATAGCTTGTAATTTTGATTACACTGAACTCTAGTATTGATTTTATTGTAATGTAGGCTATCTTAGATTTTATCTCTTTCATGGATGTAACTATATTTGTTTTGCCTTCAGAGCGTTTCCTAGGTGGATGATTAAAGTAGTGTGATAGATTTCGGACGGGTTACCATCTTTTTACATAGTGGGATTTAGAGGTTTTGAGTTGTTCTTAAGAATCAGGCCAGGTGCGGTGGCTCATGCCTGTAATCCCAGCACTTTGGGAGGCTGAAGCAGGAGGATCTCTTGAGCCTAGGAGTCTGCTTTGGAAATTTCCTCAGAGCATAGAAATCATTTTTAAGAGAAATTACAGATGCTATTAAGCATTAGAGTATAACTAAGTTATTAACATAGGAAAATATTTTAAAATTGCAGTTTGTGGTTATGTAATCTTCCGAGGTGCAAATTCTCAGAAAAATGCATTCCGGAAAAATCCCAGTGATCCAAAGCTTGCACGTAAGTATTGATTTATGTTTATATTATATATATTACATGAAGGTTTTATTTTTCTTTTTGTCTCGACATCATTAAAAATGTACTTTTATTTTTATATAGATTTAAAAACCATTCATACTTCAACGGGAAAAAATCTTCTAGTTTCTGGATGGTGGGGCTTTGTTCGCCACCCCAATTACTTGGGTGATCTCATCATGGCCTTGGCGTGGTCCCTCCCATGTGGTAAGCATTTCAGAAGAGTGCTAGTTTGACCCTTTTAGCCGCCAGAAAGATGTGTGTGTGTGTCCTTTGTGTGGGACAGTGTGGCCAAGGTGGGTGTGAGTCTTTTTGTCGCCCTTTTCTACTGTGAGGTTGGCCTCTGTAGAAGCTCCTCTGGCTTCTGAGGGGAATTGGGAATTCACAGAGCCTGAAGTTTTACTTTAAGCCTAAAAGCACTATTTTAAGTTTTCAGCTGTGCCTGATAGCTTTTTTCTAAGTAGAATATATAGAAATTAATTCAGCTTCTTAATTCATGATTCAGTGTACATAGATTGGGAAAAACTTTGGTTTTTAAGAAGAGAAAGAGATTCTGTTTTTCTTTTTGTGTGTCTGGCCTCGTGGGGAGCTGGGAAAGCAGGGGAGCAGGGAGAGCTGTGGGAGCTGGAGGTGCTTGGGGAGCTGGGGTGTCAGGGGGAGCTGGAGGTACTGGTGGAGCCAGGGGAGCTGGGGGAACTGGGGGAGCAGGGGGATCTTGGGAAGCTGGGGGAGCTGGGGGAACTGGGGGAGCAGGGGGATCCAGGGGAGCTGGTGGAGGTGGAGGAGCTGGCCCGTGCCTGCTGCCTGTTTGGTGGCCCAGCCTGTGGTGGAAGACAGCAGTTTTTCTTCTTTGCTGGGGGAAGAAGGGCGAGAAATGAAGAGATGTGTATTAACTATGAGGACAGATGTTTTGATTGTGATGGATTGTTAGAATGGATTCATCAGTCTTTGAGTAGCTTCTAATTTAGATACGACCTTCTGCCACTTTCCAGTGGGATTTTACAGACTTGTTTAATTATTCTCATCATTATTAGAGAAAATGAAGTACCTTGTGGTTCCATTTTTAGAGAATTTGGGGGAAAGCAGGAAAAAATACATTGTAGTGATAATAAAAATATCTAATACTGTGTACTATTATTATCCACAGGTTTTAACCACATTCTGCCTTATTTCTACATAATTTATTTCACCATGTTGCTTGTCCACCGAGAAGCTCGTGACGAGTACCACTGTAAGAAGAAATACGGCGTGGCTTGGGAAAAGTACTGTCAGCGTGTGCCCTACCGTATATTTCCATACATCTACTAATGCTCTTCTGGCTTTTCTACAAAATACTCCTGCAATTCCAGCTGCCATTTGCAAAAACAAGGAAAAAAATCCGAAACTTTCTTTTGTTGCACTGACAGGGTCTGTACTTTTTTTTTTCTTTTTGAGTCAGGACTATGGAGCCGAGTAGTTGATCTTTTAATATAGCCGTGTTTACTTGTATTAACTTACAGTTAACATAGGAAAAATACAAGTAAGGATGTGAGAATTTGCATTTTAATGGGAAATTTTCAACCCTTAATCTGAAAACAGAAGACAGTCTTAATATAAATGTACTGTGAAGAATGCTATTGATGTTTATGGTTTCTGATTACTTTTCAAATTTTGATGTTTTTTTGCCAGTTGGCTTTTCTTAAATGAAAACACTGTTCCATTTAAAGTACATTTATGTTTTATTCAGTAAGAGAATAGAATTTTCATTTGTTTTTCTTTAAATCCTTTACTAATTATATAATTTGAAAGCAAAAAGAAGGGCCTATATTAAATGCTGAAAGTGAAAAGTGATGACATTATTAGCAGACACTGCTTAAAGGAGACCATTTGTAGCAGTTGGCTTAACCTCAACTTCTAAAACTACATTGAAAATGTAAATACATAGCTTAGTTTTTTGTAATATATGGTGACTTCAGATTTTTTTGTACAGTATTTTGAATGTGAGATGATTGTCAGGACTAACTGTCTTTTTAACAAAACATTTTCAGTATTTTAAATAAAATTTTGTAAAGTAATGTGAATTAAAAATTTTGGAACAATTAGAATTCATTCACTATTGTATAGAAGATGCTGTTAAAACATAGGAAGGGTATTTTTCTTGATCCAAAGTTTGTGAATTTGGCTTTGCTACCTCAATTGCAGGTGTTTGTTTGCCTTTATAAACTGTTGCAAATAGAAAAAAAATAGAATAAGTATATATTTTTGGAGTAACATCAATATTTAAACATTTTTACACAGATCGGTGTTTGAAAATTTGCCATTTCAGGCTAATATTTTTATATATTTTTGACTTTTTAAAAGTTCATCAGTGTTTTTGCTACTGTTAAGCTTATGCAGTTTATACTGTATTTTTTATGTATCCTTTATATTTACCAAACCTGACTCCCTGTAAAGGAGTGCTGTCTTAAAAACAACTGAAGGGGTTAAAGTCGTTTCTTTTAGTTTAATAGATGTGCATAAGGTAGCTTTAGCAATTAAATTCTAGTGAAGTTGATATAGTCTCATTTTTAATTGTCCTGTAATGGAACAGTAGCAAATTCACTAAACTTTTGTGTTCAGAGTTAAATTGTTCTCAGTACTTTCAATGTAGGGGAATGTAATAAACATAGTGTGTATGTTTGGGTTTTAATTACACATTTTATATATGAGCCATTTAGATATGCAGTGTTAATTCTATACTGCATTTGAAGTGTATGTAACTTAGCTTATGTTAATGCAGTCATGAAGTTGGTTTGCTCCAGCATCCGGTAGTCTTTAAACATTCTTTTAGTGAAATTGTCATTGTTTTATCAGTGCTAATGTGTGCAAGCAGTTTTTTTATTTTGCTTTTCTCCTGGCATCAGAAAGTGGTGGCGTTTTCTGTACTGGATTGCACCAAGGAAGCTTTTGGGGAGGAAGGAAGGACATTAAATTCTTTCCCTGGTAATGAAAAGAGCCCTTTATCAATACAGTGCTGCAATTTCTGGATATCAGCTACACTTTGTTTTTAAGTTTGTTTTTGACATGTTTATTTGGCAAATTTTATAATGAAGTTTTAAGTTGAAAATAAAATGTAGCAACATTTTGATCACTTTGGAGCCTTTTTTTTTTCCCTTTCTTGCTTGAAACTGAGATTTTTGGGACCAAGACAGGAGCCCTTAGATTCCCACCCCTGCCCAGCCTCCTGTTTTCCTAGGATCATCTGTTTGGGACCCCTGGCCAACTGCTGTTTAAAACTCTCAGAATGTTGGAACTCAAAGGGGTTAGT
Source organism: Homo sapiens (assembly GCF_000001405.40). NCBI lineage: Eukaryota > Metazoa > Chordata > Mammalia > Primates > Hominidae > Homo > Homo sapiens. The sequence goes on along the minus strand of NC_000001.11, from coordinate 225,401,324 downwards.
TGGGAATCCTAACTCCCAGAAAATGGTCATGTGTTTAGTATTTGCTGTTTGAGAAAATACAGAAATGCTAAAACTATTGTAGATCCAGTCATACTTTCAAATGCATTTGTATGAATCACAGAAGCATCTGTGCATTTGAAAGACAGTACGTGTGTGAGAGACACACGAGACACACACATGTACTGTGCCTGCTGACCGTGCTTTAGTGCTTGTTTGGATTTCCAGTTGACTCTAAGCCTGAATTGTGAGATGAGATCAGACAGCTTCACCTCTCAATTCTTCCTGCTGCGACGTTACATTGTGACATTACATTGCAAAATGTGGGTGTGTCAGAATATGCACCAATACCAAGTATACGATTTATATTTTGGTGTTTAGTTTTGCACTGTTTGGAGCAAATGATGAAATATAGGATTTTAACAAAAGATACAAGGTGGAGTGTTTCTAGGTGCAATTTACTTAAATATAGATGGTACAGTTTCCTAGACAATTAAATACATGTTTTGTTCATGGCTGTTAAAAGAGTCTAGTGCTGGGTACAAGTCCCACCTTTTCTACCCCCCTTACTATGGAGAGAGGGGACTGTTGGGATCTTCATTTGTGTACACGTGGGTTATGCTTTCTGCCCATGGACCATTGCCATGATAAAGAGACAGTGAGATGTGGCTTCAAATGCTAGCTGTGCTCCCTCTTAGCAATGTGTGTGTGGGCAATTAATCTCTTTGAGCACTGGTTTCCTCATGTATAAAATCTGGCTGATACGTCCACAGAGTATAGAGGGGCCTGAGGATGATATAGGAATTATTAGTGTTCAACATAGTGCTCAGTTATGTTAGCCATTATTAGTAGAATAACATTCTTCCTATAGGAACATTGAATTTACCAAATTCTCAGGATTTGGCTTTTAGTGGTCAGAGAGGTCTAGTGAAGTCAGAACCATATTGCACTTTTTTTTTTTTTTTTTTTAAAGAGATGGGGTCTTGCTTTGTTGCCCAGGCTGGGGTGCAGTGGCGTGATCATAGCTCAATGCAGCCTCAACCTCCTGGGCTCAAGCCATCCTCCTACCTCAGACTCTGAGTAGCTGGGACTAAAGGTGCCTCATCATGCCTGGCTAATTTTTTAAACAATTTTTTGTAAAGACAGGGTCTCATTATGTTGTCAAGGCTGGTCTTGAATTCCTGGCCTCAAGTGATCCTCTTGCCTTGGCCTCCCCAAGTGCCGGGATTACAGACATGAGCCACTGTACCCAGCCAGACCGCAATTTTTTTTCAAGACAGAGTCTTGCTCTGTCACCTAGGCTAGAGTGCAGTGGCACAGTCTCAGCTGACAGCAACCTCTGCCTCCCAGGCTCAAGTGATTCTCATGCCTCAGCCTCCTGAGCTGGGATTACAGACCTGCGCCACCACGCCCAGCCAATTTGTGTATTTTTAGTAGAGATGGGTTTCGTCGTGTTGTCTAGGCTGGTTTCGAAGTCCTGACCTCAGGTGATCCGCCCGCCTTGGCCTCCCAAAGTGCTGGGATTACAGGTGTGAGCCACCACGCCCGGCCCAGACTGCACTTCTTTAAAGAGGAAGGCCCTTCTCTTTTGTTTCAGAAGTCTGCAGCTAGGTCAGCAGTGTAGTATTCTGTGTTTACTTAGAGAAGCCAGGGGAAGTATTCCAAAGATCTATTCTACATGTGTATATTTAGTTTATTGTATATAATTTTATAAACCACTTTTACCAAAAAGTTCATAAAGGCATGCCCTGATATCCTGCCAGGTGCTGTGGTTTTTACTGTTAGGAGAGTCAAATTTGCTGTATTCCGGGTTGTGCTGACCTGTACTAGAGCCCAACCACAGGGACATTGCACAGTCAGGTCTCATGTACTTAGAATAAAAAGCAGCTGCAAGATTCCCCTCTGTGTTGAAGTTTTCATGTACAAATGAAATAGACTGCACCTGCCCAGTCTGGCTGAACACACAAATATTTTATAAAGGGTGTTGACTACATGTGAATGTCTTGAAACATGTAAGTCTGATTAGAGTCAAAAATTAAAATGGTTTGATATGGACATTTATTTTTCATTCTTCTCACAAAGCAATGCAACCCGCATTGTGATCCAGTGACTAGGAGGTTTCTTCGTTGATAAATACACTGATGTTAAAAAGTTTGTTGGTAAACCGGTAGTTGCCAAAATTCTTGACCTCTCAGGTGTCTGGTAAACTGGGCATTCAAAAGCATAGAGTTCTGAATCTGTCTGGTTGGAAGCATTTGGTGTTTTGGTAGAAATCTTTAAAAAAAAAAAAAATCCAGTAGTCAAATTGCATAGTTCAAGTGAATCAGTAGCTCACATTTTCTGTATGCTAGGCTTGAGGGATTTGTTATGAATTAGATACATTTAAGGTTAAATGGTTAATGTAACAGCATGTGGAAATTATACCTGGAGAATTTAAAGAGTATTATGGCTTTATAGTACATATTATTGAGAACATGGGATGTAAGTATAGCATCTACTTTAGATTTTAGTAATATTTTGGGAGATTTAAAATCTTTGTTGTCTGAGTATATTATCACATCTCCCTTGCAAAATTGTAGGGAATGGGAATAAGAGTGGTTTGTATATTACTGAAGCAACGCTCAGAGGTTTAGGACTTCAGGATAATAGCAGGGTGATTACCTTTGTTGGCAAAAAGTATATGTCGGGAAAATCACAGCACATCTCCAGAGGCAGCGAGTCTTCCAGTATTTTCTGTTCACGATTCCATCTTGCCCCCTCGATGAATAAACCAAAAATGTAAACTCCAGTGTGAGAGGAAGCTGAGCCCTAAGATGGAAGAGAGGTGGTGTCAGGGATCCCCAGGAGAAGCAGCGACCAACTGGAGGCTCCGTCCGGAATTGAGCCGACCGATCCAGAGGGGCTCATCCTGCCTAAGGCATGTTGCCCCAAGTTCTAAGGTGAATACTTATTTTTTTTCCTATTCTGAGTGCTTTAAAAACGACATAGGCTTAGGTGTATCTATATAATCATCCTGAACTGAAATATATGTATTTTTTCCATGACACCCTTCCTCAGCATGAAGACAAAGACCTTCAAACACAATAAATATGCAAATTTCTACAATTGTAATCGTGTAGCCGAGCTTTTTAGGACAGAACAAGAACAGTTACAAAAGGTGACAGAGTACACTGTGCTCAAACATTGTCACCTACCTTTACCATAGTGGCCATAACTACTGTTTTAGGCTCTAGAAATGTAAAAAAGGCAGAGGAGGGGTTTTTTTTTTTTTTTTTTTTTTTGACATGGGGTCTCGCTCTGTTGCCTAGGCTGGAGTGCAGTGGCATGATCTTGGCTCACTGCAACCTCCACCGCCTGGGTTCCATCGGTTCTCCCACTTCAGCCTCCTGAGTAGCTGGGATTACAGGAGCACACCACCACGCCCGCCTAATTTTTTGTATTTTTAGTAGAGATCGGGTTTCATCACGTTGGCCAGGCTGGTCTCGAACTCCTGACCTCAAGTGATCCGTCTCTCTTCGCCTCCCAAAGTGCTGGGACTACAGGTGTGAGCCACCATGCCCGGCCGGGTTCCATATATTTTTGAATGATATAGGTTAAATAGAGGATTACATTTTAATGATAAAGGGTTAAGTAAAATGAGTTTCTGATGAGGTCTGTGAAGTAGAAAATTTAGTTGCCTGCAGCTCCAATTCCAGGTGACTCCAGGTGTGCCTGAGGTAGGCCTGTGAAGCCACATGCTCTCCTGCAGGTGTGCTGGAGGGATGCCCAGCCTGGAGGAGCTGGTGGCCAAGTACCAGGCCACCCTGGAGGGCTCTGCCATCTCCTCTGATGGGGCAGGTCTCTGAAGAGAAGGGGTGGGCACCGCTGTCCTGAGCTCTCCCTTGATGCAGCCTGGGCCAGCTTGTTGACACAGGGGAGGCAGTGTGGAACAGCCTGTGCTGTGCCTGGTGATGCCTTCTGTGTTGTCCACTCTGGAATGTGACTACCTGGAGGTGCAAGCTGAACTCATATTAAGCACTTCCTATTTTGGCTTATTCTATAAAAGAATTTTGGCCGGGCGCAGTGGCTCACGCCTGTAATCCCAGCACTTTGGGAGGCTGAGGCGGGCGGATCACGAGGTCAGGAGATCGAGACCATCCTGGCTAACACGGTGAAACCCCGTCTCTACTAAAAATACAAAAAATTAGCCGGGCTCGGGAGGCTGAGGCAGGGGAATGGCGTGAACCCAGGAGGCGGAGGTTGCAGTGAGCTGAGATCACGCCACTGCACTCCAGCCTGGGCAACAGAGCAAGACTCCATCTCAAAAAAAAAAAAAAGAATTTTACTGGGAATTGCTTTGTATAATGCTTTTTACTTCTCTTCCCCTTAACTTATATAAATGCAAATTTTCCTATACTGCATTTGTTCTAGTGTTGTCCTTTCCTAACAATCTTGGAAGAAGTTAATCTAACGCATTTGACAATGTCACTTCCATTTATACTTGTGTAACTTGGTCATAGCTTACATGGGTTTTTCCTCTGAAAAATCTAAACTGTAGGTAATTTGTAAACAGCCCCTTTTGGAGTGATTTAACTCTTCAAAGAGCCACTCAGAATAAATGGAAGTAATCTTACTTCAACTCAGTGGAAGCTGGTTGTTTGTATAAAGCAGAAATAAGTGAGAACATCTGATTAGATGAATAGAGGCAAAAAGCAAACTTAGGCGGGCAGTCCATACCCCTGTGCTCCCTCTGTGAGTCATAAGAAAAGGCCCTGGTGCACATCTGCCTCTCGGTAGCCTTTTCATGTCTAATGGGTTATGTAGGAAGAGGTTAGGCTATGGGTGTAGAGTCAGCTAGACTTGGTGGGTTCAAAGCTTATGATCTGCCTCTTTGAACCTTAGTTTCCTGACCTACAGAATGAGGCTAATTTGTGAGGATTAAATAATGCAGGTAAAGAGCTTAGCACATAGTACTTAGTCAGTGTTGGCTAGCAAGCATCAGTGCCATCATTATCAGGTAGATTGGGATCTTCTAGAGGGCAGAGGCCTTACGTTGTTCATCTCGATATTTCCAACAGCCAGAGCAGTTTTGGACCCATATTTTAAATAAACAGTTGGATAAACCTCCAGTCGAAAACACATCTGAACCTGAGCTTTCTTCCACGTCAATACTCTTGCCAAGCAGTCACCTGATTTCTCCTAAAGCTCCAGTGACAGGGAACTCCCTGTCTATAAAAGGACACGCCACCATCATCATCAATTTAGATCAACTGCATGTGTCTTCCCCTTGGAGGTCCCCCTGGTTGGAGTTCTAGCAGAATTAGAGTCTAGTTCTTCATGTATCACCCTTTTCAATATTTCTTTTTCTCCTCAGAGTCTTTTGCCTTGTAGGACAAACTCTCCCAGTTCCATCCTTCTTCTGACATGTTCCTAACGTTCACTAATTCTGGGTAGTCTCGGAATCATCTTAGTGCAGTCTGATGAGTGCTGAGGAGAGGAAGACCAGGACCCAGAGGCCAAACAGCATGAGTGTCCACCACCTCCTCCCACTCCAAATCCCAGAATGCAACTATGAAAGCACCGGAAAACAAGAAGTATCCCCAGTGGACCAGAAACTGTGAGAACCCTAAAGACAGAAGGCAGATAGGATTAGAATAAGGAAACCACCGTCAATAATATGCACAATAAAAACTAAAAACATCACCCTCTCCAAGCCCCCCGCCCCATCCTACAGAATAATTTTTTTTTTTTTTTTTGAGACGGGAGTCTCACTCTGTCGCGCAGGCTGGAGCGCAGTGGCGCGATCTCTGCTCACTGCAAGCTCCGCCTCCTGGGTTCACGCCATTCTCCTGCCTCAGCCTCTCGAGTAGCTGGGACTACAGGCGCCCGCCACTACGCCCGGCTAATTTTTGTATTTTCAGTAGAGACGGGGTTTCACCGTGTTAGCCAGGATGGTCTCGATCTCCTGACCTCGTGATCTGCCCGCCTCAGCCTCACAAAGTGCTGGGATTACAGGTGTGAGACACCGCGCCCGGCCTAATCCTACAGAATAATATCAAATAAAATATTGATACAAAAATCTTGAATAAAATATTACAATTAAGATGATTCAACCTTAGGATCTTTTAATAAATCATATTGATAAAAGTGATAAATTATGTGATAATCTCCATAAACCCTGAAAAGCTCTCTCATCACATTTAGCTTCCATTCTTCATTAAAAAATTCCTAATATAGGAATCATACCTTATAACCAACTACACTCCAGATAGTTCTATGTACTCCACCATGTTAATGAGATAAAGGATAAAAACTATCTGATTATTTCAATAGAAACAGGCCCAGGCATGTAGAATTATTTGATCTATGACAAAGTTGAAGTAGGGAAAGGGCCATTTCAATGAAAAAATGGTGCTGAGTCAGGTGGGTACCCATATGGAACCAAAAGAACTTTGATCTCACCTCATGCCATACACAACTCAATTCTCCTTTTTTTTTTTTTTTTTAGACAGAGTCTCTCTCTGTCACCCAGGCTGGAGTGCAGTAGCACGATCTCTGCTCACTGCAACCTCTGCCTCCCAAGTTCAAGCAATACTCCTGCCTCAGCCTCCCAAGTAGCTGGGATTACACATGCGCACCACCCAACCTGGCTAATTTTTTGTATTTTTAGTAGAGATGGGGTTTTGCCATGTTGGCCAGGCTAGTCTGGAACTCCTGATCTCAGGTGAGCTGCCCACCTTGACCTCTCAAAGTGCTGGGATTACAGGTGTGAGCCACCGTGCCTGGCCTTCAATTATATATAGATCATAGAAAATGAAAGGTAAAGCAATATAGTTTCTAGAAGATAACAGGAGAATATTTTCATGAACTTAGTTTAGGGTAGGCAAAGATTTCTTAAACAGAACATAAAAAAGCATTAACCCTAAATAAAAGATGGATACACTGGACTTTGTTAAAACAAAAAAATTTTTGTTCATCAAAAGACACCATTAAGAAAGTGATTTGGAAAGTCACACACTGGGAGAAGATGCTTTCAATACATGTACCTGACAGCTTATATTCAGAATACACAAGAACTTCTATAAATCAATACGACAAAAACAGTCCACAGTCTTGAACAGAATCTTCACAAAAGAGGAAATCCAAATATCAATAATCATTTTAAAAGGTGCCCACCTTAATTAATCATCAAGGAAATGCAATTTAAAATCATAAAGATAACATCGCTGTGGCCGGGCGCGGTGGCTCATGCCTGTAATCCCAGCACTTTGGGAGGCGGAGCAGGGGGATCACGAGGTCAGAAGATCGAGACCATCCTGGCTAACATGGTGAAACCCCGTCTCTACTAAAAATACAAAAAATATTAGCCGGGTGTGGTGGTGGGCGCCTGTAGTCCCAGCTGCTTGGGAGGCTGAGGCAGGAGAATGGTGTGAACCCGGGAGGCGGAGCTTGCAGTGAGCTGAGATCGTGCCACTGCACTCCAGCCTGGGTGACAGAGCAAGACTCCGTCTCAAAAAAAAAAACAAAAAAAAAACAAAAAAAGATATATCACTGCACGTCCACTAGAATGACTAAAACTAAAACACTAAAAATACCGAGTGTTGGCAGGGATGTGGAGCAATCTTCTACATTACTGGTGGGCCTGTGGATTGGTACAACCACATTGAAAAACCATTTGGCAGTATCTACACCAAAACTAAACATATGGCCATGTATGACCCTCAGTGTATTTAATCATGAGCTCCATAACAACATTTGTGCCAATGACAGACCACATATACCAAGCTGGTCCTATAAGATTATGATGGAGCTGAAAAATTCCTATCACCTAGCGATGATGTAGAGGAATGCATCCATGCATTTCTATGTATAGATGTGTTTGGGTACACAAATTACCATTGTGTTACACTGCCTGCAGTGTTCAATACAGTAACATGCTGTACAGGTCTGTAGCCTGGCAGCAATAGGCTATCCCATTTAGCCTAGGTAAGCAGTAGGCTATGCCGTGTAGGTTTGTGGAAGTACACTCTTAACGATGCATTTCTCAGAATGTATCCCCATCGTTAAGTGGTACATGATTGTACTTATTTATTTATTACTATTTTTTCAATTCTTTTGGTTATAGCCAACCTAGTGGGTGTAAAATGGTATTTCATTATCATTTTGATTTGCATTTCTCTGACTAAAGATATTGAGCATCCTTTCACATTCTTTTTGTTTTTTCAAATCTTTAAACCAATGTCTCCCAACCCTGTCTCCCCTTCCTCCCCAGCATTAGTCCTGGAGCAGAAAAATAGATTCCCAGAACAAATTGGAATTTAGAAAATGACAGCTGTGGCCCTTCAAATCAGTGGGGACAGTGGCGTGGGAGTGGCAGGGCTGGGGTGCACGGTGCACCTGGCTGGCTGGTGCTCTGTGCTCTGCTTCAGCCCAAGCTGCCTCCATGGGTCCCCCTCACTGCACCGCTGAGGTCTGGGTAGGTGTAGGTTTCCACTTAGCACCTGGCTGAGCTCTGGAATAAGTCGGTTGCTGGGGGCAGGAATTTCGGCCATGAGCAGCTAGGACAGGTTTGCCCACTGATTTAAAATATCACCTTTTGATGCTGACCTCAGCAGCATTCTGTCTTCATTTATAATAGGGGATACTTAGAAAGTCTGTTGATTACATTGACTTAAATCTTTTATTCATGATTTATGATCTTTTATCCCCCCCAGAAAGAGAGTGGAAGACATGAAGTCTGAGGGCATTTGGACTTGAAGCAGGGCTTGTTGATCTGCCTGTCTAGTGCCTGGCATGTGGTAAGTGCTGAGTAAAGGTTTGTAAAGGGCACAATTGATTGAATGAATAAATGAATGAATGAATGATCACCGTTTCTAATCCTTGAAGTATTCCAGTACCTTAAACGCTCTCCTGACTATGTTGAGTTTCTTTGGCATAAATACGGAGAACTTCTCATCCTTGTCAGTGGTGTTGGAAATCACATGGTGGGTGAAGGTGAGGGCATCCACAGCGATTCCTCGGGACCTCCCATAGTCTTGAAGCACAGCAGCAAGAAAGGCTTTGGAGAAGAACACACACCATCAAGTTCCTTGTGAGTCTCAGGGCCTCCTGCTGGGGTTAGCAACAATGATGTCTCATGGAGAAGAAAGGGAAGAGTGGAGGAAAAAGAGAGAACAAAAGAGATGGGCTGGGCGGGAGCAGAGGACCAGTTCACCCACCCTCTCAGGCCTTGGTGACTTTGGTCTGGCCAGCTGCAGGAGCCTCCTGGTGAATGTGGGTTGTTTTTCAAGGCCAGCACCCCTCCTGTATTCGTTGTGGGGATAGAGGGGCTGTCAATTCTGAGACCCTCTCCATTTCTGAGCCAATCTTGGCCGATGATCATGCCTCATCCTCTCGGCAACAAAGATGGGACCCAGGGGCAAGTACAAGACCAAGTGTGTCAGAGTCTTCCTCAAGAAATGACATATGGACACTGAGAAAAGGAAGGCTCTGTTGCCTCTAGGGTTGCTGAGGTGCTTGTGGCCATGTTTCCCCCTGGGTGCATGGAGAAAGGCTATGTGCAGTAGGAAAAAAATGAGAACATCTCGAACTCACCATGCCTGTCATTATGATCCCCATCAGCCTGCTCCTCTCCCTGTGCTCCGTATTTCAGTGAATGACGCCAGCAGCCACCCAGCTTTCCAAGCCAGAGACCCAGGAGTCATGCTTAACCTCCTTCTCCCCCCACCCCTGTCCTTCCAAACACGGAGTCCAGTTGCTTCTGCTTCCTAAATGCCCCCTACTCCCTGCTTCTGCCCACTACCACTGCTCTACTCTGATCACCAGCAGCTCTTGCCTGGAGAATAAAGCAGACTCCTTATTTTATTTATTTATTGATAAGACAGGGTCTTGCTCTGTTGCCCAGGCTGGAGTACAGTGGCATGATCATGGCTCACTGCAGCCTCGACCTCCTGGGCTCAAGCAATCCTCCTGCCTCAGCCTCCTGAGTAGCTGGGACTACAGGTGTGCACCACCACACCTGGCTAATTTGCAGACTCCTTATATGACCAGGACCCAGTCTTGTTCTTCTCCAATGTACCCCTGCCCTTCTTCCTTCCTATAGCTGCTGGATCATGACCTCTCTGGCCTGGAACACTTCAGTGGTTTCTGCTGCCACAGGATGGAGTCAGCTCCCTCAGTGTGTCTTACACAGCCCTGGGGGCCAGCCGTGCCCAACTTTGCAGCGGCATCATTCTCCCTTTTGGGGTCTTTTGTTTTGGCCATAATGAACATTTGGTTTCTCCTAGTGTGAAAGGTGTTTTCTCTAGTAAGAATGCTGTCCCCGCTTAGTCCAGTCATTGAAACACTCAACTTTTTAAGTCAGGCTGAGTTCAAATCTTGACTCAGTCACCTATTAGTTTCCCCCCACCCCCAGAATCATTCCACTTAGTAGTGAAGTGACCTTGGATGAGACTCTCAACTTTTTGCTAGTGATATGACTTGGGGCAAATTTCTTAACTTCTCTGTGCTAAGGTTTTCTCTCTGCAAACAGGGATAGTTACAGGAACAACCTCATAAGATTGTCATGAGACTTAAATGACTTAATTTATATAAAATCCTCAGAACACTGCATGGCACCCAGTAAGTACCATGTAAGCTCCACGAATTATTCTCTTCTTCCCCTGTCCGCACCTGGATAATACTTAATTGGTAGCAAGCTTCAAGACATCCTAGATGTTATTTCCTTAGCGGGCTTGCCTGGTTCTTAGTGAAGGTCCCCCTGTTTTATGCTCCACAAGTACTGATCCATTCATATATTCTATTCAGAATGCCATTCATTCATTCTTCAAATATTTATTGAGAGCTTTTTGTGTGTGTGTGCTGGGGCCTGTATCAGGTGCTAGGGACACCACAGAAGTTAAAACAGACCTGGTTCTTGCCTTCATAGAGCTCACAGCCCAGCGTCACCCCTTTACAACTCTCTTTCCACCCCACGACCACGCATCGTTGGAATGCACTCCGGTTCATGTCTGCCTTCGCTGCTGGACGTTTATGTTGAGCAGGTAAGGCCTAGGTTCCAGCATTCAGTCATCAAGTCTTGTTACAGAAATAAATGAATGAATGGCTGAAGCTCAGAGTCAATCTTGTGAAGTTGCCCGTCTCCACCCCTTTGTCACGGCCTTTGGAGGAGCTGGGTGCTAATGTTGACCTTTGACATCATAGAAGCAATGGCAGAGAGATGATACAGTGACCTGCCAAGGCGCAGGTGAAATCTGATAGGGGTGGGTGGATTTGGCATGTGAGGAGGTTGGGGTGAGGGAAGGAAGTGGGTTGGGAGGGAGAAGAGACTGCTCTGGTGCACACTAGAGACCCAGGCACCTGTGGAGGCGCAGGTGTTGTCATCCTAAAGGGGAGGAGGAAAGGGTGAGTGACAGAAGGACTGAGTGCAAACTTGCCTGGGCCAGGTCTGGAGCTGACCTTGGTTCTAATGCTCACCTTGTGGAAAGAAGAAAGCTGGGAGCCAGTATCTTGAAGGAAACCCTTCAAAGAAATTGTTCTCTGAATCCTCAGGGTGTTTGCATTTTTGGCTAGTTGATGGAATAGACTGCTTCCAAACTGTGACAAATCTCATATACCTAGTGGAAGGCAGACCACAGGTTGGGGGTTAAGGGCATAATAATTGCACACCTTTGGGTGATGTGGGCCATTTCCTCCCAGGGCCCTTCTTTTACTTTTCATTTCGATTCCCCCAATGCAGGACTCTTATCAGGCCCTTGAATGGAAGCCAGCTATGGTTTTAAGCTCATGAGGGAAAAGGGGACCACAAAGGCTGGAAGGTAACAGATTTGGGTAACAACAGATGTCATTATTATAGTGGGAATCCTGCCTGCGCCTCGCAGAATCTTGTCCGTTGTTTTTGAGGCACAGACTTCTCCCAAAGGATATAAAGAAATGTGGGTCAGATGTCTGCAGTGCTGTTGCTACACTTATAGTTAAATGGTATAGGAAGCAGCCTGGCACAGACTTTGGAACCAGTTCTGGGTTTGAATCTCAATACTTCCATATTCTAGTTGTGAAGCCTTGGGCACTTCATGTCCTTGGACTCAGTTTCCTCATCTCTAAAATGGGGATGATGATAATGATAGCACCTACTTCACATCACAGGGCTGCTGTGAGAACTGAGTGGGCTTCTGTGAGTAAAGCTCCTAGAGAAATGCTCCACATCCTGTGAGGCACTTGCTAGATGTTGCTACTCTAACGCTTCTCCAGCTATTTTTATTATAACTAAAAACACATTTAAAAATTACATGTGGCTGGGCGCGGTGGCTCATGCCTGTAATCCCTGCACTTTGGGAGGCCAAGGCAGATGGATCACTTGAGGTCAGGAGTTCAAAACCAGCCAATATGGTGAAACCCCTTCTCTACTAAAAATACAAACAATGAGCTGGGCATGGTGGCAGGTGCCCATAATCCCTGAGGCAGGAGAATTGCTTGAACCCAGAAGGTGGAGGTTGCAGTGAACAGAGATCGTGCCACTGCACTCCAGCCTGGGTGACAGAGGGAGACTCTTGGCTCAAAAAAAAAAAATTACATGTAACTAATTATTTCCTTTCACATTTCACCCTGTGCATTTCTTAGGAAAGAGAAATGTACTATGTTGTAGTCATAACTGTCTCTTGGAGTGGAGGGAGCTTACTCAGGACTCAGCATCTTAGGTCCCCACTTTCTCAGCTCAAACAGAAGATAAGAATCCCTCCCTTGCTTAATTCACACATTACTGTGAGAACCCAAGGAGACCAAGCATGGGAAATGATGTCATAAACCTTTGGGCTTTAAGCAAAAATGAGGAAGAAATGTAAAGCATCTTTTATCCATACCGACGCTGTATTGCAGTATAAGCCACTTTGGCCCAAGTATTGAAGAAATTCAGTCGCTGGATGAGATCATCAATCCAGGAACTCAGTGGCTTACAAGATCTGTAGGCGTGTTTCTGTTGGGATTTAAAGACAGTCACATCATTTTTTTTCTTTGTCTTTGGGGTCATTAGGAACATTTCTGCAAACCTTGGTAATAGACTCAATTGCCAGGGAGAAATAACTTGGCAGGAGGATGTCCTTTTCCAACTGAAAGCATATAATGAAAAGTCTAAACCTTATTACCAGGGCAAAACAACATTATCTTAACAGTGCTTTGGATAAAACGCTTGGAAGCTTCCATCCTGGCTGAAGGCTTTTATCACTCTTCTCAAATCTTTTCATTTCCTCACCTCCTTTCCTCCTCTCTGGGGAGATTACCTTCACATGCTATTAGGTGTGAGCAATTTCAGCTTCCTGACCTTCCCCTATACAAAGTTCTATAAATGCCACCCACTGTCTACTCCCTTACCTACCTTTGCCTTCCAGTTCTGAGCCCAGCTGCCCCTGCCCCTGCCCCTTGTGGATTCAGCTTTCCATTCTCCAGCCCTGTTTATTAACGCTCCCTTGCATCTTAACTGCACAAACCACCCAACACTCAATCCTACCTGTTTGTTGCAAGTGGGGAGGAGGAGACCCTTGCAGCCCTCTAGCCCCTTTCTCCTTTTGTTTACTGTCCCCTCTTCTGGAGTCTTCATTAGAAATCACAAGCGACCTTCTATTTTCCATACTCAAGCCTCACTCCCTGCACCTGTATCCTCTGCAGCTTTTGACGGCGCTCATTACTTCCTCCTGCTTTCTCCCCTAGGCTTCTGTGACTAGACTCCATCCTGGCTTTCTCTTGAATTCTCCAACTACTTGTTTTTAGGTCTCATTCATTGGCACCTCTTCTTCCCTCCCTTGAGGCTGGTGTTGCCTGGAATCCCTTCAGCCCTCTTCTCTTGCTACTTTATATTCCCTCTCCCAGATTTAATCCATGGCTCTGTCTAGGCTGATGACACCAAGCGCTCGCTTTGCAGCCCGTGCTCTTGTCCCATTGCTTTTCTTATTTATTTATTTATTTATTTATTATTATACTTTAAGTTCTAGGGTACATGTGCACAACGTGCAGGTTTGGTACATATGTATACATGTGCCATGTTGGTGAGCTGCACCCGTTAACTCGTCATTTACATTATGTATATCTCCTAATGCTATCCCTCCCCCTCCCCCCCACACATGACAGGCCCCAGTGTGTGATGTTCCCCACCATGTGTCCAAGTGTTCTCATTGTTCAGTTCCCACCTATGAGTGAGAATATGCGGTGTTTGGTTTTCTGTCCTTGCAATAGTTTGCTCAGAATGATGGTTTCCAGCTTCATCCATGTCCCTACAAAGGACATGAACTCATCCTTTTTTATGGCTGCATAGTATTCCATGATGTATATGTGCCACATTTTCTTAATCCAGTCTATCATTGATGGACATTTGGGTTGGTTCCAAGTCTTTGCTATTGTGAATAGTGCCGCAATAAACATACGTGTGCATGTGTCTTTATATTATAGCAGCATGCTTTATAATCCTTTGGATATATGCCCAGTAATGGGATGGCTGGGTCAAATGGTATTTCTAGTTCTAGATACCTGAGGAATTGCCACACTGTCTTCCACAATGATTGAACTAGTTTACAGTCCCACCAACAGTGTAAAAGCGTTCCTATTTCTCCACATCCTCTCCAGCACCTGTTGTTTCCTGACTTTTTAATGATTGCCATTCTAACTGGTGTGAGATGGTATCCCATTGTGGTTTTGATTTGCATTTCTCTGATGGCCAGTGATGATGAGCATTTTTTCATGTGTCTGTTGGCTGCATAAATGTCTTCTTTTGAGAAGTGTCTGTTCATATCCTTTGCCCACTTTTTAATAGGGTTATTTGATTTTTTTCTTGTAAATTTATTTACGTTCTTTGTAGATTCTGGATATTAGCCCTTTGTCAGATGGGTAGATTGCAAAAATTTTCTCCCATTCCGTAGGTTGCCTGTTCAATCTGATGGTAGTTTCTTTTGCTGTGCAGAAGCTCTTTAGTTTAATTAGATCCCATTTGTCAATTTTGGCTTTTGTTGCCATTGCTTTTGGTGTTTTAGTCATGAAGTCCTTGCCCATGCCTATGTCCTGAATAGTATTGCCTAGGTTTTCTTCTAGAGTTTTCATGGTTTTAGGTCTAACATTTAAGTCTTTAATCCATCTTGAATTAATTTTTATACCAGGTGTAAGGAAGGGATCCAGTTTCAGCTTTCTACATATGGCTAGCCAGTTTTCCCAGCACCATTTATTAAATAGGGAATCGTTTCCCCATTGCTTGTTTTTGTCCGGTTTCTCAAAGATCAGATGGTTGTAGATATGTGGCACTATTTCTGAGGGCTCTGTTCTGTTCCATTGGTCTATATCTCTGTTTTGGTACCAGTACCACGCTGTTTTGGTTACTGTAGCCTTGTAGCATAGTTTGAAGTCAGGTAGCGTGATGCCTCCAGCTTTGTTCTTTTGGCTTAGGATTGTCTTGGCAATGTGGGCTCTTTTTTGGTTCCATATGAACTTTAAAGTAGTTTTTTCCAATTCTGTGAAGAAAGTCATTGGTAGCTTGATGGGGATGGTATTGAATCTATAAATTACCTTGGGTAGTATGGCCATTTTCACAATATTGATTCTTCGTATCCATGAGCATGGAATGTTCCTGCATTTGTTTGTGTCCTCTTTTATGTTGTTGAGCAGTGGTTTGTAGTTCTCCTTGAAGAGGTCCTTCACATCCCTTGTAAGTTGGATTCCTAAGTATTTTATTCTTTTTGAAGCAATTGTGAATGGGAGTTCACTCATGATTTGGCTCTCTGTTTGTCTGTTATTGGTGTATAGGAATGCTTGTGATTTTTGCACATTGATTTGGTATCCTGAGACTTTGCTGAAGTTGCTTATCAGCTTAAGGAGATTTTGGGCTGAGACGATGGGGTTTTCTAGATATACAATCATGTCATCTGCAAACAGGGACAATTTGACTTCCTCTTTTCCTAATTGAATACCCTTTATTTCTTTCTCTTGCCTGACTGCGCTGGCCAAAACTTCCAAAACTATGTTGAATAGGAGTGGTGAGAGAGGGCATCCCTGTCTTGTGCCAGTTTTCAAAGGGAATGCTTCCAGTTTTTGCCCATTCAGTATGATATTGGCTGTGGGTTTGTCATAAATAGCTCTTATTATTTTGAGATACATCCTATCAATACCTAGTTTATTGAGAGTTTTTAGCATGAAGGGTTGTTGAATTTTGTCGAAGGCCTTTTCTGCATCTATTGAGATAATCATGTTGTTTTTGTCTTTGGTTCTGTTTACATGATGGATTACGTTTATTGATTTGTGTATGTTGAACCACCCCTGCATCCCATGGAGGAAGCCAACTTGATCATAGTGGATAAGCTTTTTGATGTGCTACTGGATTCGGTTTGCCAGTATTTTATTGAGGATTTTTGCATCTATGTTCATTGGGGATATTGGTCTAAAATTCTCTTTTTTTGTTGTGTCTCTGCCAGGCTTTGGTATCAGGATGATGTTGGCCTCATAAAATGAATTAGGGAGGATTCCCTCTTTTTCTATTGATTGGAATAGTTTCAGAAGGAATGGTACCAGCTCCTCTTTGTACCTCTGGTAGAATTTGGCTGTGAATCTGTCTGGTCCTGGACTTTTTTTGGTTGGTAGGCTATTAATTATTGCCTCAATTTCAGAACCTGTTATTTGTCTATTCAGGGATTTAACTTCTTCCTGGTTTAGTCTTGGGAGGGTGTACCTGTCCAGGAATTTATCCATTTCTTCTAGATTTTTTAGTTTATTTGCGTAGAGGTGTTTATGGTATTCTCTGATGGTAGTTTGTATTTCTGTGGGATCGGTGGTGATATCCCCTTTATCATTTTTTATTGCATCTATTTGATTCTTCTCTCTTTTCTTTTTTATTAGTCTTGATAGCAGTCTATCAATTTTGTTGATCTTTTCAGAAAACCAGCTTCTGGATTCATTGATTTTTTGAAGGTTTTTTTGTGTCTCTATCTCTTTCAGTTCTGCTCTGTTCTTAGTGTCCCACACAATAATAATGGGAGACTTTAACACCCCACTGTCAACATTAGACAGATCAACAAGTCAGAAAGTTAACAAGGATATCCAGGACTTGAACTCAGCTCTGCACCAAGCGGACCTAATAGACATCTACAGAACTCTCCACCCCAAATCAGCAGAATATACATTCTTCTCAGCACCACATCGCACTTATTCCAAAATTGACAACATAGTTGGAAGTAAAGCACTCCTCAGCAAATGTAAAAGAACAGAAATTGTAACAAACTGTTTCTTAGACCACAGTGCAATCAAACTAGAGCTCATGATTAAGAAACTCACTAAAACCGCTCAACTACATGGAAACTGAACATCCTGCTCCTGAATGACTACTGGGTACATGACGAAATGAAGGCCGAAATAAAGATGTTCTTTGAAACCAATGAAAACAAAGACACAACATACCAGAATCTCTGGGACAAATTTAAAGCAATGTGTAGGGGAAATTTATAGCACTAAATGCCCACAAGAGAAAGCAGGAAAGATCTAAAATTGACACTGTAATATTACAATTAAAAGAACTAGAGAAGCAAGAGCAGACACATTCAAAAGCTAGCAGAAGGCAAGAAATAACTAAGATCAGTCCCATTGCCTTTCAGTAGCTCCACCTGAGAGCCCCTCTAGCTTCTCACACTTTCCATGTCCAAAACAGGATGTCTTCATCTGTTTCTCACACAGCACGTCTTTCTGCTCACCTCGTCTCTGAATGTGCTAGTTCCTACCCATTTGTCCAAGCCGGACATTTCTACCTGACTCATCTCACCTCTTGTCACTCTGTCAAGTGAGCAATGGTCTCAGCCACATGTGACTGTACTTACAGTGTACCAACTCATCATTGTTCTTTCAGCCTAACTTTGCACGTGTGGAGTCCTAGCTGTTTCACCACGGGGCTTGCTAAGAATGTAATAAGGCCTCTCTGCTTTTTAGTTTCCATATCTGTAAAATAAGGTCATTGGAGTGGGGGTTCCCTAAGATCCTTTCGAGCTCTGAAGTCCTGTGATTCGGATGTGTCTCCACATCTCAATTTTTCATCACAGCTTGTATTCAATTTTAAGGAATTATAATTGTTATTATTTCCTCTCGTCTGTCTTCATGTTTTCTACCTAGGTTTTAAAAATAACTTCATTGAGATATAACTCATATGCCATACAACTTACTTATTTAAAGTGTACAAATGAATGGTTTTTCGTATAATCACTGAGTTGTGCAACTACCACTGTAGTCAATTGTAGAACGTTTTCATGAGTCCAAAAGAAAACCCTCTCAGCATCCATTCTCCAGTTCTCTGTCACCCACAAACTGAGGCAACCAATAATCTATTTTCTGTCACTATTCTGGACATTTCTTGTAAATGGAATCATACAATATATGGTCTTTTGTGATGGCCTTCCTACACTTAGCACAGAAGAACTACTGTTTTCAAGGTTTATCCATGTGATAGCCTGTATCAGTACTTCATTCATTTTGCTGGCTGAATAATATTTCATTACAGGGACATACCATATTTTATCCATTCATCAGTCAATGGACATTTGAGTTGTTTTCACCTTTTGGGTATTACAAATAATGCTGCCATGAACATTCATGTGCAAGTTTTTGGGTGGACTTTTTTTTTTTTTGAGACAGAGTGTCCCTCTGTTGCCCAGGCTGGAGTGCAATGGCATGATCTCAGTTCACTGCAACCTCTGCCTTCTGGGTTCAAGCAATTCTCCTCCCTTAGCCTCACAAGTAGCTGGGATTTCAGGTACCCACCACCATGCCTGGCCATTTTATTATTATTATTATTTTTAGTAGAGACGGGGTTTCACCATGTTTGCCAGGCTGGTCTCAAACTCCTAACCTCAGGTGATCCGCCACCTTGGCCTCCAAAAGTGCTGAGATTACAAGCATGAGGCCCTGTGCCCGGCCTGGATTTATGCTTTAATTTCTGTTGGATATATTCCTAGGAGTGAAATTGCTGGGTCAAATGGTAAATCTGTTTAACTTTTTGAGGAACTACTGGACTATTTCCAAAGTAGCTGCACCATTTTTCATTCCCATGAGTGGTGCATTTGGGTTCCAATTTCTCCCAATGCTTGTTTTTATGTATTTTTAATTCTTTCCATCTTAGTAGGTGTGAAGTTGTATCTCATTGTGGTTTTGATTTGCATTTCCCTCAAAGCAAATGCTGTTGAACATCTTTTCACATGTCTACACAGGTTTTCAATCTGGTATAGGATTCAGGGTTCTGGAAAAGGCCAGTGCTAATCCTAAGGGGAGAAGTTCATTTCTGGAGAAATAGTGTTTGTGTCCAACATCAAGCTTGTTAATTTCCTACTCTGTGCTGCCAGATCTTCCATGGCTTATTTTATTCCTGGTCTAATACATTTTGTGTTTTTACAATTTGGTCTTCTGTTTAAGACCATGACCCAGTAATTTCTTCATCATCTTGTTTAGCTTTGTTTTTATTTTAAAAGCAATTAAACTCAACACTTATAGTAATACCAAGAGTGCACCTACTTTGACATGAACTGCCATGATACATAGTTCACATACACAGATAGTGAGAACTAAGTGATGGTGCTGCCTGGCTAACAGTGACTGTTAAGAGGCATTCCAACTTCAGAGATGTGAAAATATGAAAAAGTACGTCAGCATCTTTTAAGAGTTACATATTTCATCACACAGATGCACCATTTACCTTCACCATTCCCTTGAACTTGGACATTTATTTCAAGCAAGCAAGAAAATAGGAAATAATAATAATTGCTTACCTGCCACAATGTAGGCACTCTCATATTAAGAAAAGAGTTAAATATTTCCTCCAATTCTTGGGTGAGGATGATCTCTCCTTTTATAGCAAGCTGAAGATCTTTTAAGGATTTATGTATGACAAATAATAACTTATCAAATCGTTTAATTTCTTGCTTCAAAAAGGTTAGCAAGACACAATGGATAAGGGGGTCGTGATCTGGATTTTAAAAAGAAATAAAATTTTGATATTTTACAGATTAAAAAGAGGCTTTACATGGAGGGACTTAGGCTTTGAAAGTTAAGGGAATTTTGTGTGTCTTGACCAGGGGTTGATAAACATTTTCTGTAGAAGGTCAGATAGCAAACATTTTAGGGTATGGGGACCACACCACCTCTGTGAAAGCTACTCAGCTCTCCCCTTGTAGTGTGGGTGCGGCCACACTATCTACTATGTGTGGATGCATAGACAATATGTCATGAGTAAGTGTGGCTGTGTTCCAGTAAAGCTTTACTTATGGCACTCAAATTGGAGTTTCATATAACATTTATGTGTCACAAACTATATTCCTTCTTTTGATTTTTTTTAACCATTAAAAAATGCAAAAGCCATTTTAGTTCACAGGCTGTACAAAAACAAATGGTGGGCTGGATTTGGCCTGCGAGCCCTAATTTGCTGACCTTTGATTGAGACTCAACAATGACACTGTTTTGATAAACTATTGCTCAATATTTGGTTCCCAAATAAACTTCTGCAAAGGGATAAAATATGGGTATTAAAATTTAACTGGGAAAATTATCATAGTCTAGCAATTTAGCCACTTAGAGCTGGGTTTGGAGTCATCTCTGGGCAATCAGGCTTCCTCTGTCTTCCTGGGCCTGCCCTGATTCCCCTTAGCTTCTTGGAGTCAAGTGGTCTTTCAGCAGAAGGTCCATCTAAACTTCCGCTGTTCCAGAAGGCAGAGAGGCAGAGAGAACAGGCACCTAGAACTCTTGACAATCTCCAAAGCAGAGTTGCTGCTTTCTAGTTTGCTACACTTGTTATTTCTTCACTTTTGATTTCAGTGCCACACGCTACCCACCCCCAAACTAAAGCGTGATTTTCTTCTGTGCTCTCTGTCTTTCAACTTGGAGAGAGGAGGCAGAGACTGAGTTTTCCATCTTATCTCAGTATTTTCACTTCTACAGAATTTTTGTCTTATCTTTACCTTACTCCTGACACCAGAGTCCTTTCTTGAGGAGAGTGAGGTAAGGGGAAAAAGCTCCTGTCCCATGCTCACCTTTGAGATTTTTAGAAAGAGACTCCCAAATGGAGCTTGACATCATGCTCTTCAATGTGCTTGGAGTTCCAACAGCAATTTCTTCTTTCTCCACTGTCAGTGGCAGCCGCTTTAGCAAGTCGGATAGAATTTCCATCACCAGTTCATCCTTACTCTGCTCAGGTCTGCAAAAAAAACCAAGAGAAGAATGAGACACAGAACAGGAAGTGGGGAGATGGGGAGAGATTTGTTAAAGGATTCAAGATTACTGGTAGACAGGAGGAATATGTTTAGTGTTCTATACCACTGTAGGATGAGTATAGGTAACAAAAATAGATTATACATCTTCAAATAGCTAGAAGAGAGGATACTGAAAGTTCCCAACACAAAGGATAAATGTTTGAGATGATGGACATATGAATTGCCCTGATCTGATCACTATACATTGTATGTATTGAAACATTACTATGTACCTCAGAAATATGTACAATTATTATGTCAATTAAAAAAATAAAAATTGGCTGGGCACAGTGGCTCATGCCTGTAATCCCTGCAATTTGGGAGGCCGAGGCAGACAGATCACTTGAGGTCAGGAGTTTGAGACCAGCCTGGCCAACATGGTAAAACCCTGTCTCTACTAAAAATACAAAAGTTAGCCAGGCATGGTGGGCGCCTGTAGTCTGAGCTACTCAGGAGGCTGAGGCACGAGAATCACTTGAACCCGGGAGGCAGAGGTTGCAGTGAGCCAAGATTATGCCACTGCACTCCAGCCTGGGTGACAGAGCGAGACTCTATCTCAAAAAAAAAATTTAAAAAAAGAAAAGGAAAGGAAAATAAAATAAAAGAAATCAAGAGAAAAACAAGCTACAGATCTATCTAATGTTAGAGGGTCCTCTGCTTAAGTTCCGTCTGAAGATAAATGTATCTTCACAGAACCACAAAATTATGCTATGGATGATCTTACAGAGACCATGGAATTCATTTCATTTTGTAGATGAGAAACTGTCCAATGTACTTTAGACATTTGCAAGGAAATATGTATTATAAAAGCTTTTTTAGGATTTCTTTGTAAAATAATCATCTGCATGCATCTGCAAGACAATGAAAAAGAGGAGGCAACTAAACAGAGCACGCTGAAGCAGCCGCATGGAACATTCCACTGCTTGCCTCATTCCTGTGTTGACACGAAGGGCTTCTTAATCACACACTCCGCGGGTGGTGACAGGAGGAGCGCGTGTCCAGGCCTAGGTGAGGCTGCGATACTATGCAAAACCACTAAACACTAGAGCTGGAAGAGCTCTTTGGAATCCTTTTAAAGATGATGAAACCAGGGCCCCGGGAGGTGGGAGGACCTCCTTAGACAGTTAGTGGATGAGTAGGAAATGGGGCACATCTCTTTTGAGTTCTGCTGCTCTATTTACTAGCCGGGACTGATTTTTCTTTTTCTTTTCTTTTTTTTTTTTTGGGACGGAGTTTTGCACTGTCACCCCAGCTGGAGTGCAGTGTTGCTATCTTGGCTCACTGCAACCTCCCCCTCCCGGGTTCAAGCAATTCTCTGCCTCAGCCTCCCGAGTAGCTGGGATTACAGGTGCTCACCACCATGCTGGCTAATTTTTTGTATTTTTAGTAGAGACGGGGTTTCACCATCTTGGCCAGGCTGATCTTGAACTCCTGACCTCGTGACCCACCCGCCTCGGCCTCCCAAAGTGCTGGCATCACAGGCGTGAGCCCACCGCGCCCGGCCAGGACTGATTTTTCAACAAACACTCCAGGTTTCACAGTCAAATGAATATTATCCTTCAAGGTAAGCAATAACCTTAAAGCTGCCAAGAAGTATTTAGTCCAACAGTGCTGCTTCCAAACCAGTTTACAGATCGCCTGAGGTCACATGGCTCCTTACTTTGTCATCACACTGTTTTGACTGTAAAGTTGATTTTCTCCTTAGAATTCAACCCAGGTAGCTTCAAATAATTCAAAAGGTCAAAAGGTGTCAAAAATCAAGCTTACCTTCAGAGGGCAAAGATTTGCTACCACTAAGGAAATTACATTGAATATGATAGATGTTTGGATTAAGTCCCACAGACAAGTCTCTAATAAGCAAAGGCAGCAAGACTGGGATAATTATAGCCTCTCAAAGTGACCAAAGGGACATTAATAAGCATATCTAGTATGTTTATTAAAAGCATTTCCTTATAATATGTTGGTATCTTAAATATTTGTAATGTTTAAGAGAATTGGGCCTCGTAATACCTTGTGTTAGATTGGGGTCAGTCTTGTGACCCCAATTAAAAGAGATAATTGAGAAACTGATTTATGATTTTAGGTTGAAATCTTGTTAGATTGATATAAAATATTAGGGAACAAGAAAATTTAAGATTCACCATATTTATTTGATTATTAGATTTATAAAAGTTACTCAAAGATTTGAGAAGGTCTGGAAGACAAATTGAAGTACATTAACTTTATAATGAATATTAATATATTTGAAAATGTTTAAGCTTATAAATGGGGTCAAACATTCAAATATCTTTTAAAAGTGTTAAAATTTGTTAGACGTACAAATTGAAAAATTAGAACTTAAATACATAAGGAACTCATTGAAGTAGAATTTAGTTTCTTTACCATGTAGACTATACTTTTCTATATATCTCTTCAAATGAATTTTTTTTTTAGACAGGGTCTCAGCCTCGCAAGTTACTGGGACTACAGGTGCTCACCACTACACTCAGCTAATTTTTGTATTATTTGTAGAGACAGGGTTTCACCATGTTGCTCAGAGTGGTCTCGAACTCCTGAGCTCAAGCAATCTGTCCACCTCAGCCTCCCAAGGTGCTGGGATTACAGGCATGAGCTGCCAGACCCAGCCTGATAATTTTTGACCAACAATTTTTCCTAGCGAGTTCTTACCTGATCATGAGGTTGGCAGTGGTAGTTTTTGGTTGCATGGCAATCAGATTTTCAATAAACTTTTCGCCCTGGGTCTCCCAGCAGCTCCTGATGGCCTCTGGGTGTATTCCTAAGACCTCGGGAAGGTCATCATCAGGTAAGGACTGGATAATGTGTATGTAGTCCTTTATGCTTGCAGATCCTGGAACTGGCAGACATATCTGAAAATTTAACATTTTGTTAGCTTTTTTCTTCAATCCTGCTACTTCTGAACACTTTGTTGGTTTTTGCCAGAGTAAGATACCTACTTTCAGTAATGCTTGAAGACAATATTTTCCCATGAAATTTTATACCGAAGGCTTTCTTATTTGCATGTGGTATATTATAGACACTGTCAAAAGCAACATTTGGGACTACTGTATTGTAATGTGCATATGATATGCATGTATAACTTTCTTTTTGGGAAAAGAGAGAAAGAAAAAAAAAACGCTTTAAAGGTGAGGGTGATTCTGACCACCCATAGATAATGAATGCAATAAGGCTTGAACAAATCATTTTACTTTAGTGAAACCTATAGAAGGAATGTGAGAATGATCTTAAGAATAATTGACCACTGACCAAGAAGAGAAATGCATTGTTCATATGGTCAGGAAAGTGGGTGATGGTGGCTTTCTTGATATCATTAAGGAAAATGTTGAAGAATTAATGAAGGTCAGAGGGAAAAATCAAATAACAGTCACTGATTAAAAAAATTACCTGCAGAAGAAGCAAGATTATAACAAAAAACAGGAAGAGCTGGCAAGCTGGAACTGTCATAAAATTCCTAGTGTTTTAAAGCAACTGAACAATTGAAATACAAATTTCAGAATACCCTTCTGTCATCTGATATAATTCTGCCAATGCAATTGTATGCTGTATGTTACAGTATACCTTATTCTCTTAGTGCATACTTAATGTAATACTCTGTACAAAACCATGCACATTGTATTCTTTGGGCAATTTAAAATACCCTAAACTTTTTTTTCTTTTTTGAGATGGAGTCTTGCTCTGTCGCCCAGGCTGGAGTGCACTGGCATGATCTCGGTTCACTTCAACCTCTGCTTCCCGGGTTCAAGTGATTCTCATGCCTCAGCCTCCCATGTAGCTAGGACTACAGGCATGATCCACCATGGCTGGCTAATTTTTGTATTCTTAGTACAGATAAGGTCTCATCATGTTGGCCAGGCTGGTCTCGAACTCCTGACTTCAAGTGATCTACTCTCCTCGGCCTCCCAAAGTGCTAGGATTATAGGCATGAGCCACCACATTTGGCCAAAGAATCCTAAATTTAACTAAAATGTTATTTTAAACAGTTTTTTTTCCTTCTTTTTCAGATAGGATCTTGCTCTGATGCCCAGGATGGAATGCAGTGGTGTGATCTCGGCTCACTGAAATCTCCACCTCCTGGGTTCGGGTGATTCTCGGGCCTCAGCCTCTTGAGTAGCTGGGACTACAAGTGCACACCATCATGCCTGGCTAATTTTTGTATTTTTAGTAGAGATGAGGGTTTCATCATGTTGGCCAGGCTGCTCTCCAACTCTTGGCTTCAAGTGGTCCACCTGCCTCGGTTTCCCAAAGTGCTGGGATTACAGGCATGAGCCACCGCACCCGGCCTTAAGACACTTGTTGTTGTTGTTGTTTTTTGATGGAAATCTTAAAAAAAAAAAAGCCCTCATAGCTTTTTCTGCCTTAGCAAATAGTGCATAAAGGATATAATTTAATGCCTTCTTATTGACTCAGGGTCATCAACATAGACCATTGCTATCCATTCTATAGATGCCTTACAAATGAATCTCCCTAAAATATTTTTACTATTTTGTTTATCTATCCATATCCTCAAGACCTCAGACAGACAACCTGGATATGACCTCTCTTTCTCTTGATGATACCAGGCCCACTCCCAGCTCACAATGATCACCCACAGCTGTCGTCTTCCTTTTCATCTTCCATTCACCTCTCTTATCCAAATTCCCACCCATCAAAGTTTATGTCAAGTCCAACCCTCTACAGTCTAAGGTCAGAGGTCTGTAGGATTCTTTCCTCTGCTAGCAGCCACTCAACAGGCACACACAGCTGCTGGTGTCTAATATGGAGTTTTCTGCTCCACAAATGTGAAGGCTTGGATAGAGGATAGAAACTGAGGGGGAGAAGAGGGGATAAACAAGAGATGTGGGATTTCTGGAAACATAACAGCATCTATTCCCCATGGTTATTTTGAGCATTAAATGAGAAACATATATCAAGTGACTGGCATGGAATCGTTGATTTATAAATGTTAGCTTCCTTGTGCTTTGCATCTTACACTCTACGTTCTCGGAGGACATGAACGATTTTTAAATCATTCTTTTTGTTTACTGCCCTGCATAATGTTGTGTTTAATAGAGTCATGGGTAAATTACTTCCATACTACTGAAAGCTACTAAAAGCCTTTAAAAATGAACATCAAAATTTATTTAAATATGTATTTTAAATAAAGCAACAATGTTTACTTTAAAATTATCGAGAAATGCAAGAAGATTGATTCTTTTCCTACCCCATCACTGGAGAAACTGAAGTCATCTTTCAGCACTTCAGGATTACAAAATTTGTAGAGTAGGGTCTTCAAGCATCGCTTGTCCCAATTATCAATCACCCGGCCACCGTAAATCACTTCTCCAATCAGGTAGCGCAGTGCTTGCCACGAAATGCTGGGCTGTCCTCTCAGGGAATTTTCCAACACCTTAATGGCAACCTTTGGAAAACCCATGAGTCTTTATTATTTCAGTATGTGTTTCCAGCTTACTCACTCTGACTTTTTAACATAAAATCAACTCTCAAACAGCTACATATATTTTCTCTTTAAAAAATATATAGAAATAGGCCAGGTGCAGTGGCTCACGCCTGTAATCCCAGCACTTTGGGAGGCCAAGGCAGGCGGATCATTTGAGGTCAGGAGTTCGAGACCAGCCTGACCAACATGGTGAAACCCTATCTCTACTAAAAATACAAAAATTAGCCGGGCATGGTGGCATGTGCCTGTAATCTCAGCTACTGGGAGGCTGAGGCAGGAGAATAACTTGAACCCAGGGTGCGGGGATCACAGTGAGCTGAGATCAGGCCGCTGTACTCCAGCCTGGGCGACAGAGTGAGACTCTATCTCAAAAAAAAATATATATATATATATATATATAGACAAATATATATATTATATATATTTCATTTGTCTTACTAGAATAGTTTATATTTACTAGAATAGTATATATATATATATATATATATATATATATATATATAGTAAGACACAAATATTGGGACATACACCTTTTTTTTTGAGACAGGGTCTCACTCTGTTGCCCAGGCTGGAGTGCAGTGGTGTGATCTTGGCTAACTACATCCTTGACCTCTCCAGCTAAGGCGATTCTCCCACCTCAGCTTTTTTCCTCAGCCTCCCTGTCTGGCTAATTTTTGTATTTTTTTGTAGAGATGGGCTTTCCTCATGTTGCCCAGGCTGGTCTGGAACTCCTGCGCTCAAGCGATCCGCCTGCCTTGGCCTCCCAAAGTGCTGAGATTACAGGCATGAGGCACCGTGCCTGCCCTGGGACATACACTTTTATCCACTAGTTCTTTTTTGTTGTTGTTGAACAGGCATTGAGCTGTTTAATTGCTGTTGTTTGAATAGGCAAAGCAGGCACGTGGTACTGAATTCAAAAAGCGCAAAAACAAACAAGAGAAAGTAAGTTTTCTTCCACTCCCGACTTTAGCCGTCAGATCCTCTCCCTTGAGGCCACCATTGACAGAATTCTTGTGTATCCTTACACAGACATTCTATTTGCACATAGGTTGACTTCTTTTCTTCTCTCTCCTTCCTTCGCTTCTCCTCTCCCTTCTTTCTATCCTCCCTGTGCTCTTCAACTATTTATCACCTCCGCCTCCCTCTTCCTATCCCCCTCCCTCCCTCCCTTCCTCCCTTCCTTTCTTGACGGAGTCTTGCTCTGTCGCCCAGCTGGAGTGCAGTGGCGCGACCTCGGCTCACTGCAACCTCCACCTCCCGGGTTCAAGCGATTCTCCTGCCTCAGCCTCCCGCGTAGCTGGGACTACAGGCGCGCACCACCACGCTCGGACAGGGTTTCACTGTGTTAACCAGCATGGTCTCGATCTCCTGACCTCGTGATCTGGCGGCCTCGGCCTCCCAAAGTGCTGGGATTACCCACCGCGCCCGGCCCTCCTCTCCCCCTTTCTTTCTGTTTTCCTGTCTTTTTTTTTTTTTCCACAAATGCTAGTTTAGCATACACACTGTGCCGCAATTGGACAATACATCGGCTATCAATGTTCAGTGGCTGTAAGAATTCATATTTACACTAACAGTGTGTGAAGGAATTTTTTTGTTACTATTCTCTCATCCCTGCCACTAACAGGAAATGTTGGTTTATTTAATTTTTGCCAGTCTCATGGGCGGTACATTTGCTGTTAGTTTAATTTGTATTTCACCTACTAGTACTGGTTATTTTGAGCATCTTTTCTTATGTCCGTTGGTCATTTAAGTACAATCCTCTATACACCGCCTGTTTTTCCTTTGGCTTGTTGGTCTTTTTCTTGTTAATAGATAAGAGCTCTTTGTATGTCACAGATATTAACTCTCTGTCAGTCATTTGCATTATCCTAAATCTGGCATTTGTCCATTGACTTTATTTTGCCACCATTTACCATATAAAAGTTTTTTGTAATCAAATATGCCTATCTTTTCTTTTATGGTTCTGGGTTTTCAATTCGGGTTACTTGTTCCCAACTCCAAGATTGTACATGTAATCTCCTAGATTTATTTTGGTTATTTGTATTGTTATACATTTAAATTTTATTCCATTCGGGAATTTATTTTTATATAGGATATAAGATAAAGGAACTAGTACTTTTCTTCCAGCTGGATGGCCAGTTGTGCCAGTATCATTTACTTTTTGAAAATCCCTTTTTCCTCAGTTGAAATATTACCTGTGTCAAATATTAAAATCTCATAAAAACTTAGATTTTTGCACCCTCAACTATGTCCCACCGATTTATTGTCTACTTCTCTGCCAAACAATATTGATTTTAGTATAGTGGATTTTTACCATGTTTTGATATCTGGTGAAGGAGGACCCTTTCAGGATTTTTCTTTTTTGTACATTCCTAGCTTATTCTTCAGCATCTGTTCTTCCATATGAATTTTATTAATTCTGAAACTTCTCTAATAGGATTTTAATTGGAACTGCATTATATCTGATTATTAATTTTGGAAGAATTGATAGTTATGATATGGGAAGCCTTCCCATAAAGAACATGGATGCATTTATTTAGGGGAGGCAGGATTAAAAAAACGAACTGTGGAATCGGACCTCCACTTATTACCTATGTAACCTGGGCAAGTTTCTTAGGTGTACTGTGCCTCTATTTCCCTATCTGTAAAATGAGGATAATTAGTGTCCTTACCTCATAATGTTGTTGTGGGAATTAAATAATTTAGATAAAGCAATCCAAATATTTTAAGCTCTCAACAAATGTTATGACTCTTTTCTCCCTAATTTATGCTATTCTTTATTTAGGACCCATATGTTTCTTGTTAAATTTGTTCCTGAGTATTTAAATTTTTTCATCACTGCTGTGAAAGTACGGTTTTGCCTACTTCCATTCCCGGGTGTTTACTACCAGGGAGGCTTTATTGCTCTTTACATCTTTACATTTTTATCCAGTTACTTTACAAAATTCTCTAATTACTAGATTTTGTTTTACTAGTATCTCAGGTTTTCTAGACGTACAATTATATAATCAACAAAAAGTTTTTTCTCTTTTTACAATGTTAATATGAATTATTATAATTTTATCTCATTGAATTTACTAGAAATTCTAAGACACTGTTGAATGACAGTGGTGATAATGGGCATCCTTATCTAATTCTTGATTTTATTTGAAACAATTTCAGTGTTTGACTATGTGGAATAACATTCATTGTTATTTTTAGATAGTCTTTTTCATATTTAAGTGGTTCCTTTTAATCCTATTACTTTAGGTTTTTACTAGAAATGGCTCCAAAATTCATAACAAATGCCTCTTCTACATCTATTGAGATGATCATATAAATTAGGATTATAAATTTCCAGTTACTGGGTCATTCTTGCATTACTGGAATAAACCCAACTTGGTTACAGTGTATTATTCTTTTGTTTCATTGCTGAGATCCATTTATATTTTATGTAGAATTTTTACATCTCAAATCCTGAGTGAAATTAATCTACAGTTCTTATGTATATTATTCAGGTATTCATATTAAAACTATGCTGGTTTCATAAAATACACTAGGGAGATTGTGATCTTTTACTAAGGTCTAGAATATATAATATTAATACTATCTGTTTCTTAACGTTCAGAGTGAATTAAGCTGTAAAACCATCTCATTCTGGTGTCATTTGCAATGCCTTTTGTGGCAATTGGCCTACCCAAAATTTCCATGTCTCTTTGAGTCAATTTTGATAATTCATATTTTCTAAGTAATCATTGGCTTCATCTAGATTTTCAAATTTTATTTGTCTTATCAAAATCCAATTTTTTATAGCTGTAAGCTTTAAAAAATATATGAAAAGAATTTTAAAAATCCAATTTTAAAATGTATTTTTCCTTTTACGGTTTTTTGTATATTTCATTAATATTAGCTTTTGTATTATTACTCCAGCTAATAAAGAATTCCTTTATTAGCTTTTATTTTCTTTTGTTTTCTAATTTCTTAAGATGGATATTTATTTCCTGTATGTTTTCTTTAATACTGGAGACATTTAAGGCCAGTCTTTTATTTCCTAAGTATAGCTTTTGTTCTGTCTTGTAATT
Organism: Homo sapiens; assembly: GCF_000001405.40. Classification (NCBI taxonomy): domain Eukaryota; kingdom Metazoa; phylum Chordata; class Mammalia; order Primates; family Hominidae; genus Homo; species Homo sapiens. Next base: position 225,370,587 of record NC_000001.11, on the reverse strand, counting down.
TTTGGTATGAAGTAGTCTCATTTCCATTGTTTTTGAGATATTTGTGATTTTATTTATTTTTATTTTTTGAGACAGGGTGTCACTCTGTCACCCAGGCTGGAGTGCAGTGGCCCAAGCACAGCTTACTGCAGCCTCAACCTCCTGGGGTCAAGTGATCCTCCTGCCTCAGCCTCCCGAGTGGCTGGGAGTACAGGCGTGCCACCTGGCTATATATATATATATTTTACTTTTTATACAGACAGGGCTTTCTATATTGCACAGGCTGTGATTTCCCGTGTTTTTTTTGTTTGTTTGTTTTTTGTTTTTGAGATGGAGTTTCATTCTGTCACCCAGGCTGGAGTGAAGTGCTGTGATCTCAGCTCACTGCAACCTCCACCTCCCGGGTTCAAGCAACTCTCCTGCCTCCTGAGTAGCTGGGATTATAGGCATGTGCCACCACGCCAGGCTAATTTTTGTTTTCAGTAGAGATGGGGTTACTCCTCGTTGGTCAGGCTGGTCTCTAACTCCCGACCTTAGGTGATCCAACTGCCTCGGCCTCCCAAAGTGCTGGGATTATGGGCGTGAGCCACCGTGCAGGTTTCATCATGTTGGCCAGGCTGGTCTTGAACTCCTGACCTCAGGTGATCCGCCCACCTTACCCTCCCAAAGTGCTGAGATTACAGCTGTGAGCCACCGAGCCTGGCTGATTTCCCTTTTAATATCCTATTTGATAAAAGGTTATCTAGAGTTATGTTTCTTAATATCCAAGTTGTTTAGATTTTTAGGGGTCAAATTTTTATTATATTAAATTGTGTTCAGATAACGTGGCCCATAAAATCATTAAAGGTTTTTCTTTGTGGCCATGCTCATGACTGAGTTGTGTAACAGTTCCTTGGATACCTGAAAAAATATGTACTTTTTATTAGAGGGATGTTAGTCTCTCGATCTATCTGTTAATCAAATTTGTTGACTACATTATTCTATTCATCTTATATTTGTTTATTAGAGCTGTCCAATCCTGATGGAGGTTTTTTGAAATTTCCCACAATAATTGCATATACATATATACATATATATGTACATGTATACCAGTGTATATATACATGTGTGTATATATATATATATATATGCTACAATATGCTGTTGTCTGAAGAATATAGCACTCTCAGTCATTACATTCTGACTAATATTAATATTGCCATTTCTGCTTTCTTCTTTTTTATTTTCTTGATAATTTCAAAATTTCTTCATTAATTTCACTTTTTCGTATAAATTGCACATTTCTGGGTTTTGTTTTGTAACCCAATTTAATAGTCTTGCCTTTTATTGAGAGAATGCATCCATTTACACTTAATAAATGACTGATAACATTCCTTCCATATTGCTTTACGTTATTATTTATTTTGCTTTGTTTTTTCTCTCCCTTTTATTTTGATATCTTGATCAAATTGTTATTTATTTTCTTTTTTTCTTTGTTAATTTAGACATTATACTGTTTCTATTAAAGGTGACTTTTATTTTCTTTGAATTCATTTTCTGATTTAAATAAAAATATCAATTATTTACATTAGACACCAACATGTCTAATATATGGTTCAAATATTTCCCCCTAATATATTATCTGCCTTTTGATTGAGCTTTGAATAAGGCCTTGACAGAAGCGTACTTGAGCTTATACTTTTAAATAAATATCCCAAATGCAGTGTTTTATGTTATGTTCCTGGTTAGGTACAGAAGTATTACATCTGATAGGCAGTTGAGCTTGCAGTAAGTATGACAGCCTCTTTTCAAAACTGAAAAGCCTAATGGAAACATATAGAAGACATAGAAGGCTACCCATCTAGAGTGGGTCTAGGTTATAGATACCCAGAGGCAGAATCAAGATTTTCCTCAGAAAGTTTTTTTTTTAAATTGTTGTATTATATAAATGAATGGGTAATCAAGGGTGTAATGTTGTACGCTGGAAGCACAATTGCAAGAAAATTAACCCGGGAAAAACTTAAGCAGATGCTACCACGTGTTTAATTTAGCAATAAAGAAAACACCCTGCAATAAAGCACAAATAGAAGGTTCTATATAGAGAATAGTAAAGGAAGACCACTGAGCTAAACTTTTCCCCACACAATGGGTCAATGGAATCTCTCTTGCTTTTAATGAATAAGTCGTACCAACAAACAAACATTTTTATACTAAGTTATGTCTGTCAGGCACTCTTCTAAGTGGTTTACTTACATTAACAAGTTTGCCTATAATTACATAATGATCCTCTGGAGTCAGTACTGACATTTGGTCTCCCTCAGTTTGCTTTCTTTGGCCAAGGAAACTAAGACTCTGAGAGGTTAGTTTGCCCAATAGATTACGTACTTATACAGCTATAAGTGGTGGAGCTGCAAATTGATTCCAGAAAAGCTGGCATCAAAGACCATGTTTCTAAACGTTAGCCCTTATTGCCTAGTTATAGAGTTCATTTTCTTACCACCATGTAAAACACTCACATTTGTGTAGGCACATAGTAGGCTCTCAATTTGTATCTTATTGTTACTTATTTGTTGTTTGTTTGAAGAGACTACACTTACCCCCAAGTCTGAAGAATTAAATTTATAAGCAATATTCCAGCCCAATATTCCGTAATTTTTTCTTTCATTGATTACAGCATTGAAAAAACATAGGCTAAATAAAAGTTTTTTCCACCATTGTCCACAGTCAGGATTTTCAAATATCTCTTCTGTTACCTCTCCACTCCCAGTACATCCAAATGTCTGAAGTAAGTTACTTTTCAATCCCTGGGGAGATTCCACGGCAATCTTGAAAACAGATGTGAGTAAAATGGCATGTGAGGACAGATGCAGGCACTGGTCTTCAGGGCACTTGTCTTTCTACAACACTGGTAAAAGAACTGGGCAAGAATGTAACTATTTTCAAGATTCACTGGCAAATCCAAAATCTCATGTTATTCTTTTGCCATGTAAAAACGTCTCTAAAAGGATTGTCCCAGATTTTCTATTGTTCCGATTCATATTTTGAAATGGGAAGTATAATGTTGTGATTAAAAGCACTCTTATTTGCTCAGAGCATAGGGCTTGGGATTTTAGGAACTTTGACAATGAAGAGTTATGAGAGCCTAAACTTAGTGTCAATGGCAGTTATGAGGCTGTAACAGGACCCAGGCTGCATGGCCTCTGCGAGGTAGCAGATACAGAGGGTCCCACATCATGGGAAACAGCACAAACTGAATCAACAGCAGCTTCAGCACTAACTGAACCATCAGAAGGAGAACAATTAACTGGGTGTGTTACAAAATTTCTTTGATTGCATTGAAAGTCCATTTGGTTGACTTCTTAACTAGAATAATGGAAATGATGCGAGACTGAGGGTGAGGTGGGGAGGGAATCAACTGGAGGGCTTTTTTGAGAGTGTGGCTGTTAAGTCTGAAATTGTGAAGGGTCTGAAATATTACCCTCCTTGCACAGTTTATATATATAAACACACACACTTACATAAGTTGTGTGGGTATCTATATATGATATATAAATGTATGTATATATGTATATATGGCATAGAGCTGTGTGTGTGTGTGTGTGTGTGTGTGTGTGTGTGTGTATGAACATGAGACTTTTGGATCAGGGATCAGATTCCCATGTCCTGTGTGTGTATAGTGGGATTTGTACCATAAGAGGAGGACTCAAATTATGAAACTTGGAGCTTACAGAATGGCTGGCAAAGCAGCCTTTCCTCTTTTCAGAGATAGAGAAAGAGAGACAGACTTTTGCTTTGGAATGTAAACAAATCTTCTCGGGGAAAAGAGGAGGTCTCTAGGTTTTTACAACCCCTGGAGTGTAAGCAAATGGCTCTAAGTTTTATCACCCTGAGAAGGTAAGTGGCTCCAGGAGATGGAAGACAAGCTTCTCTGACTCTGTCACCCTTAGAATGTGAGCAAATGGCTCTGTGCACAGTAGAGGACATATTCTCTATTTTCCAAGGCATGTCTGCCTTTCAAACATCCTTTAATTCAGGTTGCCAGCAATTGTTGCTTAGCCCTAATTGTGGAGAAATGAGAAAATATTTATCGAGCACTGTTTCCCGACTGCTATGACTGATTCTTTAAAGAACTCATTCTCATATCTCTAAAAGTAGGTGTCTGTCCGCCTTCAGAACTATATCTGAAGGGGAAAGTGAGTGGAAGGAGGGCAGAGAGAGAGAGAAGAGAGAGTGTGTGTTAATTTTGATTTTTAGTGATAGCATACTATTTTATCACACAAATACATCATAATTTATTTGGCCTTTTCCTAGAAGTGGGCCATGATCAAATTGTATGAAATTTATAAACACTATCTCTATACTGTGAAATTACCTTCCTTTCTGGATTAATATCTCCCTGATATTACCTTGTCAGCATTATGTGAGAGTAGTTATTTCATTATATCCTTAATAGCACTAACTATATCATAGTTATAGTCTTAGCCAATTTAATGCAGTTTTTGATTTGTATTTTTCTGATATCTAGAGGCTGAACTTTTATTTTTAAAATGTGTTTATTGACCTCTTGTGTCCTTTGCCCATTTTGTATGGAATGTTAATGTTTTTCTGACTTATGTGTAGGTGCTCTTTTAATATATCAAGAAAATTATCATCTCTGTCTGTATAAATAATGGCATATGAAAAACTCCCATAAAGTTTTATGTATGCACTAATTATAGCCACATTTAAAATGCTGATGGAGACTTAAAGTGGAGGTGGAGCGATGGACTACTTAAGATGAAATATTCCCTGAAGCGCTATTTCTGTCCCTCTCTGACACCCTTCATTCCCCTACCCCCAGTACCTCCACCCCCCAATTCCCCTCTCCTGACCAAAGATTAAAGGCTGTCTGAGAGCATGGTCTGCTGCTCTCTGGGAGACAAGTGGAATCTTTCGAGTCTCAGACTAAGAGTTGTGGGTTTCTCCAGTCCCTGTTCTGTCTGCCCCAGGAACCGGGATGTTGGGAAATGGCTCAGTACTGTCAGTTTGGGTAGATACATACAGGAGACGGGCAGAGCTGAGAAGCAGTGTGGCAGGAAGTTTCTTAGGCTGGATTGGGGCTGTATCTGGAAAGTGCCTCATCCACCTGATTTTCTCCATGCCCACCCACTTCTGTGAAAGCTGGTAGTGTGCACGTGATCGGGAGTCTGGGTACCCCCTTCTGCCTATGCCATCGGTCAGTTTTCTCTGCTGTTAGGACCCCACCTTTTGGTCAACTGGACCCTGGTCTAATAGAATTGACTGTCTTACTATTTATTCAGCCTCAATAGTGGATATGAGAAGTCCCAGATAATCTTTAATGAGGACTTTTTAGTAAACAGTTTTAGCCTGCTTTCTGTCAGACCCTTTCTAGAGAATTAATAATAAAACGGTTAAGTAGGGCAGAAATAAGAAATGCTAGAGAAGTGAAGGGCAGGAAAACAACACAAATTGTAAATTTTGCTTTATAATAATTGGAGGTCTAACATCCTTGTTTGAGCAAATAACATATAAATTGTGAATTCCTTGTAAGTAGGAATCTACTTTAGTGTTCTTCCTCATCCCCAGTATAGGGTTGAGCACAAAGCAGAAATTTAGCATTTCAGAATTTATCAGAATTAGCTTTCTCTTTTAAACTCAGAGTTTTGAATGTAAGATGACTTGCATTCAAACAGGGCTCCTCAGTCAACATTAAATCTGTTATACTTTGTTCTTACCTTTAAACCCTTTTTAAGAACAGGAATTGGAAAAGAACTGTATGATTTTGAGCTTAACCATAGCCGAAACTCAGGGTCTATTGTCACGTTTGGACTATTAAAACTGCAAAATAAAAAATTTATAAATATTTTAATGTGAAAAATGTAAACCAACATGTTTTTAGAATCATAGCATTTCACTGTTTGAAGTGGCCTTACGAATCATTTTAATACTGAAGATCTTACTGTATTATCAGAAGAGCTTCCATGTTGCGCAAGAATTTGCACACGACCCATCAGTTACATTTTAAGAGTAGCTTTCTTTCCCCTAAGTACAAAAAGTGATCATATACTCATTGCAAAAAATCTGGAAATAATTACAAATTAAGAACAAAATGAAGAGTTCTACTGATTGAATTTGGGACAATTGAATGTCAAAATAAATGATGACGGTAAACAATTATAATCCTTGAATAAAATAGAAATCCATGAGACCATACTGATATAAATAAATAAATAGAGGGAAGAGAAAGAAAAGCTCTTCCTGTATAGGAGAACATCATTAAATAAATTTAGAAGAAGTTGTGGAGTTAGAAAGCTACCTTTTGGTAAACAATATAGTAGTAATTCAGTCAAAAATTATCAATGAACTTTAAAAACCAGTAGGTGAAAGTTTAATGTCTGTACATGGTCTGAAAGTTCCCACAAGTGGCAGAAACCACTTTAACCAAGTGACCAAAGTTAATATCACCAGTAATGAGACAGATTGATATCACAGGCCTCTTGATATGATGTACCAAGAATGAGATAACATTACTTCAATGATATTACTACAATACTGCATAGCCTTAATCTAACCGTAAGAAAATATCAGCTAAAACCCAATTGAGGGACACTTTACAAAATACAGTCAGCCCTCTATATCCATAGGTTCCACATCCATGGATTCAACCAGCCTCACATTGAAAATATTCAGGAAAAAAAATTTCAGAAAATGTTAAGGTATTGCTGACTCGTACTAGGTAGTTAGGCCTACAATGTCTGCATCTGTACTGAACCTATACAGACTTTTTTCTTTGTAATTATTTCCTAAACAATACAGATTAATAACAATTTACACAGCATTTACTATGTATTAGGTATTATAAGTAATCTAGACATGAGTTAAATTATACAGCAGGATGTGTGTAGATTATAGGCAAATACTGCACCACTTGATATAAGGGAATCGAATATCCAAGAATTCCAGTATCCACAGGGGGTCCTGGAACCAATCCCCTGTGGATAGTCAGGGACCACTGTAACTAGCTTGTACTTTTCAAAAATATCAAAGTTACGAAAGACAAAGGCAGACTGAGGAACTATTATAGATTAAAGGAGATTTAGGGTATGGTGGCATGCACCCATAGTTCCAGCTACCTGGGTGGTTAGGGCAAGGGGATCACTTGAGCCCAGGAATTCAAGTTCAGCTAGGGCAACATAGCGAGACCTCACCTCTAAATAAACAGACAACAAACAAATAAAATACTTATCAGGAGACTTAAGAGACATGAAAACTTAATACAATGAGAAATCTTGAATTGAAACTTTGGCCAAAACTTTTATTCTATTTTGATATAAAAGATATTATTGGGACAATAAACTAAACATGAGTAAATAATCAACAATGAACACTGAACTATTTAGGGGTCAAGTGGCAACATGTCTGCAATTTACTTCCAAATGATTCAGAAAAATATTACATATATATGAGAGAAATGATAGGGTAAATGTTAAGAATTTGGAGATAGAGATGAAGGGTATAAGGGAGTTTTTGTACTGTTCTTGCAACTTCTCTGCAAGTGTGAAATTATTTTTAAAAAATTTGCAAAACAAACCAAATCATTACAAGGAAAAAAAAACACAATACAAAATGAAACAGAAAGCAAATATGGCCTGTAATCCCACTAAATGAGTTTAGGTACACTTTTCTCTTTTGTTTTTTCCTCCTTCTGCCTCTCTCTGTCTCTCATTTTAAAAATAATTATGCTGCATATTTTGTTTGTAGCTTTTTATTTTTTCTCCTAGCAATATGTTGTGAACATATATCACTAACTCTTAAGAAATGTTTTTTTCTTCACATTTTCCTCTCCTACTGTGGACTGGTAGAGTGGTCATCTTAAATATCTAAAGGCTTGATTTAATAAAGAAGTATGAATTTCTTTTTCTTTTTTTTGATAGTAGCCTTTTGGAGGTGATATTTCATTTTGTTTTTTAATAGGCTGGACTTTGGCTAGATCACTATGGTTTTAGTTTGCATTTCCCTAATGATTAGTGATGCTGAGCATTTTTTTTTTTTTTTGAGACTGAGTCTTCCTCAGTTGCCCAGGCTGGAGTGCAGTGGCACAATCTCAGCTCACTGCAACCTCCACCTCCCGGGATCAAGCGATTCTCCTGCCTCAGCCTCCTGAGTAGCTGGGACTACAGGCGTGTGCCACCACGCCCGGCTAATTTTTGTATTTTTAGTAGAGACGGGGTTTCACCATGTTGGCCAGGCTGGTCTCAGACGCCTGACTTCAGGTGATCTGCCTGCCTTGGCCTCCCAAAGTGCTGGGATTACAGGTGTGAGCCACCGCGCCCGGCCCGGAAGTACGAATTTCTTTTAATAATACTCTGATTATGTTGAATATTTTTAATGTATCATTAATTACTCTTATTAAGACTGAAATTCTGTTCTAAGGAATGTTTCTCTAATTTCTTTTTTTTATTAGCACAGTGTTAACCTGCCATACTATTGGCTCTTTTCACCTTAGTATCCTCTGGAAAGCTGCTACAGTGTTTGCCTGGTCCGTGGTGTGTCCCCTGTGCCTAGCACAATACTTGACAAATAGCAGATGCCCTATAAATAGTTTTTGGATGAATAATGAATGAAAGACATGGCAGAAATAATAATTTGAAAGTTTATATCTATTAAAGTCATGTAACTAAGCAATCTTTGTCTTCTGATTCTCTTAAGTCATGAAATAAATGTGAAAAAGAGAAATTATATAATAGTATTGATTGATTGATTGATTGATTGTTGTAGAGATGGGGTTCACTCTGTTGCCCAGGCTGGTCTCGAACTCCTGGCCCCAAACAGTTATCTTGCCTTGGCTCCCCAAAGCATTGGGACTATAGGCGTGAGCCACTGTGCCCCGCTGGTATAGTTTTTAAACTGCTAAAATAATAACAATCTGATAACTCATGAGTGACATCAGGAAAGTTTTTAGAAATTTAAGTCATGCAGTTGCATTTTGGTTTTATAATTTCCTTGTGCATGCTCAAAGCATAAAAATAAAAATAACAGCATGAAGAGACAGACTCTCATTTAAACAATTTTACCACAGGATATTGGCCATGAAAAGTAAAGAAGAAAGAAAACCAAGGCTGGAGAAAAACTATAGAATGTAATTGGTTGAAACATCATTGATTCAACACATTGCTAATTCTTCACTCAAATTACAGCAATAAACTTTCAAATGCTTCCACTGCAAACAAGAAAGCTGAATGTATAAAAATTTCTGCATGAGTGACTAAGTGCTTTGGGAGGTACAGCCTAGAAAAGTATTTTGAGCTAGAGAAAGTCAGAATAGATACTAAGCAAAGGCCATAAAATGAATCATCACCAAAAGGATAGATATGAGGTATTATGCTCTGCTGTTTGGAATCACATCGAATATTAAAAACTATGTATCCATCAGTGCATATAATGTGTGTGTATGCTTATATATCTATTGAGAGTAAGAGTTTGAGGAAAGAAAGTGATAAACAAGACAGAGAACAAAAACTGAAGAGGCCTTAAAAAGATAAAAACTGATGTATTCTTAGTGTAGTTTTCAAGTTCCTGGAGAAAAGAAAACCAATATAAGATAGGTTAAGTTTCATCTGAGTGGCTCAGCACATTATTTTGCTATTGTTTACACACAGTATACATTGACATTTCCAGTTTTACTTTATAGTTTTGGTAACCAATCTGATCCCTTACAGATAAATGTAAAACTCTTACGATTCTACAATTGTGCAAAGCCTTGGCATAAATGATGTTGCAAGATGGCAGTTCTGGAGGAAGACCCATTGTTGTGTTTTTGTTAGTGCCTTTAAAATGAGGTCTTCAGCTTTAGCTGCTTGGTCACGGCCCAGAGAAATTATGGTCACATGATGTGTTGTTCCTTTTAACTCTTGTGCAAATCTCAGGAGGATATTGGTAAGGTCGATCCCTGTATAACAACGTGGAGAGGTATATAAAACTGTAAGCTCATTTAATTCCCTTTTAAAAATCACAATCCAGCATTTATTGAGTAGTGTTGGGAAAAGGTATAGTCATAGCGGAAAGACTACAGGTTTTGAAATTAGAGCCCAGAGTTTAAATTTTGGTCCTGCCACTTACTAGCCTAACACACGAGGATGATAACAATATCTAACGACAGCAGCACCTGCTGGTTGTCTTCTCCGACATCTACCTGTCCTTTCCTCCTCTGTAGCTGTACCCCAGTGTTGTTCGAGATGGCTGTATACTCAGCTAAAATACTACATTTTTAACTTCTGTGGGCATCTAGGTTTTGTGATAGATTTTGGCAGCAAAATTTTGTTAGCAAAAGTGTTGTGTAATACTCAATAGCAAAGAAATGGAATCAACCCAAATGCCCATCAATGATAGACTAGATAAAGAAAATGTGGTGCATATATACCATTGAACACTATGCAATCATAGAAAGGAATGAGATAATTTCCTTTGCAGAGACATGGGTGGAGATGGAAGCCACTATCTCAGCAAACTAACACAGGAACAGAAAACCAAACACTACGTGTTCTCACCTATAAGTGGGAACTGAGCAATGAGAACACATGGACAAACGTGGGGGGAACAACACATACTGGGGCCTGTTGGAGGTTGTAGGGAGGGAGAGCATCAGGATAAATGCTAACGCATGTGGGGCTTAATACCTAGGTGATGGGTTGATAGTTGCAGCAAATCACCATGACACATGTTTACCCTATGTAACAAACCTGCACATCCTGCACATGTATCCTGGAACTTAAAATGAAACAAAATTAAACTAAAATAAAAGTGTTGTATAATACTTTGGATATCTCCTTAAAGGGAGGATGTGTGCCTTTCTTCCTTGCTTCCATTCTGTTGTTTGGAACGTGAATATGATGGCTAGAGCCCTAGCCACCATCATGGGCTAAGTCTTCAAGAAATGGATAGTACCTACTATGAGTGTGTCAGGCATCTAGCCAAGTGCTTTGCATGGAAACATTCCAGGTGAGAAGCCTCCAGGTGGAGGCACTCCAGATAAGGTTTTATGTAATAAAATCAAAGTTTGAAATGATGAATTCTAAAGACACATTTGATTTTTGGAACAGAAGATAAATGAAGAAAATATTTTGCTTGGGAGAAAATATTTTACTTCGGATCTGTAGTGCAAAGACAAGAAAAACAAAAAAAAGCATTTGGAGTTTTGAGGAATACAAGGGCTGGAGAGCAGGGACAATTTTTGATAGTTTATTTTGTAACATATTTTTGCACAAGTCAGTGTTTATTAAACACGTGCATAGACATAGACATAAGGGCGAGTCCAACTTCCAGAGCAACAGTATGTGTTTGCAAGGTATTTTCTGTGCAGAAAATCACCATTGATAAATTTTTCATTTGTGAATCTGAGAGGTTTTATTCCTCTTTGTTGTATCTTTAGAGAGATTTATTCTTAGTATAAAGTTGTAATTAGCTCCTTTTCCAAAAATTTTAAATAGGACTAGGAAAATATTTTAAACACAGAATAATCTGACACAGAACCTACTTCTCCATATCTCTTGGCTGATATTGTATCATCATTGTATTAGTCTGTTCTCACACTGCTATGAAGAAATACCTGAGACTGAGTAATTTAAAAAGTAAGTAGGTTTAATTCGCTCGCAGTTCTGCATGGATCTTTACAAACTTTAGGAAACTTACAATCATGGCAGAAGGCAAAGGAGAAGCAGGCACCTTCTTTGCAGGGTGGCAGGACGTAGTGAGTGCCAGGAGGGGAAATGCCAGGTGCTTATAAAATCATCAGATCTCAAGAGACTCACTCACTATCATGAGAACAGCATGGGGGGAACCATCCCCATGATCCAATTACCTCTACCTGGTCTCGCCCTTGACATGTGGGGATTATGGGGATTACAATTCAAGGTAAGATTTGGGTGGGGACACAGAGCCAAACCATATCGATCATCTTAACTATTCACAAATAGCTTACCATGAGTTTGAATAAGTATCAGCGGAGTTCTGGCATTGGATCCTTTATATGCATCTTTCAAATTAACTCCAGTTCTTTGAAGATACTTATTTCCCATTTTTTCAGTTATAAACTTTCTCACTGAATTGTTTAAACTTTCTGGTCTAAGAACTTTTACCTAAAAAAGAAAACATGGAAGATAAGGTAAAATTAAAAGCCACCCAGAGAGATATTCCCTATGGTAAAATGAAACAAAAATAAGAAGTATTCATTTTTTAGCTTTTCAGCCAGAGTTTTCCTGTTGAGGAAGCTTAATGGGACAGACTATGCATGGAGGAGAAACCGCCACCATGTTCCTGTGGCCATCATGTGGCCCTTCTTAGATACCAGCGCTACCTGTGCCTCTATGTCTTTCACACTCTGAGTGAGCTCTTGCTTTGTTTGTAAAGATCCAAGTTATACTCCCTAATTCTGCAAAAAGAAATTTTTTCCCCTCGGTTTTCTTCCTGCTCTGCTATACATGTCTAGAGCAAGAAAACCCCATGGTGTTGGAGGGATGAAAATACAGGATGACACAACTGGAAAAGTATTAATTCTTCCATTAATAAAATGAAAACAAATGGCACAATCTTTATATGTTTAAGCAATTAGAATACAAATCTGAAAAGAATGCTAGATGGACTAAAAGATTTTGGAAACAGTATAAATGCATAGTAAACAGAGGTTCAGGGTATACTGGAAATCATTGAAAATTTCAGAGGAAAGACCTTTCCCATAAAAACTGTTTTATACAAATCACTTACATGATATTTGTCTACACAATGACCATAAAATATGTCCTGAACATGTTCAACATCTGGGACTCCATCATTTAAAGCAAAACTGAAGCTACACACGTCAGTGTGCCTGTTTGATGTACCAGGTTGGACCATGGGAAGTTGCCATTTTTACCTTTCAAAAACTGTCAAATATTGGCAATATGTTTAACACAGCACATTTAATCATTATGCTGAATTCTGCTCTTTTCTGTTATGTTTTGGAAAAATTATTCTTAAAATTTTCTTTTAATTATATTTTTAAAAATGAAAAGAGGCAGCACACAAAGACTCTAGGTCTAATAGCAGAGTTCACTTAGAATACCCAGTTAGTGAGACAGTGTTAGAATCGTTGAGTGAAACAAATGATTAGGTGTTTCCCCGATACCATCACTGCAGACAATCTATGCTCCCAAATGGTCAACATAATTTTTTTGTCACCAATGTGCCATTAGCTCCTCTTTTATTCTATTGATCAATCAAGATTTTGTTACATTTCTCCACTGTTGTAAATTTTAACCTTGAGGACTATTTTTTTTTTTTAGAGGTAGGAGAGAAAGGGAAGGTAGAAGAAACAGAGTTCTGTTGAATTCAATTTCACTAGCTCCTTTCTAAGCAACCACAAATCATTCTGATAATTTTCTGCATGTCTATATTCCTTCATTGTCCTCTTTCATCCCCTCTTTTCAGTCCAATAGGCTATAGCAGTGGCAAGGGGTGAAAAAGCTAGGCAAAGTCCTTGCCTTCATGGAACTCTGAGAAATTCTCCTTCTCTAGGGCAAGCTTCTTTCTAATATATTTTAACTTAATCTTTTATGTGACAATCTCAATTTCTAACTCTTACAGGTCAGGCTCAGTTTTAAATAACTAACTTAGTTTTCCTATATGTACACTCAACACTTGATCAGACCATGTCTTCCAACTTCTGGTTTGGAAGATAGGATCACTATACTCATAAAATTTCTAGTTCATAAACTAAAATCACTGGGAACTTATTGGGGGAAGGTAATGTGGCATGGGTTTAAAGTCTAGTTATTTTTGTTTTTCAGGTAATTCATCCTTGCTACATAAAATTCAAGCAATGCAAAAAGGTAAAAATGAAAAAGTGAAGGTCTTACTCCCTAGATACGTTGTTTCTTATATTGTTACTCCCCAGATATATTGTTTCTTGTGGCTCCTTCTAGATATTTTCAACACATATACAGGCATATCTCCACGTCCCTCCCTTTCTCCACAAATGAAGTTGTTCTATACAGATTATTCAGTATTTTGTATTTGTCAATTAATATAGCTTAAATATATTTTCATGTCACTACTATGTCAATAATCCACATGTAGAGTTGAGGTATCAATCTGTCTGAAGTTGTCAGATAGATAACAAAAATTAGAGAAGTGGGTTGGATAGAAGAAGAAAATCCTCTTCTAAAAGAAAAATAAAGATGCAAATATGATGACAAATGGCAACTAACATTCAACTTCAGTGTCAGGAAGTAGCAGGGAGCAGTGAAGACTGTAGTGCACTGGGCCAAAGGGACAGACACTACTCAGCTCTAGCTATTGCTGCCATTGAGGAATGTGGGCTCAGTGTTGCCTAAGGCCAGAAATCTGGATTTTTATTTGAAATCTCTCAATTTTCAAATCTTGGCTCAAAAATAAAAAATAACCCAAACTCAAACCAAAACAAAAAACAAATGTGTGTATCATAGCAGCATTGTTCACAATAGCCAAAAGGCAGAAACAAACCTTTGTTGTCTCTCAATGGATTAATGGCTAAATGAAACATGATATATACACACAATGGGATATTACTCAGCCTTAAAATGGGAGGAAATTCTGACACATGCTACAACATGGATGAACTTTGAAAACATCATGCTATGTGAAATAAGCCAGACATAAGCATGATGGGAGGCAGAAGGTAGAATTGTGGTTGCCAGCAACCGTCAGGAGGAGAGACTGGGGAGTTATTATTTAACAGGTACAGAATTTCTATTTAAGATGATGACAAAGTTTTGGAAATGGATGGGGATGATAGTTACACAACATTGTGGATATACTAAATATCACTGAACTGCATGCTTAAAGGGTTAAAAGGGATTATTATGAAGATTAAATGAAATAATGTATCTATATTTTATCACAATAAAACCCAGAAAACAACTCACTTCAAGATATGTATACATATATTTTTTTAAAAAATCTGATATTTATTTTAGTTATTTTTGCTTAAAAACTTGGAAGTTGCTATGGTCTGAATGCTGGTGTCTCCTCTAAATTTATATGGTGAAACCTAATCTCCAATGTGTTAGTATTAAGAGGTGGAGCCTTAGGAGAGGATTAGGTCATGGGGGCTCTGCCCTCGGGGTGAGATTAGGTCCCTTATAAAGAAGTCTTGAGGAACCTGGGCAACATAGTGAGATTTCATCTCTTAAAAAATTAGCCTGTCATGGTGATGCACACCTGTAGTCTCAGCTACTCAGGTGGCTGAGGCAGGAGTTTCAGGCTGCAGTGAGCTGTGATCACACCACTGCACTACAGCCTGGATGACAGAGTGAGACGAGTGAGACCTAATTAAAAAAATAAAATAAAAAAAGAAAGAAAAGAGAAAGACTTTCTTGTTGTGAGGACACAGCAAGACGATGCCACCCATGAAGCAAGCCCTCACCAGCCACTGAATCTGCTGGGTCCTTGATGTTAGACTCCCAGCCTCCAGAGTGGTGAGCAGTACATTTCCGTTGTTTATAAATTACCCAATCTATTGGGTTTTAGCAATCTATTTTGTTACAGCAAGCCAAATGAATTAAGACAGAAGTCTTCTAAGCAAGATCATAGGTTCAAATCCATTTGATTAGTAATAAATTGCACCTGAAAAGTTGTAAAAAACCAAACAAAACTTCAGGCCAAATAAAACATGTTTGTAAGCCAGATGCAGTCATATTTTGCAATCTCTACATAGAGAGAATTTTTAAAGTGTTGCAAGAATAAAGTTTAAGGCAGAAATCAAAAGGATTACTGGTTGTCCAGGTTAGCATTTTCAAGAATTTCAGGAAATGAAGAATTTAAGGAATTTAAATGAGATGAGAGATTTTCCCTTCACTAAATTAGGGAGTAAATGTCAAAATAAAGATTTTTTTAAGGCAATAAGGATGAATTTAGGATGATCTAGCCTGGAAAGTATAATATAGTATGACTACCAAGAACACAGATATGAGAGCCATGCTGTCTGAGATTTATAAGCCTTGGTTTATTAGGCAATTTATAAGCCTTGGTTTCCTAATCTGTAAAATGAGGGAAATAATTGTGCCTACCTTCCAAGACTATTATAAGTATTAAATAGAATAATATATGTAAAGTGCTTAACACATACTAAACTTTTCATGTGTTAGGGGTGCTCATAAATGACACCCATGCATACCCATAATCCACCAACCTCTACCCTCAGCCAGTTTCTGAAACAATTGAGAAATAGAGGTGCTGGGCAAAAATATCCTTTTATTAATAATAAAGGTCATGTTGGTGGATGTGGTTTAGGTATGAGGCAAAAATGTGCTTCCTCATACAGAACCTAGAATTAGACAGACTTACCTGTCACAAGCAGTGCTGGTCAGCCATTGGCCTCTCCCTACAGGACCAAGGTCTGTTCCTGTATGGTTTATGGCACGGAGAAGCAGGCAGAAAGTATGTTCTTTATAGGCAGACAAATCCCAAAAGGGACAGGGCTATGAGTCCTCCTTTCTGGGGGAGAATAAATGAGGGGACAGAGGGACTCCAGGAATGTTACTCACATTGGACTCTCCACATGAAAGAAGCATTAAGGGGAGGCGTAGGTGCTTCCCTCTCCTATTAACGTTCACGAAATGTACTTTAAAAATACACTTTGCTTGTAAAATTTTAATTTTGAAGGGTTTAAGTTACTAATAAAGCACTCAAAATATTTAGAATATTAATATTTCCTCATAAGATATCTTACCAAAATAAGTCTTTGAAATGAAGTGAGTTTCTCCCAGGGAAAATTTATAGGATTACACGTTTCTTTATTTTCATTCAAAAGTTCAGCTAGATATAATTTAGAGAAAGAAACTGGCATTAACAGTCAAATACTTTTTATCATTAAAACATATCACAATGAAAATTTCTGTCATAAAATTGTGACTTTTTTTTTTTTCTAAACATGGCTGACTTTTAAAGTGAGCTTTATTTCTATAAGCTTTGAGGCATCACTAGCTATGCTTCACACCTCAAAAGAGGGAGATGTTAAGATAGATTTAAGTTTCAACTTGGACCAACTGAAGTGGTGAATGAATAGTAATATAACAAGATGATGGACAGATGAAGAAATAAAATGAGAAGCCAAAGGCATAGCCAGCCAACACATCATAACCTGTTCCTGTATATGTGGTGTTTTTCTGATGAATGTAAACTAGTAAGTGTAGAGGTTGGAGGTTTCTATTCATAATCCAGCTATAACGATATGGGAAATGAGAATCAAATGAAAATGCAACCAGATTATCAAATTTTTGAAAAATTAAATATTATATCTACCTACATATATTTAATACTGACCCCTCTTACCACCACAATAGAGTCCTACTGGATTACAATTTTTTGCAAGGTGGGAAGCCTTCTAGTCTTCATTTCCAGCTCTCCCAGATACACTTATCATTTCTACTTACCTCTTATTTCTATGGTATTTTCCCAATGTCTAACTTTAAATACAAATTAGGTTATAGAAACGGCTTTTTTGAATGCAGATAATATTGATGTGTTGATCTTAAAAAAAGTTCATGATACATGAAGGTATAGTTATAAATGGATAATTTGGGGTTATTTGCAAAATAAAAAGATCTTCACTTTACAAAAAGGGTCAATAAAGAATTCTTTTAAATAAAAGTAACTGACTCTTACAGTATAATAAATTATGGGTCCCAAATATATTAGTGATAAACGCAACAAAATAAAAAGATAATGACTCAAAGAGAGAAAACTGTGGGAGGAGGAGACCTTCTTAATAAGAACTTGAAATCAAGAATGTTTAAAGGAAGAAAATAGACATAATTGACTATACAAACATTTAAACGCATATAGCATAGGTACTATAAAAACAAATTCAATAGACAATAAAAAATTCAGAAAAATATTTGAATATAGATGTTAATACATATAATAAGACAAAAGCAAATTATTTATAACACTAATGGGAGTTTAAACTTTACAGATGGGCAAAATTTAAAAAAAATCAATACTCCTATGGAAAATGGGCATTCATATTGCTGGTGGAAATATAAGTTATCATAGACTTTTCAAGAAAGCAACTTGGCAGCAACTGTTAACATAAAAATAATTTCCTTTTGTTCCAGCAATTCCACTTCTGATTATTTATCTTACAGAAATAAAAGCAAAGGAAAAATGTATAAGGATGTTTATGTTATTGCATAATATAATTGTCTATTTTGGCAAAAATCAGGAAGTGAAGTAGAGAAAAATGTGGAAGGAAACAAATTAGGTTGTATTCTGAGTGGGGGTGTTATGAGTGAAGGTAGTAGCGAAAAACGGAGGAGAGTTCGAAGTGGAAAAAGAAAAAGCAAAAGATGTGCTAAAAATAGTAAGTCATTTGAATTTAAGGTAAGATCCTTTCCCATGTAATTTTAAAAACACACATTTGTTAAAATGAATGAAATATGTAGGTTTGTTCAGATTCAAGGTTCAAAACTAGCCTGGTGTAATGAAACTAGTGTGGTGTATTTAATCTCTCTGAAATTCTGATTTCTAATCAGATTTTCTCGTGAAGTTCATTATAATCCTTTCAGGGATTGTTATGAGGATTATAATGAATAACATGTGCATGCTGAAAATGTAGTTATAGTCCTCCCTTCAATTTTTTCATAATGTAAGATAATGTACGACATTTACAAATTGAAAATCCATACACATACACACATACTTAAGTTAGGTTAAAACACTGAATGCTTTCTTACTTTCCTCTGGTGGTTTTGTATTTTCCTCCAATGAAGCATTTTCTGAAGAGAAAGGTGTGCTGATCAGAGAATAAACTGCTTTACTGTTCTTAAAAGTATCCCATTGTGATACGTTTGATAAAAGGGATTTGCACAGAAGTGAAAATGGTTCCAGGTGAGTGCTGACATATTGGCACTGCCTCCACCTGGAATCTGACAGCCACTGAAGATGTTGACTTTCACCTATTTCAAATGTGCCTGATAAAAAAAGAAAGATGATCACATTAGAAGAGATAAACCTTTACCTTTTAGTTATTCATTACAAAGTAGATACTTGACAAAGATGTACTGTTAAGGCTATTTCATATAAAAATTACTTCATAGAAATAAAAATATATTTTACATAAAATATAAAAAGCTACTTTATATAAAAATTACGTAAGAGGTAATTGTTTTTATTGTGGTAAAAATATAAGTAAATTTATCATGTAAACCTTTTTTGTTTTTGTTTTTTGAGACAGAGTCTCATTCTGTCACCCAGGATGGAATGCAGTGGCACGATCACTGCTCACTGCAACATTTGCTTCCCGGTTCCAAGTGATTATTGTGCCTCAGCCTCACAAGTAGCTGGGATTATAGGTGTGTGCCACAATGCCCAGCTAATTTTTGTGTTTTTTGCCATGTTGGCCAGGCTGGTCTCAAACTCCTGGCCTAAAGTGATCTGCCCCCAATCTTGACCTCCCAAAGTGTTGGGATTACAGGCATGAGCCACTGCACCCAGCCAATCTTAACCATTCTTAAGTGTACAGTTCAGTAGTGTTAAATATATTCATACTGTTGTGAAACTGAGAATAAACTCTAGTTGGTTATGGTGTACAGTCCTCTTAATGTGCTGTTGAATTTGGTTTGTTAGTATTTTGCTGAGGATTTTTGCATCAATGTTATTCAGAAATATTGGTCTGTAGTTTACTTGTAGTATCTTTGTCTGGCTTTAGTATCAGAATAATGCTGGCCTCACAGAATGAGTTAGGAAGTGTTTCTGTCTCTTCAATTTTTTGAAAGAGCTTCAGGAAAATTTATGTTAATTTTTAAATATTTGGTAGAATTCAATGAAGCCATCTGGTCCTAAAATTTTCTTTTTTTTTTGGCAGTGTTTGATTACCAGTTCAATCTCCTTGTTATTGGTGTGTTCAGATTTTCTATTTGTTCATGATTCAGTCTCGGTAGACTACAAGGAATTTATCCATTACTTCTAGGTTATCCAATTCATTGGCATACAATTGTTCATGGTAGTCTTTTAGAAATCTTTTTATTTCTCTGCATCTACTTTAATGTCGTCCCTTTCTTTCCTGATTTTTATTTTTTGCATCTTCTCTCTTTTTTCTTAGTTAACTGAGCTCAAGGTTTGCAAATTTTATTGATCTTTTCAAAACACCAACCTTTAGTTTTGTTTATTTTTTTTCTATTCTCTATTTTGTTTATCACTGCTTTAGTCTTTATTATTTCAATCCTTTTGCTAGCTTTGGGTTTAATATGTTGTTTTTCTAGTTTCTTGAGGTAAAATTTAAGTACACTTTCTTCTTTTTTAATGTAGGTATTTACAGTTATAAACTTTCATCTTAGCACTGCTTTCAATGTATCCCCTAAGTTTTAATATGTCACATTTTCATTTGTCTCTAAGTATTTTCTAATTTCCCTTGTGATTTAGTCTTTGACCTATTGGGTGTTTAAGAGTGTGTTAATTTCTACATGTTTGTGGATTTTTCAGTTTTCATTCTGTTGATTTCTAGTATCATTCCACTGTGTTTGGCAAATACACTTGGTATGACTTCTTGAATTTGTTAAGACTTGTTTTATGGTCTAACATGTGGTCTATCTGGGGAATGTTTTTGTGCACTTAAGAAGAATGTATATCCTGCTGTTATTGGGAAGACAGTTCTGTGTATGTCTGTTTGATCCAGTTGATCTATAGTGTTGTGCAAGTCCTCTATTTCCTTATGACCTTCTGTTTCATTGTTTTATTCGCTATTGAAAATGGGGTACTGAAGTCTCCTACTATTATTGGGTCGCTGTCTTATTTCTCCCTTCAATTTGTCAAAGTTTGCTTCACGTATTTGGGAGCTCTGAGGTTTAGTGAATAAGCATTTATTACTACATATCTTCTTGGTGAATTGACCCTTTTATCATTATCTCATGTCTGTCTTTGTCTTTTGTAACAGTTTTGATTTCACGTTTACTTCATCTGATATTAGTACAACCACTCCTACTCTCTTTGGTTACCACTTGCATGGAATATTTTTCTCCATTCTTGCATTGTCAGCCTATATGTTTCTTTAGATGTGAGTCTCCTGTAGACAGCATATAGTTGGATACTGTTTTTTAAATTAATTCAGCCAATCTATGCCTTTTTATTGAAGATTTTAATCCATTTAAATTTAAAGTAATTACTCACAGGGAAGGAATTACTATTGCCATTTGTTGTTTTCTGTATGTCTTGTAACTTTCTCCCTTCCTGTCCTCTTTTATTGCCTTTTTCGGTATTTTATTGATCTTTGTGGTGATATACTTTGATTCCCTTCTCAGTTTGTTTTGTGCATATTCTATAGATATTTTCTTTGTGGTTACTATTGCAATTACATAATTTAATCTTAATTTTATAGCATTCTATTTTAAACTGACAACAACTTAACTTCAGTCCCATACAAAAATTCTACTGCCAGCCTGGGCAACATAGTGAGACCTCGTCTCTACCAAAAATTTAAAAAAATTAGCTGGGTATGGTGGCATGTGCCTGCAGTCCCAGCTACTTGGGAGGTGAGGTGAGAGGATCACTTAAGCCCAGAAGTTGGAGGCTACAGTGAGCTATGATCCCATCACTGTATTCTAGCCTGGGTGACAGTGAGACTATGTCTCAAAAAAAGAAATCAAAATCTACTAATTTAGGGCTTTAGCACCACCCCTTATGTTATTGATGTCACAAGTTACATTTTTATATATTGCATATCCATTAACATAATTATAGATTAAAAAATGTTTTTGTAACTTAAGTTACATTCACCAAAATTACAATAGTACAGGTTACTATCTTTATCCACATATTTACCTTTTCTGAAGAACCTTACATTTTTCACATGGTTTCATGTTACTGTGTATTATCCTTTTGCTTCAACTTAAAGGAGTTTCTTTAGCATTCCTTGTAGAGCAGTTCTAGTGGTAATAAACTCCCTCATGTTTGTTTATCTGAGAAACCTTAATTTTTGTTTCATTTTTGAAGGGCAGTTTTGACACATACAGTATTATTGGTTGAGAGTTTTTTCTTTTAGCACTTTGAATATATATCTCACTCCCTCTAGTTTGCAAAGTTTTTCCTGAGAAATCACTGGTAATCATACAGAAGCTCCCTTGTATGTACAAATAACTTTTCTCTTGCTGCTTTCAAGATTCTGTCATTGTCTTTGACTTTAGACAGTTTGATTATAATGTGTCTTGGTGTGTTTCTTTTTGGATTTATCCTAGTGGAGTTCTTTGAACTCTTGAACCTGTATGTTTTTTTCTTTCCTTAGATTTGGGAAGTATTTAGCGATTGTTTCTTCAAAGAATTTCTCTACCCTTTTCTCTCTTTTTTTCTTCTTCTGGGAGTGCCATATTGCATATATTGGTCAACTTAACAGCATCCTATAAGTCTCTTAGGATCTCTTTGCTTTTTAATTTTTTATTTTCTTTGCTCTTCTGACTCGATAATTTCAAATGACCTGTCTTCAAGTTTGCTGATTCTTTGTTCTGTCTGATTAAGTCTGCTGTTGAACCCCTGTAATAATTTTTCAGTTCAGTTTTTGCATTTTTCAGCTTCAGAATTTGTTTCATTCTTTTTTATAGTTTTTATGTCTTTGCTGATATTCTCATTTTGTTCATGCATCATTTAACTGACTTTATTTAGTTCTCTGTTATTTATTTATTTATTTTAGCTCATTGAGCAACTTTATGACAGTTATTTAAAATTCCTTGTCAGGCAGCCCATAGATCTGCATTTCTGTGGGACTCGTTTCTGGAGTTTCATTTTGTTCCTCTGATTGGGCCATTTCCCCCTGTGTCTTTGTTTGCCTTATGTATCTTTTTTTCCAGGATTGGCATTTGAAAAATTGACCACTTTTCCCAGTCTTTGGTATTGGCTTCGTGCAGGGGAAAACCCTCACCAATCAGCCTAGTTGGAGGTTCTAAGACCTTTTTAACCTTTTCTAATCCCTTGCTCCTCCTAAGTTCTCCCTGTGAAACTGCAGGTCTAATGTGCTGCTTGCATCTGGATT
Organism: Homo sapiens; assembly: GCF_000001405.40. Classification (NCBI taxonomy): domain Eukaryota; kingdom Metazoa; phylum Chordata; class Mammalia; order Primates; family Hominidae; genus Homo; species Homo sapiens. Next base: position 225,347,600 of record NC_000001.11, on the reverse strand, counting down.
TTAGTGGCTTCCAAACTCTGATGCCAGTCTTATCAATATTCTGAGTCAGGCAAGACAAAAACTAGTCCCTTGGGAGGCCCCTAGACAAGCCAGAACACTGGATGCACTGTCTACTCTTTTGTTTCTATCCGAGGGAGGAACTCTGTAATGGGGGGATTTCCTGTCAGTTGTTCCACATTATACCACAAAGAGGGGGAGGCATGAATAGGCATGTGTCAAATGATGCAAAATTTCCTACCCCTTTCACTGGAATCTCTTCTCGGTTTTACAATAGCCTGGATGCTGTAGCTTCTCAACTGATCTCTAGAGTTCTCACAGAGGTATTCTGATCTGTATATTGTTGTTAACTTGGTATCTCTGTGAAGGAAGGGAGCCTATAGCATCCTAGTCTGCCATCTTGCAGACTTAAAACTTACAACACAGCATAACAACGTGACTGTATTTAATGTCACTTAAAAATTGAGATGATAAATTCTGTTATATGTATTTGACCACAGTTTAGACAATAAACATATTAAAAATACAACATAGAAACATTTAGAAGATTCAATAATTAAATAATTGTGTCTAACCTTTTTGGATAAACATGCTTTTTGTGTTTCAAATTTTCAACCAGGTTTTCGTAAGAAAGTGAGGGCAACTCTAATTGGGGTGTGGGGGAAGGTTTAACTCCTGAAGGTATCCAATCAATGTTTATGTTTGGGTGTGTTCCTGTTGACTACCATTAGATATTCTGCTTTGTAGGTTAGGATTATAATAATCATAGTAATTATCATTTATGTATTCATTCATTCATTAAAAAATTATTGAGTAACAGTGGAGGTGCTTGACCTCAAGCTACTTTTACTTTAATCAATTATAGAGGCATTGACTTGGAGCACCTTAGAGGAAGGAAACACACTTTTAATGGACTTTTACTGAATCCGGAATAGTAACTTTTACTTACTAGTAAGTCTAGACTGGGATAATGCACTTTTAATATTTATCAATATGCCAGAATATAAAAAGATGTTCCATTCTTCTTCTGGTAGGAATCCAATGTCATCCTGTATTAGATTTCCATTAGCATTGTTTTGCATGATTACAGTGCAAAGCCGAAAAGAGAAGCAAAGTTTATCTTCATTAAATAGAGCTGAAGAAACCACCTATAGGGAAAATATAACATATTAATCCAGTGAGATTAAATAAGCATGTAAAATTCACACTAAAGAATATCTCACCTTAAAAATACTTTTTGTCAACATGTCTATTGCACTTTTAATATGCTTATCTAAGAGATTTTTCTCATTTTCCAGGTTGGGTTCTTTTGAAATACTTATAAACTCATGAACTTCTTTTGGAGACACTTTCTCCCTTTTAAAACTATGTTCTTGTTCTTTGCTTTTGGAAACTACTGATGAAACAAAAACCTGATGAAACCAGTCTAGGGAGAACTGGTACATGTAGTTGATTTGTGTGAGATCAGCTACTAGGAAGTAGAGCAGGGCGCCTCGGGTCGCAATGGGGAGATAGTTTTTACGTATTGCTTGGATTTCACTTTCAGCTTTTTTTGTTGCTTCGATGCGCTTTGAAATTTCGTTTGATGTCATTTTGGATTTTCTTAAGGTATCTACAATTTTGTCATCATCTAATATGGATCCTAAAGACAAACAAAAAGTGAAGTTAAATAAAGACTATTGTAACAGTAAATGGCTATTTCCTCACTCTGCACTCTTTGTGTAAGGGTTTGTACTGTTGGCTTCTTATTGGCTTTATGTCAGAGACGGGCTCTTAAATGAAGTTAGGTAATATTTCTAATAAGAATTTGATTAATAAATTTGATTAATAGTACGTACACCTCACTTCCCACTCCGTCATCTCTTCTTTATATTACTTTAGTATTGGTGGATCCTATTTTTTTTACAGGCATATGATAAGCAACCATTCCATGATAAGGAATACATTTACAGTATGACCCACTATACACATAGAATATTAAAATCAATTTTCAAAAAATAACAAGTGTGCCATTATTTTACGTGATTTATTCTGATATTTTGTATTGTATTCTATTTTATTAAACATATGAAACTGATCATGACCAATGACATTTATTTCTCAACCCACTAATAGATTGCAACTCACCTTTTGAAAAAGCACTTCTCTAGAAAGTATAGATAATAAATCTATTCCCTTCAAATATTTAAGGGAGCTCTCAGGTTTCCATTATAAACTCTTCTGTTTTGTGGGCTAAACATTCCCATTTTCCTCAACTGCTTTTTTCTTATGATATGATTTTTAGAGCCCTCACTATCTTTGATTCTTGCCCTTGGACACATTTTAGTTTGAAACAAGCCTTTTAAAAATGTGGCATCTAGAACTAAACACAGTATTTCAGCTTGATATGACCATTGCTGGGAATAATGAAATTAGTATATACCACAGTCTGTGTACCATATTCTTACTGATGCAGGTGAAGCTTTTGCAGTAATGTCTGGACCTAAGTCATGGACCATCTCTCACAGTACTCACCCTACCACACCATTTCCCACCGAGTTTGGGCAATCAACCAAAGAGAAAACAAGAGGCAACAAGAATGGCTAGTTTCTGGCCAGGTGTGGTGGCTCACACCTGTAATCTCAGCACTTTGGGAGGCCCAGGCAGGCGGATCATGAGGTCAAGAGATCGAGACCATCCTGGCCAACATGGTGAAAACCCTTCTTTACTAAAAATACAAAAATTAGCTGGGTGTGATGGTGCACACCTGTAGTCCCAGCTACTTGGGAGGCTGAGGCAGGAGAATCACTTGAACCTGGGAGGTGGAGGTTGCAGTGAGCTGAGATTGTGCCACTGCACTCTAGTGTGGCAATGGAGTGAAACACTGTCTCAATAAATAAATAAATAAATAAATAAATAAATAAATAAATAAAAGAATGGCTAGTTTTCACTATTCACAATAGCTAAGGCATGTAATCAACCTAAATGCCCATCAATGATAGACTGGATGAAGAAAATGTGGTACATACACACCATGGAATACGATGCAGTCATAAAAAAGAACAAGATCATGTCCTTTGCAGGGACATGGACTGAGCTGGAGGCCATTATCCTTAGCAAACTAACACAGAAACACAAAACTAAACACTGCATATTTTCATTTATAAGTGGGAACTAAATGATGAGAACACATGGACACATAGAGGGGAACAACAGATACAGGAACCGATTAGAGGGTAGTGAGTAGGAGAAGGGAGAGAATCAGGAAAATAACTAATGGGTACTGGGCTTAATACCTGAGTGATGACATAATCTGTACAACAAACCCCCATGACACAAGTTTACCTATGTAACAAACCTGCACTTGTAGCCTTGAACTTAAAAGTTAAAAAAAAAAAAAAGCCCAGTTTTACCAAATCCTAGAAAGGAGGAGGAAAAATTATGTATATAATCAAGGCATCTCTTAATTTAGTTTTTTTCAAGAACAATTTTTACTAAAACCACTATTACTCAAAGATCACAGTCTTTAAAAAATACCCCAGACTCTACTACAAGGAACAAATGGTAGAGAATAAACAGCAAAGGCACAATAAAAGCATATAGTGCCCTAATGTGTGTTATCTTAAACCCCTTTTCACTTATCTCATCAAATCCATCTTTTGTTCAATTCAGGTGAAGGTTATAGCAAAATATGACTTGTTATAAGAGTGGTTCATAAAATGGGAGTGGCTGTGCTTCTGAATCTTGATTGTCACCTTCTATGTATATTATATAATACTTAGATATTTTGCTCCCTAAGAAGTTACCAGCAGATGGCTCCAGTCTTACAAAAAAAACAGATACAGAAGCCTTGTCCATGTAATTAGCCTTATTACTAGAAACACAATTTATTCATGTGTTATAAAGAAACAGTTTATTAGGTATAATTAACATTGAAAAGGAATAAAGTCAGGTCCTCTAGGCATAAATGTGTATTTAAAATTTCATAATAAAAAATATGCTTCTAAGTGAGGATTTGCCTGTATTTCTAATATAAAATATAATTAAGCTCTTTTTTTTGTAAACATGGTTGCAAAAATTGAGTTACAGACTTTATTTCTCTTAAAAATTCTCCATTTAACACATATCTCTTTTTGGAATTGGGTCAAGACAATGGCACGTTAAGGCAACAACACTCAGGAGGATCCTAGGAGGAAAGGCATGCCCTCCCCACTACTTTCCCTACTTAAGTTTTTGTTTGTTTGAGGCTTTAAACAAAATGTAAAGTCTCGTAAGGTCTTAATCATTTCCCCAAACTAAGGCAGTTGTATGCCATAAAAACGTAAGTTCTTTGTCAAAGGTTAAGAACATGCTGAACAAGTCAGTGTTTTCTGCACATCTTAGCAGACCTTAAAGAGGCAATACTGGAACTCCCCATCACAGTTATTCTTGTTTTGGCCACAGGTCTCAGCAAAGTGCTGTTACTTGCAGCAATTTGTTAGGGAAGAAATATCAACATTAAGGTAAATGTCTAACAGTGGGGACCTACATCCTTCCGGTGGGGAAAAGTTTGTAACTACAATGTGGGAACGGCTTAAATTCATCACTGCACTGATACAAGACATTGCACTGATACAAGACAGGCAGATCTGTCTTGCTTCCGGGAAGTCCAAGGCAGCGTGGTGAATGTGGTTCCAGCTCTGGATGATAAGGAATGGGCTACCACCTAGTAGCACCTGTGAGCGCCGGCCAAGAGGAGGGGCAAGAGGGCAAGTGTGGACCCAGGCTGTGAGGGGTGGGGGTGGGACCCATGGCATCCCCGCCCCAAAAGTTCCAGTGTTAACACATAGGTAACATCATCCAAAGTATCTCTCTCTATACATATGTGCAGATAGAAGGGTAAGTGAATAGATTGATAAATAGAATGTGTGTGTGTGTGTGTGTGTGTGTGTGTGTGTGTGTTTATGAGAAATGGATCTTACTATAAATACTGTGTTTTAAGTGACTAGTAAATTTACCTTTACTGGCATTAAGAAAAAGAATCAATGGAATTGATGAATCTCAGATAAACATTTCTTGAATATAATATATATTAGTTTCTAAAACATTCTTCTAAGGTTATAAGAAAAGATGATGAAAGCAATTAAAGAATTCAACCTTTACTTTAAAAAATAAAAATATATATTTAATTTTAAACAGGATGGATTGACTTCTCTGCATGAACTGTGAGGTGACTGTACTCAGGTTTCCTTCCACTTTCTGATTTTGATTGCTCATTCAGTGAGACCTCATCAGCAAGTAGTTTTTATTTGTTTTGTTTTTAATTCCCTGGGTTCTTTTATGTTTGAAATGGTCAATATTGCTCCCAGGATATGGGTGCTTCATGCCCTATCAAACTTGGTTTCCTCCCCTTTCAAAAATTATATTCTTATTATTACTATTGGTAAAATTTTGCCTTTTTAAAAAAACTAGCTTTTAATTTGTTTTACTACAGTATCTGGTAACAAATGGACTTGCCTTTCAGACCATGGGCTTTAGATTAGACAAATAATATGTAATCAGAAGTGGACATTATAATTGTGTAGAGAGCTTCGAAAATAAATATAAGCCAGGGCCCGATGTGCGGAAGTTCAGATTCAGTAAGTCTGTGGCGGTACCCACTGGGCATTTGTATTTTTTAAAAAGAAAGAAAGGTAATAAACTCTACAGATGATTTCTATACATACTCTTGAGGACTAAAGTGTTTGAGAAACCTTCAAGTTCCAGTGAGTCACAAGTTAAAATAGAAAGGCAGTCCATTGTTAGATAAACTGTATTTTATCACAGTTGACTTAGGGGCATACATCAGTGTGACTCAGGAATTTATGTTTCTTTAAGTTTAGATGCAGTAAAGATTGTGGTTTCTTAGATATTTTTTGTGCTGAAGAAGAAAATAATTTCTACTGCTACTTTAATTAAAAGCTTTTTTTGTTTGTTTGTTTGAAGGAGTTTTGCTCTTCTAACCCAAGCTGGAGTGCAATGGCACCATCTTGACTCACCGCAACCTCCATCTCCTGGGTTCAAGCAATTCTCCTGTCTCAACCTCCCAAGTAGCTGGGATTACAGGCATGCGCCACCAAGTCTGGCTAATTTTGTATTTTTAGTAGAGACGGGGTTTCTCCATGTTGGTCAGGCTGGTGTATTTTTAGTAGAGATGGGGTTTCTCCATGTTGGTCAGGCTGGTCTCGAACTCCTGACCTCGGGTGATCCACCTGCTTCGGCCTCCCAAAGTGTTGGGATTACAGGCGTGAGCCACCGTGCCCGGCCAACAGCATGTTTTAATGGGATACATAAAAGTCACTGGATTATTTTCTTTAAAAATATCTTTTAGTTATTAAGTCGGGTGTGGTGGCATGCGCTGGTAATCCCAGGTACTCAGGAAGTTGAGGCTGGAGAATTGCTGGAATCCAGGAGGCGGAGGTTGCAGTGAGCCGAGATTGCGCCACTGCACTCCAGACTGGGTGATGGAGTAAGACTGTCTAAAAAAAATAAAAAATAAAGAAAAATAAAATAAAATATCTTTTCATTATTAATACTTGGGGAAAACCCAATCATTGAGTCTCTGTAATCTAACTTGAGACATATAACAGATGTCTGTACCTGAAGTACAGGCATAGAGCCTTGGAGGGAACTAACTAGATTCCGTAAGATTTGTCTTAGAACTTATACCAGTTACAGGGTGGCAAATGTTCTACAACACAATGAGCTGAAGCAAAAGTGGAACTGAGGGACACCAAAATTCACAATATTTAAGTTTAGAAATGGGGTGATTCACCTACCTTTATCAGTTACCTGGTGGAAATGGAGATTTGGTATTTTTGGCTCAAATTCAAAATTTGGTTCTTATAACTTTTTATTCTATCCTTTGCAAAGATCTCTTACTATCACTAAATATCTTGACTTACCTAGTGCTTTCTGCAGTAAATTTAATGTTTTTTCCTCTAGTTCTTCAAGAGTTATGGCATCAAGGGAAATACTCTCCAGTAACTTGGAACGTTGATCTTCTAAATGAGGAACTTCATGAGTTACCACAGTAGACAAGAGTTGATCTTGCAAACCTTGGAATGTTACAGTGAAGTTGATCATAGTAACAAAGTTATAAACTGATGGAAGAAAATGGGGGTTGTCTATTTCTGTAGATAAGTATAACCTGAACATGAGAAAGGCACCAGTTATTCAAAGAACATGTAGAAGAAAAAAATGAACCAATTTATTTAAAAATACATAAAGCATTTTTCCTGGAAGTACACAAGATTTTTAGTGTTTTTCAGCTTTGTATACAAAGTACACTTTCAATTTATATTATATGAATACATTTGCATTGAAGTCTTAAAAAAATACAACCACAGACTGTGTACATACTATGTTTAGTTTACACATAAGGATGGAGTACAGAAAAATGTTAAATAGTAGAAGTTTTGACTTGCCACTAGATCATTGTGAAAACCATGGTTTTTACCTGAGTGAGTGAGAAGCCAATGGAGGGATTTGAGGAGTGACATGGTCTTTTTAAATCAGACTTCTCTAGCAGCTATCATTTAAAAAAAAATTTCAATAGCTTTAGAAGTAAAGCTACATGGATTAATTGTATGGTGGTGAAGTCTGAAATTTCCGTGCACCCATAACCTGAGCAGTGTACATTGTACCCAACATGTAGCAGCCATCTTGAGAATAGCCTGGGAGGAGAGGCAGAGGAGGAAGAGGGAAGCTGGCAGACTGGGTTACATGTGAGAAATGATGGTGGCGTGGAGCAGGGTGGTGTCAGCAGCAGTCATAGTGAAGAGTGGGCAGATTAATAAAGCAGAGACAATACTTCATTCCACTTTATGAAGGGTGAAATTGAAGCTTAATGATATTAAACAAATTGCCCATATCACATGGCCAGAAAATGACAGAGTGAGGTCTATCACTGAAGCCTGCCCTCTACAACAGTGCCCTCCAGCAGCTTCTCAACACACATTCCTAACATGGGGACCATGTTGTCTATTCAGGAAAATGTAACTTCATTAGCATTTTTAGCACTGTTACTTAATCAAGCAAATTATATCTAGCAAGAAAAAAGAATGGGTTAATGCAGTGTTTTCCAAAGTGTAGTCTATACAACACTATTTTCTGAAGAGGGTTTGGTGAATAAAGGGGTTTTAAAGTCCCGTAGGACTGTTACCTTTAGCCCACTTTAAAAAGCCATGGGATCCCTTTTTTGAGTGATACCTATTAAACCATGGAAATGTTTTGAGGAACATACTTTGGAAACTGTTTTATTAATGGAAGAGAGAATTATTATTATTATTTTTTCAGACAGAGTTTCACTCTTGTCGCCCAGGCTGGAGTGCAATGGTGCGATCTCAGCTCACTGCAACCTCTGCCTCCCAGGTTCAAGCGATTCTCCTGCCTCAGCCTCCCATGTAGCTGGGATTACAGGCATGCACCACCACACCTGGCTAATTTTTTTTTTTTTTTTTTTTGTATTTCATTGAGACAGGAGTTTCACCATGTTGGTCAGGCTTGTCTCGAACTCCTGACCTCAGGTGATCCACCCACCTCAGCTTCCCAAAGTGCTGGGATTACAGGCGTGCGCCACCACGCCCGGCCACAGAAGAGAGAATTCTAAGGAGTAATAATTTGATGAGAGACTCTGCAGCCCTGCACAGTGGGGAGGACACAGCGACCAACAGGTTTAAGAGTCAGCACCGCTTGGTAAGGAGTCAGTCCGTCAGAATTCCTGGGAAGAAGTTAAAAGCACCAGCCTAAGGATGGCTAAAGTCTTCTAGTTTCCTTTGCCAATTACTTGCTTACCCAGAAGGCTCTTATTATAAGTGGCCTTTCCTGTAGCTTTGCATACAAGGAGAGAATGCACATTAACAATTCAAACATCTTATTTCTTGGGAATCACATTTTTGTGGTAATCAAATCTATGTAACAGTGCTGTGTGAAATTGGCTAGTACAAGTGGATTTCCTGGAGTCCCTTTACTGCTGGGAACATGGATATAAAGCTTTTTATCTTCCTAGGCAAAAATCTCTTTTTGCTCTAGATATTAAATATGGATTTTGTGTGTGTGTGTTTTTTAAAGAGGCAGAAACTTTTCTCGCCCAAATAAAAGGTTAGGCAAACAGAACAAACAAGCAGAGCCAGGCTTCTCGCTTGCTCCCCTCTGCATAGCTTCTGAAGACTCCTCATAAAACCCACAGATTTTATCATGCACAGTTTGAAAAGTGTTGGTTTGGAGTGACTTGATAAAAATCGGTTATCTCTTCTGTATACTGATGAATACTACTGCCAACACAAAAACAAAAAGAATATTCCAAAGACAATCTTACTTTTTCCTCCATGTAGAAGCTTGACAGGACTGAAATACAAGGCATTCAATATTATTTATCTTAAAAAGCATAGACATTTGACTCAATTTAGCTGTGGCACATTACCTAAAATTTGAATTGTATTCGAACTCAGCATCACCAACCCTTATGAAATAGTGTCCTTTTTTCTGATAGATATCCTTTTTCAGAATTGCCTTTAAGCCTGGAGCTAATGTCTCAAGGAGATTCTGAAAAACCCAATAGACAAAAATAAGAAAAATCATCTTAAAACAAATTGGTTGAAAAAAAAAAGCAGCAATAAAACATTTAAAGGTTGAGTTAGAAAGAATGAATAAGACCTAGTATTTCATAGTACAACAGGGTGACTATAGTCAATCATAATTTAATTGTACATTTAAAAATAACTAAGAGTATAATTCGATTGTTTGTAACAAAAGATAATGCTCGAGGGGATGGATACCCCATTCTCCATGATGTGATTATTACACATTGTATGCCTGTTTCAAAAACATCTTATGTACCCCATAACTATATACACCTACTATGTACCCACAAAAATTAAAATTTAAATAAATTTAAGTTTTATTAAATATCTGGACTCCAGTGAAAGACAGCTGTAAGAGAACTGAGCATTGAAAACTCACTCTCTGTCTGTAAGTATATATGTGTGTATGTCTGTTATTATTTTTTCCCTGACAGTTATCTGTCACTGAAAACTTTTAGCCTTTATGCTCAGTGCATACAACATATGTATCAGCTGCAAGGGAAATTAGGCCATACTGCCCACTTACCTGCAGGAGGACACTCCCTCCTGTCTTCATAGCATTTTCAATTTTTTTGGTATAATTGCTGTCTTCAATGGAGAGCTTCTGCAGCCTGGATCCTTCCATCTGACGGATCCATTTGTGAGCTTGCCTATGTGGGTCAATCAGCAGTGGCCACTGCTGGCCATTCTTGATCAAGATGGCATTCTCTACTGAATACTGACCATGAGGCAGTCCCTGATTATGCCATCGGCTGATCTGCAATGAAATTATTAGTACTTTCACTATTTTGTAAATGTCTTCACATCTTTAGTATCCTACAGGGTACTAAAAGATCCTACAGAATCACTGCCTTTAGAAAAAGAAATACTGTTTAAAAATGCTAAGGAAATGAACAGTTTAAAGCAACTTAGATATGAAATTTTTGGGAAGGTAATTATTCACTAAATTACACTTTTGTGTTCAACAATAAGGGCATTATGATGCCCATCACAACAAAGATGCCATAGGGGACACAAAGGAAATAAGATACAGCACCTGCTTCCAAGGCTCGTAGACTCTAACGCATACAATATAGAATTATACAAATAGAATATACAAATATACAAAATATACAAATATAATAACAGCTATAGTCTATTTCGCACCTACCAACTGCCAACCACACATACATATATACCACATAGTGAAATTACTATAATAACCCTTATTTCTTGGATGGAGGAACTGAGGCTAAAAGACGTTAGATACTTGACTAAGGTTATACTATCAGAATAAGAAGCAGAGCTACCATTTGGTGAAACTTGATTTGTGGCCTGTTATATGGCCAATTTTGGCAATGTTCTATATGTGTTTGCATATAACGTGTCAGCTGCAGGTATAGGCTACAGTGCTCTATATATTCTCATTAAGTCCATTTGTTGCTCATGTTGTTCAAAGCTTCTCTATTCTTACTGATTTTTGTGTGCTTGTTCTGAGTTACAGAAAGGTGTTAAAATCTTTCACTATGATTGTAGATTTGTCTATTTTTTCCCTATAGTTCTTTTAATATTTGCTTTATATTATTTGAGATCATGTTATTAGGTACAAATTTAGAATTGTTAACAGTTGCTTGGAGAATTAAACCAATTCCTATTGTAAAATGAGCTTAAGTCTAGTAATCCTTTTATGCCTTAACATCTATTTTGTCTTTTTGCTTTTGTAATCTATGGTAAATTCTCTCCCATTTCTGACTCTCAACTTTTCTTTATGTTTTAGATGTGTCTTTTAGAAATAACGTATGTTTTATTTTATAAATAATATATGTTTTCTGTTTTGTGCTTTGGTTTATACTGTTGCATAGTCTTATAACTTTATATATATATATGAGGTTGCTTGAGGTCTGTCTACATATACACATACATATGTGTAGTCTTATACATATATGTATAAGCATATATGTATATATAAGTATGTATGTATACATATATGTATATATGCATATATGTGTGTATATACATATATGCATATATGCGTATACATATATGCATATGTGTGTATATACACATATGTACATATATGTATATGTGTATATATACATATATGTATATATAGGTATATGTGCATATATACATACATGCATATATGTATGTATATGTACATATATGTATATGTGTATGTACATATATGTACATATGTGTATGTACATATATGTACATATGTGTATGTACATATATGTACATATACATAGATGTACTTATGAATATATGCACATATGCACATGTATGTATATATGCGTATATACATATATGCACATATGTATATATGCGTATATACATATATGCACATATGTATATATGCGTATATACATATATGCACATATGTATATATGCGTATATACATATATGCACATATGTATATATGCGTATATACACATATACGTATGCGTATATACATATATGCACATATGCGTATATACATAGATGTACATATGTATATACGTATATATGTACATATGTATATATGTACATATGTATATGTGTACATGTACACACGTGTATATGTGCATACACACACATGTACACACGTGCATATGTGCATACACACACATGTACACACGTGCATATGTGCATACACACACATGTACACATGTGTATATGTGCATATACACACACATGTACACGTGTATATGCATATACACACACATGTACACACGTGTATATGTGCATATACACACGTGTACACATGTGTATATGTGCATATACACACAATGTACACGTGTATATGTGCATATACACACAATGTACACATGTGTATATGTGCATATATACACACATGTACGTGTGTGCATATATACACACATGCGCACATGTACACATGCACACATGCACACATGTACACATGTGCACATGCACATATGTACACATGTATATATGTATATATACATATATGTATATATGTACATATGTACGTTATATATACATATATGTACATATGTATATATGTGTATATATGTATGTATATATACATATAAGTATATATGCGTATATATAGTATATATGTATAGTCTTATAACTTGAGGATTGCTTGAGGTCTCTACATATATCGTATAGATATATGCTATACATATACATATACACACACACACACACACACACACATATATATGTAGAGAGAGAGACAGAGACTTGGCTTGTCTCCCATGCTGGAGTGCAATGGCATGATGACACCTCACTGCAGCCTTGACCTCCTGGGCTCAAGCGATCCTCCCACCTCAGCCTCCTAAGTAGTTAGGACTATAGGCACGTGTCACCATTGTGCATGTGCAATCATTGCAATGATTGTGATCTGTCATTGCAATTACTACTGCTGTTCTCAAACTGTGGCTGTATAAAAGTTAATAATGGATAATATTGAAAAATAAACTTTTCTGAGAGGAAAATTAATCTTACTCTTGGGTTTGCTAATAGTGTCATCTTTGCTAAGATAGATACATAGCCATTTAAAATCCTTCGTGTAACAAAGCAAGACAATTTTTTTTTTCTTTTAGAGACAGGGTCTTCTCTCAGTAGCCTAGGCTGGAATGTAGTGGCACCATCATAGCTCACTGCAGCCTTGATCTCTTGGGCTCATGTGATCCTCCCACCTCAGCCTTCCAAGTGGCTTAGGCTTAGGATGACAGGCATGTAGCATCATGCTCAGTAATTTTTTAATTTTTTTTTAGACACGGTCTTGCTACATTGTCCAGGTTGGCTAATTTTTTATTTTTTGTAGAGACAGAGCCTCACTATGTTGCCCAGGCTGGTCTTGAATTCCTAGGCTCAAGGGTTCCTCCTACCTGGGCATCCCAAAGTTCTGGCATTACAGGCATGAGCCACTGCCCCTGGCTACAATCTTAGACTTGTTACTGGAACATTTAGTCCATTTACACCTAATGTAATAACTGTTATATTTGAGTTTAAATTGGTTAGTAGCATTATGAAAATGTGAAGACAGTATTTGTTTCTAAGATTTTGTAGGTTGCATGGTCAATTTAAGTGAAATTATCAGTGGGGATCCAATCTAAAATTATTCTCGGAGGATTAACAAAAGCTAGGTGCATTTCTCTTTTATCCTTTAAACATCAGCATAGGATTTACAAAAACAGACAATAAGTATCTAAGTTAATAAATGTAGTTCTATATTTTTGGCTGTGTCTAAGAATACTCCCTGTGATTCAATAAGTTCATCAATTGTATTAAATGAAAGAGGTTTCAGGGAGAGAAATTGCCTATATTCATTGAGACAGGGTAGTAGGATTACAATGGGAAAAGGGATATTTTGTGACTTTTGCTCAGTATGAGAAACAGGAGAGATATAACTTATTGAGGCATTAGGGCTATAAATTAAAAAATCGAGGCCTGCAACAAACTATTAACAAAATATTTTCATTTATCAAAATAATTTTGGGACAACATCCAAGGCCGAAACTACACATACAGCTAAAATCCAAATAAACAATAATAGCCACTTAACTGGATAATAGAAATATGTTATTACCTCATATTTTTGTGCCATAACTTTAATTAAAGAGAATTTGGAAGACAAAGAAATGCCATTTTCAATGCAGAATGTCTCCCATTTATTCACAATCAACTGGCGAAATTCTGGTGTTAAAATTCCACTGTAGACAATGCACGCTGCTGAAAGAAGTATGTCACCCAAAATTCCTTCTAATTTGTTATCTATTTGATTGATTGTTTCTTGCCATCGAGTCTAAATGTTAAAATAGAAATGAGTTATTCTATATAAAATATATTATCATGAGATATTTTAAAATTAATGATTTCCAAGTTGGATCTATCATTGCAATTACTACTGCTGTTCTCAAGCTGTGGCTGTATCAAAGTTAATAATGGATAATATTGAAAAATAAACTGTTTTCTGAGGGGAAAATTAGTCTTATTCTTGGGTTTGCTAATAGTGTCATCTTTGCTAAGATAGATACACAGCCATTTAAAATCCTTTGTGTAATAAAGCAGGACAATTTTTTTTTCTTTTAGAGACAGGGTCTTCTCTTAGTAGCCTAGGCTGGAGTGCAGTGGCACAATCACAGCTCACTGCAGCCTTGATCTCTTGGGCTCATGTGATCCTCCTCCCACCTCAGCCTTCTGAGTGGCTTACAATGACAGGCATGTGCCACCATGCTCAGCTAATTTTTTTTTTTTTTTTTTTTGTAGAGACAGGATCTTGCTACATTGCCCGGTTGGTCTTAAACTCTTGACCTCAAGCAATCCTCCAGCCTTGGCCTCCCAAAGAGCTGGGATTACAGACATGAGCCACCATGCCCAGCCAAAGCAGGACAGTTTATAAAGTATCCATTTATTATAATATACTATTAATAGTATTCAACAACAACAATAATAACAGCAACAACAACCCATATTTACTGAATCTTTACTTATCTGCCAGACATTTTACTTTGAAAACTTCATTTGACACCGCCTTTGGAGTTTAGAGAAGTTAAACAACTTGGTCAAGATCACTAAGCTTCTAAGGGGTGTAGCTGGGATCTGAACCCATATTCTCTGGCTGTATATGGCCTCTTTGATCACGTATGTGCTTGATTGGTCGATAAATAAAGCATGTTAAGCAAGAGCCCTCTGTTTTGGTGCTCACCATCTGGGATATGCTGATGTTCCACTGCCTCTCAGTCTATACACTTGACTCTCAGGGACATCCATCTGCTTTTGAGAGCTATCATCTCCCTTTGATTGGTCTGTTTTCATAAAATCCTTCCTCTTGACCTTCTATGATATGTATTTAAAAAATTAAACTAAATTATAATTATCTTGAGAATTTTATAACATCCCTTGAGATAGCTGAGGTGTAACTAAACTGAGATTCTAGTTAGCTTACTAGAGATTCAACCATGGAGAAGCCAGATGAACCAGAGGAGAAATAAAAAGGTGAGCTAAAAGGGTTCAGAAGGCTGACAGAACAAAATAAAATGTTCTTTATTGGCTGCTCTGCCTATGGAGTAGCCATTCTTTATTCCTTTACTTTCTTAATAAACTTACTTTCACTTAAAAAAAAAGGGAGAATTTTCTTTTTCTTTACTAATGACATCTCTCCTTTGTGGTTCCACCCATGTTTTATATGTTCAGCTTGGGTTCTCCCAGTGCTAGAAAAGGAAAACTAATGACATTTTCATTGAAAGGTTTACTTTGGGCCTCATCAGAGAAAAGCGTGCTGATGTCTTCAGAACAGGAGATAACGTCAGATACTTGTAGTCTGTTACTTCTGTTTTGAGACGACTCAAACAGGATTTCTTTATGTGAATAGGATGTCTACTGATCCCAATAAGAAACTGGATAGTTAGATAGTTTTAGAAGGTATATGATACAGCCTGCAGTGAAAATAACATCTTGGGGGTTGTTGGGCCCAGTAGGAATTATGGACGAGATATAAGACCAAAGTAAGTCATGCCTTCTCATCTTCCAGGACAGTTAGTAAGACTGACGCACACTGAAAGCGCCTGCTGGCCATTGTTTTCCGATTTGCTAATAGTTGTTTTTCAGCAACGGTATCTTTGTAAGCTGCCTGTAAAAACAGCAAATGTTCTTCAACCTGAAAGATAATTAATTCATTATTGAGAAAAATATCTTACTCTCATTTTGCTTCAAGACTTTAGCTGTCATTTATATAAATATAGTGTTACCATTTCATTTTCACATCCTGGAAAATCTTTCTGGAGGGATTATATTACCAATGAAAATGGACATTGTAGAAATGAAATGATTCATTGATATTGAAATTTGTATATTTTTAAATGCCATCTTGCTTCTTTAATAGGCTTTTTTTTTACAATCCTAGCGTTTGTAGATTCATCAATTTCTGATTTATTTTTTGCAAATAAAATTTTATATCTTATTTAGATTCTTTTTCTAAGAAAATGGTTGAACTTCTTTTCACTTCAGATGTACTGAACAGACCAGAGGACCGAATGAATTTTTAAATTTAAGCTGTATGATGAATCAACTGTTAAACCTTCCTTACAGTGTTAGTGGAAAACATATTTTCATAAATAGCTGAAAAAATTATTTTTTATTTTTATTTTTGGGTACACAGTAGGTATATATATATATTTAGGGGGCACATGAGATGTTTTGATACAGGCATGCAATGTGTAATCATCACATCATGGAGAATGGGGTATCCATCCTCTCGAGCATTTATCCTTTGTGTTACAAACAATCAAATTATACTCTTTATTTTAAGTGTACAGTTAAATTATTATTGACTACAATCACCCTGTTGTGCTATCACGTACTAGGTCTTATTCATTCTTTCTATTTTTCGTATCCATTAACCATTCTTACCTTCCTCATACCTTCCCACTACCCTTCCCAGCCTCTGGTAACCATCTTTCTGCCCTCTATCTCCATGAGTTCAATTGTTTTGATTTTTCGATCCCACAAATAAGTGAGAACATGCCATGTTTGTCTTTCTGCACCTGGCTTATTTCACTTAGCATAATGACCTCCACTTCCATCAGTGTTGTTGCAAATGACAAGACCTCATTCTTTTTAATGGTTGAATAATACTCCACTGTGTATAAGTACAACATTTTCGTTATCCATTCATCTGTTGATGGACACTTAGGTTACTTCCAAATTCTGGCTATTGTGAACAGTGCTGCAACAAACATGGAAGTGCAGTTATCTATTTAATATACTGAGTTCCTTTCTTTTGGGTATATACCCAGCAGTAGAATTGCTGGATCATATGGTAGCTCTATTTTTAGTTTTTTGAGGAACCTCCAAACTGTTCTCCATAGTGGTTGTACTAATTTATGTTCCCACGAGCAGTGTATAAGGGTTCCCTTTTCTCCACATCCCTGTCAGCATTTTGTTATTGCCTGTCTTTTGGATAAAAGCCATTTTAATTAGGGTAAGATGATATCTCACTGTAGTTTTTATTTGCATTTGTCTGATGATCAATGATATTGAGCACCTTTTTATATGTCTTTTTGCCATTGGTATGTCTTCTTTTGATAAGTATCCATTCAAGCCTTTTACTCATTTTCAAATTGGATTATTAGATTTTTTTCTATAGAGATGTTTGAGCTCTGTATATATTCTGGTTATTCATCCCTTGTCAGATGGGTAGTTTGCAAATAATTTCTCCTATTCTGTGGGCCATCTCTTCACTTTGTTGAGTGTTTCCTTTACTGTGCAGAAGCTTTTTAACTTGATGTGATCCCATTAGCCCGTGTTTGCTTTGGTTACCTGTGGTTGTGGGGTGTCATTCAAGACATTTTTGCCCAGACCAATGTCCTGGAGATTTTCCCCAATGTTTTCTCAAGAAGTTTCATAGTTTGAGGTCTTAGATTTAAGTCTGTAATTCATTTTGATGTGATTTTTGTGTATGGTGAGAGATAGGGGTCTAGTTTCATTCTTCTGGATATAGATATCCAGCACCATTTATTGAAGAGATGGTCTTTTCCCCAAAATAATTTTCTTAAATTATCACTTATCTTGATTACACCCCTGCTCAAAAGCATTTGGTGAATTCTTACAGAAGTAATGGATTAAGGATATAGTCCAGAGTTTTGGCTATCAACTAATGCCTCCACAACCTGACCCCAACCTTCCTTCCCAACTTCATCTCCTTTATTACTCCTTTCCAATTATATTACTCTTTATCCAAATTGGTTTATTCCTTATCTCCCCAACATTCCTTAAGCTTCTTGTCTCTGGGATTTGACTCACATCCTTTGTACCTTGGCCCTTCCCTTAAAAGGGTATAAATCCTAGGCATTGTGTAATATACTGATCAACTTCCAGCTGTCATGAAGTCTCAGCCTTGTCAAATCTACACTGATGTTTGTTTATAACAGTTGTTTGAGAAGTAATTTTAAGTTTCCTGATATCATCTCTTGGATTGTGGTCTTACAGTCTTATTAACCTTTAAGTTGAGAGTTTAGCATGGAGACTTGAACATGGTATGTACAACACAATTATAAAGACAAAATTGTGCTTATTATGATTGGTAATTTCTCTTTTTTTAAGATGCTATCCTGGTGAAAATATATACCTAATTTATATGTGTATATATATGTTACTTTTGGCATGTTTAATGATTTAGAATTTATTCCTGGATCACCCATAACAATTATGGGTTGTTTGCACTTTCATGTGTTATGTTGTTTTTGTCTGCTTGCTCATTCACCCATTTTGATTCCTTTGAGAAAACTCCTGTTACTTACGACCTAGTGAGTTACTTACATATTAACGCATGGGGCCTATTGATTAACTTAAACATATGAAGTGTCTATTATATGATGAGCATTGCAGTCCCCAAAGGTAATGTTTTTGATGAATGTTCATGTGATTTGATAAGTTCTGGCATTGTTTTTTCCCCAAAGTTCCTTAGATTTTCCAGAAATATTTTTTATATTAGGGTCCAGGCAAATAAAAGACCTATTTTTAACTGGAAGGAAGTATGTAGCTGAGTGAGGAGAAAATTTCCACGAAGGGCTTAAAACTGATGGAGTTAACTAGTAAGCTAAATTTTAAAATATTAAGCGTAAAAAATATACATTTTAAGTATATTAATTGGATTTTAATGAGTTCAAATACTAGAAACTTCTCATGAAGCCTGTGGTTGAGAGATGGAAGGTAATGTGGCTCTGGCTGGAATGTACAGCTTGTCTTTTTCTCCCTACCATTTAAAAATATTGTAATTAAAAACAAATGACAGTGTTATAAATACACATTCTCCACTGGCCTGTAAAATTTCTGCTGAGAAATCTGCTGTTGGTCTGATGGAGATTCCCTTATATGTAACATAATGCTTTTGCTGTTTTTGGCATTTTCTCTTTGTCTTTGACTTTTGACAGTTTGACTATAATGTATCTCAGAGAGAAACTGTTTGGGTTAAATCTCTCTGGGGATTTATGAGCTTCCTGATCTGAATGTCTATCTCTCTCTCAAGACTTGGGAAGTTTTCAGAAACTATTTTATTAAATAGGTTTTGATGCCGTTTCTCATCTCTTCTCTTGGAACTCCCAAAATCTGAATATTTTTTCACTTGATAGTGTCCCATATATGAGGAAGGCTTTATTCATTCTTTTAAATTATTTCTTCTTTTTCTTTTTTATCTGACTGGGTCATTTAAAAAGACCTGTCTTGAAGTCTAGAAATTCTTTCTTCTCTCTCTCTCTCTTTTTGTTTCCCCTAGAGGTTTGTTCATTTTGATGATCTCTTCAAGTAACCAACTTTTGGTTTCATTGATTTTCGCTATTTTTTTTTCTATTCTCTATTTTGTTTATCTCTACTCTAATCTTTATTATTTCTTTTCTTCTGCTAGCTTTGGGTTTGGTTCGTTCTTTGTTGTTTAGTTCCTTCAGGTGTGAAGTTAGGTTACTGATTTTATATTTTTCTTTTTAAATGCAGGCATTTACAACTATAAATTTCTCTGAGCATTTCTTTTGCTGTATCCCATTTGTTTTGGTTGTTGCATTTGATTTGTCTCTAAGTATTTTCTGATTTCTCTTGTGATTTCTTCTGTGACCCACTGGCTGTTTAAGAATGAGTTAGTCGGCCAGGTGCGGTGGCTGACACCTGTAATCCCAGCACTTTGGTAGGCCGAGGCGGGTGGATCACAAGGTCAGGAAATCGAGACCATCCTGGCTAACACGGTGAAACCCCGTCTCTACTAAAAATAAAAAAAATAAATTAGCCGGGCGTGGTGGTGGGTGCCTGTAGTCCCAGCTACTCGGGAGGCTGAGGCAGGAGAATGGCGTGAACCCGGGAGGCGGAGCTTGCAGTGAGCCGAGATCGCGCCTCTGCACTTCAGCCTGGGCGAGAGTGCAAGACTCCGTCTCAAAAAAAAAAAAAAAGTTACTAATTTCAACCTTCATGTTATTATTGCCAGACAAGATGCTTTTATGGTATATGTCTTTTAAAATCTATTGAGAACTTATTTTGTGGCCAAACATATGGTCTACCCTGGAGAATATCTCAGGTGCAACTGAGAAGAATGTGTATTGTGTTGTTGCGGGGTGGAGTATTCTGAATATGTCTGTTAGGTCTAGTTGGTTTACTGAGTTGTTCAGGTTCTCTGTTTCCTTGTCTTCTTTCTGGTTGTTCTATGATTTCTTTTTTAAATCCATGATTTTTGGATTGTTTAAGCTTTCAAGTTTTTTTTTTAAAATGGACTTTCAGTGACTAAAAATGTCCTAGAAAACAGGGCATATCCTTCAGGTTTTTAAATTTGTTTACATAGAGTTTCTAGTAATTGTTGCAAAAAAAGGAACAAACACTTTCATTAAACTAAAAATTATTTCTTCTTGAATGCCCTGTTTTTCCAAATTGTATAATGTTTAAATGTATTATTCTTAAAGTTTTGAAGAATTTTTTTTTCTTTCTTGGGTTTCTTCCATTCTGAGACAGAAATAGGGCTGATATTCAGTGGTATATACTACACAGGCACAACAACTGTGAAAATGTTGACGTATTTCTGTAGTGATTGCTAAAGGGTCCTGCTCCATGTCCCAGGAAGCACCTCTACAGCCACACATTGCCTAACCTGGCCCCATACCTTCTCTTCAAACTCAGCTGTAGGCCTCCAAGACTCTGCTTCTACCCGCACGACAAATGTCCATTCTGATCAGTTTGGTGCCTATGCCACACTGGTTGCTAAATATTTTGGATATCACTTCTGGATATAAATATTTTAAAATGTAGCAGTTTAAAAGCCTGTTAAGTGCGTGGGCTTTAGAGTTAGACAGACCTAGGTTAGAACATGGGCACCATCACTTATTAGCTTAAGATCTTGAACAAATTTACTAAATCTTTAAAATTTAGTTTTCTCATTTATAAACATCTACTTTGAAATGTTGTTGTGAGGATTACATGAGGATTAAATGACCACTGTGCTTGGAACACAGTAAGTGCTAAATAAACATTAACTATTATCAGCATCCATCAAAACAAAACTCTATAGACTATAAGCTACAACAAAATATTAGCAAGAAATGATATATCTATATAAAGTAAATTCGGTTCAAATTTGTTTTTTTCTTTCAAAAATATCCAGTCCTTTTTAATATATCTCAGTTTGCCAGAAATGCCTATGGGGCCAAACAGGTAGCAGAAATGCTTGAAGTGAGTGGGGGCTGCCTACAGCCAAGTGGGAACGCTAGCCCAGAGTTGCCAGCTATCTGAGTTTTCAGGAAAAGACAGAAAATCAGATATTAAGTAAAATCCCGAAATTTTAAAATGTTGATTATATCAAAATGAGGTGAGGGGTGGGAAGACTGTAATAGGTCAAAAGATATCAATGGACTGAATTTGCCTGTTTGCGTCTCTGAAATGTATTACTTTGCTCACTCTCAAAATGTACGTGAGCTAAATAGGTAACAGGGATATGAATTCTAGTTCCAGTTCTCATAATGATAATGATACTGTATTTTAATTTAAAATCAAGACATTTAAGGAATAATCATGCCTTTACAAATCAACAGGGTAATGATATAAACAGGTTAAGTACAGTTGGATATTTTTTTTTTTTTTGAGATGGAGTTTTGCTCTTGTTGCCCAGGCTGGAGTGTAATGGTTCAATCTCGGCACACTGCAATCTCCTTCTCCCGGGTTCAAGAGATTCTCCTGCCTCAGCCTCCCAAGTAGCTGGTATTACAGACGCCTGCCACCACGCCCAGCTAATTTTTGTATTTTTAGTAGAGATGGGGTTTCACCATGTTGGCCAGGCTGGTTTCGAACTCCTGACCTCAGGTGATCCACCTGCCTCAGCCTCCCAAAGTGCTGGGATTACAGGCATGAGACACTGTGCCCAATAAAGTACAGTTTTTTTTAAAGAACACAGACTGGAAAAAAAAAAAAAGAGCACAGATTGATACTGTTTAAGGCTTTGGTAAACTGAAGTTGTAAAGATCTTCCGAGAGAAATTTGGTGAAATAGTAAATTAAAATATTATAAAGACAATAATAATGAACTCTATAGAGTGTTTTATTATGTGGTAGGCACTAAAAGTTTTATATATATTATTAATAATATTACCAATAATATTATTTACTTAATCCTCACAATTAATCTTTTCACTACCTATATTATTATTTCCATCTTATCTGAAACTGATAAGCTCTCCTGAGATAATTACATTGTCCTGGTGTTTTGTCTTATTTTGAGAACTGAACTGTATTTCTTACCAGCTGTAAACCTCTTTGTTTCTCAGCAAGTCTTTGTCGCGCAATTTTAAGGACGTTTTGAGCTTCAGCTACTTGGATTTGTTTAGGGCCCACAACCTTAAAGAGAATGTCAGAACATTTAAGTGTCAAAAACGTCGGGTTTACTGTTAAAAATGCCATTTATATTTGAAAGACATTTACAGAGTCAATTGTTACAATTAAACTTTCCTAGAACTATATGTATATGTGGGGTACAAAGTTGCCTATTATGGTGAAACAATAAAATGAAATACACAAATACTAGCATAGTTGTCAATAAATAACAAATTTAATGGGAGCACTTGACATCTGTGTGAGTTAGAATAACATTTGATTAAAGTGTTTCTCCTTAGGTATCCTTTCCACTCAAGTTCATTTGAGTATTGGTAAATAAAAATTATTTCTGGGACATTGATGTGCCACTTCCAAATCATGACAGATGTTTAGGAGGAAAAGCATACCTTCTGTACTTCATGGTAGTTATTCAAAGCTATAACCCACTGGCACAGGGAGCAACAAGCAACAGAAACCAGCGAAATCTTGTGTGGGTTGAAATCAGGTAAGGTTACAATTTTTTTTAGCTTCACGAAAACCTAGAGAGAACACAGTTAATGTATTACATGAGAAAGAAATATTATTCACCTGAAGTTTTCCCCAGTCTACACTAGATTGAAATTTTATTTCATATTAAAATATTCAGGCCGGGGGCGGCGGCTCATGCCTATAAACCCAGCACTTTGGGAGGTCGAGGTGGGTGGGTCACCAGAGGTCAGGAGTTCGAGACCAGCCTAGCCAACATGGTGAAATCCTGTCTCTACTAAAAATACAAAAATTAGCTGTGCATGGTGGCACACGCCTGTAATCCTAGCTACCAGGGAAGCTGAGGCACGAGAATCACTTGAACCCAGGAGTGAGAGGTTGCAGTGAGCCAAGATCATGCCGCTGCACTCCAGCGAGTGCACAGAGTGAGACTCTGTCTAAAAAAAAACAAAAATTAACTTATCTTTAATAGTAGAATCAAAGACACATGCCTGGGTACAAAAATGACGCTAGTGGCTGGGCAAGGTGGCTCCCGCCTGTAATCCCAGCACTTTGGGACGCCCAGGGGGGCAGATCACAAGGTCAGGAGTTCAAGACCAGCCTGACCAACATGGTGAAACCATGTCTCTACTAAAAATACAAAATTAGCTGGGCATGGTGGCAGGCACCTGTAGCCCCAGCTACTCGGGAGGCTGAGGCAGGAGAATCGCTTGAACCCAGGAGGTGGAGGTTGCAGTGAGCTGAGATCTCCAGCCTGGGTGACAGAGTGAGACTCCGTCTCAAAACAAAAAACAAAAAACAAAAAACAAAACAAAACAACAACAAAACCTAGTATCAGGAGAGAAAAAGCCTTTGTTAACATCCTGCTATTGCTACTGTTGTTGCAGTAGCTTTGCTATACTTTTTAAAAAGAAACTTTTAAAACAAAAACAAAACAGGTTAACTTTCTCCAGCTTTAAGAATTTGATATCTAAAAATTCTGAAGTCTCCTTGTGCACTTCAGGTGTGAGGTGACTAGGAATACCATCCTCTTCCTTCTGTCCCCCAGGCGGCATATTGGCAAGGCACAGTCCCTATTCAAAGGTCTGTCTGGTCAGTAATGGTGGTATGGCCTGGGGCATGCTGGGGCTCACTGAGGATGTTCTCTACCTTAGCTGTGTCACATGCCCACAGGTCCATCTCTATTTCTAAACGGTATCACACAGTTTGGAGTTAGATATACAGTATTTCTCATCTACTTTTGGGAGCCATAATCAGAATGAAATTTTTCTCAGACTGGGATTTCTTTTCCCTATCCAACTAGGCAACTCCTCTCTTGCCTGGAAGAATAGAGCTATTTTCCTAGAAAATAGTCTCTCCATCTAAGAATAGAACAATTTAGATGGCAGGTGGTCTGTTTGATCCCACAGACTGTAAATATGAGATGCATCAATTAGAGATCAACTTTTTACCTTATCAGGTATGCTGTCCTTGTCAAGGTTAATCAATTTTTTCAGGAAACCAGTTTCTGAAAGAAGTAACTTTGCCGTTGCCCAGTTAGGTTTCTTTTGCAGAAGAATACACACTGCATTCATGACAGTCAGTACAAGGAAGGGAGGCCGTGTGTATACTCTGTAATAGATGATGAAAATCTCATCAACTTCACAATTAAAAATGAAATGCACCCTGTAAATATCTCAGAAGACAATATACACAGATTTTTAACACACATTTGGATAAGGAAAACTATTTGTCAACATATAGCTATTTAATTACTTAGGTATCTTTTAAAAATTGGGTATCTTAAATATAAGGATATTATAGTTTTAGGAAGATGAAATGCATAAAACTTAAATAAGTACTACATCTGAGTTAAAGGCTAATTAGTTTTATTATAAAAAGTCTTGGGCTGGGCATGGTGGCTCATGCCTGTAATCCCTGCACTTTGGGAGGCTGAGGCGGGCGGATCACTTGGGGTCAGGAGTTCGAGACCAGCCTGGCCAACATGGCGAAACCCGGTCTCTACAAAAATAAAAAAATTAGCTGGGTATGGTGGCGGGTGCCTGTAGTCCCAGCTACTTGGAGACTGAAGCAGGAGAATTGCTTGAACCCAGGAGGCAGAGGCTGGACTGAGCCAAGATCACGCCACTGTTCTCCAGCCTGGGCGACAAAGTGAGACACTGTCTCAAAAAAAAAAAAAAAAAAAAAAAGAAAGAAAAAAAAAGAAAAGTCTTCACTGTAGAGTTATTTAAAAATAGAAACCCCTCTCTTGTTTCAGTCCAGGGTTGATTTACTGATGACTGCTTCACAGAGACACTGTACATGTGTATGCGTTGGGAGTCAGCCCTATTCTCGTGACTTAAGAAGTGGTATAACAGCCAACT
Organism: Homo sapiens; assembly: GCF_000001405.40. Classification (NCBI taxonomy): domain Eukaryota; kingdom Metazoa; phylum Chordata; class Mammalia; order Primates; family Hominidae; genus Homo; species Homo sapiens. The sequence goes on along the minus strand of NC_000001.11, from coordinate 225,321,911 downwards.
CCCCTTAAACACATGCTCTCATTTCTTCTTCCTGATCTAAAATTCCCACCATAAAAATCACAGATAAAACAGAGTCAGGGGAGGAAGGGTGGATGGGAATTTGTCTTTCAAGTCATTAATAATGTATTTATTATTGGAACATTGGAGGCGGTCTCTTCACTATGTCTTAATCAGTTGACGTGCCACTGGACTGTTAGGTAAGAAGTTGATGCTTTGGAAAGTCAGGGTCAGAATAACATTTATAAGAAGCAAGTTTCAAAGAGAAATCACAAGGGGGTGATGGTTGCTGTGCACCAGCATTTGGAACTTGGAACAAGGCAGGGTAGGTCCACACATGGGTAATGAGCCTCACCAAGTGAAAATCGCACAGACTTCCCAAAGAAGGAAGGCAACCAAGCCAACTTTATATGCATGACATTATCCACAGGGCTTACCAAGAAGGTCCTCTGCCTTGAATTTCACAACTAGAATTTTTTTTCAACTTTTATTTTAGTTTCAGGAGTACATGTGCAGGTTGGTTATATAGGTAAACTTGTGTCATGGGAGTTTGTTGTACAGGTTATTTCATCACCCAGGTACTAAGCCCAGTAGGCAATAGTTATTTTTTCTGACTGTCTCCCTCCTCCCATCCTTCAGTCTCAGGTAGGCCCCAGTGTCTGTACAACTAGAAATTCTAACCTATGTGTTCATTTGATTTAATCTTTAGTCTCATTAACAGTCTAATTTTAAAATGAAGATCATCTTCACATTTGAATAGCTCAATCATTAGCACTTTATTCTGAAATAATTTTTTCAGGTTGCTTTTCTGAGATTATCAGCTTGGCCTTTTTGAAATAATGGGAAAGATAACAGAGGAACTAGAAAAAGAGAAAAGGTCCACAAAGGAGAAGTGAGAGCTCCAGTAAGGAACCTTTCCTCAATTTTACCCAGGTTTAACTCTATTTAAAACAAATACGATGTGAATATAATACTAGGATAAAATATATTATCTAGGAAATTTAATTTAAATTAAAGGGGAAACAGGATTAAACTGACTGTAGTTCAATCTCTGTGCCACTTTCCAGGAATAAATATTTGATTCAAAGTGACACGTGTCTACTGGAAATTTGCTTTAAAATTCTTTATTACTTCACAGAATTAGTCTGTCTTGGATCTTTCCTCATTTTCTCCAATCTGCATTTTCTACTATCTGCTTTCTGCTTCTAGTGGTTCATGTTGCAAAATGGCAAAGGATGAAAGTATCATGGGGCAATTGTTGGCATTTTGATGATAGAAATAGCAGCTTGGGAAGAGAATGGACTAAGCTGTGCATCTGCTAGATGTCTCTGCTGCATGTCCAAGAATAGCAATGGAGATCAGGTTATAAGGCATCCTCATTTGTGTGGCATTTTGGAGTGAGCAAAGTAAAATACACATTAGCAATATAACAAAGGAGGATCTTTAAAAACAAACAAACAACAAACAAGACATACTCAAGGAGTTCAAAGACAAGGCTGGTTTTCTTAGCTTTTGTAGTACTACTAGGGCAGGGAAAAGGGCCTACTTGATCAGAGGAAATCTCTTATCATGAAAGTAACCTTTATTGAGCATTTGCCTTATGCCAGCCTCTGTTACAAGCATTTTACCTGTATTAACTCATTCAGTCCTTTCAACATCTGCAATCACTGTTGCACAAAAGGGAAGCTCAGGCACAGAGAGCTTATACAGCTAGAAAGTGGCAGTGCCAGGATCCCCAGCCAGGAAGCTTGGTATCAGAGCCCATGTGCTTAACCACTATGACACACCACCCCTCAGAAATTAGGCTAAAGGGAATTTGAACTGATCACTCTCTAGGGAATATCTGCTAGAAAAAAAAGCTAAGAGGATAGAACCTTCTGGAACAAAGTCATGAGGTACATGAGGGGCTGTGTTGGGGAAGAACTGGCCCCTGTTACTTCTCTAATGTCATCTCCTGACATTCCCTCTTGCTCACTGAACTTTAGTCATCTTGGTCTTTTGCAGTTCCTGAAACCCAAGAAGCACATTTCTGTCTTCAGACTTTTGTGCTTTCCATTTCCTCTGCTTGGAACACTCTTCCACTGGATACCTGCCTAGCTTACTTCCAAATTTCATTCAGTTCTCTGCTCCAATGTCACCTCATCAGAAACAGTTTCCACAACCGTTAACTGCTACAACCTCAGTGCCCAGAACAGGGCCTGGCACTTAATGTGTGCTCAAGATATTTGCTGAATTGAGTGCATAAGAATGAGGGCATACGAATGAAAGAAAAAGAAGTCAAGAATTCTCCCTCCTTCTCTTGCTTGTTTCTCTTTTGCATTTTTTCAGTTTCACGGGCATTAACTTCAGCATTGTAATATGATCTCTTCATCATAAAAATATATTGATCAAAAAAATTCTTCTTATCACAAAAGCTAATAATATGTTATAAATATCACGGTAGGTTTGCTCCAAATTTCCACATCTTTCATTAAAATACTATTTTCTACAAATAGCAGAAAACTCAACACATTCCAAGACGTTATAGGTAGGTTCCCATTGTTTGTTGAGTTGGGGAGCTCAAGCTAAAAATTATCTCACCCAAAGATTCAAATTAGCACTAATAGGCTCAGATCTTTGTAGCCTAAAATGTTTCATTTCTTCCTGTATTTTCTTATGTATTCTCTTCAATCATTAACCCCTAGCCCTAACCTGGATCAAGTTTGGGACAGGGCACAGCAAGGGGAAGCACTTCCCGCACTTCCTGTAGTGACACCTTGTGGTAATGTCCAACTTTGCAGTCTCAGATATGTGTTAGTACAGTCCCAAAAGCTGTAGCTAAACTGGTACAAGCAGCCGTTTACAATGTGTAAACATTGTCCTTTTATTTTTGGAACTGCAGGCCAGGTAATATTGTATTTTGTCAATTTTAAGATGCACATTTTTACATCAAAGAGACTGAGATTCAGTTTATAACAAACAGCACATCACAGTGTAACTGGCAGCATTTTTTCTTCAGGATACAAAAAATACTGGTATGCCTTACAATTGAAGGCATCATAAAATTGATAAGATACAGTATATACCATACAGAATGAACACTTAAAGTAACCAAGATGGGTAAAAAATCTTAAACCAAGATTAAGAAATGGAATATAGGCTTAGTATATAGGCTAAAAATGGAATATAGGCTTAGTAAACATGAATTTATGTTTTTTTCTGAGCTTTTCCAACTCAAACGAAACTTAGGAGAGTTACCTTAATTCAGCGACATCAGCTTTATCCAGGGCATTCAGAGCCACAATTGCCTTGTCAAAGGCTGGCAGCACACTTTTTAGTTCATTGGCAGTTTTCTGCAATAAAAATATAGGTCCCCAAACACATATGAATCAATATAGTTGCATATTTAAAATTTTTGTATGCTGAACTTGGAAAATATAATTTGATATTTTTACAATGCCCATAAGTTATGCATCTTTTATGACTTAGATATGTGCACACATGCTTGTACTGTTGGAAAGGTGTATCATAGTCCTAAAATGTGTATGATTCAATCCTTGATGAGAAGGTATACATGGGAAGCAAAAACACTGAGTGATTTCTGCCTTACCTCTTAGACTCAGTGTAGAATTAACAATGCCCTTTTGAGGAATGGTCCAGTTAAGGGTAGAATTACTGTGAAGCTACGAAGCTTAAACTTCAGCCTCTCACTTGCACACACCCCTTCCAAGGCTGTGCAAGCAGCCCTGCCATTATGTTTGCAGGGTCATATGTTTTCATTTTGCAAAAGTAAGACATTTGAACTGCAATCAATTAGGAATGATTTCTCTTTGCATTTTGCCCCATTGTTTGTCAGGTTTCCTATCACATCAGGTGTTGCAGTGGCTGTGGATATTTTGAGATCTGGCTAAAAAGTTGACTTGGGAATTATATTTATATTGCTCACAGTTACTTCCCTATATAGTAAAACTACTGTAAACTGTCTGAAATAGAAATGACTTCCAGAAATACTTCTGTTTTCTGCTGGTCTAACTTTCCCGGTGGGGTGACATTAAGCCCAGAGGTCATATTGTAATAGAAACTTGTCCTATAGGATCTGGCACCAGAAGTATGTGGGTTAGTATAGGAGAGACGAGGTTTATAATGTATGCATCTAGAAGCTACTCTGTATAAATATTTCCACTTATTAGATGTATAAAATTGTAAATGGAGGGTTAGATTTTCATTGACACCTTTGCAAAATGAAACTTCATTCTGAGTATACTTGATAAGCAGTATATACTATTCTAAACCTGCTATACTTTTTTTTTCTTTTTTACTGGGAGTTGTATAAAATCAAATTCATCAGAATTCCTGGGTTTTAAAGAAATACTTACTGCATTTGGCAAGATGTTTTGGAGTGTTTCAATGAAGTAAGTGAGAAATTACAGATTTCTTATGTAGATATGTGAGAGGTGCCTTATTTTAGAATTTAAAAATTTTATTTACATATATATAATTAAGATAAAAACGTGAAATATGAAATAAAGGTGAGTGCTAAAATCAGTAGAGGTTATTCTGATATTGAGGAGCAAATCATAATGAAAAATTTTAGGTCATACCAAAAGCAAAACTTTATTAAAATGAAAAAATAAATTTAGAACATAAGTAATGAAGTGGCTCTTGTTTTGTCTAATTATCCAAGTAATAAAGAAGAATGAATCATATGATCACATTGGAAGAATTTAAATTTCTTTCTGCATTTTCAAGAAATATTGACATTAATGAAAATAACATAAATATCAGAAAACACTGTTATAATGAGGACATTGATGGAAAACTGGTTAATGAATGTCATTGATTCAAACAGTATTTGAAATTAATCACTGCATAAGAACCTCGAAAAGCCATTGCTGCTTATACCAAATGTAATAGCAGTCCTATAAAATATTCATGTCATTGTCAATAATAACTTAGAAAGTTGAAAGAAACTTCTAAACTATCAAAAATGAAAAACACATTTGATCAATTCTGCCAAAGATTTTTTAGGAAATGATATTATAAAATCACTATAATATGAAGAAATGATCACAGAGTATGCGGTGAGAAAACGTAGAAAAAAGTATTATAGGAGTGTGGCATGATTGGGCCAAGATGGCCAAATAGGAACAGCTCTGGTCTGCAGCTCCCAGCGAGATCAACGCAGAAGGTGGGTGATTTCTGCATTTCCAACTGAGGTACCTGGTTCATCTCATTGGGACTGGTTAGACAGTGGGTGCAGCCCATGGAGGGAGAACTGAAGCAGGGTGGGGCATCACCTCACCCAGGAAGCACAAGGGGTCAGGGAACTCCCTCCAGTAGCCAAGGAAAGCCATGAGGGACTGTGCCATGAAGGACGGTGCATTCTGGCCCAGATACTACACTTTTCCCACAGTCTTCACAACCCGCAGACCAGGAGATTCCCTCAGGTGCCTACACCACAAGAGCCCTGGATTTCAAGCACAAAACTGGGCGGCTGTTTGGGCAGACACCAAACTAGCTGCAGGAGTTTTTTTTCATACCCCAGTGGTGCCTGGAATGCCAGCAAGACAGAACCATTCACTCCCCTGGAAAGGGAGCTGAAGCCAGAAATCCAAGTGGTCTTGCTCAGTGGATCCCACCCCAGTGGAGCCCAGCAAGCTAAGATCCACTCGCTTGAAATTCTCACTGCCAGCACAGCAGTCTGAAGAAGACCTGGGACTCCTGAGCTTGGTCGGGGGAGGGGCATCCACCATTACTGAGGCTTGAGTAGGCAGTTTTCCCCTCACAGTGTAAACAAAGCTGCCCCAAATTTTGGACTGGGCAGAGCCGACCTCAGTGCTGCAAAGCCGCTGTAGCCAGACTCTCTCTCTAGATACCTCCTGTCTGGGCAGGGCATCTCTGAAAGAAAGGCAGCAGCCCCGTCAGGGGCTTATAGATAAAACTCCCATCTGCCTGGGACAGAGCACCTGAAGGAAGGGGCAGCTGTGGCCGCAGCTCTGCAAAGGGACAGACTGCCTCAAGTGGGTCCCTGATCTGCATGCCTCCTGATGGGGAGACACTTCCCAGCAGGGATTGACAGACAGGAGAGCTCCAGCTGGCATCTGGCAGGTGCCCCTCTTGGATGAAGCTTCCAGCGGAAGGAGCAGGCAGCAATCTTTGCTGTTCTGCAGCCTTCGCTGGTGATACCTAGACAAACAGGATCTGGAGTGGATCCCCAGCAAATTCCAGCAGACCTGCAGAAGAGGGGCCTGACTGTAAAACTAACAAACAGAAAGCAATAGCATCAACATCAACAAAAAGGACAACCACACAAAAACTCCATCCGAAGGTCACCAAGAACAAAGACCACAGGTAGATAAATCCACAAAGATAAGGAAAAACCAGCACAAAAATGCTGAAAATTCCAAAACACAGAATGCCTCTTCTCCTCCAAAGGATCACAACTCCTTGCTAGCAAGGGAACAAAACTGGACGGAGAATGAGTTTGATGAGTTGACAAAAGTAGGCTTCAGAAGGTGGGTAATAAGAAACTCCTCTGAGCTAAAGGAGCATGTTCTAACCCAATGCGAGGAAGCTAAGAACCTTGATAAAAGATTAGAGGAATTGCTAACTAGAATAACTAGTTTAGAGAAGAACATAAATGACCTGATGGAGCTGAAAAACCCAGCACGAAAACTTCGTGAAGCATACCCAAATATCAGTAGCCGAATCAATCAAGCAGAAGAAAGGCTATCAGAGATTGAAAATCAGCTTAATGAAATAAAGCATGAAGGCAAGACTAGAGAAAAAAGAATGAAAAAGAATGAACAAAGCCTCCAAGAAATATGTGACCATGTGAAAAGACTAAACCAACATTTGATTGGTGTACTTGAAAGTGATGGAGAGAATGGAACCAAGTTGGAAAACACACTTCAGGATATTATCCAGGAGAACTTACCCAACCTAGCAAGACAGGCCAACATTCAAATCCAGGAAATACAGAGAACACTACAAAGATACTCCTCGAGAAGAGCAACCCTAAGATGCATAATCCTCAGATTCACCAAGGTTGAAATGAAGGAAAAAATGTTAAAGGCAGCCAGAGAGAAAGGTCGGGTTACCCACAGAGGGAAGCCCATCAGACTAACAGTGGATCTCTCTGCAGAATCCCTACAAACCAGAAGAGAGTAAGGGCCAATATTCAGCCTTCTTAAAGAAAATAATTTTCAACCAAGAATTTCATATCCAGCCAAGCTAAGCTTTGTAAGTGAAGGAGAAATAAAATCCTTTACAGACAAGCAAATGCTGAGGGATTTTGTCACCATCAGGCCTACCTTATAAGAGCTCCTGAGGGAAGCACTAAATATGGAAGGGAAAAACTGGTACCAGCCACTGCAAAAACATACCAAAATGTAAAGACCATTAACACTATGAAGAAACTGCATCAACTAACGGGCAAAAAAACTGCAGCTAGCATCATAATGACAGGATCAAATTCACGCATAACTATATTAACTTTAAATGTAAATGGGCTAAATGCCCCAATTAAAAGACACAGACTGGTAAATTGGATAAAGTCAAGACCCACTGGTGTGCTGTATTCAGGAGACCCATCTCACGTGCAAAGACACACATAGGTCAAAATAAAGGGCTGGAGGAAGATTTACCAAGCAAATGGAAAGCAAAAAAAGCAGCGATTGCAATCCTCGTCTCTGATAAAACAGACTTTAAACCAACAAAGATCGAAAGAGACAAAAAAGGGCATTACATAATGGTAAAGGAATCAATGCAGCAAGAAGAGCTAACTATCCTAAATACATATGCACCCAATACAGGAGCACCCAGATTCATAAAGCAAATTCTTAGAGACCTACAGAGAGACTTAGACTCCCACACAATAATAGTGGAAGATTTTAACATACCACTGTCAATATTAGACAGATCAATGAAACAGAAAATTAACAAGGATATTCAGGAATTGAACTCAGCTCAGGACCAAGCAGACCTAACAGACATCTACAGAACTCTCCACCCCAAATCAACAGAATATACATTCTTCTCAGCACCATATAGCACTTATTCTAAAATCGATCACATAATTGGAAGTAAAACACTCAGCAAATTCAAAAGAATGGAAATCATAACAAACAGTCTCTCAGACCACAGTGCCATCAAACTAGAACTCAAGATTAAGAAACTCACTCAAAACTGCACAACTACATGGAAACTGAACAACCTGCTCCTGAATGACTACTGGGTAAATAATGAAATGAAGGCAGAAATAAATAAGTTATTTGAAACCAATGAGAACAAAGACACAACGTACCGGAATCTCTGGGACACAGCTATAGCAGTGTTTAGAGGGAAAGTTATGGCACTAAATGCCCACAGGAGAAAGCGAGAAAGATCTAAAATCAACACCCTAACATCACAATTAAAAGAACTAGAGAAGCAAGAGCAAACAAATTCAAAAGCTAGCAGAAGACAAGGAATAACTAAGATCAGAGCAGAACTGAAGGAGATAGAGACGCAAGAAAACCTTCAAAACATCTATGAATCCATGAGCTGAGTTTTTGAAAAGATTAACAAAATAGACCACTAGCCAGACTAATAAAGAAGAAAAGACAGAAGAATCAAAGAGACACAATAAAAAATGATAAAGGGGATCTCACCACTGATCTCACAGAAATACAAACTACCATCAGAGAATACTATAAACACCTCTACACAAATAAACTAGAAAATCTAGAAGAAATGGATACATTCCTGGACACATACACCCTCCCAAGACTAAACCAGGAAGAAGTCAAATACCTGAATAGAACAATAACAAGTTCTGAAATTGAGGGAGTAATTAATAGCCTACCAACTGAAAAAACAGCCCAGGACCAGATGGATTAACAGCCGAATTCTACCAGAGGTACAAACAGGAGCTGGTACCATTTCTTCTGAAACTATTTTGAACAATGAAAAAGAGGGATTCCTCCCCAACTCATTTTATGAGGCCAGCATCATCCTGATACCAAAACCTGGCAGAGACACCATGAAAAAAGAAAATCTCAGGCCAATATCCCTGATGAACATTGATGTGAAAATCGTCAAAAAATACTGGCAAACCAAATCCAGCAGCACATTAAAAAGCTTATCCACCACGATCAAGTTGGCTTCATCCCTGGACGCAAGGTTGGTTGAACATATGCAAATCAATAAACATAATCCATCACATTAACAGAACTAATAACAAAAACCATATGATTATCTCAATAGATGCAGAAAAGGCCTTTGATAAAATTCAACACCCTTTCATGTTAAAAACACTCAATAAACTAGGTATTGATGGAATATATCTTAAAATAATAAGAGCTATTTATGACAAACCTACAGCCAATATCATACCGAATGGGCAAAAGCTGGAAGCATTCCCTTTGAAAACCAGCACAAGACAAGGATGCCTTCTCTCACCACTCCTATTCAATATAATATTGGAAGATCTGCCCAGGACAATCAGGCGAGAGAAAGAAATAAATTGTATTCAAATAGGAAGAGAGGGAGTCAAATTGTCTCTGTTTGCAGATGACATGATTGTATATTTAGAATACCCCATCGTCTCAACCCCAAAACTCCTTAAGCTGATAAGCAACTTCAGCAGTCTCAGGATACAAAATCGATGTGCAAAAATCACAAGCATTCATATATACTAATAATAGACAAACAGAGAGCCAAATCATGAGCAAACTCCCATTCACCATTGCTACAAAAAGAATAAAATACCTAGGAATACAACTTACAAGGGATATGAAGGGCCTCTTCAGGGAGGACTACTAACCACAGCTCAAGGAAATAAGAGAGGACACAAACAAACGGAAAAACATTCCATGCTCATGGATAGGAAGAATCAATATCAGGAAAATGGCCATACTGCTCAAAGTAATTTATAGATTCAATGCTATTCCCATCAAGTTACCATTGACTTTTTTTCACAGAATTAGAAAAAACTACTCTAAATTTCATATGGAACCAAAAAACAGCCTGTATATCCAAGACAATCCTAAGCAAAAAGAACAAAGCTGGAGGCATCACGCTACCTGACTTCAAAGTATACTACAAGGCTACAGTAACCAAAACAGCATGCTACTGGTACTAAAACAGATATATAGACCAATGGAACAGAACAGAGGCCTCAGAAATAACCCTACACATCTACAACCATCTGATCTTTGACAAACTGGACACAACCAGCAATGGGGAAAGGATTCCCTATTTAATAGTGTTGGGAAAATTGGCTAGCTATATGCAGAAAACTGAAACTGGACCCCTTCCTTACACCTTATACAAAAATTAACTCAAGGTGGATTAAAGATTTAAATGTAAGACCCCAAACCATAAAAACCCTAGAAGAAAACCTAGGCATTACCATTCAGGACATAGGCATGGGCAAAGACTTCATGACTAAAACACCAAAAGCAATTGCAACAAAAGCCAAAATTGACAAATGGGATCTAATTAAACTAAAGAGCTTCCGCACAGCAAAAGAAACTATCATCAGAGTGAACAGGCAGCCTACAGAATGGGAGAAAATTTTTGCAATCTATCTGTTTGACAAAGAGCTAATATCCAGAATCTGGAAGGAACTTAAAGAAATTTACAAGAAAAAAACAAACGACCTCATCAAAAAGTGGGCAAAGGATATGAACAGACACTTTTCAAAAGAAGACATTTATGTGGCCAACAAACATATGAAAAAAAAGCTTATCATTACTGGTCATTAGAGAAATACAAATCAAAACCACAATGAGATACCATCTCATGCCAGTTAGAATGGTGATCATTAATAAGTTAGGAAATAATAGATGCTGGAGAGGATGTGGAGAAACAGGAACGCTTTTACCCTGTTGGTGGGAGTGCAAATTAGTTCAACCATTGTGGAAGACAGTGTGGGAATTCCTTAAGGATCTAGAACCAGAAATACCATTTGACCCAGCAATCCCATTACTGAGTATATACCAAAAGGATTATAAATCATTCTACTATAAAGACACATGCACACGTATGTTTATTGTGGGAGTATTCACAATAGTAAAGACTTGGAACCAACCCAAATGCCCATCAGTGATAGACTGGATTAAGAAAATGTGGCACATATACACCATGGAATACTATGCAGCCATAAAAAAGGATGAGCTCATGTCCTTTGCAGGGACATGGATATGCCTGGAAACCATCACTCTCAGCAAACTAACACAAGAACAGAAAACCAAACACTGCATATTCTCACTCATAAATGGGAGTTGAACAATGAGAACATATGGGCACAGGGAGGAGACATCACACACTGGGGCCTGTCGGGGGGTGAGGGTCTAGGGGAGAGATAACATTAGGAGAAATGCATAATGTGGATGACGGGTTAATGGGTGCAGCAAACTACCATGGCACGTATATACCTATGTAACAAACTTGCACATTCTGCACACGTATCCCAGAACTTAAAGTAAAATAAAAAATATTTAAAAAGAGTATTATAGGAGTGTGTGAGGTAATTTTCTAGATTTTGTGATGTTTGTGATAATTGTCAGCTTTAAAAATTTTATATTTTGTTGTGATTTCTTTACTTATTCTAAGTACATATTTAGTTTCATATCTAATTGTGTACTGTAATTTTGTATTCTTTTTTAAAAATATGGCCCCAGGCCCTAATGTATCTGGCTTTGTGCTGAAGCCAGGGAGAAAAAAAGATTATCCTTTGTGGTATGGCAAAAAACAAAACAAAACAAAACAAAACCATGCAAAACAAAAAGCAAAAACAAACGCCATGAATTTCTCTGTATCAATTTTTAATTGGCTTAAAATATTAAATACTGAAATTAAGCCGTACTCTTATTTATTTATTTATTTATTTTTCTTTTTTTATTTTTATTTATTTATTTATTATTATTATACTTTAAGTTTTAGGGTACATGTGCACAATGTGCAGGTTAGTTACATATGTATACATGTGCCATGCTGGTGTGCTGCACCCATTAACTCGCCATTTAGCATTAGGTATATCTCCTAATGCTATCCCTCCCCCCTCCGAGTCTTGCTCTCTCACCAGGCTGGAGTGCAGTGGCGCCATCTTGGCTCACTGCAATCTCCGCCTCCTAGGTTCAAGTGATTGTCCTGCCTCAGCCTCCTAAGTAGCTGGGATTACAGGCCTGCACCACCACATTCAGCTAATTTTTGTATTTTTAGTAGAGACGGGGTTTCACCATGTTGGCCAGGATGGTCATGGTTTCCTCACCTCGTAATCTACCCGCCTCGGCCTCCCAAAGTGCTGGGATTACAGGCATAAGCCACCCCGCTCGGCCCCTTACTCATATTTAATATATTGATCAACAGTGGCACCTTCAGGTGGTTGGCATTGCAGAAGTTCTGGGTCACTCAGTGAGATAGGTGGCACCTTAATGGAAGAGGGGAAGCTCCCCATCTGAGAAGGCTCAGGAATGGGGCCTCCCCTATTTGCTTAACACTGAGGACACGAGGAAGCCTTGCAGCTTACTCGTATCCAAGTGAGGGATTTGCCTCTTCTGTTACCTAGTTTGAAATGTCAGCTCCTAAAACATGGGCAGGTAGCTTAAAAAGATGTCTGAAAGAAACACTGGATTGAAAGCAATGCTAATAATGGAAGCACAAGTGAATAACAAGCAAAAGGCAGGCTGACACTTCTTTTATTCTTGATATAAATTTTTCTTCAACCATGTTATAAGGTAAAAAACAATGATGAGCTAATTAGGTATGACAAGAGGCCAACAAGAAAATTTTGAAATAACTGAAAGGACTATTTGCAATCTGTATTTATATTCACTGTTATTCATAATAAACCTTGTCCTAGGTATTTGTTGAGCTTTGGGCTATTAGCTAATGGCAGCAGCCCACGGATATAATTTATCTATAAATAATTTACACACATACTAGAGTATAGGTTTACATATGTATTTTAATTGATGGAGTTGCTTGATTAAAAACCTTTGTACATGGAAGACAAGCTCTCCTCTTGACTTGCTCTGAGCAGGAATAGCTACTGATCAGACCAGAGTTGAGCATGCAGTGATTTGCTAAACCACACTGGCTCTTGCTAAGAACCCGACTGGAATGTATGGAGGAGAATGGTCAATTTAAAAAGAGGATTATTCAGTCAGCAACAGAAGTGACACACACCAAATACACAGTCCCTTGAGCTGCCTCGTTTCTTGCAGATGTTACTCTTGAAGGCCAAACGTGCTTTTGGTATGGCCTGCATGAGTTTCTGTTCATTGTAATCAGAAAAGCTTCCTAGGATTGTGGGTTTCTCAAGGACAGGGACCATGCATGTTTGGACTTCATACTTTCATTTAATGTTATCCTGTGTGTAGTAGGGACTCAATAAATAGTTGTTGGAATTACAATGAAAAGTAACCATAGTTGGGGCACTATGTATTTAAGACTAGTCAGTCTGACTTTTAAATTTGAAGGTTAGGGAATACTTTTTCAAATCTCCAAATTATTTTTATTGACAATATTTTAATTTTACCTGAGCATAATCTTCCACAATTCTTACTTCTTCTGCCACAATTTCTTCATCCTGTTTAACAAGCATCTGAACTTTCTCAACTACTTGTGAATCTTTCCGTAGTTTTTCCATTAGAGTTTCTGTTTCCTAATGAAGCACATAATTGTTCTTAGAATGAATTTTAAGAGACATGATCTCTTTTCTAAAAGAGCAATTCAAATATCTCATTTCACTATGGTAAAGTTTACTAAAATCAGCCTGAAATATATTTAATAGATTCATAAAATGAGAGACAGCAAGAGATGAATAAAATGGAGAGAGCAAGAGCTCTCACCATTTGGCCAGCTCTCAGCTGCGCCTCCTCTTATAAGCTCTGTCATCCACTATCCTTGATGGTAGCTCTCCGCCACTGGTGCTCTCTGCCATTGGTCTGCCACTGGGATATTGCCTAGGATGACTACAGTAAATATTTCATGCGTTACACACAAAGAGTGATGATGAATGATGGTTTTTAGAATAGTTGATAGACTGCAAGTTACCACAGCATATTTCAGATGGATTTAACTAATTGACTAGGGAATCTTTCTACATAAGCTTCTACAGTTAGCTATATACCTACTATTACACTTAATTATCAAAATGTAATAATGTTACTGTTTTGCTGTTACTGCTTTTTTGTTCTTCTCATTTTACAGATAAACTAAGACTAAAAAAACAAGCTATTTTTTTCATGTGTACACAACTATAGGGTAACAAAGCTGGAATTCTAGCCTGTCTTTGTCAGGTATCAGAGCCTTTGCTTTCAAACACTGTTCTATATTAGACTATAAAATCTTTAAAAGAGATTTCAAAGCAAACATACCTTTGTTTTTTGTTCTACTTGAGGGCCAAGAATCAAGAGCTCTTCTTGCATTTCTGTAACTAGAGTGGTTGCTTCCAGGATTGTGGATAGACCCATATGGAAGCGATCCCTGAAGGAAGAAAAAGTATTAAGAAGGTGTAAGATATAACACAATTTAGCAAATATAATTTGATAATATATAAAAAGAATTACACCAAATTATGGCCAAATGGATTTTATTCTAGAGATGCAAGACTGGCTCACTATTTGAAAGTCAATCAATATAATCCACTATATTAACAAGGTATAAAGAAGAAAATTCACTGCTGCATCAGTATCCATTGATGCAGAAAAAACATTTGATAAAATTCATGATAACTAGGAATAGAGGGGAAATTTCTCAACTTGAAGAACAGATGCTGTTAAAATAAAATGGACTCAAAGGAAAAACTAATAATGAGAACTGGGCATCTGAGGTTCAGCTCCCACTGGAGCACACTTAAGACAGGCAAATTGGGCTTTAAATGTACTAATTCCCCATAAGGGTACCTCTCATTTAAACAGAATATTTAATTATAAGTTTCGGGGTGGGAAAGAGAACCAGATAGGCTGTAAGAGACCCAAACCATATAATTAACCCTTCTTGCTTTTTCTCCCCCCATATCTACCCCTGGGAAACTGGACTACTGAAATTTCCAAGTAGCAAAGAAGAGCCGGGCAGTGGTGGACTGTAACCTGTCTTTTGCCACCGAGATATGCTTGCTGGATATAAGCAGTTATGGATGTTGATAATAATGATTATGCATATAAGGTGATAGCTCTTAAGATTGTCCTGGCATGGCCCACGCATTAGGGGGTGGGAGATGTTCTAGGATAGTACAAGGTATGTAAGGAAGAAACTACTGAGTGATCTAGAGCTGTGTTGTGGGTAAGACATGAGGAGGAATGGAAAAGGGGTGAATGACTGTGATAGGGACTGGTCATACTGATTACATGGCTGTGAATGGAGAGCAACAACCCTGGATGATGGGGAGGGGACACCTTAGATCCCAGGAGGTTAGGAGTGAGAGGAAGATTCATTAAACTCTCTTGACGCTTGCCTGTAGGGCATCTGGCCAATTTTCTCAGACTGTTGACATCATCCTTAATTTAACTGCTGACCAACAAAAATCTCAATCTAAGGACTCTCAGAAACCTCCTAGGATCTGCTGACCCCAGGAGTGAACAGCCTCTCCTTGAAACAGAACAAGATTAGCTTTCTGAGCACTGATATGATTCTCTTTAGCCTCATTATTATATTCACAGACTACCTCAACTGCTCTAAAATGAACTGTTATTGGATCTATCATGCCCCACCTGACCTTGTTAACGAAAACTTAATAAAATTAGACCCTGACCCCACATTAGCAAAATGCTGCTATTGAGGTTGCTGCTTATGTAAATGTCAGGCCTATACTTGCCTGCAGCACACAAATTAGTTCACACTCTCCAGCATGAGTGCTGATGAAATATCACATTGCCCTGGACTTCCTGCTGGCCAGTTGAGACAGAGAAGGTGCAATGGCCAATACCTCTTGATGCACTTGGATTAATAACATTTTTAACTGGCTTGGCTCCAGACACGGAGCTTGGCTGTGGTCTATCCTCCAAGTGGGAGTCATAGTCATGATCACTCTCATGCAGTGTTCCCTATGGCAAATGGAATGGATCTGGCCCAGGCCCCAGTCAGTGTAATTAGTTACAGTATCTGATGGAGTGGGCTATTTTTAAAAAACAATTATTAGCTGGATACGTGACAGGTTTAGGAGATGGACTTGGAGAAGAATAGTTCCACCATGGTGCCTCGGCAGCCCTTCATGTCTCCATATAGGTTATATAGACAAGGCTTGGCTGCAGCTGATCTAAGTGTTGGCAGGACACCCCTGATCTTTCTAGAACATGAAAATGTGGGGCACTTGTGAGTAGATGCTACCAGGCCATTTCCCACTCATTTCCCCATCTTCCTGGAAGATTGTCATAAGATAGTTTCTCAATGTCTCCTGTATTCTGATTAGGGGTGAGGCCTTCTGCTTCATGTTTCTTCCCGTGCCTCCTCAGGTACCACTGCTGGCTATAAAACTGCTTAGTAGGTGTTCCACTATCTGCGTTGTAGTCATCTGAAGCCTTTTATTTTGGTGTCATCCCATGAGACAAAGGACATGGGGAGTGGCACTCTTCGTTACTCTTGCTTTCATTGCCCATGTAAGAAATAAACTGTCGGAATCCAACAGGGACTAATTGTTTATTTACTGGCCAAGTCTGTCAGCCTTGCCTTGACAGGGGCGGCCTTTGAAGGCACACAGGGGGAATGTCAACCTTATCTCTTTTAAGATCTTCTGCAGCTTCTGGCTTTTTGTCCCACCAAAAAGGCAGATTTGGCTCACCATTTTGCATTTGTGTCTCTTTTCGCAAACAAAAACACCAATATAAAATATATTTATGATTTGTTCTCAAAGTCTTACCTCTTTGTTTGCATCTCTTCCTCTCGTGCCCTCAAAATGTGTGCAAATGTTTCCATAAATTGCAAGTAGCTATTGGGAGTGGTATAATAAAATCTTCCAGTTTCTTCAAAGTATTTTCTGTTCAAGTCTTTCATGCTTTTGTGGATTTGGACACATGTTGGGGCAAGTTTTTCTTTCAAGTTCTGAAGAATAATAATTTTTAAGAATTAAGAGAAAGCAATCCAAATATACATAAAAAGAGAAAGTTGAACACTTAGAATTAATTAAAATAGCTTATTATTTCTGAGATGTGGAGATGTAGAGAGAGCTCCCGGATGAGCAGGACAAAGAAAATATGAGTTTTGATGGTTGGGATGGTGGTGGGGCAACAGCAGAGCTAACTATGAATGGCATGCCACACTCATTCTTCTAGGCTTTACCCGTATGTTACTCTCACTTTTGCTATAGTCATCCAAAGATTTGGGCATCAGTATCAATGGCCAAGGGTTATAATGTTTTCTTTATCTTTAAATTTTTTATTTATTTTTTATTTTGAGACTGGATCTTGTTCTTTTGTCCAGGCCAAAGTGCAGTGGTGCAGTAGTAGCTCACGTAGCCTCAAACTCTTGGGCTCAAGAGATCCTCCTGCCTCAGCCTCCCATGTAGCTGGGACTACAGATGTGTGCCACCACACCTGGCTAATTTTCTAAATTTTTTGTAGAGACAGGGTCTCACTATGTTGCCCAGGCTGGTCTTGAACTCCTGGCCTCAAGCAATCCTCCTGCCTTGCCTCCCAAACTGCTGGGATTATAGGTGTGAGCCACCATGCCCAGACTTCTTTATCTTTTATATTTTTTTCTTAAAGTGGTCATCAATAGCAAGATACTCAAGGAAATTTCTTTGAGTAAAATAAAGCTACAAAAATGTAAGGACCCAAAGGATGTGCAGATGAGCAAAACCAGACTGCGAAGAATATTCTCTTTGCCTGGATTGGGAGATAATTCTGATTTAGACATAACCTAGTCCTGATGATTCATCTCCAGTCCACCAAGTCTAACCAGTCACTGGTCACTTTTAACTCAGCGGCATTTTTTTTTCTTCTGGTTCTACTCTGTCTCTGTCCTCCTTGGCCTTTGCTTTCCTTGATCACTTAGACAAGTAAGGATGCAATCCCATTGGTCCCGTAGGACCTAGAAATGTCCTACGTTGAGTTTCAGTTCTCTATGCATTTACAGCTCCTTTGGTCAACACTTCTTACCCCCTTTGCTGTCAGCTAGGTCCTATGGGATGTTCAGTTTAGTCACTCCAGAATAGGTTCTTTCTTACTGTTGGCTCATAAATTCTGAGTTAATTTTGTGTTGTGGCTTGTGCTCTCACTGCTTTGCTGACTTGCTATTTGTAGCCAAGCCAGAGCAATTTACAAGGAATACACAGAAGGTTGCAGCATCCTTACCATAGAATCTGGTATGCAGAATGGAGACTGTTTTCCTTCACGGAAATCTGCTGTTCCACCATGTGGACAGCATAGTGAAGAGACACAGGCATTGCAGAATCTGAATCTGGGCATCTTTGAAATAGGGTGAATTCAGGGGTACAACAGATGGGGAATTAATAGGGAGTCATTGTAAACACTTGATCCATTTTATTGTAAATTAGCTTAGAACTGCCTATTTTTGTCCATCTAGGGTTTGTTGCTCTTCAGAGGCATAATACCATCAGATGCTGTCAATAAACTGAAACCTTCACTTGCATTAGATATTTACCTCTCTGTTCTCAAAATTGACCTTTTCTTTTAAGAATGAGTTAGCTACAATAAGGAGAGCTTCTTCTGGCCACCTCTCATACCAATCGATCGTGCAGGAGCTAATCATAGAAGGATACACTCTACAATTTTGGCGGAAGCTAGGTCCTTCAGGACTCATGATCACAAAAATATGAAGATTTTTATATATTCTCTGAAAATTAATGAAAATATAAATTGTTAAAATGTAATCCACTGTTTTGAAAAAATATTATATTAAAAATTCCATGGAAAACATATTTCAGATCTTTCCTTAGTGGGTAGATCAGGGACTGATCATTTGTGCATGGAGTGCCTGCCATAAACAGAGCCCTTCCAAGGGAAACTAACAGTAGGGGAGGCACTGGACCCAGAACACCCCTTGCGTAAACCAACTCTTATGATGGGGGCTGGTGCTAGAGTTCTGTTCAGTAGGGGACTTTATGTCAGATGGTGCTGGGTCTGACTGTTTAACTCTTTCCTCTGGGGTGGTGTGGATTTAAGACCCACAGAAACTCAAAGTGAGAAGATGGTCAGATGAATTAGAGCTGAAAGAAACAGACTGACAATAAGAGTAGAGCACCAGAGGTAGTAATAAAACTCCTACAGCTAAGGGATTACAGCTAAGCAACATGAGACCTACACAATTTTACAGGCCCTAGGCTAAGTGCTAGTTTCTTTGCAATTTGCCTTCAGCCCTTTTCCTCATAAGACCTGGCTGTGCTGCTGCTGTTGCTGGGTTCTTGGCAAGACTGGCAACAGGGCACAGATTCCTTCTTCCTTATTTCCAGATATCACTTTGCAATAAGTCCGCATTACTGAAAACAGCCTCAGTGACTTAGTGTTCCCTTTAAGTCAGAGTCTAATTGTACAAAATGATAATAAGCATCAAGCAACTTATTTTGTCAAATAAATATAGTAAAGCTGAAAGAAGACTAAAAGGCAAGATTTTTTTTCCTTTTTTTTGTCTTTAACAAATTTATAAAGGCAAATAAAACTGCTCAGTGCAAAATTCATACAATGTGGAAATGTTTAAAGTAAAAATGAAAATATCTATCTTTGTTTTACGCATTCCCAAAACTTCTACCTAGATATATCAAATGTTAGCAGTTTAAAGTGTGCCTTTATTATTTGTTATTATTGTAGGACATGTCAAATTACTTTTAGAAGCATAGCATTATATATATTATATATGCAGAATATATAATATATATTATATATATAAAACATATATAATATATACAATTAAATTGACTTCTAACTGAGATTCTTGGTTTATTTATTTATTTTCTGGAGTACTATTCTCTGCACTCCAAATTGAAATTTCTTTTTTCTTCTTTATTATTCAAATCTAATGAATAAACCAAATATAGTAACAAGGCACAAGAGTGCCACAATTGTCAGGATAAATGCTATCCTTCTTCCTACCACGGTATTAAAAAATATAACTAAATCTAAGGATATCCACTCATATTATCTTGTTCTCTATCAACTGTGGAGTCATTTTTGGAATTTTTAAAACATCTCCTTGTGACAGATTACTAAGTATCTGTTTGATACTTAGTAATGTTGTTACTAAGTTGAGAAATGGTGGATGGCCAGATTCAATTTTTAAATTGCCCTATGATAGACAAAAACTAGTACCAGAAATAAATCCACCTGTGGTCCTCCCCCAGTGAATATTCTAGTTTGGGTAATCATGTCCATATATTTGCTAAGCCACTGGTCGGTCATCATGTCTCAAAGACACAGAAAGTTGAGTTCATTTTGACTAATCTATATCTCTCATCAAACCAGTTTGTTCACAGCTCCTCTGCTGCTGAGTTCATTCTGAATAGCACCCGCTCTATCCAGTCAATTTCTTTTTTTATCCATCACCTCCTGGTCAATTCTAGGACTATTCAAAAGGATGAAATGATTCTTGTTTCTTGCCTTTCCAGACTTGTTACCAAAAAGACGAAATAAGAACATCATTATCTAGGAAAGAATCTTTGTGTAAGAAATACTTACACAAATACTTACACAAAAATAAAATCTTGGGATTTTATTTTTCATTTTATTGCCTCCAGCTGGTATTATTTTTTAAAACCATTGATAGCCAGACAGGCTCAGATTCATGTTAGTTTTTGACCTACCGAAGGGTATGGTGTTGTCTGTAGGTAGGGTACCCATTATTTTACCTTAAAAACTCATATAAAGATCTAAAGAAATTATATCCAACTTGAAAATCATGTACAGAATTATAAACACGGTCTACTTTTAACATGACAATTTGATAAAGCCAAGTCACAAAAAAGTACCTTTTGAAAGAATGAAAGTAAAGATTGCCTATTATCCATATGACCAGATTGTTCAGTAAGATATCTGATTTTCATTGCAATAGAATCCAGCTCAACATTTTCAAACAGGTCAGGTATTCTTCCTGAACTGATGATGTAGTTCAAATCTTCTAAAAATGAGTCCTTAGGCAAAACACATATTTAATGAGGAAGAGTAAATTATTCATATATTCTACCCTAACCACATCAATTTGAGGAAGCAAGAAAGCAACAGTGATTAAGGAGAACTGAGGCTAAGTGATTTTTTTTTTTAAAGCTAATCTCCCCCACCCCCCACCTTTTTTTTTGAGACAAAGTCTCACCCTGTTGCCCAGTCTGGAGTACAGTGGCATAGTCATGGCTCACTGCATGCAGCCTTGAACTACTGGGCTTAAGCCATCCTCCCACCTCACCCTCCCAAATAGCTAGGATGAAAGGTGCATGCCACCATGCTTGGCTAATTTTTAAAATATTCTTGTAGTGACTGGGCCTCTCTATGTTGTCTGGGCTGGTCCATCTTCCCACTTTGGTCTCTCAAAGTGCTGGGATTACAGGCATGAGCCACTGTGGCTGTCCTAAAACTAACGTTTTCATTCAAACCCATCAGAATATTTTTTTCTGAGTCAAAATAAGCTTCATTCATCCATTCATTCATTTAAACATTAGAGAAACATATACTTGGTATGGAGAGTATGCCAAATAGCTGTGACAGGCACTGAGAAAAGAGGTATGGAGGAGTGGGTACAATAATGAATTGGGCAGGAACACTGCTCAGGCAGTTCACAGAAGCCCTCAATACATTTACATTTGCGTTTGAATAGTAGTAGACAAACTAGAAATAACATTGCTGAAGGATTATTTTAATTTAACTGAATTCATATCTATATAGGGCCTCAAATTCAATGGAAAAGGTAACAGATGAGAAAAAGTAGGGAAACAAACTCTTCCAGAAGAGTTATTATAAATGTAAGGACATTTTGCTTTTGAGAATAAATCCAAGATTTCTTTTTAAAAAAAGCATTTAAAAAAGTAGGTAGCATTAGTGACTCTCTTCAGGAGACTCAGACACTGATAGGTTCATGGTATTTCAGTTCAGGTGGGGAAGGGCAGAGAGCTTGTGGGGAGCTCTCCAGTAGAGGCCAACAGAGGTGACACAGGGCTAACGTATTTCCTGTCTCACCTCATATGTGATGGAGAACTGCCAAAGCTTGTTACACACTGATAGTTACCCACTCTTTTTGAGTCACATGAAAAGCAATGATATGGCCAGAAGAAGCCTGGAAAGTGTGGGAAACAGATCCAATGATCTCGAAGTCCTGAGTAACATGAGAGCAGAGGAGCCATGTCCATTTCAGCTTTGGCCTGAAATGATTTTCTGAAACTGATTTATTAAATTAGAACAATGGGCTCCTGGCATGGGAGAAACTACATCTTCTAAAATCCAGAAAGAAAGTGTGTGGCAGAAACCTCAACTGGATCAACAGAGCTGGATATTTAAGTTTGGTGAAGGGAGAATATATAGATATAGCAGAAACCCTGGATATTATGGAGTTTCGTAGATATGATATGGCACTTGGATTTGCTCTCAAAAATATGACATGAAAAAAATAACTCAATGGAGAAAGGCCCAGCATTAAGAGAAAAAACAGGATGAGGGGTTGAAACAATACTCAATAACTATATATGTCTGGATCATAAACAATAAACAATGTTCCCTTGAAATTTTGTCACAAAAGAGTAAATACAATCTGAGGTGGCATTCCTAATTTTGTCTTGGACATGGAAGAGTATACTTTGTGAAAAATAACAGAACAAAAAAAAGTGAGTGATTAGCAATTTTTGCTTGTACGTAAATATAGTATATTCTGGGCCTGGCGACTGGCCAGATGGCTGGCTAGAAGTACTTGGAAGTAGTCTTCCCCATAAGAAAGGACCAATGTAACAAACAGCTAAGATTTGACTAGAGTGTCAATGGGAGACTGCATGAGTACAGTGACAGGATGGAGAGGTACCTGTGGTGACTGGAAGCCCAGGAGGGCAATGTGGAGGCATCCTGCCTCTGCAGCCCTGTCTCCCCTGTCCAGATCAGCTGGGAGTCAAGAGGGACTTCTCCTTGTGGAGAAAAGGTAAGCAGAAGAATCCCCCAGCCCCGCTGCCACTGAAACACCTACAGTCATTATACAGGACAATCCCAGAGTCCTTTCTAGCCCTGGGCCCATTTTAGGGAGCTGCTGGAAATTCATGCAGCTGCATTGCTCTGGATTGGGAGAACAAGGTGTGTACTTCCCACCCACCCTCACTCCTGCTGTGAGCCAAGCTACAGCAGCATGGCACCATCTTGAGACCAGAGGTACCTCTGGAGTGTGCCCTGCTCTAGGGGCCAGTAGCCATGCACCTCTCCAGCACTGGGACTTCATCTTCATTCTTCCACCAAGTCCACATGGGTGTCTATATGCCACAACCCCAGCTGTGCAGAGCCTGGACCCAGGATTGGCTGTGATTGTGGTCCTGCCAGCAGGGAAACCAATCCCCAATGCCTGCACTTTTAGTCAGGGGAATAATCTGGCAGTCCCATTTAGGGTGACCCTACCCTTGAGCTGGCCAAACTGCTGTGTACCCTTCTTGAAGCAGGAGGGGTCCCAGAGCCATTGAACAGCTGACACATTCTTGGGCTGGCAGAGTGCTACATGCCCATGCCCAGGACCTGAGAAATAGCCCCACAAGTGCCTCCACTAAGGACATGCCCCTGGCCTGCCCAACAGCTCTGTGCCCACAGTCAGGTCCTGAGAAAGAGCCTTACAGGTCACCCCTGGAAGACATACCCCCAGGCTAGCCAAGCAAACCTTTGCCTGCATCCTAGGCCTGAAAAATAGCTACATGGGTTGCCCCTGGCAGACACACCCCCTTCAGGTCAGCTGAGCAGCCATGAACCCATATCTCAGGCTTGAGAAATAGCCTTATGGGTCACCCCTGGTGGTGGGAGGTGGGCACACTCCCAGGCTGGCCAAGAAATATTGTGCTTACTTCTTGGACCTAAGAAACAGCCCTGTGGTACATCCCCCGTGCTGCAGACATGTCCCTGGCCTGCCTCATGACTCTGTGCTTGTACTAAGGGCCTAAGAAACAACCCAGTGGGCAACTCTGGCAGACACACAACCAGGCCAGCCAAGAAACTGTATGCCCATGCCCCCAGCTAGAGCAATAGCCCTATGGCCCCAAACCAAGTGAGCCAGATCCCAAATTGGCTGATTCACTGCATGCATGCACATGCCCTTGACATGAGAAACAGCCTGGTGAGCCCACCTCCAGCAAAGTTGCACCATTGCCTCCACAAACCCTCACAGCCTAGGCTGCTGAGACATTTGCAAATGTCACCAGCATGGATTACAACTGAAGAAACTACATGGAGACTACACTACTGTATCCATCTAGAATCAAGGCCATGCACCCAATGACTGACACTGTAAAACCCATACCTATGAATAAGTCTCTCCTTATGAAAGCTACTCCATAAAGTTGGAAAGGTGATTGCTTTTCCAGATGCATAGAAATCAATGAAGGGACACATCAAACATGAACAAGCAAGGAAACATGAAATCTCCAAAGGAACACAATAGCTCACCAGTAACAGGTTGCAATCATACAGAAATATACAAAATGACAGAAAAAAAATGTAAAAGAATAATCTTAAAGAAATGCAGTAAGATACAAGATAAAGATAGACAACTCAACAAAATCAGGAAGATAGTTTATGGTTTGAATGAGAAATTCAATAGGGAGATATATATCACAAAAAGGATCAAAAACACATCTCAGAGCTACAGATTTCAATGAAAAAATATATACAATTGAGAGCTTCTACAATAGATAAGACCAAGCAGAAGAAAGAATTTCTGAACTTAAAGGCATTCCAGAAGGAGAAGAGAAGGGAAAAGATGTAGAAAGCATTTAATTAAATAATAACTGAAAACAATCCCAAGTCTTCAGAGAGTGTTAGTCATACAGATCCAGGAAGCTCCAATGTCCCCAAGTAGATTCAACCCCAAAAAAGCCTATCTGAGGAACATTACAGTCAAACTGTCAAAATTCAAAGACAAAGAGAAGATTCTAAAAATGGCAAGAGAAAAATGTCATCATATAAATGGGAAACCCCAGCAGAACAACAGCAGATTTCTCAGCAGAAACCTTAAAGGACAGGAGAGAATAGGATGAGATAGTCAAAGAACTGAAGGAAACTGCCAGCCAAGAAAATTATATCCAACAAAGCTATCCTTCAGAAATGAATGAGAAATAAAATCTTCCCAAGACAAGCAAAACCTGAGGGAATTCATCACCCCTAGCGTAGCCTTACAAGAAATGCTCAAGGGAGTCTTACAAGTGGAAGTGAAAAGATGATAACCACCATTATGAAAACATGCAAAACTATAACACTCACTGGTAGAGCCAATACACAAAGGGGAAAAAAGAAAGGAATCAAACCCTATCACTGCAAAAAAAAAAAAACCACCCACCACAAACATAAACGATAAGAGAGGAAGGATACACAAAACAACCAGAAAACAATCAACAAAATGAGATAAATAGTTCCTCACCAATCTATTATAACTTTGAATTTAAATGGATTAAATTCCCCATTTTAAAAGATAAAGATTTGGCCAGGCACGGTGTTTGACCCCGATAATCTCAGCACTTTGGGAGGCCAAGGCAGGAGGATCTCTTGAGCCCAGGAGTTCCAGACCAGCCTGGGCAACATAGTGAGACCTCGTCTCTATTTTTAAGAAAAGATATAGACTGGCTGAATTGATAAAAAACAAGACTGGCTGAATGGATGAAAAACAAGACCCAACTATAAGCTGCCTATAAGAAATTCACCACACTTGTAAAGACAGACATAGAGTGACAGTGAAGGGATAGAAAAAGATATTCCATGCAAACAGAAACCAAACACAAGCAGGAGTAGCTATATTTATATCAGGTAAAACAGATTTCTAGTCAAGCTGTAAAAAGAGACAAAGGACATTATATAATAATAAAGGAATCAATTCTGCAAGAGAATATAACTATTGTAAATATATATGTACCCAACACTGGAGCACCCAGATATATAAATCAAATATTATATCTAAAGGAAGAGAGGGACCCCAATACAATAATAGTTGGGGATTTCAACACCCCATTCTCAGCATTAAATAGTTCATCTAGACAGAAAATCAGCAAACATCAGATTTAAATTGCACCATAGACCAAGTGGACCTAACAGACACTTAAAGAACATTTCACTCAACAGCAACAGAATACACATTCTTTTCATTAGCACACGGAACATTCTGCATGACTGACTACATGTTAGAACACAAACAAGTCTCAATAACAAATTTTTAAAAATCAAAATCATATCAAGTATCTTATCTGAGTACAATGGAATATGACTAGAAATCAATAACAAGAGCAACATTCAAAACTGTAACATTCATGGACATTAAACAGTATGCTCCTGAACAACAAATGGATGAAGGAAGAAATTAAGAATGAAATTTAAGAATTCCTTGAAACAAATGATAATGCAAACACAACATAACAAAACCTAGGGGTGCAGGAAAAGCAGTATTAAGAGGCAAGTTTATAACAATAAATGCCTACATAAAAAAGAAAGATTTCAAATAAATAACCCAACAATCCATCTCAGGGAACTACAAAAAGCAAGAACAAACGAACCCAAAATTAGTAGAAGGAAATAAATAATAAAAATCACAGCAAAATAAATGAAATTGATAATAAAAAACAATATCAAAGATCAACACAACCAAAAGTTTTTTTGCAAAGAAAAACAAAACTGAACAACTATTAGTTAGACAAACTAAAAACGGAAAAGATCCAAATAAATAAAATCAGAAGTGAAAAAGAATACATCACAATGGATACCATAGAAATACCCAGGATTACTAGAGACTATTATGAACAGCAACACATCAATAAATTCAAAAACCTAGAGGGAATGATTAAATTCACATATAGTCTATCAAGATTGAGCCAAGAAGAAATAGAAAACCTGAGCAGACTAATAATAAGTAACAAGATTGATCAGTAATAAAAACTCTCCCAAAAACAAACAAACAAACAACAACAACAACAAAAAATCCACTACTGGATGGCCTCACTGCTGAATTCTACCAACTTTTTTTTTTTTTTAAGATGGAGTCTCACTCTGTCACCCAGGCTGGAGTGCAGTGGTACCATCTCGGCTCATGGCAACCTCTGTCTCCTGGGTTCAAGCAATTCTCCTGCCTCAGTATCCTAAGTAGCTGGGATTACAGGCACCTGCCACCACACCAGGCTAATTTTTTTTGTACTTTTAGTAGATATTGGGTTTCACCATGTTGGCCAGGCTGGTCTTGAACTTTTGACCTCAGGTGATCTGCCTGCCTTGGCCTCCCAAAGTGCTGGGATTACAGGCATGAGCCACTGCTCCTGGTCTCTACCAAACTATTAAAGACAAATTAATATTAATTATTCTCAAGATATTCCAGAATATTAAAGAGGAAATTATTCCTTACTCATTCTATGAGGTCAGCATAACACTGATACCAAAACCAGGTAAGGATGTGATGAAAAAGGAAAACTATAGGCCAATATTCCTGATGAATCTAGATACAAAAATCCTCAACAAAATACTAGCAAACTGAATCCAACAACACATCAAAAAGATAATACACCATTATCAACTGGTATTTATGTCAGGAATGCAAGGATGGTTCCAGATATGCAAATCAATAAACATGATACACTGCATAAACAGAATATAGAAAAAAAACCACAATCATCTCAATAGATGCTGAAAAGGCATTAAATAAAATCCAACATCCTTTCATGATAAAAACTCTCAATAAATTAGCTATTGAAGGAAAGTACCTCAACACAATAAAGGCCATATGTGACAAACCCACAGCTAACATCATACTGAATAGGGAAAAGCTCAAAGCTTTTCCTCTGAGAGCTAAAACAAGAAAATAATGCCCACTATCACCACTCTTATTCAACATAGCATTGGAAATTCTAGCCAAAGCAATTAGATAAAGGAAAGAAATTAAGGGCCTCCAAGTTAAAAAGGAGGAAGTCAAATTGCCCATTTCCAGATGACATGGTCTTATAAATACATAAAGACTACCAAAAAACTCTTTTTTTAAAAAAAAAACTTTTATTTTAAGTTCAGAAGTACAAGTGCAAATTTTTTACATAGGTAAACTTGTGTCATGGGGGTTTGTTGTACAGATTATTTCATCAGCCAGGTATAAAGCCTAGTACTCATTAGTTTTTTTCCTGATTCTCTCCCTCCTCCCACCCTTCACACTCTGAAAGGCCCCAGTGTGTATGGTTCCCCTCTGTGTCCATCTGTTCTCATCATTTAACTCCCACTTATAAGTGAAAACATTTAGTATATGGTTTTCTGTTCCTGTGTTAGTTTGCTAAGGATAATGACCTCCAGCTCCATCCATGTCACAGCAAAGGATATGGTCTTTTTTTATGGCTGCATAGTATTCCATGGTATATATGTCTACATATTCTTTATCCAGCCTGTCACTGATGAACATTTAGGTTGATTTCATGTCTTTGCTATTGTGAATAGTGCTGCAGTGACATACACATGCATGTATCTTTATAATAGGATGATTTATATTCCTCTTGGTATATACCCACTAATGGGATTGCTGGGTTGAATGGTATTTCTGTCTTTAGGTCTCTGAGGAACTGACACAATGTCTTCCACAGTGGCTGAACCAATTTACACACCCACCAACCATGTATAAGCATTCCTTTTTCTCTATGACCTCATCAGCATTTGTTATTTTTTGACTTTTTAATAGTAGCCATTCTGACTGGTGTTAGATGGTATCTTATTGTCGTTTTGATTTGCATTTCTCTAACTATCAGTGATGTTGAGCTTTTTAACATATAATTGTTGGCTACATGTATGTCTTCTTTTGAAAAGTGTCTGTTCATGTCTTTTGCCCACTTTTTTATGGGGTTGATGAAAATCTCTTAGAACTGAAAAATGAATGCAGCAAAGTAGCAGGATACAAAAATCAGTAATGTTTCTATATATGAACAGCAAACTAGGTGAAAAAAATTAAAAAGGCAATCCCATTTAGAATAGCTACAATAAATAAAATAAAATACCTGGGAATAAATTTGAACAAAGAAGATGAAAGAACTCTACAAGGAAAACTGCAAAACGCTGATAGAAGAAACTGAACAGGGTACAAACAAATGGAAAGACATCCCATGTTCATGAATCAAAAAAACTAATATTGTTAAGATGACCATACTACCTAAAGCAATCTATAGATTTGTTGCAATCTCTGAAAAATGCTAATGATATTCTTCACAGAAATAGAAAAAAATTCCTAAAATTCAAATAGAACCACAAAATATCTCAAAAATCCAAAGCAATTCTGAGCAAAAAGAACAAAATTGGAGGCATCACACTACCAGACTTCAAAATACATTACAAAGCTATAGTAACCAAAACAGCATGGTATGGGAACAAAAACAGACACATAGACCAATGGAATAGAATAGAGTACCCAGAAATTAATCCATGTATCAATGGCCAACTCATTTTTGACAAATGCACTGAGAACATACAATGGAAAAAAGTCAGTCTTCAATAAATGGTGCTGGGAAAGTTGAATATCCATATATAGAAGAATGAAAATAGACCCCCACCTCTCACCCCATCCAAGAATCAACTCAAAATTAATTAAAGAGCTAAATGTAAGACCTGAAACTATAAAACTACTGGAAGAAAACATAAGGGAAATGCTTCAGGACATTGGTCTTGGAAAAGAATTTATAAATAAGACCTCAAAAGCACAGGCAACAAAAGCAAATATAAACAAATGGAATTATATCAAACTAAAAAGCATGGTAAATTTCCTTCTGTACAGCAAAGGAAACAATAGAATGAAAAGACAAACTACAGAATAGGAGAAAATATTTGCAAATGATTCATCCAATAGAGGATTCATATCTAGAATATACAAGGAACTCAAACTTAACAGCAAAAACAAAAAATAAAGAACGAAAAACAAAACAAAACCTGATTAAAAAATGGGCAAATGATGTGAACAGATATTTCTCAAAAGAAGACATACAAATGGCCAAAAAAATGAATAAATGCTCAATATCACTAATTACAGGGAAATGCAAATCAAAACCATGATAAGCTAT
Source organism: Homo sapiens (assembly GCF_000001405.40). Taxonomy (NCBI): domain Eukaryota; kingdom Metazoa; phylum Chordata; class Mammalia; order Primates; family Hominidae; genus Homo; species Homo sapiens. Next base: position 225,291,784 of record NC_000001.11, on the reverse strand, counting down.
CACCTCTCCCCAGTCAGGATGGCTATCATCAAATAGACAAAAAATAGCAAATGATGGTGAAGATGTGGAGAAAGGGAACTCTTGTACACTGTCGGTGGGAATGTAATCTAGTACAGCCATTATGGCAAATAGTATGGAGGTTCCTCAAAAAACTACATATGAGTCTGGGCAACACAGTGAGACCCCGCCTCTACAAAAAAATTAGCTGGGTGTGGTTGTGCAGTCTTGTAGTCTCAGCTACTTGGGAGGCTAAGGTGGGAGGATCACTTGAGCCTCGGAGGTCGGGGCTTCAGTGAGCCATGATTGCACCACTGCACTCCAGCCTGGGTGACAGAGGAATACTCTGTCTCAAAACAAAACAAAAACTGCAAATAAAATGATCATAAGATCCAGCAATCCCACTTCTGGGCATTTATCCAAAGAAAAGGAAATCAGTATATCAAGAAAACATCTGCACCCTCATGTTTATAACAGCTCTTTTCACAATAGCCAAGATACAGAATCTACCTAAGTGTCCACCAGTGAATGAATGACTAAAGAAAATATGGTATATATACTTCATAAAATACAATTCAGCCATAAAAGAGAATGAAATCCTGTCACTGTGGCAACATGATTATGCTAAGTGTAGTAAGCCAGGAACAGAAAGTTAAACACCACATCCTCTCACTCATATATAAAAGTTAAAAACAAGTGGATCTCACAGGAGTAAAAAGTGGAACAGAAGATACTAGAGGCTGAGAAAGGTAGGGGAAAGGGAGAGAAGGATAGGGAGGGATTTTTTAAGGGATACAAAATTACAGCTAGAGAGGAGGAATAAGTTCTACTAACCTATAGCATTGTAGGATAACTATACATAACAATAATATATTATATAGTGTCAAATGGCTAGAAGGAGGATATTGAATGCTCCTAACACAAAAATGATAAATGTTTGAGATAATGAATATGCTAGTTATGGTAATCTGCTCTTACATGTATTGAAACATCACTATACCCCATAAACACATGTACAATTATCATGTCAATTTAAAACATTTAATTGAATTTAATTTGAAAAGAAAATAGACAAGCCACAGACTTGGAGGAAATATATATATATATATATATATATATATATATATATATATATATATACACACACACACACACATATATCTATACACACACATACACACACACACACACATATATATATGACAAAAATAACATATTCTGTAAGGAAAGTCCTGCATCTGACAGTGAAAATAGAGCAGAAGAGTAATGGAGAGAAACAGAAGCCTGGATGCTGTAAGAGCAGATTGTAGATTACATATCTAACTGTAGATTACAGATACTGGATATAGATGAAAGGGTTTTTAAAATACAGATTATAAAGCTAGTTCTGATATAAGACAGATGACCTCAGCTACACAGATAAATTACTTCCAATCTGTCAATTAAAATGAACAAGATAATGACATAGAAAATACCTTTATTGAAATATTTATTCATAACTACCTATGGCGTCATTACAAATATATAAACTGTGTGGGCTATGACTAGATAAGAACAGAGAATACTGCAAGAAAACTGATATTGTAGGGTAATAGAACCATTGATAAATATTTTCTTGTTTTCTTTTCAAATATTAAATTTTTGGGGAGGGGGTAGCCACATAGATATCAAACTTCAGCAAATAGCAAAGACAAAAAGTACTTACTTGTTCTATGTTTAAATTGGGAACCATCAGAACAGTGGGTTTCCCTTTTAATCCTGCGTGAATAAACACCTTTTTAAAGACTTCTTTGAATTCGATGTAGGCACATTTGTGAGATATAGGCACTCGGTATAGTTTATTATCTGTCAAATAACAGGCCAAGGTTGCACATGTTTTTTTCCCACATCCATCTATTCCAATCTTTGGGAGAAAAGAAATACAACACATGACATACATTTTCTGGGAATCTTTCAACGTATAGTTTTCTGTTTATTATTTGTGCTAGAAATTTTGATGTAAAAATACCCCAGACTATTTTTATTTATAACCTTTTGGGAGTCATATTAAACATAATTTAAATATTTTATCAAAATTTTTATAAGGCACTCATCCACTTTCAATATTTTCATCTTTCCATAGCCTCTTTAAATATATGAGAAAATTTCACTGGAAAGAGAACATAATCTTGAAAAAAGCACAGATAGGCTTATAAACCATCTTCATGTCACTGTCAATATTTGATTCTTCATTTATAAGTAACTAGATAGATCTTTTCCTTTTTATTTTGAGCAATAGGTACTTAATAAATGCTTTTGGGGAATAATGGCAAAGTAAGTATTGTTTTAAAAACAGCTTTATTTAGGTGTAATTTACAGCTTATACCTGTTTTAAGTGGATAATTCAATGCTTTTTAGTACATTTACAGACTTATGCAACCCTTGTCACAATTCAGTTTTGGAACAATTGCCTTCACCCCAAAAAGATCTTTCAAGCCCACTGGCAGTCAATCACCATCCAACTCTCAGGCCCAATCACTAATATGTTTTCATCTCTATTGATTTGCCTATTTTTGGCATTTCATATAAATGAAATTATATACCATGAAGTCTAATGTATCTGATTTATTTTACTTAGCATAATAAGTTCTTTCATGTTGTATGTGTATCAGTAGTTTGTTCCTTTTTATTGCTGAATGGTATTCTATTGTATGGACATATCACATTTTGTTTATCCATTGATGAACATTTGAATGGTTTCTACTTCTTGATTATGAATAATGCTGCTATGAACATTTCCATACAAGTCTTTGAGTGGATACTTGTTTTATTTTCCCTTGTGTAGAGACAGAGAAATGGAATTGCTCAATTATGTGGTAAATCTATGTTAAACTTTATAAGAAATAGCCAAACCATTTTCCAAAGTAGTTGTACTATTTTACATTCCCACAAGCACTGTATGAAAGTTCAGTTTATACACAATCTTGTCAATGATTGCTATTAACTATCTTTTTGATTATAGCCATTCAAGTGGGTGTTTAGTGTTATTGTGGTTTTAATTTGCATTTCCCTAATGACTAATGAAGCCGAACATCTTTTCATGGGCTGATTAACCATTCAGGTATCGTCTTTTGTGAAACATCTATTCAAATCTTTTGTCTATTTTTAAAAATAAACTTATTTTAGAAGAGTTTTAGACTCACAGAAAAATTGCCAAGATAGTATGGGGAACTGTCATATATCCACATCCAATTTCCCCTATTAGCATCTAACATTAGTATATTACATTTGTTACCATTAATGAACCAAAATTGATATATTATTATTAACTGAAGTCCATACTTTTTTCAGATCTTGTTAGTTTTTAACCTAATAATTTTTCTCTCCTTCGGAATTTCTTCCAGGATACTATATTACATTTAGCAGCCAAATCTCCTTAAGCTACTCTTGACTGTGACAGTTTTTCACACTTTCCTTATTTTTGATGGCCTTAAGAGTTTCAAGGGGTTCTGATCAGGTATTTTATGGAATGTCACTTAACTAGGATTTTCCTGCTGTTTTTCTCATGATTATACTCACCATGATTTATCATTTTTGTTGGTGAACTTGATCACCTAGATAAGGCGGTGTTTGTCAGGTTTCTCCACTGTGAAGTTACTCTTTTTTCCCCCTTCCTGTATGGTACTCTTTGGGAGAACGTCACTATGTGCAGCCCTCAGTGAAGGAGTGAGGAGTTATGCCCAGCTTCTTGAGGGTAGACTACCTACGTACATTATGTGGATATCTTCTGAATGGGAGATTTGTCTATTCTCCCTCATTTACTTATTTATTTAGTCATTTATTTATATAAGTATGGGCCCATGGATATTTATTATACACTTTGGATTATTATTTAATACCACTTTATTTCTTTGTTTTCTTGCTCCAGCTTTGGCCACTGTGAACTCTTTTAGTTGGCTCTTGTGTCCCTCTGACATAACCCCATGATTATTTTAGCACTTCACTTGTAGCACTACAGGATTCTCCAGGCTCATATTGTATATTTCCTGTCCCAGTCCTATAATCAGCAATTTTCCCAAGGAGTCCTGGTTCCTTTTATTGGAGAATGGTATTAGAAACCAAGATCTGGGAGCTAGGTGTACTCATTGCTACTGGAGATCACTGCCTGTAAGCCCTCCCAGCTGACACAGCAAATAAATAAATGTTTGTATACTAACCCTTATAGACACACATTCCTATAAAATTTCTATATCCAATCACCTATTTTAAGCTAAAAATAAGTTTAACTTATGTCTCCAACTCTGTTACTACATGATCATTTTAGTCTCTTTCCCTTGTTTAGCTCTGCCCTCCAATAGTGAGAAAACTGGTTTCCAACATCTGCCATCCATTTACTTCATTATTCAACTCCAGTATATGTGTATTGTGGTATTGGAATGGTTAACTTTACCCCCAAACCACTTTTTATATTGGCTCCTTTTCCCCTAATCCTCTTCAGTGAGTTTGTGTCACACACTTGCAACATGGTTTGATTTTTCTTTCACATTCTGCATTTCATCCTGGGATTACCAGACCTCCAAAATGACTTTTTTTTCTAAATTTGTAAACATTAAGGCTCATTCTTTGTGTCATCAAGTTCTATGGGCTTTGACAAATATATAGTGTCATGTGTTCACCATTATAGTATACAGAATTTTTACCATCCTAAAATATCTTGTGTTTCACTTTCTTTCCACCAAACCCTTAGACAACAAATATTTTTACCATTTCCATAGTTTTGCCTTTTCCAGAATGTCATATAAGTGGAATCATATAATATGTTGCCTTTCCAGACCGACTTCTTTCACTTAGCAATATACCTTTGAAATTCACCCATGTCTTTTTGTGGCTTGAGAGCTCATTTCTTTTTATCTCTTAATAATATTCCATTGTATCAATGTACTACTACAGTGTGTTTATTCATTTGCTTTATTGAAGGAATCTTGGTTGCTTCCAGTTTTTGGTGATTATGAATAAAGTTGCTATAATCATTCCTGTGCAGGTTTTTATGTGGGCGTAAGTTTTCACATCAGTTAGGTAAATGTGTAGGAGCATGATTACTGGCTCATATGGCAAGACTATGTTTAGCTTTGTAGGAAACTGCTAAACTGTCTTCCAAAGTGGCTGTGCTATTTTCAATTCCCACCAGCTATGAATGAGAGTTCCTATTGCTCTGTATCCTTGTCAGTAATTGCTATTATCAGTTCTTTGGGTTTTGGTCATTTTAATAGGGATGTTGTGGTATCTCGTTATTGTTTCCCCTAATGACAACTGATATTGAGCACCTTTTCATATGCTTTTGTAAGGTATTTATTTTTTCCTTTTATTTTTTAGTTGATGTGATAATTGTACATATTTATGGGATACAGAGTGATAATTCCATATGAACATATAATGTATAATAATCAAATTGGAGTAAATACATTAATCACCTCAAACATTGTCCTTTGTGTTGTGAACATTGAAAATCCTCTCCTCTAGCATTTTGAAAACATTCAATAAATTATAGTAAACCATATTCAGCCTACAGTGCTGCAAAACACCAGAACTCATTCCTCCTATGTAGCTATAATTTTGTATTAATTAACTAAACTCTCCCTTTCTCCCCTCCTCTCCCCTTCCTGGCCTCTAATACCCATAATTCTACTCTCTACTTCTGTGAGTTCGAATTTTGTTTCTCAGTTTTCACATGAGTGAGAACATGCAGTAGTTCTCTTTCCTTGCCTAACTTATTTTGCTTAACATGAGGCCTTCCAGGCTCTTCCATGTTGCCACTTATTGCAGCACTATTCACAAGAGCTAATAAGCCAAATGTCCATCAACAGAAGAACAGATAGAGGAAATGTGGTATATATGTACAATAAAATTCAGCCATAACAAGGTAACTGTTTCTTCATTTATTTCTATTTTTTTGAGACAGGGTCTCACTTTGTCACCCAGGCTGGAGTGCAGTGGTGCTATCACAGCTTACTGCAGCCGTGAATTCCTGGGCTTAAGTGATCCCCCTGCCTCAGCCTCCTGAGTAGCTGGGACTACAGGTACATGCCACCATACCTGGCTAAATTTTTATTTTTTTGTAAGAAGGGGGTCTCATTATGTGGCCCAGGCTGGTCTTGAACTCCTGGCCTCAGGCAATCCTCCTGTGTTGCCCTCCCAAAGTGCTGGGATTATAGGCATGAGCCACCACACTGGGCCAGCATCTGTTTATTTTTCTTTTTCTTTTTTGAGACAGAGTCTCGCTCTATCACCCAGGCTGGAGTGCAGTGGCGCTATCTTGGCTCACTGTAACTTCCACCTCCTGGGTTCAAGCAATTCTCCTGCGTCACCCTGAGTAGCTGAGATTACAGGTGTGTGCCACCATGCCCAGCTAATTTTTGTATTTTTGTAGAGATGGAGTTTCACCCTGTTGGCCAGGCTGGTCTCAAACTCCTGGCCTCGAGTGATCCACTCACTTTGGCCTCCCAAAGTTCTGGGATTACAGGCATGAGCCACCATGCCTGGCCTGTTTATTTTTAATTGGGTTGCTTGTCCTTAGGATTTTCCACAAACAGGATCATGTGGAATGTGAATAAGGATGGGCTTGCTCCCTTTATTTTTTCCAATCTGGATGCCCTTTCCCCACTTTTTCTTACCTAATTGCACTGGCTAGAACTTCTAGTATAGTGTTGAATAGAAATTGTAAGGCAAAACATTCTTGCTTTGTTCTCAATCTTAGGGGAAAAGCATTTTGTCTTTCACTGTTAAGCATAAGGCTAGCTGTAAGTTTTTCACAGAAGCTCTTTATTAGGTTGCTGAAGCTTCCTTCTTTTCCTTTTTGCTGAGAGTAAAAAAAAATGGTGTTGGATTTTGTCGTGCTTCTCTGCATCTCCTGAGATTATTGTGTGGTTTTTGCTTTTAATTCCATTAATAGATATATTGCATTAATGATTTTTAGAAAATATTAAACCAAATGTGCATTCCTGCAGTAAATCTCACTTGTTTATGATGTATAATACTTGCTATATGTTGCTGGTTTTGGTTTGTTAAGATTTTGTTCAGATTTTTTTCCACTATATTCATAAGGGATATTAGCCTGTAGTTTTCTTTTCTCATGATGACTTTGTCTAGTTTTGGTATTAGGATGTTACTGACCTTATAGATGAATTGGGAAGTATTCCCTCTTCTATTTTCTGGGACGGTTTGTGAAGGAATGGTGTTAATTCTTCCTTAGATGTTTGGTAGAAATCTCTGGTGAAGCCATTTGGCTCTGGGCTTTTGTTGTGGGAAGTTTTTAAATTCCTAATTAAATCTCCTTATTTGTTACTGCTCTATTAGATTTTCTAATTCTTCAGTTTCAGTAATTTATATATTTCTAGGAAAGACATTTTATCTAAGTGATCTACTATGTTGGCATACAATTGTTCATAGTATTCTCTTATAATCTTTTTTTAATTTCTGTAATATTGATAGTAATATTCCCTCTTTAATTCCTGATTTTAATAATTTGAGTCTTTTCTTCATTTTTTCTTGGTCAGTCTAGCAAAGAACTTGTCAATTTTGTTGATCTTTTCAAAGAACCAACTTTTGGTTTTATTGGTATTCCCTACTGGTTTTATATTCTCTACTTTCTTCTCTAATCTTTATTATTTTCTTCCATCTGCATGCTTTGGGTTTGGTTTTCTTTCCTTTTGGTATTTTCCTAAGGTGGAAGGTTAGGTTATTGATTTGAGGTTGCTCTTTTTAAATATAAGTATTTATAGCTATAGATTTCTCTTAAAGAACATCTTTATATTATGTTTTTGTTTGTTTCCATGTATCTCAAAGTATTTTCTAATTTCTCTGCAGTTTCTTCTTTCACCCATTTAGGAGTACGTTGTAAAAGTTCCACATAGTTATTAATATCCCAACTTTCCTTTTGTTGGAAACTTTCTAATTTAGTTCTACTGTGGTCAAAGAACATACTTCGTATGATTTCAATCCTTTGAAATTTACTGAGGCTTGTTTTATGGCTTGGCATTCGGTCTCTCCTCAAGAATGTTACATGTTTGCTTCAAAAGAATATGTGTTTTGCTGTTGTTAGTGGAGTCTTCTATCATGTCAATTAGTTCAAGTTGTTTTACTATACTGTTGAAGTCTTTGTAACCTTGCTGATTTTATGTCTAGTTTCTCTATCAATTATTAAGAGTGAAGGTATTGAAGTGTCCAACTATTATTGTTAAATTGATTATTTCTCCCTTAAATTCTGTCGGTTTTGGTTCCATGTATTTGGCACTAAGTTTTTAGGTGTGTATATGTTTATAACTCTTATGTATGATCTTTTCATCATTATAGCATGTCTTTTTTTTTTTTCTTTTTGGTCTCAGAACACTTAATTTTTTCCTGAAAGTCTACTTTGCCTGATATTAGTATACCCACTCCAACTTTCTTGTGGTAATTGTTTGCATGGATTATTTTTCTCCATCCTTTCATTTTCAGCCATTTTGGATCTTTGAATCTAACGTGTGGCTTTTGTTGATAGCATATAGTTGGATTTTGTTCTTTAAAAAATCTAGTTTTATAATCTCTGTATTTTTATTGGAGTTTTTAATGCATTTGTATTTGGGGCTTGTCTGCCACACTGTTATTTTCCATATGTCTCATTTTTTTTCCCTTTGTTTCTCCATTCTTTTGTGTTAAATAAATATTTTCCAGAGCTCTATCTTCGTTTTCTTGGCTTTTTTATTATATATATTTTTAGTTCTCTTCTAATTTTTTTACATTAAAAATAATAACTATTTATTGAATGATATCATAAGGTAAAAAGATGAACCATAATCTGGAAAATTACATTTGCCACACATATAATGAAGAAAATATTAGTATCTGAATATATAAATAACTCCTACCAATCAATAAGAAAAAGATAACCTAATAGAAAAATGGGCAAAGCACACGAATGGATGATTCACTGAAGAGAAGACCCGAATGATCAATAAACAAATGAAAAGTTGATCAACCAGTATCTGCATCTCTATGTTTGCCCCTGCAGTAACTATCAAACTCTCCCTTAGCAACCCTCAGTAATGGCTGACTGAAATTGCTGCATAGATGGGCCAAATACTTCAGCCCTCTCATCTTTCTGAGGCACATTTCCTAGAGCATTTCCTGAGATTCCCTTATGTAATTAACTTCCAGTTGCTAACAATAGTAACTGGCCTGATCATGCACCCTGTATTGATTACCATCTCTTCTGTGTCTCACTTTCTCACTCCTCTACCTGCTTTCTGGGACCATGTCTCAAGTTAACATTGAATACTTGCCTCGGGGCCTTCTTATGGGGGAACCTAAACTAAGATAAAATTGTTCAAGCTTCCTTTCCAGCATTGGACAGGGTCTAAGCTCTGATAACTCTATGGGAACTTTCCACAGAAAAGAAGCTAAAGATTCCCTTAAAATGCGTATAGAAGAAGGGGCCTGATGGCTTTGAATCAGGCCTGATGGCTGGGGGCCCAGACCACAGCCAGGCCCAAAACTTCATAGCTGTCCCAAGCCTGGAACTCTGGCTCATGGACCTCCTGCAGGTCTGCTTTCCTTCAGTTCTCTTTGAAACTTGTCTGCCATCGGTGTGTTTGGCCCTGACTTGCTTGGGTTCACAGTTAAACTATCCCTTTTCCTTGAGCATTTTTAGCATTTTTATTTAGATGATAGTGACATAAAAACTACACATATATTTAGCGTGTACATCTTGATGTTTTGATATATGTGTACATTGTTAAATGATCATCACAATCACACTACTTAAAATATCCACTATCTTTACATAGTTACCGTCGTGTGTGTGTGTGTATGAATATTAAGATCTACCCTCTTAACAAATTTCAAGTATATAATACAGTGTTGTTAACTATCATTATCATACTGTACATGAGTTCTCCAGAACTTGTTCACCTTGCATAACAGAATTACATTATGTATCTTATCACATCTATTTTATTTTATTTTTATTTTTAATCACAATCTATTTTAGATTAATACTAATAATTCCAGTAAAATATAGACAGTTTTCTTCAACATAACTCCATTTCCTCCCTCCTCTTTTGTGCTATTCATTGTTACATATATTACATCTTTATATATTATAAGCCTGACAATAGTTTTAGAATTATCATTTCATCTGATTATCTTTTAAAGTAGTTAAGAGTAAAGAAGAAAAATATATTTACATAGTCTGTGGTAGGCAGAATAATGCATCTGCCACCCCCATTCCCCACAAATATGTCCCCATTATGATCTCTGGAACCAATGAATATGTTATATTACATGGCAAGAGACTTTGCAGACATGATTAAGATTAAAGACCTTAAAATGGTGAGATCATCCTAGATTATCTGGCTGGGCCCAGTCTAAATCACATCAGTCCTTGAAAGCAGAGAATCTTTCCTGGCTTTGATCAGAGAGAGAGAGAGAGATGTTATGACTGATGAAGGGTCAAAGAGATGTGATGTTGCTGGCTTTACAGATGGATAAAGGCAGTTATGAGCCAAGGGATCCAGAAAGACTCTAGAAGCTAGTAAAAGAAAAGGAACAGATTCTCCCTTAGAGCCTCCAGAAAGTAATGCAGTCATACCTATACCTTAATTTTGGCCCAGTGGGTTCATGTCATACTTCTGACCTGCAAAACTGTAAGATAATAAATTTAAGTTGCCATATTTGCAATGTGTTTCATAGGCAGTAAAAAATGAACACATGGCCCTATATTTACCTATGTAATTGCTCTTATTGGTGCTCATTATTCTTCACAAGGATTTAAGTTACCATCAGTGTCTTTCACCCTCACCCTAAAAATTTACTTTAGTATTTTCTGTAACAAATTATCAGAGCTGTTTATCTGGAAATATCTTTATTTCATTTTTAAAATAGTTTTCTTGAACATAAAATTTTTGAGGTTTTTCCTCCTTTTATCTTTGAATATGCTGCTCCAATGCCTTCTGTTCTCCATTGTGTCTGATAAGAAGTCAGCTGTAAATCTTATTGAGAATTCCTAGTACATAAGAAGTTGTTTTTCTCTTGCTGCCTTCATGATTTTCTCTTTGTCTTTGAATGGTTGACTATGATGTGTCTAGGTGTTAATCTACTTTAATCTACTTGTGCTTACTCTTCTTAGACTTTCTTGAGCTGTGATTGAACTTCTTTTTTTCTTTCTTTTTTTTTTTGAGATGGACTCTCACTTTGTCACCCAGGCTGGAGTTCAGTGGCGCTATCTCGGCTCACTGCAAGCTCTGCCTCCCAGGTTCACATCATTCTCCTGCCTCAGCCTCCCGAGTAGCTGGGACTACAGGCACCCACCACCATGCCCGGCTAATTTTTTGTATTTTTAGTAGAGATGGGGTTTCACCATGTTAGCCAGGATGGTCTTGATCTCCTGACCTCATGATCCACCTGCCTTGGCCTTCCAAAGTGCTGGGATTACAGGTGTAAGCCACCGCACCCAGCTGTGATTGAACTTCTTGGATGTGAAGATTAATGTATTGGGGCATTATTTCTATGAAATCTTTTCTGCCCCCTTCTATTTCTTCTCTTTCTGGGAGCCCCATTAAGCATATTTTGATACACTTGATAGTGTCTTTTAGGTCTTTGATGTTCTTTTTCTTCATTTTTTTTCTTTCTCTTGTTCAGTGTAGATAAATTTTATAGATCTATTTTTAAGTTTGTGGATTCTCTTTTCTGCCATGTTAAATCTGCTGTTGAGCTCCTCTAGTGAAGTTTTCATCTCATTTATTTTAATTTTGAATCCCAGACATTCCAATTTGTAAAATAATTTATATCCCTTTATTGGTATTCTCTATTTGAAGAGTCATTTTTGTATGCTTTCCTTTAATTTATATATTAATATAAATAATAATATATATTTTCCTTTAGGCTTTTTGAGTATATTTACAAGAGCTGTATTTCGGATATCTGCCAAGCCCAACATCTGGATCCCCTTCAAGACAGTTCCTATTAACTACTTTTTCTCCCCATGTATAGCTCACACTTCCCTATCTGTTTTCATGTCTTGTAATTTTTGTTAAAAACTGAACATTTATGTGACAGATTGTATGCAATAATCTTTTAAACCAATGCCTTAAATTGAAATACTAATTAATATTAGTTTTCTTGTTTTCCTCTGGTAGTTCTGGTAGTTCAACAATGTAATCCAATTGAACTATGTAATATTTACTTTTAAAATTCATGTACAATTTCTTCTTTTACTTTTTTACTGAATTAAACTGATCTCATTTGAACTGTCCAATCTAGATAACCATTATTTTATTATTTATTCTCTGTCTTAAATATTCTTAATTAAGTCATTACACTCCCTCCAGTTGCTTCTCCCTGCAGAAGCTCCACATGCTAGACTAGCCTTCAGTTAAATTACTGTTATGCAAAATTAAACCCTAGTGTCACCTTGACCCATGAAAAAGATCTATTTATAATGTTTAATTGGGCAAACATAGTAATAGGGGGCCAGGTGTGGTGGCTCACACCTGTAATCCCAGCACTTTGGGAGGCCAAGGTGGGAGGATCACCTGAGGTCAGGAGTTCAAGACCAGCCTGCCCAACATGGTGAAACCCCGTCTCTACTAAAAATACAAAATATTAGGTGGGTGTGGTGGCAGGCACCTGTAATCCCTACTTGGGAGGCTACTCAGGAGGCTGAAGTAGGAGAATTGCTTGAACCCAGGAGGCAGAGGTTGCAGTGAGCTGAGATTGTGCCACTGCACTCTAGCCTGAGTAACAAGAGTGAAATTTCATCTAAAAAAACAAAAACAACAAACAAACAAACAAACAAAAAAACCCCAACAGTAATAGGATCAGAGGAATCAGGAATTTGCCATGTTTTACCTTCTATTTTTAATAGGGGCTCTGAGAGGGAAGATAGGTTTGTGATAACACATCTACAGAGAAACTATTAAGGCCAGATTCCAGTTGAGTGTAGGCTTTTGAAAACTGCTCTGAATACATTCTCAGGCATTTTAGAATTGAGCAATAGGTAAATGTACCTCTTGCTAGAAAAGACATGCTAAAGAAAAGAGTCACTGTGGTAAAATAACTAAACAGAGCATATACACTTTAGGAATAGAAAAATAATCTGTTAATAATTGAAATAAGACAGACAAAAATCATAGCCCTTGTAGAGCTTATGTTCTAAATGTGGAGACAGATGATTATAAATGAAAAATTAATGTGTAATATTATATAAGATAAGGCTAAGGACCAGAAAGAAAAATAAAGCAGAATAAGGAGACAGACTAATAGGGACTGAGGGGAAGAAAAGAGGTGCGTTAGGGAACAGAGAAAACCACAGTGGTCCAGGTGATGATAACAGTGGCTTAAATAGCGTGGTGGCTGTGGAGATGCAGAGAAATATGCAGGTTTGAAATACATTTTTCAAGTTGTATCACCAGGGCTTCTTGATGAATTGAATGTGACAAGTGATGAAAAAGTGACAAAACTGAGTGACTCCCAGGTTTCTGACTAGACCAGTGGATATATGGTGATACCATTTATGAGTTAGGTTAGTAAAAGAATAGTTTTGGTGTTAGAAAGATTTGCTTCATATTTTTTTCTTGATTCTATTTTCCAGTTTTTAGTTCCTTTTAATTAATCTTGTTGCATATGTCTGTTTAAATAAAACTTGTGTTTTATTTAAACACAAGTTTAAATAAGTGTTTAAATAAAGCTCTAGCTGTTCTGAATAAAAAAAATTCTTTTTGAGAAAAGTGCACAAATTAACCAAACAGTTATAAATAAAGTATAAAATAAACAACTAGTCATAAATAATAAATTAAATAAAAATAATTAATATGCTTTATGTAATTGGCTAAATATGTTGAATTTTAGCTAATTTTCCAAAAGATTTTCTCTATTCAAAGTATATTGGGGAATTTTCCAAGATTTTAACTCCCGCTTGTTCTCATGAGAAGCAAAACATTGTGCAAAAGCTCACATTTCTAAATCAATAATCAAGTAAGCGCACTATTTTTGAAGTCAGGATCCATCTGCACAGCTACTGTATTAATGCTGCGAACACTAGAAATGGTGCAGTTTTATTCACATCAAGTGCCTTCCAAAAACAAATACCATTTTTATTTGCTGACAGATTTCATATGCAAACTGCAGAGAGGACAAGAGTCCTGCCCTATGACTCAGTTATTGTGATTTTTCACAAAGTGTGGCTAAATAAAACTTCTGTAAGTACAGTAGATTTTATTGGGATTTATTTTATTTTGTAAACTTAAAACCACTTGAAAAATTTAAATTCCTACCAGTAACATGTGACTCCCTGGTTGTCGAAGAACCCTTGTTGCTCTTATGATGTGTTCTATGGCTTCCTTGAAGAACACCATGGAATGAGAAAGCTAGCAGATCAAATGTGACAAATAAATGGATTATAGGTACAGAAAAATCAAACGTGCATTGTGGTTTTACATACAATTTACTTACAGAAAGGAGAATAACTAGTAATCCAGAGCTCTAGATCTAGTAAGCTGGTTATCATTAACATTTAGGGAAAGTAAATTTGTGCAATAAGGATTGTCCCTATGCTAATGTTCTTGTGAGTAGATTAGAAGGGTGGTGGTAGAATTGAGAGAAGAGAATGAAGAGGCAAACAATAGTATTTAGGCTCCCTTCCCCCTTCCCCGTCCCCCTCCCCCCCTCCCCCTTTCCCCCTCCCCCCTTGCCATTTCCCCCTTCTCTTCCTTCTTTCCTTTCCTTTCCTTCCCTTCCTTTCCCCTTCCTCCCTCCCTCCCTCCCTCCCTCCCTCCCTTCCTTCCTCCCTCCCTTCCTTCCTTCCTTCCTTCCTTCCTTCCTTCCTTCCTTCCTTTTTCTTCTTCTTATTTTTCTTTTAGACAGGGTCTTGCTCTGTTATCCAGGCTGGAGTGCAGTTTCACAATCACGGCTCACTGCAGCCTCGACCTCCTGGGCTCAAGCAATCCTCTTGCCTCAGCCCTGTGTAGCTGGGACTTACAAGCAGGCACTGGCACCACAATGCCTGATTAATTAAATTTTTGTGTGTGTGCATGTGTGTGTGTGTGGAGATAGGGTTTCATTATGTTGACCAGACTGGTCTCAAACTCCTGGGCTCAAGTGATCCTCCTGCCTCAGCCTCCCAAAGGGCTAGGATTATAGGCACAAGCCACCACACCTGGCCCAGGTTGCTTTTCTATTGTTCTGTCTTGGCAAGTAGGATAAGTGGTAGGAGAAAGAGATGCAGAAAATTGGTTTACAGTGTATGTGGTTTTGTTGGTGTCTCTGTTCCAACACATCTTTGCCCACAACAATGGGAAAGATGTAAAGAGCCACAACCACTTTGCTGTCCTTTGTTGCTACTTTGGACCCTGTTGCTACACTCTGTTTTGCATTTATCTTCATGAACTCTATTCATTCAACTTCCTATAACCTCAGTTGTGTACCTTGTCTTTAAAATTATACCCTATCAAATGAGACAAATAAGATGAAATAACATAAAACTGTACTTCTAATGTTCTGCTTTAAAATATGAAGGTAAGCATTTTCCCCTGATCTCTCCCTCTCTCTCTCTTTTTCTCTCTTGCTCTCTCTCACACACAAACACACACACCCCTTAAAAATACTGATTTGATATACATAGATGTTTGTATGTAAAAATAAATAAATATATACATATATAGCACTCCTCAGATTTTTATATAGTATATATGTTTACCTCCAAAGAAATTGAACCCAACTTCATTTGGAATTCATCAAGTACACTGGCAAGTTTATTATAGTCACTGGTATTCTGATAAATCTTTTTTCTATGAGTCTTGTTTATATCCAAGAAGTCCAAAAATACAGTTGAGTGATTCATCAGGTTTTCTTGGGTCCACTGAATCTATTGTAAGATAAGAATTTAACACTATCCATTAATAGCACAATTCTACTTGTTATCAAAACTCACAGCATATATCTGTGTTGGAGAAGCTCCTGGCACAGTGGATCTAGGACTAATGTGTTCTTAACTTTTTTTGTGCTATAAACTCCTCTTGGTTTATAAAGGTTTAGAAAGCCTGTGGACTCTTTCTCAAAATAATATTTTAAAATGCATATATCAAAATATAAGGGTTACCAAAAACCCCCAAATATATTAGAATATGGTTTTATTTAAGAACGCTTTGAGGGTCTGTGGATCCCAGGTTAAGAACTCCTGTTGCTAGAAATATCTTGTAGTTCCAGCAACAGTCTGAGAAAAAGAATCTTCCCTTAGTTTACCACTACAGTTCTGCAAGTTTCCACATGTCCTTTCCTGGTTTACTTGGCAAATTCTTGCTTATCTTTCACACCAAGGTCATGGGCTACCTCTTATTTGAAGTCTGACCATCTCCCTCTCCCCTAAAATCAGGTAGAATAAATTACTCCTTCCTCCTTTGTTCCACCACTATATTGTGTGCATAGGTCTGTCACAGCACTGACGTTATAGCACTGACAGAAATGCATTGCACTTCTTAGGTTGTAATGTGCTTGGAGGCAGGGTCCATACTAGTCCTAGGTAGTCCTCAGCACTTATCCCACTTGCTGTCTGGCACTGGGAATTCCTGATAGGCATTTAGAAGATGTTTGTTTCGCAAATGGCTAAATGAAGATTGAGGGGTGGTATGGTATGATAATTCGAAAATATATGTCATTAGATATCCTAGGTTTGAATAATGACTCCACCACTTAACTAGCAGGGTGACCTTAGGTGAGATCTTAATCTTACTCTGCTCGGTTTCTTCATCTGTAAAATCAGGATAATAACAGGACCTATATCATAGGGTGTTATGAATTAAGATTAAAGTGAATAATGATATGTAAAGTGAGTAATGATATGTCTTAACACTGTGCTTGGCACATTGTATTAACTATTAGAGTTTTATTTTTTTTAAGTCAATCAACTGACCGATTAAGTGATATTGTATAAACTGAAATTCTCACAGGAATAATTTAAATCCTTACATCCTTAAGAAAGATTTGGTCCATATGGTCTTGAATTTGGGGTACTGTAGTTGCCTTTGCTGTCCATAGGACTGACCCCTGCTAGGGCAGGACCCAATTCCGTAAGTATTTGCTTGCTCATTTTCTACTGCCTCTATATCTATTTCTTAGTCTGGTTAAGTCTCAAAACTGAATTATGGTTGGCATTTATAGGGAGTTTGGGAACTTCTCCCAAGATAGTAATAAGCTCTCTTTAAGAAATGCAAATCAAAACCACAATTAGATACCATCTAACACCAGTCAGAATGGCTAATACTAAAAAGTCAAAAAATAACAGATGCGGCCGGGCGCGGTGGCTCACGCCTGTAATCCCAGCACTTTGGGAGGCCGAGGCGGGCGGATCACGAGGTCAGGAGATCGAGACCACGGTGAAACCCCGTCTCTACTAAAAATACAAAAAAAATTAGCCGGGCGCAGTGGCGGGCGCCTGTAGTCCCAGCTACTCGGGAGGCTGAGGCAGGAGAATGGCGTGAACCCGGAAGGCGGAGCTTGCAGTGAGCAGAGATCGCGCCACAGCACTCCCGCCTGGGCGACAGAACGAGACTCCGTCTCAAAAAAAAAAAAAAAAAAAAAAAAATAACAGATGCTGGTGAGGATGCAGAGAAAAAGGAACACTTACACACTGTTGGTGGGAACTTAAATTAGTTCAACTGTTGTGGAAGACAGTGTGGTGATTCCTCAAAGTTCTAGAAACAGAACTACCATTTGACCCAGCAATCCCATTAGTGGGTATATATCCAAAGGAATATAAATCGTTTTATCATAAAGACACACTCGCACACATGTTCATATTTCCTGGGCTTCTGTTAATGAGAAGAATGAAGTTGGCACCACCAGAGAAGACAGAAAAAGAAAAGAGTCCACCTTTGGGAAGGAAATGTTCTCCTTAATTCTCTTGAAAGGAGACGGCAAAAAATTCTAGTAATGGAGCCTAGATCACTGCTCCATTCAGTCACATTCTTTTAGTGTGATCAGTTTATTGAAACACTTTCCTTTGTGACCTAGATTAAAAGACAGGCAGTAAGAAAACTAAAGTTCAAAGAGACGGAGAAGGATGAGGAGTCTTGTTGAGGTATCAAGACAGTGGACAGTTCTGTGAGTCCTGGAGAAAAATGAACAGTTTTGAGGTTGCTAAGGGGCCAAAAGCATGGGCAAAGGCATCAATGATGATTTTATCCTCTCCAGCATATCTATAGTTTTAGACATTTTCAAGTGGAAATGGAATTGTTAATAAAATTACATTTCTTTCAGTATTATATAAATTTTTGAGGACTTTCATGAAACAACATTTTTTGCCCAATAATCCACTTAAAACAATTTTGTTTTGTTTTGTTTTGAGACGGAGTCTCGCTCTGTCGCCCAGGCTGGACTGCACTGGTGCGATCTCGGCTCATCGGCTCACTGCAAGCTCCGCCTCCCGGGTTCACGCCATTCTCCGCCTCAGCCTCCCGAGTAGCTGGGACTACAGGCGCCCATCACCACGCCCGGCTAATTTTTTTGTATTTTTAGTAGACACGGGGTTTCACGTGTTAGCCAGGATGGTCTCAATCTCCTGACCTCGTGATCTGCCCGCTTCGGCCTCCCAAAGTGCTGGGATTACAGGCGTAAGCCACCACACCCGGCCAATAATTTTTAAAATATAAATTTACCTGAAAACAGTTCTCAAGTTCCCTTGAAAGCAACCGATAGAAAAGGCTTTTATCAGTGAAATCAATTAAGCGATCGTGAAATACTCGGGTGGCTTCATGAACAAAGAGCAGAGCAGCCATCTCTTTGGAGTTAACAACAGTCCTGTCAGCTTGCAGCAATCCTAGGAGAAGCTGTTAGGGATTTAAAAATAACGTTTTTTTAAAAAAAATTAGCAGGGTAGTATGTGAAGCGAAGGCTCAATTTTTGCAGGTTTATGATCCATAAAAATAGAAGCAATTATCCAAGGTAAGAATTGTGAATTTCTACAAGTGATAATCTGAAGCTTTGATGAGATGGGAAAGTGATAAGATAGGGAAAATTGGTATGGAATCACTCTTAGAGGGAGGGGGACTTGGGGACTCCTCAGCCACATCTAATGGAGGCCTTGCTAGGATGGGAGTCTCGACTACAGTGCTAACATGGAGGCAGGGTGTTGCACGTGATACTGAGGTACTTCCTAATGTTTATATGTTTTAACATTCTAAATTTGGATTAAAAATGTTATAGCCCATTTCACAGATTACATGTGCTATTTAGGGCTAAAGTCCCACAGTTAGGGGAGAAAGGTATCAAATTCAAGAATTGATTTTCTTAACATTTCAATTTTGAAAATTATTTGGCCATGGCTGATAACTAAGTCAGCACTGTTGGCAAAATCTGTTAAAATTCAAGCATGTTTATGAAATGCATACATGCTTTCATTTTCTGACAGCCACAATAAAATCTCAGAAATAAAGCAAACACCAAATCTATGTTATAACCTTGTCACTTATTTCTCTGCTGAGGATCTTAGCCAATATTCTAACACTCTTAGGGATTTCATCATTGAATTATTTGCACGGAATTATTTTAACAATTTTTTCTTCAACTAACTCATGAGATAAGCTGCTAATAGCAAAACTAACCAACATTCATTTCCCTTTTTTCCCCTTCTAACAATCTAATGTTGACAGTATGAGAGAGAGCAACTTATATTTAAAAAATAAACTAGAGAATGAACATTAAAACAAACCTTAAACATATCTCGAAGATTAAACATGTAGTGACATTTTGTTGGAGTTGGTAACATATTCTGACGTACTTGATGGTATATAGCTAGGGAACAAGATATTATCTGATCCTTACTTTTCTGAACTTCAGGTGTGAAGTTATTGATGGAGAAATAAATTCCCAAATGAGCCTTTAAAAAGAAATGTTATAATTTAGCTTGCCAAAAATTTGAGGTATAGACTACTTCTGGCTACCTTCCACTAAAAAGCGGACTTGTGTACTATAATGGAGGATTAATTTCATTAAATGTTAAAATTAAAATCCATTTAACATAGGATGGTAGATTAGTAAAAACAAAACACTCTAGGGGTTGCAAACTGGAGAAAATTCCACTTGGTGCTAGTCTCTTGAATGGTCTAAAAGGATGTGATACATTTTTTCTGGGGACAATTTATGCTTCACCTCTGTATATACCAGGTGTGCTGGGAATTCTTTCATCTCCTTGCTCTCCAGGAGATGTTATGGGAAGTGTAAACTGACAAAACTATTACCTCAGTCTGGACTGACGATACAGGTATACATTCTTCGAAAAATTCTGAAGTATCTTACTGGAAAGATGACTCAACTTGAAATCTAGTGTGACTAGAAAAATAAATCTTAAGCAAGATTAGGAAATTCATCAACATGAATCTTGTTTTCTTCTTTAATATAAAATTTAAAGATTCATTTTTAAACTCAAGTTTTCAAAAAGCACTTGGTAATTCTGATACAGTTGGTAAATAGTTCGCACCTGAAAAAAAATCCTGTTTTAGAAGAAAGTCTACCTGTATGCCAACTGGGACCAAGGTAATAGTTTGTGTAGCATTTTTTTATTCCATAAGAAAATGAAAAGAGCAAATCAATTCTGGCAAAAATCAGGGTATGTGTGTTAAAAATGCAGATTCCTACATGCCAGGCCAGATATACTGGATCAGAATCTCTGAGGATAAAGTCCTAAAATCTACATTTTAACGTGCATTGGACATGCACCACAAGTGTTTATTTTACACACAATAACTTATGCTTTTGATATGTAGAACCAAATTATAATAGGCCAGAAAACATACGGGGAAATAAAATCTATCCCCTTAAAGTAATTTTCTTTCAATATTAGTGGATTTAAGTTCTCGTATTTTTCCTTATTCTAGGGAATTAATTTTTTTCAGTAGAAAATGAACTAGATGTGTTACCTGGAAAATAGTACATAAGATGTCTTGTGAAGGATGAGGTAATACCAGCATGGAAAAGTGTTTGAGAAGACGTGGGCTGATATCATTCACAACTGGAACACAAGCTGCAACTATAGACAGATCTTGAATATTCTGTGATAAGGATAAAAAGGAAGAGTAACTGAATGTATCTGTAGGAAGTGAAGTATGTACCTACGTCTCTGTCCCAAATTGGACAAAACATTTAAAAACATTTAGACAAAAAGATTTAATTACTATTTATTGCAAAAACAAAGATTACAGTGGTAATAGAAATCTATCTTAGAAATAACCCATCCTAAAATATAATTTCAAGATACATTATTTCTTGAAGGCTTTCTAAATGTCATCAGGAAATGGTCCTGTTTTTTAAAATTATTATACTTTAAATTCTAGGGTACATGTGCACAATGTGCAGGTTTGTTATATATGTATACATATGCCATGTTGGTGTGCTGCACCCATTAACTCGTCATTTACATTAGGTATATCTCCTAATGCTATCCCTCCCCCCTCCCCCCACCCCACAACAGGCCCCGGTGTGTGAGGTTCCCCATTCTGTGTCCAAGTGTTCTCATTGTTCAGTTCCCACCTATGAGTGAGAACATGCGGTGTTTGGTTTTCTGTCCTTGCGATAGTTTGCTCAGAATGATGGTTTCCAGCTTCATCCATATCCCTACAAAGGACATGAGCTCATCCTTTTTTATGGCTGCATAGTATTCCATGGTGTATATGTGCCATATTTTCTTAATCCAGTCTATCATTGATGGACATTTGGGTTGGTTCCAAGTCTTTGCTATTGTGAATAGTGCTGCAATAAACATACGTGTGCATGTGTCTTTATAGCAGCATGATTTATAATCCTTTGAGTATATACCCAGTAATGGGATGGCTGAGTCAAATGGTATTTCTAGTTCTAGATCCTTGAGGAATCACCACACTGTCTTCCACAATGGCTGAACTAGTTTACGTCCCACCAACAGTGTAAAAATGTTCCTATTTGTCCACATCCTCTCCAGCACCTGTTGTTTCCTGACTTTTTAATGATCGCCATTCTAACTGGTGTGAGATGGTATCTCCTTGCGGTTTGCATTTCTCTGATGGCCAGTGATGATGAGCATTTTTTCATGTGTCTTTGGCTGCATAAATGTCTTCTTTTGTGAAGTGTCTGTTCATATCCTTTGCCCACTTTTTGATGGAGTTGTTTGATTTTTTCTTGTAAATTTGTTTGAGTTCTTTGTAGATTCTGGATATTAGCCCTTTGTCAGATGGGCAGATTGTAAAAATTTCCTCCCATTCTGTAGGTTGCCTGTTCACTCTGATGGTAGTTTCTTTTGCTGTGCAGAAGCTCTTTCGTTTAATTAGATCCCATTTGTCAATTTTGGCTTTTGTTGCCATTGCTTTTGGTGTTTTAGACATGAAGTCCTTGGCCATGCCTATGTCCTGAATGGTATTGCCTAGGTTTTCTTCTAGGGTTTTTATGGTTTTAGGTCTAACATTTAAGTCTTTAATCCATCTTGAATTAATTTTTATATAAGGTGTAAGGAAGGGATCCAGTTTCAGCTTTCTACATATGGCTAGCCAGTTTTCCCAGCACCATTTATTAAATAGGGAATCCTTACCCCATTTCTTGTTTTTGTCAGGTTTGTCAAAGATCAGATGGTTGTAGACGTGTGGCATTATTTCTGAGGGCTCTGTTCTGTTCCATTGGTCTATATCTCTGTTGTGGTACCAGCACGATGCTGTTTTGGTTACGGTAGCCTTGTAGTATAGTTTGAAGTCAGGTAGCGTGATGCCTCCAGCTTTGTTCTTTTGGCTTAGGATTGTCTTGGCAATGCAGGCTCTTTTTTGGTTCCATATGAATTTTAAAGTAGTTTTTTCCAATTCTGTGAAGAAAGTCATTGGTAGCTTGATGGGGATGGCATTGAATCTATAAGTTACCTTGGGCAGTATGACCATTTTCACAATATTGATTCTTCCTATCCATGAGCATGGAATGTTCTTCCATTTGTTTGTGTCCTCTTTTATTTCGTTGAGCAGTGGTTTGTAGTTCTCCTTGAAGAGGTCCTTCACATCCCTTGTAAGTTGGATTCCTAGGTATTTTATTCTCTTTGAAGCAATTGTGAATGGGAGTTCACTCATGATTTGGCTCTCTGTTTGTCTGTTATTGGTGTATAGGAATGTTTGTGATTTTTGCACAGTGATTTTGTATCCTGAGACTTTGCTGAAGTTGCTTATCAGCTTAAGGAGATTTTGGGCTGAGACGATGGGGTTTTCTAAATATACAATCATGCATCTGCAAACAAGGACAATTTGACTTCTGCTTTTCCTAATTTAATACGCTTTATTTACTTCTCTTGCCTGATTGCCCTGGCCAGAACTTCCAAAACTATGTTGAATAGGAGTGGTTAGAGAGGGCATCCCTGTCTTGTGCCAGTTTTCAAAGGGAATGCTTCCAGTTTTTGCCCATTCAGTATGATATTGGCTGTGAGTTTGTCATAAATAGCTCTTATTATTTTGAGATATGTCCCAGCAATACCTAATTTATTGAGAGTGTTTAGCATGAAGGGTTGTTGAATTTTGTCAAAGGCCTTTTCTGTATCTATTGAGATAATCATGTGGTTTTTGTCTTTGGCTCTGTTTATATGATGGATTACGTTTATTGATTTAAAAACAAAACGAAACAAAAAGAGCAATCATTAAAAAATAAGCAATATGTTATTGAGGTTAGCAAAGAGGCTTCTGGTTATAAGTGAGAAATCAGAAGAGCCAATTGAGTGTGTCTCTAGAATGGCCAGCCTTTGTTCCTGCTTATACCCAGGCTCAAGGCCACAGCAATCCCATAAAAGACCTACTGTGACCTATTTTCTGGTCAGTTCAGGGAATTGTCCAGGCTGGGCATTCCAGACCCTATTTCCTGCCTTCTCTTTTTTCTAGTCTCCTGGATTATCCCTGGTGGGCCATACCTGGATTCTTCCCCTCTGCCTTGGCTTGAGGGTTGTTTCAGTCTGACTGACGTCTGACCTGATAGCGCTCACATGCCAGTTTGCCTTATTCAGGATCCTGGGCCCAAGTTTGTCTGAGACATGAAACCATTTGTAATGCAACCACTTAATTTTATAGATGAGGAATCTGAGGCCTAGAAAGTTTAAGTGGCAGTCAGTTCTGAAATATAGGGCTTATGATTTCCAGAGAAGGACCTGAACAGAGAGAAAAGTGCATTTGAATTTCTATATTTGTTTAAAAAGTAAGCCATTCTGGCCGGGCATGGTGGCTCACGCCTGTAATCCCAGCACTTTGGGAGGCCGAGGCAGGCGGATCACGAGGTCAGATCGAGACCATCCTGGCTAACATGGTGAAACCCTGTTTCTACTAAAAATACAAAAAACTAGCTGGGCGTGGTGGTGGGCGCCTGTAGTCCCAGCTACTAGGGAGGCTGAGGCAGGAGAATGGTGTGAACCTGGGAGGCGGAGTTTGCAGTGAGCCGTGATTGTGCCACTGCACTCCAGCTTGGTGACAGAGCGAGATTCCATCTCAAAAAAAAAAAAAAAAAAAAGGAAGCCATTCTGATTTAGGTTCAATGTAACAAAAATAATTGCACAGAAATACCACCTTGGGAATTTTTTTTGACTGTGATATTCCTTAAAATGCTGTATCTGTGATCTTAAGATAAAGATGTAGAGTAATCTTATATAGACATTAAGGATGCATCTGGTGGGCCATATTTTCACTGGCTTTTCTCACAACTAACTAAAATTTGATGCATGGAAAAGTTTGATTAACTACTGATGCAGTTAACAATAATGAGCATTATTTGACTCAGAAACCAAATCTTGAGGACATACATGCAATTTTTACTAAGATTTAAACCTATTAAAAGTAGGATTTCTATAAACCTATGGACCTACATTGCAAATATATGATTAATATAGTTAGTTTAGGGTCTCAACTTTGCTTAACATGTCCATATGGCCAGAATTTCTAACTTTCTCAAGCAATTCACTCAACATTGTTATAAACATTTAATTTAGTGTGAGAAATAATACTTAATGTGAACAAAATCTTAGTATATACTGTACCTTCCATGTATTTTTTTCAGTATCATAAACTCCTCCCAAATCTAACAATTGTCTTATCAATTCCAGGGGTGGCTGTGCTCCATACATATCTGATACTGGCATATTCATATCATCAATAAATATTAGAATCTTAAGAAAGACAAAAGGTTTTAAACATATATATTAGTACACCTTTCTTTAAATTATGAATTAGGAATATTATGGTTGGGGTAAGCACAAATTAGGAATATTATGCTATGGAGTAAGCACAAAATCATATGTAATAACATGTCTGATTTCCTATTTAAAAACAGCAGAATGAATTCTATTTGGAAGATATGATTTTTAAAAACAGTAAGTTTTCAAAATAGCAGACACTCTATTCACCTTCTATAGATCTATAATAATTATGTCTGACAATAGTTAGAAATGTATTTGATGCTGGATAAAGCAATATATTTATGGCTATTACACAGGAACATGGCTATTTTTCATTCAAGATTTACTTACTGAGTGCCTACTATTGGCAAGGCACTATTGTAGTATTTAGCTGTTTATTCCATATGCACCCTGGTTTAGGAATAAGGCTATCATCTGGAACTAGACTTAAAAAATTCTGCTGCAAATGCTGTTGTTATGAACAACAAGCAGAAAATTCAGACACATTTCCAAATTTTAAACCTGTGTTAATGTCCACCTTTGAAAATATTGTGCATTGAAGTGTACTGATTGTAATCTCTGTGTGCACTAGCTCCTTTAGACTGTATTTATTTTTGCAAAAGAAGCAACGTAAAAAACCCACAAATAGACATATGTTTGGAATTATGTAATTACCTAATTTGTAACTGTCAATATATATATATATATTTATTAAGACACTCAGTTTCTCCCCTTTTGTATCACAAACTATCTGAAATTTCTCTTGCTTGCATTTTCTATTGGTATGATTAGGTTCCTCAGTTATTCACCTTTTCAAAATCCCTAAAGTTTACCTATGTAGGCAAAGACCAAGTTTATCTGTGTCTTCATTTAAAATCAAGGAAATCTGAAGCAAACCCTTAAAAGCTCCTGAAATTGAATTGAAACTCTTAGAGTCCCAAGCCATGGTCACAGGAAGAAAGTGTGGTAGAATATACAGTAACAAAACAGTTGGCATCTAACCCATTTTCCAGTCTACTTCTCTTTAGCAAGATTTCAGTAGCTTCTTTTGGCCTTAATAATTCTGAATCAGTATAATTCAACATATTGGAAATAAAATAATATTGATCTGAAAATCAAAGTTTCTGTTATACATTGCATCTTCTATGATGTTCAAAAATGTGTGTTACACAAATATTTTTCTTCTGATTAGTATTAATTAAAATAAACTATCACTTGACTAGCCTAAGCAGATTATTGAACAGGTATGAGAGGTGTTTTACCCGGTTGTTTTTTGGTGCTCCAAGAGTATCTTTAGTTCTTCTTATTAACTTCTTAAGAATCATCTCCTTGGTTTTGGCAGCTGTTACATTGGTGCTAAAATTTATTGTAGAGACTACAACTCCTTTATGATCATTATTTTTAAGTAACTTTTTATTAGTTCTAACTTCTGGCTTTTTAGTGGGATTATCTGTGATGCCAAACATAGAAAGAAAAAACAAATTTAGGACACTTTAAGAACATTTTTGCCTTATTTTAATGTGTCATGAAATTTGAAAATTACATAATTTTACTATTTTGTTGTCATTTTCAAGAAATTACTCCGATAGAACTTTGGAATATTTCTTTGCTATTTTATGGTAAACAGCATCTCTGCAACCAAGTGCAACAGTACAAAAGCTCAAAGAGTCCTCCATACATTTATGCACGACAGACACATATAACTTTTTAAGATCTAAAAGCAGCATGCAGCTGTCTGCACTAATGGCATTAAAATTAGGGTATATTCCCTGAGTGAGGATCATCCAGAGGCTATAGCTACAGCAACTTAAAAGTGAAAACAAAACCAAAACCTCTTCTGGCAAGATTTGGTGGTGTGGCATCCTTCCCCTTTCTACAGCTATCTCTAGGCCATTCCATCTTTTCCTCTTGAGAAACGGAGTTGCTGTTCCCAAAACTAGAGAGTCAGAATTTTCAAGGATGAGGCTCCTGAAACTCCACATATGTTTCTATTGCATGGCCTGATTTGAGAAGTCCTACAGAATCATACCTTTTCTATTGCAGTATGTCTAAAAGCATCAAACAGTAGAATAGACAGATATTGCCTTTAGTTACTTCTAGACTTAGTCTACTCTTCCACTGATATATCCACCAAGTATCAGGTAATATACCTATTATATCAGCAGATGTAATACTCCTCTACCAGAACCATTCTAACTTTTGAGTAGGACAGAACAGTTTGAGAGGGTGTGGGATAGTTTTTGAGACTTTTTATATTAAATTACCAATTGAAATTATTATTCTGAGATCCATGAATGTAAGAAATAATATACACATGGTTGTGAAGTTTTGAAACATAGCATAGCTTTGAAACTGTACTATAATATATACCTGAACTTCCAGTTGCTGTCTTATGAGTTTCAGGAATCAAGATGGTGATATTCTGTTTTAGGCTACTGGAATGAAATATTTTAAGGATTCAAAATTAGTTTGTTTACCATAATAGGTATATTAAACAACAACAAAAAAGTAACAGCATATTGTGAATTTTACTTCTAACTCTTACAAGAAAAATTTTTTTTCTGTTTCCACCTTTTCAGATGAAATTAGTGTCACCATAAGAACTTATACCAAACTGAACAAAACATAAGCTAACTTTATAAAACAAACTGGGCAAATTCCCAGGATGCCAGACAGTTAGATATTTTCTCTGGATAGTAAGCCATTACCTTACTTATCCCTTTATAAAATGTGATTTGCCTTACGGATCACTCAGCAAAGACCCATTCATCTTATTTTGGTCTTGTTTCTAGGTGTTTGTTTTTCTCATGTTTGATAGAAAATAGTTGTCTTTCTCTATTGTTAAAACTCACTTCAGCTTAAATATTGAGTATACAGTAAAACTTACTTTTTTCCAGTCTCCATTATTTATGATACTTAGATAAAGAATGATTTTCATTGTATTAAATATTTCAAAATTATTTCTCAGATGTTTAAGGCCTTATTTAAGTGTAGTAGGATTCTATTCCAAAATCATTAGTGTAAGACATAGATGATGGTGGCTTGGACTAAAAGAGGCATTGGAAAAGAAGCAGAGGAAATCAAGATATATGTGAAGATAGAACAGACATGACTAGTAGAATATTAGATGTAGTGCAGGGCAAAAATGGGGACCTAGGGATTGGGAGGAATCAGATGGGCTATAAGAGATAGATTGGTGAGAGGAAAGGGGGAAATTCAAAGATGATTCCTAGGTCTCAGGCTTGAATAACTGCGTCCCGTTTATTGAGATAAGAAGCACTAGAGGAAGGATAGGTTTGGAAGAGAAATCAAGAGTTATGTTTTGGTTATGTTAAGATTGAAATGTTTATAAGATATCCAAGTATTATATATATACATGTATATATATGTGTATATATATGTATATATACATGTATATATATGTGTGTGTATATATATATCTCGCATAGTAGGATATATGTGTCTAATGATTAGAGGAAAAGTCTGATATGTGCATTTCCACAATTCCATCTTCTTATGTAATTCAAACAATACTAGGCTTCTCTAATATTTTAACAGGCTTGGGAACTTAAAACATTTTTAGTTTTATTTGCATAAGGTAGATTTATTGTTTGTTCTTTTTTTTTTCTTCAGGAAGAAACATATAGAATGACAGAGACAAAGTTATTTGTCAAGAGCATTTTAACATTTGATGACCATACTGCCCAAGCAATCTACAGATTTAATGCAATTCTTATAAAAAATATCAATGTCATTTTTCACAGGGTTAAAAAAATACTAAAATTTATACGGAATCAAAGACAGACTGAAGAGCCAAAGCAATCCTAAGCAAAAAGAACAAACTTAGAGGCATCACATTACCCAACTTCAGATTATAATACAAGGCTATAGTAATCAAAACAGGATGGTACTGGTATAAAAGTAGACACATAGATCAAAGGAACAAAACAGAGAACCCAGAAATAAAGCCAAATACTTACAACCAACTGATCTTCGACAAATCAGACAAAAACATACACTGGGGAAATACACTCTATTCAAAAATGGTGCTGGGAAAATTGGATAGCCACATCATATAGAAGAATGAAACTGGATTCTTATCTCTTACTGTGTGCAAAAATGATCTCAAGATGGATTAAAGACTTAAATGTAAGACCTGAAACCATAAGAATTCTAGAAAAAAACCTAAGAAAAACTCTTCTGGACATTGGCCTAGGCAAAGAATTTATGATTAAGACACCAAAGGCAAATGCAACAAAAACTGAAATAAATAAATGGAACCTAATTAAACTAAGAAGCTTCTGCACAGCAAAAGAAATAATAAACAGAGTACACAGACAACCTACAGAATGGGAGAAAATATTTGCAAACTATGCATCTGACAAAGGACTAATATCCAGAATCTACAAGAAACTCAAACAAATTAGCAAGAAAAAAAAAACCCATTAAAAGGCAGGCAAATGACATGAACAGCCACTTCTCAAAAGAAGAATAGAGTATTTTTACATTTGATAATAAGGACATATATTTCTAAGCCAACAAAAACCAATATTATGGAAAGCTTTATTTGTATGTTTTAGGTGCATTTTTCCTGAAGGAAAATAGTTTATAGCTGCCCTTTATATAAAAAAAATCGACTTAAAATTTGGTTATTTTAAAAATAAATGTAAGAATTTCTCATTTAGACAAGATTGGGCACTTTCAGGGTGGTATGGCCATGGGTAGAATTTCTCATTTAAATAAATGAATCTAGTTGTTAATACTTTTGAAAAGTAAATATTTTCTTCTAAATAGAAAATAGGAATGGCCAATCATAGTAAAGAAATTGAATCAGTAATAAAGTGACCCATCAAAGAAAAGCCCAGAATTGGATGGTTTATGCTGAATTCTACCAATTATTTAAAGGGGAACTAATACCACTCCTTCTCCAACTCTTCCAAAACATTGAAGTGGAGGGAATACTGCCAAACTAATTTCACAAGGCCAGCATTATCCTAATACCAAAGCCAGAAAAGAACATTACAAGAACAGACAATTACAGACCAATATCCCTGATGAACATAGATGCAAAAATCCTCAAAAGACTAATAAAACCAAATTCAATAGTATATTAAAAGGATTATTCACCATGATCAAGTGGGGATTTATCCCTAAGATAATTTCATGTATGATTCAACATGCACAAATCAATAAATGTGATATCCCATATTAACAGAATGAAAGACAAAAACTATAAGGTCATCTTAATAAATACAGACGAAGCATTTGACAAAATTGAATACCTTTTCATAAAAAATTCTCAACAACTTAGGTATAGAAGGAATGTACTTCAACACAATAAAGGGCCAAGTCTGATACATCACAGCTAACATCATACTCAGTGGTCAAAAGCTGAAAGCTATTCCTCTGTGATCAGGAACCAGACAAGGATACCCACTCTCACTACTTCTTTTCAACATAGAACTGGAAGTCCTAGCCAGAGCAATTAGGCAAGGAAAGAAATAAAAGGCATACAAATAGGAAAAGAAGAGGTGAAATTGTCCGCTTGCTGATTACATGATCTTATTAATAGAGACCCTAAAGATGCCACCAAAAAACTGTTAGAACTGATCAATGAATGCAATAAAGTTGCAAGATATACAAACTCAACATACAAAAATGTCACATTTCTATAAGCCAACAATGAACTACCTGAAAAAGAAAGAAAACAATTCCATTTACAATACTGTTAAAAAAGACCATTAAAAGAGTACTTAAGGGTAAATATAACAAGAAGGTGAAAATTCTGTATATTGAAAACTATAAAACATTGATGAAATAAATTTAAGAAAACACAAATAAGTGGAAAGATATCTTGTGTTCATGGATTGAAAGAATTAATATTGTTAAAATATCTATACTACCCAAAGTGAGCTACAGATTCAATGCAATCTCTACCAAAATTCCAACATCATTTTTCATTTTGCCAGTGGAACCACAAAAGATC
Organism: Homo sapiens; assembly: GCF_000001405.40. Classification (NCBI taxonomy): domain Eukaryota; kingdom Metazoa; phylum Chordata; class Mammalia; order Primates; family Hominidae; genus Homo; species Homo sapiens. The sequence goes on along the minus strand of NC_000001.11, from coordinate 225,260,645 downwards.
CCGAATAGCCAAAGCAATCTTGAGGGGGGGAAAAAAAAAAGCTTGTGGCATCACCCTACCTGATTTCAAAATATACTACAAAGCTATAGTAATCAAAACAACATGGCATTAGCATAATAACCAACATATAGACCAATGAAACAGGATAAAGGGCCCAGAAATAAACCCACACATTTACAATCAATTGCTTTGGCTATTCTGCACTCCTGTGTTCATTGCAGCATTATTCACAACAGACAAGATATAGGCTCACCCTAAGTGTTCAATGGCTGAATGGATTTTTTTTTTTTTTTTGAGATGGAGTCTTGCTCTGTTGCCCAGGCTGGAGTACAATGGCGCAATCTTGGCTCACTGCAACCTCCACCTCCTGAGTTCAAGCGACTCTCCTGCCTCAGTCTTCCGAGTAGCTGGGATTACAGGCACCTGCCACCACATCCAGCTAATCTTTTGTATTTTTAGTGGAGACAGGGTTTCACCATGTTGGTCAGGCTGGTCTCAAACTCCTGACCTCAGGTGATCCACCTGCCTCTGCCTCCTAAAGTGCTGGGATTACAGGCGTGAAACACTGCACCCAGCCTGAATGGATTTTTAAAATGTGGTGTCTGTGTGTGTGTGTATATATATATAATGGAATACTATTTAGTCTTTTAAAGGAAGGCAATCTTGTCATTTAAATGGATTTTTTAAATGTGCATATATACACAGATTCCATTATATATACAATGAAGTACTATTCAGTCTCTAAAAAGAAGGAAATTCTGTCATTTGTAACAACATGGATGAACCTGGAGGACATTATGCTAGTGAAATAAGCCAGGCACAGAAAGACAAATACTATATAATCTCACTTACATGTGGATTCTAAACAAGTCTAACTCATAGAAGCAGAAAGTAGACTAGTGGTTGCCAGGGGCAACAGGTAAGGTGGGAAGGAATGGGGAGATGTTGGTCAAAGGGTACAAAGTTTCAGTTAGATAAGCAGAATAAGAATTCGACATCTATTGCACAGCATGGTGACCACAGTTAATAATGTGTTGTATATTTCAAAATTCCTAAAAAATAGATTTTAATTGTTCTCACTAAAAAATCATAAGTATGTGAGGTAATGGTATGTGAATTACATGATATAATCATTCCTCAATATGTATATACATCAAAGCATCACATTGTACACCATAAATATAATTATCATTTGTCAATTAAAAATAAAAGTTTAAATGGAAAAAATAAAAGAGAAATCAGGAAAAAAAGGATTTTCTTCTTATCTCCTCTTTTGAATGATTCTGCATTTTTACATAACAGATTTGCTTTTTTTAAAAACAGGCATATTTATATATTAAAGCACACTTTTTAAAATCAGACAAATCAAATTTAGAAGTTAGTATATACAACCTTGATTTTTTTATTTCACTATATAATAGGGTGTCTCCTAAAATTGAACCATGTTTTATGTCAAATGCTCCTGGACCCTCTAGCTTTTCAAGCATTTGATTAATGGCAGCAGTTTTCCCAACACCAGATTCTCCTAAGGGAAAAAATACACAAGGTTAGATGTATATGCAAGAAAATGATACATGTTAACACATTAAAATGAACCAATAACATTCTCCCTCAATTGAAAATTGCATAAAAAGTGTTTTTTTGTTCTTCCCTTTTAAAAAAATGTGGTTAAGAGTGGTTAAATGAGGAAGTTAATATAAAACCCTCTCAAATTGTTTGAATTATTTACACCTCTTACAAAAGAATAGATTAAGAGTTAACTATTATTTTTATCTAATGTTCATGCTAATCCTTTAGCACAGAACTACAACATGAAACATAATTCCTTAAAAATTTCTGCCAACCCAATTTGAGGAAGAAATTTGATGATAAACTTTTTGTTCAATCAGAGTAGGGACTCTGTAATGATTTTACAATTCATTAAGTATTAAAGTAAAGATAAGTATTTTCTTAGACAAAATTAGAGGCAAGGTATGTGTTATCTGAGAGTTACATTGCCTTAATTCTCTGCATATGGAACTGGGAAAATGATACTATTGCCTCTGGTGCTATGCAACACAAGTTAGATAATTGGAAAAGGTAACTGATGGGTTGAAATACGCATTAAAAGAGAGTAGGAGCTGTATTGAATTACTATTTTGATAATGGTAAAAGATAGAAAAATCTTAATATTGGATTGGGGAATCCCATTGAATGTGTACATGTAAGTAAACCAATCAATGTTACCAATAAGAACCTCAGCCCACAGGCTACAGAGGCCAAACATATATTATTAATATAATAGCTCTACTTCTGGAATTTCTCCTGCAGGTAATGAAAAGATGAAAAAGATTTATAATGTCCTATTTTGGCAAATATGTGGAAAAATGGGTGTTCATAAACTGCTGGTAAGAAAATAAATTAATATAGTAACCAAAACTTTTCAGTGTATATTTTTTTCCCACTTACAAAATAAGATAGTTAGACCAAATATCTGTAAATCTTTTTCTAACTCTGAAATTCTCCTTCTATTAAATATTTGTAATACCTGTGAGAAGTACAGGGCAGGAATTCTTTAAAAGAAGGCTCATGAGAAAAGAAAGGCATGTTGTGTCTCTGGTAGCGGTATAATTAATGCATTCTCCACATTCTGTTATCTTCAAGAAGTTTCCGCCAGATCTTTGAAGATTAGTTAGTAATGAAGTTCCTAAGTTAACATTTTAAAAAAAGTTTCAAATGACCTAGAAAGTACTATTCACCTCATCTTTTTTTTTTTTTTGTCATTAGGATTATTTTATTTTCATTAATTGTATATATGAAAAGTACATGGCTGGCTGGGCACGGTGGCTCACGCCTGTAATCCCAGCACTTTGGGAGGCCAAGGCTGGCAGATCAGGAGTTCAGGAGATCGAGACCATCCTGGCTAACGCGGTGAAACCCCATCTCTACTAAAAATACAAAAAATTAGCCGGGTGTGGTGGCAGACGCCTGCAGTCCCAGCTACTCGGGAGGCTGAGGCAGAAGAATGGCCTGAACCCAGGAGGCGGAGCTTGCAGTGAGCCGAGATTGCGCCACTGCACTCCAGCCTGGGCGACAGAGACTCCGTCTCAAAAAAAAAAAAGAAAGAAAAAAAAGAAAAGAAAAGTACATGGCTATGCAGAAATAAAATATGTTAAGATTTGTTTCAGGAAAATGTAATCATGTCACAATATAGTCAATCATAAAAGTTATTAGTTCATTACTCTTAAAAGTCTTCCTATTCCTGAGAAAACTCCATTGATTATGTCCAGGAGTTCCTAAATGTCGCATGTATTGGAGAAGCAATCATTTCCACTAAATTAAAGTCATTCTGCAAGTCACTTTCATCATCACTTTCATTACCACAGAGGACACTAGAGGCACTTTTAGCTGCTCAACAGAAATTCATGCATTTCCACATTATAGCAGTTCTCCAGTGGTGGATGCCCTAACCCCGGAGAGGTCAAAGCAGTGATGCAGTCTATGGTGGACTGGATGTATTCACCTAACTTTTAGGTCCTCAATACATAATAATTTCTGGAAAAGTCTGCACATTACAAAACAATTTAAACATACATAAATAAGCCAAAATTGTTACAAGTGCCTGGGGGTCTCTGCTGATCTCAGAAATTATCCCTCACTCACACTCTTTCTGACTTTGATGTGGACAGTTAGTGCTATCAATTTTCCTCTTAAAATGCTTTAGTTGTGTGCCAGAGATTCTGTCTTTATCTGTTTTTTTTTTAAAATAGCAAATGGGCTCCTGGTCTTTTACTTTGATTTGTAAAGTCCCTTTATATATTAAGCAAATTAGCTCTTGTAATCTGCTTGGTGTTTTATGTAAGTACTCTGATTATTATATTTGACTGAGCTAATCTGTCCTCATTATTTCCTGGCTACTCTTACTCTCTTACTTGTTTAACATTTCTGTATGGAATTTGGAATCAGCTTCTATAGTCCTCACCACACCTATAATGTGGTATGTTTATTGGAATTATCTTTACTTCATGGATTAATTTAGGAAGAATTAACCCATTTAGGATGATAGCTTTTCTCCAAGAACATGGCATGCTTTTTTATTTCTATGTCTCAAGAATGTTTCCAAGTTTTCTTCATATTGATTTTTGCATATTTCTCGTTAAACTTAGTTTTCTGTATTTCATCTTTTTAAAAATTTTGCTTTTGCCATTTTATTTTATTTTATTTATTTATTTTCTTACCCAATCCTGCCGCAGTTGACCCCAAATCCATCCCACAGAAGCAAAGCCAATCTTGCAATGTTTACTTCCGGTTTTCTACCCTACTCCAGCCGCCACTGTGGTAACTTCTGGATGACCAACACGTGCGCACTAATTCTCTCTGTTTTTGCCACTTTAAATAAGATCTTTTCTTTTATTATTTACCTTGTAACTGGTTGTTGTTTGTATATGTGTGGAAGATTATTTTTACACATTGTTTTGTAATTAGACTAAAACTAAATTCTCTTATTGCTTATAGTAGTTTTAAGTTGATCCTTTGGTTTTCCAGATATTTTATTATAACTTCTGCAAATAATTAAAATTTAATCACTTATTTTCCAAATTTCTATCTCTAATTCCTCTTTTTAATTGCATTGGCTCGTATACACAAAACAGCATTGAGTTAAAAATTGGATTTTAATGGTAATGCTTCAAGTATTTCCCCTTAAGTAGACTCTGTTGTTATTCTTATTGAACTTTTACTTCCGTTGTATTTTTCATTTCTAGAAGGTCTACTTGGTTCTTTTTCAAATTGTGTCAGCTTTTAATAGTTTCTCTTGCATTTCAGGTATTTTCTATCTTTCTTTTTATTTCTTTATAAATGGTAAGCATGGCTGTCTGAGAATATATACCTTTATTCTAGTCATCCAAGTCTCATTAATTTGTGGCTGCAATCTTGTTTCTGCTAATTATCTTTAAAGGGGTATTAAATTTGAAAATATTATTTGTAGGAATAATATAAAGTGTAGGATAATAGTTCCACTCTATAGAAAGTATGTCCATTGGCTTCTGACTGGATGCTGGGAGACTACTCAGGGATTCCCTTAATCCCAATTCAAGACTGGAGATTCCTTAGATGATGTAGGATAATGTATCTGGCCTCAGATTATGGGTACCTGGATATGTAAGGGCTGGTTTAATCCAGTTCACCTTCACATAGAGAGTGTAGCTCTTCATTAGCCCAGATTAAATTATACGTGTGTGTGTATGTGAGAAAGAGTGGAGGGAAGGAAGCTTTGATTTCTGACATCCTTAATCCTTGAATAGCCAACCTAATGATACAATGACTTGATTGATTCAATCAAAATCACATGTAATTCTTTAAATGGATATTGTAGCCTCAATAATTTCTATAAAGGAGAATTTTCAGCACTCTTAGCTGTGGATTGAACATTACTACAAAATTCACATTTAAACTCCTCAAACATTAGTGGAAATCAAAATAAAACACACAACTCTTAATCTGCAAGCAAATGTTTCCTTCCAATAACTACCCCCTGCCCATGATAACAAGAAAGAGAATTCTGTGTCATGGTCTGTCACATCAGTACTCAATATTGGGATTTACATATCAATATCTTATAAACCCTTAGAGTACGGATTCCAGAAGAGAGAGCCTCATTTTTTTTCCCCTTTCAGTTAGTTCCCTGTGCAAACAACCACACCAAAAGATCTTGTCTAAACACAGTTCTGACTACTTTATTCTTTGTTTTCTTATACTCAGTAGTCGCTACCATGACGTGAGTTGAAACAATAGGTTTGGGTGCGTAGGCAATACCTCAATTTGACCTTTGCTGTTGAGCTGGCTGCTACCTAGTAGACAGCATCTAATGTGAGGCTCTGGAGAAAAACTTAGGTCCACAGTCTTCCTTTTGATATTTGGGGGATAGAAACAGTTAACATTTTTGAAACTATGAGAGCCCAATATACTGGACTCTCAGTTTTAGATTGTAGGCTTCAGGTAGAGAGAGTCTCCCTTGCCTGAGCTCTATTATCTTTCATCTTTGCTTAAAAACTAGTTAACTTTTATCTAAATTCATCCCTCTCTTATTGAACTTCAGTAAAAGTGACAAAAAGTAGCCAATTCACACCAACGTTTTGATCTTCCAGCCACTTTCCCTAGAGTTACAGCACATGGTCTGTCTCCCAGATATCACAGCTAACAATGTTGCCAATTTTTTGGCCATGGCATATAAAGGATCACCTGTATTCACCTGCAACATTGTGTCTTCATTGCCCAGCATCTGACTTTTAAGTCAATGTCAGGTATTTCAGGATTTTTTCTGTGATTGTGTCATTTCTAGCTACTGAAATGTGTATTAATTATGATACAAGTTCTATCTGCTTTAACAAAGATCCAAATATAACCATGGCTTTTAAAGGTGGAATTTGATTCCTCTCTCATGTAACAGCCCATGGTCTATATGTCAGCTCCACAGTGTTAGGAATCCAGGATTCTATTTTTTCCTGCCGTCCTTACCCTGCACTTTCCATATCTAGGTTCTTGGTGGTTGCTTTAGGTTTCACCACCACATCTCAGGAGCAAGAAAGGGGAGAAAAAAATAGGAGAACATGTGTACATTCCTTTCTTTTTAATTGTACAATCTAGAATTTGCATGATTCACCTCTAGTCATATCCCGCTGTCTAGATCTAATCTGGTCACATAACCACACTGCTCTACAAGAGAGGTTTAGCTGGATGATGAAGTGCCTAGATGAATCTTCCAATGATAGAGAAACAGGAAAGAATAGAGTTGGGAGTGACAAGCGGCAGTGAATGCCACACAGGGTATTGATGCAAGAGGTAACATTAATATTTAACTTTTTCATCATTTTCCTTTATATTTTCCCACCATGCTATTAAAGAAAGAACCACTTACATGTTTCTCTATAATCCCACACAAGAAACAGGGTAAGCACATTAGAAAATAGCTTGATTAATACGTGTGGGATGAATAAAGAAATTAATGAATGTTGGGTGACCTTCAAAACACATCTTCTGATAACAGATTAGGATTACTCTTTTTAAGTAAAGAAGTATAAGAAAAAAAATCCTACTCAACCATAAAAGGAGACTTTTGAAGCACATCTAGGATGTCCAAACAATTTATCATATTGCGGTTTACCATGAAAAAAATTACATGGTGACATTTAAATTCTTGTTACAGGTTTGGGTTTGAAAGTCAGGGAATGTTTTAGTTATTTCTAAGCTCTTTGCCTGCAATTAGAGGAAGTGGCAGCCAGAGGAAGTAATGTTCTAGATTTGGAGAAAACAGCTTTGGTTTCCCGTGTGAGTGGTATACTAAGATGTGGAGTCACATGCAAATGATATTCAGTTATACTTTTCTACATAGTGGTAAAAAGCTAAGGCTGTCAGTCAATATCAGCACTAACATATGAAATACAGTTCGGAGCTTGTAAACAAATATGATTGCCCGCTAATATTTATTGTAACAAAATATTGAATAAAATAGTCTTGGCATTTCCAACGAAAACAAATGTAGAGTTAAAACTCTCTGGATGCTTTAGCATTCTGATAGCTCTGGTTGTTTGCTGTCAAAAGCTCTTACAACCAACTCTGAAATTCTTTTATGAGAGAAATCTGACTTCAAAGCAATTCAATTTGTATTTATTAAATTTCTAATATTTGCAGGAACTCTAAAGAAGCTTGATTATTAGATTCCTGCCTCTGCCTCAAATTTCTACCAAGCTCTCAAAGTGCAACAAGTTTCTTTTTTCTGCTATATGTAGATGCAGAAGATTGGGAATAAAAACAATTTAGCATATATGTATATTTGTGAAACTATGATTATTCTTTTCTAATTAGCATTTTCATTTATAATTAAGTGTAAGTTTTTACATATATGTTTTTCACATTTTACAAGTAGTCCTTTCCATTTTCTTGTCCCAATAATTACAGCTAATTGAAATAAATAGTGCTCTTAGGAAGACTTTCAATGTGCTACAGTTTTACAATGTGCATTTAATTCAATAAAATATACTCTAAATTTCTCAGAAAGTAATATTCAAAGGTTATGTTTTTAAAGATATGTTTTGTAAACATAGATCTAAACTGGTCTCTACACAAACATATTAGTCCTCAAAGTTGCAGATATAATTACTTTTATAAATAGAGTAGATATAATTACTTTTATGAATAGAGTATACCCAATATTCTAACGTTACAAGTATGATTCTTATAATTATTCTTACCTCTTTGAATTAGTGTCTGATCATTAGGAACTAAATCTGACCAAGGTATGAATTCACATTGCTCTATATCCACAAAATATCCAAAGATGGAACATTCACCAGTTGGTAGGTTGATGCCTACAACCGAAAATAATAAATTCAACTAAGAAAGGGGTTCAGTTATGGAATGTTTCACTAACCATGTAAACTCTCTCTGAAAGATCTGATTGTTGAACAAGAAATAATAAGTATTCACCAAGGGTATATCCAAGTGTATAGGCCTGTTTTCCCCTCAATCTTCAATGTGTAAAAATGAAGTTTTATTAACTTCTTGTCCTCTTTATATCCAGAAAGCAAGGTGAAGTATGATCTGATATTCCTTGAAATCTTACCCCAAAGTTTTGATTATTACCATGTGTTTGGATGCAGTTAAATGCCAGTAACATATTGATTGTGGTCAAACCAATATATCAGAGAACTTTGTTATTTGTAAATCACACTTATCTTTCTATTATAAAAGTAATACATTTTCTTAGCACAAAATTCTGAAAATATAGAATAAAAGTAAACTAATTTAGCCATGGATTCACTATAAGATAATAACAGTATTAGTATTTCATATATTCTTATTTACCACTTGAATGGTAAATAAATCTTTGGAAAAGTGTGTGTGCAAATTTTTTTACCATTTGAAAAATTGTGTTTTCTTATTATTGTGTTTTAAGAGTTCTTTATCTATTCTGGATATATCTTTGTTTGATACGTAATTTATATATATTCTTTGAATCTGTGGCTTGTCTTACTATTATTGTTATTCTCTTAATGGTAAGTTCTTCAGAGCAAATGTTTTAATTAAATTTTTTTCTCTTATGGATTATGCTTTTAGTGTTGTACATAAGAACTCTTTGTCTAACTGAAGGACACAAAGGATTTTTTCTTGTCCTTCTTAAGAATTTTATAATTTAGACCAGGCGTGGTGGCTTATGCCTGTAATCCCTGCACTTTGGGAGGCCAAGGTGGGCAGATCACTTGAGGTCAGGAGTTTGAGACCAGCCTGGCCAACATGGTGCAACCCCGTCTCTACTAAAAATACAAAAATTAGCCAAGCGTGGTGACAGGTGCCTGTAATTCCAGCTATTTGGGAAGCTGAGGCAGGAAAATCACTTGAACCTGGGAGGCGGAGGCTGCAGTGAGCTGAGATCACGCTATTGCACTATAGCCTGGGTGACAAGAGCAAGACTCCATCTCAAAAAAAAAAAAAGTTTATAGTTTTACAATTTATATTTAGGCCTAGCATCCATTTTAGTGTATAATCTTAGTCTGTCAAATTCCTTTTTTTAAACATATAAATGTTCAGTTGGTCCAGTACCATTTGCTGAAAAGACTATTCTATTAGTTAGCTTGGGCTGCCATAACAAAATACCATAGACTGGGTGGCTTGAACAACAGAAATTTATTTTCTGTTGTCTTTTGTGTGTTCAAATTTCCTTTTCTTCTAAGGATGCCAGTCAGATGGGATTAAGGCCACACTTCCAAGCATCTCCCTTATGGAGCTCTCACACTCCCTGGCAATGATATACTTACCCTAATCACCCCAAAGCCAGGTACCAGATAGCCAGGGACAGCCCTGTTCAGCAGAACTTGCTGAAATTATTCAAACTAGCCAATCCCAAGCCCATTTACACTGCTTTGCCCATTCCTTCCTGCAGAAACCACAATAAAGGTACTTGCCCACAGTTCCCCTTTCTCCGTCTGCCCTGTGACTGACCCCAGTGCTTCCATCCTGAGTGGCCCAATGTGTCATGTTCTTTCTCTTCAGGAACCTGTGAGTATAACAAAACTGTAAAACCGTTTCCAGTTCCCTTTTCTTCATCTGAGTCTGGCCTCACCATACCTCACCCAAGGGAATATGGTTAAAACAGCACGCCACATACGATCTCTGTTGTATATTCTTCTTTGTTTTCCTTTACAAATCCCTTACAAATATAAAAATCATTCTTAGCTTACAGTCTGTACAGAAGTAGGCTACAAGCTGGAATTGCCTTGCAGGCTGTAGTATGCTAATCCCTGGTTTAATTAAGTGTCCCTTATTATACATCATTAGTTTTTAGAGAAATGCAGATTAAAACCACAGTGAGATACATTTCATACCCACTGGAATGGCTATAATAAATGAGAAAGACAATGACAAATTGCCTCCAAATATTGGGGAGGATTTGGAGAACAAGAACCCTAATATATTGTTGGTAGGAATGTAGAATAGTGTAGACATTTTGGAAAAAAGTTTGGCAGTTGCTCAAAAGTTAAACCTAAAACTACCACAATATGACCCAGCAATTCTTGCCTTAGGCATCTACCCAAGAGAAATGAAAACATATGTCCACAGAAAGACTTGCATATAATGCATAAAAGCATTATCCATAATAGTCCCAAACTTTAAACAATCTAAATGTCTACCAACTGGTAAATGGATAGACAAGATGTGATATATTCATAGAATGGAATACTATTCAGCAAATTAACTACTGATAAATGATACATTATGGATGAGCCTCAAAAACATTATGATACATGAAATAAACCAGACCCAACAGACCATATATGGTAGTTGATTTCTTAAAATGCTTATTGAAGCTTAATTTACTAAGAAGCAAATTTGTTGCCGATGGTTGGGGATGGGAATAAGGATTAACTGTAAATGGGAACGGAGATCATAATGGAAAGACGAAAATATTCTAAAACTGATGTATGGTGATGGTTGCACCACTCAGTAAACTTACTAAAAAATCATTGATACATATATTTGAAGTGGGTGAATTTGGTGTGTAAAATATACCTCATTCAAGCTCTGTCTTCTCAGTTCAGCAAGGCCATTTTGTTCTTCTTAGGTTCCCTTCCCTGGGCCACCATCTGGAAAGCTCCTCCAGGTAGAGGGCTGGGGCAATCATAGGGCTCATCTCATTTACTCCCTGGGGCAAGGCCATGATTTATTACTGTCCATCCCAAATAAATGAGGATACTTCTTATTTTCCTTCTTGATAGGGATTGAAAATGTATTCACCAGGTCAAGAACACATACCAAATGCTAGAGATTGTCCCTACTGGTAAAAAGAGTAGCCAAAGTGACTGGGATTACTATTTGTTTAAGATTATTATAGTCCACCATCACCCACCTTGATCCATCTTTTTTATTTCAAAAGATCAGGTTAGTGAATTAAGTAGGAATATAATGGATAACTCATACCTGCATCTTTGAAGCCCTGAGGATGTCATTGATATCTGCCATTTCTTCCAGGATGCAGTATTGGTTTGAGGTCTGTGGACTGAGGATTGGCTCTACGAGGGGCTTTCATTTGGCTTCTTATGCCATTATAAATCTTATTTTACAGGTCAGGAAATTAAGGTGAAGGTGTTTGCCAGTGCTAAGTATATCCATTCTGATTATGCACCCAGGTGCTGGGGAAATGAGCACTGGATGAGTCCATGAACAAACTGCAATGGAGTTGTACCAGGACCTTATCACCTTTCCTCTATAAGCCCCCACTCTAATAGAGGGACCATGATGTTCTTTTGGTTCTACAGGTGTAACTATTAGCTCAAATCCTGTATTCAACTATCCTTCAAAGAACTGGTGTTCCCCTTTTCCCTAGTTATAGTAACTCTAATAAATGACTTTAGGTTCCTATTTGTTATGTCATTGCAGATCCTTCCTCAAGTTGAACTGCCTTTCCTTCCCGAGATCTGAGTGCTAAGGGAGCTCATTGTTATTAGTTGTCACTCTTCTAGGCTCTCTCAGCAGACAGAGCTAAGAAATATATGTACATATACTGACCTGGGTATATACTCTGTTTTCTTTTGGTTTGTATTTGCATTACATGTAATTATTAATTACCTCATTCTAAACTTCTGTGTGCTTCAAATTAATTTATTAGATTTATACATTTTTCTAACAAATCTAAAGTTATCTGATATTTCTACACTATTCTCAAACACAACAAAGACCTTAGCACACTTCCACTACCTATTGAACACCCCCCTCTTCCATCTTATTTTGTGTATAATTTTGATTTTGTCTTTTTAATAAAAAGTTACTTTATAATCAATAGTTTTATCAGTCTATTGATCTATATTACCAAGTTCTATGCTCATCATTACTCTTATATTGGTCACCATCCCACTGTGTATATTAGTCTTCTTGCTGAAGTACATCCTTTAATACTTCTTTTATACATGAGTTACAGGTGTTTGACGATTTCAGTCTTCATATGTCCGAATGGATCTTTATTTTGGTGTTATCTTAAATGATAGCTTCTGAGGATAAAAATTTAGGTTCCTTCATCCATTTGAAGATATTACTACATTATCTTTTGATCTCTATTGTTGCTAATAAAAATTTGTCTAATTATTATTATTATTATTTGAGACAGAGTCTTGCTCTGTCACCCAGGCTGGAGTGCAGTGGCGCGATCTCGGCTCACTGTAAGCTCCACCTCCCAGGTTCACGCCATTCTCCTGCCTCAGCCTCCCCAGTAGCTGGGACTACAGGCGCCCGCCACCGTGCCTGGCTAGTTTTTTGTATTTTTAGTAGAGACGGGGTTTCACTGTGTTAGCCAGGAGGTCTCCTGACTTCGTGATCCGCCTGCCTCGGCCTCCCAAAGTGCTGGGATTACAGGCGTGAGCCACCACACCTGGTCAAAAATTTGTCTAATTATTATTCCTTTGTAGATATTGTCTTTTCTCTATAAAAACTTTAAATATTTTTTATTGACATTTTGCAGTTTCACTATAAATTGTTTAAATGTGTTTAATATCAGGATTTATGTCAATCTGGCAAATTCTCTGATATTATATCGTCAAATGTTGCTTCTCTGACATTCCCCTCCAGAATGAGAGATTCTTCTGAAATCTCTTGGCAGATCCTCTCGCTCATCACTGTTCTTCCATATCTTTTTCTTCTCTAGGTTTCAACTTACTAATTCTTTCTTTGATGGTGACCAGAGTGGAGTTTATCCTATTGAATTTCTTTTTATTTACTTATTTTTTTTATTATTCTTTAAGTTCTGGAATACATGTGCAGAATGTGCAGGTTTGTTACATAAGTATACATGAGCCATGGTGGTTTGCTGCTTCCATCAAAACCATCATCTGGGTTTTCAGCCCCGCATGCATTAGGTATTTGTCCTAATGCTCTCCCTCCCCTTGCCCCCACCCCGCAACAGGCCCCAGTGTGTGATGTTCCCCTCTCTGTGTCCATTTGTTCTCATTGTTCAACTCCCATTTATGAATGAGAACATGCAGTATTTGGTTTTCTGTTCCTGTGTTAGTTTGCTGAGAATGATGGCTTCCAGCCTCAACCATGTCCCTGCAAAGCACATGAACTCATTCTTTTTTATGGCTGCATAGTATTCCATGGTGTATATGTGCCACATTTTCCTTATCCAGTCTATCATTAATGGGCATTTGGGTTCATTCCAAGTCTTTGCTATTGTGAATAGTGTTGCAATAAACATACGTGTGCATGTTTCTTTATAGTAGAATGATTATATTCCTTTGGGTATATACCCAGTAATGGGATTGCTGGGTCAAATGGTATCTGGTTCTAGATCCTTGAGGAATTGCCACATTGTCTTCCACAACGATTGAGCTAATTTACACTCCCACCAACAGTGTAAAAGCGTTCCTATTTCTCCACATCCTCTCCAGCATCTGTTGTTTCCTGACTTTTTAATGATTGCCATTCTAATTGGAGTGAGATGGCATCTCATTGTGGTTTTGATTTGTATTCCTCTAATGACCAGTGATGAAGAACTTTTTTTCATATGTTTGTTGGCCACATAAATGTCTTCTTTTGAGAAGTGTCTGTTCATATCTTTTACCTACTTTTTGATGGGGTTGTTTGTTTTTTTCTGGTAAATTTGTTTAAGTTCCTTGTAGATTCTGGATGTTAGCCCCTTATCAGATGGATAGATCGCAAAATTTTCTCCCGTTCTGTAGGTTGCCTGTTCACTCTGATGATAGTTTCTTTTGCTGTGCAGAAGCTCTTTAGTTTAATTAGATCCCATTTGTCAAATTTGGCTTTTGTTGCAACTGCTTTTGGTGTCACAGTCATGAAGTCTTTGCCTATGCCTATGTCCTGAATGGTATTGCCTCGGTTTTCTTCTAGGGTTTTTATGGTTTTGGGTCTTACATTTACATCTTTAATCCATCTTGAGTTAATTTTTGTATAAGGTGTAAGGAAGGGGTCCAGTTTCAGTTTTCTGCATATGGCTAGCCAGTTTTCCCAACACCATTTATTAAATAGGGAATCCTTATCCTTTTTTTTTTTTTTTTTTTGCCAGGTTTGTCGAAGATCAGATGGTTGTAGATGTGTGGTGTTATTTCTAAGGCCTCTGTTCTGTTTCAGTAGTCTATATATTTGTTTTGGTACCAGTATCATGCTGTTTTGGTTACTGTAGCCTTGTAGTACAGTTTGAAGTCAGGTAGTGTGATGCCTCTAGCTTTGTTCTTTTTGCTTATGATTGTCTTGGCTATATGGGTTCTTTTTTGGTTCCATATGAAATTTAAAGTAGTTTTTCCTAATTCTGTGAAGAAAGTAAATGGTAGCTTGATGGGAATAGCATTGAATCTATAAATTACTTGGAGCAGTATGGCCATTTTCACGATATTGATTCTTCCTATCCATGAGCATGAAATATTTTTCCATTTGTTTGTCCTCTCTTATTTCCTTGAGCAGCAGTTTGTAGTTCTCCTTGAAGAGGTCCTTCACGTACCTTGTAAGTTGTATTCCTAGGTATTTTATTTTCTTTGTAGCAAATGTAAATGTGAGTTCACTCATGATTTGGCTGTTTGTCCTATTATATTATTGTCTATTATTGTCAATATATTGCCTATATTGGTGTATAGGAATGCTTGTGATTTTGCACATTGATTTTGTGTCCTGAGACTTTGCAGAAGAGACTCAGACTCCCACACAATAATGGTGGGAAACTGTAACACCCCACTGTGAATATTAGACAGATCAACAAGACAGAAAATTAACAAGGATATTCAGGACTTGAACTCAGCTCTGGACCAAATGAACCTAATAGACATCTACAGAACTCTCCACCCCAAATCTACAGAATATACATTCTTCTCAGCACCACATAGCACTTATTCTAAAATTGATCACATAAGTGGAAGTAAAACACTCTCTCAGCAAATGCAAAAGAAAGGAAATCATAACAGTCTCTCAGACCACATTGCAATCAAATTAGAACTCAGGATTAAGAAACTCACTCAAAACCACAAAACTACATGGAAACTGAGCAACCTGCTCTGGAATGACTACTGGGTAAATAATCAAATAAGGCAGAAATAAATAAATTTTTTGAAACCAATGAGAACAAAGGCACATGTACCAGAATCTCTGGGACAGAGCTAAAGCAGTGTTAAGAGGGAAATTTATAGCACTAAGTGCCCACATCAGAAAGCGGGAAAGATCTAAAATCGACACCCTAACATCACAATTAAAAGAACTAGAGAAGCAAGAGCAAACAAATTCAAAAGCTAGCAGAAGACAAGAAATAACTAAGATCAGAGCAGAACTGAAGGAGATAGAGACATGAAAAACCCTTCATAAGATCAACCATCCAAGAGCTGTTTTTTTGAAAAGATTAACAAAATAGATAGACCACTAGCCAGACTAATAAAGAAGACAATAGATGAATCAAATAGATACAATAAAAAATGATGAAGGGGATATCACCACTGATCCCACAGAAATACAAACTACCATCAGAGATTAATATAAAAACCTCTATGCAAATAAACTAGAAATCTAGAAGAAAAGGATAAATTCCTAGACACACACACCCTCCCAAGACTAAACCAGGAAGAAGATGAATCCCTGAATAGACCAATAACAAGTTCTGAAATTGAGGCAATAATTAATAACCTACCAACCAAAAAAAGCCCAGGACCAGATGGATTCACATCCAAATTCTACCAGAGGTACAAAGAGGAGCTGGTACTATTCCTTCTGAAACTATTCCAAACACTAGAAAAAGAGGGACTCCTTGCTAGCTCATTTTATGAGGCCAGCATCATCCTGATGCCAAAACCTGGCAGAGACACAACAAAAAAAGAAAATTTCAGGCCAATATCCCTGATGAACATCGATGAAAAATCCTCAATAAAATACTGGCAAAATGAATCCAGCAGCACATTAAAAATCTTACCCATGACAATCAAGTTGGCTTCATCCCTGGGATGCAAGGCTGGTTCACCATACACAAATCAATAATCAATAAACGTAATCCATCACATAAACAGAACCAGTAACAAAAAACATATGATTATCTCAATAGATGCAGAAAAGGCCTTCGATAAATTCAACACTCTTTCATGTTAAAAAACACTCAATAAACTAGGTATTGATTGAACACATCTCAAAATAATAAGAGCTATTTATGACAAACCCATAGCCAATATCATACTGACTGGGCAAAAGCTGGAAACATTCCCTTTGAAAACCGGCACAATGCAAGAATGCCCTCTTCACCACTCCTATTTAACATAATATTGGAAATTCTGGCCAGGGCAATCAGGCAGGAGAAAGAAATAAAGGGTATGAAGATAGGAAGAGAAGATGTCAAATTGTCCTGTTTGCAGATGACATGATTGTATATTTAGAAAACCCCATCGTCTCAGCCCAAAAACTCCTTAAGCTGATAAGACTTTCTTTGTCTTAGTACCAGCTCCTCTTTGTAAATAACAAAATTTTTCATTTCCAGATGTCTATTTCATTCTTTTTCATAGCTATATGTTCTTTTAAAATTTCTACATGTTGTTCCGTAATTCATCATTTATTAAAAATGGATGCCATTCATTTATCTTTTTAGGACCCTAAACACTTACATTCAAATCTGTGTTAGGTCATAATAATTTTCCCTGAGATGAATTCATATGATGGGCCATTTTGGTGGTATATTTCCTTAACAGATTAGGTTTTCTTTATGTGTTTTACAATTTTTTCTTGCAATGTAATTATAATTTTTTTTGGCTCTCCCCCTTTTTTTCTTTTTCCTCATTTCTACTTTGGTGGTTTTATAGTTCTATAATTGCTTCTACTTGCCTTTCCTTCCCTTTTTACCCTCCTATTCTAACCTAGTTTTATACTGATATTTCAGATGACAAAGCAAAATTTCATATTCATTGTTTTAAGATAAGCATTCAAATATAATGAATAATTTATTAACTTGCCTTTTAGTTTACAGGAAGAGCAAACACAGTTCTAGGTATTTCTGCCTAACAAATAAATTAAGGCAATTTATTTATCTATAGGAGTTAGAGGATGGAGTTGAATCATTCATTTCAACAACAAATTAACACGCAATGCTTTTGGATTAAAGGTTAATTTCCACAGGAAATAACATAGAATCTTTGCCATCCAGATGTCTTAAATAGAACTTTTAACAAATACAGTAATGTGCCACACAATGATGTTTTAACAATCATGGACTGGATATATAATGATGTTACCATAAGATTATAATGGAGCTGAAAAATTCCTATCACCTAGTGACATCATAGTCATCGTAACATCGTAGCTGTCATAATGTCATAGCACAATGCACTAATTATCTTTGTGGTGATGCTGGTGTAAACAAACCTACTGGGGTGCCAGTTGCATATACAATTATCTACAGTACATAATCTTTGATAATGATGATAAATGACTACGTTACTGGTTTATGTATTTACAATATACTTTTTATCATTATTTTAGAGTGCACTCCTTCTATTTATATATAAAATTAACTGTAAAACAGCTTCAGGCAGGTCCTTCATGTGGTATTCCAGAAGAAGGCATTGTTGTCCTAGGAGATGACAGCTCTGTGTGTATTATTGCCCTGAAGAACTTCCAGTGGGACAATATATGGAGGTGGAAGACAGTGATATTGATGAACTTGACCCCACGTAGGCCTAGGCTAATGTGTGTGTTTGTGTCTTAGTTTTTAACAAAAAAGTTCAAAAAGTAAAGAAATAAAATAAAATATAAAAACAGAATAAAGATATCAAGAAAATATTTTTACACAATGTGTTTTTGCTTTAAGCTAAGTGTTGTTTCAAAGGAGTCAAAAGTGAAAAAAATTAAAATTTTATAAAGTAAAAAAAATTATAGTAAGCTAAGGTTATTATTGAAGAAAAAAAATTTTTTTTTTGAGGCTGGGTCTTAATCTGTTTCCCAGGCTGGAGTACAGGAGCACAATCATGGCTCACTGCAGCCTCCAACTCTTGGGCTCAAGCGATCCTCTCACCTCAGCCTTCCAAGTAGCTGAAACTACAGGAGCATACAACCATGCCTGGCTTTTTATTTATTCACTCATTTGTTTTTAGAGATGGATGGGTCTCACTATGTTGCCCAAGCTAGTCTTGAACTCCTGGCTCAAGCAATCCTCCTGCCTTGGCCTCCCAAAGTGCTGGGATTACAGGCATGGGCTACTGCACACAGCCTGAAGAAAGAAAAATTTACAAATAAATTTAGTGTAGCCTAAGTGTACAGTATTTATAAAGTCTACAGTAATGTACAGTAATGTCTGAGGCCTTCACAGTCACTCTCCACTAACTCAGAACAACTTCCAGTCCTGCAAGTTCCATTCATGGTAAGTGCCCTATTCAGGTGTACCATATTTTAAATCTTTTATACTGAATTTTTACTGTACCTTTTCTATGGTTAGATATGTTTAGATGCACAAATACTAGTTTGTTACAATTGCCTACAGTATTCAGTAGAGTAACATGCTGTACATATTTGTAGCCTTAGAGCAATAGGTTATGCCATATAGCCTAGGTGTGTAGTAGGCTACACTATCTAGATTTGTGTAAGTTCACTCTTTGACATTCACACCATGAAAAAAATCCCCCAACAGCACATTTCTCAGAACACATCCCAGTTGTTCAGCAATGTATGACTGTAACCTCAAACAAGTACATCAGACAAATCAGTAGGATTTGTATTTTTGGTATAATGTTGTTAGCATTCATCTTTATTTAACAAAGTTCTTCTAAATATATTTATGCTTAATATTTTGTCTCTTTTTGGTACCTGCATCAACAATCACTTTACCTACTCAAAGTTCTTTTAGTCAACAACAGCTAATTGCAAATGTTTACTGTTTCAAAGTAATAGGATGGATTCCATTTGTTAGAACCGATTCAAAAAGCACAAGTACTAAGGAAATCTAAGGCTTTATAAAATAATTTGGATTTTTTTAAAAAAAAGAAATATAAGACTATAATATTATGATCCTACAGAACTTCTTGCTACATGGCGATATGGATAATACAGATCCAGAAACACAGCAGATGAGCTCAGAGTAACTGAATTGATAGTTTTATGGCTTTATCTTCTGCCTTACTGGCATTATAGGTTTTCGTAGCACCTAAAACCAAACAGGAATGTAATTTTCTTCAGCTTCTTTCACTATAATGAGGGTATTGGGTATATTATAAACCTTCTTTTTCCTTCAATCTTAACATTTTAAAAGATGAACCTAATCATTATAAGCCAAGCATTGCTTTAAATTAATATTTTAAAATAAGTATAGTTATGATTTTTCCCACAGAACTTACCTACTTGTGAACTGTTTCCAAATAATTCATGAACAAGTTTGTCAAAATCGTATGTTACTTTTGCAAGAGAATCAGGTTCAAGACTGGGACAAAATGGTATATTTTCTCTGTGTTCATCTTCACGGTTTAAAGCTCCTCCAAATGCCCAAGTAAAGGCAAACACAAAAAGCTTTTGAATAATTTTTGTTAATTTATCAGGATTTTTCTCTGGATACCATGTATTTTCATCCCTGGGGTAGACAGGTATGGAAGGATGAAGGTTAACATTTTTAGAAAGCAGTTTAAGAATAGAAATTTACTTTAATATAATGTTAAAGTTTCATTATTAAAAATTGTAATGCAGTTAGGTACTAACATAAAAGTTTCAGAGTTTATGTAAATTTTTTCCTTTGATAATTGTCATGTAAATGATACAATTACTATTTTTTTAAAGTACCATATGTATAAAACTTGTGTAGTCAAACTTTATTTCAAATATACTTTTAATATGTTTTTATTTAACATATATATGCTTTTATTTATAATATACTTTAATATATGTTTAGTATGTTATTTAATATACATATATATGCTTAATATATGTATATATTTTAATTTACATAAAAATGTTTCATTTTTATTTTAGGTCAGTTCATTAGCTGACAGTTTATCTGTATTTTGGAAAAGGAAATTATAATTCTTAATTTTATGTGGAAAGACATAAGTGAATAGTCATTCACCCTGTATTTGTCTCAACCAAGTCGTAGAGGTTGATTTAGTTTAACCTGGCTAAAGCCAGGCAGTCTGAATCTGGAGAGAGTCTTCTCCACTCTGGATTAACCCAGATCACCCATGGTTGGTAGGATCATGAAATTCTATGGTGATGGTGATGGGGCTGAACATGAGATTTGAGCCTGATTTAAAGACATTTCATATAGTTCAGAATTTAGTATTACCATAAAACTATTTATAAATTGTGAAAAACCTAAAATATGTCACTAAACTGGAATTTATTAGCAATCATTAATGTACAGTTCATTTGTACAATTCTATCTGAAATTTCTAGCTATATGTAATAGTTCACTTAGCAAATATTTGAGTGGTTATTATGTATTGATTTTTCTGAACAAAACAGATATGATCCCTTTTTTACAGAACAGGAAAATTAATGCTAAACAATGATAAGTGTAAAGAAAAAAGTCTGTCAAGGGGCCAAGATGGCTGATTAGAAGCAGCGGCCACCCTTGGCACTCACAAAGAGGAATGAAAGCAGCGAGAGAAGTCAGCACCTTCAACTGAAATATCCAGTTTCTCTCACTGGGACTGACTAGGCAAACAACTCGACCCATGGAGAATGAAGAAAAGCAGAGTCGGGTGATGGTCCACCTGCGAGTGGCACATAGCCAAAGGAACCCCCTTCCACCCCCAGCCAAGGGAACCCCAGCCAAGTGTGGGGTTGCACACTCCCTCACTGCTTCTTCCATGGATCTTTGCAACCCACAGATCAGGAGATCCCCCGTGAGCCCATGCCACCAGGGGCTTGGGTCCCACACACAGAGCTGTGGGGAATCTTGGCAGAGCAGCCACTCAGGCACACACAGAGACCTAGGAGTTTTAAGTACTCTGGCCCCAGGAATCTCAGAAAGACAGGAGATCTATCCATAATTTCTGATAGGAAAAGGGCTGGATCCAGGGAGCCAAACAGCATCGTTCTCTGGGCCCCACTTCCAAGGCACCTCACGAGTTAAGACCCACTGACTTGGAATTCCAGCCAGCCACTGGCAATAGGCTGGAGGCTGTGTGAGATGGGACCAAATTCCCAGGGGGCAGGGCAGCTTCCATCTCTTGGTTGACTCAGTTGTTCCAGCCTGCTGGCTCTGGAGAGTCCAGGTGGTCAGGACAAGGAGGGGTTCCCCACAACACAGTACAGCTGCTTTGCCAGATTGTGGCCAGACTGCTTCTTTAAGAGGGACCCCCAATTCATTCGTCTTCACTGGGTGTGGCCTCCATGCAGAGGTTTCAGCCCCTCCCCCCAGGGTTATTTGGACAGAACTCTGATCTCTCCCTGGGATGGAGCTCCTGGAGGTGGGGCTGGCTGCTGTCTCTGTGGTTTGATTGACTCAGCTGTTCCAGCCTGCCAGCTATGGAGAGTCCAGGTGGTCTGGGAAAGAAAGGGCCACTCCCAATGCAGCACACCTGCTCTACCAAGAAGCAGCCAGACTGCTTCTTTAAGGGAGTTCCTGATCCTGTTCCTCTTGACTGGGTGAGACCTCCCAACAGGCGTCTCCAGACACCTCCTATAGGAGCGTTCAGGCCGGAAACAGGTCAGTATCCCCTTGGGACAGAGCTTCCACAGGAAGGAGTAGGCTACCATCTTTGCTGTTTCAAATCCTTCACTGGTAATACCTCCAGGTAAGGAAAAAACTGAGGCAAGTAGGGTCTGAAGTGGACCTCCAATAAACTGCAGCTGCCCTATGGAAAAGTGGTCTGACTCTAAAAGAAAAAGAGACAGAAAACGACAAGAATAACATCAACAAAAATACCCCACAAAAACCCCACTCGAAGGTCAGCAAGATCAAAGATTTAAGATAGATAAGCCCACAAAGATGAGAAAGAATCAATGCAAAAATGCTGAAAACTCAAAAGCCAGAGTGCCTCTTCTCCAACTGACTGAAACACCTCTCCAGCAAAGGCACAAAACTAGGCTGAGGATGAGATGGCTGAATTAACAGAAGTAAGCTTCAGAATGTGGGTAATAATGAACTTTGCTGACTTAAAGGAGCATGTTGTAACCCAATGCAAAGAAGCTAAGAATCATACAAAAAAATACAGGAGCTGATAACCAGAATAGCCAGTTTAGAGAGGAACATAACCAACCTGATAAAGCCAGAAAACACAATACTAGAATTTCTCAATGCAATCACAAGTATCAATAGCAGAATAGACCAAGTGGAGGAGAGAATCTCAGAGCTTGAAGACTATCTTTCTGAAATAAGACAGGCAGACAAGAATAAGACAGGCGAAAAAGAATGAAATGAAATGAACAAAAACCACTGAGAATTATGGGATTATGTAAGGATACCGAACCTATGACTGATTGGGGTTCTTGAAAGAGATGGGGAGAATGGAACCAAGTTGGAAAACATACTTCAGGATATCATCCAGGAGAAGTTCCCCAACCTAGCAAGACAGGCCAACCTTCAAATTCAGGAAATGCAGAGAAACCCAGTAAGATGCTCCACGAAAAAATCAACCCCAAGACATAAACATCAGATTCTCCAAGGTTGAAATGAAAGAAAAAATGTTAAGGGCAGCCAGAGAGAAAGGCCAGGTCACCTACAAAGTGAAGCACATCAGACTAACAGTAGACTTCTCAGAGAAAGCCCTATAAGCCAGAAGACATTGGGGGCCAATATTCAACATTCCTAGAGTTTACAACCTAGAATTTCATATCCAGTCAAACTAAGCTTCATAGGCAAAGGAGAAATAATATCTTTTTCAGACAAGCAAATGCTGAGGTTATTCATCACCAGCAGGCCTGCCTTGCAAGAACTCCTGAAGGAAGCACTAAATCTAGAAAAAAAAAATCCTTTATGAGCCTCCATAAAAATGCACTGAAGTACACAGGCCAGTGACACTATGAAACAACCACATAAAGAAGTCTGCAAAATAACCAGATAGCATTATGATGACAGGATTAAATTCACACAAGACCCATTGGTATGCTGCCTTCAAGAAACTCATCTCATGTGCAAAGACACACATAGGCTGAAAATAAAGGGATGGGAGAAAATTTACCAAGCAAATGGAAAACAAACAAACAAAAAAAGTGGGGTAGCAATCCTAGTTTCTGACAAAACAGATTTTAAACCAACAAAGATAAAAAAAGACAAAGAAGGGCATTACATATGATTATGTATATGATTACATATGATTATGAAATCACAAAAGGAAAGTGAAGAAGGACCTCTTCAAAGGGAACTACAAACCACTGCTCAAGGAAATCAGAGTGGACACAAACAAATGGAAAAACCTTCTATGCTGATAGATAAGAAGAATCAATATTGTGAAAATGACCATGCTGCCCAAAGCAATTTATAGATCAATGCTATTCCTATTAAACTACCATTGACATTCTTCACAGGTATAGGGTTCAATTTGACAAGAAGAGCTAACTATCCTAAATATATGTGCACCCAATACAGGAGCACCCAGATAACACCCCCACTGACAATATTAGACAGATCATTGAGACAGAAAATTAACAAAGATATTCAGGATGTGAACTCAGCTCTGGATTAAGTGGACCTGGTAGATATCTACAGAACTCTTCACCCAAAAACAACACAACATACATTCTTCTCATTACCACATGGTGCTTACTCTAAAATTGATCACATAATCAGAAGTAAAACACTCCTCAGCCAATGTGAGAGAACTGAAATCATAACAGTCTCTCAGATGACAGCACAATCAAATTAGAGCTCAAGATTAAGAAATTCACTCAAAACCACACAACTACCTGTAAATTGAACAACGTGCTCCTCAATGACTCTTGGGTAAATAATGAAATTAAGGCAGAAATCAAGAAGGTCTTTGAAACTAATGCAAACAAACAGATAATGTACCAGAATCTCTGGGATGCAGCTAAAGTGGTGGTAAGAGGGATGTTTATAGCACTAAATGCCCACATCAAAAAGCTAGAAAGATCTCAACACACTACCATCACAACTAAAAGAACTAGAGAATCAAGAGCAAACAAACCCCAAAGCTAGAAGAAAAGAAATAACCAAGATCAGAGCTGAACTGAAGGAGATAGAGACATGAAAAATCCTTCAAAAATCAATGAATGCAGCAGCTGATTTTTTGAAAAAAATTAATAAAATAGATAGACTGCTTAGACTAATAAAAAAGAAAACATAAGAATCAAATAGCCACAATCAGAAATGATAAGGGGAATATCATCAATGACTCCATAGAAATACAACCAACCATTGGAGAATACTACAAACACCTCTATGAACATAAACTAGAAAATCTAGAAGAAATGGATAGATTCCTGGACACATACAGCCTCCCAAGACTGAACAAGGAAGAAATCAAATCCTTGAATAGGCCAATAATGAGTTCTGAAATCGAGGCATTAATAAATAGCCTACCAACCAAAAAAGCCCAGGACCAGGCAGATTCACAGCTGAATTCTACTAGAGGTACAAAGAAGATCTGGTACCATTTCTAATGAAACTATTACAAACAATTGAAAATGAGGGACTCCTCCCTAACTCCTTTCCTGAGGCCATCATTATTCTGATACCAAAACTTGGCAGAGATATAACAAAAAAGAAAACTTCAAGCCATCCCTAATGAACATCAGGGCAAAAATCCTTAAAAAAAAATACTGGCAAACCAAATCCAGCAGTACATCAAAAAGCTTATCCACCATAATCAAGCTGGCTTCATCCCTGGGATGTAAGGTTGGTTCAAAATATGCAAATCAATAAATGTAATTCATCGCATAAACAGAACTAAAGACAAAAATCACATGATTATCTCAATAGATGCAGAAAAGGCTTTTGATATAATTCAACATCCTTTCATGTTTAAAACTCTCAATAAACTAGGTATTGAAGGAACCTCAAAATAATAAGAACCATATATAACAAACCCACAGCCAATATCATACTGAATGGGCAAAAGCTGGAGGGATTCTTCTTGAAAACTGGCACAAGAGAAGGATGCTGTCTTTCACCACTCCTATTCAACATAGTATTGGAAGTTCAGGCCAGGGCAATTAGGCAAGAGAAAGAAATAAAGTGTATTCATATAGGAAGAGAAGAAGTCAAATTATCTTTTTTGTAGATGACATGATCCTATATCTAGAAAACCCCATCATCTCAGCCCAAAAGCTTCTTAAGTTGATAAGTAACTTCAGCAAAGTCTGAGAATACAAAATCAATGTGCAAAAGTCACTAGCATTCTTATACACCAACAACAGGCAAGCAGAGAGCCAAATCATGAATAAACTCCTGTTCACAATAGCTACAAAAAGAACAAAATACCTAGGAATACAGCTAACAAGGGAAGTGAAGGACCTATTCAAGGAGAACTACAAACCACTGCTCAAGGAAATCAGAGAGGACACAAACAAATGGAACAACATTCTATGCTCATGGATAAGAAGAATCAATATTGTGAAAAGGACCATACTGCCCAAAGCAATTTAGAGATTCAATGCTATTCCTATTAAACTACCATCGACATTCTTCACAGAACTAGAAAAAAATACTTTAAAATTCATATGGAACCAAAAAAGAGCCTGAATAGCCAAACCAATCCTATGAAAAAAGAACAAAGCTGGCCAGGCACAGTGGCTCACGCCTGTAATCCCAGCACTTTGGGAGGCTGAGGTGGGCGGATCATGAGGTCAGGAGATGGAGACCATCCTGGCTAACATGGTGAAACCACATCTCTACTAAAAATACAAAAAATTAGCCAGGTGCGGTGGCAGATGCCTGTAATCCCAGCTACTTGGGAGGCTGAGGCAGGAGAATGGTGTGAACCTGGGAGGTGGAGCTTGCAGTGAGCCGAGATCCTGCCACTGCACTCCAGCCTGGGTAGCATCACACTGCCCAACTTCAAACTATACTACAAGGCTACAGTAACCAAAACAACAAGGTACTGGCACAAAAACAGACACAGAGACCAATGGAATGGAATAGAGAACTCAGAAATAAGATTGTACATCTACAACCATCTGATCTTTGACAAATGTGACAAAAACAAGCAATGGGGAAAGGATTCCCTATTTAATAAATGGTGCTGGGAGAATTGGCTAGCCATATGCAGAAAACTGAAACTGGACCCCTTCCTTACACGTTATACAAAAATTAACTCAAGATAGATTAAAGACTTAAATGTAAAACCAAAAACTATAAAAACCCTAGAAGAAAATCTAGGCAAATACCATTCAGAATATAGGCACGGGCAAAAATTTTATGACAAAAATTTGAAACGCAATTGCAACTAAAGCAAAAATTGACAAATGGGATCTAATCAAACTAAAGAGCATCTGCACAGCAAAATAAGCTATCATTAGAGTGAACAGACAACCTACAGAATGGGAGAAAATTTTTGCAGTCTATCCATCTGACAAAGGTCTAATATCCAGAGTCTACAAGGAAGTTAGGCTGATTTAGGAGAAAAAAAAACATTAAAAAATGGGCAAAAGACATGAACAGATACTTCTTAAAAGTGGCCAACAAACATGAAAGAAAGCTCAACATCACTGATCATTAGAGACATGCAAATCAAAACCACAACGAGCTACCATCACATGCCAGTCAGAATGGTGATTATTAAAAAGTCAAAAAACAACAGATGCTGTCAAGGTTGCAAAGAAAAAGGAATGCTTTTACACTGTTGGTGGGAGTGTAAATTAGTTCAACCATTGTGGAAGACTGTGTAGTGATTCCTCAAAGACCTAGAGGCAGAAATACCATTTGACCCAGCAATCCCATTACTGGGTATATACCCAGAAGAATATAAATCATTCTATTATAAAGGTACACGCACACATATGTTCACTGCAGCACAATTCACAATAGCAAAGATATGGAATCAACCTAAATGCCCATCAATGATAGACTGGATAGAGAAAATGTGGTACATATACACCATGGAATACTATGCAGCCATAAAAAGGAATGAGATCATGTCCTTTGCAGGGACATGGTTGGAGCTGGAAGCCCTTATCCTCAGCAAACTAATGCAGGAACAGAAAACCAAACACTACATGTTCTCACTTATAAGTTGGAGCTGAAGGATGAGAACACATGGACACATGGGCAGGGGAACAACACACACTGGGGACTGTTGGGGTGGTGGTCAGGGGAGGAAGGGCATCAGGAAAAATAGCTAATGAATGCTGGGCTTAATACCTAGGTGATGGCATGATCTGTGCAGCAAACCACCATGGCACACATTTACCTATGTAACAAACCTGCACATCCTGTGCATGTACCCCTGAACTTAAAATAAGAATCAAGCACTGCATGAAGAATAATAGTAGGGATAACTAGTTTAGATGTGGGAGTCAGGGAAGGTATCTTTGAAGAAGTAACCATTTAATTGAGACCAAAGAATCGGTGATATTTGGCAAAATACAGGAGAAAGAACATCTTGGGCAGAAGGAATACGTGTGCCAAGACCATAAGGTCAAAGGATCATGGCTTGTTTGAGAAACTGAAGAAAAAGCAAGTGTCACTGAAGCACAATCAGAGCAAGAGATTAGGAGATGAATCTGGAAAGGTAGGCAGGACATTTTTAGGCTGTACCAAGATTTTTTTTCTTCCACTTTGAGAGTAATGGGAAGTCTTAAATCACTACAAAAGAGAAAATAAATATTTTAAATTATGTTTTAAAAAGATTGACTATTGCATATAAGTACCAAGAGACATGTACAAGCACATTAATCATATTACTATTGTTAATAACAAAATTGAAAATCTAAATGTTTACCAATCGATAAATAACCTGTGATACACGTGTGTGTGTGTGTGTGTGTATATATATATATCACAGTTTATATATATAATGACAATGGACTAGTAGGTAGCAGTGAAAAGAAATAAGAATAGCTATATGCACAATGAACTAAACATGTAATGTTGAACAAAAGATGCAAGTGGCAGAAGATCATACAGGATGATTTCATTTATTTAAAGTTAAAAACACACAAAGCTAAAAAATATTATTTTGAAACATATTAATAAGTACAAAATCCAGAATAGTAGTTATCTCAGATGATAGGATACCCTGAGATCTAGGAGAGAATACAGAGGACTTCAAAAATAAAATAATATGCTTTTTCTATGGCTGACTGGTATATATATGAGTGATTATGGTATTGTTATTTATATCTTATACATATTTTATAAATGCTCTTTTTGGCTATTCACTATTTAATAAAAATTTAATTTCTTGTTGTTACATTGAGAATGAGCAGGAAAAAATTGGGGAAACCAATTAGGAAGCTATTACAAACAGTATAGGCAAGAAATGATGGAGGTTTGGGTTAGAATGCCATAATCAAGACGTAGATAAGTGAGTGGATTTTAAGGCAGAACTGACAGGCAGAGTAGAAACCACAAGTGAATGTTTTATCATTCGAAAGCAAATGTGACATGAATGTTTTAAGGACTCATAATAAGATGCCCAACAGTGACTCTTCTATCCTACAAAATGGCTGAATAGATGTACAACTAATAATTTACATTGCTCTTACTATGTGCTAGGCTCTATTCTGGATACCTAACATATCACATTATTATTCCAGTTTTATAAATGAAAAAAATTAAAGCTTAAAAACATTTAGCAACTAACTGAACATCTCACAGTTCATAAATGGCAGATTCATGCAATAAATTCATTTCAATTTTATTCCTTTCTCAAGTATGTATAGAGGCTGGACAAATGTATTCCTATAATGCATATTACTTCAAAATGCAGCATAAATCTGGTGATCTTATATTAGCTATACAAAGAACTCTAAGTTGGAATAAAATAAATTTAAGTGGATTCTGATACTATGAAAATACAAAAGTATTGATTTATTGAGAAGTAATCCTGTGCATATTTGAGGGTCTGGCACCTAATGGTTATTAAAACATGTTTTCTGAAGGAATGTAACTGACCTCTTTTCTATATCCTTGAATGTGACAGACTCTCTTTGGGAATTTGCCTCCTTAGATGACGTGTCATTCAAATCATCACCTTAAAAAGGAAAGAGTATTTTTCCATAATTAACAACAGACCTAAAATTTATCTGGTAAACTAATGAGGTTTAACCTTTAACATTGTTTAGTTAGTGAATTATCATAGAATATCTTTATTTAACATACAGTATCTGAGAATTAACTTATCAAAACAAAGTGGGAATTAGAGGAGCAGAGAATGTTCTTACATTGTCAGAACTGATTTTTATTTATTTGAAGCATAAAGCTGCATACATTCATTCTTTATTCTATTCTATCCTTTTTAAAATAAGACTGATTGTTCCAAAATGTAAACTTTGAAACATTCAAGTGACTACGACCAAATATGGTACTCATTACAAGCTAAACAATAAATCGGCCCTCATAAAGTGGGGCAATAAAAAAAGAAGCTGCATGCTTTCAAGTAACAAATTTATTAAAACAAACATTCAGCTGGGGCATGTTAGGCAGATTGTAGTCATCCCCCTCTCACTCCCATTACCCACCTTTTTTGTCCAACTAATTCATTCCACAGAGAAACACAAAGAGTAATTATTCATTCTTCCTTGTAGCTTATTTTTATATTTGTTTTCTTAATATTAAAAAAATGCTTCTTTTAGTGTACAGAAGAAAACAGTCACCCATAATTCCACCACCTAAATATAACAACTAGTAATATGTTGATGCATTTCTTTGTGGGTTTTTATATAAAGATATAGATTATATAAAAACATAATATTTTAAAATTTGAACCTAAATAGAAAACTAAAAACAGAGTTGAGTGCTGATTCTGCTTTTTAGGCCTGTCTCTTTGTTATTAATAATCTTTTGAAAAATGATTTTGTTGCATCATAATTTATTAAGCCATTCATCCATTGTTGGGATTCAAATAATTGTTGTTTTATGATTATAAGTAATTCTGCTATGAATGCACCTCCTTGTGCATAAATCTTTCTATGCTTCTCTGATTATTTATTTATAATAAATTCCTAGAATAAAGGATAGTAGACCAGAGTATATGGATATTTTTAGCATATAATGTCAAATAGCTCACCAAGATAAGTTCAATCAATTTTTTATCACCCACTTCAGCATCCCTTATTCTGCAGATCCTTTAAGTGTTCTTCCCCTTCTGCTACTACCAAAGATGAAAAAATATATACATTTTTATTTTTTATTATACTTTAAGTTCTGGGATACATGTGCAGAATGTGCAGGTTTGTTACATAGGTATACATGTACCATGGTGGTGTGCTGCATCCATCAACCCATCATTGACATTAGGTATTTCTCCTAGTGCTATCCCTCCCCTTGACCCCCACCCCTGACAGGCCCCAGTGTATGATGTTCCCCCCTTGTGCCCATATGTTCTCATTGTTCAACTCCAGCTTATGAGTGAGAACATGTGGTGTCTGGTTTTCTGTTCCTGTGTTAGTTTGCTGAGAATGATGGTTTCCAGCTTAATCCATGTCCCTGCAAAGGACATGAACTCATTCTTTTTTATGGCTGCATAGTATTCCATGGTGTATATGTGCCATATTTTCTTTATCCAGTCCACCATTGATGGGCATTTGGGTTGGTTCCAAGTCTTTGCTATTGTGACTAGTGCTACAATAAACATACATATGCATGTTTCTTTATAGTAGAATGATTTATAATCCTTTGGGTATATACCCAGTAATGGGATTGTTGAGTCAAATGGTATTTCTGGTTCTAGATCCTTGAGGAGTCACCACACTGTCTTCCAGAATGGTTGAACTAATTTACACTCCCACCAACAGTGTAAAAGCATTCCTATTTCTCCACATCCTCTCCAGCATTGCTGAGTCTGTCCCAAAGACTCTGGTTGAGCGACGGATGAAAGAAGTATGTGGACACGGGTATTTTGCCTGACTGCACAGCTAGGGAACCACATGGCTCAGCACTGCAGATGAGAGTCCAGCAGCCAAGAGAGTGCAGCCCTGATAAGCCGGCTACACTCATATTTATTTAGTACAGATTTAATGACAAAGGCTTGGAGCAAACACAATTTGTGATAATAAACATTGTCAACCCCGCTGAGTAGAGAGCAGTCCTGCACACGAAAGATCAAAGGCCGGTTTTAGGACAACATGAGTAAACAAGCTATTTAGATAAACTCCTCTACATTCCTTTGTATCTACGCCCTTTGCCCCTGGGTAAGAACAGCTGCCTTCAGCTCATTCTTCCCTGAAGCTTTGCAAAACCCCCGGCCTTCCAAGAAGGTTTGCATCTTTTCCTATAATTTCTCCCACAATCCTGACCAATCTCCTACATCTCCCCCTTTTCTGTTTTTTGCATCAGGTTTTGTTGATTGAAGAGTACAGACGCATGCAGCAACAGGTTTGTCAGGCGCAGTGGTTATAACTCGTATTCCAGCTTTGCATCCTAGAATTAGTAAATAACATAAGACAAAAATGAGTATAATCAGTATCATTCTTTTCCAATCAAGAAGTGACCCCCCCCAGGAGTGGGGGGTCTATCCAGGAGAGATGTCCTTGCACATCATTCCATGTGGCTGTTTGTTGGGCATGTAGATCTACGGCGATTAGGGATTCTAGAATTTTAGTTTAAGTTGCCTTACGTCTGCTGTTAAATTATCAGTTTCCCCAGAGGTGTTGTTTCACCTCATCCCAACTACATATTGATTGATTCCAAGATAGAGAGGTGACACAGATATGCTTATGCTCCCAGTCACAGTTTAGTTGCTGTCAGAATGCCAGTGCATCTTGTTGCTCCCCTACATATTCCAAGGCAGCTTCAAGGGCTTGCAGGCATGCAAGAATCTTTTGATCTATACCCTGCTGTAAGAGAATTCATTAGACACATTTTTGGCCAAGTTATCTATAAAGGTAGCTATTTGTACTGATTCAGTAATACAGGCCACAGCAACAATAGCAGTTGCCAAGATGACTATGGCTGAGATTTTAAAGGCTATAAGTGTGCCCATGAATCTTTTGGGTCTCACCTAGGACAGGGCACATTCTAAGATGGCAAGGGCAGAGGAACCTTGCCAATCATGTGTCAAATTGACTGGTAGGAATGCCTCAGATTTTCTCCTTAATACCATGACACTAGTAATATTTTAACTAGATATACTGTAATTAGTGATACATGAGGTGAACCAAGCCTGTCCCTGCACTCAGGTCACAAACTTGGAGTTTTGGGGTGTAATGGAAATATTAGCTCCCATAAGGAAAACATATGGATGGGTAGTGCAAATCAGGCACTGATCTGTGTGATTATGAATAACGTTCGTAATATAATTGTTACTGGAATTACGATATGTCCCATGCCAGGTGTTAAGGGAGGTGCTAAGATGTCCTAGGCACCATAAAGTGTCTTGGGGTGGCATGGACTTTACTTGGGGTCTGGGATATCTCCTCTCCCCATTGGCCCAAATCACAGGGGAATGGGATGTGACTATGAAACTGATTGATGCCACAATGGATGTGGACATCAGTATGGTAACCCTGCAAATGTGTGGGGGAAAGAAAGAGAGATCAGACTGTTACTGTGTCTATGTAGAAAAAGACAGGCATAAGAAACTTCATTTTGATCTGTACTAAGAAAAATTTTTCTGCCTTGAGATGCTGTTAATCTGTAAACCTAGCCCCAACCCTGTGCTCGCAGAAACATGTGTTGTATTGACTCAAGGTTTAATGGATTTAGGGCTGTGCAGGATGTGCTTTGTTAAAATTGTGTTTGCAGGCAGTATGCTTGGTAAAAGTCATCGCCATTCTCCATTCTCAAGTACCCAGGGACACAATGCACTGCGGAAGGCCACAGGGACCTCTGCCCAAGAAAGCCTGGGTATTGTCCAAGGTTTCCCCCTACTGAGACAGCCTGAGATATGGCCTCATGGGAAGGGAAAGACCTGATCATCCCCCAGCCTGACACCCGTAAAGGGTCTGTGCTGAGGAGGATTAGTGAAAGAGGAAGGCCTCTTTGCAGTTGAGATAAGAGGAAGGCATCTGTCTCCTGCTCATCCCTGGGAATGAAATGTCTCGGTGTAAAACCCAATTGTACATTCTATTTACTGAGATAGGAGAAAACCACCTTATGACTGGAGGTGAGACATGCTGGCAGAAATACTGCTCTTTACTGCATTGA
Organism: Homo sapiens; assembly: GCF_000001405.40. NCBI lineage: Eukaryota > Metazoa > Chordata > Mammalia > Primates > Hominidae > Homo > Homo sapiens. The sequence goes on along the minus strand of NC_000001.11, from coordinate 225,226,960 downwards.
GATGTTTGTGTAAAGTCAAACATAAATCTGGCCTACATGCACATCAAGTCACAGCACCTTTCCTTAAACTTATTTATGACAAAGAGTCCTTTGCTCACATGTTTTCCTGCTAACCCTCTCCCCACCATGACCCTATAGTTCTGCCACATCCCCCTTGCCAGAATAGTAGAGATAATGATCAATAAATACTGAGGGAACTCAGAGACCAGTGCCAGTGCAGGTCCTCACTTGCTGAGCGCCGGTCCCCTGGGCCCACTTTTCTTCCTCTATACTTTGTCTCTGTCTTATTTCTTTTCTCAGTCTCTCATCTCCACCTTGCAAGAAATACCCACAGGTGTGGAGGGGCAGGCCCCCTTCAAAATGGCCATGGTGGCTCCAGTCTAAGATGTTATAATTGCCTAACTGGAGGCTACGGGCTTGTCCTCCGTGACAGACCTCCCAACTAAAGTGGAATCCATTACTTTTCCGGCTTTGTTCTTTAGCACAGGGAGGAATGTTTGGGAAGGTGGCATTGGTAGTGTTGCCTGGTTTGAGGCTACCTGCAACCAAGAATGTTAAGGCATTTCCTTTGCCATGATGTAGCCATAATTGTGTTTGGGCGGGCACACAATAAAGGTTAGAACTTTTATAACTTACACACAGCGGGAGGATAGTGGAGCGATATATAGTGTTACCTGGCACCTTAGTCCAATGTGTGCCATTAATGAGAGACCCCACTGGGGGTAAGTCAATCCCTCCTAGCCAAGCAGTTATGTTATTAGAGGCTGGGAAGGAGGTGTCTGCCCAAGTAACAGAGGGGAAGAAAGGCAGATCTAAGAGATAAGCCCATAGAGTAACAGTTGCGGGTTGCAGGCAGAGTGAGAGAATAAGAAGGTTTATTACCCTATGAGAGTTGCAATGTACAACAGAAAGTATATCAAGGAACAAATTATCTGGAGTGAATGGTGTCTGTGTCCAGAGCAGGATTCACTCAGCCTCCTGAGCTGTCTTCAGCATCCCACAGGTAATGTCTGGGGATTGTGTTGTCTGAGGAAGCTGCATCGTCTGGGACTGCGGGTCCTGTAGGGACATTTCCTTCATTTCTGGTACTGGGTTGGGTCCTAGCATGCCATGGATGGTTTTATGCATTGTGCTGGAATCCAAAGAGGACCTGAGGGGGTGTGAACACAGCATATCCTCTTCCCCATGTTAGCAACTCATTTGGACCACACCATACATTAATATTTACATCTTTCCATAAAACCACAAGTTTTATGTTTTGAGGGGCTTTAGTAAAATGCTTTTTTATGGTTGATTGAAATTTATCATCTAAATTTTAAAAATTAAGGGTAAACAAGACTTGTGCTAGTAGTGTTGAAGGGTTTTTACTCATATTCCCCTCCTTTTTTTTCTGAGCATATTTTTAAGAATGGAATGGACACGTTCTACTATGGCCTGTCCTTGGGTACTATATGGGATGCCTGTGGAATGTTGGATGTTCTATGTGGGACAGAATTGTTGAAATTGTGAGCTGGCATAAGCTGGACAATTATCAGTTTTAATTTTTGTGGGCCACCCCATAAACACAAAAGTTAAAAGAAGATGTTTAATAACATATTGGGTGGACTCTCCAGGAAGAGCATGATAACTAATTAAGTGAGAATTGGTATCAATGAATACATGTACATATGTTAGTTTTCCAAATTCAGGGATGTGTTTAACATCTGTTTGCCATAACTAATTAGGTTCTAGTCCTCTAGGGTTAACACCTGTTGAAGGAGGGAACGTGTCTGTGAGCTGGCAATCTGGGAATTGCAGGATAATTTGTTTAGCTAGTCTCTGGGTAAGTTGAAATTGTTTAGGTACATTTCTCCAATTTTGGTGGAAAAATAGATGTGATTGGGTGGTTTGGTCAAGCAGTGATGTCGTAACTTGCAGGTCTGCTTGATCATTGCCATAAGCCAATGGGCCAAGCAGTGAGCTGTGGGGTCCAATATGTGTGATAAAAATAGGACGTGTACGTTGACCCAGCAATTGCTGAAGTCAAAGAAAAAGTGCACACAGAGTGGGCTTGAGAGTGGACTTAATGAGGGCTGTTTCAAGGTTCTGCAATAAATACAGTAAGCACAGTCACTAACAATATTGATGGGCTAAGCAGAATAGGCCTCCAGGGCCAATATTAAGGCTCCAACCTCGGCTCTCTGAGTGCCAGTAAATCCAGAATGAGTGAGGAAATTATGCAGTCTCCACCAAATAGCTGCTTTTCTATTTTTACCAGAAGCGTTAGGTATGGGGGAGTGAACTACTTTTGTAGGCACAACTACAGGAGTATGAGATAAGAACTGAATTAGTTTCTCAGCAGGAAGGGCATGTTTTATATGGCCTGCATAATCAGAGAGTGCTATCTGAAAATCTAGAGATAGGGGCAATATGCTTTGAATTGTCTTTTACTCAAAGAATTCTGATGACATCAGGGTCATAACCTAGCAACTGACTGCATCATCTGTGGCCTGTATAGATGACTTTACTAACTAGCTGGATATAGGGAGATAATGTTTTAGTCCTGGTATGTGAGTAAAAAAACCCATTTTAGAAAGTGCAGCCTGGGGGCTATCTGTCCTACTAATCCTGGTGGGGAATGCTTAGTAGGGAAAACAAACAATTGAACTGAATATTGCGGGTCTATGCAATCTAGTTGCCTCTGAGAAATAGCTTGCTCTATTTCCTCAATTTCCCTTTTTGCTGCAGGAGTTAAATATGTGGGAGAGTCTAGGGCTGTATTGCCCTTTAGGATAGGAAACAGGATTCGTAACTTATCAGTAGTTATGCCCAAGGTGGGGTAAAGCCAATTAATATCACCCAGTAATGTCTGATAATCATTTAAAGTGTGTAAGTTGCTAGTATTTAATTTAACCTTTTGAGATCTTACTGACCAGGAAGTTAGTATGTATCCAAGATATTTCCAAGGGGAGGAAAATTGTACTTTTTCAGGTGCTATGATTAAACCTCTTAACTGTGTATTCTTTAGAATGGAAGCATATAAACTTAAAAGTGCTGGCTCTGTTGGGGCTGCTAGTAAAATATCATCCATAAAATGAATAATCTTGCAATTAGGAAATTCTTTTCTACTTGGGAGCAAAGCCTGATTTACATGATACTGACACATAGTAGGACTGTTCAGCATCCCTTGAGAAAGCACTTTCCAATGAAGTTGGTGAGCTGGCCTTGCATTATTGACAGCTGGTGTGGTAAATGCAAATTTTTCTCTGTCTTGTTCTGCAAGGGGAATAGTATAGAAGTCGTCCTTTAAGTCAATAACGACTAGAGGCCAATCTTCAGGAATCGCCATGGGGGAAGGGAGGCCCTGTTAAAGAGGCCCCATAGGTTGCAAATTAGCATTGATAGCCTGTAAATCATGCAAAAGTCTCCATTTGCCAGATCTTTTGGGAATGACAAAAATGGGCGAATTCCAAGGGGTGTTTGATGGTTCTATATGGCCGACTTTTAATTACTCCTCAACTAATTCATGGGCTCTTTGTAACTTGTCTCCCTTTAAAGGTCACTGGTCTACCCAAATAGGATTTTGAGAGAGCTACATCAGGGGTAGAGGAGGAATAACAGTGGCCATTACTAGAAAGAGGTCTGCAAAGTGACCTCAATTAACCCTTTGGTAAATGGGCTAGTGGCTCCATTTTCTTTAATGCTTTTTCTTATCTCTTTATAAGTGTCAAAAGAAATGGGTTTGTATACCTGATTGTTTTGTCGATCTTGCATTACCGGGCAGGCTAAGAGCTCCCCTTCTAATGTCGCTTGCCTAAGACAGGGTCCCATAGCTGTAGTGTATCCCTTTTCTTTTTTCCAATTTACAGGAGGAGGGGGCTCAGGCAAAACCTCTGTTTTCTCTTTGTTATTTTTGCCTGGTAATGGCTGGGCTGAAGGAGAAGGAGGAGGTGGTAAGGTAGGTGATGATTCCTCCTCCCTTCCCTTTTTAGGCTCTTCTGTGTAGAATTGAGCAAAGCAGCCCTAAGTAAAGCCCATAATATCAGAGATGTTACTGGGACCCATTGCCCTTGTGCATGATCTTGTTTAAAATTTCTCCCCACTTGTTCCCAGAGCTCTATGTCTAGTGTACCCTCTTCTGGGAACCATGGGTTATGGGACACAACAGTTTGCATTAGGTCCCTTAATTGAGCCTGCAAAACCGAGGATCCGCCAGCTTTAAGCGGCTGTGAGAGGCAAAGCCAGCTGGATTTCTGGGTCGGGTGGGGGCTTGAAGAACTTTTCTGTGGCTAGTTAGAGGTTTGTAAAATGCACCAGTGTTCTGTAAAAATGCACCAATCAGTGCTCTGTGGCTAGCTAGAGGTTTGTAACATGGACCAATCAGCACTCTGTAAAATGGACCAATCAGCAGGACATGGGCAGGGACAAATAAGGGAATAAAAGCTGGCAACCCCAGCCAGCAGCGGCAACCCTCTTGGGTCCCCTTCCATGTTGTGGAAGCTTTCACTCTTCAAAATAAATCTTGCTGCTGGTCACTCTTTGGGTCCGTGCCACCTTTAAGGGCTGTAACACTTACTGTGAAGGTCCACGGCTTCATTCTTGAAGTCAGCGAGACCATGAACCCACTGGAAGAAACCAACTCCAGACACAGCTGTTTCAGTACATTTATATACTGTTGCTGTTGAGCTGATAACTGTTGTCCCATGATGAAAGCCTGAACAATTCCCTCAAACTTGGATATCCCAAGCGGGCACCAATGACTTACTGACTTACTGACAGCGCAGTCTCTTTACCTTCATTTTTGAGGGTTCCAACATGATCCATTGCAGTGTTCCTCACACGAGGCACCACCTGCCAAGTCTGTCCTGCAAACTCTGGCTGAGTGACAGATGAAAGAAGTATGCTGACACAGGTTGCCTGACAGCGTGGCTAGGGGACCACACAGCTCAGCACCACCAAAAAGAGTCCAGTAGCCGAGAGAGTGAGCCCCGATAAGCTGGCAATAATTGCATTTTTTCAGTACAGATTTAATGACAAAGGCTTGGAGCAAACACAATTTGTGGGTAATAAACATAGTTGACCCCCTGAATTGAGAGCAGTCCTGTGTGCAAACGATCAAAGGTCTGTTTTAGGACAACATCAGTAAACAACCTATTTAGAGTAACTCCTCTACATTCCTTTATACCTATGCCCTTTGACCCTGGGTAAGAACAGCTGCCTTCAGTTCATTCTTCCCTGAAGCTTTGCAAAACCTCCTGGCCTTCCAAGAAGGTTTGCATCTTTCCTTATAATTTCTCCCATCACCCTGACTGATCTCCTACACAGCATCTGTTGTTTCCTGACTTTTTAGTGGTCACTATTCTAACTGGCATGAGATGGTATCTCATTGTGGTTTTGATTTGCATTTTTCTAATGACCAGTGAAGATGAGCTTTTTTTCATGTTTGTTGGCTGCATAAATGTCTTCTTTTCAAAAGTGTCTGTTCATATCCTTTACCTGCTTTTTGATGGTTTTCTTTTTCTTGTAAATTTGTTTAAGTTCCTTGTGGATTCTGGATATTAGCCCTTTGTCAGAGGCACAGATTGCAAATGTTTTCTCCCAATCTGTAGGTTGCCTGTTGACTCTGATGATAGTTTCTTTTGCTGTGCAGAAGGTCTTTGGTTTAATTAGATACTATTTGTCAATTTTGGCTTTTGTTGCCATTGCTTTTGGTGTCTTAGTTGTGAAGTCTTTGCCCATGCCTATGTCCTGAATGGTATTGCTTAGGTTTTCTTCTAGGGTTTTTTATGTTTTTTAGGTCTGACGTTTAAGTTTTTAATCCATCTTGAGTTAATTTTTGTATAAGGTGTAAGGTATGGGTCCAGTTTCAGTTTTCTGCATATGTGTAGCCAGTTTTCCCAACATCATTTATTAAATAGAGAATCCTTTCCCCATTGCTTGTTTTTGTCAAGTTTCTCGAAGATCAGCTGGTTGTAGATGTGTGGTGTTATTTCTGAGGCTTCTGTTCTGTCCCATTGGTCTATATATCTGTTTTGGTACCAGTACCATGCTGTTTTTGTTACTGTAAGCCTTGTAGTACAGTTTGAAGTAAGGCAGTGTGATGCCTCCAGCTTTGCTCTTTTTGCTTAGGACTCTCTTGGCTATACAGGCTCATTTTTGGTTTCATGTGAAATTTAAAGTAGTTTTTTTCTAATTCTGTGAAGAAAATCAATTGTAGCTTGATGGGAATAGCATTGAATCTATAAATTATTTTGGGCAGTATGGCCATTTTCACGATATTGATTCTTCCTATCCATGAGCATGGAATATTTTTCCATTTGTTTATATCCTCTCTTATTTCCTTGAGCAGTGGTGTGTAGTTCTCCTTGAAGAGGTCCATCACATCCCTTGTAAGTTGTATTCCTAGGTATTTTATTTTCTTTGTAGCAATTGTCAATAAGAGTTCACTCATGATTTGGCTGTTTGTCTATTATTGGTGTAGAAGAATGCTTGTGATTTTTGCACGTTGATTTTGTATCCTGAGACTTTGCTGAAGTTGCTTATCAGCTTAAGAGTTTTAGGGCTGAGACAATGGGTTTTCTAAATGTACAATCATGTCATTTGCGAACAGAGGCAATTTGACATCCTCTCTTCCTATTTGAATACAGTTTATTTCTTTCTCTTGCCTGATTGCCCAGGCCAGAACTTCCAATACTATGTTGATTAGGAGTGGTGAGACTGGGCATTCTTGTCTTGTGCCAGTTTTCAAGGGGAATGCTTCCAGCTTTTGCTCATTCAGTATGACATTGGCTGTGGGTTTGTCATAAATAGCTCTTATTATTTTGAGATATGTTCTATCAATATCTAGTTTATTGAGTGTTTTTAGCATAAAGGTGTGTTGAATTATATCGAAGGCCTTTTCTGCATCTATTGAGATAATCACATGATTTTCGACATTGGTTCTGCTTATGTGATGTATTATGTTTATTGATTTGCATATGTTGAACCAGCCTTGCATCCCAGAGATGAAGCTGACTTGATCATTGTAGATAAGCTTTCTGATGTGCTGGTGGATTCAGTTTGCCAGTATTTTATTGAGGATTTTCACATTGATGTTCATCAGGGATACTGGCCTGAAATTTTCTTTTTTTCTGCATCTCTGCCAGGTTTTGGTACCAGGATGATGCTGGCTTCATAAAATGAGTTATAGAGGAGTCCCTATTTTCTATTGTTTGGAATAATTTCAGAAAAAAATGGTTCTAGCTCCTCTTTGTACCTCTGGTAGAATTCAGATGTTAATCTGTCTGGTCCTGGGCTTTTTTTGGTTGGTAGGCTATGGATTACTGTCTCAATTTCAGAACTTTTTATTGGTCTATTCAGGGATTCAACTTCTTCCTGGTTTAGTCTTGGAAGAGCGTATGTCTCCAGGAATTTATCCATTTCTTTTAGATTTTCTAGTTTATTTGCATAGAGGTGTTTATAGTATTCTCTGATGGTAGCTTGTATTACTGTGGGATCAGTGGTGATCTCTCCTTTATCATTTTTTATTGTGTCTATTTGATTCTTGTCTCTTTTCTTCTATATTATTCTGGCTAGCTGTCTATTTTTTTTTTTTTAAACCAGCTCCTGGATTCACTGATTTTTTTGAAGGGTTTCTCCTGTCTCTATTTCCTTCAGTTCTGCTCTGATCTTAGTTATTTCTTGTCTTCTGATAGCCTTTGAATTTGTTTGCTCTTGCTTCTCTAGTTCTTTTAATTGTAATGTTAGGGTGTTGATTTTAGATCTTTCCTGCTTTCTGACGTGGGCATTTAGTGATATACATTTCCCTCTAAACACTGCTTTAGCTGTGTCCCAGTGATTCTGGTAGGCTGTGTCTTTGTTCTCATTCATTTTAAAAACTTAGTCATTTCTGTTATTTACCTAGCTAATAATTTCGTTATTTACCCAGTAGTCGTTCAGAAGCAGGTTGTTCAGTTTCCATGTAGTTGTGTGGTTTTGAGTGAGTTCGTTAATCCTGAGTTCTAACTTGATTGCACTGTGGTCTGAGAGACTGTTATGATTTCCATTTTTTGCATTTGCTGAGGAGTGCATTACTTCAAATTATGTGGTCAATTTTAGAAAAAGTGTGATGTGGTGCTGAGAAGAATGTATATTCTGTAGATTTAGGGTGGAGAGTTCTGTAGATGTGTATTAGGCCTACTTGGTCCAGAGCTGAGTTCAAGTCCTGGATATCCTTGTGAATTTTCTGTCTTGTTGATCTAATATTGACTGTGGGGTGTTAAAGTCTCCCATTATTATTGTGTGGGAGTCTAAGTCTGTTTGTCGGTCTCTAAGAACTTGCTTTATGAATCTTGTATTCTCCTGTATTGGATGCATACATATTTAGGATTGTTAGCTCTTCTTGTTGCATTGATCCCTTTACCATTATGTAATGCCCTTCTTTGTCTCTTTGGAGCTTTGTTGGTTAAAAGTCTGTTTTACCAGAGACAAGGATTGCAACCCCTGCTTTTTTTTTTTTTGGTTTCCATTTGCTTGGTAGATCTTCTTCTATCCCTTTATTTTGAGCCTATGTGTGTCTTTGTACATGAGATGGGTCTCCTGAATACAGCACACTGATGGGTCTTGACTCTTTATCCAATGAGCCAGTCTGTGTCTTTCAACTGGGGCATTTAGCCCATTTACATTTAAGGTTAATATTGTTATGTGTAAATTTGACCCTGTCATTATAATGCTAGCTGGTTATTTTACCCACTAGTTGATTAGTTTCTTCATAGTGTTGATGATCTTTACAATTTGGTATGTTTTTGGAGTGGCTGGTACTAGTTTTCCCTTTCCATATTTAGTGCTTCCTTCAGGAGCTCTTGTAAGGCAGGCCTGGTGATGACCAAATCTCTCAGCATTTGCTTGTCTATAAAGGATTTTGTTTCTCCTTTGCTTATGAAGCTTAGTTTGGCTGGATATTAAATTCTGGGTTGGGACTAGGAGGTTCCAAGATGGACAAATAGGAACAGCTATAGTCTGCAGCTCCAAGTGTGAGCAATGCAGAAGACGGGTGATTTCTGCAAGTCCAACTGAGGTACCAGGTTCATCTCACTGGGGCTTGGCAGACAGTAGGTGCAGCCCATGGAGCAGGGTGGGGCATTGCCTCACCCGGGAAGCCCAAGGGATCAGGGAATTCCCTTTCCTAGCAAAGGGAAGCCGTGACAGACGGTACCTGGAAAATCGGGACACTCCTACCCTAATACTGCGCTTCTGCAACGGCCTTAGCAAATGGCACACCAGGAGATTATATCCAGCGCCTGGCTCGGAGGGTCCCACACCCATGGAGCCTCACACAATGCCAGCACAGCAGTCTGAGATCGAACTGCAAGGTGGCAGTGAGGCTGGGGGAGGGGCGTCCACCATTGCTGAGGCTTGAAAAGGTAAACAAAGCGGCCTGGAAGCTCCAATTGGGTGGAGCCCACCGCAGCTCAAGGAGGCCTGCCTGCCTCTGCAGATTCCACCTCTGGGGGCAGGGCATAGCTGAAAAAAAGGCAGCAGAAACTTCTGCAGACTTAAACGTCCCTGTCTAACAGCTTTGAAGAGAGTAGTGCTTCTCCCAGCATGGAGTTTGAGATCTGAGAACAGACAGACTGCCTCCTCAAGTGAGTCCCTGATGCCTGAGGAGCCTAACTGGGAGACACCTCCCAGTAGGGGTCAACTGACACCTCGCAGGGCAGTGCACCTCTGAGATGAAGCTGCCAGAAGAAGGATCACACAGCAACATTTGCTGTTCTGCAATATTTGCTGTTCTGCAGCCTCCGCTGGTGATACCCAGGCAAACAGTGTCTGGAGTGGACTTCCAGCAAACTCCAACAGACCTGCAGTTGAGGGTCCTGACTGTTAGAAGGAAAACTAACAAACAGAAAGGACATCCACACCAAAACCCCATCTGTACATCACCATCATCAAAGACCAAAGGTAGATAAAACCACAAACGAGGGGAGAAACCAGAGCAGAAAAGCTGAAAATTCTAAAAATCAGAGCGCCTCTTCTCCTCCAAAGGAATGAAGCTCCTCTACAGCAACGGAACAAAGCTGGATGGAGAATGACTTTGATGAGTTGATAGAAGAAGGCATCAGATGATCAGTAATAACAAACTTCTCTGAGCTATTGGAGGATGTTCGAACCCATTGCAAAGAAGCTAAAAACCTTGAAAAAAGATTAGACGAATGGCTAACTAGAATAAACAGTGTAGAGAAGTCATTAAATGACCTGATGGAGCTGAAAACCATGGCACAAGAACTACATGACAGATGCACAAGCTTCAGTAGCCAATTTGATCAAGTGGAAGAAAGGGTATAACTGATTGAAGATCAAATGAATGAAATGAAGTGAGAAGAGAAGTTTAGAGAAAAAAGAGTAAAAAGAAATGAACAAAACCTCCACGAAATATGGGATTATGTGAAAAGACCAAATCTACGTCTGATTGGTGTACCAGAAAGTGACTGGGAGAATGGAACCAAGGTGGAAAACACTCTGCAAGATATTATCCAGGAGAACTTCCACAACCTAGCAAGGCAGGCCAACATTCAAATTCAGGAAATACAGAGAATGCCACAAAGATACTCCTCGAGAAGAGCAACTCCAAGACACATACTGTCAGATTCACCAAAGTTGAAATGAAGGAAAAAACATTAAGGGCAGCCAGAGAGAAAGGTTGGGTTACCCACAAAGGGAAGCCCATCAGACTAACAGTGGATCTCTTGGCAGAAACTCTACAAGCCAGAAGAGAGTGGGAGCCAATATTCAACATTCTTAAAGGAAAGAATTTTCAACCCAGAATTTCATATCCAGCCAAACTAAGCTTCGTAAGTGAAGGAGAAATAAAATCCTTTACAGACAAGCAAATGCTGAGACATTTTGTCACCGTCAGGCCTGCCTTACAAGAGCTCCTGAAGGAAGCACTAAACATGGAAAGGAACAATCAGTACTAGCCACTGCAAAAACATGCCAAATTGTAATGACCATTGAGGCTAGGAAGAAACTGCATCAACTAACGAGCAAAATAACTAGCTAACATCATAATGACAGGATCAAATTCACACATAACAATATTAATCTTAAATGCAAATGGGCTAAATGCTTGAATTAAAAGACAGAGACTGGCAAATTGGATAAAGAGTCAAGACCCATCAGAGTGCTGTATTCAGGATACCCATCTCATGTGCAGAGACACATACAGGCTCAAAATAAAGGGATGGAGAAAGATCTACCAAGCAAACGGAAAGTTAAAAAAAGGCAGGGTTGCAATCCTAGTCTCTAATAAAACAGACTTTAAATCAACAAAGATCAAAAGAGACAAAGAAGGCCATCACATAATGGTAAAGGGATCAATTCAACAAGAAGAGCTAACTATCCTAAATATATATGCACCCAATACAAGAGCACCCAGATTCATAAAGCAAGTTCTTAGAGACTTAGACTCCCATAGAATAATACTGGGAAACTTTAACACCCCACTGTCAACATTAGACAGATCAACGAGACAGAAAGTTAACAAAGATATCCAGGAATTGAACTCAGCTCTGCACCAAGCAGGCCTCATAGAAATCTACAGAACTCTCCACCCCAAATCAACAGAATATACATTCTTCTCAGCACCACATCGCATTTATTCCAAAATTTACCACATAGTTGGAAGTAAAGCAGTCCTCAGCAAATGTAAAAGAACAGAAATTATAACGAACTACCTCTCAGACCACAGTGAAATCAAATTACAACTCAGGATTAACAAACTCACTAAAACTGCTCAACTACATGGAAACTGAACAACCTGCTCCTGAATGACTACTAGGTATATAACGAAATGAAGGCAGAAATAAAGATGTTCTTTGAAACCAATGAGAACAAAGACTCAACATACCAGAATCTCTGGAACACATTTAAAGCAGTGTGTAGAGGGAAATTTATAGTACTAAATGACCACAAGAGAAAGCAGGAAGGATCTAAAATTGACACCCTAACATCACAATTAAAAGAACTAGAGAAGCAAGAGCAATCACATTCAAAAGCTAGCAGAAGGCAAGAAATAACTAAGATCAGAGCAGAACTGAAGGAGATAGAGACACAAAAAACCCTTCAAAAAATCAATGAATCCAGGAGCTGGTTTTTTGAAAAGATCAACAAAATTGATAGACTGCTAGCAAGACTAATAAAGAATAAAAGAGATAAGAATAAAATAGATGCAATAAAAAATGACAAAGGGGATATCACCACCAATCCCACAGAAATACAAACTACCATCAGAGAATACTATAAACACCTCTATGCAAATAAACTAGAAAATCTAGAAGAAATGAATAAATTCCTGGACACATACACCTTCCCAAGACTAAACCAGGAAGAAGTAAAATCCCTGAATACATCAATAACAGACTCTGAAATTGAGGCAATAGTTAATAGCCTACCAACCAAAAAAAGTCTAGCAGCAGATGGATTCACAGCTGAATTCTACCAGAGGTACAAGGAGGAGCTGGTACCATTCCTTCTGAACTATTCCAATCAGTAGAAAAAGAGGGAATCCTCCCTAATTCATTTTATGAGGCCAGCATCATCCTGATACCAAAGCTGGGCAGAGACACAACCAAAAAAGAGAATTTTAGACCAATATCCTTGATGAACATCGATGCAAAAATCCTCAATAAAATACTGGCAAACCGAATCCAGCAGCACATCAAAAAGCTTATCCACTATGATCAAGTGGGCTTCATCCCTGGGATGCAAGGCTGGTTCAACATATGCAAATCAACAAACGTAATCCATCATATAAACAGAACCAAAGACAAAAACCACATGATTATCTCAATAGATACAGAAAAGGCCTTCGAAAAAATTCAACAGCTCTTCATGCTAAACACTCTCAATAAACTAGGTATTGACGGGATGTATCTCAAAATAATAAGAGTTATTTATGACAAACCCATAGCCAATATCATACTCAATGGGCAAAAACTGGAAGCATTCCCTTTGAAAACTGGCACAAGACAGGGATACCCTCTGTCACCACTCCTATTCAACATAGTGTTGGAAGTTCTGACCAGGGCAATCAGGCAAGAGAAAGAAATAAAGGGTATTCAATTAGGAAAAGAGGAAGTCAAATTATCCCTGTTTGCAGATGACATGAGTGTATATCTAGAAAACCCCATCGTCTCAGCCCAAAATCTCCTTAAGCTGATATGCAACTTCAGCAAAGTCTCACAATACAAAATCAATATGCAAAAATCACAAGCATTCCTATACCCCAGTAACAGACAAACAGAGAGCCAAATCATGAGTAAACTCTCATTCACAATTGCTTCAAAGACAATAAAATACCTAGGAATCCAACTTACAAGGGATGTGAAGGACCTCTTCAAGGAGAATTAGAAACCACTGCTCAACGAAATAAAAGAGGACACAAACAAATGGAAGAACATCTCATGCTCATGGAAAGGAAGAATCAACATTGTGAAAATGGCCATACTGCCCAAGGTAATTTATAGATTCAATGCCATCCTCTTCAAGCTACCAATCACTTTCTTCACAGAATTGGATAAAACTACTTCAAAGTTCATATGGAACCAAAAAAGAGCCCCCATTGCCAAGTCAATCCTAAGCCAAGAACAAAGCTGGAGGCATCATGCTTTCTGACTTCAAACTGTACTACAAGGCTACAGTAACCAAAACAGCATGGTACGGGTACCAAAACAGAGATATAGACCAATGGAACAGAATAGAGCCCCCAGAAATAATACCACACATCTACAACCATCTGATCTTTGACAAACCTGACAAAAACAGGAAATGGGGAAAGGATTCCCTATTTAATAAATGGTGCTGGGAAAACTCGCTAGCCATATGTAGAAAGTTGAAACTGGATCACTTCCTTACATCTTATACATAAATTAATTCAAGATGGATCAAAGACTTAAATGTTAGACCTAAAACCATAAAAACTCTAGAAGAAAATCTAGGCAATACCATTCAGGACATAGGCATGGGCAAGGACTTCATGACTAAAACACCAAAAGTAATGGCAACAAAAGCCAAAATTGACAAATGGGATCTAATTAAACTAAAGAGCTTCTGCACAGCAAAAGAAACTACCATCAGAGTGAAAATGCAACCTACAGAATGGGAAACAATTTTTACAATCTACCCTTCTGACAAAGGGCTGATATCCAGAATCTACAAAGAAGTTAAACGAATTTACAAGAAAAAAAATCAAACAGCCCCGTCAAAAAGTGGGCAAACGATATGAACAGACACTTCTCAAAAGAAGAAATTTATGCAGCCAAAAAACACATGAAAAAATGCTCATCATCATTGGCCATCAGAGAAATGCAAATCAAAACCACAATGAGATACCACCTCACACCAGTTAGAATGGTGATCATTAAAAAGTCAGGAAACAACAGGTGCTGGAGAGGATGTGGAGAAATAGGAACACTTTTACACTGTTGGTGGGACTGTAAACTAGTTCAATCATTGTGGAAGACAGTGTGGCGATTCCTCAGGGATCTAGAACTAGAAATATCATTTGACCCAGCCATCCCATTACTGGGTATATACCCAAAGGATTATAAATCATGTTGCTATAAAGACACATGCACACGTATGTTTATTGCGGCACTATTCACAATCTCAAAGAGTTGGAACCAACCCAAATGTCCATCAATGATAGACTGGATTAAGAAAATATGGCACATATACACTATGGAATACTATGCAGCCATAAAAAAGGATGAGTTCATGTCCTTTGTAGGGACATGGATGAAGCTGGAAACCATCATTCTCAGCAAACTCTCACAAGGACAGAAAACCAGACACCACATGTTCTCACTCATAGGTGGGAATTGAACAATGAGAACACTTGACACAGGGTGGGGAACATTACACACCGGGGCCTGTCTTGGGGTGGGGGGAGGGGGGAGGGATAGCATTAGGAGATATACCTAATGTAAATGATGAGTTAACAGGTGCAGCACACCAACAAGGCACATGTATACATACGTAACAAACCTGCACGTTGTGCACATGTACCCTAGAACTTAAAGTATAATAAAAATAAATAAATAAATAAATAAATAAATAAATAAATAAATAAATTCTGGGTTGAAAATTCTTTCCTTTAAGAATGTTGAATATTGGCCCCCACTCTCTTCTGGCTTGTAGGGTTTCTGCAGAGAGATATACTGTTAGTCTGATGGGCTTCCCTTTGTGGGTAACCCAACCTTTCTCTCTGGTTGCCCTTAAGATTTTTTTTCATTTCAACCTTGGTGAATCTGACAATTATGTGTCTTGGGGTTTCTCTTCTTGAGGAGTCTTTTTATTGTTCTCTGTATTTCTTGAATTTGAATTTTGGCCTGGCTTGCTAGGTTGGGGAAGTTCTTCTGGATATCTTGAAGAGTGTTTTCCAGCTTGGTTCTATTCTCCCCACCACTTTCAGGTACACCAATCAAATGTAGGTTTGGTCTTTTCACATAGTTCCATATTTCTTGGAGGCTTTGTTCATTCCTTTTCATTCTTTTTTCTCTAATCCTAATGCATTATTTCATCAAATTGATCTTTAATCTCTGATATTCTTTCTTCTGATTGATCTATTCAGTTATTGATACATGTGTATGCTTCATGAAGTTCTCTTGCTGTGTTTTTCAGCTCCAACAGGTCATTTATTTTCTTCTCTAAACTGGTTAGTCTACTTATCAATTCCTCTAACCATTTTTCAAGGTTCTTAGCTTACTGGCATTGGGTTGGAACATGCTCCTGTAGCTCAGAGGAGTTTGTTATTACCCACCTTCTGAAGCCTACTTCTGTCAGTTCATCAAACTCATTCTCCATTCAGTTTTGTTGCCTTCCTGGCGAGGAATTGTAATCCTTTGGAGGAGAAGAGGCATTCTGGTTTTTGGAATTTTCAGCCTTGGTGTGCTGGTTTTTCCTCATCTTCATGGATTTATCTACCTTTGGTCTTTGATGCTGGTGACCTTCAGATGAGGCTTCTGTGTGGACTTACTTTCTGTTGATGTTGATGCTCTTCCTTTCTGTTTGTTAGTTTTCCTTCTAATAGTCAGGACTCTTTGCTGCAGGTCTGTTGGAGTTTGCTAGAGGTCCACTCCAGATCCTGTTTGCCTGGGTATCAGCAGCGGAGGTTGCAGAACAGCAAAGATTGCTGCCTGCTCCTTCCTCTGTAAGCTTCATCCCACAGGGGCACCCACCAGATGCCAGCTGGGGCTCTCCTGTATGAGGTGTTTGTTGGCCCCTGCTGGGAGGTTTATCCCAGTCAGGAGGCTCGGGGGTCAGGGACCCACTTGAGGCAGTCTGTCCTTTAGCAGAGCTCGAGCACTGTGCTGGAAGAGCCACTGCTCTCTTCTGAGACAGCAGAAGGAATGTTTAAGTCTGCTGAAGCAGCAGCCAACCCTTCCCCCAGGTGCTCTGTCCCAGGCAGATGGGAGTTTTATCTATAAGCCCCTGACTTGGGCTGCTGCCTTTCTTTCAGAAATGCCCTGCCCAGAGAGGAGGAATCTAGAGAGGCAGTCTGGATACAGTGGCTTTGCGGTGCTGTGTTGGGCTCTGCCTAGTTTGAACTTCCCAGTTCCTTTGTTTACACAGTGAGGGGAAAACTGCCTATTCAAGCCTCTGTAATGGTGGATGCCCTTCCCCATACCAAGCTCGAGAGTCCCAGGTAAACTTCATACTGCTGTGCTGGCAGCAAGAATTTCAAGCCATTGGATCTTAGCTTGCTGGGCTCCCTGGGGTTGGGATCTGCTGAACTAGACCACGTGGCTTTCTGGTTTCAGCCTCCTTTCCAGGGCAGTGAATGATTCTGTCTTACTGGCATTACAGGCCAGTAAGTACCCCACTGGGGTACGAAGAAAAACTCCTGCAGCTAGCTCGGTGTCTGCCGTAATAGCCACCCAGTTTCGTGCTTGAAACCCAAGGCCCTTGTGGTGTAGGCACCCAAGGGAATCTCCTGGTCTGCAGGTTGCGAAGACCATGGGAAAAGCATAGTATCTGGGCCAGAATGCACTGTTCCTCATGGCATTGTCCCTCACAACTTCTCTTGGCTAGGGGAGGGAGTTCCCTGACCCATTGTACTTCCCTTGTGAGGTGATGCCCCACCCTGCTTCTGCTCGCCCTTTGTGGGCTACACTCACTGTCTAACCAGTCCTATTGAGATGAGCTGGGTACCTCAGTTGGAAATGCAGAAATCACCCACCTTCTGCGTTGATCTCGCTGGGACCTGCAGACTGGCACTTCTCATGCTTAAATCATATATTAGCTAAATATAAAACACTTTAAAAATACTACTTCATTTCTTCTTGAACCATATTGATATTAACAAATCTTGCGTTCATCTTCTCTTGTTATTGTTGTCTTTATCCTCTGAAATTTCTTAGAATCGTTCTTTAATCTTAGGTATTATTCATAAATTGATATTGAATGTAGCTATTCACAATAAATTGTTTCTTTGCTGAGAAACACCATGCCTGAGGCTCAGGTGCACAGACCCTGCCTTAAAATGAGGCTATAACATGAGAACCTGTAAATCTCCCCTGTTCCCACCATGAACCTTGAACCAAGTAACAAACAACAGCAATCTATTGCCAGGAAAGGTACAGGAGCATGGAAAATTTAAAGTCTGTGGTGCACTGAAGGTAACTATAGTAACACTAACAGCCAAATCTAGGTCAATATTGACTCAACCCACTGTGCCACTACCTGAACAATGTGGCAGAAGAAAAAGTATGCCCATTTCCAGGTATAACTACTGTATACCTCAGTCTCTAATTTCTTTTATACACAATATCTGGTATTCAATTAAAAATTATGAGACATAAAAATAAGAAAGATTAAGAAAAGTCATGTTGCCAAGAGATAAAGCAGTCAAAAGAACAGACCCAGAGATGGCCAGATGTTGAAATTATCAGTCAGGAATTTTTTTAAAAAACTATGATTAAAATGTAAAAGATCTAATGTTGAAGGAAGAAATCATTCATGGACAGAGAGGGAATTCCAGAAGAGAGATGAAAACTATAAGAAGGTCAATGGAAATGCTGGAAATAAAAACCACAATATCAAATATGAGAATTCTTTCAATGGGCTTACAGCAGACTGCATGTAGCAGAGCAAGGAATCAGTAAATTGGAGGACAAGTCAATAGAAATCAACCAAACAGAAACACAAAGAGAATAAAGAAAACAAACAAAAAAGAACAGAACATCCAAGAGGTGTAGGAAAATTTATCTATCTAACATTTCTAGGTGTGGGTTTTTACTTTTTGTCATGTTTAAATACTCCAGGATCCTATTCAATCTTAGGTCTCATATTTTCTCTAATTCTCTGAACTCCTAGGCAATTATTTCCTGAAACATTTCTTCCCCTCTATTTATTTTTACTATATCTTTCTGGAGGTTCTGTTATATGAATGTTAACCTTTCAATTTTTATTCATCTTTCAACTATATACACATATTTCTGTATTATAGAAACATATTTGTTGTATATTTAAAATACATAATATTTAACCTCTTTAGCTCTTCCTGATGCATTCTGAGAGTTCCTTGACTGTTGTTATGGCTCTCACTAATCTGTTATACAGCTAACCAATCCAGCATTCAACCCATTTATTATGTTATTTTAACTAATACATTTTTTTTTACTTCTAACCTCCAGTTGTTGTTTTTTTTTAACTGATTCTTTTTGCTTTGTTTCCAGTACTGCAACTTTCCTGGGTTACACTTCTGATGAATTCAGAAGTGTGAATCTGGGGAGGGAGTGGTCACTCTTCAAAGCAGGTCACTTGTGTGTGGTCACTCTTCAAAGCAGGTCACTTGTGTGTTAACAATCTGTATCCACTCTGGCACTGTTCTAAGTGTGGTCTCTCTTTTTTAATCATCTTGGTTTAAGATTTGAAGGGGGGTGGCAGTAGGAGAAAATATGTTTTTACCTACTCCCTAACCCAGTTAGGCTTCCCTGCCAATAGGACATTTTGTTGTTGCCCCTAGCTGTGCTGTGGTGTACTAACTGGCAAAGGATGGACAATAGCCCATTCAGAGTTGAGTTGATGGGGAAAGTACACACCTAAATATTTTCTTCCACTTTATCTCCTATTCATGGCGTCCAGGGTTGTTCAGTGTTGCTGCTTCCTCTTGTTGGGATCTAACCATCTTACGTCACCTCAGGGATTTATAATGATTTCTATATTGGTTTGATGAATCCAAAACTGGTTTCAGAGAGAGAATTGGGAGCCTGTGCTAATCTGCCATCTTACCAAAAACTGCATAAAACCAGTATTTGAATGTAGGGATTCTGACTTCAGAGACAATACCAATATCTTATCTATAATACTACATGATTTTCTGAATCTGTTTATCCCTCCTTACATATGTTTTACTACTTTTCATGATTACGCCTTTGTGTGATTACAACTTACACCTGGAATTCTGAACAGGCTTTTTTCACTATTTCTAACTCAGAGAATCTTTAAAATACGCGAAAACATTCTTCTTTAATAGAGACCCTCTAGTGGTTCTTTACAATCATTTTTCCTGTGATCCTTCAACACTTGTATGATACTAATTTACTTTTGATATGTTCCTCTATAAATGGTTTTTAATTTGTTCCATGTGCATATCTGCTGTTGGTCCAAATAGACTAAAAATGCCTGCTCTTTGAAAAATTTTCTAAAATCTAATAGACGGTGATGAATTAGCATTGACTAGCTAAGATATATCATTGATATGACTTAGAGAAAAAAACTCACTTTGTTCAAATCCTCCATTTTTACCCATGAAGTCAAAGAAAGCATCAAGAATTCTGCAGAGGGTTATGACGACTGTTATGTCCTCCATAGGATATGGCTGAAATTTCTGACGATTCCTTATAAATTGTAGTCCGTCTGTGACACTATTTTTAATCATGAATTCAAGACAATCCACTCCTGATTGACTTATAATTTTAGAAGTTTTCAGAAGCCATGACTTAACATAAGGTTCCCATCCCAGATCAACAGGATCCTAATAATAAGGAGCAAAATATAATCTTATGTAAATAAATAAAAATATGGTATCCTTCTACTATCTTACTCTCTTTTTACTTCACCACTGCCCTCTCATAAATATGACTTAGAATTGTCATTCATTAAAGGGCAAATGATCAAAGTAGCTTAAGGAATTAACATTCTCTGGAATGATTTGTGACTTCTATCTATGGTCTTACAAGAAAACAATTGGGGTATTATGTGTAGGAAGGTGTATTGAGGCTATGTGTATGTGGTGAGGGGTACTGCTTACCCAGAAGTCAGCCCTATACTTAGATTTATTCATAACATTCAGTTAAGTAGATTAGAGCATAGGGTTAATTATAGCTAATAACTTCATGTATAGAGAATAGAGACTATAGCTAATAACTTCATGTTATATTTTGTACTTCCCTCCCACTGTCTTCATAGTGTGTTTCCCAAGTTCTTAAGAGTCAGAGTGAGTATGAAAAGGCCTCAGGACCATCTTCCTCTATTGAAAAAATAATTCACATCAGCAGTCTAACCTGTCTATTTGTTTACCCACAGTTGTGGAAAATACTGACACTCCAATTACTAAGAGTAGTATTAAAACAGTAATAATTAAATTCACATTCAATTGTGGATTATGAGGCTTTGGGAGACACAAAGATTTGAAACTATTGAGTTCATGCTGCTGGATACAAAGGTAAAAATAAAATAAACATAAAATGCTGTAAATAATAAATAGTTACTATCATAAACAACATTTTTGCTTTGTTAAAACATTTGTTTTTGAAAGCTTACCATATAGACCATGGCACATCGGCTGACAGTAGCAGGACTGGCCTGAGAGAGATTGTCCACTTCAAAAATCACTCTTATTTTATTAGTTAAAGCTATTCTCTCACTGTTTGCTAGGCACAATGTTCTAGTATCATCTAGCACAGAGTTCAGATTTTCTACCCAAAAGGTGTCCACTGGGCCATCTAGGATAATCCACTGCCAATCAAAATCTGGAGAGAAAAATATTTTTAATGTAACTGAGACTAATGTCCGTCATCTTTCATTACAATCTTGCTAATTTTCTATTTTACTTAGGACATATTTTCTAAGAGGAAAGATATCCTAGAAAACACTAGAGTGAATGTGTTTATATGTAGTCCCTGGTATAACTGAATATGAATAAATATTTATACAGTATACTTAATAATGCTTTAAGCATTGTTTAGACATTCTTAGATTGTTGAATTAGATAATTAACCCTTACAATTTGCTTAGGAGAAACAGCTATAATTTTACCTTTTGCATAATAATATGATTTGTAAGTTTGCCCTTCTACCCCAGAATATTTTTTAGATATATTGCCCTTGGGGAATAGCAAAGGGAAACAGATGTTCTTTGAAGAAATAATCAAACAGAGTTTAAAGTATACTATATTTGGAACCCATTTACTCCTCTTTCCACAGGGTGTTAGTCCATTTGGGCTGCTGTAACAAAAAGCCTTAGACTGGGTAGCTTATAAACTATAGACATTTATTTCTCACAGTTCTGGAGGTTTGGAAGTCCAAGATCATGGCACTAGCAGATTCCTTGTCTGGGGGTGCTATCTTCGTGGTTGACAGATGGGCACATTCTTTGTCCTCACATGGTGGAAGGGGTGAGGAATTTCTCTTGAGCTCCTTTTTCAGGGCACTAATGCCATTAATGAGGGCTCTACCCTCATGACCTAATCAACTCCCCAAGGCCCCCTGCCTCCTAATAGCATCACCTTGGGAGTTAGAATTTCAACACATGGATTTTGGAGGGACACAAACCTTTAGACCATAGCACACATGCTACACCCACCACTGTGCTCCACAATTTTAGAAAATCCATTGGTCAGGATAGGGGAGGTATGAATAGGTCACTATGCAGACAGAAAATAGATAACCACTGAAAAGATATTAAAATATCCCAGAAGAATCCAAGAGTAGAGCTAGGATCCATATAGCCACTACTGCTAAGAGGTGCTCTGACAAATACCTGCCCTAGGAATGGCCTCAAAGTCCCATGAAGGAAACCAATGGTGCCTAATCACTGTACTCTCCCCAAAATAACACACAAATATTCAGTAAAGTAGAAGCAGAAGTAGAAATCTCTTTTAAAGTCTGGATCATATATGTACTAATGGTGGATGTGTTGACATGAGGTGCAACCTGGAGTGGGGAAAGCAATGGTCAGTGCTCCTCCAGTAGACTGACAAGGTCATATACATATTTTGTCCCACTGGCACATAGTAAAGTGTCTGGCATATTACAGGTGTGCAGTTCATTTTAGATAAATCTACTTGGGTTGTATGCTTTGGCCTGGAAATGTACAAATTGTTTGGAGTCCCATTTCAGAGGCAATATCAGTGGCAAATTGTAGATTGCTGCTGGTGCTTATCACATCATTGTTTATTTCTACCTTTAATATCCACTTGGTTCTTTTATAAACTGAAGGACTATTTAAGCCATAGTGCTTATATAATGTAATTATATATATATGTATACATTGTAATATAATATGTGGTAACACTACACAAATTTTAAATAAACATACGAACAAATAAATGGTACAGGAACAAAATATTACCAGTCAAAAAACATGTTTAAACATATAAATATAGCTCATATTGGTTGAGAGTTTGTCTTCTATATTAATAATCTTTCTTGAATTTAGTAACACTTACTGTGATTTTCTGGAATTTTAACAACTTTCTCTATCTCCTCAAAAATATTATCATCAGTCTCTGTTGTATCAGAGGAATCAAGTTTGAAAACCTAAAATATGTAATCAATAATGTTTAAATTTTTATTTAATAACACTTTTCAACTACAATGGATTATATGTCAATATGCTTTCTTGAGTGATAAAAATATAAAAGGCAGAGGGTTCTGTAACTGAAAAGACCAACATATAACCAGCATAGTCTAATGTAACTGACTTGTGACTATAGCTTATTTACTTTGGAAAACTATTTTACTTTGGTTTCTTTTTTCCCCCTGCAAAGACAGTACATGCTTATTGTAGGATGTCAAATAAAACAGAAAAACACAAGAAAGCAAAAGTTCTTTGAATTTCCATTACCCACAGACAATCACCATACATATTTTGGTGTATTTTTTTTTCTAGACTTTCCTTCATATCAGTTCTCAAGTTTTAGAATACATAGAATTACCTGCAGTTTGTTAAATTACAGATTGTAACACCTCATCCTTGGAGATTCTAATTGAATAGGTTTGGGATGAAGCCCAGAATTTTTCACTTTTAATGAAAATTAAATTATCCTGAGTTATTCTAATACATGTCATTTTTACACCAACCTTTGAGAAATTCTGATGTATGTATATTAACATATTAACTCCTTATTATCTTGAGATGGGGAGGCTTAATTATTCATCTCTGTAAAAGAGCTGAGTAATATATCATCAGCTTATTGGCACTGGTTTCCTTAACTATCAATAGTAGTCAGGGAGAAAACCAAATAATAGAGCTATGCTGGGGGCACAGTGTAGGTTCTAAAAGAGAGAGACAAAGGTGCTCATGTTTCAACCAGGTCCCAGCAAATAGTAATCAATTCCTACTAATTCCCACCCTCATCACAAAGTAAGCAAGTCCTAGGCTATTTCCAATTATTATTCCTATTACAAAAGTAATTATTATGCTTGGATATACATCATTATGCTCTAGTGCATTTCTTTCTCTAAATAGATTGTTTTGACTTGCAGAGAACATGGCAGATGGAGGCAGGACTAGATTGCAGCTCCTACTTGGATGGACAGAGAAGCATGTGGAGGCTCACATCATGAACTTTTGCTCCAGAATGACTGCAAGAATAAATCAGGAAAGCCGAGAGAACCCACAGACCCTCTAAAGAAAGTGGATTGCTCCTGCAGGACTGGGGAGACAGCCGAAATACTGAGAGTGTCCAAACTGTGGAAGTGGCAAAGGGGGATCATCCACCCCCAAACACACACCCTCACTAGGGAACCTGAAGGTCTAGATCATGAAAGAAGATCTGCATGAGTTGTGTGACCTTACCTGGAGCTTAGTCAACTTAGATAGCTGAGCAAAATACAGGGGTAGAGGAAGCAGCAGGAAAAGCACTGTGGGCTCACTGGGTCCCCTAGCAAGCCATTTCTGCCTTGCCTCACAGGGGTCCTTGCTGGGGGCTGACAGAGGCATTGAGAAAAGGCCACAGGGAGAAGAAAACCTCTAGCTCAACTTTGTAACAATTTGAACTGATTGAGAAGTCTCCTGGTCAGAACTCAGGGAAGGGCGTGAATCCAGTGTGCAGACTCCATAGGCGGAGGAAGCATGAAAGCCCTACTTGCTTTTGCAGCTGGGAGATGGGTAGCCGGGGCAAGTTCTCAGCCCTGCTCACCCTCTGCCTGGAAACAGACCCGGTGCTATTGCGGGGACACAGTGGGAGTGAGACTAGCCCTTTGGGTTGTGTGGGAGCTGGGTGAGGCCTGTGACTGCTGGCTTTCCCCCACTTCCCTGACAACCTGCATGACACAGTAGAGGCAGCCATAATCCTCCTAGGAACATAACTCCATTGATCTGGGAACCATACTCCTATCCCCCACAGCAGCCACAGCAAGACCCGCCCAAGGAGAGTCTGAGCTCAGACACGCCTAGCCTCATCCCCACCTAATGGTCCTTCCCTACCCACCCTGGTAGCTGAAGATGAAGGGTATATACTCTTGGGAGTTCTAGGGCCTGCCCACTGCCTGTTCCTCCCCATACTACCACAGCTGATGCTTTCTTGAAAGTGCCACCTCCTGGGCCAGGTGAGGTGGCTCACGCCTGTAATCCCAGCACTTTGGGAGGCCAAGGCAGGCAGATCACCTGAGGCCAGGAGTTTGAGATCAGCCTGGCCAACATGGTGAAACCCCATCTCTACTAAAAACACAAAAATTAGCCAGGCATCATGGCAGGCACCTGTAATCCCAGCTACTGGGGAGGCTGAGGCAGGAGAATCGCTTGAACCTGGGAGGCAGAGGTTGCAGTGAGCTGAGATTGCACCATTGCACTCCAGCCTGGGGGACAAGAGGAAGACTTCGTCTCAAAAAAAAAAAAAAAAAAAGGAAGAAAGAAAGTGCTACCTCCTGGCAGGAGGCCAACAAGCACAAAAATAGTGCATTAAACAATGAAAGGTAAGGACCCGTACAGAGTCCATTTTATCCCCTTGCCACTTCCACTGAAGCAGCTGCTGCTACCCGTGGCTGAGAGACCCATAGATGGTTCACAACACAGGACTCTGTGCAGACAACCCCCGGTACCAGCCTGGAGCCTGGTAGACTTCCTGGCTGGCTAGACTCAGAAAAGAGATAACAATCTCTACAGCTTGGCTCTCAGCAAGCCACATCCCTAGGAAAAGGGGGAGAGTACTACATTAAGGGAATACCCTGTGGGACAAAAGAATGTGAACAACAGTCTTGAGTCCTAGACCTTCCCTCTGACAGAGCCTACCCAAATGAGAAAGAACCAGAAAACCAACTCTGTTAGTATGAGAAAACAAGGTTCTTTAGCAGCCCCCAAAAACCACACTAGCTCACCAGCAATGAATCTAAACCAAGACGAAATCCCTGATTTACCTGAAAAAGAATTCAGAAGGTTAGTTGTTTAGCTAATCAGGGAGGCACCAGAGAAAGGTGAAGCCCAATTTAAGGAAGTCAAAAAATAACACAAGAAATGAGGGGATACATTTTTAATGAAATAGATAGCATAAATAAAAAACAATAGAAACTTCAGGAAACAGTGGATGCACTTATAGAAATGCAAAATTCTCTGGAAAATCTCAGCAATAGAATTGAACAAGCAGAAGGGAGAACTTCAGACCTCGAAGACAAGGTTTTCAAATTAACCCAATCCAACAAAGACAAAATAATAATAATAATAAGAAGAAAATATAAACAAAGCCTCCAAGAAGTCTGGGATTATGTTAAATGACCAAACCTAAGAATAATTGGTGTTCTTAAGGAAGAAAAGAAATCTAAAAGTTTGGATAACATATTTGGGGGAATAATCGAGGAAAACTTCACCAGCCTTACTAGAGACCTAGACATTTAAATACAAGAAGCTCGATGAACACCTGGGAAATTCATTGCAAAAAGATCATCGCGTAGGCACACTGTCATCAGGATATCTAAAGTTAAGACAAAGGAAAGGATCTTAAGAGCTGTGAGGCAAAAGAACCAGGTAACCTATAAAGGAAAACCTATCAGATTAACAGCAGATTTCTCAGCAGAAACCCTACTAGCTAGAAGGAATTGGGGCCCTAGTTTCAGCCTCCTTAAACAAAACAATTATCAGCCAAGAATTTTGTATCCAGTGAAACTAAGCTTCATAAATGAAGGACAGATACAGTCAAACAAACAAATGCAGATACAGACAAACAAACGCTGAGAGAATTCACCACTACCAAGCCAGCACTACAAGAACTGCTAAAAGGAGCTCTAAATCTTGAAACAAATCCTGGAAAAACATCAAAACAGAACCTCTTTAAAGCATAAATCTCACAGGACCTATAAAAAATACAATTAAAAAAACCAAAAAAATGAAAAACCAAGTATACAGGCAACAAATAGCATGATGACTGGAATGGTACCTCATAACTCAATACTAACATTGAATGTAGATGGCCTAAATGCTCCACTTAAAAGACACAGAATTGCAGAATGGATAAGAATTCACCAACCATCTGCTGCCTTCAAGAGACTCACCTAACACATAATGACTCACATAAACTTAAGATAAAGGGGTGGAAAAAGACATTCCATGCAAATAGACACCCAAAATGAGCAGGAGTAGCTATTCTTATATCAGACAAAACAAACTTTAAAGCAACAGCAGTTAAAAAAGACAGAGAGACATTATATAATGATAAAAGGCCTTGTCCAACAGGAAAATATCACAATCCTAAATATATATGTGCCCAACACTGGAGCTCCCAAATTTATAAAATGATTACAAATAGACCTAAGAAATGAGATAGACAGCAACACAATAATAATGGGGGACTTCAATACTCCACTGACAGTGCTAGACAGGTCATCAGACAGAAAGTCAACAAACAATGAATTTAAACTATACCCTGTAATAAATGGACTTAACAGATATTTACAGCACATTCTACTCAACAACTGCAGAATATACATTCTATTCATCAGTGCATGGAAATTTCTCCAAGATAGACAATATGAGAGGCCACAAAACAAGTCTCAATAGATTTAAGAAAGTTGAAATTATATCAAGCACTCTCTCAGACCTCAGTGGAAATAAAATTGGAAA
This sequence comes from Homo sapiens, assembly GCF_000001405.40. NCBI lineage: Eukaryota > Metazoa > Chordata > Mammalia > Primates > Hominidae > Homo > Homo sapiens. Next base: position 225,199,666 of record NC_000001.11, on the reverse strand, counting down.
TCAAGTCCAAAAGGAACCTTCAAAACCATGCAAATACATGGAAATTAAATAACCTGCTCCTGAATGATAACTGGGTCAAAATGAAATCAAGATGGAAATTTAAAAATTCTTTGAACTGAATGAAATAGTGACACAACCTATTGAAACCTCTGGGATACAGCAAAGGCAGTGCTAAGAGGAAAGTTCATAGCCCTAAACACTTATATCAAAAAGACTGAAAGAGCACAAACTGACTTTCTAAGGTCACACTTCAAGGAACTAGAGAAACAAGAACAAACCAAACCCAAATCTAGCAGAAGAAAGAAAATAACCGAGATCAGAGCAAAAATAAATGAAATTGAAACAAAAAATATACAAAAGATAAATAAAACAAAAAGCTGGTTCTCTGAAAAAATAAAATTGATAGACCATTAGAAAGATTAACCAAGAAAAGAAGACAGAAAATCCAAATAAGCTCAACTGGAAATGAAACAGTAGATATTACAACTGACACCACAGGAACACAAAAGATCATTTAAGGTTACTGTGAACACTTTTATGTGCATAAACTAGAAAACCTAGAGGAGATGGATAAATTCCTAGAAAGACACAACCCTCTTAGCTTAAATAAGGAAGAATTAGATACCCTGTATAGACCAATAACAAACATGGAGAATAAAATGGTAACAGAAAAAATTACCAACAAAAAAAGTCCAGGACTAGACAGATTCGTGGCAGAATTCTACCAGACGTTCAAAGAAGAATTGGTAGCAATCTATCTTATTACCCTATTCCACAAGATAGAGAAAGAGAGAATCCTCCCTAAATCATTCTATGAAGCCAGTATCACCCTAATACCAAAACCAGGAAAGGACATAACCAAAAAAGAAAACTACAGACCAATATTCCTGATGAACATAGATGCAAGAATCTTTAACAAAATACTAGCTAACTGAATCCAACAACATATCAAAAAGGTAATCCACCATGATCAGTGGGTTTCAGGGATGCAGGGATGATTTAACATATGCAAGTCAATAAGTGTGATACACCACATAAACAGAATTAAAAACAAAAATCACAAGATCATCTCAATAGATGCAGAAAAAGCATTAAACAAAATCCAGCATTGCTTTATGATTAAAAGTCTCAGCAAAATTGGCATAGAAGGGGCTGGGCACAGTGGCTCATGCCTGTAATCCCAGCACTTTGGGAGGCTGAGGTGGGCAGATCACAAGGTCAGGAGATTGAGACCATCCTGGCTAACACGGTGAAACCCCATCTCTACTAAAAAATACAAAAAATTAGCCAGGCATGTTGGTGGGTGCCTTAGTCCCAGCTACTTGGGAGGCTGAGGCAGGAGAATGGTGTGAACCCAGAATGCAGAGCTTGCAGTGAGCCAAGATCGCACCACTGCACTCCAGCCCGGGCAACACAGTGAGACTCCATCTAAAAAAAAAAAAAAATTGGCATACAAGGGACATATCTCAATGTAATAAAAGCCATCTAAGAAAAACCCGCAACCAATATAATAGTGAGTGGGAAAAAGTTGAAAACATTCCTTCTGAGAACTGGAGCTAGACAAGGATGCCCACTCTTACCACTTCTCTTCAACATAGTACTGGAAATCCTAGCCAGAGCAATCAGACAAGAGAAAGAAATAAAAGGCATCCAAATCAATAAAGAGGAAGTCAAACTGTCACTGTTTGCTGATGACAGGATTGTTTACCTAGAAAACCCTAAAGACTCCTCCAGAACGCTCCTAGAAATGATAAAAGTATTCAGCAAAGTTTCTAAATACAGAATTAATGCACGCAAATCAGTAGCTCTTCTATACACCAACAGTAACCAAGCTGAGAATCAAATCAAGAACTCAACACCTTTTACACTAGCTGCAAAAAAATAAAATACTTAGGAATATACCTAATGAAGGAGGTGAAAGACAAGGAAAACTACAAAACACTGCAGAAAGAAATCACAGACAACACAAACAAATGGAAACACATTCCATGCTCATGGATGGGTAGAATCAATATTGTAAAAATGACCATACTGCCAAAAAAGCAATCTACAAATTCAACACAATTTCCGTCAAAATACCACTATCATTCTTCACAGAACTAGAAAAAACAATCCTAAAATTTATATGGAACCAAAAAAGAGCCCATATAGCCAAAGCAAGACTAAGCAAAAATAACAAATTTGGAGGCACCATATTACTTGATTTCAGGCTATACTATAAGGCCATAGTCACCAAAACAGCATGGTACTGGTATAAAAATAGGCACATAGACCAATGGAAAAATATAGAGAATCCAGAAATAAAGCCAAATACTTACAGTCAACTGATATTTGACAAAGCAAATAGAAACATAAAATGGGGAAAGGACACCCTACTCAACAAATGGTGCTGGGATAATTGGCAAGCCACATATAGGAGAATGAAACTGGATCCTCATCTCTCACCTTATATAAAAATCAACTCAAGATGAATCAAGGGCTTAAATCTAAGACCTGAAACCATAAAAATTCTACAAAATATCATTGAAAAAACCCTTCTAGACATTGGCTTAGGCAAGGATTTCATGACCAAGAACCCAAAAGCAAATGCAACAAAAACAAAGATAAATAGCTGGGACTTAATTAAAGAGTTTTGCACAGCAAAAGGTACAGTCAGCAGAGTAAACAGACAACCCACAGAGTGGGAGAAAATCTTCACAATCTATACATTTGATGAAGGACTAATATCCAGAATCTACAACAAACTCAAGTGAATTAGCAAGAAAAAAACTAAACAATACCATCAAATTAGCAAGAAAAAAAACAACCAATCCCATCAATAAGTGGGCTAAAGATATGAATAGACAATTCTCAAAAGAAGATATACAAATGGCCAACAAACATGAAAAAATGCTCAACATCACTAATTATCAGGGTAATGCAAATCAAAACCACAATACAATACCACTTTATTCCTGCAAGAATGGCCATAATCAAAAAATCAAAAATAAGATGTTGGTGTGGATGTGGTGAACAGGGAACACTTCTACACTGCTGGTGGGAATGTAAACTAGTACAACCACTGTGGAAAACAGTGTGGAGATTTCTTAAAGAACTAAAGTAGAGCTACCATTTGATCCAGCAATCCCACTACTGGGTATCTACCCAGAGGAAAAGAACTCATTACATGAAAAAGGTATTTGCACACACATGTTCATGGCAGCCCAATTCACAATTGCAAAAACATGAAACCAACCCAAATGCCCATCAATCAACAAGTGGATAATGAAACTGTTGTATATATATGTATACTATGGAATACTACAGCCATAAAAATGAATTAATGGCATTCACAGAGCTCTGCATGAGATTGGAGACTATTATTCTAAGTGAAGTAACTCAGTAATGGAAAACCAAACATCATACGCTCTCACTTATAAGGGGGAGCTAAGCTATGAGGATGCAAAGGCATAAGAATGACACAGTGGACTTTGGGGATCCAGGGGGAATGGGTAGGAAGGGGGTGAGAGATAAAAGACTACAAATTGTGTGCAGTGTATACTGCTCAGGTGATGGGTTCAGCAAAATCTCGCAAATCACCACTAAGGAACTTACTCATGTATCCAAATACCACCCGTTCCCCAATAACCTATGGAAATAAAAATAAATAAATAAATAAATAAATAAATTTCTTAAAAATGTGAGACTGTGGGTTAAAAGTTATACATATTTTATTTTTTAATAAATTCCATTAGATTACTTTACAAAAGTTTGTGGCAATAACACTCCCACCATCATTCTACATATCCTTGCTAACACTGAAAATATTCACTATCAATATTGTTAAGGTTTGAAAACCTGATGAGAAAAAAAAGTGCCTATCATTGTTATAACTTTTTTTTGAATAATAGCTGGGCTGAGCATCTTTTCATATATTCATATATTTAATGACAACTGTAATTTTTCTATCGATTTTCTATTTATAGCTTTTCCTCATTTACTTAGTTGATAGTTCCTTATTTATTTTTTCTAACTTTTATTTTAGGTTCAGGGGTATATGTGCAGGGTTGTTATATAGATAAATTGCGTGTCTCGGGGGTTTGGTATACAGATTTTTACCCAGGTAATAAGCTTAGTATCCAATAGGTAGTTTTTTGATCCTCTCCATCCTCCCATCCTCCACCAAGTAAGCCCCAGTGTCTATTGTTCCCATCTTTGTATCCATGTGTAGTCAATGTTTAGCTCTCATTTATAAGCAAAAACATGTAGTATTTGACTTTCTGTTCCTGAGTTAGTTTGCTTAGGATAATGGCCTCCGGCTCCATCCATATTGCTGCAAAGGACATGATCTCATTCTTACGGCTTTGTAGTATTCTATGCTGTATATGTACCACATTTTCTTTATCCAGTCTACCATTGATGGGCATCTAGGTTAATTCCATGTCTTTGCTATTCTGTGTAGTGCTGTGATGAACATATGTATGCATGTGTCTTTATGGTAGAATGATTTATGTTAATTTGGGCATATATGCCCAATAATGGGATGGCTGGATTGAATGGTAGTTCTAAGTTCTTTGAGAAATCACCAAATCACTGTGCTTTCCACAGTGGCTGAACTAATTTACATTCCCACAAGCAGTGTGTCCCCTTTTCTCCATACCCTTGCTAGCATCTGTTATTTTTTAACTTTTTGTAATAGCCATTCTGACTGGTGTGAGATGGTATCTCATTGTGATTTTCATTTGCATTTTTCTAATAATTAGTGATGATGAGTATTTTTTCATATGGTTATTGGCTCAATGTATATCTTCTTTGGAGAAGTGTCTGTTCATATCCTTTGCCCACTTTTTAGTGGGGATGTTTTTTTCTTGCCAATTTGTTTAAGTTTCTTATGGATTCCAGATATTAGATTTTTATCGGATACACAGTTTGCAAATATTTTCTCCAATTCTATAGGTTATCTGCTTATTCTGTTGATAGCCTTTTTTTCTGTGCAGCAGCTCTTTAATTAGGTCCCAATTATCAATTTTTGTTTCATTGCAATTGCTTTTGGTGTCTTCATCATGAAATCTTTGCCCAGGCACATATACAGAATGATTTTCCTAGGTTTCTTCTATAGTTTCAAGTTTTACATGTAAATCATTAATCTATCTTGAGTTGATTTTTGTATATCGTGAAAGGAAGGGGTCCAGTTTCAATCTTCTGCATACATCTAGCCAGGTATCCCAACATCATGTATTGAACAGGAAGTCCTTTTGCCACTGCTTATTTTTTCAAACTTTGGCAACTTTTTGTCAACTTTGTCAAAGATCAGATGGTTGTAAGTGTGCAGTATTATTTCTGGGCTATTCTGCTCTACTTGTCTATGTGTCTGCATTTGTATAAGTATCATGTTGTTTTGGTTACTGTAGCCTTGTAGTATAGTTTGAAATTGGGTAACATGATGCCTTCAGCTTCATTCAGGCTCTTTTTTGTTTCCTAAGAATTTTATAATAGTTTTTTCTAATTCTGTGAAAAATGTCACTGGTAGTTGATAGGAATAGCATTAAGTCTGTAATTGCTTTGCGCAGTATGGCCATTTTAACAGTATCGAATCTTCCAATCCATGACCATGGAATGTTTTTCCATTTGTTTGTGTCATCTCTGATTTCTTTCAGTACTGTTTTGTTATTCTCATTATAGACATCTTTCACCTCCTTGGTTAGATGTATTCCTGGGTATTTTACTTTTTTGTGGCTACGGTGAATGAGATTGTGTTCTTAATTTGGCTCTCAGCTTGGACATTATTGGTGTATAGAAGTGCTACTAATTTTTGTGCCTTGATTTTATATCCTGAAACTTTGCTGAGTTGTTTACGAGATTTGGAGGTTTTGGGCAGAGACTATGGGGTTTTCTAGGTATAGAATCATATTGTCTGCAAACAGAGATAGTTTAACTTCCTCTCTTCTTATCTGGATGTCATTTATTTCCTTCTATTGCCTGATTGCTCTGGCTAGGAATTGCAATACTACGCTGAATAGGAGTAGTGATAGTGGGCATCCTTGTGTTGTTCTGGTTCTCAAGGGGAATGCTTCCAGCTTTTCCCCACTCAGTATGATGTATTGTTTTCCCATTTAAAAAATCTTTATTAACCTATTTAGTTTTAATATTTATTCTTATTCTTTGAGATAGAGTCTTGTGATATTGACCAGGCTGGTCTTGAACTGCCAGGCTTAAGTGACCCTACTGCCTCAGCCTCCAGAGGAGCTGGGATTACAGGTGTATGCCACCACACCTGGCTTCTCTGTTTGGTTTTAAACATCATCTTTTTGTTAATGTGTTTTATCTAATGATATTTACCAGCAATCTCTAGTTATTGCTAATGAGAATAAAAATTTTCCTTTTTGCCACTTGTATCTATTCTGTGATGAATTTTGTATCAAATACTTTATTCACTTTTCTAACAAAGGGTTTTTTAGTCTCATTAATTTGCAAGGTATTTTGGTGGTGCTGGAATCACTAGATCATTTTCCATTCAAACTTAATTCACTTTGTGCTCCTTTAAAAGCAAATATCTTTAACTTCATTCTATCATTTACTGATCATTTAAAAATTCAATGGGAGATTTTCCATTTTTTAATAACATAATTTTTCTCTTTTTAAAAACTATTCATAAGATTTTAAAATTTACTTTTACACTAATAGATGTCTAATGATGTTTTAATATCAGTCTTTGGATAAGCAATTAAATAATCCACATTAGTTAAATAAAAACATTCATTCAATACTAAACTTACATTGGATAAATCTGAGATTCTTGACTTTAGTCTGAGATCAATGTCTTTCTTTGTGTTCTTTGGTGTGTTAAAATATACATAACTTCGAATTGTTGCTGATAATAATCCATCAGTCCATTCCATAGTATTAGGATCCAGTTGTCCATATAGTTCACTGAGAGTGACACACTTTGGATTTAAAACACAAATATCTACTTTTCCTTTTCTTTCTGAAATCTGGGAAAAATCCAGTGTAGTTTTTAAAGACATTAACTATAGACCAATTATTTAGTTTATTTGCATTCTTATTATTAAAAGGTTATAGGAGAAACCTTTCACACCAAAAAAAGATTTTATATAAAGGTAGCAAGTTGCAAGGAACAGTAAATATTGACTTCTTAAAATTATCCATAATATACAAATCATTCTTTTAAAAAATTGTAATACTACAAACAGTACCCCCAGAAAAAGTGGAAAAAAATCTGTGCCTAATCCAGGAACACAGTATATAAACTGGCATGTAATGTGTCTGGGGACAGGGTTGAGTATAGAAGTGAGAGACAACAGAATACACTTTTAAGCTTAAGGTCAGAATTGACACTGAAATTAACCTGATTTGCAATATTTTAACCTGTCTTGCCAGAATATCTGGTCTCGTTTTATGTATCTCAGATGTCAGGCAGAAAAATTGGCAGGCACTTCTTCAGAGAGATTACAGACCTGTGGAAGCCTAGGGCAAGAGATTACAGGTAGAAACATATGACAGACCATATAAGGCCTCAGGGAGAAGTTTGGGTAAAATCTTTGGGAAATTAAGACATTCATATGGGGGAATTCTGAAAGCCATATGCATCAAGATGTATGCACAAAGACCTGAGATGAATTGAAACTTTCATCTTAAGCTTGATCACTAGACTCAGAGCAGGCCCAGCTAATCAGTCAAAAACTACCCCAGCAAAGATCAAGTCTGAGGAAACTGGAAAATGGTGTAAGAACAAGTAGGAACTATTATTAAAGATACAGAAATTATAAAAGGGAACAAAATAGAGTTTATAGAGCTGAAAAATAAAATAGTTGAAATAAAAATCAACAGTGGCATTCAATAGCAGATTTAAGCAGATAAAAAAAGAATGAGCAAACCTGAAGACAGGGAAGCCAAAATTACCCATTTGAAGAGAAGAAAGAAAAAAGAATAAAATAAGTAAACAGAGTCCAAGAGACCTATGGAATACCATAAAGCATATCAATCTATACATTATGGTAATTCCAGAAGAAGAAAAGAGAGAAAAAGTAGAAAAAAATGTTGGTAGAAATACTGGCCCCAAATTTTCCAATTAATGAAAGATATAAAATACAAATCCAAGAACTCATGAAACACAAAGAAAAATAAACACAAAGAGATCCACACATTATAATCAAACTATTGATGTCCAAAGGCAAAATCTTGAAAGTAGCAGGAGAGAGGCAATACAAGGGATCCTCAGCAAAATTAAAAGTCAATTCTCATCAGAAAGCACAAAGGCCAGAAGGCATGGGATGATACAAAGTGCTGAAACAAACTAAAAACCAAAACTGTCAACCAAGAATTCTATATGCAGCAAAACCATCTTATGAAAGTGAGGGAGAAACTAAGGCATTCTCAGATAAACAGAAGCTAAATAGTTCATCCCTGGGAAACCTACCCTACTGAAAATGCTGAAGGTATGAATAAAGGGATAAATGCTTCAGGCTCAAATGAAAAAAACAATAAATAGTAACTCAGAGCCATTTGAAGAAATAAAGATCTCTGGTTAAGGTAAATATAAAAGCCACTATTACTTTATTTTTGATTTGTAACTCCTCTTTTTTTCCTATATAATTAAAAAAATAAATGCATAAACAATAATAATGAATCTATATTAATGGGTACACAATATATAAAGATATAGTTTGTGACACTAACAACATAAAGCAGGCAACAGAGCTGGGAAGGAGTAGAATTAATGTCTGCTATTGAAGTGAAGTTGGTATCAGTTCTACTGGATTGGTAGTTATGTGTTTGCTAGGGCTGCCACAACAAAATACCACAGTCTGGGTAACTTAAACAACAAATTTATTTTCTCTTTTACTCTGAAGAGTAAAAGTCTAAGATGAAGTTGTTAGCAGTTTTGATTTCTTCAAGACCTCAATCCTTGACTTGCTGATAACTGCCTTCTCACTGTGTCTTCATGTGGTCTTTTCTCTGTGCATACACACACCTCTAATGTCACTTTGTGTTTGTAAATTTCCTTTTCTTATAAGTACACAAGTCAAATTGGATTAGGGCCTGCTGTAATAGCTTTATTTTAACTTAATCACCTCTTTAAAGGCTGTATCTCCAAATATACTGTAATCCTCCCTTTTCTATAGTTTCATGTTCTGCAGTTGCATTTACCTGTGGTCAACTGCAGTCCAAAAATATTAAATGGAAAATTCTAGAAATAAACAATTTGTAAGTTTTAAGTTTCATGCTATTTTGAGTAGTTACATGAAATCTTGCACCATCTGGCTCTGTCCCACCTGGGACATAAATCTACCTGCTAATCAGTCACTCAGTAACAACTCAGTTATCAGATCGACATACACAAGAAGAAGGGTGAATACAGTATATATAATAAGATATTTTGAGAGATAGAGATCACATTCACATAATTTTTATTACATCATATTTTTTATAATTGTTCTATTTCATTAGTTGTCATTGTTCATCTTTTACTGTGTCAAATTTATAAATTAAACTTCATCATAGATATGTATGTATGGGAAAAAACATAGTATATATAGGGTTCAGTACTATCTGTGGCCCCAGGCATCCACTTGGGGTCATGGAATGTATTCCCCATGAATAAGGGGAGATACAAGCTGAGGTACTGTGGGTTGGAGATTTAACACATGAATTTTGGGTGGGGGGGACACAATTCAGACCCTAACAGTTGTTAACTGCAATCTCCCAGGTAACTATTTTAAAAATGAGTAAAAAATGAAAAGGAAATGAAGAAGGAATCCAAATGTTACACTAGAAAAAAATCAAACACAAAAGGCAATTTTGGAGGAATTGAGAAACAAAAAAGATACAAGACATAGAATAAAATCGCAAAAAGGCAAAAGTCCATCATCAGTAATCAAAATAAAATAGATTAAGTTTGCCAATTAAAAGAAGAAATTGGCATAGTGAAGAAACAAAAACATGATCCAAATATATGTTGCATACAAGAGACTGACTTTAGACCCAAAGACAATAGTTCAAATACACAGTTTGAAAGTAAAACAAAGATTTTTTCAAGCAAGATGAAATGGACAAGTTCCTAAAAACACACAAATTACCAAAACCAACTGAAGAAGAAATAGAAAATCTCAAAAGACCCATAACAAATAGTTTGACTCAATAATCAAAAACTTCCAACAAAGAACAGTCCAACTACAACTGGTAGATAAATTCCACCAAACACTTAAAGAAGAATTAACACCAATCCTACTCAAACTCTTGTAAAAAAAAAAAAGAAAAGAAAGAAAACTAGGAAACACTTTCTAATACATTCTATGAGGTCAGCATTACTCTGATAGCATACCCAAAGATGGCACAAGAAAAGGAAACTACAGACCAATAACCCTTAAGGATATATATGCAAAAATCCTCAAAAAGATGCTAACAAACTGAATCCAACAGCACATTTAAAGGATTATGCACCATGACCAAGCACAATTCCTGGTCATGCACCATGACCAGGAATGCAAGGGTAGTTCAACATAAGAAAATCAATCAATGTAACCCACTACAATAGTAAAATGAAGGAAAGAAACCACACGATCATATCAAAAGGCACAGAAAAAGCATTTGACAAAATTTCACACCTTTTCATGGTAAAAAACGCTCAGAAAACTAGGAAGAGAAGTAAACTTCCTTAACATGATAAGGGGTATTTATCAAACTCAGCACCATACTCAATTGGAGAAAGACTGAAATCAAGAATAAGACAAGGATTCCAAAGAATAAAATGCCTAGGAATAAATTTAATGATAGGAGAAAGATTTGTATATTGAAAACTAGAAAACTTGGCAGAAGAAATCAAAGATATAAAAATGGAAAGACATCTGTGTTCATCAATCAGAAAACTTTATTATTAAGATGGTAGTATTCACCAAAATGATCTACAGGATCAACGCAATTCCTATCAAAATTCCAATGGCCTTTTCTGCAGAAATGGAAAAGCCAATCCTTAAATTCATATGGAATTGCACAGAGCCCCAAATAACCAAATGTCCAAAAAACAAAAAACAAAGTTGGAGAACTTGCACTTCCCAGTTTCAAAACTTACTACAATAATCCGCCTTTATCCCCAGGGGATACATTCCAAGGCACCTAGTGGATGCCTGAAACCACAGATATTACAGAACCCTTTATATATTATATTTTTCCCTATAGATACATACTTGTGATAAAGTTTTAGAAATTAGGCACAGTAAGATGTTAACAATAATTAATAGAACAATTAAAACAATATGATGTAATAACTTAAAACTGATATGAATGTAATCTTTGTTTCCCACAAAATGCCTTATTGTACTGTACTCACTCTTCTTGTGATGATGATATGATAAAATGCCAATATAAAGAGATGAACTAAGGTGAATGATGTAGGCATTGTAATGTAGTGTTTAAAGCTTATGAATTGTTTGCTTCTGAAATTTTCCATTTAATGTTTTTGGACCACAGTTGACCATGAGTAACTGAAACTGTGCAAAGTAAAAACCATGAATACAGGGAGACTACTATATAAAACTATATAGCAATCACAACATATCTATTGTGGTATAAGGAAAGACATATAGAACAATGAAATAGAACTGTGAGACCAGAAACAAACCCAAACATCTGTGGCCAACTGATTTTCAACAAAAAATGCCAAGATCATTTAGTGGGGAAAATAATAGACTTTAACAAATGGTGCAGGAAGAGCTGGATATCCCTATGTAAAAGAACGAAGTTGGACCCCTACACTTCACATCAAGAAAGGGAAAAGAGAACTCACAAAACAGGAAAAAAAATTTGCAGATCACAATCTGATGAGAGTTTTGTGTCCAGAATATATAAAGAACTCTCACAACTGAACAACAAAAAGATAACAATTTAAAAATGGACAAAGACATGAACAGACATGTCTCCAGAGAAGATACACAAATGGCCAATAAGCATATGAAAAGGTATTCAACACCAAAACTACAATGAGATAGTATTTCGCATCCGCTAGAATGGGAAATAATAAATGTTGGTGAGGATATGGAGAAACAGAAAGCCTCATACATTGCTAATGGCAATTTAAAATAATGTAGTTACTGTAAAACACTTTGGTGTTTCCTCAAAAAGCTAAACACAGAATTACCATATGACCCAACAATTCTATTCCTAGGTATTTATCCAAGAGAAATGAAATCATATGTCTACTCAACTTGTACACAAATGTTTACAACAGTAATATTCATTGCATCCAAAAGGTAGAAAAAACCCAGATATATATCTATATACATCTCTGCCAAAAGAGGCGAATCTATAGAAAGAGAAAGCCAATTAGTGGCTTCCAGGGAATGGGAAGATAGGAGAATAGGGGGTGATTTCTTAATGAGAAAGGGGTGTTCTCCTGGGGTGATAAAAATATTTGGAAATTAGAGGGAGGTAGTAATTGCATAACATTGTGAATATATTAAATGTCACCAGAATGTACACTTTAAAATGGTTTATCTCATGTGTGTGAATTTTACCTGGCAGTACATGGTGAAGTTATACCATGCCAACCAGCAATTACATTATTGGGTATAAAATTTTTAAGGACACACATATATCTAAAGGCATATAGCAAGGAGTGTTCCTATGATGAAGAGGAAAAAGAAAGATAAGGAAAGAAGGTAAATAAATTAAACAAAACTAAACTAAAATAAAGAGAAGGTCTTGAACAGACCAGTAAGAAGAAAGTCATAAACTAAGGATGACCAAAATAATTCCATCACCTCAGGTCCTACTACCATTCCTAAGTATGTTTATTACAATTATATCTTTAAAAAACAAAAATTTAAAACTATTAAACATGTGAGAATCATTAAATAAATTATAGTATAGTCATATATACAGAATACAGTAATTGGGATATTTGTCAGAAATGTTTAATGTCATAAGGTTAATTCTCAGCATATAACATTATGTGAAAATTCCAAGGTTGGAAAAACTAAGATTTCTTATACATGGTACTATCTCGGTTATTTCAAAATATATTTAGTGTAGAATAAATAATCAAAGCTAATACAGTAATACGTTTTCACATTTTACTGTATTATTATTCTAGGTGATTATTATTTCTTCACATTTTATTTTCCAAATTTCTCACAATTATATGTACTACTTTTGTACTTAAAAAACTGTTTTTAATAAAGCAAATTACTGTCTTCACAGTTGTTGTGAGAATTAAATAATTCAAGCAAAAGTGTTTTGGCACCCTGCTTGGACCTTTTTAGGTAGTCCATACATATTAGTTATTATTATTATTGCTGTGATAATTCACCTCTTATTAGTTATAATAACTGTGTAAGAACTAATTGAGATCTTTCAGGAAGGAAAATTTGCATGAAGGGAAAAGCGAAAAGATTATGAACTACTACATGTATAATCTCGAAGCAGGATATTTCCCACTGACAGAAAAAAAATCCACATAACCAAGAATCTGAATTTGTAAATTTTTGGAATATGTTACCAACAATAAATCATTAACTAAGTAATTGAAGTACATATTATTTAGTGGAGTCTGACTTTATATTGAATAAAAATATATCATGACTAAGTAGGCACTATGCAAGGAATTCAAAGACAAGTTAACATTAATAAATCAACATAGTTTATTACATTAATCAGTTAAAAGATTTAAAAAATAGATGCTGAAAATAATTTAATAAATTCTAACAGCCAAAAAAAAAAAAAAAAACAAAGTGTAATGCGAATAGAAAATTCCAAAGTGTGAAAAGGAATATTTATCAGTGACCAAGATCAAATATCATATTAAATGCATAAATATTAAATACATTCCAGATAAAGTAAGGAAGAAATATTACAGTTAACATTGTATTAATGTTAACTTGGAAATTAATTAAAATTAACTTGGAAAGTTAATTCATTAAGAAGAGAAGTTATATAAATATTCAAAAAAAGACAAAATTATTTTCATGTGAAGATGATTCAATTGATACCTAAAAACAATAAGAAATTAAAAGTTCATTTATTAAGATGCCTAGATACAAAATAAATATACAATAGTTTCTTTAAACTAGTAATGATCAGTTTGAGATTTAAGTTAAAAATCCCACTCATTATGATTCTTAACTACAAAATTCCTAGCAATAAGTTTAATAAGTAATGAAAATACCAATATAAAGAGAACATAAAATATTAAAGTGTAAAATAAGATATGAACAAATAGAGAAACATTTTATTTAACAGAACATTTACCTTTGAAGCAGATTTTCTTTCTGCAACTGATAAGAAGTCTGCAATTGGTAATAGCGTTAATGCTTTTTCCAAAATTCTTCTGACTGTTGTCTTTCCTCCACCTGTTGGGCCCACTAACATCACACCAACACAAACCTAAAACAAAATTTACAGATTTATTCATTCATTAATGATTTTAAGTTTATTAACCAATATATCTCTATATCCATTGACTATTTTATTTTTTGTGGCTATAATAAATGAGTTTGTGTTCTTTATTTGGCTCTCAGCATGAATGTTATTGGTGTATAGAAATGCTACTGATTTTTTTTTTTTACATTGATTTTGTGTCCTGAAACTTTGCTGAAGTTGTTTACCAGATTTAGGAGCCTCTTGGCTATGTTTTTTAAAATTTATTTTTTATTTTTTATTTTAATAACAGGTACAGAGTCATACCATCAGCAAAGAGGCATAATTTAACTTCCTCTTTTCCTATTTGGATGTCTTTTATTTCTTTCTTTTACCTGGTTGTTCTGGCTAGGACTTCCCGTACTATAATGCATAAGAGTGGTGTGAGTGGGCATCCTTGTCTTATTCCAATTCTTAAGGGGAATGCTTTTAGCTTCCACCTATTCAGTATGGCTTCTTTCTTTCTTTATTTTTCTTTCTTTCTTTCTTTCTCTCTCTCTCTCTTTTTTTTAAGATATGTTCCTTTGATGCCTAGTTTGTTGAGACTTTTTATCAAAAAGGGATGTTGGATTTTATAAAATGCTTTTTCTGCATCTACTGAGACAATCATATGTTTTGTTTTTGTTTTTATTTTCTTTGAGACAGAGTCTTGCTCTGTTGCCCAGGCTGGTGTGCAGTGGTACAATCTGGACTCACTGCAACCTCTGCCTCCCAGGTTCAAGCGATTCTTGTGCCTCAGCCTCCTGAGTATGTGGGACTACAGGTGCGTGCCATCACAGCTGGCTAATTATTTTATTTTTAGTAGAGATGGGGTTTCTCCATGTTGACCAGGTTGGTCTTGAACTCCTAGTCTCAAGCGATCCACTCACCTCTGCCTCCCAAAGTCTTGGAATTGCAGGTGTGAGCCACTGTGCCCAGCCAATCATATGGTTTTTAATTCTGTTTATGTGGTGAATCACATTCATTAATTTGCATATGTTGAACCAACTTTGCATCCCAGGAATCAAGGCTTCTTGATCATGGTGAATTCACTTTTTTTGATGTCCTGCTGGATTTAGTTTGCTAGTATTTTGTTGAGGATTTTTGCATCTATGTCCATCAAAGATGTTAGTCTGTAGTTTTCTTTTTTCATTGTGATATTGCATGTTTTGGCCTGATTTTGATATTAGGATAATACTGATTTTATATAATGAGTTTGGGAGTAATCCCTACTTGATTTTTTATTTGAATAATTTGATTACCATTGGTATTAACTCTTCTTTGTACATCTGGTAGAATTTGACTGTGAATCTTTCTGGTCCAGGGTTTTTTTTTGTTTGGTAGGTTTTTGTTACTGACTCAATTTTGGAACGTGTTGTGGGTCTTTTCAGGGTTTCAGTTTCCTCCTGATTGAATCTTGGGAGGTTTGTTTGTTTCTAGGAATTCAACCATTTCCTCTAGATTTTCTATTTTGTGTAAATAGATGTGTTCGTAATAGTCTTTGAGGATCTTTTGTATTTCTGTAGGGTAGTTTATAACATCATCTTTGTTGTTTCTGATTGTACTTACTTGGATCTTCCTTTTTTTTTTTTTTGTTAATCTACCTAGTGGTCTATTGATCTTGTTTGTCCTTTCAAAAAACCAACTTTTGGTTTCATTGATCCTTTGTATAGATTTTTGGGTCTCAATCTCTCAATTTTCTTCAGTTCTGCTCTGATTTTAGTTATTTCTTTTCTTCTGCTAGCTTTGGGATTAGTTTGTTCTTGTTTTTATAGTACAGTTGGGTGCAATGCTAGATTGCTAATTTGAGATCTTTCTAATTTCTTAATGTAGGCATTCAGTGCTATAAACTTTCCTCTTAATACTGTTTTTGTCACATCCTAGAGCAGGTACCACACTGCCCATGGCCTCTAGACCTTTGCAGCACTGGGGCTTGCCCAAGGCCTGCAGCCACCACTACCTACCTGCCATTGATATTTATTCATGGCCTGAGGCCACTTTAGTTAGCCAGTAATGATGCTGGCCAGGACTTTGATCCATCCTGCCAAGGCAGCTGATTCCCTTCTTGCCTGGGTTGGGTCTAGAAGTACTGTTCAGGAGTATCTGCCTGGAATCAGGGTCCACAAGGCTCTTCTGGTACTCTAGTTTACAATGGCAGAGCTGGTACTAGGTTCCAAGGCAAAGTCCCCTGCATACTTTCCTCTCCTAAGTGGAAGGAGTCTCTTCACACCGCACTGCCTGGAGCTGGGAAAAGAGTGACATGGGCTCTGCATAGCTGCTGCAGCTGATCTCATGCAGGGCCACACCCAAATCCCCCAGCCTGCCAGATCAGCACAGAATTGGCATCACCCAAGGACTGTTGTACTATGGCCTGCCTACCACAGAATTTTATTTGGGACCTGAGCCCACTTTAGTCAGCCATTGGTGAATTGGGTCAGGACTTGAGTTTCTCCTACTGGGATGACAGATTCCTTTCTGGTCCACAGTGAGTCTAAATACTCTCTTTGTGCTCACCAGCCTGGAATGAGGGGCCATGGTGTTATGCCTGGTGTTGTCTTTTATCGTGGCAGGGCCAGTACTAAATGCAAAGTCTCACACACTTTCCTCTCCCTCTCTCAAGTGGACAGAATCTTTCCCTGGGCTCCGTGCTGCCTGGGGTTGGGGTAGGGCTAGTGTAGGCAGTGTGAGACTGTTCTTTCTACTTTTTTCAATGTGTCTTTTCTGTTATTATGGTAAAATTAGGTACTCTGATCTCTCAACTAATTATTTAGCTCTCGTGAAGGTGTTTTCTTGTGTGGATAGTTGTTCAATTTGATGTTCTTTCAAGGGTATGATTCTTTGAAGGTTCTATTCCACCATCTTGCTCTACCTCATCCTCCCTAAAAGTTTTAGATATTCACATTTCCCATTTTTAAACTGTCTGGAATTTTTTTAAGGTGCCAGTTGAGGATCTATTTTTCCCTATGTGAATAATCATTTTTCCAAGACTTTTCCTTACTGGTTTGCTACTTCTATCATATATGAGGTGTCCACATTTAATAAGGTTAATTTCTTAATTAATTCCTTTTTATTTTATTTTATGAGATGAAGTCTCACCCTCTTGCCCAGGCTGGAGTGCAATGATGCGATCTGGGTTCACCGCAACTTCTGCTTCCAGGGTTCAAGTGATTCTCCTACCTCAGCTCTCAAATAGCTGGGATTACAGGCGCATGCCATCATGCCCAGCTAATTTTTTTTTGGTATTTTTATTTTTTAGTAAAGACAGGGTTTCACCATGTTGGCCATGCTGGTCTCAAACTACTGACCTCAAGTGATCCACCTGTCTCGGCCTCCCCAAGTGCTGGGGTTTCAGGCATGAGCCACTGCACCCAGCCTGATTTATTCTATATTTTATTCTTTTGGTTTATTTATCTGAATGACAGGACAGAATAGAAAATCCAGAAATAAAGCCACATACCTACAACCATCTGATCTTCAACAAAACTGACAAAAATAAACAGCGGGGAGAAGATATTTGCAAACCATGCATCTGACAAAGGTCCAGTATCAAAAATCTATAAGCAACTTAAAGAATTCAACAAGCAAACAAACAAATAAATAAATAAACAACTCCATTAAAAAGTGGGCAAAGGAGATGAACAGACACTTCTCAAAAGAAGACATATAAGAGGCCAATAAACATATGAAAAAATGCTCACATCACTAATTATCAGAGAAAAGAAATGAAAACCACAATGAATTGGTTTCACATCAATTTGAAAGGCTGCTACTAAAATGTAAAACAAAAACATATGCTGGTGATGCTGTAGAGAAAAGGGCATACTTATACACTGTTGGTGGGAATGTAAATTAGTTCAGTCACTGTGGAAAGCAGTTTGGAGATGTCTCAAAGAACTAAAAATAGAACTACCATTTGCCCCAGCAATCCTATTACAGGGTATGTACCCAAAGAAAAATTAATCATTATACCAAAAAGGTATCTACATTCATATGTTCATTGAAGCACTATTCATAGTAGCAAAGATATGAAATCAACCTAGGTGCCCATTAACGGTGGACTGGATCAAGAAAATGTCACAAATATACACCATAAAATACTCTGCATCCATAAAAAAGAATGAAATCAGGTCCTTTATAGCAACATGGATGCAGATGGAGGCTATTATCCTATACAAATTAGCACTGAAACGGAAAATCAAATATCACAAGTTCTCACTTACAAGTAACAGGTAAATCTTAAGTACACATGGGCAGAAATTTGGGAACAACAGACATTGGGGACTCCAGAAGGAGGGAGGAAAGGAAGGGAGCAAGGGTTGAAAAAATTCCTATTGTGTACTATGTTCACTATCTGGATAATGGAATAAATAGAAGCCCAAACCTCAGCATCACACAATATAACCATGTCACAAACCTGTACATGTACGCTGTAAGTCTAGTATAAAAACTTAATTTAAAATAATGCATTAGAGGGTCTTAATAGCAGATCCATCAGAACAACCAGTGAGCTCAAAGACAGGCTATTTGAAAGTACACAGTGGTACAGTTTGAATATTTGTCACCTTCATAAATCATGTTGAAACTTGATGTCTGATGGAGATGGGGCCTAATGAGAAGTGTTTATATCTTGTGGGGGATCCTTCATGAATAGATTAATGCCTTCCCTCAGGGGTGAATGTGTTCTCACTCTAATAGTTCCTTCAAGAGCTGGTTATTAAAAAAAGCCTGGCATCTTGCCCATCTCTCGTTTCCTATCTTACCGTGTTACATCTACACATGGCAGCTCCCTTTCACTTTCTGCCATGTGTGGAAGCAGCCAGAGGCCCTCACCAGGTGCCAAATCTTGAACTTTTCAGCCATCAGAATTATGAACCAAATACACCTCTTTTCTTTATAATTTACTCAGCCTCAGATATTTCTTTATAGCAACACAAAACAGACCAAGACACACAGTGAAAGTAGAATAACAGACAAGAATGAAATTGAATGAAGGATGCTCATGACGTCTGTGGAACAGCATCAAAAGAGCATATATAAAAGTCACTAGGCTTCGAGAGAGAGTGAGAAAGAAAAAGGGGTAGAATGCTTATATCAAGAAATAATAACAGAAAACTTTACAAATGTAGAGAATGATATACATATCCAGGTACAGAAAGGTCAAAGATCACCAAGCAGATTTAACTCAAATAAGACTACCCCAAGGCATATAATAAACTCTGAAAGATCAAGGACAGGAGAGGATCCTAAAAGCAGAAAGAGAAAGAAGCAAATAACACTTAAAGGGGTTCTGATACATCTGGCAGCAGACTTTTCATTGGAAACCTTACAGGCCAGAGGCAGTGGGATCATATATTTGAAGTCCTGACAGAAAAAAAAAACTGTCAACTGAGAATACTGTAGCCAGAAAACCCACTCTTCTAACATGAAGGAGAGTTAAAAACTTTCTCAGACATGAAACAGCTGAGGGGATTCATCACCATCAGACCTGTCTTACAAGAAAGGCTAAATGGAGTTCTTCAATCTGAAGGAAAATTATGATAACATGTAACAAGAAAATATTTGAAGGTATAAAGCTCACTGATAAAAGCAGGTATACCAAAATTCAGATTACTCTAATACTGTAATTGTGGTGTGTAAAATACTCATATCTTTAACATGAAGACTAAAAGAGAAAAATGTCAAAAATAATAACTAAAACAATTTGTTGTGAGATAGACAATATAAAAAGATGTAAATAGAGATATCCACAAGTTGGAAGGTGGGGAAGATGGAGTTATAATGTGGAGTTTTTTAGTTTAGTTTGTTTCTTTTCGTTGTGATTAAAGTTATGTTGTCATGAGTTTAACTTATTATAACTATGATTTTTCAGAACCACAAAGCAAAAACCTATTATAGATACACTATAAATAAAAAGCAAGGAACTAAAGCATACTCCCTGAGAAAATCACTTAAGTACAAAGGAAGAAAGTAAGAAAAGAAGAAAGGAAAAGAGGAGTTACAAAAACAACCAGAAAATAAGTAACAAAATGGCAGTAGCAAGTTCTTACACATCAATAATAACCTCAAATGTAAATGAACTAAATTCTCCAATTAAAGCAAATATTAACAGATCTAAAGGGAGAGATTGACTGCAATATGATGTATTAGTCAGTTTTCACACTGCTAATAAGGACATATCCAAGACTGGGCAATTTACAAAAGGAAGAGGTTTAATTGGAGTTACAGTTCCACGTGGCTGGGGAAGCCTCACAATCATGGCAGAAGGCAAGGAGAAGCAAGTCACACCTTATATGGATGGCAGCAAGCAAAAAGAGTTTGTGCAGGAAAAATTCCCCTTGAAATAACCATCAGATCTCGTGAGACTTACTATCATAAGAACAGCATGGGAAAGACTTGATCCATAATTCAATTACCTCCTACTGGGTCCCTCCCACAACACATGGGAATTCAAGATGAGATACGGGTGGGGACACAGCCAAACCATATCATTCCACCCCTGGTCCCTCCCAAATCTCATGTCCTCAAATTTCAAAACCAGTCATGCCTTCCCAACAGTCCCCCAAAGTCTTAACTCATTTCAGCATTAACTCAAAAATCCACAGTCCAAAGTCTCATCTGAGAAGAGGCAAGTCTCATCTGCCTATGGGCTTGTAAAATCAAAAGCAAGTTAGTTACTCCCTAGATATAAATGGGGGTACAGGCATCGGATAAACATAGCCTGATATAGTTTGGCTGTGTCTGCACCCAAATCTCAACTTGAATTGTATCTCCCAGAAGTCCCATGTGTTACGGGAGGGACCCAGAGGAGGCAATTGAACCATGGGGGCTCGTCTTTCCCTTGCTATTCCTGTGATAGTGAATTAAGTCTCATGAGATCTGATGGGTTTATCAGAGGTTTCTGCTTTTGCCTCCTCATTTTGCTCTTGCTGACACCATGTAAGAAGTGCCTTTTGCCTCTCCCCATGATTCTGAGGCCACCGCAGCTATGTGGAACTGTAAATCCAATTAAATCTCTTTTTCTTCCCAGTCTTGGGTATGTCTTTTACCAGCAGCAGGAAAACAGACTAATACATAGCCATTCCAAATGGAGACATTGGCCAAAACAAAGGAGCTACAGGCCTCATGTAAGTCCGAAATGCAGTGGGGCAGTCAAATCTTAAAGCTCCAAAATGATCTCCTTTGACTTCATGTCTCACATCCAGATCACGCTGATGCAAAAGGTGGGTTCCGCTGGTCTTGGACAGCTCTGCCCCTGTGGCTTTGCAGGGTACAGCCTCTTTTCTGGCTGTTTTCAAGGGCTGGCATTGAGTGTTTGTGGCTTTTCCAGGTGCACAGTGCAAGCTGTCAGTGGATCTACCATCCTGGGTTCTGGAGGATGGTGGCCCTCTTCTAACAGCTCCACTAGATGGTGCTCCAGTAGACTCTGTGTGGGGGCTTCAACCCCACATTTCCCTTCTGCACTACCCTAGCAGAGGTTCTCCATGAGAGCTCCACCACTGCAGTAAATTCTGCCTGGACATCCAGGCATTTCCATACATCTTCTGAAATCTAAGCAGAGGCTCCCAAACCCCAGTTCTGGACTTCTGTGCACTTGCAGGCTCAACATCACATGGAAGCTGCCAAGGCTTGAGGCTTGCACCCTCTGAAGCCATGGCCGGAGCTCTACATTGTCCCCTTTCAGGCTGCATACAGCACAGAGACCCTGGGTTTGGCCCACGAAACCATTTTTTCTTCCTAGGCCTCCAGGCCTGTGATGGGAACGGCTGTGATGAAGACCTCTGACATGCCCTGGAGACATTTTCCCCAGTGTCTTGGGGATTAACATTTGGATCCTCATTACTTATGCAAATTTCTGCAGCTGGCTTGGATTTCTCCTCAGAAAATGAGATTTTCTTTTCTATCGCATTGTCAGGCTGCAAATTTTCCAAACTTTTATGCTCTGCTTCCCTTATAAAATGGAATGCTTTTAAACAGCACCCAAATCACCTCTTGAATGCTTTGCTGCTTAGAAATTTCTTCCACCAGATACCCTAAATCATTTCTCTCAAGTTCAAAGTTCCACAAATCTCTAGGGCAGGGGCAAAATGCCACCAGTCTCTTTGTTAAAACTTAACAAGAGTCACCTTTACTCCAGTTCCCAACAAGTTCCTCATCTCTGTTTGAAAATACCTCAGCCTGGACCTTATTTTTCATATTGCTATCAGGCTTTTGATCAAAGCCATTCAACAAGTCTCTAGGAAGTTTCAAACTTTCCCACATTTTCCTGTCTTCTTCTGAGCCCTCCAAACTGTTCCAACCTCTGCCTGTTACCCAGATCCAAAGTCGCTTCTGCATTTTCGGGTATCTTTTCAGCAACACCCCACTCTACTGGTACCAGTTTACTGCATTTGTCTGTTTTCATACTGCTGATAGAGACATACCCAAGACTGGGCAATTTATAAAAGAAAGAGGTTTAATTGAACTTACAGTTCCACATGGCTGGGGAAGCCTTGCAATAATGGCAGAAGGCAAGGAAGAGCAAGTTACCTCTTACATGGAATGGCAGTAAGCAAAAACAGCTTGTGCAGGAAAACTCTCCCTTATAATAACCATCAGATCCCATGAGACTTACTAACTATCATGAGAACAGCATGGGAAAGACCTGCCCCATAATTCAATTACCTCCCACAACACGGAATTCAAGATGAGATTTGGGTGGGGACACAGCCAAACCATATCATACAATAATAGTAGGAAATTTCAACACCCTACTGTCATCAATGGATAACTCATATAGACAGAAAATAAAGAAACATAAGAGTTAAACTGCAATCTAGACGAAGTGAACCTAATAGAATATTTCCCCCAACAGATATAACATAGACATTATTTTTAACAGCACATGGAACATTTTCAAAGACAAACCATATATTAAGCCACAAAACAACTCTTCACTATTTTTGAAAAATGGAAATCCAATCAAGTATCTTTTCTGAGAACAATGAAATAAAACTAAGTATCAGTAACAGAAGGAACTTTGGAAATTGTACAAATATGTGGAAATTAAACAATGTGCTCATGTACAAGCAATGGGTCAATGAAAAAAATTAAAAAATAATTTAAAAAATTCCTTGAGAGAAATGAAAATGGAAACACCACATACCTAAACCAATAGGATATAGCAAAAGCAAGGAAGGAAGGAAGTTGGATAAACATAATGCATTCTTTCCTTTAAGAAGGAAGTTTGGCCGGGTGTGGTGGCTCATGCCTGTAATCCGAGCACTTTGGGAGTCCGAGGTGGGTGGATCACGAGGTCAAGAGTTCAAGACCAGTCTGGGCAACATAGTGAAGCCCTGTCTCTACTAAAAATACAAAAATTAGCCGGGCATGGTGGGTGCCTGTAGTCCCAGCTACTCAGGAGGCTGAGGCAGGAGAATCGCTTGAACCCTGGAGGTGCAGAGCTTGTGCAGGAAAATAAAAACCATCAGGTCCTGTGAGACTTACTAACTAAGTCTCAGCAGTGAGCTGAG
The DNA here is from genome assembly GCF_000001405.40 of Homo sapiens. Classification (NCBI taxonomy): domain Eukaryota; kingdom Metazoa; phylum Chordata; class Mammalia; order Primates; family Hominidae; genus Homo; species Homo sapiens. The sequence continues at coordinate 225,175,769 of NC_000001.11, read as the reverse complement.
ATCGCACCAGTGCACTCTAGTTAGGGGGACAGAGTGATACTCCATCTCAAAAAAAAAAAAAAAAAAAAGATCCAAAATAAACACACTTACACCTCAAGAAACTAGAAAAATAAGAACAATCAAAACCCAAAAAATAAAGATGAGAGAATAGGGAGTAAAAAATACAAAAGATCAATAAAACAAACACCTTGTTTATTGAAAAGATTTTTAAAAATCAACAAATCTTTCACTAGACTAACAATAAAAGACTCACATAAATAAAATCAGAGAAGAAAAAGGAGACATTATAGCTGATACCACAGAAATATAAAGGATCATAAAAGACTACTATGAACAACTATATGCCAACAAATTAGAAAACCTAGAAGAAACTGATATATTGCTGGACACATACAACTTATCAAGATTGAATTACGAAGAAAAGAAAACCTATGCAGGTCAATAATGAGTAATAAAGAGTTTTCCATCAAAGAAAAGCCCAGGATGTGATGGCTTCACTGCTGAATTCTACCAAACTTTTAAAGAAGAACTAATACCAATTCTACTCAGATTCTTCAAGAAAATGATTCCCAATGTGTTCTATGAAGCTGGCATTACTCTGATATCAACACCAGATAAGAACACAACAAAAAAGGAAACCACTGACTAATATCCTTGATGAACATAGATGCAAAAATTCTGAATGTAATACTAGCAAACTGAATTTAACAAGACATTAAAAAGATCATTAACCATGATCAAGAGGGATTCATCCCAGCAATGAAAGGATTGTTCAACATATGCAAAACAGTAAACACGATATATCTCATTAACAAAATCTGGGACAAATACCACCTTATCATTACTATTGATGCTGAAAAAGCATTTACAAAAATCAGCATACCTTTATAATAAAAAAAACCTTAAACAAACTGGGCATAGAAGGGACATACATCAACACAATAAAGTGAATATACGACAAACCCACAGCTAACATCATCCTGAACAGGAAAAAGTTGAAAGCCTTTCTTCTAAGATCTGGGACAAGATGAAGATGCTCACTTTCACCACATTTCCTCAATATGTTACTGGAAGTTCTAGGCAGAGCAATTAGGCACCAGAAAGGAATAAAAGACATCCAAATTAGAAAGGAGAAATTTAAGCTGTCCTGTTTGCAGATGACATGATCATCTATACAGAAAGTACTAACGACTCCACCAAAAAGCTTTTAAAACTAATAAATGAATTTAATAAGGTTGCAGAATACAAAATAAACATACAAAAATCAGTAGCATTTCTATATGCCAGTAGCAACACTGACTGAGAAAGAAATTAAGAAAGCATTCCATTTATAATAGTTACAAAAATATGAAATACCTAGAAGGTGAAAGATCTCTACAAAACATATATCATCATCTATAAAACACTTATTAAAGAAAGTAAACAGGACACAAATAAATGGAAAGATATCCTGTGTTCATGGATTGCAAGAATTCATATTGTTTTTCTTTTAACTTTTTTTAAAATTTATTATACTTTAAGTTTTAGGGTACATGTGCACAATGTGCAGGTTAGTTAAAAAAGTATACATGTGCCATGTTGGTGTGCTGTACCCATCGACTCGTCATTTAATATTAGGTATATCTCCTAATGCTATCCCTCCCCTCTCCCCCAACCCCACAACAGGCCCTGGTGTGTGATGTTCCCCTTCCTGTGTCCATGTGTTCTCATTGTTCAATTCCCACCTATGAGTGAGAACATGCGGTGTTTGGTTTTTTGTCCTTGCGATAGTTTGCTGAGAATGATGGTTTCCAGCTTCATCTATGTCCCTACAAAGGACATGAACTCATCATTTTTTTATGCCTGCATAGTATTCCATGGTGTATATGTGCCACATTTTCTTAATCCAGTCTATCATTGTTGGACATTTGGATTGGTTCCAAGTCTTTGCTATTGTGAATAGTGCCACAATTAACATATATGTGCATATGTCTTTATACTAGCATGATTTATAATCCTTTGGGTATATACCCAGTAATGGGATGGCTGGGTCAAATGGTATTTCTAGTTCAAGATCCCTGAAGAATCGCCACACTGACTTCCACAATGGTTGAACTAGTTTACAGTCCCACCAACAGTGTAAAAGTGTTTCTATTTCTCCACATCCTCTCCAGCACCTGTTGTTTCCTGACTTTTTGATGATCACCATTCTAACTGGTGTGAAATGGTATCTCATTGTGGTTTTGATTTCCATTTCTCTGATGGCCAGTGATGATGAGCATTTTCTCATGTGTCTTTTGGCTGCAAAAATGTCTTCTTTTGAGAAGTGTCTGTTCATATCCTTCACCCACTTTTTGATGGGGCTGTTTGTTCTTTTCTTGTAGATTTGTTTGAGTTCTTTGTAGATTCTGGATATTAGCCCTTTGTCAGATGAGTAGATTGCAAAAATTTTCCCCCATTCTGTAGGTTGCCTGTTGACTCTGATGGTAGTTTCTTTTGCTGTGCAGAAGCTCTTTAGTTTAATTAGATCCCATTTGTCAATTTTGGCTTTTGTTGCCATTGCTTTTGTTGTTTTAGACATGAAGTCCTTGGCCATGCCTATGTCCTGAATGGTATTGCCTAGGTTTTCTTCTAGGGTTTTTATGGTTTTAGGTCTAACATTTAAGTCTTTAATCCATCTTGAATTAATTTTTGTATAAGGTGTAAGGAAGGGATTCAGTTTCAGCTTTCTACATATGGCTAGCCAGTTTTCCCAGCACCATTTATTAAATAAGGAATCCTTTCCCCATTTCTTGTTTTTGTCAGGTTTGTCAAAGATCCAATAGTTGGACATATGTGGCATCATTTCTGAGGGCTCTGTTCTGTTCCATTGGTCTATATCTTGGTTTTGGTACCAGTACCATGCTGCTTTGGTTATGGTAGCCTTGTAGTATAGTTTGAAGTCAGGTAGTGTGATGCCTCCAGCTTTGTTCTTTTGGCTTAGGATTGACTTGGCAATGCGGGCTCTTTTTTGGTTCCATATGAATTTTAGTTTTTTCCAATTCTGTGAAGAAAGTCACTGGTAGCTTGAAGAGGATGGCATTGAATCTATAAATTACCTTGGGCAGTATGGCCATTTGCACGATATTGATTCTTTCTGCCCATGAGCATGGAATGTTCTTCCATTTGTTTGTATCCTCTTTTATTTCATTGAGCAGTGGTTTGTAATTCTCCTTGAAGAGGTCCTTCATATCCCTTGTAAGTTGGATTCCTAGGTACTTTATTCTCTTTGAAGCAATTGTGAATGGGAGTTCACTCATGATTTGGCTCTCTGTTTGTCTGTTATTGGTGTATAAGAATGCTTGTGATTTCTGCACATTGATTTTGTATCCTGAGACTTTGCTGAATTTGCTTATCAGCTTAAGGAGATTTTGGGCTGAGACGATGGGGTTTTCTAGATATACAATCATGTCATCTGCAAACAGGGACAATTTGACTTCCTCTTTTCCTAATTGAATGCCCTTTATTTCCTTCTCCTGCCTGATTATCCTGGCCAGAACTGCCAACACTATGTTGAATAGGAGTGGTGAGAGAGGGCATCCCTGTCTTGTGCCAGTTTTCAAAGGGAATGCTTCCAGGTTTTGTCCATTCAGTATGATATTGGCTGTGGGTTTGTCATAGATAGCTCTTATTATTTTGAGATATGTCCCATCAATACCTTATTGAGAGTTTTTAGCATGAAGTGGTGTTGAATTTTGTCAAAGGCCTTTTCTGCATCTATTGAGATAATCATGTGGTTTTTGTCGTTGGTTCTGTTTATATGCTGGATTATGTTTATTGATTTGTGTATGATGAACCAGCCTTGCATCCCAGGGATGAAGCCCACTTGATCATAGTGGAGAAGCTTTTTGATGTGCTGCTGGATTCGGTTTGCCAGTATTTTATTGAGGATTTTTGCATCGATGTTCATCAGGGATACTGGTCTAAAATTCTTTTTGTTGTGTGTCTGCCAGGCTTTGGTATCAGGATGATGCTGGCCTCATAAAATGAGTTAGGGAGGATTCCCTCTTTTTCTATTGATTGGAATAGTTTCAGAAGGAATGGTACCAGCTCCTCCTTGTACCTCTGACAGAAGTCGGCTGTGAATCTGTCTGGTCCTGGACTTCTTTTGGTTGGTAAGCTATTAATTATTGCCTCAATTTCAGAGCCTGTTATTGGTCTATTCAGAGATTCTATTTCTTCCTGCTTTAGTCTTGGGAGGGTGTATGTGTCGAGAAATTTTTCCATTTCTTCTAGATTTTCAAGGTTATTTGCATAGAGGTGTTTATAGTATTCTCTGATGGTAGTTTGTATTTCTGCGGGATCGGTGGTGATATCCCCTTTATCATTTTTTATTGCATCTATTTCATTCTTCTCTCTTTTCTTCTTTATCAGTTTTGCTAGCGGTCTATCAATTTTGTTGATCTTTTCAAAAAACCAGCTCCTGGATTCACTGATTTTTTGAAGGGTGTTTTGTGTCTCTATTCCCTTCAGTTCCACTCTGATCTTAGTTATTTCTTGCCTTCTGCTAGCTTTTGAATGTGATTGCTCTTGCTTCTCTAGTTCTTTTAATTGTGATGTTAGGGTGTCAATTTTAGATCCTTCCTGCTTTCTCTTGTGGGCATTTAGTGCTATAAATTTCCCTCTACACACTGCTTTGAATGTGTCCCAGAGACTCTGGTATGCTGTGTCTTTGTTCTCATTGGTTTCAAAGAACATCTTTATTTCTGCCTTCATTTCGTTATGTACCCAGTAGTCATTCAGGAGCAGGTTGTTCCGTTTCCATGTAGTTGAGCAGTTTTGAGTGAGTTTCTTAATCCTGAGTTCTAGTTTGATTGCACTGTGGTCTGAGAGACAGTTTGTTATAATTTCTGTTCTTTTACATTTGCTGAGGACTGCTTTACTTCCAACTAAGTGGTCAATGTTGGAATAAGTGCGGTGTGGTGCTGAGAAGAATGTATATTCTGTTGATTTGGGGTGGAGGGTTTTGTAGATGTCTATTAGGTCCGCTTGGTGCAGAGCTCAATTCAATTCGTGGATATCCTTATTAACTTTTTGTCTCATTGATCTGTCGAATGTTGACAGTGGGGTATTAAAGTCTCCCATTATTATTGTGTGGGAGTCTAAGTCTCTTTGTAGGTCTCTAAGGACTTGCTTTATGAATCTGGGTGCTCCTGTATTGGCTGCATATATATTTAGGATAGTTAGGTCTTCTTGTTGTATTGATCCCTTTACCATTATGTAATGGCCTTCTTTGTCTCTTTTGATCTTTGTTGGTTTAAAGTCTGTTTTATCAGAGACTAGGATTCCAACCCCTGCCTTTTTTGTTTTCCATTTGCTTGGTAGATCTCCCTCCATCCCTTTATTTTTAGCCTATGTGTGTCTCTGCACGTGAGATGGGTCTCCTGAATACAGCACACTGATGGGTCTTGACTCTTTATCCAATTTGCCAGTCTGTGTCTTTTAATTGGAGCATTCAGCCCATTTACATTTAAGGTTAATATTGTTATGTGTGAATTTGATGCTGTTATTATGATGTTACCTGGTTATTTTGCTTGTTAGTTGATGCAGTTTCTTCCTAGCCTCAACGGTCTTTGCAATTTGGCATGTTTTTGCAGTGGCTGGTACTGGTTGTTCCTTTCCATGTTTAGTGCTTCCTTCAGGAGCTCTTGTAGGGCAGGCCTGGTGGTGACAAAATCTCTCAGCATTTGCTTGTCTGTAAAGGATTTTATTTCTCCTTCACTTATGGAGCTTAGTTTGGCTGGATATGAAATTCTGGGTTGAAAATTCTTTTCTTTAGGAATGTTGAATATTAGCCCCCACTCTCTTCTGGCTTGTAGAGTTTCTGCCAAGAGATCTGCTGTTAGTCTGATGGGCTTCCCTTTGTGGGTAACCCGACCTTTCTCTCTGGCTGCCCTTAACATTTTTTCCTTCATTTCAACTTTGGTGAATCTGACAATTATGTGTCTTGGAGTTACTCTTCTCAAGGAGTATCTTTGTGGCGTTCTCCATTATTTCCTGAATTTGAATGTTGGCTTGCCTTGGTTGGGGAAGTTCTCCTGGAAAATATCCTGCAGAGTGTTTTCCTACTTGGTTCCATTCTCCCCATCACTTTCAGGTACACCAATCAGATGTAGATTTGGTCTTTTCACATAGTCCCATATTTCTTGGAGGCTTTGTTCATTTCTTTTTATTCTTTTTTCTCTAAACTTCTCTTCTCACTTCATTTATAACCTTTCTTGCAGTTGATCATATCGGCTACTGAAGCTTGTGCATGCGTCACATCGTTCTCGTGCCGTGGTTTTCAGCTCCATCAGGTCCTTTAAGGACTTCTCTGCATTGGTTATTGTAGTTAGCCATTCACCTAATCTTTTTTCAAGGGTTTTAACTTCTTTGCCATGGGTTTGAACTTCCTCCTTTAGCTTGGAGAAGTTTGATCATCTGAAGTCTTCTTCTCTCAACTCGTCAAAGTCATTCTCTGTCCAGCTTTGTTCCGTTGCTGGTGAGGAGCTGCGTTCCTTTGGAGGAGGAGAGGCTCTCTGATTTTTAGAATTTTCAGTTTTTCTTCTCTGTTTTTTCCCCGTCTTTGTGGTTTTATCTACCTTTGGTCTTTGATGATGGTGATGTACAGATGGAGTTTTGGTGTGGATGTCCTTTCTGTTTGTTAGTTTTCCTTCTAAGAGGACCCTCAGCTGCAGGTGTGTTGGATTTTGCTGGAGGTCCATTCCAGACCCTGTTTGTCTGGGTATCAGCAGTGAAGGCTGCAGAACAGTAAATATTGGGGAACAGCAGATGTTGCTGCCAGATCGTTCCTCTGGAAGTTTTTTCTCAGAGGAGTACCCGGCCGTGTGAGGTGTCAGTCTGCCCCTACTAGGGCATGCCTCCCAGTTAGGCTACTTGAGGGTCAGAGACCCACTTGAGGAGGCAGTCTGTCTGTTCTCAGATCTCAAGTTGCATGCTGGGAGAACCACTACTCTCTTCAAAGCTGTCAGACAGGGACATTTAAGTCTGCAGAGGTTTCTGCTATTTTTTATTTGGCTGTGCCCTGCCCCCAGAGGTGCAGTCTACAGAGGCAGGCAGGCCTCCTTGAGCTGCGGTGGGCTCCACCCAGTTTGAGATTCCAGGCCGCTTTGTTTACCTGCTCAAGCCTCAGCAATAGCAGGCGCCCCTCCTCCAGCCTCGCTGCCACCTTGCAGTTTGATCTCCGACTGCTGTGCTAGCCATGAGTGAGGCTCCGTGGGTATAGGACCCTCCAAGCCAGGCACTGGATATAATCTCCTGGTGTGCTGTTTGCTAAGACCTTCGGAAAAGTGCAGTATTAGGGTGGGAGTGACCTGATTTTCCAGGTGCCGTCTGTCACCCCTTTCCTTGGCTAGGAAAGGGAATTCCCTGACCCCTTGTGCTTCCTGGGTGAGGCGATGCCTCGCCCTGCTTCGGCTCACGCTCGCTGCACTGCACCCACTGTTCAACAATCCCCAGTGCGATGAACCCGTTACCTCAGTTGGAAATGCAGAAATCATTCGTCTTCTGCGTCGCTCACGCTGGGAGCTGTAGACTGGAGCTGTTCCTATTTGGCCATCTTGGAACCCAAATAATAAAGCCTTGACTAACAATTAATAAATGACTTTAATTAAAAAAAATTATACCTGTAACAGCTCTCTTTTATTATTATTTTTGCCCTTTATTTTATTAATTCCTATTGAAATACAGGCAAAGGATTGCTAACATGCCATTTTATACTTACCTGAAGTTGATTATAAAACTGTATAATCTTCTCTTTCTGAGATGACCAGTTTTGTAAACCCAATTGCTGAGTTGCAGTATATATTACTTTCTAAAAGGAAATAAATACATAAATTTAAAATGCATTGCAAATGAAACTCTTAAATTTTTATCTTCCAAAATCTCTCTTAACTAGGTACCAATTACCGCTCTTTAAGATAGTAATTCTTGATTTTTTAGTTCACCAACCTCTGTCTCTGAGAATAGTAAAAACTATTACTACTGTCTGCAGAAAAATACAGTGAACACAAAATTTTATGTTCACAGACACCTGATAGCAAATTCATAGATCCTTCCCTAGATTAAGAACCCATTGCTTAACATTTAAAAACCAGAGGTTATGAGAGGTTATCAGTGTATAACCATCTAATTATCCTACACTAAAAGAAAACATAAAAGGTTGTAGACCTTTTTGTAATTCTAATCATTATTAAGACAGGTTTTCAATTTTGTAATGATTATTTTAGTGTTTCAATGTTAAGAATATTTTAAGACAGTAAATAAAATTTACAAGATTAAAGACATGATGTGGTTATAAGTTAAAATAGTCCAAAGAGCAGCTGCAGCTTGGAAAGATACTTAATATTTTAACCAAGGTATTATAAGGGAAACTGTGCTTCCTTCTAAAGGAGGGTTTATTTCACTGTAGATAGAATTGGTAACTATGTCTACAGAAAAAAGTGGGATTTATCTTTTCTTTCTCACAGATCTCTTCCATTCCATTTTTCATTCCTTGCATCCCTACATTGAGACAGAACAAAGCAGGTGAAGGAAATACTCAGTAGGACTGTACAATGGAGAAAAAGGCAGCTTCTATGGCAATAACTGGAGGTAGGCAATCAGTTGACAGAATTTTTTAAAAGATCAAATGGAATTGCTCTCTTAAGTGGAATTGATGAGACTGCCCACTTCAGGCCTGAACTTATGAATCCTCTGCAGTTAATAACATAAGCCTAGATACCTACCTGAATATAAGCAAGAAATCACATAGGTATAGAATAAGAATAGCATTGTATGCACAGATCGTAGGGTTGGGATAATTAAAGAGATACTCAGACAGGTTATCCCACCTGGCTAATGAGTTTCACAAATTTCTTACTTTGGAATGTTTTGAAATAAAATCATAATCCTACTATAAAATATTCGTGGCTGTATATGATGTTCCTTAGAATCAGCTGGATGGCAAACTATATGTAGTTCTTATTCAATGATGCGGTTTCAACAATTCTCAGTTAATCTTTTAGTTACTTGGCGATAATGACACACACTTTGGATGTGTTAGAGACAGATATGTAAATAAGTCAGACAGATCACAATTGCCTATTAAATGTGATTCAGATTCTTGTATCTCAAGTGAGCAAATAGTATAAATAGCACAACTACAGAATATTTTTAAATAAGATATATTCCTATGTGGGTATGTTACACATGGCTGGTCACTGTGTAAGCCATCAAAAATGCAACATTAAATAAAAAATTGGATCACTCCAAATTTAATATTAAAACCATCATAATTTTAAATTACGATCTTTGTGATATTTCTATATTTCTATTAATCATATATTACAATTTGGTGAGTAACAATTTATTAAACAGTTGACAGCTGGCATAGTTATTAATGTAAAAATTATACAAATGTGGGTATAATACAAATGGGGTAGCTGAATAAACTGGTGTGTTTATATAGAAAACTTTTCCATAAGCTCAGACTGCCACATATACTGACTTGTAAAGCTGATGAAAAGATGAATATATAAGAAGGCTCAAAAGTAAAACCATTGATGGGCATGTGGAAATACTTGAAAAATGTTAAAACTAGCACAAGAGGCACCCAAAACTTACAACTGGAGAAGAGCGGAAAGTTTGTAGGCCCTGCCAGAGAGAGATGCAAGAATACTTATAAAAGGGAGAGAAAGCAAAACTTGCCAACTGATATTTTTATTTTCTTAAAAAAAAATGAAAATTCTCAAAATATAAATATAAATCAAAATCTTCAAAATATGGGCATCAGTTTAAAGACAAGTATCTATTGTACTTCTGAAAATCTCACAGAGCAACAAGGAAAAAAACATCAAATCGCATTTTCATTAAAATAAAAAAATATGAGGCCATGCGCGGTGTCTCACTACTGTAACCCCAGCACTTTGGGAGGCTGAGGCAGACGGACGGCTTGAGCCCAGGAGTTCGAGATCAGCCTGAGCAACACGGCAAAACCTTGTCTCTACAAAAAATAAAAAAAATTAGCTGGGAATGGTGGTGGGTGCCTGTAGTCCTAGCTACTTGGGGGACTGAGGCAGGAGGATTGCTTGAGCCCGAGGTCGAGGCTGCAGTGAGATGAGAACAGGTCACTGCACTCAAGCCTGGGTGACAGACTGAAACCCTGTCTCAAAAACCAACCAACCAACCAACCAACCAACCAAACAAACAAGTAAAAAAAAAAAACAAAATCTATAAAATCCAGAACACATGTAAGTACTAAGAAAATAACTAAGCTTAGTTTTATTGGAGCTTGGATGCTGCAAACTCTTGAAACAGAAAAGTCCAACTCATTCAATCATGTGAAACAAAGGATCTCACAGTTTAAGACTCCTGTTAATTTAGAGAACTAAAAATAAAAGAGTATATATTAAAAGGGCTAAAAGAGTACCAAACTCACAACTAGAGAATTTATAGTGATATTATGAACATTAAAGGCAAAGTGAAAATTTTAAGGGCATACGAAGAGAAAGAGTAGATACACTATAAAATAATAAATATTGAAGTGACATTGACCTTCTTCAGAGTGACCCTGGAGCAACAGGAAAATGGAATAATATTTTTAAAGAATTAGAGATTTTAATATATTAAAGGAAAATAACTTTAAAGTTAGAATTTTATAATGAATTTGCCATTCAGATATGAGGGTATATCAAAAACAGTCTCAAATATTAAAGTTCTCAGAAGGTTTGCTACACAAAAACCTACTCTGAGAACTCTCTTGGAAGAAGTACTCAAACAGAGGAATAAATTGAAGATAAGCCTATAATAGATATAAAAAGTAAGTTTGAAACAATTTCTTATGAGTTTACTATTTTCTAAAAGAGAGAGAGAGAGCACAAGCAGGAGTGTGCAGAAGTCCAAGGAAAAAAGAGAGATAAAACATTTCTATAACAACCAGGAATTATAATTCTACATAGCATCAACATAATGAGAGTGGAAGTGTGGGGAAGACCAAAGAGTGTACTAAAGTACTTATCTTGAAAGGGACAAATATAGATATGAAAACATTTTGATCCTAGGGGCAAATAATGATGAATGTCAGTCTTCAGCTAAAAGAGGCATCAGCTAAAAGAGGCATGAATGTCAGTCTTCAGCTAAAAGAGAATAAATATAACAAACAAAGAAGAAAACTCGATCTACCCCATAGTGAGCAGGAAAAGAGAGAAAATACTGAGGCAAAAATAAATTCAATAATAACAGTAATATATCTTAAGACAACAGGATACATTGTATAGAAAAAGTTAAAAATCAGTAAATACAGGACAGATAATCACAGATTTGATTATAAGAAAACAAAGGCCATCAATATATGTCCTATAAGATAGACAGTTCAAACAAAGATATAGAAAGTTTGAAAAACAAAAGGATGGAAAAAGAACTTTTGAAGATAAACCTAGCATCAAAAAATTGGATAAAATTTTATTATCTGACTGAATAGATATTAAGACAAGAAATCACCAGTGGGCCAAAGAGGGATATAGGAGGCTGATAAAAGAGTGAGAAGATAGGAATACATATATAACTTACAACTTTAAAGTATATACAACAACAACAACTGACAGATGTGCAGAAGAAATAGCTATCTCAGTGATTTAGTTAAAATCTTAACATACCTCCTGCAGAAACAGATGGATAAATAAAGAATTAGAGACATCAAATCTCTGAAAAATACAATTAATAGCCTATATATACTTGTTTATAACTTTATACCCAATAGGCACAGAACATATTATTTTTTAGCATACATTAAACACTAAAAAAAGACCATTTATTAGGTAATATAGGAAACCCTGATACATGCAAAAGGCTAAATATATAAATTGCAGGATATAGAGGAGGAGGTAATACTTCCAAACTAATTCCACAAGGCCAGTGTTATCCTGATACCCAAACCAGACAAAGACACATCAAAAAAAGAAGACTATAGGCCAATATTCCAGATGGACATTGACATGAAAATTCTCAATGAAATACTAGCAAACCAAATTCAACAAAACATTTAAAAATTATTCATTATGACCAAGTCAGATTTATCCCAGGGATACAAAAATAGTTCAACATATTACAAATCAATCAATGGGATACATGACGTCAAAAGAATGAAGGACAAAAACCATATAATCATTTCAATTGATGCTGAAAATGCACTTGATAAAATTCATCATCCTTCTGGATAAAAATCCTCAAATAACTGTGTATAGAAGGAACATATCTCAACACAATAAAACCACATGACAGACCCACAGCTAGTATCACACTAAATTGGGAAAAACAGAAAGCCTTTTCTCTGAGATCTGGCACACAACAAGTGTGCCCATTTTCACCACTGTTATTCAACATAGCACTGGAAGTCTTAGCTGGAGCAATCAGACAAGAGAAAGAAATAAAGGGCATCCAAACTGGAAAGGAAGAAGTCAAATTATCATTGCTTGCAGATGATATGATCTTATATTTGGAAAAACTTGGAGACGCTACCAAAAAACAATTGGAACTGATAAACAAATTCGGTAAGGTTGCAGGATACAAAAGCAACACACAAAAATAAAAAATCAGTAGCATTTCTTTTTCCTTTTTTTTTTTTTTTTTTTTTTTTTGAGATAGGGTCTTATGCTGTCTCCCAGGCTAGAGTGCAGTGGCACAATCTTGGCTCACTGCAACCTCTGTCTCCCAGGTTCAAGCGATTCTCCCACCTCATCCTCCCCAGTAGCTGGGATTACAGGCATGTGCCACCACGCCCCGCTAATTTTTTGTATTTTTAGTATAGACAAGGTTTCACCATGTTGACCAGGCTTGTCTCGAACTCCTGACCTCAAGTGATCCATTTGGCTTGGCCTCCCAAAGTGCTGGGATTACAGGTGTGAGCCACCACGCCTGGCCAATCAGTAGCATTTCTATATGCCAACAGAGAACGACCTGAAAAAGAAATAAAAGTAATCCCATTTATAGTAGCTACACATAAAATTAAATACCTAGGAATTAACTCAAGAAGTGAAAGATCTCTATAATGAAAACTATAAAACACTGAAATTGAAGAAGACAACAAAAAATGGAAAGCTATTCCATGTTCATGGATTCCAAGAATCAATATTGTTAAAATGTTCATATTACCCAAAACAATCTACAGATTCAATGCAGTCCTATCAAAATACCAATGACATTCTTCACAGAAATAGAAAAAACAATTCTAAAATTTACATGGTATCACAAACAACCCAGAATAGCCAAAGCTATCCTGAACAAAAAGAACAAACTGGAGGAATCACATTACCTGACTTCAAATTATACCTCAGAGCTATAGCAACCCAAATAGAATGGTCTTGGCAGAGAAATAGACACACAGACCAATGGAAAAGACCAGAAAATAGACACACAGACCAATATCCATACAGACGAACGGAACAAAACAGAAAACCCAGAAACAAATACACACACCTGTGGTGAACTTATTTTCAACAAAGGTGTCAGGAACGTACTTCAATAAATGGTGCTGGGAAAACTGGATATCCATATGCAGAAGAATGAAACTAGACCCCTATCTCTTGTCATACATAAAAATCAAATAAAAATGGATTAAAGGCTTAAATCTAAGACCTCAAATTATGAAACTATTAACAAGAAAACATTGGGGAAAATGTCTAGGACATTGGTCTGGGCAAAAATTTCTTGAGTAATACCCCACAAGCACAGGCAACCAAAGCAAAAATGGGTAAATGGAATCGCATGAAGTTAAAAAGCTTCTGCACAGCAAAGGATGCAATCAACAAAGTGAAGAGACAACCCACAGAATGGGAGAAAATATTTACAAACTACCCATCTGACATGGAATTAGTAACCAGAATATATAAGGAGCTCAAACAATTCTATAGGAGCAAATCTAATAATCCAATAAAAAGTGGACAAAAGATTTGAATAGACATTCCTCAAAAGAAGACTTAGAAATGGCAAATGGGTAATGAAAAGGTGCTCAAAATTATTGATCATCAGAGAAATACAAATCAAACTACAATGAGATATCATCTCACCCCAGTTAGATGGCTTATATCCAAAGAGAGGCAATAACAAATGCTGGTGAGGATGTGGAGAAAAGGGAACACTCATACATTGTGGTTGAAAATGTAAATTAGTACAACCACTATGGAGAACAATTTGGAGGTTGGTCAAAAAACTAAAAACAGAGCTACCATATTATCCAGCAATCCTACTGCTGGGTATACACCCCAAAGAAAGAAAATCAGATATCGAAGACATATCTGCATGTTTGCTGCAGTACTGTTCACAATAGCCAAGATTTGGAAGCAACAGAAGTGTTCATCAACAAATGACTGGATAAAGAAAATGTGGTACTTACACACAAAAACACTATTCACCCATACAAAACAATGAGATCCTGTCATTTGCAACAACATAGATGGAACCGGTCATTATGTTAAGTGAAATAAGCCAGGCACAGAAACACAAACATTGCATGCTCTCACTTATCTGTGCAACCTAAACATAAAAACAATTAAACTTACGGAGACACAGAGTAGAAGGACGGTTACCAGAGGCTGGGCAGGGTAGTGGGGGAGTGGGAGGAAAGTGGGGATGGTTAATGTGCACAAAAAAATAGAATGAATAAGACCTAGTATTTGACATCACAACAGGATGAATACGAATATGAAAATGACTATGAAATTCCTACATATCTGAACTTACAGTATATATAACTAAAGCAGCACTTAGAGGGAATTTGAAAATCTTATAAGCTTATATTAGTAAAAGGAAGAAGAAAACAAATGAATTAGACTTCTTACTAAAAAAGCTGGAAACAGAATAGAAACAAAACCCAGAAGAACAAGGATATTTTAAAAGTTTAAAACAGATACCAAAGAGTTTGGAAACAGAAAAAGATATATTAAGTGAACAGAAAGAAGGCTAGTTTTTTGAGAAAAAAATAATATATCAGATAAACAGACAATGCAATCAAGGAAGAAGACACAAATTAGGAAAATAAGAAATGACTGAGCAAATAATCTCAGAAACATGAAACTGAAAGAATCTTAAGATAGTGGTTTGTTGAACTCTATATTTTAAAACTTGAATGAAATGGGAGTATCTATCTTGTTTAACAAAATTGATACTAGAAGAGATATAAATTTTAAATTCATAAATTTTAGATTTAATTTCACAGATTAGAACCATGAAAGAGCCATCCTCTCATAACTCCTGGTCCAGATGGTTTTCAAGGGAGATTTTCAAACTTTCCTACATCACCTAATAAATGGTCTTTCTGTGTGTGTAAGTTTTTCATGTGTGCTCAGAAATAATATGAATTCTGTGCTTGTTGTGTATAAAGTTATGTACATAGCCTATTAGTTATATTTAAAGAACAAATAATTATGAAGTGGTTTGTTTTCTAAATAAATTTTAAAAGTATTTTTTTGAAGACAGGTTGGATTTCAGGGAAAGGAATCAACATGTTTAATGGCCTGACACCTGATAAAATCCTGGAAAAGTCAGAGAACAGAAGCTCAAGGTAGAAAGAACAGGGAAGAAAGGAAGAGACAGAGGAAGGAAGAACAGGATATATTGAAAAGACAACCTGTCCAGCCAGATTGTGAAGGGCATTATATGTTAAAATACTTAATTTCAATTTTGTACTGCAGACAACATTAAGCCAACAGTTGCTTTGCTAACGTGGTCAAATGTATATTTTAGGAAAACAACTCTGGTGGCCATATGGGAAAATACTGGAATGCAGGGTGTGGTAGGAAGCTATGTAAAAATATTAACAAGAGACATTGAGTTCTTACCTAGATTAAGGCAATGACTGTGAGGCTATAGATATAAGAGAAACAATAAAGGACTTTGTCATTATAATATGTAATTTTAATAATTACAGAATATTTACAATTTAAGTTTTTTCATAATGCTGATCTAATTTGATTCTCTAGGCACCCTTTCAAAGTGGGAAGAACAGACACTATTATCCTCATTTCAAAAGATGAAAAAATTGAGAAACAAAATATATAATGATCATCCTTGCCTAAAGGTACATGGTTCATTCTTATTTCCATTAGGACATAATATACTGAAAGCTCTTTTTTTCCCCAAGGGGCACTATATATCTCCAAGTATTTTTATCCCCTCAATTATAACATGAATAAAGAATTTAGGAAGAACTGTAATATTTTTAATCCACATCTAGTTTCTTAATTGATATTCCACATCCAAATAATTGGTGATGATTTTCAAAGGTCTTTTTACCTCCAAGGCAAGTTGATTTACTTTCAAAACTGTCACTTCTGGAAAAATATCTCCTATAATATTTTCAAAAAGTGGGACATCTTCAGGAGGACATTTTGGCAAACTAGCTTCTCTTATAGCCTCGATAACAATCAAGGTTTCATCTGCTTCAGAAAGACTGTCACTGGTATCACTTCAATGGTAGAAGAAAACAAACACAGAGAACAAATTAGGGAGTCTGCTCTGCAGACACTGAAGACCATTAACATTCTGTTTTAGGGGTGGCTATCCCAATGTCCTTCCCTCCTCTCTCTCACTGGATAGCAGCCATATGGTTTGGGTGGAATTAATCAGATCCCCAGCTCCAGAAATAGGCTCTGACTGGTCTAGAACAATAAGAGCAACACCAATCCCCAGACATTGAATCAGAGAAAGGTACTGTATCAGTAAAGGTTTTTAGCTGCAAATAAAAGAAATGAATTTAGGCTAATGTAAAATAAAAAATAACATACTGATTTATTTAAAAATCTCTAGGAGGGCCAGAACTAGGCTTGCAAGCTATCCAGCTGGGAACAATGGCCAAAATCATCTACAGAACTGGTCTTATGAAAACATGTCTGCCATCATCAATGGATCCAGATAGCAGTGACTGTCATACCAATACATGACTGATGCTGGCACTGGAACTGCTCACTGCCTCTGCTATTTCTGGTAAATGGCTATAGCTACTGCCACTGCTGTCACCCTCAGCAAAATGGACTCTGTGAATATTCTTTTTTCACTAGATTCAGGTTCAGATTCTAATGCAGCTGTGTCTGACTTGCCAAGGTTGTGTGTCAAAGCCACAGTTACAAGAGAGTTTGGAAAATCAAGTATATGGCATAACAAATATTCACTAAAGTAACATAACCTCAGCTCTAGTCAATCAGTGTATGGCAGTCACTTGGACACGGTGACTCAAGGGTAGACAAGCGACGAGTCCACTCGAGTAAAGTTCAGGCCTTTAGTTCAGTAATATGGACAGCCCCAGTTATTATTAGAAGGTGTCCTGCCACCAAAAATGAAGCCAGCCTGAAATCAAGCCAGTGTATGGAGGACTGCAGTACTGAGAATATCTCAGACAAATTAAACTGAAACCTTAATCAAAGCAATCACACCCTGCCCCATCTCTGGATTTTCTGATTGGATAAAACAACAGTTCCCTCTACTATTTAAGCCAAATTGAGTTTTCTGTTAATTTTAACAAAAGCATACTAATATAAGTTATACTACATATGTTACTCTATAATAACAATATTTCATATACTAAACACTACAGTATATATTGTATATATTAAACATGTAATCAAAAGAAAAAAAAGTAACTACACATGCTATGATACCATATTAGAGATAGAAAGGAAGAAAACTGTTTCCTGCAAAGGTGTCCAAACATTTATCATTTCTTTGTCAGGAGAATATTCAAAATCTTCTCTTCAGGTTATTTTGAAATATACAATACTGTTAACTATATATAGTCACCTTAAACTGCAATACAACTGAAAAAATTCCTCCTATCTGTGATTTTGTACTCATTGTATTCCTATAACCACTCCATTATTACAATGGGAGAGTTATAGCGGGTTGGAATTGACTTTAGTCATTTACATTTCCCTGAGAATACCTCGCTGAGTCTTTCTTCTGAATGTATTTTGGCAAAGAGAGGGCAAGAGTCCACTTGAAGTCAAAGGGAGGGGGCCACATCAGAGCAAAAAAGGGTTCCAGACTTTATTTTTGGGGTCCTAGGGAATGACAATGGCCTTTTAATATTTTTTTCAAGACAGATCTTGCTTTATCTTAAAGGAAAATGAAAAAAATCAGGGATGACCAATATGTCTGGTAGTAGGGCAAGTGTTAAATATAGATATGGAGAGAAAATAGCTTAAATAAAATATTATAATATTGTTACAATATTCTGTTATTGGACAAAGGTAACACTTCATTAAAATATTACAAAAGAGTAATTTTGGAAATGGCATGCGAAATTACCAATGGGTCTATCTGTCATAATTTAAGAATAAATAATGAAAGCTTTAGATTAATGTCAACATCTAACTAAAATTTAAGCGTAAGATAGCTAATGTAACCTTGTTGTACCCATTATGATTGTCTTCATCATACCACTTTTTTGGAATTAGTTGAGACCCACTTTGTGGCCCAATATTGTGTTAAGGACTATAAATCTTTTAAGTGTATACTTGGAGAGATGTTAATTCTCTAGATGTTGCCAAGAAAATCTTTCCTACCACAAGGGTCCTAGGACTTCAGCTGTTGGATAATTAGTTTGTTTTCTAAACAAAAAGATTTGGAAAATTATTTTAAAGGAAAGAGGGAGAAAACTGCCTTTTTCCCTTAAAAGAAAAAAAATGCCCCCTACAAAGACATATTCACTTTTTAATCCCCAGAATCTGAATATTATTTAATATGGCAAAAGAGGTGATTAAGAATTTTAAGGCCGGGCGCGGTGGCTCACGCCTGTAATCCCAGCACTTCGGGAGGCCGAGGCGGGCGGATCACGAGGTCAAGAGATCGAGACCATCCCGGCTAAAACGGTGAAACCCCGTCTCTACTAAAAATACAAAAAAATTAGCCGGGCGTAGTGGCGGGCGCCTGTAGTCCCAGCTACTTGGGAGGCTGAGGCAGGAGAATGGCGTGAACCCGGGAGGCGGAGCTTGCAGTGAGCCGAGATCCCGCCACTGCACTCCAGCCTGGGCGACAGAGCGAGACTCCGTCTCAAAAAAAAAAAAAAAAAAAAAAAGAATTTTAAGAGGAGTTTATCCTAGAGTATCCAGATGTAAATAAAATCACATGTATCCTAATAAGAGACAGAGAGATGCAGGGACACACAGAGGAGTAGGTGATGTGACAGTGTGTCTACCTTTGAGTCATTGTGTCCAAGTGACTGCCATACACTGATTGACTAGAGCTGAGGTTATGTTACTTTAGTGACTATTTGAAAATGTTACATTTCCTGTAATTTGACGGAACAATAACAGATTAGAGTGCTGTGGTCGTAAGCCAGGAAATGCAGGCAACCACCAGAAGCTGGAGGAGGCAAGAAATGGAATCTGCCCAAGAGTCTCTGGAGAGTAAGCAACCCTGCCCACAACCTGGATGTCAGACTTCTGGCCGCAGGTCCTGTGAGGAAATACATTTCTGTTTTTTTAAGACACAACTTTGTCATAACTTTATAAGGCAGCCCAAGGAAATTAATACACTGCTTTCCATTTTAATTTAAACACCCTGAAAGTATATTTGAGAATTAACATTAGGTTCTTCCAACATGATTTATAAAGAGAAAGTAGAAAAAAAAGGGAGGGATGAATTACTATGCCAGGGAAATGAGACAAATCTGTAGTATTCTTGGGTGGCTAAGAAATAAGGTCAGAGGCCTTAGGAAGAATAGGGTGGGATAGAAGGAAAGGAAGGGACAGGGACGGGAAGAGGAAACAGGAAAGAACAATAATTATTATTTTGGTGTCACGAAGGTCAAAGAAACTTTTAAAAAGCAAAATTGTCTAATATTAATTTTTTGGTTGTTCACTGTGCTTTACTCTGATAACAAAAAATTCATCAACCCTCTTAAAATACAGTCATCTTCATCCTCTTAAAATAAAGCACCACAGAAGTCAATCACATGGCTTCTGTGGTGCTTTAAAGGAATCAAAGAAATGGGGCTGTCACATTTAGGGCAGCACAGACTAGAGAGAAGGGAGCTGCTTTCAGTGGCAGGAGACAGTTTCCTGTATACTGGAAATGGAAACTCTAATTGAAGGGTGCCCATGCAAACTTTAGATTTCCTGTCATTTGAAGAAAATCAAGTGCTTTGAATGGAGAGCAGTACTACTTTCACTGAAATACTTACGTAAAGAACTAGGTGACTACAGGACTATAAAATCCAGAGGACTTGAGGATATCAGGGAGCTATACTTGGGTTTCATATATGAGTGCTATTTATCTTTGTTAAAAAATCATAAAACATTTAACAACAGACGCCTATTTACATGCCATCAATATTATACAGGCCATTTTGCAATATATGCCTCAGTTCTTTTATTTTTAAGAAATAAATAATTATAGCTTTATCCCCTATCCTTTGCTCCCTTTTTATACTTATTACATGTGTATGTATCTGTCAGCAATCCATATTATTATGTTTTAAAAGGGAAACAGTTATCATGTTGATAGATCCTTTTGCAACATATTCATCTTTTTTTCAATTTTAAATAGGCAGTACATGAATATAGCCCCAATCATACCAATATGAAAAGGTATATCTTGTTCCTTTCTACCCAGAAAGGAAAAAGCATGTCTGCTTCCCTATAGTTTCACCAAGGTTTTGCCCAACTTTATATTTTTGTCCATCTGTTAAGTGAAAAACAGAATTTCAGTGTCATTTTAATTTGCATTCTTTCATTACGTGTGGGGTTGAGTGTATTTTCATATATTTAAGGCACTTTCATATTTCTTTTTCCAAGAACTATCTGTTGATGTCCTTTGCCCATTTTCCTGTTGATTTTTTCCCCAAATGTCTAGAAAATCTTTATATATTAAGAGGATAAGCTATGTGTAATATGAGTTACAATTTTTTCCCTAGTTTATCAATTGTCTTTTGACTTCAAAAAATGTATTTTTGACCATTTATAAATCTTTTTTTTTGTGGCTTCTAGATTTAGAGTCTTAGTTTTAAAGATCTTCCGTACTCCAAGAAAAAAGGACATATGTTTCTTCAAGTACATTTAAATTTTTTACATTTAAATTATTTTATCCTTTTAGAGTTTATCCTAGTAAATGATGTGGACAATGGTTGCAACTTGATCTTTATCCTGATGGCTGTTTAGTTTTCCCAAAAGCATTCATTAAAAAGTCTATTCTTCCCCATGGATTTTTGATATAATAAATGCCCAAAGCATATAGTTCTATTTTCTATACTGTTCCAATGGTTTGCTTTTCTACTCATGAGCCAGTACCACAGTGTTTTAATTATTGAAGCTTTGTTATATGTCTTAATACATAAAGGGATATCTCCCCTTCATTACTCTTGCTTTTTAATATTTTTCTAGCTAGACTCATTTTTCCATGTGAACTTTAGGACCAGCTTGCCCAAAAATAAGCAAATTAACAAACTAAATATCCTTTTAATATTTTACTGAGATTGCATTTCCATTCGTAAATTAATGTTTAGAGTATTTAAATCATTATGATGTTAAGTCCTTTAAGATGTTATGATTTTATTAATGTGGTATATTATTTCATTTAAATACATTTTCATTTCTTTCAATCCTGTTTTAAGTTTTCCTCATTTGAGTTTTACACATCTGTCACATAGGTATATTCATATAGTCTTTACATTTCTCATTGAGTTATTATTCTTCTAAATGAGGTCTTTTTTTCCATTATATCTTTTATTATGTAAAACACTTTTTTTTAAAGAATAGGCTCTCTATTGGGGAAAAGTACTCCGATTTTGTGCATTTTTTCTTACTCTTCTTTCATATTCTTAAATAATCTCTGCCTTACTTTACTATGACAGTCTGCGGGGCTCCCTGTTTTAACTTGGCATCATCACCCGTAATTCTACAAATTATTTTCCCAGCAGTATATAACTCCCTTTGACCTAACAATTCAAAATTCAACTGACCATTTAAACTCCCGTTTCTTCGTTCCAGCCATTATTAAAACTATCTTCAGAGATCTCAAGCCAAAATTATAATGATCCTATCAAACATTAAAATATTTGAATTATTAAAGTTTCTAAAGAAAAAATATGAAAACAAATGCACACAGTATATAGGTAAATTACAGGTAATCTATGCTCTGCAGGGAAACAGTGACATGAATCCAAAAAACCCTTGGTTATACTGCTAATGCTCTCATTCATCTCCCAAAGTGATGCTCCTAAAGTCTCACTCTTAAAGACTAACAAATATTAAAGGTGTTAAGAAATATCGGTATCTGAATTAAGTTTTCTCTGAACTAGAATGAGATAAATTGAAAGAAAATTAAAAGAGGAGGACTTTTGGAGAAAATGTGGTTAGCTGTCCAAACCATTTTGCATTAGCAACAAATACTCTGGCATATGCTAGAACAATAATTGTTAAAGTGTAGAACCCAGATCAGCAGCATCAGTAACAGTTTAAAACTTGTTAGAAACACAAATTCTCCAACCCCACACCAGAAGTACAGAATTAGAAACTCAGGAGTAAGGCCCAGCACTTTGTGTTTTAATAAATCCTCCAAATGATTCTGGTATACAATAAAGTTTGAGAATGATCGCTCTAGATGTTAACTTCCTTGTATGGAAAAAAATAGTCCGTAATTTAAAATAACGAATGCTCAATCACTCTTTCCAGATCTTGGAGGAAAGACTTAGAACCTTGACTGATTTTACAGTTTGCCTTATATGAAGCTCACATATGGACTTTATATGTTGATGGAAATTCTAGCTCCATTATTTTGATAGGAATTCTAGCTCCATTATTTGGTACAGTCCCAGGTCATCCCTGGACCAATCCAGAAAAGTATTACTTAAGGTTATTTTTATATAATCACCTTTAAATATTTTGAGAAAAGTAGCTATTTACCTGTTGTGAGAGCTGTTTGCGCGCTAATTCATAAAGGTTAGTTAGCTTTCCAGAGAGTGAATTTGCAGATTTGAAACCAAATGAAAACAATATTATTTCAGCAATCATTTGATAATGGGGCACCATCATTGCCACTGGGCGAAACAGAGATTTTAAGTTATCTGGGAGCTCTACTCCACCTCCGTATCTGAAGAGGAAAAGAAAAACAAACAATAAAAACACCACTTCTCAATTTTTCAAATAAGGAATCACATACTTTTCCCCAAAATAATTATATTGGTGTTCTGTGTGACCTTTATCTGAAAATTAGTTTACAAGATAGTTTTTATTGTACCTTTCATCTTACAGAGCTTCCTGGTTTATCATATTTTCTTCCTGTTCCTCCTCCCACAATTGACCTCATATTAGTTCCCTCTGATTCCTTGGACTATTACAGCATTCAATCAGATATTTTTGAATCTGCTCAACCTCCACTCCCTGCAATCACTATTGTCTTATTCCTCCTGCCACTCTCATCAGCTTTTCTGCCTGGGTCCTCTTTGTGAAAAACTTCTGACCCTTTTTCCTTTCTCTCTGGTATTCATGAAGTAAAAATATGTCAGTAGCTTAATGAATGTGAGATTATCCTTATCCATATGAACAGGTGCAGAGTGCAGCTGTTCATAAATGGTGTTGGGAGTGGAAGTGTTCAGAGGATGGTGGAGACAGATATATGGATAGATGCAAATGTCAAGCAACTCCATCTGTAGATAAGATTTAAGAAAATGATTTTTGTCTGTGTCTATTCCCACTAGATTTACTGATACTTACCTGGGATTCATGGTGATAAATACCGCACAAGACATATTGATACGAATTTCTTTTCCTTCCAGTACAAACCTAAAAGACATTACAGTATTCATCACTAGCACTGTTTTCTCTAGTCCAAAGCATGTTAAAACTATAAGTGAGTTTGGAAGCTTTATTAAGGCTGTGTTACATTTAAATGCAAACAGAGCACACTGGAAAAAACAATGGTGAGAGAAAAAAGAAGAAATAGGAGGCTCATGCTGAGCCAAAGTTGTCATCCCTGCTGGGATTCAGATGTATTTGATTATGTCCAAAGATGTTTCTGGGACCTGAGGCTGGAAGATACCTAGCTGAATGAGTTGACTTACATAGTAAAAGGAACCTGGGAGACACTTAGGGAATAAAAGAGCTCTGCCTGGAAGATATAGTAGAACACAGAATGGGGCACAGCACAGATATCCTGCTTCAGCATGGAACACAGCCTGTCTCCCAAGTGTCCCTAGCCCCAGTTTAAAAACTTTGGGACCACTATGAGATAGAATGCTTGGCATGAACATCAGTGTCTTACAATCAGCATCAGTGGTAGAGACAATGGGAGAAATCCTACAGTGATTTCTTGGACAGCTGATACCAAAGAGGGTGGTGAAAACAGGAAAACAATTGGGACAAAACCTGGGGAACTCTCTGGACATAAATGGGGAAAACTTTGCAGAGGATGAGGTGTAGAAGAGTCAGTGAAATGTTACTGTGACCCCCCCACCCCCAACTATATCCACAGATTTATGAGTCCTGTAATACTAGCTTTAACAGTTTGAACAAAATCCATGAGAGGAAAGCCACAAGTTAGTATCCATTAGCTTGCATTAGAAATATTAGATTATGATACAATTTTATATGTCCATAAATCATATGAGTATTAAAATTACCTAAAGAGAAAAAATTTTTGCTTTTATTGCTAAACATTAGTAATACTAATAAATACTGTTATTACAGAGCTTTTCAATAAAAGCACATTAATTCAGAGTAATAAGACAAGAGGGCTCTTCAGGTATGTGGCCAGTATACCCACTTTGCTTTTTATCTCACTGGGTGTGGTGGCTCATGCCTGTAATTCCAGCACTTCAGGAGGCTGAGGCGGGCAGATCACACTGAGGTCAAGATTTTGAGACCAGCCTGGCCAACATGGTAAAACCCCACCTCTACTAAAAATACAAAAATTAGCCAGGTGTGGTGGCACCACCTGTAATACCAGCATGAGAATTGCTTGAACCCGGGAGGCAGAGGTTGCAGTAAGCCGAGATCATGCCACTGCACTCCAGCTTGGGCAACAGAGTGAGATGTCTGCCTTAAAAAAAAAATGTATGTGGAAACAAATACAAATAACCATCAGATAATATTATGAACACCTCTAGGCACACAAACTAGAAAATCTGGAAGAAATGGATAAATTCCTAAACACACACACCCTCCCAAGGCTGAACCAGAAAGAAGTTGAAGCCCTGAACAGACCAATAATGGACTCCAAAATTTAATCAGTAATAAATAGCCTACCAACCAAAAAAGGCCCAGGATCGAACAGATTCACAGCCAAATTCTACCAGATATACAAAGAAGAGCTGGCTGGTACCATTCCTACTGAAAATATTCCAAAAATTGAGGAGGAGAGACTCCTCTGTAACCCACTCTATGGGAACAGCATCATCCTAACACTAAAACCTGGCAAAGACACAACAACAAGAAGAAACTTCAGGCCAATATCCTTCATGAACATCAGTGAAAGAATCCTCAACAAAATACTGGCAAATCGAATCTAGCAGCACATCAAAAACCTTATCTACCACGATCAACTAGGCTTTATGCCTGGGGTGCAAGGTTGGTTCAATATATGCAAATCAATAAATATATTCATTACATAAACAAAACTAAAGACAAAAAAATGATAATCTCAATAGATGCAGAAAAGGCTTTTGATATAATTCAACATCCTTCATGTTAAAAATTCTCAATAAACTAGGTATTGAAGGAACATACCTCAAAATAATGAGTCATTTATGACAAACTCACAGCCAACATCATACTGAATGGGCAAAAACTGGAAGCATTTCCCTTGAAAACTGACACAAGACAAGTATGCCCTCTCTCACCACTCCTATTCAACATAGTCTTGGAAGTTCTGGCCAGAGCAATCAGGCAAGAGAAAGAAATTAAGGGCATCCAAATAGGAAGAGAGGAAGTCGAACTATCCCTGTTTGCAGATGCCATGATTCTATATCTAGAAAAACCCATCATCATGGCCCAAAAGCTTCTTTCAGTGAAGTCTCAGGATACAAAATCAATGCACAAAAATCACTAGCATTCCTACACACCAACAACAGCCATGCCAAGAGCCAAATCAGGAACACAATCCCATTCACTGTTGCCACAAAAACAATAAAATACCTAGGAATACAGCTAACCAGGGAGATGAAAGATCTCTCCTAAGGAAAACTACAAAACACTGATCAAATGGAAAATGGAAAAACATTCCATTCTTATGGATAGGAAGAATCAATATTGCTAAAATGACCATACTGTCCAGTGCAATTTATAGATTCAATGCTGTTCCTATCAAATTACCAGTGACATTTTAATTCACAGAATTAGAAAAAAACTATTTTACAATTCATATGAAACAAAAATGAGTCTGAAAAGCCAAGGCAATCCTAACCAAAAAGAATAAGGCTGGAAGCATCACATTACCCAACTTCAAACTATATTACAATGCTACAGTTATTATCAAAACAGCATGGTACTGGTACAAAAAACAGGCACATAGACCAATGGAACAGAATAGAGAGCCCCAAAATAAGGCTGCACACATACAACCATCTGATCTTTGACAAACATGACAAACTCAATGGAGAAAACACTCCCTATTCAACAAATGATGCAGAAGATTGAAACTGGGCCCCTTCCTTTCACCATATACAAAAATCAACTCAAGATGGATTAAAGACTTAAATGTAAAACCCAAAACTATAAAAACCCTGGAAGACAACCTAGGCAGTACCATTTTGGACATAGGAATGGGCCAAGATTTCATGATGAAAACTTTCAATTGACAAAAGCAATTGCAACAAAAGCAAAAATTGACAAATGGTATCTAGTTAAACTAAAGAGTTTCTGCAAAGCAAAAGAAACTATCAACAGAGTAAACAGACAACCCACAGAACGGAAGAAAATTTTTGCAAACTATGCATCTGACAAAGGCCTAATATCCAGAATCTATAAGCAACTTTAACAAATTTACAAGCAAAAACAAACAACTCTATTAAAAAGTGGGCAAAGGACATGAAGGGACACTTTTCAAAAGAAGACATATATGCAGGCAACAAGCATACAAAAAAGAAAGCTCAGGCTGGGCACAGTGACTCATGCCTGTAATCCCAGCACTTTGAGAGGCCAAGGAGGGCACATCACAAGGTCAGGAGTTTGAGACCAGCCTGACCAACATGGTGAAACCCCATCTCTACTAAAAATACAAAAATTAGCCGGGCATGCTGGCACATGCCTGTAATCCCAGCTACTCAGGAGGCTGAGGCAGGAGAATTGCTTAAACCCGGGAGGCGGAGGCTGCAGTGAGCTGAGATTGTGCCATTGCACTCCAGCCTGGGCAACAGAGTGAGACTCCGACTCAAAAAAAAAAAAAAAAAAAAAAAGCTCAACATTACTGATCATTAGAGAAAAGCAAATCAAAACCACAATGAGATACTATCTCACATCAGTCAGAATGGCTATCACTAAAAAGTCAAAAAATAACAGGTACTCACAAGGTTGTAGAGAAGAAGGAACACTTATACACTGTTGGTGGGAGTGTAAATTAGTTCCATTATTGTGAGAGACAGTGTGGCGATTCCTCAAAGACCTAAAAACAGAACTACCATTTGACCCAGCAATCCCATTACTGGCTATATACCCAAAGGAATACAAATTGTTCTATCATAATGACACATGCCTGGGTATGTTCATTGCAGCATTATTCACAATAGCAAAGACATGGAATCAACACAAATGCCCACCCATGGTAGACTGGATAAAGAAAATGTGGTATATATACACCATGGAATACTATGCAGCCATAAAAAAGAATGAGATCATGTCCTTTGCAGGAACATGGATGGAACTGGAAGCCATTATCCAAAGCAAATTAATGCAGTAGAAAACCAAATACCTCATGTTCTCACTTGTATGTGGGAGCTAAGTGATGAGAACACATGGACTTATAGTGAGGAACAACTGATACTAGGGCCTACTGGAGGGTGGAAGGTGGGAGGAGGGAGACAATCAGAAAAATTTACTAATGGATACTAGTTCATACCTGGGTGATTAAATAATCTGTACATCAAATCCCCATAATACCAGTTTACCTATATAACAAATCTGCACATGTGCCCCTGAACTTAAAAGAAAGGTTTAAAAAATGTGGAAATAAAAAAAGCAGCATTTGTTTGGGTTCTTCAAATGCAATATTCTAAGATAAAAAGATAATATGAAAATTTAAGCTGAAAAAAAATTAAAATATATTTGCATCAGTGTCCTGGTAGCTCAGGAGACTGTTCCAAAGCTTGGGCAAGAATTTGGGTACTTCTAAGTTGGCCTGAAAGTTAGAGTTATAAATATATTCACATTATTTGCCAAGTAATGGAAACATTCAAGGTAACTGCCATTCCTTTTGGTATGTGCTTTAAAAAAAAAACACCCCAAAGACCTAAACACTTATTGGGGAAAATATTTAACAATAATTAACTAAACATTAAGTGTGTATCAGATTTCAATTCAAAAGGTATAAACACATTCGACAAATACCTGGCAGAATAGTTGTCTTTTGCAGCCTTAATTGTTAGGATCTGTGAGGCAATGACAGAGAGAACTTCCAAATCAATTAGATTGAATTCATCAAAACAACTCCATGCTCCTGACTGAACTAGTCCAAAGAAAAATTTTCTCACTATCTTTTAAAAAAAAAAAGAGATTGATTACTAAAATTATTATAATGGTGAGAAAATTTACTGGGATATTAATTTGTATGTGTTCTCCCCATGCTACCCAAACCAAGCAAAGGCCTTTTGCATTTCCCCCTCCTAGGCATTTTTATAGGGTTGAAAGCAGCAGCTGCTTAGATGCTAGACAAGTCAACTACTCTGCCTTTTGCTTCTAAAAGCCCACTCAGCAGAGCAAACTCTGATGCTCACAGGGACCGTGAAGACAGGGCCACAGCTTCTGACGGATTGCACAGAGATGTACCAGATCCCTCCCTGGACAGCCATTTCCCTCACACAGCTGCACCCTGGGGCAGAGTCTTCAGGACAACTTTCTGGCAGATGGGCGTAAAGTGTGTGAATCTGGGGGCTGCCTTTTCTGGATCAGGCAAAGATGCCTTATGGCTTAGTGGCGGGCAGCTGATGGGCAATGCAAAAGACTGAACCACAGGCCCAGATAAGGCAAGACTGCAGTGGGCCCAGCTAAAGCACGCAGCTGCTGCTGGGCTTCTGCCACTTGCCAGAGTGCAGGCCCAGGCTGGCCAGGTGCAGCAGTGTTCTGTGAGAGGCTGCAAGTCTGGGATTGAAATCTATTGGTTTGTAAATGTTAGCAACTAAAACAAAGCAACAAAACAAACAAAAATATTGACAGGCCTAACTTCTGTGGGCTGAATGCAAGTTGAGGGGTGCCTGAACTCTATTGCTAGGTATGGCAAGGAGGAAAGGAAGTGGGAATCGGAATGAGTAAGTGAGAGCCTCAGACCGAGAAGGATGTAGAAGATTGTTCCTTCCACTGAGCAGCAGGAATCAGATCTTGTCTTAATTTAAAATTTTGGTATTTTGTTCATGGGACGTTTGGGGGCATTAATTTTGACTTTTAAAATATTGCATTAAATATTATTTATTTTAATTAGCAGGCTTTTTGGCCTCACTCATGTGGAGCCCTCATAGGCCCCACTAGTGGTTTCCAGGAAGGAGGCAAGAGAGTCTTATTTGGTAAGTATCTTAAAAATAATAATTGATCAACTTATTTATGTTGATATTTTTAACGTACTAAGTGAGCACAAATTGGAAATGCAGGATCTCAGAGGTAATATGCTTTGAACACAAATAAAATGACAACAATAAAATGTAGAATGTTTGGACTTAACATGCAAAACAAATTGCAGTATTTTGAAACTTTGAGTAGATTTGTAAGAGACATATTTCAGAATGTTATGTCAGATAATGTGCAAACGAAACAAGACTGACAAACTTGTAATCATTATCTATATAAACACTCAAATATTTGTGTTAATCATAATCTTGTCTTAATGATTACCTTTTCAGTAAATAAATGTATGGGGTTAGGACTTAAAATAAATGTATGTTAATAAAGCAGTACTCTTTAATTGTTTTATATATTCATGTTCCATGTAAGTTTTTTTATTGAAAAGAATCCAACTGTTGAAAAAAGTTTGAAAACCACTGTCTTAAGGAGTAGTTCACCTGAATAAAAGCATCGTATATGTTTAAAATTTCTATTACATTCTAGGTTTCTAGTCCATTAGTTTAAAAGAAGTAACAGCATTTAAAGTTCTGTTAATACTTGATGTTTGTCTCAGATAAATATTTTTCTTGTTCTTTTATTCTTCAATGAATTGTTTTATGTTTTATGTGTACAATATTTCTTCCTGACACATATGTTTAAGGTTTACCTTATAATCCAAATCCTCAAAACAGTTGAAGACCACACAATGTTTGCCTAAGGACTGGGAAACAAAAATATTTTAGTATCTTTCTTGAATTATGACACAAAATACTAATGTTAAAACTGCTAGAGTAATAAAATGTCTTTATGCTTTTGAGAAAACTTTGCAATATGGAGATGAATTAAAAATCAAATTTAGAGATTCACAAAACTCAATATAATAGTATAAATGTACATATACTGTTACAGTTCAGTTGATTAGTTTATAGAGCATTAAGGTCATGTTTTTACATAAATCTATGAATAAAAAACTATGAAAAAATTCTAGGTCACAAACTATATCCTTTGCTTTCATCAGTAACTACTACTGCTTTTCTCTGTCTTTCTCTCTCTCTGTCTCTTTCTGTCTCTCTCTGTCCCTCTCTTTCGGTCTCACTTTCTCTCTCTCTCTCTTTCACACACACATACACACACAAACACACACACACACACAATGATATTAATCATTCACATGTTAGTCAGTAAAGTAGTATTCCAACTAAATAAAAAGCATATGTTGGCTTATTGAGATTCTAAGCTCCAGCACACAATAGGCATTCAAAACATCATTGATGAATTAATTATATGTGAGTTAATGAATGTGCTTGTTAATGCAATGAACATCTTAATAGCAGGAATGGTGTAAATTTAAGATAACATCAAAGTTTGTGTGACAGAAAAAGAAAAAAGTTTTTATTCTGGATACAGAAACCACTTACTTTTGCTAGATCTTTGACAGTCTCAGTTTTTCCTGTACCAGCTGGACCGGCAGGACAGCCTCCTAGATTCAAGTGTAGTGCTTCCATGAGAGTCAGCCAGCATCGGTCTGTGAGAGGCGTAATAACCAATCTTGAGGTACAGCCCAAGTACTCATAGCCATAAGTAAAGCTGGCATTTCCTTGAGACACATAGCACAACTTTTGTTTTTCATTCCATTTATATTGCAAATGTCTGAAAGCCAAATTTTAAATGTTCATATTATTTGGTTAAATTATTTTTATGTATTTTCACATGCAGAAAAAGAATCAAGATTAAAAATGGAGCATTGATTAAAAAAACAAATAGAAGTTAAAAAATTAAAATCAAATGAGAAGTGTGATATAAAACTCATCAATGACTGATCATATTAGGTATGAAATAGTAGAACTGAAGAATAAAAACATGTGAACATGCTTCCCTCTGAGGCTAATGGCCTTGCTGAATCATGCTGCTTTGGTGTGATGTCAACCCAAATGGAGGATTTATATAAGAATCATCCCTCTGAAGTTTATTATGGTTTCCAATAAGACTGTGATTGAAGATGATGTTTATCATAATCTGGATCCTTATTATGAGTGTACTTAAGAGAAATGCTATTTGTTCTATGTATCAAAACAAATTGAACTTTGTAGAAATTGATTTGTATTTATATCATGAGCACTGTGAATTGTGTAGCTAACCATAAATGTTCACATCTAGAAGGTTTTGAGTTACATTTATGAACTATTTGTAGCTTTGTGGTATGAATTCTTGACTCTATTTTATATCCCAGTTAGTGCTAACTCAATTCTCAAAATAAACACATTTGAGCACTATCAATGAAAAAGTATCAAACAATATTTTGTAAAGAATTTTATGTTTTTTTTTAAATATTAAAACATTGTCAAGCAAAAACTCATTCCTACACATTTTTAATTGTTTAGTGCTGTTTTGATTTTGAATTACAAGTGGAGGCAGGTACAATATCTTCTCAGAATTTAGTCATCAAAGCTCTTACACAGGCACTAGTTTTTGCCTTTGTTTGCCTTTATTCACTCATTCCACTCACTCTCAACATATGCTATCATGTAGTAGTGTGTATATCCTTGTGAGCCCTTTTAAATCCTTTCTGGAACAACAGGGAATATTATAAAGAAATCTGGAAAAGTGAGTAAATTTTAAAAATAAACTTAATTAAAAATAAAAGAAAAATTTAAAATTATAAGCTACTACCTTGCAAAAGTCTCAGATGAGAGAGCATATATCCACAAGAGAGAGAAAAGTATAACACTTGTGGAAGAAAATGTTTTTTTAAAGAAGAAATTTTGTTATCCTAAGAACCTGTATTTGTTTTATGATTCAAGTAGAGTGCCAAATCATTATTTTGATAGAAAATCAATTTCCAGAGCCTTTCCCTTTCCATTAGTGTTCCCTTAGAACACAGCTTCTCAAATTTTCTCAGTTCACTGCACCCTTAGTAACTCAGTAATTTTTTCATGATGACCCTAGACCAAAAGGAATATCTAATAGTTTCTTTTGTTAGTTTTAGGTCCAAAGCAGTTTAGAAAGTATTTTTGTCTTAATGATTTAGTAGGTTGCTTGAAACAAGGTACACAAATGAATTGAAAGAAAAAAAAATTTATTTCATTAATTTTTTTAAAAAATTAAATTAATTTATTTATTTGAGATGGAGTCTTGCTCTGTCACCCAGGCTGGAGTGCAGTGGCACAATCTCAGCTCACTGCAATCTCCACCTCCTGGGTTCAAGTGATTCTCCTGCCTTAGCCTCCTGAGTAACTGGGATTACAGGTGTGCACCATCACGGCCAGCTAATTTTTATTTTTAGTAGAGATGGGTTTTCACCATGTTGGCCAGACTGGTCTCCAACTCTGGACCTCAAGTGATCCACCCGGCCTCCCTCCCAAAGAGCTGGGATTACAGGTGTGAGCCACCATGCCTGGCCTTATTTCATTTTTAAATAGCCAGTTACTTAATGAGATATGCCTATTGTGTACTGCACCACTTACCAAACCTTGGGATCAGATTGGATACTTGCAATCGTGTTTGCTACATTGATTTTCATGGGATACTTGCTTTTTATGAGAGCAACTGCCAAAACCTAGCTTTGCAAGGATAAGAAGTCACTGAAAGGTATGTAACATGATCTGATGTTAAAACGGAACTATTTTGAGCTGCTAGTATGTTTGGTGTCTGATAGATGTTGTACATTGCTGTGATTCCCTCAAAAGGTTAAAATATCTTGCAGTGCCCTTGTGAATTCTCTATGGTGGCTTAGGGTACCTTGACACACAATTTGGGAACTATAGCCCTAAACTCATAGACACTTACAGAGTCTTATTAGAATCTTCTCTTTTCTAGTTTACCTTTCTATATATGCTCTTCCTCTTTTTCATTCTCATTTTTAAAAAGAGTTAATAAAAAGTAATAATGACACACTAGACTTTTTCCAGAGTAATGGTTCATTAATACAATATATCCTCTTTGGCAATTAAGAAAGTATACATTTATGCTTTAATGAACATGTGAGTATATATCAGATATAAAGTATTCAGATAAAATATAGTCAACAGTGGCCTCAGTTACATACTTAAGCCTCTGTCTGCTTCATTTTTCTAGAGTTTAAAGGAAACTGTCATACCTAAAATAAGGACTTTTATGCTAACTGCAGAATTTATGCTAACCGTACATTTATTATCAGAGCTTGATACTCAATCTCTTCTCACTAAAGGTGAGAATGGCCCTAATTTTCTATACTTTCATATTTTACTAATTGACTCCAGGTAGGAGGAAGGCAGTTTTGAGTTAGGGAGCTGGCTGGAAATGTTCTTCAGTTTGTTTCCCCTCAGTCTGTTCCAGAATTAACAGCACAGCGGAAAGAAGAGGCTGGAGGTAGAGCTCTGAATGCCCATGGAAAGATACTGCCCTCTGTCTAGATGGAAATGGGAGAATGTAACTATCAAAAGGGCCTAATCAGGTCAGGAAGACAAAGCAGAAAGAAGTAAAAATGAGGTGGAGGGACAGTAGAAAAGAGAAAGAAGGAAAAGCAGTAGTAGGGTGCAGTAATGTCCCCTTATCTGCATGGAATATGTTTCAGGACCGCCCCCGCCCCCGCCCAAACAGAGGATACGTATAGTTCAAACCACATATAGTTCCAGACCCTCTATATACCATACTATGCCTTTTCCTATACATAAATAACTATAATAAAGCTTAATTTATAAATGAGGCACATTAAGAGATGAAAAACAATGACATAATAAAACAGAACAGTAGAAAAATACACTCACATTCACATGTTATGTGAATGTGATCTGTCTCTCTAAATATCTTATTGTAATATACTCACTTATTTTTGGGCCACAATTGACCATAGTAACTGAAACTGGAAAGCAAAACTGCAGATAAAGGGGGACTAATATACTCAGATTGGTACAGTTTGCTTAGAATTTTGGTAAAGCCCCCAAAATTAAAACTCAAGTTTGACAAAGTGTGAGGTAGAGAATCAATTTACCTAAAGATATATTTGGGAGAAGTTATTGTATGTAGTTATAATTTAGATCCACCTACCTTGTCCACTCAAAATCCTCTGCATTGAAGATATTTTTAAGTAGTAAATTTATCACTATATCTCTGCAGTGAACATAAAGGATAAGCAATGCCCCTAGTATAGCTTTTGTTCGAGAGTTACTAGTATCCAGCACTACCAGGTCTGCAACCTCTTCTAGATGACACATCAGACCAGCGTGGACTTTTTCCAATTTTTCTCTTGAATAAGAACTCACAAAACTTTTAACACAATCATTATAAAACATGATCTGGCTCTGAAAAAGTAAGATAATGTTATATATATATCTCTCTCTATATATATATAATTGAAGCATAAATTTTATTCAAATTAAAATGGATGTTTTCATAAAGTTTATGTGGTGTGTATGTAAGTGTTTGTGTAAGAGACCTTACACATTTGTGTGTATTTGAGGGCTAAAGATTGAATTCTGATTGATGCTTATGGGGGCCTTATCCATTTGTACTTCCTAAGTCTTATATTCTTAAATCTTCCTAACTCTTACACCAGCAACCTTAAGTAATAACCTGGGGACAGTAAAAATGGTGGAAAACTCCAAGATGATATATTAGTGCTGCTTTCTCTGCTGGACTCAGAAGTAATATACCTAGAACACAGTGAGTATGTAGTCATAGTTTTCAGAAAGTTTACAGACTTCTGTTATTTGGCCCATCTTTTGACACCCACTCTTGTCATACATAACGGAGATGTTTTAAGAAGTCTACTGGATTAAGGTCAGATTGACTCTGGAAGTTAAAAGAGGGGGATACATCAGGACAGCTTATAGGTTTCTGGGCTTTACATTGGGTAAATTGTGATTCCAGTAACTCACTAAGATAGTACCTATTGCAGGAAAAGCATGCCGTGGGCAAGGGGGCACAGTGAATTCATTCAGGGATATATTAAATTTGAAGTGCTCAAGAAACATAAGAGCTATCAAGATATGAATGTGGGAATAATTAGCATAAAGTTAACAGACAGAGTGAGATTTTTCCAGATCGAGATAGGAGCATACAGGATGAGAAACTTGTTATATCAACAGCATTCTTGGTTACATGCAACAGAAATGAACTGGCTTTCCTAAAGGATGTTGCAAGCTCATGATGAGCAGATCAAAAGGATGCTAGAGACTGAGGGTTAGAAAGTGGGCAGGACCAAGAGTCTGGGAAGACAAGAGGAATCACAGTCAAGGCCATGTCACGGCAGAGTCTGGTCAGATGCCAGTACTGCTGCCCTTGAGACATTTATTCAAGATTTGCAGCCTCAGGAGAGAACATCCAACAGGTGGAGACCCCTCCCTAGGCTGCATCAGTGTAGGGTAAAGGAGGACTTGGTTCTGGCGAGAGAGATTGTGAACCAGTTTTTAATTACTGTTTGTTATTTATTTATAAAGGAATTTTTAATTACTATATCTTTATTAATTCCATGTTCAAATTCCTTCAGTGGCCAATGCATGCGGACATCTAATTATCTGCATTCTCCCATGTGTCTTTTTACTTCCATTCAGAGACAACTCCTAGTCATGTGACATACGTAGAAGTGCAAGAGAAAGGGGAGTTGTAAACTGCATCAATGGAAAATGAGCAGTAGGTAAGGCAGATGTGTGAAAAACTTTGGCAAAAGAACATTCAATGATTGAAGCTGAAGTCTATCATAAAGTATTTCTAGAAACAGAATACAGGCTGCTTATCATTAAGCATGTTTGGAAGACCAGGGATCCAGGAAACATCTTATCTTAGGAGAGCAGATTTGATTATTTGAATTCCTGTTAAACTACAGAAGTGTGCAGATTGATTCATTATAATTTTGTCACCTTTGTAAAGAACAGTTTGGGTAAGTTCCTCAGCTTAAGATCTGTGGATATTTTCAATATTCAGTCAAGTGGAGAACAAAAGGGACAAAGAAGATTTGATAATAATAACTTGTGTCCACAATCCAAGGTTATTTTAACAAAGACTTGAAAATTGTGAGTCAAGGCAAAGTAAAAGGATATGATGTTAATTTTAAATTGAATAGAGAACTACAAGTCAAGTATGCTTTAAAAATACTTGATTATGGAGGGTTAAGATGACCGATTAGAAGCAGCTGCAGTCCACGACACTCACGGAGAGGAATTAAAAGGGGCAAGTGAATTCAACACCTTTAACTGAAATATCCAGGTTCTCGCATCGGGAATGAATAGGCAAGCAGCTCGGATTCAAGGAGAGTGAGGAGAAGCAGTGGGGTTGGGGAGGGGGGACAACAGCTTAGCGGGGAATAGCATGGAGCCAAAGGAACCCCCACCCCCAGCCAGGGGAGGCGGTGAGTGACTGTGCAACCCCACCCGGGAAACCATGCTTTTCCCACGAATCTTTGCAACCTGTGGAGCAGGAGATCCCCTTGTAAGCCCATGCCACCAGGGCTGTGGGTCCAGTACACAGAGCTGTGTGGAGTCTGCAAAAGAGCCACTCAGGTGCACACAGTGACCCAGGAGTTTTGCATGCTCCAGCCCCAGGTTCCCCACCAAGGTGGAAAATCTGCCCATACATATCCATAGGAAGGGGGCTGACTATAGGGAGCCAAGCAGCGTCCTTCTGTAGGCCTCACTTCCATGGCACCTCACAGGTTAAGACCCACTGGCTTGGAATCCCAGTCAGCCAATGGCAGAGGGCTGAAGTCCACCAGGGATAGGACTGAGATCCAATGGGGAGAGTGGCTGCAATCTCTGCGGTTTGGGGGAAACGGCTGTTGCAGCTGGCAGGCTGTGAAGAGTGCAGATGGTCCAGACAAGGAGGGGCCCCCCACAGTGCAATGCTGTGGCCTTGCCAGATTGGGGCCAGGCTGCTTCTTTAACCAGGGCCCTGACATACTACTTCTCACTGGGCAGGTCCTTGGTTCCACAGAGCTCTGATCTCTCCCTAGCAGAGAACTCCCAGGGGGAGGGGCAGCTGCCATATCCACAGTTCCCTAGTCTCAGCTGTGGAGATGAAGAGGGGCCCTCCCACAGTGCAGTACAGCTGCCTTGCCAGATCATGGCCAGACTGCTTCTTTAACTGGGGCCCGACTCACTCCTCCTCACTAGGGGGGTCTCCAGTTCTGTGGACAGAGATCTCTTCCCGGGAGGGAGATCCCCGGGTGAGGGGCAGCGCTATCTCTGAGGTTCTGTAAACTCAGCCATTCTACCTGGCTGGCTGTGGAAAATACAGGCGGTCTACAAAGAAGGGTCACCCCCTAGTGAAACACGCCTGCTCTACCAAGAAGCAACCAGACTGCTTCATTGGGTGGGTTCCTGATCCTCTTTCTCCTGACTGGGTGACATCTTCCACTGGGGGGCCCTAGCCTCCACAGCAGCCCTATGGTAGAGTGGCCTGTTAAAAGAAAGACAAACAGAGGCTAGGCAGTGGTTCATGCCTGTAATCCCAGCACTCTGGGAGGCTGAGGTGGGTGGATCACCTGAGGTCAGGAGTTCAAGACCAGCCTGGCCAACATGGTGAAATGCTGTCTCTACTAAAAATACAAAAATTAGCCGGGTGTAGTGGTGCATGCCCGTAATCTCAGCTACTCAGGAGGCTGAGGCAGGAGAATGACTAGCACCTGGGAGATGGAGTTTGCAGTGAGCTGAGATTGCACCACTGCACTCAAGCCTGGGTGTCAGAGCAAGACTCTATCTTAAAACAAAACAAAACAAAACAGAAAACAACAACAACATCAACAAAAAAAGACCCCACAAAAACCCCACTCAAAGGTCAGCAACCTCAAAGATCAAAGGTAGATAAGCCCACAAAGATGAGAAGGAATAAATGCAAAAACACTGAAAACTCAAAAAGCCAGTGTGCTTCTCCTCTTCCAATTGATTTCAACACAACTGGGCTGAGGCTGAGATACATGAATTGGCAGAAATAAGGCTTCAGAAGGTGGGTAATAACTAACTTTACTGAGTTAAATGAGCATGTGCTAACCCAATATAAAGAAGCTAAGAATCATAACAACACAATGCAGGAGCTGATAGCCAGAACAGCCAATTTAGAGAGGAACATAACTGACCTAATGGAGCTGAAAAACACAAGAGAAATTCACAATGCAATCACAAGTATCAATAGCAGAATAGACCAAGTGGAGGAAAGAATCTCAGAGCTTGAAGACTATCTTTCTGAAATAAGAGAGGTAGAAAATAATAATGAAAAAAGAATGATAAGGAATGAACAAAACCTCTGAGAATTATGGGATTATGGAAAGAGAACGAACCTACGACTGACTGGGGTACCTGAAACAGATGGGAAGAATGGAACCAAGTTGGAAAACGTACTTCAGCATATCATCCAGGAGAACTTCCCCAACCTAGCAAGACAGGCCAACATTCAAATTCAGAAACTGCAGAGAACCCCAGTAAGATACTCCATGAGAACATCAACTCTGAGACACATAATCATGAGATTCTCCATGGTCAAAATGAAAGAAAAAATTAAGGCAACCAGAGAGAAAAGCTAGGTCACCTACAAGGGAAAACCCATCAGACTAATAGTGGACCTCTCATTGGAAACCCTGAAAGCCAGAAGAGATTGGGGGCCAATATTCAACTTCTTAAAGAAAAGAATTTCCAGTCCAGAATTTCATATCCGGCCAAACTAAGCTTCATAAGCAAAGGTGAAAGAAGATCCTTTTCAGAAAAGCAAATGCTCAGGGAATTCATCGTCACCAGGTCCGCCTTGCAAGAGCTCCTGAAAGAAGCACTAAATATTGAAAGAAAAAACGATTATCAGCTGCTACAAAACACACTGATGTACACAGACTAGTGACACTATGAAGCAACCACACAAACAAGTCTGCAAAATAACTAGCTAGCATCATGATGTCAGGATACAATTTACACATAACAATACTAACCTTAAATGTAAATAGGCTAAATGCCCCCAATTAAAAGACACAGAATGACAAGCTGGATAAAGAGTCAAGCCTCATCAGTATACTGTCCTCAAGAGCCCCATCTCACGTGCAAAGACACACATAGGCTCAAAATAAAGGGATAAGGGAAAATTTACCAAGCAAATGGAAAACAGAAAAAAGCAGGAGTAGCAACCCTAGTTTCTAAAAAGCAGACTTTAAACCAACAAAGATAAAAAAAGACAAAGAAGGGCATTACATAATGGTGAGGGGTTCAATTCAACAAGTGATAACTACCCTAAATATATATGCACCCAAAACAGGAGGACCCAGCTTCAGAAAGCAAGTTCTTAGAGACCTACAAAGAGATTTAGTCTCCCACACAATAATAGTGGGAGACTTTAACATCCCTCTGACAATATTAGACAGATCACTGAGACAGAAAATAAACAAAGATATTTAGAACCTGAACTTGACTAAATGGACCTAATAGACATATATAGAACTCTTTACCCCAAAACAGCAGAATATAGACTCTTCTCATAGCCACACAACACTTACTTTAAAATTGGTCACATAATAGGATCACATAATAGAAAGTGATCACACTCCTCTGCAAATGCAGAAGACCTGAAATCATAATGGTCTCTCAGACCACAGTACAATCAAATTAGAACTCAAGATTAAGAAATCCACTCAAAACCATACAACTACATAGAAATTGAACAACCTGCTCCTGAATGACTCTTGGGTAAATAATAAAATAAAGGCAAAAATTAAGAAGTTCTTTCAAACTCATGAGAACAAAGAGACAACATACCAGAATCTCTGGGACACAGCTAAAGCAGTGTTAAGAGGGAAATTTACAGCACTAAATGCCCACATCAGAAAGCTAGAGAGACCTCAAGTTAACAACCTAACATCTCAACTAAAAGGACTAGAGAACCAAGAGCAAACAAACCCCAAAGCTAGCAGAAGAGAAGAAATAACCAAGATCAGAGTTGAAGGAGATAGAGACATGGGAAACCCTTTAAAAAATTAGCAAATCCAGGAGCTGTTAAAAAAAAATAGATACACCATTTGCTAGGCTAATAAAGATGAAAAGACAGAAGAATCAAATAAACACAATAAGAAATGATAAGGGGGATATCATCACTGACCCCACAGAAATACAAACAAGAAATAGACAATTTCCTGGACAAATACACCGTCCCAAGACTGAACCAGGAAAAAATCAAATCCCTGAATAGACCAATAATGAGTTGTGAAATTGAAGCAGTAATAAATAGGCTACCAACCAAAAAAATCCCAAGACCAGATGGATTCACATCTGAATACTATCAGAGGTACAAAGAGAAGCTGGTACTATTTCTACTGAAACCATTCCAAAAAATTGAAGAGGAAGGACTCTTTCCTAACTCATTCTATGAGGCCAGCATCATCCTGATACCAAAACCTGGCAGAGATACAACAAAAAAAGAAAACTTCAGGTCAATATCCCTGAAGAACACTGATGCAAAAATCCTCAATAAAATACTGGCAAACCAAATCCAGCAGCACATCAAAAACCTTATTCACCACAAACAAGTTGGCTTTATACCCAGAATGCAAGGTTGGTTCAACATATGCAAATCAATAAATGTCATTCATCACATAAAGAGAACTAAAGACAAAAACCACGTTATCTCAATAGATACAGAAAAGGCCTTTGCAAAAATTCAACATCTCTTCATGTTAAAAACTCTCAATAAATTAGGTATTAGAGGAACATTCCTCAAAATAATAAGAGTTATATATGACAAAGCCACAGCCAATATCATACTAAATGGGAAAAAGCTGGAAGCATTCCCTTTGAAAACTGGCATAAAACAAGGATGCCCTCTCTCACCACTCCTATTCAACATAGTATTCGAAGTTCCAGCCAGGGCAATCAGGCAAGAAGAAGAAATAAAGGGTATTCAAATAGGAAGAAAGGAGGTCAAATTATCTTTATTTGCACATGGCATGATCCTCTATCTAGAAAACCCCATCATCTTAGCCCAAAAGCTTCTTAAGCTGATAAGCAACTTCAGCAAAGTCTCAGGATATAAAATCAATGTGCCCAAATTGCTAGCATTCCTATATATACCACCAAGCAAGCAGAGAGCCAAATCATGAATGAACTCTCATTCACAATTGCTACAAAAAGAATAAAATACCTAGGAATTACAGCTAACAAGGGAAATGAAGGACCTCTTCAAGGAGAACTACAAACCACTGCTCAGGGAAATCAGAGAGGATACAAACAAATGGAGAAACATTCCATGCTCATGGATAGGAAGAATCAGTATCATAAAAACGGCCATACTGCCCAAAGTAATTTATAGATTCAATGCTATTCCCATTAAACTACCACTGACATTCTCCATAGAATTAGAAAAACTACTTTAAAATTCATATGGAACCAAAAAAGAGCCCAAATAGCCAAGTCAATACTAAGCAAAAAGAACGAATCTGGAGGCATCACACTACTTGACTTCAAACTATACTACAAGGCTACAGTGACCAAAACAGCATGGTGCTGGTACAAAAACAGACACATAGACCAATGTAACAGAACAGAGAACCCAGAAATAGAACCTCACACCTACAGCCATTTGATTTTCCACAAACATGATCAAAACAAGCAACGGGGAAAGGATTTCCTATTTAAGAAATGGTGCTGGGAGAATGGCTAGCCATATCTAGAAAAGTGAAAGTGGAACCCTTCCTTACACCATATACGAAAATTAACTCAAGATGGAATAAAGGCTTAAATCTAAAAACCAAAACTATAAAAACCCTAGAAGAAAATCTAGGCAATACCAGTCAGGATATAGGCATGGGCAAAGACTTCATGAAAAAAATTCCAAAAGCAATTGCAACAAAAGCAAAAATTGACAAATGAGATCTAACTGAACTAAAGAGCTTCTGCACAGCACAGCAAAAGAAACTATCATCAGAGTGAACAAACAACCTACAGAATGGGAGAAAATTTTTGCAATCTCTCCATCTGACAAAGGGCTAATACCCAGAATTTACAAGGAACTTAAACACATTTACAAGAGAAAAAAAACTCCATTAAAAAGTGGGCAAAGGACATGAACAGATACTTCTCAAAAAAAAGACATACATGCGCCCAACAAACATTTGAAAAAAACCTCAACATTACTAATTGTTAGAGAAATGCAAATCAAAACTACAATGAGATACCATCTCACGCTAATCAGAATGGCTATTGTTAAAAAGTCAAAAAATAGATGCTGGTGAGGTTGTGGAGAAAAGGGAACATTTATATGCTGCTACACTGCTGGTGGGAGTGTAAATCAGTTTAACATCATGGAAGATAGTGTGGCGATTCCTCAAAGACCTAGAGGCAGAAATACCATTTGATCCAGCAATCCCATTACTGGGTACGTACTCAAAAAATATAAATCATTCTATTATAAAGATACATGCACACATGTATGTTCATTGAAGCACTATTCACAATAGCAAAGACATGGAATCAACAAAAATGCTCATCAATAATAGAGTGGATAAAGAAAATGTGGTACATATACATCATGGAATACTACAAAGCCATAAAAAGAATGAGATCATGTCCTTTGCAGGGACATGGATGGATCTGGGAGTCGTTATCCTCAGCAAACTAATGCAGGAACAGAAAACCAAACACCATATTTTCTCACTTATAAATGGGAGCTGAATGATGAGAACACACAGACACATGGGGTGGGGGGTGGCAGGAACAACACACATTGGGGCCTGTTGTGGGGGCAGAGGGAGGGAAAGCATCAGGAAGAACAGCTAATGGGTGCTG
Source organism: Homo sapiens (assembly GCF_000001405.40). Taxonomy (NCBI): domain Eukaryota; kingdom Metazoa; phylum Chordata; class Mammalia; order Primates; family Hominidae; genus Homo; species Homo sapiens. The sequence continues at coordinate 225,132,322 of NC_000001.11, read as the reverse complement.
GGCTTAATACCTAGGTGACGGGATGATCTGTGCAGCAAACCAGCATGGCACACCTTTACCTATGTAACAAACCTGAACATCCTGCACATGTACCCCTGAACTTAAAATAAAAGTTGATGAAAAAAAAAACAACAACTTGATAATGGTACCTCCTGGCAATATGGCTTCTATCTTCATCACTCCAGAAAACCACTGTTGACAGATATAATATAGTTTACCGATCTCTGTAGAGTCTTTAAAAATGATGACCACTCACTTTTTTAAATGATTACTCAGTTTTTCTGGAGAAAAATCAAAGAAACAAACAAAAACCTACCTTTCTTCCTCTTTAGCTTCTTCCATGGAAACTCTTATAAATTTCTTTTCTGTTTTGGCCACTCTTTTTCAGTCCTTTTCTTTTGCCTATTCCTTAGCTGTTCATGTTTCTTGGAGTCTTTCCTTGTCCCTCTTCTCTTATTCTACACATGCTGTTAGGGGAAATTTTATCACTCCCCTGGCTCCAACCACACTTCTCAAAAGAACTGCCAATTTTTGTTTTATTGACATCACAACTTCCTAGTTTTCCCTCTCTCTTATGAGACCCAGAAAAACAATAATTAGCTCTAGCAAATATGCATGTAGTAGGCAGAATAATGGCTCTCTACAAAGATATTCATTTCCTAATTCCCAGAACCTGTGAATATGTCACCTTAAATGGCAAAAAGGACTTTTCAGATGGAATTGAATTAAGAAAATTGAGCTAGAGAGATTATTCTGGATTATCTGGGTGGGTCAAATGTATCCAGAAAACACATGTAATCATAAAACTGGGTAGCTTTTTCTGCCTGTGAGCAGAGAGAGCTAGGACTACTGAAGAATAGTCAGAAAGATGCACATTGCTGACTTTGAAAATGGAGGAATGGGCTGTGAGCCAAGGAATGCCAATGGCCTCCAGAAGCTGAAAAGGCAAAGAAACAGATTTTCCCCAAGAGCCTCTAGAAAGGAACACAGCTTTGCTGACACCTTGATCTTAGCCCACAGAGACCTGTGGGTTGGCCTTCTAACCTACTGAATTGTAAAATAATAAAGCTGTGTTGTTTTAAGGCACCAAGTTTTTAGTAACTTTTTAATAACAGCAGTAGAAAACTAATGCAATACAATATAGTGACATCTTTAAGAAAATAGTTCTACTTTCATTCAAAATTATAAAGATTTTCAAAACTATAGTGAAGTTGAAGGAATTATACAATGAATACTTATATATTCACCACCTACATTCTACAATTAACTTTTTGCTATATTTGCCATGAATCTATACATCTACCCATCTTATGCATTTCAAAGTAAGCTACAGACACCAGTACCCTTCATAATGATTTATTTTCCAAATCATTTCTTTCTTGGCAATGTAGCCACAAACTAAATACTTATACAGGCATACCTTGTTGTATTGTGCTTCATTTTATTGTACTTCACAGATATTGCATTTTTTCCTTTTTTTATTTTATTTTATTATTATTATTATTATACTTTAAGTTTTAGGGTACATGTGCACAATGTGCAGGTTAGTTACATATGTATACATGTGCCATGCTGGTGTGCTGCACCCATTAACTCGTCATTTAGCATTAGGTATATCTCCTAATGCTATCCCTCCCCCCTCCCCCCACCCCACAACAGTCCCCAGAGTGTGATGCTCCCCTTCCTGTGTCCATGTGTTCTCATTGTTCAATTCCCATCTATGAGTGAGAACAGGCAGTGTTTGGTTTTTTATCCTTGCGATATTTTACTGAGAATGATGATTTCCAATTTTCATCCATGTCCCTACAAAGGGCATGAACTCATCATTTTTTATGCCTGCATAGTATTCCATGGTGTATATGTGCCACATTTTCTTAATTCGGTCTATCATTGTTGGACATTTGGGTTGGTTCCAAGTCTTTGCTATTGTGACTAGTGCCACAATAAACATACGTGTGTATGTGTCTTTATAGCAGCATGATTTATAGTCCTTTGGGTATATACCCAGTAATGGGATGGCTGGGTCAAATGGTATTTCTAGTTCGAGATCTCTGAGGAATTGCCACACTGACTTCCACAATGATTGAACTAGTTTACAGTCCCACCAACAGTGTAAAAGTGTTCCTATTTCTCCACATCCTCTCTAGCACCTGTTGTTTCCTGACTTTTTAATGATTGCCATTCTAACTGGTGTGAGATGGTATCTCATTGTGGTTTTGATTTGCATTTCTTTGATGGTCAGTGATGGTGAGCATTTTTTCATGTGTCTTTTGGCTGCATAAATGTCTTCTTTTGAGAAGTGTCTGTTCATATCCCTTGCCCACTTTTTGATGGGGTTGTTTGTTTTTTTCTTGTAAATTTGTTTGAGTTCATTGTAGATTCTGGATATTAGCCCTTTGTCTGATGAGTAGGTTGCAAAAATTTTCTCCCATTTTGTGGATTGCCTATTCACTCTGATGGTAGTTTCTTTTGCTGTGCAGAAGCTCTTTAGTTTAATTAGATTCCATTTGTCAATTTTGGCTTTGGTTGCCATTGCTTTTGGTGTTTTAGACATGAAGTCCTTGCCCATGCCTATGTCCTGAATGGTAATGCCTAGGTTTTCTTCTAGGGTTTTTATGGTTTTAGGTCTAACGTTTAAGTCTTTAATCCATCTTGAATTAATTTTTGTATAAGGTGTAAGGAAGGGATCCAGTTTCAGCTTTCTACATATGGCTAGCCAGTTTTCCCAGCACCATTTATTAAATAGGGAATCCTTTCCACATTGCTTGTTTTTATCAGGTTTCTCAAAGATCAGATGGTTGTAGATATGCGGCATTATTTCTGAGGGCTCTGTTCTGTTCCATTGATCTATATCTCTGTTTTGGTACCAGTACCATGCTGTTTTGGTTACTGTAGCCTTGTAGTATAGTTTGAAGTCAGGTAGCGTGATGCCTCCAGCTTTGTTCTTTTGGCTTAGGATTGACTTGGTGATGCGGGCTCTTTTTTGGTTCCATAAGAACTTTAAAGTAGTTTTTTCCAATTCTGTGAAGAAAGTCATTGGTAGCTTGATGGGGATGGCATTGAATCTATAAATTACCTTGGGCAGTATGGCCATTTTCATGATATTGATTCTTCCTATCCATGAGCATGGAATGTTCTTCCATTTGTTTGTATCCTCTTTTATTTCATTGAGCAGTGGTTTGTAGTTCTCCTTGAAGAGGTCCTTCACATCCCTTGTAAGTTGGATTCCTAGGTATTCTATTCTCTTTGAAGCAATTGTGAATGGGAGTTCACTCATGATTTGGCTCTCTGTTTGTCTGTTATTGGTGTATAAGAATGCTTGTGATTTTTGTGCATTGATTTTGTATCCTGAGACTTTGCTGAAGTTGCTTATCAGCTTAAGGAGATTTTGGGCTGAGACAATGGGGTTTTCTAGATATACAATCATGTCATCTGCAAACAGGGACAATTTGACTTCTTCTTTTCCTAATTGAATACTCTTTATTTCATTCTCCTGCCTGATTGCCCTGGCCAGAACTTCCAACACTGTGTTGAATAGGAGTGGTGAGAGAGGGCATCCCTGTCTTGTGCCAGTTTTCAAAGGGAATGCTTCCAGGTTTTGCCCATTCAGTACGATATTGGCTGTGGGTTTGTCATAGATAGCTCTTATTATTTTGAGATACGTCCCATCAATACCTAATTTATTGAGAGTTTTTAGCATGAAGTGTTGTTGAATTTTGTCAAAGGCCTTTTCTGCATCTATTGAGATAATCATGTGGTTTTTGTCTTTGGTTCTGTTTATATGCTGGATTACATTTATTGATTTGCGTATATTGAACCAGCCTTGCATCCCAGGCATGAAGCCCACTTGATCATGGTGGAGAAGCTTTTTGATGTGCTGCTGGATTCGGTTTGCCAGTATTTTATTGAGGATTTTTGCATCGATGTTCATCAAGGATATTGGTCTAAAATTCTCTTTTTTGGTTGTGTCTCTGCCCAGCTTTGGTATCAGGATGATGCTGGCCTCATAAAATGAGTTAGGGAGGATTCCTTCTTTTTGTATTGATTGGAATAGTTTCAGAAGGAATGCAGGCCAACATTCAGATTCAGGAAACACAGAGAACACCACAAAGATACTCCTCAAGAAAAGCAACTCCAAGACACAATTGTCAGATTCACCAAAGTTGAAATGAAGGAAAAAATGTTAAGGACAGCCAGAGAGAACGGTCGGGTTACCCACAAAGGGAAGCCCATTAGACTAACAGCAGAGTTCTCGGCAGAAACTCTGCAAGCCAGAAGAGAGTGGGGGCCAATATTCAACATTCTTAAAGAAAAGAATTTTCAACCTAGAATTTCATATCCAGCCAAACTAAGTTTCATAAGTGAAAGAGAAATAAAATCCTTTACAGACAAGCAAATGCTGAGAGATTTTGTCACCACCAGGCCTGCCCTAAAAGAGCTCCTGAAGGAAGCACTAAACATGGAAAGGAACAACTGTTACCAGCCGCTGCAAAATCATGCCAAAATGTAAAGATCATCGAGACTAGGAAGAAACTGCATCAACTAATGAGCAAAATAACCAGCTAACATCATAATGACAGGATCAAAGTCACACATAACAATATTAACTTTAAATGTAAATGGACTAAACGCTCCCATTAAAAGACACAGACTGGCAAATTGGATAAAGAGTCAAGAACCATCAGTGTGCTGTATTCAGGAAACCCATCTCACGTGCAGAGACACACATAGGCTCAAAATAAAAGGATGGAGGAAGATATACCAAGCAAATGGAAAAGAAAAAAAGGCAGGGGTTGCAATCTTAGTCTCTGATAAAACAGAATTTAAACCAACAAAGATCAAAGGAGACAAAGAAGGCCATTACATAATGGTAAAGGGATCAATTCAACAAGAAGAGCTAACTATCCTAAATATATATGCACCCAATACAGGAGCACCCAGATTCATAAAGCAAGTCCTGAGTGACCTACAAAGAGACTTAGACTCCCACACAATAATAATGGGAGACTTTAACACCCCACTGTCAACATTAGACAGATCAACGAGACAGAAAGTTAACAAGGATATCCAGGAATTGAACTCAGCTCTGCACCAAGTGGACCTAATAGACATCTACAGAACTCTCCACCCCAAATCAACAGAATATACATTCTTCTCAGCACCACACTGCACTTATTCCAAAATTGACCACATAGTTGGAAGTAAAGCTCTCCTCAGCAAATGTAAAAGAACAGAAATTATAACAAACTGTCTCTCAGACCACAGTGCAATCAAACTAGAACTCAGGATTAAGAAACTCACTCAAAACCGCTCAACTACATGGAAACTGAACAACCTGCTCCTGAATGACTACTGGGTACATAACGAAATGAAGGCAGAAATAAAGATGTTCTTTGAAACCAACGAGAACTAAGACACAACATACCAGAATCTCTGGGACACATTCAAAGCAGTGTGTAGAGGGAAATTTATAGCATTAAATGCCCACAAGAGAAAGCAGGAAAGATCCAAAATTGACACCCTAACATCACAATTAAAAGAACTAGAAAAGCAAGAGCAAACACATTCAAAAGCTTGCAGAAGGGAAGAAATACCTAAAATCAGAGCAGAACTGTAGTAAAGAGAGACATAAAAAACCCTTCAAAAAATTAATGAATCCAGGAGCTGGTTTTTTGAAAGGATCAACAAAATTGATAGACCGCTAGCAAGACTAATAAAGAAAAAAAGAGAGAAGAATCAAATAGAAGCAATAAAAAATGATAAAGGGGATATCACCACCAATCCCACAGAAATACAAACTACCATCAGAGAATACTACAAACAGCTCTATGCAAATAAACTAGAAAATCTAGAAGAAATGGATAAATTCCTCGACACATACACTCTTCCAAGACTAAACCAGGAAGAAGTTGAATCTCTAAATAGACCAAGAACAGGATCTGAAATTGTGGCAATAATCAACAGCTTCCAACCAAAAGGAGTCCAGGACCAGATGGATTCACAGCCGAATTCTACCAGAGGTACAAGGAGGAACTGCATTTTTTTCAAATTGAAGATTTGTGGTAACCCTGCATTGAGCAAGTCTATCAGTGTCATTTTTTCCAATAGTATGTGTTCACTCCATGTCTCTGCGTCACATTTTGGTAATTCTCAGAATATTTCCAACCTTTTCATTATTATATCTGTTATGGTGATCTGCAATTAATGATCTTGGATGTTACTATTGTAATTGTTTGGGAGGACAACAAATGATGCCCATGTAAGACAGCAAACTTAATTGATAAATGCTGTTTGTGTCTTATCTTCTTCACCAAATAGTCATTCCCCCATCTCTCTCCTTCTTCTTCGGTCTCCCTAATCCCTGAGACACAATAATGTTGAATTTAGGCCAACCAATAACCTTACAATGGTCTCTAAGTGTTCAAGTAAAAAGAACTGTTGCACATCCTTCTCTTAAAATTAAAAGCTAGAGATGATTAAGCTTAATAAGGAAGGCATGCCAAAAGCCAAAACAGGCTGAAAGCTAGGCCTCTTCTGCCAAACAGTCAAGTTGTGGATGCAAAGGAAAAAAATTCTTGAAGAAAATTAAAAGTGCTACTCCTGTGAACACACTAATGGTAAGAAAGCAAAACAGCCTTACTGCTGTTTTGGAGAAAATTTTAGTGGTCTGGATAGAAGATCAAACCAGCCATAACATTTCCTTAAGAAAAAGACTAATCCAGAGCAAGGCTCTAACTCTTTTCAATTCTGTGAAGACTGAGAGAGATAAGGAATGCTGCAGAAGAAAAGTTGAAAGCTAGCAGAAGTTGGCTCATGAGATTTAAGGAAAGAAGCTGTCTCAGTAATGTAAAAGTGCAAAGGTAAGTAGCAAGTGCTGATGTGGAAGCTGCAGTAAGTTATCCAGAAGAACTAGGTTAACATAATTGATGAAAGTGGATACACTGAACAACAGATTTTCAAGGTAGATGAGATAGCCTTCTATTGGAAGAAGAGGCCATCCAAGACTTTTGTAGTTGGAGAGAAGTCAATACCTGGCTTCAAAGCTTCAAATGACAGGCTGATTCTCTTGTTAGAGGCTAATGCAACCTGTGACTCTAAATTGAAGCCAATGCTCACTTACCGTTTTGAAAATCCTAGGACCCTTAAGAATTATGTATGCTTAATCTACTCTGCCCCTGCTCTACAAATGGAACAACAAGGCCTGGATGACAGCACATCTGTTTTCAGCATGGTTTACTGAATATTTTAAGCCCACTGTTGGGACCTACTGTTAAGAAAAAAAGATTCCTTTCAAAATATTACTGCTCACTAACAACACATCCAGTCACCCAAGAGTTCTGATGGAGATGTACAAGGAGATTAATGTTGTTTTCATGCCTGATAACAAAACATCCATTCTGTAGCCCATGGGTCAATGAGTACTTTTGACTTTCAAGGCTTATTATTTAAGAAATACATTTCATAAGGCTATAGCTTCCATAGATAGTGATTCCTCTGATGGATCTAGGCAAAGTAAATAGAAAACCTTCTGGAAAGGATTCACCATCCTAGATGCCATTAAGAATATTCATATTCATGGAAGAAGGTCAAAATAGCCACATTAATGGGACTTTGAAAGAAGTTGATTTCAACTCTCATGGACGACTTTAAGGGGTTCAAGACTTCAGTGGAAGTAACTGTAGATGTGGTGGAAATAGCAAGAGAACTAGAATTAAAAGTGGAGCCTGAAGATGTGACGGAATTTGCTGCAATCTCATGAAAAAACTTGAATGGAAGACAAGTTGCCTCTTATGGATGAGCAAAGAAAGTTGTTTCTTGAGATGGAATCTACTCCTGATGAAGTTGCTGTGAACATTATTGAAATGACAAAAAAGGATTTAGTATATTACATAAACTTAGTTGATAAAGCAGCGGCAGAGTTTGAGAGAATTGACTCCAATTTTGAAAGAATTTCCATTGTGGGCAAAGTGCTAGCAGAAAGCATCGCACGCTACAAAGAAATCTTTTGGGAAAGGAAGAGTCAAGCCATGTGGCAAACTTCATTGTTATCTAATTTTAAGAAATTGCCACAGCCATCCTAACCTTCAGCAACCACCACCCTGATCGGTCAGCAACCATCAAAATCTAGGAAATACCCTCCACCAGCAACAATATTATGACTTGCTGAAGGCTCAGATGATTGTTAGCATTTTTTAGTAATAAAGTATTTTTAATTAAGGCATGCACATTTTTTAGACAGAACTCTATTGTACAGTTAACAGACTACAGGAGGCCAGGCATGGTGGCTCACTCCTGTAATCCTAGCACTTTGGGAGGCTGAGGTGGGCAGATCACCTGAGGTCAGGAGTTCAAGACCAGCCTGGCCAACATTACAAAACCCCATCTCTACTAAAAATACAAAAATTAGCCAGGCATGGTGGTGCACACCTGTAGACCCAGCTACTCAGGAGGCTGAGGCAGCAGAATCACTTGAACCTGGGAGGCGGAGGCTGCAGTGAGCTGAGATTGTACCACTGCACTCCAGCCTGGGTGACAGAAAAAAAAAAGACTACAGGATAGTGTAAACATAACTGTTATAGGCCCTAGGGGAAAAAAAATCATGTGACTCACTTTATTGGAATATCCTCTTTATTACAGTGGTCTGAAATTGAACCTGCAATATCTCCAAGGTGTCCCTGTATACATACATCAAAGCAGCATTAACTTACCACAGTAAGTACCACTTGTCCTGGATGAGATAACACCCATTGGGAAAACATCTGGCAGTTCCAGTCTTCAATCCCTTGACTTAAAAATCTACAAATTAAAAAATTTATTTATGTTATTTATACTTAATCATTGATTGTGGCCATTTAATGACCAAGCATGACGAGGTCACAGGGGAGTTTTCCTTTAAGATCTCTGATTTCTTTGTTCTAACGTAGAAATCAGACCAAATAAAGGTAACAGAGCCTTAATCGAAGCATAATGCATACTCCTTAAATTCCTTTTTGAGATTATCTGTACTTTTCTAATAAGGCCATTGAGTTTCTGAGATGGTAAAAATATATAAAAAGAGATGACGCATATTAGCTCTGAATTGCTAATAGTATTTATGACAAAATCTATATTTGAAATAATTTCTACAAAATGGAATACTGGGCTGAAACTACCAGATGAGTAACAGTAAAGCCCTGCATGTAGCTTTTAAAATTAATTATAATGGACAGAATAGGATTCATGAAAAATATCCAGACAATTTTATTTAAGACAACAGTTAATGTGCACCAACAGTATAGGTTTCAATGTTGTCATTTTTTTCCATATGGAGTTTTAAGTTTCCTTATAGTCAAATCGGTCAATGATACATTTTTTTAAATCATTGATACTATATCTCTTAGAAATTCTCAACACTAAATTTCATTTTATTTTCTTCTAATTTGGCTTTCTTTCTTAGGTATCACTCTAAAATTCATTTAGAATGTATTTGAATATTTGAAATGAAGTACTGAACCTTTTAATTTTTGTTGTGCTTGCAAATGGTATCTATTTTTGTTTTTTTATCATTGCTGATGAGGAGAAATATGTCAATAACAACTTTTTATACATTTCAAAGCAGTATCAGTGTGAAATGTCTCTTCCATCAACTACAAATGATTCTTTATTTTATTTAATACCTTTGGAACTTAATTTTATTTTTAAACACTTTTTGTTGGCAGTTCCATGAAAAGTCCTTATGACTTTTATTCATAACTTTTTTGTCACATTGCTATACATCTCTCAAACAACATATAGTTACATTTCTCTTTTGACAAAATCTTTTAATGAAGATCTTACTGCACACTCGCATTGATATACTATAAGTATATGGAATACTTAAAACGTGCTGACCTAGAGGCACAGTAGAGTGTCACAAGTAGTTTGTGACCTCCAGGAGAAATGGGAAGGAACTTCATGCACTAAAAGGCAAGTTACTCACAGACTAGGTCCTTCCACATGCCCTGCTTGTCAGTTGCAACCACGGCATATAGGTTGTTGTAGTTAGAAACTAGTATTTGCTTTTAGAAGAGGGACTCACCAGTATAAATATGAAAAGATAACCAAGAATGACCAGCTATTTTAGAAAAACTAGTACCATCAAAAAGAACACAAGTCCATAGCCCCAAACTAAAATAAAGCGGTACTAACTTTAAAATAAAAGGAGAGGGAAGAAAACTTTAAAATAATTACATCATCAATTCTAAGGCAGAACTTTTTTTCTACATTTTAATCTTTTTGGAATCAGAAAGCATCTTATAATTAATGATGTCTGACAATCACTCAGCCAGGTGAGACCTATGACTTAGGAGTATAAAAATCTTCTATTGATGTTTTCTGGTAAGATAAAGTACTGCCAACGATCTGTTACATTTGATGAATGTACTTGTACATTCTCTTTAGAAAAAAATTATTTAATTATTTATTTATTATTTATTTCTATTTATTTATTTATTTATTTAATTTGAGATGGAGTCTCGCTCTGTCACCCAGGCTGGAGTGCAGTGGCACAATCTCAGCTCACTGCAACCTCCGCCTCCCGGGTTCAAGGGATTCTCCTGCCTCAGCCTCCCAAGTAGCTGGGACTACAGGTGTGCATCACCATGCCTGGCTAAATTTTGTATTTTTAGTAGAGACAGGGTTTCACCATGTTGGCCAGGCTGGTCTCAAACTCCTGATCTCAGGGGATCCACCCACCTCGGCCTCCCAAAAAAGAGGTAAATTCTATCACTTATGACAACATGAATAACCCTGGAGGACATTATGTATGCTAAGTGAAATAAGCCAGGCCAAGAAAGATGAATATTGTATGATCTCATTTATATGGAGAATCTAAAAAACATTCTCTATTCACAGAAGTAGAGAGTAGAATGGTGTTAACCAGAGGGTGAAAGTGGGGAGGGATGAGGAAAGGGGAGAAGTTAGTCTAAGGATACAAAGTTTCAGTTAGACTAGGAATAAATTTTAGCGATCTACTGCACAGCAGGTCACTATAGTTAATAATAATGTATGTTTCGCAATAGCTAAAAGTAAACTTGAAATGTTTTCACCATAAAAAATAAGCATGTGAGGTGATGAGTATTTTAATTAGCTTGAATCAATCATTTTACATTGTGTACATGTATCAAAACATCACAATGTATGCCATAATAGATACAATTATTATTTCTCAATTAAAAATTAAAAATAAATTAAATCTCTTTAAAACTCTGCAAACTATGAATAGGATGAAATATCTTTAGTTGGATAAGGCGTATATTCCAGAAACCTATGCATTATGGTCAAACACTAGAAGCTTTTCCAATAAAATTAAGAACAAAAAAAGGATGCTGTCAGTTGTACTTTTCGATGTTAAATAAAATTTGCATCTAAAATAACATGAAAAAATGGCATTTTAAAAAGAATTGCAAAGGAAGAGATAGGACTATCATTGTTAGCAAATGATATAATTGTCTAACCAGAAAAATCCCAGGACAACAATTGAAAAACTGCTTGTCTTTTTTGCTTAAATGCCCAGATTCATTTTTTCAGGGTTTCTTGCCTACAGAAGTCTCTCTTTACATACAAGGTAACTCTGGTTCTTATCATATCACCCCAGGGGTAAGACTGAAACTGCATTTGCAAAAATTGTAACTTAGGACATTATGACACTGAAAGAGATCAGACGCAACTAACTTCATCTTGCTTCTAACCTTTAAACTGTCCTTTTTCATTCCTGGGTATAGGCTGAACCAACCTTGGGAAGGAATTTAGTTTACAATTTGACTCAAACAAAACCGGCAACAGCCCTTTCCTGAAAAGACTCCTGTCTTGCCTGGGGACCAGTCTGCCTTTGTAGGATTAACAAATTATCTACAAGATTAGAAATTACGGTTTAGGGGTCATGCAGCCTCTTGCTGCAAGTCTGAACCTCCCAAAATTTTTCCTGGGAATAATATCACTATTGTGAAGCCTAAGATCAGTGCTTGAGATATTTTGCTGGCCCTGCACTTGATGGATCAGCTGACACCACCCAGTCTGGTAATCTGGCTCAATCAGTTCTGGGATCCCATCCAGGAACAGAAGACAGCAAGAAAAGCTCACTTTGACCCCCGCTATGATTCCATCTCCAACCTGACCAATCAGTACTCCCCACTTCTGGAGCCCCTACCTGCCAAATTATCCTTAAAAACTCTGATCCCTGAATTCTCCAGGAGACTGAGTTGAGTAATAATAAAACTGGTCTCCTATACAGCTGGCTTGTGTGAATTACTCTTTCTCCACTGCATTTCCCCTGTCTTGATAAATTGGCTCTGTCTAGGCAGCAGGCAAGGTGAACCCACTGGGTGGTTACAAGAATTGAAGAAAAGGAGAGCCAGAATGGTTATTTATGTAAGTAAATCATAATCTTCTCTGCTCTAGAAACCTTGTATTGGCCTTCAGAATAATATTAACAACTATAGATATAAAAACCTAAAAGTCAATAGCCTTTCTATTACCAACAATGAATAATTAGAAATACAATATAACAGTTCTAGTCAAGTTAGTTTTGAAAGTTCACGCTCTGAGGTTTTTTTCTTCATTCTAAACAGATGCAATGATAGACTTAAATATGAAAAGGAGAACGTTAGAAAGAGTAAGCCAAGTAAACAATCCTAGGAAGTAAAAGTAGAACCAAAATGCAAAGTAGTGAGGTGTGCTCAAACGGGAGCCCTACTGAGCAGAGTTCAGATCCTGAACAGTTTTCTGATACAGCTGAATCTCAACGTACACAAAAGCCATCTGAAGGTTGTGCATGTAAACACTCTCAAACTGACAGTTACACTGTAAAAGTGATTATTTTCCATTTAGTCATCATGTGTCATCATGTTCCATTAAAACCCATTTCATAAGAGATTTGACTCCATATTCTTTTCTGGATATTTCTCACTTAGATTAGTAGATAAGTGAGTTTTAAAAAATGTGTGTGTATATATATATGTGCAAGTATATATATAAAATATATAATTTTAGGATTTGAAAATTGTACTTACTTTTTTAGCACATCGAACATGCTTTTTTCTACATTTACCAGCCACTGTTCTACAGCACTTCTTACACGAATTTTCCTAAAATTAGTTTCAAAAATAATATCATGAAGAATTATTTTTTAATTCATGTTTCAGTCCTTTGACAAGCCTGTAGACTAAATTTTCTACATACTTTAATAATATTCATGGGCCAAAGGACTACTACTGCCTTTTGGTTTTTCTAAATCTTAATTTTGAAAACTATGCAGAAAACATATGAACATGCTTTAGGAAATTCTGATATCAAAATCATGAATTTACACAATAAATAAGTTTCATGTAAAATGGTATTTACAAGATAAACAAATTGTGTTATAAAACAGTTTTGGATTCCTCACTGGAATTTTTCTTTTCTTTTTTTTTTTTTTTTTTGAGACAGAGAGAGTCTCGTTCTGTCACCCAGGCTGGAGTGCAATGGTGCCACCTTGGGTCACTGCAACCTCCACCTCCTGGGTTCAAGTGATTCTCCTGTCCCAGCCCCCCAAGTAGCTGGGATTACAGGTGCCTGCCACCACGATCAGCTAATTTTTGTATTTTTAGTAGAGATAGGGTTTCACCATGTTAGTCAGGCTGGTCTCAAACTCCTGACCTTGGGTAATTCACCTGCCTCGGCCTCCCAAAGTGTCGGGATTACAGGCTTGAGCCACTGCACCCGGCCTTCCTCACTGGATCTTTTAAACAGCAGGGTTGGAATAGGGATTTTGGTAGATAAGAAGGGTTGGGCACAGCATTTTTTTAAAAATCAACTTACATCAGGACCACTTGCCAAAGGTTAGAGAGCCCTTGCTGGGGCTGGCAAATTGAACCAGTGTAATGGAAGGACCTAGTTTGTCATTATTGCCTGGGAGCAAACCACAGTGAAACCAGAGATCAGCAGAAGCAGTAGTGGGAGTAGCATCAACAACTCCAAATAGCCAATTTTCTTCTTATCTATATTCATATACTAAAACCAAAAAGGGAAAAAGCACTAAAAAGAGAGTAGGAAACTTAAGGCAGAATTTAATGACAGAACAAAATGTAAGTGCAAATTAGAATGCACCCAGGAGTTTGAAGACTGCTTTCTCAACTTTTAATTAGAGCAAAGGTGAGATTATGTATTGTAGGGAATATGGAAAGGCAAAAGTATATTTACGTAAGGATATAATCTTTGAAGAAACAGTTTGCTTAGCGCACTTTTATAATATATCAAAAATTTCAAAGCAGAGATTTTAAATAATGACGTTGTACAGAATCTAAACAGTTTGTAACATTTATCATACTTTGGCAGCACGAGACCTTCCCCTTCAGCAGATATTAGCATTTTTACAGCAGGAGGGCCAATGTCTTGTTTCCATATCAATAATTGTTTTATATTTTCAAAGCATTTCACAAGATGAGGCTGTGAACCAGAAACAAATGTCAGTAATATTATTGAATTGTGATCTGAATATCGCTAATATAATATTGCTGAGCAGAGAAAGATGTTATTACCTGTACAGACTCAGGATTTCTGCTATCAGCTAGAATATCAAGAAGCTCGGCATTGCTAAGAAAGTAAAATCTTGGGAAAATTAATCTTTTAACTTCAAGGTAATCCTGTCCAGAATCAAAAGAAATGCAATTCAGAATATATGCTTAATTATGATATGAATTACATCCTCATTTTGACCTATACTTACAAACAAAAGCCACAATATTAGTTATGGTATATATAGTAGTATCAGTTAAAATAACATTCCATGCTTAATGAAAGTGATACTTAAATTGCTAAAAAAAAGTTTAATAAAGCTAAACTAAAACAAATGAAACCAAAATCAAAATAAACAAGAAAACCCCACCCTTAGACACACATATACCATTTTATTCTAGTTTGTCATTATTGCCTGGGAGCAGGCAATAATAATAATAATTATTATTATTATTGATCAAAATAATAAAGTATTGTATTTTGGTATTATCAACATTGCTTTCCCATACTTCTGACTTTCTGCTCTTATTTCCCTATAGGTGTGGTTATCACTTTATAGACTAAGTTACCATATCACAGATAACTTTACATTCACTGTATAGAGAATTTCTATATTTCTCACTCCTTTCTATAACTTAGAGGCATTAACACTAGTCTCAATCCTTTCCTTCTTTTCAGAGGAAGAGATACCCATTAACTTATGCCAGACTAAGATACTCTTGATTTATTTATTACTCTTTTGTAACTTCAATCTCTCCCTTGCAATAGGCCTCCCCCTAAATTTCTCTCATTATAACAATATAAGAAGCCCTCCATCTCTCTTTGTTCTCCTTTAGCTACTGTCTACTTGCTTGTCTTCTCTCCACGAAGTTCTTGAAAAGAACTTGTGAAGTCAGATTCTTTGTATCTCTCAGTTGTCTCGTGCTCTGCCACCTGGCCCTGACTATTACCAAATTTACTGAGAGCTTTTCAGTCTTTGTGTTACATGACATTTTCATAGCATTTGATACTGTTGACTCTGCCCTTCATTTTGACTTCTAAAGTTTCACTCTCTTCCATCCCTAAGCTACGTCTTATTATTTTCCATCAAAAGTCCCTCTTGGACCCATACATCTTAATGCTGACATCTGTTAAGTTCCAACCTCATCACTTTTCCTACTCATTATGCTCTTCTTGAGCTATTTGATACAGACATACTTGCTCTTCAGCTCAGATCACTTCTCTCTGCCCTGGATCTACATACCCAATTGCTAACTGAAGATGTTCACTTGAATGTCCTGTAGGTATTAGATTTTCAATATGAACCAAACGTATCTAGGCATAACCCGGGACCTCTTTCTTTTATTCTCTACTTCCTATCGGATGCTCCAAGCTCTACCTTCTTTCATCTTCCTCATGGCCTTACTTTAGCCCCCAATATTTCTAGTCTTTTAACTGATTTTTAAATATCTATTCTCATTGCCCCCAATCCACTCTATGCTTCTTTCCAGACAGATATTTCTGATTTAATTATTTCACTCTCTTATTTAAAATCCTTCAGTGGCTACTTATAAAAGTAAAAACTCATTGTGATATTCAAGGCCCTTCACCCTCTGTCCTCTGCCTGACTGGAGAATCTCATCTCTCACCACTTTCCCATCTGCAACCTGTTTTATCTGTACCATCTTGCTTACAAATCCAGAATGTGCCATACCTGCTCATGGCTCCATGTCTTTGTACTTTTTACCTTTGCCTAAAATACTCTTCCCACCTACCCATCCTTCTCTAATCTAACTCTTTTATCTATTTAACACCTACATTTCTTTCAAGACCAGTTATCATTGCCTACAGGCTGGGTTAATTTGTCCTCTTTTATATGGTCATACCATCCAACCCATCATAGCATACATCACATTGTAATATCTCCTTACTTTTTTTGTCTCCTAAAATAGATTTTGAGTTCTGTAATAGCAGGGAATATGTCTTTTATCTTTGTAGTACCAACACATAGCAGCAGTGCCTGATACAAAATGGTGCTCAATACATGAATAAATGGAAAGCTATTGGTTTGTAATGATCCTCAGTAATAGTCTAAAGATGTGCTGGAAATATTTGGAAGGCTTATCTCAACGATGACTTGGTAAACCGGCTATTATTAACCAGAATCAATCTGGCTGCAGCCCCTTATGCTTGCTCCAGAGTGCAGATTTCAATAGAAGAGGGCCTATATGGGCAGATAATTTTGTATAGGCTGTGATTGCCTATAGTTGTTTTGGAGGGCTCATCACAACCACTGTTACTTGTGTTCAGTAAGCAAAAGCAATTAATGCCTGAATAAAAATCTTGGTTCATGAAGTAAAGTGAATATGTACACCACAAATCTCAAAAATTAAAATGTAGTATTTTAGGATACATGTCTAGTTTATACTTTAATGTTCTGAGAATGTATAAATATATGGAATCAGTAATTTATAGACTCATAAAAACATTCTGTTTCAACTTTTGCAGAATTTATCAACTTAATGGTGCTAATAAAAATAGTTAACCTGCACAAGACTCAGTGCTGTGCTGGCTTCGCGTCTGACCCACCACAGCTCCAGTGATGGTGGCCACAGGGTGCTTGTGTCACCCCTCCGCCAGCTCTAGGCAGCTTAGCACACAGAGAGAGACTCCATTGTTAGGGAAAAAGCAATTATTTTTGCCAGCACTTATGCTTTAAATGCATCATCTCAGTGACAAACCCCTCAAGGTAGCACTATCATTATTCTCAACTTAAAGATAAGGAAGGCAAGATGGCTGAATAGACTCCTCCACTGATTGTGCTCCCCACAGATATAACAAATTTAACAACTATCTCTATGAAAAAAGCATCTTCATACAAAGGTAAGCATTCATAGTACCTGGTTTTAACTTTATATTGCTGAAAGAGACACTTAAGAGAGTAGGAAAAACAGTCTTGAATTGCTGAAGCCACCCTTCCCCCACCCCCTGTGGTGGACTTGTGGCACAGAGAGAGAATGAGTGTGCTTGGGGGAGAGAGAGCACAGTGACTGTGGGATTTTGCATTGAAACTCAGTGCTGCCAACACTGGACATAACTCAGCTGAAGCCCACAGAGGGAACATTTAGACCAGCCCTAGCCAGAGGGTAAGCATCCATTCCAGCAGTCAGAACTTTAGTTTTGGTAAGCCTTGCTTCTGTGGGCTAAAGTGGTCTAGGGTTCTAAACAAACTTGAAAGGCAGTATAGGCCATAAAGACTGCAAGTCCTAGGCAAGTCCTAGTGCCGTGCTGGGCTCAGAGCCAGTGGACTGGGGGGACACATGATCTATTGAGACACCAGCTGAAGCAACTAAAGGAGAGCTTGCATCACCTCTCCCCCAACCCCAGGCAGCACAGCTCCCAGCTCCAAAAGAGACTTGTTACCTCCACTTCAGGACAGGAGAGGGAAGACTAAAGAGGACTTTTTCTTCCAACTTGGATACTGGCTCAGCCATAGTAGGATAGGGCACCTGGCAGGGTCATGAGGCTCCCATTCTAGGCCCTAGATCTTGTATGACATTTCTAGACACACTCTGGGTCAGAAGGGAACCTGCTGCCTTGAACAGAAGGATCCAGTCCTAGCAGGATTCATCACCTGCTAACTAAACAGCCCTTGGGCCCCGAATAATCAGCAACAGTAGCCAGGTAGTACATGCCATGGGCCTTGGGTGAGACTCTGAGACATTCTGGCTTCATATGTGACCCAACATGTTCCCAGCTGTTTTGGCTATGAGGGAAGACTTCTTTTGCTTGAGAAAAGCACAGTGTAAAGTGTAAAGTGGACTTTGCCTTACAGCTTAGGTACCAGCTTGGCTACAATGGGGTAGAGCACCAAGCAGGCACTTGGGGTCTCTGATTCCAGGCCTTGCCTCTTGGATGGCATTTCTGCACCTGCCCTGGGCTAGAATGGAGTCCATTACCCTCAAGGGTGAGTCCAAAGCCTGGCAGCATTTACTACAAAGTAACTAAAGAGCCCTTGGGCTTTAGTGAACATCAGCGGTACCCCGGCAGTACTCCCTATGGACTTGTGGTGGTGAGGGCCATGGAGAAAGACTCCTCTGCCTGTGGAAAGGGAAGGGAAGAGTGAGAAGGACTGTGTCTTGTGGTTTGAGTGCCAGCTCAGGTGTAGTAGAATAAAGAAGTATATTTCTAAGGTTTCTGACTATAGATACTGGTTCCCAGATGGCATCTCTGGAACCACCCAGGGCCCAGGGGGAACTCACTACTCTTAAGGGAACAACACAAGCCTGGCTGGCTTCACCACCTGCTGATTATGCAGCCCTAGGGCCTTGAACAAACATAGGCGGTAGCCAAGTAGTGATTACAGTGGACCTTGCACAAGCCTCAGTCAGTGCTGGCTTCAGGTCTGACCCACCATGGCTCCAGTGATGGTGGCCACATGCATGCTTGTGTCACCCCTCCACCAGTTCCAGGCAGCTCAGCACACAGAGAATGACTCAATTGTTTGGGAAAAAGTAAGGGAAGAGAACAAGAATCTCTGCTTGGTAATCTGGAGAATTCTTCTGAATCTTATCCAAGGCCACCAAGGTGGTACCTTGTCTGCAAGAACCACAGCATTACTGAGCTTTGGGTACTCCCTAATGAAAATACAGCTGCAGTGAGCAATAACATAGATAGTAACAGCCAAGTTTCTTAAAATACCTGGAAGGCCTGCCCAAGAACGATAAGTTCAAACAAGCCCAGACTGCAAAACTACAATAAATACATAACTCTTCAATGCCAACACCAACAAAGCCTCAAGACCACCCAGGAAAACAAAACCTTACCAAATAAATTAAATAAGCCTCCAGGGACCAACCCCAAAGTGACAGAGATATGTGACTTTTCAGATAGAGAATTCAAAATACCTATGTTAAGAAAACTCAAAGAAATTAAAGATAACAAAGAAAAGGAATTCAGAATCCTTTCAGAAAAATTTAACAAAGAAATTGATATAACTGAAAAGAATCAAGCAGAAATTCTGTATTTGAAAAATGCAATTGACATACTGAAGACTGCATCAGAGTGTCTTAGCAGCAGAATTGATCAAGCAGAAGAGAGAATTAGTGAGCTTGAAGACAGGCTATTTGAAAATACAGATGAGGCATCAGAAAAAAAGAATAAAAAAGAATAAAGCATGACTACAAGATCTAGAAAATAGCAGCTAGAAAAATAAAACATAGCCTAAAAATAGAAAAGCTAAGAGTTACTGGCCTTAAAGAGAAGGTAAAGATGAAGACAGGGGTTGAAATGAATAATAACAGAAAACTTCTCAAACCTAGAGAAAGATATCAGTATTGAAGTACAAGAAGGTTATAGAACACCAAACAGATTTAACCCAAAGAAGACTTCCTCAAGGCATTTAATATTCAAACTTCCAAAATTCAAGGATAAAGAAAGGATCCTAAAAGTAGCAAGAGGAAAGAAACAAATAAAACACAATGGAACTCCAATATATCTGGCAGTAGACTTTTCAGTGGAAACCTTATAGGCCAAGAGAGTGGCATGACTTACTTGAAGTGCAGAAGGAAAAAAAGCTTTTACCCTAGTATAGTATATCTGTCCAAAATATCCTTCGAATAGGAAGGGGACATACAGATTTTCAAAACAAATAAAAGCTGAGGGATTTCACCAAGATGACACATGTTATACAAGAAATGTTGAAGAGAGTCCATCAATCAGAAAAACACAAAATATTGTAATGCTGTAATTGTGGTGTGTAAACTACTCATATCTTAAGTAGAAAGGCTAAAAGACAAAGTAATAAAAAAAACTAGAACAACTTTTCAAGACATAGATCATACAATATGGTATAAATAGAAAAAACCAAAAAGTTAAAAAGGGGGACAAAGTTAAACTGCAGAGTTTTTATTAGCTTTGTTTTTGCTCATTTGTTTGTTTATGCAATCAGTGTTAAGTTGTCACCAATTTAAAATAACAGTTACATGATATTATTTGCAAGCCTCATGGTAACCTCAGATCCAAAAAGATAAAATAGATACATAAAAAAGAAAAAGCAATAAATTACAAAATGCCACCAAAGAAAATCACCTTTACTAAAAAGAAGACAGGAGGGAAGGAAAGAAGGAAGAGAAGACCACAAAACAACCAGAAAACAAATTTTAAAAATGGCAAGCATAAGTCCTTACTTATGAATGATAACACTGAATGTAAATGGACCAAACTCTCCAATAGGACATAAAGTGGCTGAATAGATTAAAAAAAAAGACTCAACAATCTGCTCCCAATAAGAAACACACTTCACCTATAAAGGCACACATAGACTGAAACTAAAAGGGTGGAAAAAGATATTCCATGCAAATGGAAACCAAAAAAGAGCAAGAATAGCTCTATTTATATCACACAAATTAGATTTCATGACAAAAACCATAAAAAGACAAAGAAAGTCATTACATAATGATAAAAGGGTCAATTCAGCAAGAGGATAAGAAGGGTCAATTCAGCAAGGTGCATATAAATATAAATGCACCCAACCCTGAAGGGCCCAGATATATAAAGCAAATATTATTCAAGCTAAAGAGAGAGATAGACCACAATCCAATAGTTGGAGACTTCAATACTCCACTTTCAGCACTGGACAGATCATCCAGACAGAAAATCAACAAAGAAACATTGGAATTAATCTGCACAATAGACCAAATGGACCTAATAGATATTTACAGAACATTTCATCCAATGGTTGCAGGATGCACATTCTACTCAGCCCATGGATCATTTTCAAAGAATGATATGTTAGGCCACAAAACAAGTCTTAAAACATTCAAAAACACTGAAATAATACCAAGTATCTTTTCTGACCACAATGGAATAAAACTAGAATTCAATTACAAGAGGAATTATGGAAATTATATAAACACATGGAATTTAAACCATATGCTCCTGAATGACCATGTCAGTGTCAATGAAGACATTAAGAAGAAAATTGGAAAATAATAACAGAAACACAACATACCAAAACTTATGGGATATACCAAAAGGGGAGTTTATAGCTGTGTCTATGTCAAAAAAGTAGAAAAACTTCAAATAACTTAAAAACGCATCTTAAAGAATTAGAAAAGAGCAAACTAAACTCAAAATTAGTAGAAGAAAATAAAGATCAGAACTGAAATAAATGAAATTACACTATAGAAAAGATAAAATGAAAAGTTGTTTTTAGAAAAAAACATAAAGAAAACTGACAAACCTTTAGCCAGACTAAGAAAAAAAAAGAAAGAAGACCCAAATAAATACAATCAGAGATAAAAAAGGAGACATGACAACCAGTACCACAGAAATTCAAAGGATCACTAGAGACTACTATGAGCAACTATATGCCAATAAATTGGAAGATCTAGTAGGAATGGATAAATTCCTAAACACATACAACCTACCAAGAAGGAATCATGAAGAAATATAAAACCTGAACAGACTAATAACAAGTAATGAGATCAAACCTGTAATAAAGTCCCCCAGCAAAGAAAAGCCTAGGACCTGATGCTTCACTGCTGAATTTTGCCAAATATTTAAAGAAGAACTAATACCAATCCTCATAAAGTCTTCCAAAAAATAGAGAAAGGAATACTTCCAAACTCATTCTGTGATGCCGGTATTACCCTGATACTAAAAGCAGACAAAGACACATTAAAAAAGAAAACTACAGGCCCATATCCCTGGTGAAAATTGATGCAAAAATCCTCAACAAAATGCATGCAAACCAAAGTCAACAACACATTTAAAAGGTGATTTATCATGACCAAGTGGGATTCATCCCAGTGATGCAATGATGGTTCAAAATATGCAAATAAATCAGTGTGAAACATCATATCAACAGAATAAAGAACAAAAACCATATGATCATTTCAATTGATGCTGATAAAGCATTTGATTAAATTCAACACTGAATATAGAAGAAACATATCCAACAAAATAAAAGCCACATATTACAGACTCACAGCTAGTATCACACTAAATGGGGAGAAAATGAAAGCCTTTCCTCTAAGATCTGGAAGGTCATAGAGGCCAAGGGTGCCCAGTTTCCCCACTGTTATTCAATGTAACACTGGAAGTCCTAGCTGGAGCAATCAGAAAAGAGAAAGAAACAAAGGGCATCCAAGTTGGAAAAGCAGAAGTCAAACTCTCCTTGTTTGCAGATGATATGATCTTATATAGGGGAAAACCTAAAGACTCCACCAAAAAACTATTAGAACTGATAAACAAGTAAAGTTACAGAATACAAAATCAACATACAAAAATCAGTAGCATTTCTATATGCCAAGAGTGAACAATATGAAAAAAAATCAAGAAAGTAATCTCATTTACAACAGCTACACATAAAATTAAGTATCTAGGAATCAACCTAAGAAGTGAAAGATCTCTATAATAAAAAATATAAAACATTGATGCAAGAAATTGATGAGGACACCAAAAAATGGAAAGATATTCCATATTACATGAATTGCAAGAATCAATATTGTTAAAATGTCCCCACTACTCAAAGCAATGTACAGAGTCAATGCAGTCCCTATCAGAGTACCAATGACATTCTTCACAGAAATAGAAAAACTATCCTAAAATTTATACTGAGCCACAAAAGACCCAGAATATCCAAAGCTATTCTGGGCAAAAAGAACAAAGCTGGAAGAATCACATTACCTGACTTTAAACTGTATCACAGAACTACAGCAACCAAAATAGCAAACTAGTCACATAAAAACAGACACATAGACCAGTGGAACAGAATGAGAAATCCAGAAACGAATCCGTACATCTACAGTGAACTCATTTTTGACCAAGGTGCCAAGAACATACATTGGAAAAAGGGCAGGTTCCTCAACAAATGATGCAGGAAAAATTGGATATCTATATGCAGAAGAATAAAACTAGACTCCTATCTTTCGCCATATACAAAAATCAAATTAAAATGGATTTCACACTTAAATCTGAGACCTCAAACTATTAAACTACTAAAAGAAAACGCTGTGGAAATTCTCTATTTTATTAGACTGGGCAAAGATTTCTTGAGTAGTACCTTATGAGCACAGACAACCACAGGAAAAATGGACAAATGGGATCATATCAAGTTAAAAAGCTTTTGCACAACAAAGGAATCAACAAAATAATGAAGAGACAACCCACAGAATGGGAGAAAATACTTTTAAACTATCCATCTGACAAGGGATTAATAACTATTAATAGAATATACATGGAGTTCAAACAGCTCTATAGGAAAAAATGCAATAAAAATTTAATAATCTGATTTTAAAATGGGCAAAAGATCTGAATAGACATTTCTCAAAAGAAGACATACAAATGGCAACCAGGTTGTATTAGTCACGGTTCTCTAGAGGGACAGGACTAATAGGATAGATGTATATATGAAAGGGAGTTTATTAAGGAGTATTGACTTACACGGTCACAAGGTGAAGTCCCACAATAGGCCTTCTGCAAGCTGAGGAGCAAGGAAGCCAGTTAGAGTCCCAAAAACTCAAAGGTAGGGAAGCCAACAATGCAGCCTTCAGTCTGTGGCTGAAGGCCTGAGAAACCCTGGCAAACCACTGGTGTAAGTCCAAGAGTCCAAAAGCTGAAGAACTTGGAGTCTGATGTTCAAGGGCAGGAAGCATCCAGCAAGGGAGAAAGATAAAGGCTGGAAGATTCAGCCAGTCTAGTCCTTCCACGTTCCTCTGCCAGTTTTTATCCTAGCAGCACTGGTAGCTGATTAGATGGTGTCTACCCAGATTGAGGGTGGGACTGGCTCTCCCAGTCCACTGACTCAAATGTTAATCTCCTTCGGCAACAACCTCACAGACACACCCAGGAACAATACTTTGCATCCTTTAATCCAGTAAAGTTGACACTCAATACTAACCATCACACAGGTATATGAAAAAGTGTTTATTATCACTGATCATCAGGGAAATGCAAATCAAAGTGACAATGAGATATCATCTCACTTCAGTTAAAATGGCTTTTTTCCAAAAGACAGGCAATAACAAATGTTGGCAAGGATATGGAGAAAAGGGAACCCTTGTACACTGTTTGTGGGAATGTAAATTAGTACAACCACTATGGAGAACAGTTTGGAAGTTCCTCAAAAAACTAAAAATAGAGCTACCATAAGATTCAGCAATTCCGGTATCCATGGCAGGTGGGGTTCCTGTCCTGTGCTTTGGAGAGCCCCTGCCTCTGTCTCCGTACAGGGGAGCTTCTTCCTTTTTTCTTCCCACTTCTATCTTGCCTACTAAACTCTGGGTTCCTTAAAAACACTCCATGTATGTCCATGTCGTTTTGTCTAAGCCGGCATGAGGACAAAGAACCCTGGTGTTCCTCCACTCATCGGAGCCATATCAATAAGTTTTTGTTGAAAGCCAGATGTTAGGTAAAAGGAACTCAGTTTCAGTCACATGTTCATAAAAACTAAAGCAGTACGCAGCTGGAGATCTGAGAATGGACAGACTGCCTCCTCAAGTGGGTCCCTGATCCCCGAGTAGCCTGAGAGGCACCCCCCAGTAGGGGCAGACTGACACCTCACACGGCCAGGTACTCCTCTGAGACAAAACTTCCAGAGGAATGATCAGGCAGCAACATTTGCTGTTCACCAATATCTGCTGTTCTGCAGCCTCCGCTGCTGATACCCAGGCAAACAGGGTCTGGAGTGGACCTCCGGCAAACTCCAACAGACCTGCAGCTGAGGGTCCTGACTGTTAGAAGGAAAACTAACAAACAGAAAGGACATCCACACCAAAACCCCATCTGTACGTCACCACCATCAAAGACCAAAGGTAGATAAAACCACAAAGATAGGGAAAAAACAGAGTAGAAAAAATGGAAACTCTAAAAATCAGAGCGCCTCTCCTCCAAAGAAACGCAGCTCCTCACCAGCAACGGAACAATGCTGGATGGAGAATGACTTTGACGAGTTGAGAGAAGAAGGTTTCAGATGATCAAACTATTCTGAGCTAAAGGAGGAAGGTAGAACCAATGGCAAAGAAGTTAAAAACCTTGAAAAAAAATTAGATGAATGGCTAACTAGAATAACCAATGCAGAGAAGTCCTTAAAGGACCTGATGGAGCTGAAAACCAAGGCACAAGAACTATGTGACGAATGCACAAGCCTCAGTAGCCGATTCAATCAACTGGAAGAAAGAGTATCCGTGATGGAAGATCAAATGAATGAAATGAAGTGAGAAGAAAAGTTTAGAGAAAAAAGAATAAAAAGAAACGACAAAGCCTCCAAGAAATATGGGACTATGTGAAAAGACCAAATCTACGTCTGATTGGTGTACCTGAAAGTAACAGGGAGAATGGAACCAAGTTGGAAAACACTCTGCAGGATATTATCCAGGAGAACTTCCCAATCTAGCAAGGCAGGCCAACATTCAACTTCAGCAAATACAGAGAACGCCACAAAGATACTCCTCGAGAAGAGCAACTCCAAGACACATAATTGTCAGATTCACCAAAGTTGAAATGAAGGAAAAAATGTTAAGGGCAGCCAGAGAGAAAGGTCGGGTTATCCACAAAGGGAAGCCCATCACACTAACAGCTGGTCTCTCGGCAGAAACTCTGCAAGCCAGAAGAGAGTGGGGGCCAATATTCAACATTCTTAAAGAAAAGAATTTTCAACCTAGAATTTCATATCCAGCCAAACTAAGCTCCATAAGTGAAGGAGAAATAAAATCCTTTACAGACAAGCAAATGCTGAGAGATTTTGTCACCACCAGGCCTGCCCTAAAAGTGCTCCTGAAGGAAGCACTAAACATGGAAAGGAACAACTGGTACCAGCCACTGCAAAAACATGCCAAATTGTAAAGACCATGCAGGAAGAAACTGCATCAACTAAAGAGCAAAATAACCAGCTAACATCATAATAACAGAATTGAATTCACACATAACGATATTAACCTGAAATGTAAATGGGCTAAATGCTCCAATTAAAAGACACAGACTGGCAAATTGGATAAAGAGTCAAGAACCATCAGTGTGCTGTATTCAGGAAACCCATCTCACGTGCAGAGACACACATAGGCTCAAAATAAAGGGATGGAGGAAGATCTACCAAGCAAATGGAAAACAAAAAAGGGCAGGCGTTGCAATCTTAGTCTCTGATAAAACAGACTTTAAACCAACAAAGATCAAAGGAGACAAAGAAGGCCATTACAAAATGGTAAAAGGATCAATTCAACAAGAAGAGCTAACTATCCTAAATATATATGCACCCAATACAGGAGCACCCAGATTCATAAAGCAAGTCCTTAGAGACTTAGAAAGAGACTTAGACTCCCACACAATAATAATGGGAGACTTTAATACCCCACTGTCAACATTAGACAGATCAACAAGACAGAAAGTTAACAAGGATATCCAGGAATTGAACTCAGCTCTGCACCAAGCGGACCTAATAGACATCTACAGAACTCTCCACCCCAAATCAACAGAATATACATTCTTCTCAGCACCACACTGCACTTATTCCAAAATTGACCACATAGTTGGAAGTAAAGCTCTCCTCAGCAAATGTAAAAGATCAGAAATTATAACAAACTGTCTCTCAGACCACAGTGCAATCAAACTAGAACTCAGGATTAAGAAACTCACTCAAAACCGCTCAACCACATGGAAAAGGAACAACCTGCTCCTGAATGACTACTGGATACATAAGGAAATGAAGGTAGAAATAAAGATGTTCTTTGAAACCAATGAGAACTAAGACACAACATACCAGAATCTATGGGACACATTCAAAGCAGTGTGTCGAGGGAAATTTATAGCACTAAATGCCCACAAGAGAAAGCAGGAAAGATCCAAAATTGACACCCTAACATCACAATTAAAAGAACTAGAGAAGCAAGAGCAAACACATTCAAAAGCTTGCAGAAGGCAAGAAATAACTAAGACCAGAGCAGAACTGAAGGACATAGAGACATAAAAAACCCTTCAAAAAATCAATGAATCTAGGAGCTGGTTTTTTGAAAAGATCAACAAAATTGATAGACCGCTAGCAAGACTAATAGAGAAGAAAAGAGAGAAGAATCAAATAGACACAATAAAAAATGATAAAGGGGACATCACCACCTATCCCACAGAAATACAAACTACCATCAGAGAATACTATCAACACCTCTATGCAAATAAACTAGAAAATCTAGAAGAAATGGATAAATTCCTTGACACATACACCCTCCCAAGACTAAACCAGGAAGAAGTTGAATCTCTGAATAGACCAATAACAGGCTCTGAAATTGAGGCAATAATTAATAGCTTACCAACCAAAAAAAGTCCAGGACCAGATGGATTCACAGCCGAATTCTACCAGAGATACAAGGAGGAGCTGGTACCATTCCTTCTGAAACAATTCCAAACAATAGAAAAAGAGGGAATCCTCCCTAACTCATTTTATGAAGCCAGTATCATCCTGATACTAAAGCCTGACAGAGACACAACAAAAAAAGAGAATTTTAGACCAATATCCCTGATGAACATCAATGCAAAAATCCTCAATAAAATACTGGTAAACCGAATCCAGCAGCACATCAAAAAGCTTCTCCACCATGATCAAGTGGGCTTCATCCCTGGGATTCAAGGCTGGTTTAACATATGGAAATCAATAAACATAATCCAGCATATAAACAGAACGACAAAAACCATATGATTATCTCAATAGATGCAGAAAAGGCCTTTGACAAAATTCAACAACGCTTCATGCAAAAACTCTCAATAAATTAGGTATTGAGGGGACGTATCTCAAAATAATAAGAGCTAGCTATGACAAACCCACGCCACTATCACACTGAATGGGCAAAAACTGGAAGCATTCCCTTTGAAAACTGGCACAAGACAGGGATGCCCTCTCTCACCACTCCTATTCAACATAGTGTTGGAAGTTCTGGCCAGGGCAATCAGGCAGGGGAAGGAAATAAAGGGTATTCAATTAGGAAAAGAGGAAGTCAAATTGTCCCTGTTTGCAGATGACATGATTGTATATCTAGAAAACCCCATCGTCTCAGCCCAAAATCTCCTTAAGCTGATAGGCAACTTCATTAAAGTCTCAGGATACAAAATCAATGTGCAAAAATCACAAGCGTTCTTATACACCAATGACAGACAAAC
This sequence comes from Homo sapiens, assembly GCF_000001405.40. NCBI lineage: Eukaryota > Metazoa > Chordata > Mammalia > Primates > Hominidae > Homo > Homo sapiens. Next base: position 225,103,687 of record NC_000001.11, on the reverse strand, counting down.
AGAGAGCCATATCATGAGTGAACTCCCATTCACAATTGCTTCAAAGAGAATAAAATACCTAGGAATCCAACTTACAAGGGACGTGAAGGACCTCTTCAAGGAGAACTACAAACCACTGCTCAATGAAATAAAAGAGGATACAAACAAATGGAAGAACATTCCATGCTCATGGGTAGAAAGAATCAATATCGTGAAAATGGCCATACTGCCCAAGGTAATTTATAGATTCAATGCCATCCCCATCAAGCTACCAATGACTTTCTTCACAGAATTGGAAACAACTACTTTAAAGTTCATATGGAACCAAAAAAGAGCCCGCATTGTCAAGTCAATGCTAAGCCAAAAGAACAAAGCTGGAGGCATCACGCTACCTGACTTCAAACTATACTACAAGGCTATAGTAACCAAAACAGCATGGTACTGATACCAAAACAGAGATATAGATCAATGGAACAGAACAGAGCCCTCAGAAATAATGTCCCATATCTACAACCATCTGATCTTTGAGAAACCTGATAAAAACAAGCAATGTGGAAAGTATTCCCTATTTAATAAATGGTGCTGGGAAAACTGGCTAGCCATATGTAGAAAGCTGAAACTGGATCTGTTCCTTACACCTCATACAAAAATTAATTCAAGATGGATTAAAGACTTAAATGTTAGACCTAAAACCATAAAAACCCTAGAAGAAAACCTAGGCAATACCATTCAGGACATAGGCATGGCCAAGGACTTCATGTCTAAAACAACAAAAGCAATGGCAACAAAAGCCAAAATTGACAAATGGGATCTAATTAAACTAAAGAGCTTCTGCACAGCAAAAGAAATACCATCAGAGTGAACAGGCAACCTACAGGATGGCAGAAAATTTTTGCAATCTACTCATCTAACAAAGGGCTAATATCCAGAATCTACAATGAACTCAGTCAGATTTACAAGAAAAAAACAAACAACCCCATCAAAAAGTGGGCGAAGGATATGAACAGACACTTCTCAAAAGAAGACATTTATGCAGCCAAATACACATGAAAAAATGCTCATCATCACTGGCCATCAGAGAAATGCAAATCTAAACCACAATGAGATACCATCTCACACCAGTTAGAATGGCGATCATTAAAAAGTCAGGAAGCAACAGGTGCTGGAGAGGATGTGGAGAAATAGGAACACTTTTACACTGTTGGTGGGACTGTAAACTAGTTCAGCCATTGTAGAAGTCAGTGTGGTGATTCCTCAGGGATCTAGAACTAGAAATACCATTTGACCCAGCCATCCCATTACTGGGTATATACCCAAAGGATTATAAATCATGCTGCGATAAAGACACATGCACACGTATGTTTATTGTGGCACTATTCACAATAGCAAAGACTTGGAACCAAGCCAAATGTCCAACAATGATAGACTGGATTAAGAAAATGTGGCACATATATACCATGGAATACTATGCAGCCATAAAAAATGATGAGTTCATGTCCTTTGTAGGGACATGGATGAAGCTGGAAACCATCATTCTCAGCAAACTATCGCAAGGAGAAAAAACCAAACACCGCATGTTCTCACTCATAGGTGGGAATTGAACAATGAGAACACATGGACACAGGAAGGGGAACATCATACACCGGGCCTGTTGTGGGGTGGGGGGAGGGGGAGGGATAGCATTAGGAGATATACCTAATGTTAAATGACGAGTTAATGGGTGCAGCACACCAACACGGCACATGTATACATATGTAACTAACCTGCACGTTGTGCACATGTACCCTAAAACTTAAAGTATTAAAAAAAAAAAAGATTCAGCAATTCCACTGTTAGGTATATACCCAAAAGAAAGGAAATCAGTATACTGAAGACATATCTGCACTCTGTGTTTATTGAAGCACTATTCACAATAACCAAAATTTGGAAGCAACCCAAGTGTCTGTAAACAGATGAATGGATAAAGAAAATGTGGTATATATACAAAATGGAGTACTATTCGGCCATAAAAGAGAATGAGATCTTGTCATCTGCAAGAACATGGATAGAACTGCAGGTCATTATGTTAAGTAAAAAAAACCAGGCACAAAAACACAAAGTTCATATGTTCTCATTTATTTGTGGGAGGTAACATTTGAAGCAAGTGAAATCATGGAGATAGACAGTAGAAGGATAATAACCAGAGGATAGGAGGAGTAGTGGAGAGAATGGGGGAGAGAGAAAAAGTGGTTGATGGGTACAAAAAACAGAATGAATAAGGTCTAGTATTTGATAGCTGAATGGGGTGACCATACCTAACAATAATTTAATTTTACATTTAAAAATAACTAAAAGATTATCATTGGATTATTTTTAACACAAAGGATAAGTGCTTGAGGCTACGGATACGTTTACCTTGATGTGATTATTTTATATTGTATGCCTGCTTTAAAATATATCATGTACCCCATAAATATATACATCTACTATCTATCTACAAAAATTAAAAACTAACAATATTTTAAAAAAGTATTAACCTCCTGAAAGAAGTCATTTCTTATATTAAAAAAAAAAGATAGGATATCTCTTTTAAAAAATAAAAGGTAAGGGAACCTGGGCACTCAAAAGTTTGATAATTTACCAATGGTCATTTAGATTAGTCCATACACTTTTCCTTTTGACAATATTTTTATTAACTCTATAGGTAGTGAGAGTTTAAAAAATTGTTGGCAGCTAGAATAAAGAAAATCTGCACTGGAATTAGCTTCTGCAGTAGATTACATTATATCACTTTTACTTTACTTTTGTTAAATGATTCACTGCTTTAGAATTGCTATAGTTTTACCTCAAGGCTTTTCTTTATATGTTCAAGATGTATATTACAATTTTGCAGAATTTCAAGGACTCCTGCAGAAGTGGTTATCTGCAAAGCATTCTGTTTGTTTTGTATTTTTGACATTATTTTTTTCCACATGGAAATCACTTGAGAGAAAAGTTCTGTTTCTGCTGGGAGTTGCCTTTAGAAAAAAAATTAGATGTCATTTTATTTTTTTTAAGGCACTATGATTAAAATCTATAATGTAATGCATTGCCACGGAATACTGTTTGAGTTATAAAACATTTGATGTTAAATTTTCTTGATAAATCATCAAAGATACTTTTTAAGTGCCTATTATGTACAAGTGATGCACATGGTAAGAAATGGATAAATTAGACACAACAACCATCATTTAACAAGATTATACTTAGTATACAGTGGAAGACAGATGTATAGAAATTCTGCATAAGGTAAGTAGAAACAATCTGTGTCCTAAGAAATGTAATAAAACAAAGGGTTACTGACGATCTAGAGCAGAAATGGGATCTGTCAAGAGCTTCTTGGAGAAGACGTTATTTAATCTGTGTTTTAAAGGAGTAGAGCTTTGATGTGAATAGAAGACAGAGGGGGCATTCAGCTTAGAAGCAAGAATACAGAGGTATGTATAAAAACACTGAAGTTCTATTAACGGTTATCTCATCTTAGAGGATAAGAAAATGTAAGGGCCATGTCAGCCTTGGTGTATAAATTTTCCTTTACAGAAGATTATCATTATTTTCTCCCTTTGGAAAAGGGAAGCAAAACCCACATGTGATGTGATAAGCCATTAATATATTAATTTTAGTTTTGTTTCTGTTGTTGTTGGAATTGAATGAGAGAAATAGTTTCTATAATTATACAGTTGCATTATTTCTTTTTTTTCTGTTCACCTATATTTCCCACCCCTCTCCCACCCTAGCCTCAACCTGATTCAAACTCCTCTTGGCTCTGAAGTTGAAGAGGGGAGGAATTTAGAGGGACTTTTTTTCTTCACTCAGCTAGTGTTACTTTGAATCCTCTTTTGCCTCTTGCATGCCCTCTGTCATGGCAGGTATCCATAAAGTATATTGCTGGAGATTTCAGAGTACCCCAACAGGAACCTCTATATTGCACCATTCATTGGCTCTTGCCAGCTGACCTCTTACAACCATTCCTTAAGCTCCTGCTCTAAGTAGTATACTTCTGGGATTCCCTTGTTCTGCCATTTTTGGGTGGAGATCTTTCAAGATGGCTCTAGCTTGGAAACCCCTACTATGTCTGTCAGGATTTCTCAGTTTCTGCACTGTTGACATTTTGGACTACATAATTCTGGTTGGTGTGGGGGCTGGGGGTAGGGAGAAGTTCTGGTGCATTGTAGAATGTTTAACAATATCCTGGCCTATACCCACTAGATGCCAGTAGTATCCCCTCAGTTGTGACAAGTAAAAATGTTTCCAGACTTTGTGAAATGACTCCCAGAGGTAAAAAAATTACCGCTGGTTGAAAATCACTGGTCTAAGATAACCATGTATTCCTGCACTTCTTCCTTGCCCTGTTATTAAAGGCTGCTTTAGAATTCTCCAGAGAAGAGGCAAGCGCTAGTTTCTAATGTCCCTACACTCTAGGGAAATACATGTCAAGATTTCCCAAGACCACTTCCACTATTATCTCATTCTCTATCTTGCGTGATGGACCTAAAAGTTTTCTGTAGCTCAGCAAAAATCCTGTCAAGGAGGAGACTTCAGTCTCACCTTCTCTTAAGCACCCTTCCAATATCTCTGGGATGTCCTAGCACAGCCCTCATAGTTAGTTTGGAGCTCTGGTAAATGGCACTGCATTCTATACTCTCATATATTCCCGTTAGAGAGTCTGCCCCTTTAATGAATCTCTTGTCCCATTCTTCTCCTTCATGCTTTCTCCCTGGTATCAGGGCTCATCATCCTGCTCCATTACTCAAAGGCAGATCCACTATAGACCCACTTTTTCTTTTCTTTAGACCTATTAGATAGATGCCTTCAGAATCCATAGTTGAAAACATCTTTTTCAACTTCAGAAAATCCTATAAAGGAACAATTTAGTGACACTTTGAACTCTCTTGCCTAGAATTCTAATCTTTAGTAAAAGGTAGTATTAAAGTTTAAACTTAAGGCTCAAAGTTGTTGTATCCATAAGGACATACACCTTAGGTATGTGGTTTCACCTTTGAGAACTTTCAGAATAACTACCGATCAATCAAATAGAATAAACCCAAGCATTCATATGATAAGAAATATACATGTATAACACAAATGGATATTGTTCCCCACAAAGCAATACTTAAATTTAAACAGTTCCCTTTTGTAATCTAACGGCTTCCCTTTGTCTCCAAAATAAAATACAAAATACTTGACATATTATTCAAGATTTTCCATTGCTATAATAGGCCTTTCAAATACACACCCAATGTTTTCCTACCTTATTTCAGAATGGCTCCTAAACTAGCTTGTATGATTTGCTGTCAATAGTTTAAATTCTGCCTAATTTATTTGTCTCAACTTGAGCACCCTTAAGGCCAATCACTTTACAAAGTTAGAGGTCAATGAATTTGAATGGTATGGTGTTTTTTAAAGGTAGAATTTTTTAACAACTGCCCAGGCCCTCTATTCTTCCATCTGGCTCAAAGTAATAGTAATAAATTGGTTTTTTTTTTTTCTTGAAACAGTCTCTCTCTGTGGTATGGTTCAGGCTGGAGTGCCATCGTGCAGTCACGGCTTATTGCAGCCATGGCCTTCTGGATCCAAGCCGTCCTCTCACCTCAACCTCCCAAGTAGCTGGGTGGGACCACAGGCATGTGCTACTAAACCTGGCGGTTTTGTTTGTTTGTTTTTAAGACATGAGGTTTCCCTGTGTTGCCCAAGATGGCCTCAAACTCCTGTGCTCAGGTGATCTTGGGCTCCCAAAGTGTTGGGATTACAGGCATAAGCCACCACACTCAGCCTAAGAAATTCTTATTAATGTATGAATGCTACTAAAAACATGTTTATTATTCACATCAAAACCACACTAATATTCCAGAACGAAAGAAACACATAATATTGTAGTTTTGGGATTATAATGATGTATCTGACACTTTTTTTTTTTTATACAGAGTCTCGCTCTGTCGCCCAGGCTGTAGTGCAGTGGCACAATCTTGGCTCACTGCATCCTCCACCTCCCAGGTTCAAGTGATTCTCCTGCCTCAGCCTCCCGAGTAGCTGGGATTGCAGATGCCCACCACCACGCCCACCTTATTTTTGTATGTTTAGTAAAGACAGGGTTTCACCATGTTGGCCAGGCTGGTCTTGAACTCCTGACCTCAAGTGATCCACCTGCCTCAGCCTCCCAAAATGCTGAGATTACAGGCGTGAGTGAACGTGCCCAGCCAATAATGATGTATTAACACTTCTTTCTTAGCTCTTTATATTTTTATACCAATAGTCAAGTAATAAGGCTTACAAAAATGATGTTCATAATCTTTTATGAAAGAAAAATAATGATTCAGCAAATTATACCCCTATGTCTGTAGGTAGGATAAGATAGTTTGTTCATTGAAGAAATGATTTCTCAAGAATTAAAGAAAATAAATTACTCACAATGCATTTTGAACCTGTATATGGTATATTTTAGGTATTTTACCTTCGTATTTCTGAAGAATGAAAGACTGGTTCAAGATAAAGCCAATTTCTTTGACAATTCATCCATTCCTCAAGGGTGTAAGAGAAGAGAGTCAAGTTTTGATCCCATTCATTCACAAGATCCTACAATGATAAAAACATATACACATACAAATCTAAATATATAAAATTATTCTTTAAGAGTTACATAACAGAAACAGATCAAAGGTGATTATCAGTCATTGACATACAGAAAATAATTAATAGAAAGTCACATAAATGAATACAGATCTAATTGTATTTAGTTTTAGGAGAGGTTTAAGATGTCCTGTTCATCCATTTTCTGTCATATTTATTATACAACATGCAAATCTTTTTGTAAAAGATTTGAGTAACACACATATATATGTAGAAATTAACATGAATGTCTAGCACTTAACACTTATTTCCTACTTCTTATCACAGAGGAAACATAACCAGAAATGTGATATGCATATTATTTCAGTCCTTTCTTTAAGCATAATTTCACATATAGATGCACATATAATATCCTTAATGTATTACATAAATATAAATACAACCATATTATATACATTGTTTTATAACTTGCATTTCATAACAAATAATGTCTTCTAGAGAGGTTTTATGTCAGTACTTATACGTCTTCTTCAGTATTTTAATGATTTCAGGAAATTCCATTGTATGCCTATAATGTCTTTTTCCAACTGCTATGCTTATTAAAGTAATAGGAAAATGGTTAAAAATAAATTAATACTAAAAGGCTTATTTGGAAACCAGTGGACTTGTCCATCCCCTAACTCTCTGGTTCCTCATGGGGAACCATTTATAACTCATTTATATTTGACTTCTGGTACTTACCTCCATATTTTTTACTTCTTAACTTTATTTTATATTTCAATAGCTTTATTAAGGTATCACTGATACACAAGAAACTGCACATATTTAAATTATACAATTTTGGCCAGGCACGGTGGCTCACACCTGTAATCCCAGCACTTTGGGAGGCTGAGGCGTGCAGGTCACTTGAGGTCAGGAGTTTGAGACCAGCCTGGCCAACATGGTGAAACCCCGTCTCCACTAAAAACACAACAACAACAACAACAACAAATTAGTCAGGCATGGTGGCGGTGCCGGTAATCCCAGATACTCCGGAGGCAGAGGCAGGGGAAATGCCTGAACCCAGGAGGTGGAGTTTGCAGTGGGTGGAGACTGCACCACGGCACTCCAGCCTGGGTGACAAAGCAAGACACCATCTCAAAAATAAATTAATTAATTAAAGTATACAATTTTATGAATTTTAACATGTTCTACCTGTGAAATCATCACCACAATCAAGATAACAAACATATCCATTACCCTGAAAGTGTTCTTTGTGTCCTGTTGGAATTACTTCCTCCTATCCCTCCCTACCCTACCACCAGGCAACCACTGATCTACTTTCTGAAACTATAGTTTGTATTTTCCAGAATTTTATATAAACAGAATCATACAACATGTATTCACTTTGCTCTGACTTCTTTCACTTAGCATAATTATTTTGAGATTGATCCGTATTGTTACATATATCAATAGTTCATTCCCTTTTTCTGTATAACTTTTAGGTTCAGGAGTACATGTGCAGGTTATACAAGTAAATTGCGTGTCACAGGGATTTGGTATACAGATTATTTTGTTACCCAGGTAATAACATAGCACACAATAGGTAGCTTTTTTATCCTCACCCTTCTCCCACCCTCCACCTTCAAGTACGCCCCGGTGTCTGTTGTTCCATTCTTCGTGTCCATGTGTACTCAATGTTTAGCTCCCATTTATGAGTGAGAACATGCAATATTTGGTTTACTGTTCCTGTCTTAGTTTGCTTAGGAAAATGACCTCCATCTCCATCCAAGATGCTACAAAGAACATGATCTCATTCTTCTTTTATGGCTGCATATATCCCTTGGGGTATATGTACCACATTTTCTTTATCCAGTCTACTGTTGATGGGCATTTAGGTTAATTCCACGTCTTTGCTATTGTGAATAGTGCTGTGATGAACATAAGCGTGCATGTGTCTTTATGATAGAACAATTTTATATTCCTTTGGGTATATACTCAATAATGGGATTGCTAGGTTGAATGGTAGTTCTGTTTTAGGTACTTTGAGAAATCACCACACTAATTTACATCCCCAGCAGCAATGTATAAGTATTCCCTTTTCTCTGCAACCTCACTGGCATCTGTTATTTTTTGACCTTTTAATAATGGACATTCTGACTGGTGTGAGGTGGTATCTTATTGTGGTTTTGATTTGTATTTCTCTCATGATTAGTGATGAGAAATTTTTCATATGCTTGTTGGCCATGTGTATGTCTTCTTTTGAAAAGTGTCTGTTTGTGTCCTTTACCCACTTTTTAATGGGGTTGTTTTTTTTTTTTTTTTTGCCTGTAAATGTGTTTAAGTTCCTTATAGATTCTGGATATTATACCTTCATCAGACGCATAGTTTGCAAAAATTTTCTCCCATGCTATAGGTTGTCTGTTTACTCTGTTGATAGCGTTTTTTTGTTTGTTTGTTTTGTTGTTTTTTTTTTTTTTTTTTTTTTGCTGTGCAGAAGCTTTCTAGTTTAATTAGGTCCCATTTGTCAATTTTTGTTTACATTACAATTGCTTTTGGTGACTTTGTTATGAAATCTTTGCCTTGGCCCCTAGAATGGTATTTCCTAGGTTATTTTCCAGGGTTTTTACAGGTTTAGGTTTTACAGTTAAGTCTTTAATCCATGCTTAGTTGATTTTTGTATATGTTGAAAGGAAGGGTTCCAGTTTCAATCTTCTGCATATGGCTAGCCAGTTATTCCAGTTATTCCATAGAATATAAAATTCTTCCCCTATGCCTTGTTTTTGTCAACTTTGTCAAAGATCAGATGGTCGTAGGTATGCGGCTTTATTTCTGGGCTCTCTATTCTGTTCCACTGTTCTATGTGTCTGCTTTTGTACCAGTACCATGCTGTTTTGGTTACTGTAGCCTTGAAGTATAGTTTGAAGTTAGGTGATGTAATGCCTCCAGCTTTGTTCTTTTGCTTAGTATTGACTTGGCTATTTGGGCTCTTTTTTGGTTCCATATGAATTTTAAAACATTTTTCTAATTCTGTGAAGAATGTCATTGGTAGCATGATAAGAACAGCACTGAATCTGTAAAACGCTTTGGGCAGTATGGCTGTTTTAGTAATATTGATTCTTCCTATCCATGAGCATGGAATGGTTTTCTCTTTTGTTTGTGTCATCTCTGATTTCTTTGAGCAATGCTTTGTAATTCTTGTAAAGATATTTCACTTTCCTGGTTTGCTGCATTCCTAGTATCATACTCTTTTTGTGACTATTGTGAATGGGACTGCATTCTTGATTTGGCTCTCAGGTTGGATGTTGTTGGTGTATAGAAATGCTACTGATTTTTGTACATTAATTTTGTATCCTGAAACTTTGCTGAAGTTGTTTATCAGATCTAGGAGCTTTTGTGCAGAAATTGTGGCATTTTCTAGGTATAGAATCATATGGTCTACAAACAGAGACAGTTTGACTTCCTTTTTTCCTATTTGGATGTCTTTCATTTCTTTCTCTTCCCTAATTACTCTGGCTAGAACTTCCAGCACTATGTTGAATAGGAGTGATGAGAGATGGCATCCTTGTCTTCTTCTGGTCTTCAAGGGGAATTCTTCCAGCTTTTGCTTATACAGTATGATGTTGGCTGCGGGTTTGTCATATATGGCTTTTATCATTTTGAAGTATGTTCCTTGAAAGCCTAGTTTGTTGAGGGTTTTTAACATAAAGCAATGTTGAATTTTATTGAAAGCTTTTTCTGCATCTATTGAGATAATCATGTGATTTTTGTTTTTAGTTCTGTTTATGTAATGAATCCCATTTATTCATTTGTGTATGTTGAACCAACTTTGCATCCCAGGATAAAGTCTGCTTCATCAGAGTGGCTTAGATTTTTTGATGTGCTGCTGGGTTCAGTTTGCTAGTATTTTTATGTGCATGTTTGTCAAGGATATTGGCCTGAAGTTTTTCTTCATTGTGTTCTGCCAGGTTTTGGTATCAGGATGATTCTGGCATCACAGAATGAGTCAGGGAGGAGTCCCTCCTCCTGAACTTTTTGGAATCATTTCAGTAGGAATGGTACCAGCTCCTTTATACATCTGGTAGAATTTGGCTGTGATCTATTCTTGAGCTTTTTATTACAGATTCAATTTTGGAACTCATTACTGGTCTGTTCAATTATTCAATTTCTTCCTAGATCAGTCTTTGGAGGTTGTATGCACTCAGAAATTCATCTCTTTCTTCTAGTGTTTCTAGTCTGTGTGCATAGCGGTGTTCATAGTAGTCTCTGAAGGTTTCTTGTATTTCTGTCAGATCAGTGGCAATGTCCCCTTTGTCATTTATAATTGCGTTTATTTGGATCTTCTCTATTTTTTTTTCTTATGATTGTAGCTAGAAGTCTATGTATCTTAATTTTTTCAAATTACCAACTCCTCAACTCAGTCTTTTGTATGGCTTTCCACATCTCAATTTCCTTCAGTTCAGCTCTGATTTTGGTTATTTATTATCTTCTCCTCGCTTTGGGGTTGGTTTGCTCTTGTTTCTCTAATTCCTCTAGTTGTGTTGTTAGGTTGTTAATTTGAGCTCTTTCTTTTTCATGTGGGAGTTTAGTGCTATAAACTTCCCTGTTAACACTGCATTAGCTGTATCCCAGAGATTCTGGTATGTTGTATATTTGTTCTCATTAGTTTCAAAGAATTTCTTGATTTATCTCTTAATTTCATTATTTACCCAATAGTCATTCAGGATCAGGTTATTCAATTTCCATGTAATTGTATGGTTTTGAGAAATTTTCTTAGTATTGATTTCTATTTTTATTGCACTGTGGACTGAGTGTGGTTGGTATGATTTAACTATTTTAAATTTGCTGAGAATTGTTTTATGTGCCATGTTCATATGAGAAGATTCTGTTGTTTTGGGGTGAAAAGTTCTGTAGATTTCTATTAGGTCCATTTGATCAAGTGTAAAGTTCAGGTCCTGAATATCTTTGTTTATTTTCTGCCTCAATAGTCTAATACTGTCAGCAGGGCATTGAATTCTCTCACTATTATTGTGTCATTATCTAAGTCTCTTCCTAGGTCTTTAAGAACTTGCTTTATAAATCTGGGTGCTCCTGTGTTGGGTGTGTATATATTTACAATAGTTAGATCTTCTTGTTGAATTGAACCCTTTACCATTATGTAAAGCCCTTCTTTGTCTTTTTTGATCTTTGTTGGTTTTTAAAGTTGCTTTTTTCTGAAATTAGAATAGCAACCCCTGCTTTTTTCTGTTTCCTGTTTTCTTGGTAGATTTTTCTCCATCCTTTTCTTTGACCCTATGATGTCCTTGCAGTTAAGATGGGTCTCTTGAAGACAGTATGTTATTGGGTCTTATTTATCCAACTTGCCACTCTTTGCCTTTTAATAGGGGTAGACTGTTTACATTCAAGGTTAGTAGTGATATGTGTATATTTGATTCTGTCATTGTGTTGTTGGCCGGGTATTATTCAGACTTGATTGTGTAGTTGCTTTATAGTGTCAATGGTCTATGTATTTAAGTGTGTATTTTAATGATCAGTAGTAGTCTTTCCTTTTCTTATTTAGCACTCCCTTCAGGATCTCTTTTAAGGCAGGTTTGGTGGTAACAAATTCCCTCAGCATTTGCTTGTCCGAAAATGATCTTATTTCTCCTTTGCTTATGAAATCTAATTTGGCTGGATATGAAAATATTGGTTGGAATTTCTATTTTGTAAGAATTCTGAATATAGGCCCCAATCTCTTTTGGCTTGTAGGGTTTCTACTGAAAGGTCTGCTCTTAACCTGATAGGGTTTCCTTTGTAGAGCTGCCCCTTCTCTCTAGCTGCCTTTATTTTTCCTTTTTTCCAACTTGGAGAATCTGACGATTATGTGTCTTGGAAATGGTCATCTTGTAGTGTACCTCACAGGGGTTCTCTGTGTTTCCTGAATTTGAGTGTTGGCCTCTAGTAAAGTTGAAGAAATTTTCATGAACAATATCCTGAAATACGTTTTCTAAGTTGTTTTCTTTCTCTCCCTCTCTTTCAGGAAAACCAATGAATCATAGATCCATTCATATATCCACTTTGGTAAAGTCTCTATTTTAATATTTTGCCCATCTCTTTACAGGATTGTTTTGTTTTCTTATCAATGAATTTTGAGAGTTCTTTATATATTCTGGATACAAGTCCTTTATCAGATGTATGCTTTACAAATATTTTCTCCCAGTCTCTGGTTTATATTTGTATTCACTTAAAAGTGTCTTTATAGGAGCACGAATTTTTAATTTTGATGAAATCTAATACATAAATTTTCCTTCTATGGATAGTGCTTTTGGTGCCATATTGAAGAAATCTGCCTAAAGCAAGGTCACAAAAATATCTCTTATGTTTTTTCTCAAAGTTTTATAGTTTTAGGTTTTGCATTTAGGTCCATAATCCTTTTATGTGTTAAATGTTTGTGTATGTTGTAAGATGTGGCTTAAGAGTTTTTTGTTTGTTTTGCATATGATTGTTCAATTATGCTAGCACAATTTCTTTAAAAATTGGCTGTTTTTTCTCTGAATTATCTTTGCATATTTGTTGAAAATCAGTTGTCCATACGTATGTGGGTCTATTTCTGTACTCTCTCTTTCTTGTCTATCTTTAAACCAAAAAATACTGTTTTGATAACTGTGGCCTTATAATGAGCCTCTGAATAGGTAGTTTTAATGCTCCAACTTTGTTCTTCTTTTGTAAAATTGTTTACACTATTCTAGGACTTTTACATTTCCACAAGAATTGTAGAATCAGCTTGTCAATTTCTACAAGTAGTCTGCTAGGATTCTGATTAGGATTGTGTTGAATCTAGAGATCCATTTGGTGATATTTGACATCTTTATTAGGTCTTTCAATGGATGAACACAATGTATCTTCCATTTTTTAAGTCTTCTTTCTCTCTGCAGGGTTTTGAAGTTTTTTGTGTGCAGATCTTATACATTTTTCTCAGGTTTATATATCTTATTTTTATGCTATTTCTCAATGCCAGTATATATAATGAATTTGACTTTGTATACTAATCATGTATCCTGCAAACTTGCTAAAATAAGTTTTATTTAGTTTGTAAATTTTGTTTGATTTTTTTACATAGGTAATCATGTCATCGGAATACAAATGATATTTTACTTCTTCTTTTTCAATCTGGACATTTTTTATTTCTCTTTCTTACTTCAGTACACTGGCTGGAAACTCCAGTAAAATGTAGAATAGAATTGGTAAGGGAGAACATCCTTATTCTTGATCTTAGGGGAAAAGCGTTCAGTCTTTCACTATTAAGGACAAAATGTTTTTCATAGATGTTCTTTATTCAGGATGTTATCTTCTATTCTTAATTTGTTGAGACATATTTTAATCAGGAATGAATGTTGAATTCTGTAAAAAATTTTTTAAAATGTACTGAGAATATCTTCTGTTTTTCCTGTTTATGTTTAATATGGCAAATTGTAGATTGATTTTTGAATGTTAAACCAACCTTGCATTTCTCAAATTAATCTCTCTTGGTAATAATACAACATTCTCTGTATATTGACGGACTTGATTTGGAAATATTTTTTTAGAATGTTTGCATCTATATTTAAGAGGGCTATTGATTTCTAGTTTTTAAAAATTTTTTAAATATCTCCTTTCTAAATCTGTTTTCTTTTTTCTTTTCTTTTCTTTCTCTCGCTCTCTTTTTTTTTTTTTTTTTTTTTTTGACGGAGTTTTGCTCTTGTTGCCCAGGCTGGAGTGCAAAGACACGATCTTGGCTCACTGCAACCTCTGCCTCCCGGCTTCAAGCGATTCTCCTGCCTCAGCCTTCCAAGTAGCTGGGATTACAGGCACCTGCCACCACACCCAGCTAATTTTTGTATTTTTAGTAGAGACAAGGTTTCACCATGTTGGCCAGGTTGGTCTCAAACTCCTGACCTCAGGTGATCCGCCTGCCTCAGCCTCCCAAAGTGCTGGGATTACAGGCATGAGCCGTCGCACCCAGCCTGTTTTCTTATAATATCTTTGTCTTGCTTTGGTATCAGGGTAATACTGGCCTCATAGAATGTGTTAGGGAGGATTCCTTTCTCTACACTTTTCTGAAAAAGTTGGTGCATAACTGGTATTATTTCTTCCTTAAATGAAATTAAATTCCTTAAAAAGAAATAGCACAAGCCATCTGGGTCAAGACTATTCCTTGTAGGAAAGTTTTAAACTGTTTTTAACTACCAGTTAAATATCTTTAGTACATATAATGGTTATTCCAGTTATCCATTTCTTCTTGAGTAAGCTTTAGTAATTTGCGTATTTTAAGGAATTTGTCCATTTCATCTAAGTACTTAATTAACTTAAAGTTGTTTTTAATATTCCAGTTTACATTTTATATCTACAGAATCTGTAGTAATGTCATCTCTTCTATTCCTAGTATTGGTCATTTGTCTATTTTCCCCACTGGTTTTGAGAAATTATGATGTTTCTTGGGCTTAGAATGTATTGAGTGTAAATCTATGTCTTTATGGTTTTCAAAACATTTGGAAAATTTCTGATCATTATTTTCTCAGTATTTTTTTCTGTTTCTCCCTCTCACTCCTCCTCTTGGGGAACTCCAATTATTTGTCTAGTAGGTTGTCTGAAGCTTTCCCACAGCTCACTGATGCTCTTTTCATTTTTAACATTTCTCTTTCTACCTATGTTTCATATGGAATCATTTCCAATGTTATATTTTTAAGTTCACCAATCTTTTCTTCTGCCCTGTTTAATCTGTGTTAATTTCATCCAATGTATTTTTCACTTCAGACATTGTAGTTTTCATCTCTAGAAGTTTAATTTTGGTCTTTTTTATATTTTTACCTCTCTACTTAACTTTTTAACATATGGAATAAATTTATAACCATTTTAATGTCCTTTTCTCTAATTTTAATAACTGTGTCAGTTCAGATTCAATTTCCATTGGTTAAGTTTTCATCATGAGTTCTATTTTTGGTTCTTTTTTGCATGTCTACTAATCTTTGATGGCATTCTAGAAATTGTACATTTTACCTTATTGTGTACTGGATATTATTATATTCCTATAGTCTTGAGCTTTGTTCTGGGTGCAGTTAAATCACTTACAGTTTCATCATTTTAGGTCTTGCTTTTAAGATCTGTTAGGGAAGACAGGAGCAACATTTAATTCAGGACTGGTTATTCCATATTACTGTGGCAAGACTCTGAGTGCTTATGAATTAGGAGGTTTTCTGTTCTGACCATGCATATAGGCACTATTCCCAGCCCTGTGTGAGCACCAGGCATTGTTCCCTCTAATTTTCTCAAGTGGTTGTTTCCCTGACCTCTGGCAGTTTCACGTGTCATTGATTGGGTCTGCTGAATGCTTGTGTAGGGGCCTGCCACAAATCTATGAAGATCTCTGTCTCCGCAGCTTTATCTTTCCTGGTGGTTTATCCTAAATACTGTAGCCTCCATTGGTTCTCCAGACCTTCAACATCATCTCCTCATATCAGAAGTCTGCCAGGCTCTGCCTGTACTCCTCCCCATCTTCCTTCTCCAAGGTCTGGAAACTCAAGGAAATAAGTTGGTAGAATCACAGGGCTTACCTTGTTTGTTTCTCAACTCTCAGGGATCCTTGTCCTTCATTACCTGATGTCCAGTGTCCCGAAAACCATTGTTCCATATATTTTGTCTAGTCTGATTTGGCTACTTCAGGCAAGCCGGTGCTGTGGTTTGAATGTCCCCTCCAAAACCCATATTGAAACTCAAGTGCCATTGTAACAATGGTGACATGTGGGGCCTTTAAGAGGTTATTAGATCATGAGGGCTCTGCCCTAATGAATAGATTAGTGCCATGATCACAGGGGTGGATTAGTTATTGTGGGAATTCAGCCCCCTTTCTCTATCCATCTTGTGCTTTCACTTGCCCTTCTGCCTCCACCATAGGATAATAATGTAGCACAAAGGCCCTGGCCAGATGCCAGCCCCATGCTCTTGGACTTCCCAGCCTCCAGAACCATAAGCCAAATACATTTCTTTTATTTATACGTCATCCAGTGTGTGGTATTGTTAAGGCAACACTAAGTGGACTAAGACAGATGGTAAATCTGGTCCCCAAACTCCATCTTGCTTAGAAGTAGAAGGCTGTGTGTGTGTGTGTGTGTGTGTGTGTGTGTGTGTGTGTGTGTGTGGTGTTCTTTTCAGCTTCTTGAATGTGCTTAATTTATCATTTATTAAATTCACTTTTCATTTTTAATGAAGGCATTTAATGCTTAAATATTCATTTTCATAGGGCTTTAGCCAATTGTGACAGGTTTGAAATGTGATTTTCTCCTGTTCCTTACTTCTAAATTTTAAAAAATTAGCTTACATTTCCTGTATATTCTGATGGTTGCTTTTAAATTTCTATTGTGGGTGTTTTATTTTGTCTGCCCTTTTTGCTGTTTTTCTGCTGTTCATTTTTTTTGTACTGCATGTGATTAAAGAATAAAGTCCATTTGGTTTATTTTTTTCTGTAATTTATTGAGTTTTTTCCCTCAAAATTTCAATTAACTGACATTTTCCCTAAATATTACAAATAATGTGAGTTCCCTTGGTTGTGTATATACTTTCTCTCTCTCCCCATCTATTTATATAGATGCATGTATATATATGTGTGTGTATATGATTATGTTAATTTTGCTACTTACTATCTCTATATTATCACATGTCATGTTGAGTTTCTTGACATTTTAAAATAATTATTAGGGGTCGGGCACGGTGGCTCATGCCTGTAATCCCAGTACTTTGGGAGGCTGAGGTGGGCAGATCATGAGGTCAGGAGATCGAGACCATCCTGGCTAACACAGTGAAATCCCGTCTCTACTAAAAAAATACAAACAATTAGCCGGGCGTCGTGGCGGGCACCTGTAGTCCCAGCTACTCGGGAGGCTGAGGCAGGAGAATGGCGTGAACCCAGGAGGCGGAGCTTGCAGTGAGCCGAGACAGCACCACTGCACTCCAGCCTGGGTGACGGAGTAAGACTCTGTCTCAAAAAATAATAATAATAATTATTATTATTATTAGGTGTATTACCACACGTGGGGTTGCTCAGTGAGGGACTATCAGGGAACACTGTACACTGGTGATAAGCCATGGTTATAAGGTCATATTTTTCTATGATCTAAATTTATCTTTTCTGCCAAAATTAAACTTTGACATTTTCTCATGAACAATTAAGGCTTCTACAAAAAGTTATTTTTGGTATTCAAACTAGTAAATATTCATTGTAATTTTTATATAAGTATATGAATGATTTATACAATTCAAAGGCAAACTGTAGACCGCAAAAGATTGAAATAATAAATAAAACTACAGAAAAAGAAAACATTTTTCCTTTGCCATAATACTTACCTTAATGGGCCCAATGTGGGGAGATCCTTTAATTGTTGCAAGTATGACTTGAGACTCTTCTAACTGAGCTGATATGTCATCTATAGATGGAATTATGAAGATAGAGTAAATCTCTGTGTGGTGAAGAATTAAAGGCAAAGGAGTAGTGTTCCAAAAATCAATAATCTTAAATAGCATTTTTTCAAGAGCAGCTTCATTAGTTGCTGAGGTTGACATATCATTTATTTCATTTTCATACTGAAACATCTAAAATGAACAAAGTATTCTTTAGTATCCAGTATAGCAAATAATTCCTGATATGTCCAAAATGGAAATTTTAAATGCAAGTTTTGAAAGGCACATCAAAAATATTGAAGATCTAATTCCAGTTAGGTTTATATCCTTACCAGCAACTTCATGGTCTAACCTTCATGACATATCCCTTTGCACTTTAAAATCATCCTATTTCACGTTTTTCATAATCAGTGAAAATTTCCAACTTTCCTCTGATTCTAGCCAGTTATAAAGAGTATACACCTTCTGTATATGTGTAGATGGTATTATTTCCTTCAGCATTCTTTCCTCTGCCCTAATGCCAACTGCTTAATTACTTTGTGACACGCTTTTACTTATTGTTTTATCCCTGGTAGATAAGACTCTACCACCATTCCTATATGTCATCTCGATGGTGTTAAAGAATAATGCCCAATCCCTATGTTTTAGTAATGCAACTCAGTGGGGATTATGAACAGATATGACTAGTTTTCATCATTTCTCTTATATGCTTGCCAAAGATGAATTATTAAGGATGGTGGGATCAGTTACTTCTTATGGCCTTAAGCAACAGCTTTGGGAAAGAAGCCTACCTTTTGACATAGATTATTCAGCCAAAGGCAGATAAGGAACTATAGAACCATCAAAGTTCGTGCCTAATGCTAACATTCTGAGATTGCTAAAAATTCAATCCAGCAGACACTGATAATGTGTAAAGCAAAATTTCAGTGAAGTGAATCTAGCCTTGTCAAGTCTTTATGGTTAAAGTATGGGACCTGACTGACAAATAGTCAGATCTTCCAACTGACTTGATAATAGCTGGGTGGTTTCAGCTGAATCTTGATGATTGTAGTTAATTATCTAACTTTATTATAAAGCATATGGCTTTCCAAAGTGAAAATTATCAACCATAAAATGATAGTGTTCATCATATGCATACCATTGAGCTCTTGCTCTTAATTTACTTCATGAAATGCTTTTCATGTGGTAGGTTTTTCAGAGCCTGCACAACATCTTGGACAAAATAGTTGTCATATAACTGCAAGCCATCATACTTTATTCATTTAATAGAACTTCTAATATGACCTATCTTGGAAAGTTTTGCAGCATGACCACCACCTCTGGGTCAATCCTCCAAAATGCAAGTTTTAATAAATGAAGGCTGAGTTTCTGCGCCAAATCCTGTCCATTTTGGCATCTACATTATATTGGATACATTGTCAAATTTCTACAGGATGGCCAAAATCATCCAGGAACTCTTAGAGTTCACTTGAAATTACCAGCTGATTGCCTCCTTATCCCTTCTATTATTATAATTATCTTCAAGAAGAAGAAGGGGTTCCTCTAACTCCTCACTACAGTATTTCAAAGGCTGAAGACCTTGTTCACTTTTGTTCACATGTCAAACTGTCCTAATTGGGAACCTCTAAAAAATGCATGGGACTTCCTTTTTAAACTATCTATTCATGTTAGACATGTAATAGCTCATTGGAACCCTTTGAGTTATTACAGGCCACCACCCCATGTAGGCCACCAGCTGCTATCATATGTACCTATCTACCCTAACTTTTATAGCTTGCTGCTACATTTAGTCTGCAAAATTCTCACCCTTTATCTAACTTACCCAAGAATAGTTCCAATAACCCAAGACTGGATATAAAAATATCACTAAAATTGTGCTAGATTTTATGCATGCTGATTTGAAATAAATTCATCTGTTGGTATTTGCTCTTATGCTCTGACATCACCTAGCTATCTTGCTGAATTCCTCTTGGGCATGTATATCAGTTGGGCATGTATATCAGTTAGGAGGCTCTAAGATGAGATATTTAGATACGATGAGGATTATGAAAGAGAAGATTCAGAATTATTTCATGATTTTTAGTGTAAACAATTGGAAGAATGGAGCTACCATCAACTGAGATAAGAAACACAGAGGAAGAGCAGAATTTGGGAGATGGAGAATGAAAGGTGAATGTTTTTGACATGTTAATTTTGAGGTATTTCTTAGACATATAAGTAGAGATATTGAATAGGAGATTACATATGTGAATTTGGAGTTCACGAGAAAGTTGAGATTAGGGCTGGCGATATAAAATAATCTAAGTTTTACAAACAAAAGTTGTTTTTTAAAAAATTCTTTTTAAATTCTTAAAAAAGGTGCTCATGTTCCTCATTACAACAGATCATTTAGCAGAGAATTATAGGTATAAAATATGTTTTGATTACATTATATGTTGTCAGCCATGAAACATTAGACATAAATGAAGCTTATTGTAAGTTAGACATAAAAATAGAAAGTTTTTAATCATGGAAAAATTGAAAAAAGTATATTTTTATAATAAAACTTACATGGAAAGTCAAATAGTTGTTTATTATGCATTTTAAATATAATGTCAAGTTATATATATGTTAAGGTAGGGCAATTCTTACATGCTCTTAATATATTTTCATTTTACATATAATGAATACAATAGTTTTGATATTTCCATTCCTATAAAATGTATTCTGTATAAATAGCACTGTTAAATAATGAAACACTAATTTTATCTGTCATACATGAAAACCAGTATTACTGTTTAATCACCTAAATAATAATGGAATAATTAATAGCTTACCCAATATCTCCAATTAAATAATTTCCTATCACCTATTATTCTACAAATGTACTATTATTTTCCCAGGCACTCTTATAAACTTCCTTTCCTAATTCCTATCCATTGTATATTTACTCGCCTATTTAAAATTGGCCCATCTGGTATTTCAACCTATTTTTTTAAAAAACCATTTTTATTTACCTTGAGAGCTAGAAGATTCTCTACTTTACAGTTTTTATCAAGCGGAACTGACTTCCCAATAATCTCCTGGAGAGCCTCCCAATGCCTTGGCTTGAGACAGGGATTTCCCAGAGCTATAATGATAGGCAGCTCTTGTTTAAACTCTGTTACCACTTGCTTAAGATGTGTTACCATATCGCTTTTAGGTAAACCTATAAATAACAATGGGTCAGTAGGCTTATAATATGTTCATTATATTTTTTAACCAAAAAAATTGAGAAAATAAGATTTTTTTCTTTAAAATTTGTTAAAAACTACTTTATCAATTATTAAACTACATTAAAATAACATGAAGCAGTGAGCTTTATTAACATTACCCTTCCATGAGAATCAACTATACATTAAAATAAGAGAAATAGTTATAAGGACAGGTGACTAAAACCCAACTATCACAACCAAATCATCTTAGAAAATTTGATACCAGGAGTGGCCAGCTACCACAGGTTTCCCAGATTTTCACTGACATGATAAATATACAGACAAATGGGTACATGCGCATGTGCACACACACACACACACACACACACACCACAAACATTCAGAAGACTGTCACAGATTCTGGGTATTTATTTATTTAATTAACATCTTAACATAGCAAGATGAGGTCTTGCTATGTTGCCCAGGCTGGTCTCAAACTCCTGGCCTCGAATGATCCGCCCACCTCAGCCTCCCCAAGTGCTGTGATTACAGGCATGAGACACAGTACTCAGCTGGTTTGGGTTTTTTAAATTTTGGTAAATATGGAAGAACATCAAGGGAAAAAATATACCATCACTACAATTTCATTAAAAAATACTTTAACACCAAAATGTAGGAAATGTAGGTGACAGCTTTGCCACAGACCAGCACTAGTCTGTCCTCTGGCATTGACAAACCACTGAAGTACAGGATTCAAAACCTATGGAGTGGAAGGTTCAACTCTTACAACCTTTTTACTCAACTTATAAAATAAAGAGGAGGGGCCAAAGTTAGGGACTCAAGAGAACTGAAAACTTCACCCATACACTCAAAAAACCAATTTGTATATATGGGGCTTCTTTTATAAAGCCATATTAAATAGTAATATGTTTTTAAGACCTGATTAATAGAAGGTCAAGAGTGTAACTTTAGTTTTTGCCAGTCTAGACTTTGGCAAACAGCAAGATTTTATCTGGGGAACCATGGGTAAAAGAAGGTGTCGTCTAGTTGTTACTTTACTGTTCTCCGAAGCACGTATATAACAAAATATTGAGAGGGGATGCACACAATCAGTGTTATGTTAAAGCCTTGAGACTATGATTTGCCCCCAATTGTTCTCTTTTCTAAACTTTTGTGCTACTGTTATATTTCTTAAATAATTTTAAAACAAGTGAAATAAAGTGTTTGTCTGGCTTTTCTGGAGAAGAAATTTTAGCTTAAGGTATAGCTGAGTGATAGGGGAGGAGTCTTTAAAAAAAGCAAAGATATTCTCTTGGCCAGGTGAAACAAAATATCCCTTTTGGAAAGGATTTGATCTTATAGAAATGCTCTCACAAAAACAGTATCTTTGCATTGGCAAGATTTCAAATTTGATAATTAAAATAAAATAAACCTCTAAAAATTACTCTTTAAGCTGTTTACCCACTGCCCAAAAGATAATGAATGATTATGCAGATGGTCCTTTATCATCAAAACATCTCTGACCAGTGCCCTAAGAAGGGCCATACTCAGGGTGAGGTAGCTGGGGTTCTATGCAGGGAACCAACTTTTAAAGGACATAAAAATTGTTAATTTCTTAACAAAACTTTTTTGACAAGGACTTAATCTCTTTTTTGCCTGAGTGAAATTCCTACCTATACTCCTGTATTGTAGCTCTAGCCATAATGGTCAACCTGAGAATGGGTAAAGAAACAAGCCAAGGACAATGCTCTTGATGTCCAAAGGCCATTTGGTATATAGACCTAGGTGGGAAAATTTGAGAAACACATTTTTACCTTTTTCTAGTACCGAGATTATGTGCATCAGTTTTGAAACATTTCTCTGTACTGATTCTACATCAATACTTTGAAGAGAACTATTCCTCCATTCCCAAGAGGCTCGCTTCCACTCCTCTTGTGCTTCCCATAGTTTTTTCCTCAAAGTCAAGTCACCTTCAATGTCAGAGATCTCTGAAAGCACAATCTGTGTAATTTCTTCCACATTAACAGAATGCATATGAGATTGAGAATCACTGAAACAATCCTGATAATGTGAATATGCTTTAGCTTTGTTAGTTAAACTTGCAGCTTCCCCTGAGAGAGTCTGGATCATTTCCATTGCTGTTGACACTT
The DNA here is from genome assembly GCF_000001405.40 of Homo sapiens. NCBI lineage: Eukaryota > Metazoa > Chordata > Mammalia > Primates > Hominidae > Homo > Homo sapiens. The sequence goes on along the minus strand of NC_000001.11, from coordinate 225,080,412 downwards.
GAGTACCAGCACATAACAGAAGAGGAGTTCTTATCTAAAAAATAAGAGTAGGACTTTCTAAGAGAAATCAGTATGTCTAGAACGTACTGTTTTACTGGCAGTGAAAGCATTTTAGTATATAATCTAGGCTTTTACCTGATAAGTGAGTGAAACTGGAACTATCATTACCATTTGGCCCAGACAAAGATAAAGATTGGCCCAGAAAGATTTCAGGGGGTTTTAGTCCCTTTTATGCCATGAGCCCATTTGGCAGTCTCTTGAAGCCTATGGTAAAAGTCACCAGCCATGCTGCTGTTTGTTGCCTACATTCATTCATAGTTGAGAAAATGCTAAGTTCCAGTTAGAAATTAGTGAAAATAGAAATGTAATTTTACTTCCCTTTCAGGTTCACAAATCACCAAAATTCTGTCTGTGAATTCCAGTTGAAGAATACTTGTATTGGCCGGTCACGGTGGCTCAAGCCTGTAATGCCAGCACTTTGGGGGGCTGAGGCGAGTGGATCACGAGGTCAGGAGATCGAGACCATCTTGGCTAACACGGTGAAACCTCGTCTCTACTAAAAATACAAAAAATTAGCCGGGCGTGGTGGCAGGCGCCTGTAGTCCCAGCTACTCGGGAGGCTGAGGCAGGAGAATGGCGTGAACCCGGGAGGCGGAGCTTGCAGTGAGCCGAGATTGCGCCACTGCAGTCCAGCCTGGGCAACAGAGCAAGACTCCATCTCAAAAAAAAAAAAAAAAAAAGAATACTTGTATTAAACTATTTAGCCAAAATTCCACTGAAAGCAAATACCCAAATGCCTGGACTTACGAGACTAAGATCAAGTTTTTAATAAAAAAAAAATCCAAAAAAACCCTAAAAACTTACCTTGGCTTTTAAATTGCCAACATCAACATGTAGACCACTGATACATGCTTCCAAGTTATCTCTGAATTTAGTTATAGCAGTGTCTTTATTTATTTTACTTAACTTCATAGATGATTTTAGTTGACTAAACTTAAGAAGAAGAACTTGGAATATGGCAATTTGCTCTTCTGAAATATGGATCTGGTGATGCTTTGCAACAGAATATAGCTGAGACATTGTTAAGAACTCTTTTTCTAATTTAGATATTTTTGAGGAAATTGCATTCAAAAAAATAAAATGCTCCAGAAATTCTTCTATTTCAGTGGGATCACATTCCAGCTGCTGCAATGATGATTCCACAACCTGAAATCAACATGTCAATTATAATTGTGTAATGACTTTTCATCATTTTGGAAGACTAATTACTCTTTTTAATTTCTCTGACTTATATAAGTCTAATTTCAGAAAATAATTAAAACATCATGTATTAGTCTGTTCTCACACTGCTATAAAGAACTACTTGAGACTGGGTAATTTGTGAAGAAAAGAGGTTTAATTGACTCAGTTCCATAGGCTGTAGAAGAAGCATGGCTGGGAGGCCTCAGGAAATCTACAATCATGGCAGAAGGTGAAAGGGAAGCAAGCACATCTTACCAAGGCAGAAAAGCGGGGAGAGAGAGAGAGAGAGAGAGAGAGAGAGAGAGAGAGAGGGAGAGAGAGAGAGAGGGAGAGAGAGAGAGAGAGGGAGAGAGAGAGAGAGAGAGAGAGAGAGAGAGAGAGAGAGAGAGAGAGAGAGAGAGATTGAGAATGGGGGAGTGCTACACACTTTCAAACAACCAGACCTCCTGAGAACTCTATCACGAGAACAGCAAGGGGGAAGTCCACCCCCATGATTCAATCACCTCTCACCAGTGACCCCCCTTAACATGTGGGGATTACAATTTGACATGAGATTTGGTTGGGGACACAGAGCCAAACCATATCACATAATCTAGACATAATTCTAAGTGTTATTTAAGTACTGGGGCATTAACATGACCAAATCCTTCTACTGTTAACAAAAGACACTTGAATGTATTCCACATATAAAATAGATGCTATTAAGACATAAAATAAGTAAGTTATGAATAACAATTTTCAAGAAATGTAATACAAATGGCAAATTATGACTGAAATGTGAACGGTGCATAATAAATGCTACAACTTTTTGGGCATGTATGTGATAGGTTCTTTACGTACATGATCATACTTTATTCAGATAGTATATTTGCTAATTAGGTATTTTTTCTAATTGCACAGGAGGAAACTGAGTCTCAGAGGGTTTATTGTACCAAGATCAGAAATGTAGCAAGTTATACAACTGTGATTCAAACCCAAATTGATTCCACGTCCCATTATTTTCCACCATACTTATATCTATTATATTTATAACCATACTTGTCAAAAGTGTATATAAATTACTCCATAAAATGCTTGAAGTAATTGCATTTCTGTGCTGGAACTAAAATTTTTTCATATTTTTTCATGTTTCAAGGGTTCTTAAGGAGTATGCCTGCATAATTTTATGTAATTTTGGTATGAAAGTCAGTTCAATTTTTAATCTTTACAGCCTTGAATTAATTTCACATATGTGTGTGTCTAATTTGATATTAAAATAAATGTTCATGCAAAAATCACAATACAAAAAAGTTTATAAGATGGAAAAGTTTATCAGATGGTCAACTATTATTCCATTACCCAGAGATTACCATTGTTAATCCATCAGAAATTTTATTATGGGGCATGTGTGTGTCTCTTTGCCACAGAGTTTATATTAAGAGGCCTTAAAATCAGAGAAACTTATTTTCGATCCCAGCCTCAGTATTTACTAACTGTGTGAACCTAAGCAAATAGCTTTATTCTGATAAACTTATTGTCCTCATCTGTACTTTGGAGATCAAATAAAATAATTCAGTAATAGACTTACAATGTACCTGGCATATGGAAAGTGCACCAAGAATGATCGTGTCAGTAGACTGAGTAAACATAACTATTTAGACTCCAATACAAATACTAATTAAATGCCCAAAAAATTTTGAAATACACATTTATATCACAAACAACCAAATAATTCCAATCTCATATAAACCAAGAGAATATAAAAAGGTAAAATATACCCAAACTTCATTTATGACACTAGTAACATATTGATACCAAAACCAGATAAGGATGGTAAAAGAAAATTATAGACTATTTTCACTTATAAACATAAACACAAAAATCTTAAAAATAATATGTAAGCTTGTGTATGCACATGCTGGTAAGGTAAATCTATCAATTTGGATGTGAGATTACCCTTAGAAAGTCAATTAATATAACTCCCCACAGAAAAAGATTAAAGGAAAACAACTGCAAGATTATCTCAATAGATGTAATGAATAAGCATTTGATAAAATTCATTTATAATAAAAACTCTTATCAAACTAAAAATAGAAAGTATTTTCTTATTGTTCAATTCCCACCTATGAGTGAGAACATGTGGTGTTTGGTTTTCTGTCCTTTTGATAGTTTGCTGAGAATGATGGTTTCCAGCTTGGACACAGGGCAGGGAACATCACACACCGGGGCCTGTTGGGTGTTGGGGGCTGGGGGAGGGATAGCATTAGGAGAAATACTTAATGTAAATGATGAGTTTATGGGTGCAGCAAACCAACATGGAACATTTATACCTATGTATCAAACCTGCACATTGTGCACATGTACCCTAGAACTTAAAGTATAATAAAAAAAAAAGAAGGTATTTTATTTAACCTTACAAAGGGAAGCTACCAAAACCCTCAGGAAATATAAATACACCCAGGACAAAGAGCAGCCAGAAAGAGGATGAATAAACAGAACTTTCAGAACAGATTCTTTGAAAAACAGCTCAGAAACAACCTTCTGGAACCAAAACTTATCATTTTTCTTACTATAGAAATTTGGTTCATAGTGTCACTATGTGGGTCAAGAACTGTTTAAGTGCTTTGCAGATAATAACAGGGAGCAAGACGGTGGAATCGTACTCTCCAGCAATCATATCCCTGTAGAAACATCAACTATAACAATTATCCATGTACAAAAGTACCTTCACAAGTGCTAAGGAAATCAAGTGAGAGATGACAATATCTGCATGTAGCATAGAAATAAGAAAAGGCACACTGAAGACAGAAAGAAGGACAATTTTATTCCAATACCAGGCCCATCACAGTAAAATTCAGCACCAGGCAGGGACCTATAACCCAACTCCAAGCTGGTCCTCACAGATTGAGCCTCCAGACCCACCCTGGCACCAGACTATACCCCACAGTCCCATGTTTTGAGGCCCACATGTTGGACTCAGTCTCTGGTTCTCCCCACTACCATGCCACCTTCAGTGGCCTTGGGTTCCAGACAGCCCTCCGTGGAAGACTAAGCCCAGTGACCCCAGGCTTTAAGCCCACCTAGCACCACACTACCCTTGGTAGTCACAAGCATTAGGCTGGCCCCCAGGGATACAAGCTCAAGGCAGATGCCAGCAGACCCAGTCAACAGGTTCACCCAAGTGGATCCAGGCCCTAGGCTGGACCAGCCAGCCTAAGTGCTGTAGCAGCAAGCTGGCCCATGAACTATTCCAGATGGTCTCACCAGAATATCTGGATAGGCTGACTAGTAAAGGGCTTTCCCAGACAAAGCCAGTCTGCAAAGTATGTAATTAATAATTACCTACTTCTTCAAATGCACAGACACCAAAGCATGGCCACAAGGATAAAAAATCATTAGGAAAACATGACATCACCAAAGGAACAAAATAAAGCACCCATCCCTGACCCTAAAGAAATAGAGTTGTATGAACTGACTGAGAAATAATTCACAATAACTTTTTTTTTAGAGGTAGGGTCCCACTATGTTGTCTCTGAACTCCTGGACTCAATAACAACACCTTAATTTCCTGAGTAGCTGGGACTACAGGTAAACACCACCACACCCAGGTTAAAAATAATTATTTTAAGGAAGCTTAGCAAACTTCATAAGATTACACAGGAACAACTCAACAACATATAGAAAATAATAAATGACTAAATTTAGAAATTTAACAAAGAGATTTAAATAATTTTTAAGAATTTGGAGGGAGTGGCCAAGATGGCTGACTAGAAGCAGCTAGAATGCATTGCTCTCACAGAGAGGTATGAAAAGGGTGAGTAAATACAGTACCTTCAATTGAAACATCCAGGTACTTGCATTGGGACTAATAAAGGAAACAACTCGACCCACGGAGAACAGAGAAAAGCAAGGAAGGACAATGGTCCACCCAGGAGTGACACAGAGCCAAGTGAACCTCCCCCACCCAGGGAAGTGGTGAGTGAATGTGTGACCACAGGAAACCACACTTCTCCCATGGATCTTTGCAACCCTTGGGGCAGGAGAACCCCTTGTGAACCCACTTCACCAGGGCCTTCAGTCTGACACACAGAGCTACATGGAGTCTTGGCAGAGTAGTCACTCAGGTATGCACAGAAACCCAGGAGCTTTAGATAGTCCAGCTCCAGGCTTTCCAGCAAAAGTAACTGCAATGCTGGCAAAGTGGGAGGTTAGACCCCCATATATACCCCTAGGAAAGAAGCTGAATCCAGGGCACCAAGCAGTGATAGTCTGGGGGTGCTACTTTCACGATGCCTCACAGGATAACATCCAGTGGCTTGGAATTCCAGCCAGCCACAGGTAGCAGTGTTGCACCTGAGATGAAGCTCTTGGAAGGAGGGGCAGGCCACTATGTTTGCTGTTTGGGCAACTTAGCCACTATAGCCTGCGGCTTTGGAGATTCCAAACTGACTGGAGGTGGAAGGGGTTCCCCAGCACAGCACAGCTACCCTACCAAAGGGTGGCCAGACTGCTTAAGCAGGTCCCTTATCTGTTCCTCCTCATTTGGCAAGACCTCCAAACTGGGGCCTCCAGCCACCCCGCTGGTGTTCTCCATGTGATAGAGATTAGAAAACTCCCTGGGAGAGAGCTCCCAAAGGGAAGGGTGGGCCACCATCTTTGCTGTTTGGGCCCCTTAGCCATTCCAGCCTACTGGCTTTGGAGAGCCCAAGCCAATCGGGGGCAGAGGCAGAAGCACAGCACAGCACAGCTTCTCTACAAAAGCATGACCAGACTGCTTCATTAAGTAGGTCCCGTATCTGTTCCTCCTCACTGGGTGGACTCTCCAAACCAGGTTCTCCAGCCAATCCCACCAGTGTTCTCCAGCGGACAGAGGTTTAAAAACTTCCTAAGACAGGCCGGGCGCGGTGGCTCACGCCTGTAATCCCAGCACTTTGGGAGGCCGAGGCAGGCGGATCACGAGGTCAGGAGATCGAGACCATCCCGGCTAAAACGGTGAAACCCCGTCTCTACTAAAAATACAAAAAATTAGCCGGGCGTAGTGGCGGGCGCCTGTAGTCCCAGCTACTTGGGAGGCTGAGGCAGGAGAATGGCGTGAACCCGGGAGGCGGAGCTTGCAGTGAGCCGAGATCCCACTACTGCACTCCAGCCTGGGCGACAGAGCGAGACTCCGTCTCAAAAAAAAAAAAAAAAAAAAAAAAAACTTCCTAAAACAGCTGAGTGCGGTGGCTCATGCCTGTAATCCCAGTACTTTGGGAGGCCGAGGCAGGTGGATCACAAGGTCAAGAGATTGAGAACATTTTGGCCAACATGGTGAAAGCCCGTCTCTACTAAAAATACAAAAATCAGTTGGGCATGGTGGCACACTGTAGTCCCAGCTTCTTGGGAGGCTGAGGCAGGAGAATTGCTTGAATCTGGGAGGCGGAGGTTGTAGTGAGCCGAGATTGCGCCACTGCACTCCAGCCTGGTGACAGAGCAAGACTCTGTCAAAAAACAAAAAACAAAAACAAAAACAAACAACAACAACAACAAAAAACTGAAAACAACAACAACAACAACAAACTTCCTAAGACAGAGCTCCCAGAGGGAGGAGCGGGCCGCCATCTTTGCTGTTTGGGTGACTTAGTCATTCCATCCTCTGGGCTCTGGATAGCCCAAGCTGACCAGGGGCAGAGGTGGCACCCCAGCACAATACATCCGCTCTACAAAACCATGGCCAGACTGCTTCTTTAAGTGGGTTCCCAATCCTGTTCCTTGTCGTTGGATGGAACCTCCCAACCAGGGCCTCCAGCCACCCCCATCAGTGTTCTCTGGCCTACACAGATTTGAAAACTCCCTGAGATGGTACTCCCAGAGGGAGGGGCAGGCTGCCATCTTTGCTGCTTGGGCAACTTAGCAGTACCAGCCTTCGGGCTTTAGAGAGCCCCAGCTGACTGGGGGTAAAAGTGGTACCCCAGCACAGCACAACACCCCCACAAAAACATGGTCAGACTGCTTTTTTAAGCGTGTCCCCAACCCCATTCCTATTCATCCTGTGGGGCCTCCCAACTGGGGTCTCTGGCTACCACCACTGGTGTTCTCTGGCTGACAGAGGTTTTGGCAACATATCCTTGCCATGTCTGAGGCAACAAGGGGCTGAAGTGGACTCCCCAGCACAGGATGGCTACTCTATGAAAACATGGCCAGACTACTTTGTTAAGTGGGTTCCCAATCCCATTCCTCATGACTGGATGAGACCACCAAATTAGGGTCTCCAGCCATGTCCTGCAGGTGCATTCAGGCTGGCAGCTGGTCCTTACCTCCCTGGGATGGCACTCCCAGGAGAAGGGGCAGGCTGGCATCTTAGCTGCTTCACAGACTTCACTGACGATAACTCCAAATACTGGAAAATCCAAGGCAACTAGAAACTGCAGTGGACCCCCAGCATACCACAAGCAGACCTACAGAAAAGTGGCCAGACTGTTAAGGAAAAATAAAAACCATCTAAAGGTCAGCAACCTCAAAAACTGAATGTAGATAAGCACACAAAGATGAGAAAGCATCAGTTAAATGATGGTTCTAGAATGCTAAAAACTCAAAAAGCCAGAATGCGCTCTTTCTTCCAAATGACTGCAATACCTCTCCAGCAAGACTCTGGAACCAGACTGAGGCTGAGATGGCTGAAGTAGAATTCAGAATATGGACAGGAACAAAGATCACTGAGCTAAAGAAGTACATTGTAACCCAATGAAAGGAAGCTAAAAATCATCTTAAAACATTGCAGGAGCTGACAGACAAAATAGCCAGTAAAGAGAAGAATGTAACGACCTGATAGAGTTGAAAGACACACTAGAAGAATTTCATAATGCAATCACAAGTATTAATAGCAGAATAAACCAAGCAGAGAAAAAAATCTCAGAGCTTGAAGACTGCCTTTCGGAAATAAAACAAGCAGACAAGAATAAAGAGAATTAAAGAAAAGAACAAAATATCTGAGAAATATGGGATTATGTAAAGAGACTGAATCTATGACTGATTGGTGTACCTGAAAGAGATGGAGAGAATGGAGCCAACTTGAAAAACATATCTCAGAATATCATCCATGAGAACTTCCCCAACCTAGCTAGAGAAGCCAACATTAAAATTCAGGAAATTCAGAGAACCCTAGTAAGATCCACGAGAAGATCATCCCCAAGACACATCATCAGATTCTTCAAGGTCAAAATGAAAGAAAAAATGTTAAAGGCGGTGATATGGTTTGGCTGTGTCCCCACCCAAATCTCACCTTGAATTGTAGTTCCCATAATCCCCACATGTCGTGGGAAGTGATTGAATCATGGGGGCAGTTACCCCTATGCTGCTGTTCTTGTGGTAGTGAGTAAGTTCTCACGAGATTTGATGGTTTCAAAAGGGGCTTTCCTGCCTTTTGTTTGGCACTTCTCCTTCCTGTCACCATGTGAAGACAAACATGCTTGCTTCCCCTTCTACCATGATTGTAAGTTTCCTGAGGCCTTCACAGTCATGCTGAACTGTGAGTGAATTAAATCTCTTTCCTTTATAAATTACCCAATCTTAGGTATGTCTTTATTAGCAGTGTGAGAATGAACTCATACAGGCAGCTAGAAAGGCCAGGTCACCCACAAAGGGAAACCCATCAGATTAACAGTGGAGCTCTCAGTGGAAACCCTACAAATCAAAAGAGATTGGAGGCCAATATTCAACATACTTGAAGAAAAAAAGTTCCAACCCAGAATTTCATATCTGGCCAAACTAAGCTTCATAGGTGAAGGAGAAATAAGGCCCTTTTCAGACAAGCAAATGCTCAGAGAATTTGTTACCACCAGACCTGCCTTATAGGAGCTCCTAAAGGAAGCATTAATATAAAAATGAAAGACCATTACCAACTACTGTAAAAACACACTGAAGTACACAGACCAGTGACACTATATGGCAACCACATTAACAAGTCTGCAAAATAACCAGCTAACATCATGATGATAGGTTCAAATCCACACATACCAATACTAACCTTAAATGTAAACGGACTAAGTGTCCCAATTAAAAAACACAGAGTGGTAAGCTGGGATAAAGAGTCAAGACCCATTGGTATGCTGTCTTCAAGAGACCCATCTCACATGCAATGACACACATAGGCTAAAAATAAAAGGAGGAAAGAAAATCTACGAAGCAAATGGAAAACAGAAAATAGCAGGGGTTGCAATCCTAGCTTCTGACAAAACAGACTTTAAACCAACAAAGATAAAAAAGACAAAGAAGGACATTACATAATGTTAAAGGGTTCAATTCAACAAGAAAACCTAACTATCCTAAATATATGTGCACCCAAGACTGGAGCACCTAGATTTATAAAGAAAGTTTCTAGAGACCTTGCCACAATAATAGTGGGAAACTTTAACACCCCACTGACAATATGTCTAATAGACAGAAAGTTAACAAAGATATTCACAACCCGAGCCCAGCACTGGATCAAATGGACCTGAGACATACCCACAGAACTCTCCACACAAAAACAATAGAATATACTTCTTTTCATCACCGCATGGCACTTACTCTAAAATAGATCACATAATCAGGAGTAAAACACTCCTCAGCAAATGCAAAAGACCTGAAATCATAACAAACTGTCTTTCACAACACAGCAAAATGAAATCCACAATCAAAACCAAGAAATTCACTCAAATCCATACAATGACACTGAAATGGAATAAGCTGCTCCTGAATGACTTTTGGGTAAATAATGAAATTAAGGCAGAAATCAAGAAGTTTTTTGAAATTAATGAGGACAAATATACAATGTACCAGAATCTCTGAGACATAGCTAAGGCAGTATTAAGAGGAAAATTTATAGCACTAAATGCCCACATCAAAAAGCTAGAAAGATCTCAAGTTAACAACCTAACATCACAACTAAAAGACCTAGAGAACTAAGAGTAAACAAATCCCAAAGTTAGCAGGAGACAAGAAATAACCAAAATCAGAGTGAACTGAAGGAGAAAGAGACATGAAAAACCATTCAAAAGACCAATGAATCCAGGAGCTGGGTTTTTTGAAAAAAATTAATAAAAGAGACACTGCTAGCTAGACGAATAAAGTAGAAAAGGGAGAGTATTCAAATAAATGCAATCAGAAATAACAAGTGAGATATTATCACTGACCCCACAGAAATACAAACAACTATCAGAAAACATTATGAATACCTCTACAGACATAAGCTAGAAAATCTAGAAGAAATGGATACATTCCTGGACACACACACCCTCCCAAGACTAAACCAGGAAGAAATTGAATCCCTGAACAGACCAAAAATGAGTTCTAAAATTGAGGCAGTAATTAAGTCTATCATCCAAAAAAACCCCAGGACCAGATGGATTCACAGTTGAATTCTACCAGATGAACAAAGAAGGGCTGGTACCATTCCTGCTGAAACTAATCCAAAAACTTAAAAATGAAGGACTCCTCCCTAAGTCATTCTATGAGGCCAGCATCATCCTGATACCAAAACCCGGCAGAGATACAACCAAAAAAGGAAACTTCAGGCCAGTATCCTTGATGAACACCAGTGCAAAAGTCCTCAACAAAATACCAGGAAACTGAATCCAGCAGCACTGGGCTGAAAAGGCTTATCCACCATGATCAAGTAGGCTTCATCCCCAAGATGCAAAGTTGGTTCAATATACACAAATCAATACATGTGACTCATCACATAAACAGAACTAAAGACAAAAACCACAGGATTATCTAAGAGATGCAGAAAATGCCTTTAATGCGATTCAACATCCTTCATGTTAAAAACTCTCAATAAATTAGGTATTGAAGGAACATATCTCAAAATAATAAGAGCCATCTCTGACAAACCCGCAGCCAACATTATACTGAATGGGCAAAAGCAGGAAGCATTCCCCTTAAAAACTGGCAGAAGAAAAGGATGTACTCTTTCACCACTCCTATTCAACACAGTATTGCAAGTTCTGACCAGGGCAACTGAGCAAGAGAAAAAAATAAAGGGCATCCACATATGAAGTCAAAGTATCCCTGTTTGCAGATGGCATGATCCGATATTTAGAAAACTCCACTGTCTTGGCCCAAAAGCTTCTTTTTTTTTTTTTTTTTTTTGAGACGGAGTCTCGCTCTGTCGCCCAGGCTGGAGTGCAGTGGCGGGATCTCGGCTCACTGCAAGCTCCGCCTCCCGGGTTCACGCCATTCTCCTGCCTCAGCTTCCCAAGTAGCTGGGACTACAGGCGCCCGCCACTACACCCGGCTAATTTTTTGTATTTTTAGTAGAGACAGGGTTTCACCGTTTTAGCCGGGATGGTCTCGATCTCCTGACCTCGTGATCCGCCCGCCTCGGCCTCCCAAAAGCTTCTTAAGCTGATAATTTCAGCAAAGTCTCAGAATAGAAAATCAACGTGCAAAAATAACTAGCATTCCTATACACCAACAACAATCAAGCTGATAGCCAAATCATAAATGAACTACCATTCACAATTGCCACAAAAGGAATAAAATACCTAGGAATACAGTTAACTAGGGAGGTAAAAGATCTCTACAAGGAGAACTACAAACCACTGCTCAGGGAAATCAGAGAGGATACAAACAAATGGAGAAACATTCCATGCTCATGGATAGGAAGAATCAGTATTGTGAAAATGGCTATACTGCCCAAAACAATTTTAGATTCAATGCTATTTCCATTAAACTACCATTGACATTCTTCACAGAACTAGAGAAAACTATTTAAAGATTCAAGTGAAACCAGAAAAAGAACCCAAATAGCCAAGACAATCCAATCAAAGAGAACAAAGCTGGAGGCATCACACTACCCATCTTCATACTACACTACAGGGCTACACTAACCAAAACAGCAAGGTACTGGTACAAGAAAAGGCACATAGACCAAGGGAACAGAACAGAAAGCCCAGAAATAGGACCACACACCTACAACTATCAGATCTTCAACAAACCTGACAAAGACAAGCAATGGGGAAAGGAATCCCTATTCAATAAATGATGCTGGGATAACTGGCTAGCCATATGCTGAAGATTGAAATTGAACCCCTTCCTTATACCATATACAAAAATTTTCTCAAGATGAATTAAAGACTTAAATGTAAAACCCCAAACTATAAAAGCCCTGGAAGATGACCTAGGCAATACCATTCAGGACATAGGCATGGGCAAAGATTTCATGATGAAGATGCCAAAAGCAATTGCAATAAAAGCAAAAATTGACAAATGGAATCTAATTAAACTAAAGAGCTTCTGCACAGCAAAAGAGACTATCAACAGAGTAAACAGCCCAGAGAATGGGAGAAAATTTTTGCAAACTAGTCATCTAACAGAGATCTAATATCCAGCATCTATAAGGAATGTAAACAAATTTACAAGAAAAATCAAACAACTCAATAAAAAAGTGGGTAAAGGACATCAACAGTCACTACATGCAGCCGACAATCACATGAAAAAAAAGCTCAACATCACTGATCATTAGAGAAATGCAAATCAAAACCACAATGAGCTACCATCTAACACCAGTCAGGATGGCTATTACTAAAGAGTCAAAAAATAACCGATGCTGGTGAGGTTGTGGAGAAAAAGGAACACTTATACACTGTTGATGAGAGTGTAAATTAGTTCAGCCATTGTAGAAGACAGCGTGGCGATTCCTCAAAGACCTAAAGATGAAACTACCATTTGACCCAGCAATGCCATTACTGGGTATATGCACAAAGGAATATAAATCATTCTATTATAAAGACACATGCATACATATATCCATTGCAGCACTGCTCACAATAGTAAAGACATGGAATCAACCTAAATGCCCATCAATGATAGACTAGATAAAGAAAATATGGTATGTATACACTATGGAATATTATGCAGCCATAAAAAGAATGAGATCATGTTCTGTGCAGGGACATGGATGAAGCTGGAGGCCATTGTCCTTAGCAAATTAATGCAGGAATAGAAAACCAAATACCACATGTTCTCACTTATAAGCAGGAGCTAAATGATGAGAGCACATGGACACATAGAGGGGAACAACACACACTGGGGCCTACTGGAGGGTGGAGAGTGGGATGAGGGAGAGAGGAAAAATAACTAATGGATTAATACCTGGCTGATGAAATAATCCATATAACAAACTCCTTTGACACATGTTTACCTATGTAACAAACCTGCACATTCTGCACATGTTCCCCTGAACTTAAAAGTAAAAAAAGACACATGTACACACGTTTATAGCAGCACATTTTACAATTGCAGAAATATGGAAACAATCTAAGTGCCCATCAACCAATGAGTGGGTAAATTAAATGTGGTATACACACACCATGGAATAATACTCAACCATAAAAAGCAGCAAAATAATGTCTTTTGCAGAAACTTGGATGGAACTGGAGGCCATTATTCTAAGTGAAGTAACCCAGGAATGGAAAACCAAATATCATATGTTCTCACTTATAAGTGGGAGCTAAGCTATAAGGATGCAAAGGCGTAAGAACAATATAATAAACTTTGGGACTCAGGTGGGAAGGGTGGGAGGGGGGTGTGAGATAAAAGACTACATATTGGGTACAGTGTATACAGCTCAGTTGACAGGTGCACCAAAATTTCAGAAATCACCACTAAAGAACTTATCCATGTAACCAATAACCACTTGTACCCCCAAAACTATCGAAATAAAAATACATAATAAAAATAAATTAAAAATTTAAAAATGAAGACTGAAAACTGTAAAACTTCTAGAAGAAGACAGGGGCAAAGCTCCATGATGTTGGCCTAAAAAATGATTTCTTGGATATGACCCTGAAAACACAAGCAACAAAAGCAAAATGAGATGAATAGGATTACATCAAACTAAAAATCTTCTGCAAACCAAAGGAAACAATTCACAGACTGAAGGGACAACCTATGAATTTGGAGAAAATATTTTGCAAGCTATACATCTGATAAGGGGATAATTTATAAGCAACTCAAATACCTTTACAGAAAGAAAACAAACAATCCAATAAAAAGTAGATATGTCTCAAAAGGAGACATACAAATGGCCAACAGATATATGAAAAAAATGCTCAATATCACTAATCACTAGGGAAATTCAAGTTAAAATCACAGTGAGTCATCACCTCACACCTGTCAGAATAGTTATTATCAAAATGATGAAAGTACATGTGGCAAGGATTTGGAGAAAGAAGGACAGTTGAACACTGTTGTTTGGAATATAATTTCATACTGCCCTTTTGGAAAACTGTATGGAGGTTCCTCAAAAAACTAAAAATAGAATTACCACATGATCCAACAATCTCACTTCTGGGTATTTACCCAAAAGATCTGAAATAAGTATGTCAGAGATGTCTGCACTTCCATGTTCCTTTTAGCACTATTCACTTATGGACAATTGTGGACACTATGTGTCTATCAACAGATGAATGGACAAATAAAATGTAGTATATGTACACAATAAAATACTATTCAGCTTTAAAAAAGAAATTCATTCTGTCATTTGTGTCAATATGGATGCAACTGGAAGACATGCTAAATAAAATAAGCTAGGCACAGCAAGGCACAGAAAGACAAATATCACATGTTCTCAATTACATGTAGTATCTCAAACAGTGGAATTCATAAAAGAAGAGAGTAGAATGGTGTTTACTAAAGGCTATGGGTGGGGGAAATGGAATGATGGTCAAAGGGTGCAAAGCCTCAGATGGGAGGAGTAAGATTTGTGTGTTGTTGTTGGTTTTTTTTTTTGAGATGCATTGCACAGCATGGTGAATATATTTAATAATAGTGTACTGTGCATTTCAAAATCACCAAGAGAATAAATTTCAAATGTCTTTATCATAAAAATGATAAGTATTTGAGATGATGGATATGTTAATTAGCTTAATTATTCCTTATGTTCATAAATCATTACATCACTTTGTACCCTATAAATATATACAACAATATAAATATATACAACAATGTAAAACCCCAAACTATAAAAACCCTGGAAGATGTCCTAGGCAATACCATTCAGGACATAGGCATGGGCAAAGATTTCATGATGAATTTGTTCATTTGCAATAAAACTTTTCAAAAAGACAAAAAATAAAATTAAGAAACAGCTTTGCAACCATTAACTTAATTCCACAACCATTCTAGGTAAGGTAATAATATTATCCCCAATTTACCTTTGAGGAAACTGTGGTACAGACAGGGTATCTACATTAATACCTTCCTTCAAATAGTAAACAGAACAGCTAGGTTTTTAAAAAAATCATTTGTGCTGAAACATAATTTGTATATAGAAAAATGCTAATTGTTTATTTTGATGAGTTTTAACACACTCATACATATTTGTAACTACCTCCATAAACAAAATATAGAAAACTTCACTGTCCTAGAAAGATGCCTTGTGACCCATCCCAATCTCCTCCCAACCCTGGCTTCAGAAAACAATCTGTCTAGTTATTGTTGCTATAGATTAAATTTGTCTTGTCAAGTTTCATATATGAGTACATGGAATCACATAGTAGGTACTCCTTTGTGTCTGGCTTCTTTTGTTCAACATGTTTTTGATATTCATCCAAGTTGTTGCATGTAGTAGCTTGTTCTTTTTTTTAATGCTGCATACTATTCTAATACATGAATATATCAAATTTTTCTTATCTGTTCACCTATTGATATACACTTGGATTGTTTTCAGGTTTTGGCAATTGCAAATAAAGCTTCTCTGACCACTTGGGTGCAAGTCTTTGGGTGGACTTGTTTTCATTTTTAATGGGTGAATAATGTGGAATGGAACTGATGGATTAAATGGTGAGTATTTAACTTTAAAAGTAATTGCCAGTTTTCCAAAGTGACTGTACCATTTTGCATTATCATCTGCAATGTATGAAAATTCTAGTTTCTCCATAACCTTTTTAACATCTGATATTGTCAGTATTTTAATTTTAGCCATTCCAATGGCTATATAGTGAATTGTCATTGGAGTTTTAAAGTACATATCCTTGATGACTATGATGTTTAGCACAGGTTGTATCTGTCATCTGCTTTTATTAAATGTCTGATCAAATACTTTGCCCACTTTTTACTGGGTTGTCTTGTTATTTTTATTGGTACTTTGTCTGGTAAGAGTTCTTCCTTATGTATGCTGGATACAAGTCCTTTGTTAGATACACAAAATCCAAAGAGATTTTTCTCATTCTAAAAATGTTATTCCATTGTCTTCTTGTTTACATAATTTCTCACCAGAAGTCTGTGAAATTTCTTTTTTTTTTCTTTTTTATTCTTTATCTTTTTTTGGGGAGGAGGTCTTGCTGCATTTACAATTTTCTCCTTTTCACTTGTTTTCAGTAATTTTATCATGTTTTGGGCATTGTTTTCTTTTTTCGTTTTCATTGGATTTCATTGAGCGCTCCTCAGATCTATTGGTTTATACTTTTCATCAAATCTGGAAACTATTTCATCATTTTTCAGATAACTTTTGTCTCTCCACCTTCTCATTTCCCATAGAACTATAATTACACATATGATAGATCACTTGGTATTATCCCACAGGCAACTGAGTCTCTGTTTTTGTTTGATTTCTTAGTCTTCTTTCATCCCTGTGCTTCCTTTGCAATTGATTCTATTTCTATTATTTCAAGTTCAGATTTTTTTCTGCAGTGTCTAATCAATTAATCTCATCAAGTGAAGTTTTCATTTAAGATACAGTCAGCCCTCCATGTCTGTGGCTTTCGCATCCATAGATTCAACCAACCACAAATGGAAAGTGTTTTTAAAAAACAACAAAAAAATTATAACAATAAAAAATAATACAAGTAAAAACCTACCATATAAAAATTAGTTACACAGCATTTACATTGTATTTGGTATTATAAGTAATCTAGAGGTGATTTAAAGTATACAGGAGGATGTGCATAGGTAGGTTATATGCAAATACATGATTTACATAAGGGACTTGAGTATCTATGGATTTTGGTATCCTTGGAGCCCTGAAACAAATCCTCCACAAATACAAAAGGATGACTATATTGTATTTTTCATCTCTTTAAGTTTTGCTATTTTGCTTTTTTTAAATATCTTTCATTTGTCTGTTATGTTCATGTTTTCATTTAAATACTTCTACATAAATATATAATCTGTTTTAGTGTCTTTTTCTGTTAGCCCCATCTCGTCATTTCTGTTTCCATTTATTTTTTTTCTCTTAGTTGTAGGTCACATTTTACTGCTTCTGGGCATATTTAGTAATTTCTGGTTGACAACCAAGCATTGTCAGTGTTACATGTTACGTATCTGATTTTTGCTGTTTTCATTTAAAGAGTGTTGTCTTTCATTTTTTCAGGTAATTAAATGCAGAACAATTTGATCTCTTTGAGGTCTATCTTTAATCTTTGGAAGGGTAGTTATAAAATGGACTTTCCTTTAGGGATAGTTAGCTCTATTGCTAAGGTTTACTCATTTGGGGTCCACACTGAATGCCTTGTATAATTGTTGAGACCCTCCACTCTGAGCAGTGAGAACTTGGTGATTTCAAAAGATTGTTCTGCTTACAATTAGTGGTTCCAATTCATCTTTGTGAACTTTCACTCTATGAACATTCTGCCTACTGAGTCACAGGACCCCAGGGCAGATTTCTGGGGCTTTTTTTTTCTTCATAGCTTCCTTCTTTATAGGACTCTGCCCTAAAAATTTCAGCCATATCCTCAACTTATTGAGGCCAGTTCCCCCTCCCTGTACATATTTGCAGTCCAAAAACTATCCCCAGGCAGAAATCCTCTCTCTCACTTGTTTCCCTGATTTCAAGAATCATAATCCTGTACTACCTGTTAATCAGACACTAATCAGTGTCTGAAGGTATTTATTTATTTATTTCTCTTTCTTTCTCTCTCTCTCTCTCTTTTTGAGATACAGTCTTATTCTGTTGACCATGCTGGAGTGCAGTGGCACAATCCACTCACTGCAGCCTCAACTTCCTGGGATCAAGCCATCCTCACACCTCAGTCTCCTGAGTAGCTGGGACCACAGGTGTGCACCACCATGCCTGACTAATTTTTTTGCATTTTTTGTAGAGATGGGTTTTCACCACATTGCCCAGGCTAGTCTCAAACTCTTCAGCTCAAGCATTCCATCCGCCTCGGCCTCCCAAATTGCTGGCATTACAGAGGCATGAGCCAATGTACCCAGCCAGTATTTCTTTCCTTTATTTTATTTAGTTGTTTATGGAAGGAGGTTAAGTCCAGTCTTTGTTTCTCCATCATGGCTAGATCACAGATTTTGAACATAGGCAGTCTCACATCATAATCAATGTTCTAAACATTACATTCTCATTCCTGTCTATATAGCTAAATGGATGAAGATGAACTTTCTGGGAGTATGTAATTTAAGTGCTATATAAGGACTTTCAAAATAGAATATACAGCCAGGTGTGGTGGCTTGTGCCTATAATCCTAGCTATTCAGGAGGCTGAAAGGATCACTTGAGGCCAGGAGTTAGAGATCAGCCTGGGCAACATAACAAGACCCCATCTTTAAAAAACAATAATCTAGGATCCAAGATGGCCGTATAGGAACAGCTCCAGTCTACAGCTCCCAGCATGAGCGACGCAGAAGATGGGTGATTTCTGCATTTCCAACTGAGGTACTGGGTTCATCTCACTGGGCAGTGTCAGCAGTGGGTGCAGGACAGTGGGTGCTGCGCACCGAGCATGAGCCAAAGCAGAGTGAGGCACGGCCTCACCCAGGAAGCGCAAGGGGTCAGGGAATTCCTTTTCCTAGTCAAAGAAAGGGGTGACACACGGCACCTGGAAAATCGGGTCACTCCCACCCTAATACTGTGCTTTTCCAATGGACTTAGCAAATGGCACACCAGGAGATTGTATCCAGCGCCTGGCTCAGAGGGTCCTACGCCCACGGAGCCACGCTCATTGCTAGCACAGCAGTCTGAGACCAAACTGCAAGGCAGCAGTGAGGCTAGGGGAGGGGCACCTGCCATTGCCGAGGCTTGAGTAGGTAAACAAAGCAGCTGGGAAGCTCGAACTGGGTGGGGCCCACCACAGCTCAAGGAGGGCTGCCTGCCTCTGTAGACTCCACCTCTGGGGGCAGGGCATAGCCAAAACAAAAGGCAGCAGAATCCTCTGCAGACTTAAATGTCCCTGTCTGACAGCTTTGAAGAGAGTAGTGGTTCTCCTAGCATGCAGCTGGAGATCTGAGAAGGGACAGACTGCCTCCTCAAGTGGTTCCCTGACCCCCAAGTAGCCTAACTGGGAGGTAGCCCCAGTAGGGGCAGACTGACACCTCACACGGCCAGGTACTCCTCTGAGACAAAACTTCCAGAGGAATGATCAGGCAGCAACATTTGCTGTTCACCAATATCCGCTGTTCTGCAGTGTCTGCTGCTGATACCCAGGCAAACAGGGTCTGGAGTGGACCTCCGGCAAATTCCAACAGACCTGCAGCTGAGGGTCCTGACTGTTAGAAGGAAAACTAACAAACAGAAAGGACATCCACACTAAAACCCCATCTGTACATCACCATCATCAAAGACCAAAGGTAGATAAAACCACAAAGATAGGGAAAAAACAGAGCAGAAAAACTGGAAACTCTAAAAATCAGAGTGCCTTGCCTCCTCCAAAGGAACACAGCTCCTCACCAGCAACCGAACAAAGCTGGATGGAGAATGACTTTGACGAGTTGAGAGAAAAAGGCTTCAGACGATCAAACTACTCTGAGCTAAAGGAGGAAGGTCGAACCAATGGCAAAGAAGTTAAAACCCTTGAAAAAAAATTAGACAAATGGCTAACTAGAATAACCAATGCAGAGAAGTTCTTAAAGGACATGATGGAGCTGAAAACCAAGGCATGAGAACTATGTGACGAATGCACAAGCCTCAGTAGTTGATTCGATCAACTGGAAGAAAGGGTATCAGTGATGGAAGATCAAATGAATGCAATGAAGTAAGAAGAGAAGTTTAGAGAAAAAAAAATAAAAAGAAATGAACAAAGCCTCCAAGAAATATGGGACTATGTGAAAAGACCAAATCTACATCTGATTGGTAACAGGGAGAATGGAACCAAGTCGGAAAACACTCTGCAGGATATTATCCAGGAGAACTTCCCAATCTAGCAAGGCAGGCCAACATTCAACTTCAGCAAATACAGAGAACGCCACAAAGATACTCCTCGAGAAGAGCAACTCCAAGACACATAATTGTCAGATTCACCAAAGTTGAAATGAAGGGAAAAATGTTAAGGGCAGCCAGAGAGAAAGGTCGGGTTACCCACAAAGGGAAGCCCATCACACTAACAGCTGGTCTCTCGGCAGAAACTCTGCAAGTCAGAAGAGAGTGGGGGCCAATATTCAACATTCTTAAAGAAAAGAATTTTCAACCTAGAATTTCATATCCAGCCAAACTAAGCTCCATAAGTGAAGGAGAAATAAAATCCTTTACAGACAAGCAAATGCTGAGAGATTTTGTCACCACCAGGCCTGCCCTAAAAGAGCTCCTGAAGGAAGCACTAAACATGGAAAGGAACAACTGGTACCAGCCACTGCAAAAACATGCCAAATTGTAAAGACCATCGAGGCTAGGAAGAAACTGCATCAACTAAAGAGCAAAATAACCAGCTAACATCATAATAACAGGATCGAATTCACACATAACGATATTAACCTGAAATGTAAATGGGCTAAATGCTCCAATTAAAAGACACACACTGGCAAAATGGATAAAGAGTCAAGACCCATCAGTGTGCTGTATTCAGGAAACCCATCTCATGTGCAGAGACACACATAGGCTCAAAATAAAGGGATGGAGGAAGATCTACCAAGCAAATGGAAAACAAAAAAAGGCAGGAGTTGCAATCCTAGTATCGGATAAAACAGATGTTAAACCAACAAAGATCAAAAGAGACAAAGGAGGCCATTACATAATGGTAAAGGGATCAATTCAACAAGAAGAGCTAACTATCCTAAATATCTATGCAGCCAATACAGGAGCACCCAGATTCATAAAGCAAGTCCTTGGAGACCTACAAAGAGACTTAGACTCCCACACAATAATAATGGGAGACTTTAACACCCCACTGTCAACATTAGACACATCAACAAGACAGAAAGTTAACAAGGATATCCAGCAATTGAACTCAGCTCTGCACCAAGCGGACCTAATAGACATCTACAGAACTCTCCACCTCAAATCAACAGAATATACATTCTTCTCAGCACCACACCTATTCAAAAATTGACCACATAGTTGGAAGTAAAGCTCTCCTCAGCAAATGTAAAAGAATAAAAATTATAACAAACTGTCTCTCAGACCACAGTGCCATCAAACTAGAACTCAGGATTAAGAAACTCACTCAAAACCGCTCAACCACATGGAAACTGAACAACCTGCTCCTGAATGACTACTGGGTACATAACGAAATGAAGGCAGAAATAAAGATGTTCTTTGAAACCAACGAGAACAAAGACATAACATACCAGAATCTCTGCGAAACATTCAAAGCAGTGTGTAGAGGGAAATTTATAGCACTAAATGCCCACAAGAGAAAGCAGGAAAGATCCAAAATTGACACCCTAACATCACAATTAAAAGAACTAGAGAAGCAAGAGCAAACACATTCAAAAGCTTTCAGAAGGCAAGAAATAACTTAGATCAGAGCAGAAATGAAGGACATAGAGACACAAAACACCCTTCAAAAAATCAATGAATCCAGGAGCTGGTTTTTTGAAAAGATCAACAAAATTGATAGACCACTAGCAAGACTAATAAAGAAGAAAAGAGAGAAGAATCAAATAGACGCAATAAAAAATGACAAAGGGGATATCACCACCAATCCCACAGAAATACAAACTACCATCAGAGAATACTATCAACACTTCTACACAAATAAACTAGAAAATCTAGAAGAAATGGATAAATTCCTTGACACACACACCCTCCCAAGACTAAACCAGGAAGAAGTTGAATCTCTGAATAGACCAGTAACAGGCTCTGAAATTGAGGCAATAATTAATAGCCTACCAACCAAAAAAAGTCCAGGACCAGATGGTTTCACAGCCGAATTCTACCAGAGATACAAGGAGGAGCTGGTACCATTCCTTCTGAAAGTATTCCAATCAACAGAAAAAGAGGGAATCCTCCCTAACTCATTTTATGAGGCCAGCATCATCCTGATACCAAAGCCTGCCAGAGACACAACAAAAAAAAGAGAATTTTAGACCAATATCCCTGATGAACATCAATGCAAAAATCCTCAATAAAATACTGGCAAACTGAATCCAGCAGCATATCAAAAAGCTTATCCACCATGATCAAGTGGGCTTCATGCCTGGGATGCAAGGCTGTTTCAACATACGAAAATCAATAAACGTAATCCAGCATATAAACAGAACCAACGACAAAAACCATATGACTATCTCAATAGATGTAGAAAAGGCCTTTGACAAAATTCAACAACCCTTCATGCTAAGAACTCTCAATAAATTAGGTATTGATGGGACATATCTCAAAATAACAAAAGCTATCTATGGCAAACCCACAGCCAATATCATACTGAATGGGCAAAAACTGGAAGCATTCCCTTTGAAAACTGGCACAAGACAGGGATGCCCTCTCTCACCACTCTTATTCAACATAGTGTTGGAAGTTCTGGCCAGGGCAGTCAGGCAAGAGAAGGAAATAAAGGGTATTCAATGAGGAAAAGAGGAAGTCAAATTGTCCCTGTTTGCAGATGACATGATTGTATATCTAGAAAACCCCATTGTCTCAGCCCAAAATCTCCTTAAGCTGATAGGCAACTTTAGCAAAGTCCCAGGATACAAAATCAATGTGCAAAAATCAAAAGCATTCTTATACACCAATAACAGACAGAGAGCCAAATCATGAGCGAACTTCCATTCACAATTGCTGCAAGGAGAATAAAATACCTAGGAATCCAACTTACAAGGGATGTGAAGGACCTCTTCAAGGAGAACTACAAACCACTGCTCAATGAAATAAAAGAGGATACAAACAAATGGAAGAACATTCCATGCTCATGGGTAGGAAGAATCAATATCGTGCAAATGGGCATACTGCCCAAGGTAATTTATAGATTCAATGCCATCCCCATCAAGCTACCAAAGACTTTCTTCACAGAATTGGAAAAAAACTACTTTAAAGTTCCTATGGAACCAAAAAAGGGCCCGCATTGACAAGTCAATCCTAAGTCAAAAGAACAAAGCTGGACACATCACGCTACCTGACTTCAAACTATACTACAAGGCTACAGTAACCGAAACAGCATGGTACTGGTACCAAAACAGAGATATAGACCAACGGAACAGAACAGAGCCCTCAGAAATAATTCCACATATCTACAACCATCTGATCTTTGACAAACCTGACAAAAACAAGAAATGGGGAAAGTATTCCCTATTTAATAAATGGTGCTGGGAAAACTGGCTAGCCATATGTAGAAAGCTGAAACTGGATCCCTTCCTTACACCTTATACAAAAATTAATTCAAGATGGATTAAAGACTTAAATGTTAGACCTAAAACCATAAGAACCCTAGAAGAAAACCTAGGCAATACCATTCAGGACATAGGCATGGGCAAGGACTTCATATCTAAAACACCAAAAGCGATGGCAACAGAAGCCAAAATTGACAAATGGGATCTAATTAAACTAAAGAGCTTTTGCACAGCAAAAGAAACTACCATCAGAGTGAACAGGCAACCTACAGAATGGGAGAAAATTTTTGCAATCTACTCATCTGACAAAGGGCTAATATCAAGAATCTACAATGAACTCAAACAAATTTACAAGCAAAAAACAACCCCATCAAAAAGTGGGCGAAGGATATGAACAGACACTTCTCAAAAGAAGACATTTATGCAGCCAAAAGACATGAAAAAATGCTCATCATCACTGGCCTTCAGAGAAATGCAAATCTAAACCACAATGAGAAACCATCTCACACCAGTTAGAATGGCAATCATTAAAAAGTCAGGAAACAACAGGTGCTGGAGAGGATGTGGAGAAATAGGAGCACTTTTACACTGTTGGTGGGGCTGTAAAGTAGTTCAACCATTGTGGAAGTGAGTGTGGTGATTCCTCAGGGATCTAGAACTAGAAATACCGTTTGACCCAGGCATCCCATTACTGGGTATATACCCAAAGGATTATAAATCATGCTGCTATAAAGACACATGCACATGTATATTTATTGCAGCACTATTCACAATAGCAAAGACTTGGAACTAAGCCAAATATCCAACAATGATAGACTGGATTAAGAAAATGTGGCACATATATACCATGGAATACTATGCAGCCATAAAAAATGATGAGTTCATGTCCTTTGTGGGGACATGGATGAAGCTGGAAACCATCATTCTCAGCAAACTATCGCAAGGACAAAAAACCAAACACCACATGTTCTCACTCATAGGTGGGAACTGAACAACGAGAACACATGGAAACAGGAAGGGGAACATCACACAACAGGGCCTATTGTGTGGTGGGGGAGGGGGGAGGGATAGCATTAGGAGATATACCTAATATTAAATGACGAGTTAATGGGTGCAGCACACCAACATGGCACATGTATACATATGTAACTAACCTGCACGTTGTGCACATGTACCCTAAAATTTAAAGTATAATAAAAATAAATAAATAAATAAAAATAAAAAAATAATTTAGCTATGGTTGTACATGCCTGTAGTCCCAGCTATTCTGGAGGCTCAGGTGGGAGGATCACTTGAGTTTGAGGTTACAGTAAACTATGATTGCCACTGCACTATAGCCCCCATCACTGCAAATAAAGAAAAGACATACTTCTATTTCAGTAATAGTCTAGAACTGAAAGTACTAAGCTATCTCAGTGAACACTAACTGTTGGGTAAGGGAGTGGGAGTTAGTTTGTTCCAACATCTCATTTTTGAAGAAGGGGAGAATTAGAAAACGACACCATTCTTGAGATCTCATTTTACTGGCATGAGGAAATGCTATGTAGAAATACGGCATCTTAGAGGATAAACATTTTGTTTCCTCTTAATAGCAGATAAATACATTTTATTATGAGAATCAGGAGAGGGAAGATTATCATCAAAGAAATTTAAAAGTAGAATAAAACTCCCAAAATGAACACAGTAAAAAAAAAAGAGGGAGGTCACTTAAGATCAACTGATCAATACAGCAAAAATAAGGACAAAAACTTTAAGAAAAAAGTAAAATATAAGGTGAAATGGAAAAAAAGTGCATTAAATGTTATAAGCTAACAGATTGATTTCTCTTTTTAAAAGATAATTATTAACTGAGTTATAAAACAAAATTCAGAATTATGCTATTTATAAGAAGCACACTTAAGGAGAATATAAAAAATAAAGCAACGGGCAAAAATTAACTTGGCAAATATACATACACAAAAGAAACAGAAGTAGTTTTTATCAGGCAAATTAAAAGTACTTTAAAGATTCCTATAATGTTTTGATAAATGACATGCTTTGTGAAGATGATTTAACAGTCAGAAACCATACTGTATAGAAGCTAACTATATGTAGGAAAAACCACCAGAAATGCAAGAAGAAATTCATTTAAAGCATAATTATAATGAGAAGTTTTAAACAGGTTTTCAGGATTTATGTATGTCTGATACACCAAAAATAAATAAGGATATAGAGGAAATATATAATATACTAAAACCATTAATTTGAAAGAGTAGAACTTTATAGACAGTATTATAATGAAATAACTTAATTTTTCCTCCCACTTTTTGGGGTTTAAATGAAGAACGGACATTTGGATAAAATATACATCAATACCCAAGACTTTTCTGGTCACAGATAATAAAAGTCCTCTGGTCACTTTTAATTTTAAAAATCCATAATTTAAATATCAAGTCCCCATGTATTAATAACAGTCAAGCCTCCAAAATTTATTTAAAATTAATGTCTGTGGTAGAGAAGGTGGGTATGTAATTAGCTGCTTTTATATTTCTACGCCTTTTATTTATTCAATTACTTCCAGTTCCTACCCACACCTTCTGACCCCTCCAGGGGTATAGTAGGAGACAGAAGGAGAGAGGAGGCAGAAAATGTCTTTACTGCCTGCCACTGTCTGACCCGGCATTAACGTCTCTGAGCTGGGCAGATGTTTAGAGCTGACTCTGTCTCATGGGGAGCACTCACAGATTCTCAGTGATTCTCCACTGGGAACCCAACAACTGTAATTTCCTGGTTCTTTAGGCTTCTATTGTAGGTTCTCTTCTAGTCTCACTACACACATAAACAAGGCATTGTCATTCACTCTGTTGATTTCAACAACCACTTGTTTCTGATCATTTAAATATATATATTTCCAGTGTAGACACTTTCTTGATACCCAGACATGTATATCTGGTTATCCGTACTTGAATATTATTATGCAATTTAACAAGTACTATGTTCCTCCTCCCAATAATTTGCATTGCTGCCCACCCTGTTGCCCAACCCAAAACCTGAAAACATAATTAACTTTATCTTATACCTTACATTCAGTCAATGCCATATCCTGTTGATTCATGTCCTAGATGTATCTCATATCTATATATTGCTCAGAGTTCTCATTGTTACTACACTGAATCAGATTATCATCACCTCTCCCCTAGATGATGGAAACAGCTTTCCTCCTGTTTTACCCGACTTCAATCTATTCTTCACACTGCAGCCAGAGGGTCCACACAAAAATGCAAATTACATCAGTCACTTCTCTGCTTAAAACCTTGCAATAATTCCTATAGTCTTAAGAATAATGTTCCAAGTCCCTGACATGGCTTACTAGGCCCTTTTCTCCATTTCTTAGCTTCACCTCTTGCCAGTGCCTTTTCACAGACTATATTCCCACCTAATTGGATTCATTCAGGTCTTCTTCAGGTATGCCTTGTTCTCTTTTGACCTTTCCCTTGCTGTCCCCATTTCGTGATGTCAGTTTCTGCTTGATGCCTACCCCAAACTTCATTTTCCTTCACCACTTTAGTAACAAATCCTGAATTTGTGTGGGGTACCATGCTCCCAGTTAAAAGACTACTGTTCTCAGTCAGTCTTGCAGCTAGGTGAGGGCACATAACTGAGTTCTAGTAAATAAAATAAAAGCAAAAGTGTGGGGGTACCCCTGGGAAATATCCTTAAAAGTGGAATTCAGAGATTTTCTTTGCTGCCTTCTTCCATCCTGCTGCCTGGAATGAGGATATGATAACCAGTGCATGAGCATCATGCTCCAGGGAAGGCAGAGTGGTTAGCTAGAAGCATCCTATGTCCCTGATGGCTTCGTGAAGCCAACCATACTAGCCCTATGTTGTCTCTTTCTCCACTAATTTTACCTGAGAGAAAAATTAGTTTCAAACTTGTGTAAGCCACTGTTACCTTTTGCTTTCTGTCGTACGCAACTGAATCTAAGTTAAATCAACCTACTCCTGCAATATTCTAACCTTTCTTTCCAGTGTTTCCACGCCATCCCCCATTGGCTATGCAACTCCCACTCCTCCTTTAGATGGTACTACTTTTTCTAGAAAATTGTCTGTGATTGTTCACCTGGGTTATGTTAGGTATTTCAGCTAGCATTTTCTTCCAGATTAGACTCTATTGAATCTATCCCTCTCATGGTTATATTCCAGGGGCCTAGTACAATGCCTGGCATATAATCAATGCTCAACAAATATTTGTGGTCTGATTTAATAAATGAACAAATAGTAGGTATTATTATAAGTTCGTACCCTTAAACAGGTCTGAGGTACAACTGAGGGTGCTTGTGTGGACAATGGCTGGTCTATTAGGATCTAAGCTGTCCTAGAAACTTATATAGATGATAGGTAGAAATAACTAATGAAGGGGCAGGTTATCTTGCTCCCAGATCTTCATACTTTCTCAGCTTGGGAATCTCCATAGAGTCTCCAAACCACTGTGGTCCCAGAGGAGATCTGCCCACCCAGAATACTTGCTTAAAGAGGTCAGCCCTAATATACAGTGAAACTCCAATATTCATCTGTATTCAAAGATTTATCTTAGATACTCCATAGCTTGATGAAGCTTACATTCTAATGGAATAGATGATCAACAAACAAACAAATAAATAACATAATGTCCAGTAGTAATATATGTCATAAAGATAAAACAGGGAAAGAAGCAGGGAAGTGATAGGGAATGCAATAGATGTGATCAGAGAAGGTTTTCTGAGGAAGTGATATTTTATCAAAGATACAAACAAATGTAATACACATTAAAATTTTCTGAGTATAATATTTATGTATATCTTCATTTTTTCACCTTTATCATACTCTGCATGTGACATGATATCATATATTCTCTAAGTACATATTTTAAATTTAAAATTTACTAATCTGAAACATTCTTACACAATAAGAATTTTCAAAATACTTACTTCCAATAAATTTTTGTTCTTTTTTTCAATTACAGATTGTATGAGGGTGTGGCTCATATGTATGACGTTGTCAATATACAGTAAGCATTCTGATTGATAATCAAGACTTACAACGTTGAAAATACCAATACGCTTCTCAATGGCCATATTCACAATATGTCTAAAATAGTTTCTGAATCTATTTAGAATAGCTTCAAATTCTTTTGAAGTTAATTCTCCCATAGATGATATTTTCATACTCATGATTTTGGCCTTTTCTGTCATGGTACAATACTTTATAAACTTGTGGCTGTAAGCATTAACTAGGCCCATTGAATTACCAATAATAGTCAGGAGATTCACAATCTGTAAAGAAGAATGTTGAGATGTTAGTCAGAATTTTTATTTTAAGAGTGAAAAATGGTTTGGCATGCTAATAGTTTCTGACAAAATAAAATAATAGTGCTATGTGGAGTTTATTTTAAGAACCTCTATTAAAAATCGAAATATGTTGGAAACACAAGACTTTAAGAAATTTAGATGGCTTTCTAATATTTGGCTTTTACCTAAAGGCTTATTAGGCTATTTAACTTTATAATTAACATGTTATTTTGAGCCATGTACTGGAAACACCAATCATTTATCCCCTTGCTTATTACCCTGTTTTAGAGTATACTACGCTTAGCCCTAGAAAAGGCCAGTCCTCAACCCCCAGGCCAGAGAGCAGTGCCAGTCCACGGCCTGTTAGGAACTATGCCACACAGCAGGCGGTGAGTGGTGGGTGAGCAAGCATTACTGCCTCAGCTCCACTCCTGCAAGATCAGAAGTGGCATTAGATTCTCATAGGAGCTTGAACCCTATTGTGAACTGCACATGTGAGGGATCTAGGTTGTGCATCCCTTATCACAATCTAACTAATGCCTGATGAACTGAGGTGGAACAGTTTCATCTAGAAACCACCCCTCAGCTGCTGTCCATGGACAAACTGTATTCCACAAAACCAGTCCCTGGTGCCAAAAGGGTTAAGGGCCACTGGTATATAGTATGTGACCTCACCCAATTCACCAAAGACGTAACTATTTAGATAGGGTAGAATCCTAAATCAATCTAAGCCAATTAGATTCTCTTGTAAATTTGGACAAAAATACCCAGTTGATGCTAATGGAAAGAGTTGAGGTATGGCAAGTCAACAACTGACGAGCCTACGTTATGAGGTAGCCATAAAAGAGAAAACTTATTTTCACAGAAGTTGGAAAAATCACACAGAGGTGAGCAGCGATGACAGATCATGGGAAAAACAAATGGGGAGATAAGCTGGAAATGATTTTTCAATTGCTATGAATAGGATACCCTAATTTTTCAATAAATTCATTTCATTTAAGAATTCAGTGGGTTTCTGCTCCTTAAACATTTCCTAAAATGAACTGTTTTAAAACTTACTATATTTTGGTAGGCAGGATCTGTTTCAAAAAGGATGTGACAATCTGGCCATCTGGTCTGCTCTTTATAATGTATTATGCTTCCTGTCTTATTAGGTAAATCCATTATTGAAACCAAATCAATGAAGATAGACAGCTGGGGATCTTGGCAAAGAGGAGTAATTGTGGCTAAAATATATAATTTAAAAGTCAGTACTTCAGAAATGCCATTGAAAGCAACACTTCAAAATTATCCATGACATCTAGAACTATTGAAAATGGGGGCTGATTTATTATGAGGGTTAGACAATATTCTATATTTATAACTGGAATTTAAAAATAGGTGTAAGGATTTAGATTTAATACTATAGAAACAAAGAGCTACTCACAGGTAATTGAGTGGAGGTGATGGGAGGCATGATTGAAACATAAACTGAAAATAAGTCATTCAGTTTACAAATATTTGACACGTATCTGTTATGTGGAGAGCATTATACCATTACAAGGATATAAAAATCAGGAGACACAGCCTCAAGAGTTCACAGTCTAGCTGAACAACTGGATGTCCACAGGCATAGATAGATGATTGATAGATAGATAGATAGATAGATAGATAGATAGATAGGTAGATAGATAGACAGATAGATAAACAAACCTCAACCTAGACTTTACGCTTTATTAAAAAATTCAACTCAAGATGCATCATATACCTAAATATAAAACACAAATCCATAAATCTTCAAGGAGAAAATATAGGAGAGAAAATCTGTGTGATCTTGAGTTAGGCAAAAAGCTCTTAGAAACAAAACCAAAGGTATAACCCATAAAAGAAAAAAACTGATGAGCTGTACTTTATCAAAAGTAAGTAGTTTAGCGCTGTGAAAGACAATGAAAAGATAAGGCACAGATTGGGAGAAAATCTCACAAAGATTGTTTGCAAGTCATATGTATGATAAAAGAATTGTATTCAGAGTATGCATAAAGACCTCTCACAAACCAACAATAAGAAAACAAAAACCCCAATTAAAAAAAAATAGGTGCTGGGTGTGGTGGCCCCTGCATGTAATCCCAGCACTTTGGGAGGCCGAGGTGGGTGGATCACCAGGTCAGGAGTTCAAGACCAACATGGCCAAGATGGTGAAACCCCGTCTCTACTAAAAATACAAAAAAAATTAGCTGGGCGTGGTGGTGGGCCACCTGTAATCCCAGCTACTCAGGAGGTTGAAGCAGAGAATTGCTTGAACCTGGGAGGTGGAGGTTGCAGTGAGCCGAGATAGTGCCACTGCACTCCAGCCTGGGTGATAGAGCAAGACTCCATCTCAAAAAAAAAAAAAAAAAAAAAAAAAAAAAATAGGCAAGAGATCTAAAAAGACATTTGGCAAAATAAGATATGCAGATGGAAAACTAGCATAATAAAAGATGAACAATATCATTTGTTACTAGTGAAATGAAAATTACCACAATAAGATATCACTACACACCTATTAGAAGGCTAAAAGCTTTTTGTTTTTGTTTTTAATCTGGCAATACCAAGTGCTGGCAAAGATATGGAGCAACTGGAATTCATAGATTGCTGGTAAGAATGCAAAATGATACAACCACTTTGCAAAACAGTCTGGCCATTCTCATAATGTTAAATATATTACTACCATATGCCCCATCAATCCTACCCCTAGATATTTGTCCAAGAAAAAGGAAAATTTGGATTAATCCAAAAGCCTATATGTGAATGTGTATAGCAATTTTATATATAATTTCCCCAAACTGGAGACAACCCAGATGTGAATGGATAAGCAATCTGCGATACATCCAAACAGTTGAATACAGCATAGCAATTTAAAAAAAGACTATTGAATCATGTAACAACATGGATAATTATTTTTTATTTTTTATTTTTTGAGACAGGGTCTTGCACTGTCACTCAGGCTGGAGTACAGTGGTACAATTTTGGCTCACTGCGCCTTGACCTCCTGGGCTCAGGCCGTCCTCCTGCCTCAGCCTCCCAAGTAGCTGGGATTACAGGTGCGTGCCACAATGCCTGGCTAATTTTTTGTATATTTTGTAGAGACAGGGTTTCACCATCTTGCCTAGGCTGGTCTTGAACTCCTGAGCTCATGTGATCCACCCACCTGGGCCTCCCAAAGTGCTGGGATTACAGGCATGAACCTCTGTACATGGCCAACATAGCTGAATTTGAAATGCATTTTTCTAAGTGAAAGAAGCCAGATCCAAAAAGCTACATATGCATTTATATGACATTATGGAAATGCCATAACAATAGGGACAGAAAACAGATGAGTGGTTGCCACAGATAAGGGAATGGAGAGAGTGTGACTACAAAAGGGCTGCACAAGGGAACTGGGGGATGATGGAACTGTTTTGTATGGAACTGTGATGGTGGATATGTACCTGTGCACTTGTCAAAACCCTTAACACCACCCACAAAGAGAAAATTGTACTTTATATAAGTTTTAAAACATCAACCAGGTTACTGAAAGAATCCAAGTTGGAATGCAGATTGTGACAAATTAATCTAACTATTACAAACTACATAACCTCATTGAAGAGGGTGGGAAAGAAAAGGGTTGACTTAAGCAACTTTAGAAAACAAGTTTGGACTGGAAACTGTTAAGGTTACATTTTTAAAAAACTGTACATAAACACAAACACTGTATTTTAGTTGATACATTTGTTTTTCGCAGAAGCAAGGAGTAGCAATTCTGAAATTACATGTACAGTAATGCAATTAATGACAGGGATATATTCTGAGAAGTGTGTCCTTAGGCAATTTCATCATTGTGTGACTATCATAGATTGTACTTACACAAAGCTAGATAGTATAGCCTACTACACACCTAGGCTATATGGTATACCCTGTTGCCCTAGCTACAAACTTTTACTGCATATTACTATACTGAATATTGTAGGCAATTGTAAAATAGTGGTAAGGATTATATATTGAAACATAGAAAAGATACAGCAAAAGTATGGTATTATAATCTTATGGGACTACCATGTGGTCTGTCATTGATTGAACCATCTTTATGCAGTGCATGACTGTATAACAAACAAGTAACTATGTTGTTGATTATGTCAGCCAGATTTCTCATAGCCAGAGAAAAAAGTTAGATATAAGGAAAAGAAAAGGCTAGAATGAACCCTGAGGTATTGGATTGGGGTCTGAGGTATCAGTATGAATTCAGTTTAAAATGGACAAACAAAAAGATCTAGGAATAAATATAGTTGTGTGTGTATGCATGAGCTAGCATACATACATATATTTTCTAGATATTTTCTCTGGTAGGCCAGGAAGTAGTGACACTCCTGTAGCAATGAGCACATCTAGTGCATAGATCTTAGTTCCTAAATTTCCTTCTCTAATCCAGGGTTCCTTGGAGAAACAGTTAATTTCAGGGCTGGGGCAGAGAAAATACAAGATGAGCCTGAAGTATCTTGAGGTGACGGAAACTAAGGAAGTAGTCACAAGACAAGGATGGAGGTATATTGAAGGGCACAGGAGCCAACTGGGGAGAATTACTCTTCCAAAATTAAGCCAGAACAACTTGAGCAACAAAATAAATAACAGTAATACTGTATTATAGTCTAAAGACCAAAATAAATATCAATGAACCCAGGAAATTTCCAAGGAAAAAAGAGAGAAAAAGGAGACGGCTAACAGATGCTAAAAATAGTACAAAGCTACCTAATAACTAACACAGTATAATACTGGTACATAAGTTACAGACATATCATCTGCATAGCCCAGAAATACAATGGAAAACATTCTGGAAAATAAAAAATGATAAATGTGGCATTTCAAATCAGTGGGGATAAGGAATGGATTATTCAATTCATGATGCTAGGACAGACAGATCATTAGTCATCTGAGAAAAATTAAAAGTGAAGTCCTACTTCACAACATACGCCAGATAAATCTCAGAGTGAACAAATATTTAAATATAAAAATGAAATCATAATAGAATTAGAAAATAAGTGAGAGAATGTTTTTATAATATGATCATTGGGAAGTCCTCTCTTATGATACCATATCCTGAAGCCTTTTAGAAGAGGTTCTAAATACCTTTGTAATGTCTATGATATAATGCTAAGTGATCATATAACATTTAAAATATACATTTGACTAATGTATGAATATGAATGTAAATTGCAAAAGAAAATAATTGTTATATATGGGTAGTTGAAATGGGGTGATTTAAATGACTATTTCTAAGGTAAATATATATACACACATATATACATACCTATGTATATTTATATACATATATACATATTATCATATATATGCAAATATTAGTGAATCCATATTCATATAAATAAATGACTGAAAAATTAAATAAATGGAAAAGGAACAGCTACTCCTTACAGAAGAATTCTAATTCATGAATGTATATGGGATGAAAGAAATAGAAAATCACCATTAAGAACACCACAGTAATAACTTGCAGGCAAGGTAAGATCCACTGATAAATGTTAGAATTAGTGGGCAAAATTTTCAGGAGAAACAAGATATCTGTATAATCTCAAAATCTCTCCTCCCACCCCAAGTTTATTAGTTACAGGAGGAAATATGGTAACTTCATCATGGAGAAACCTGGCAGACATGACTTTAACTAAGTGGTCATGGTGAGCAGCACCAGTGAAAAGGTATATCAATGTCATGTACTACTAGGCTGATGTACTGAAAAGGGCACACACCCAGTATGGTATTCTCCCTCAAGATGTATATCCTCAAACTCATCATGAGACAACATCAGACAATCCAAAACTGATGGACAATCTGTAGAGTAAATTACCAGTATCTCAAGGTCATAAAAGACAAGGAAAGACTGAGCAACTGGTACACACTGGAAAAGACTTAGCAGACATAACAACTATTAATATATGCAATGTGTGATCCGGGATTAGATCCTGGCACAGAAAATGAACATTAGGGAAACAACTGGGAAAATCCAAATAAAATCTATCATTTCATTAATACTATTATACTAATATTAATTTCTTCATTTTCATAACTAGATTAAAGCATATAAAGAGTATACAGAAACTCTGTACTACGCTTCCAACTTATAGAAGTCTCAAATTATCTCATTATAGAAACTTAAAAAAAAAACAGTAGAAACATTTCATAATAAAGAAAAAAGAAATAGAAATAATCAGATGTTTAGACCCAGGAAATCTAAGATGAAAAACAAAAAATCCAAAGGGAAAAAAAGGAACATATGGAAAGATTGGTAAGAACTTAGTTCTTCAGACTGAAGAGCCTCACTGGATTTTAAGAAAGATCAACATAGAATTATATATATGGCTTTATTATAGAAAAGTTCGTAACTCCAAATGATAAATTACTAGACAGAAATCACAAGTATACAAAGGAAGGAGAATCAGAGTAGCATCAGACTTCTTATTTACATTATTAAAAGCTAGAAGGCAGTAGAACAAATCTATGGGCACTGAATAAAATGAGTATGGGAGGGGTCATCCCAACAAGAGAGCACAGTTGTTTAGAATGTCTGTAAGTGTATAATGTTGCAAGATACTAATATCTCTGGATTTTACTCAGCAAGAAACCCTTACCAAACTGATTCAAAATGGACTGGGTAAAAAATTATAACAACTTTGTGATAATTCTTGGTTTTAAAACAAACCCATGTTCTTATGCACATTTCATCTTCATAATACAATGCAAACTTTAAAATAAATATGAGATGTCAAGGGACATACTGACTACCTTTCAGCCAGTTTGGGGGAATGGAGTAACTTAATATGTGGTGGTAGTTACAAAGCATAGTGAAAAAGACTGAATTACTGGGACTTGCATAAACAAAATCAAACAATGCATTAGACACCAGCTTAGCTTGGAAATAGGGGCCCTCTGAACTCAGCAAACTATGGTGACATGACTGGAGAATGATGCAACTTTTAAGAAGTTGCCAAAACTCCTGCTGTTTTAAGATCTTTGTAAAACTTATTGTGAGAAAAGAATAAATTCTTTGGTCAGGCTAGTAATTGCCTGCAATTTCAGATTGTGTACATACAGCTGCAAAATAATTAAAGTCTCTTTAAGGTAGAAACAATATCTTTGTTATACTATGACATAAAAGATCTTGCTCATTTGTATTAAGTGTCATAACATTCTATAGAATGTAACTGAAAAAATCCAAACCTTGAATATTTTCCTAATTCTCATCTTTTATGCACTCTAAGGCCATGTGTAAAATTCACACATCCTCAAATAATTCCAAATTCAGTGTTTGATCCCAAGGACTGTGCATTTATGATATACTAATATTCTGTAACATCTGCCACATCCCTGGGTAAAGGCATCAGATGCTTAAATTTAAAAAAATATTGCCAAAGAAGACAATGCATTTCACTAAGCTTTAAAAACACTTACTTATACATTTTTCCATATTAGTCAACATATTTTGAATTTTTACTGAAAACTCCAATCTGTTGGGATCTATAAAGAGATTTGTAGGAAATTCTGGAAATCTAACAGAGAAAACAATAAAAGCATATTTCAGAGGAATATAATAACTACCATATAAAATACAATTACTCGTAATTTTTAAAATGTCTAATACTTACTCATAATACATGTATTTATTCTCAAACTCAGTCTCAATTTCTGTGTCTATTAGAATCCATTGAAAGAAAGAGAAAATACAAAATTGATTGATATTTATATCAGGTAAATGACAAATTAATATATGCCAGTGCTTTACACATATCCTAAGAATAAACTCAAGAAGTCACTTGAAACACAATACTGAAGCAGTACACCCCATTCCAAGGTTCTGATTAAAGAGATCTGAGGACAAACATCCTAGATGTTGTTCCTCTTGATGAACGGGGCCCTCGGCTCTGCTTCAGTGAGAAACTGTTTGGGTTTTGAGATGAAAATGAATAATGGTGTCATTACTGACATGCACAACAATGATCTGTAAGTTTATCCTTACTTTTAGCAGTATTTACCTTAAGATTTATAAAATCATAATCTATAAATTAGAAGACACAACAGACTATTAAAATGATCTCTCATTTGTTATTTTCCAGTTGTTAAGATATTTCCCTCCATTCTTTTTTTTTTTTTTTTTTTTTCCCCAAGAGACAAGAGACAAGGTCTCACTGTGTTGCCCAGGCTGGTCTCAAACTTCTGGCATCAAGTGATCCTCCCACCTCAGCCTCCCAGAGTGCCAGGATTGCAGGCATGAGCCACCACACCTGGCAACCCCTCATTCTTTATAGTCTCAATTGTCTTACCTGAAATAATATCTTCAAGATTGTAACTAATTTCTTTTGATTTCTTGGCTTTTGGGAGCAATTCTTCACTTGAGTGTTTTTTGACACAATTGTCTTTATTTTCTGACATTTCATCTTCAAACATCACACACTCTTCAGGGCACTGGTCAGACTCATGAAAGTTCTCTTTAGAATTTTCTGAAGAATCACTCTCAGCAGGAATTCTCAAGCATAGATTTACTTCAAATATTGGTGCATATGTTTTTCTCAAATCCTTCCCCACTTCAACACTATTCAAAATCTAATTTAACGGATAATGTGAGGGTGCCAGTGACAACATATAACTTACAGAACATTTAATTTAGAATACAGACCAAAATTTTAAATGAGAAATCATAACTCCAGTATAACCGAGTAACACTGTATTACCAAATACCTGACACTTGCATGTTAAAATAAGTAAATTGCATGTGAAACAAATGACATTGTAATGAAGGAGTTCCCCCCAAAGACTGTAAATTGATGCCAGAGTCAGTATATCATTAGTCCTAGTCACTGAGTGCCTATTTAAAATACAAATTCTTAGGTCCTATCCCCAGAGATATTGAGTTAAAAAGTCAGAGGCAGGGCCCAGGACTCTTAATCATCTACAAGCTCAACAGGTGACTCTATTGTGCACCTGGGTTTAAGAACTACAAATCTAGAAAACATACTTTAAACCCACTAGAGTAAGTCCTAGCTCTTCACTTTAATATACATATACTAACATGGACATCTCCAGTGAAAAACACTAGGGGATAAATATCTCATTTATGTAAATAATTGTTCTTAGGCTCTGTCTGGGCTTGGGTTCTCAATTAATCTACTGTTCCTTCCTACATCATAAATAATCCGTTATGCTTAAGTTACCTACTGCATAATGACTCCTCTGTGTTTCTCAGGGTGATCACTTGAATAATCTGCTGGAACCTTAACCTCTAATTCCAGACATTAACAAATTAAGGCAGTTAACGTTATAAATAAACCTCATAGCACCTTATTAAGCTGCCGGTGAAAGAGCATGAGTAGATATTGAAGGTGACTTGCAAATCTTAAATGTTCACACAAATGGGTATAGTGTTTGTTCAGGATGATGGAAAAGCTGTAGAAATGGAAAGTGGTGATGGTTGCCTAACACTGAATGTACCTAATACCACCAAACTGTACACCTAAAAACGGTTAAATGGAAAATTTTATGTTATGTATGTTTTATCACAATAAAAGAAAGTCCACCCAGACAATTCTTAATAAATATATAATGTGCTGCTTAGCTTATTCTCGAAAATAACCTCTAACTAACTCTGGGAATACTGGACCTCAAGCTATATATACCTTCTAATATTACTGCATTTAAATATTTTGCATTAAATCATTCTTTAAATGTAATTATGGTTACAGTGAATGAGTATCACTATAGTAAACAAGTTACTACCTTCACCTAATCCTCATAAAAACCCCAAGAGACAGAAATTATTACTCTCATTGCACATACAAAAAAAATCTGAAAGCTTAATTTGTCAAAGGCTATATTGCTAGCATGTGGTAAGGCTGAAGTTCACTCATGGGTCTGTGCACATCGTTATAATATGAACTAACTGGGGCCTGAAAATATTTTTGTAGTGAAGAAATCTCTTAGCTGTTACACTTTTTGTGACAACAAGAATGAACCAGTAAATAGTTTTATTTCCTCTAGATTGTAAACTACAAGAGAGGAATAGCCACAGCTAAATGGAACTGTAAATTTTACAGATTACAATGGGGATTAGGAAGGGAAGGAGGAGGCAGCACCAATGATTACCAGATCCACAACTTTAGCTCTTATCTCTCGCTTGAGATTCAGATCTATATTTTCAACATTTTGAGCTCTGTACAGTAAAAAAGAGGAGCAAACCAAGGTCAGATACTAGAGGGCAAAGCAGGGGCAAGATGCCCAAACTTGGGCTATGGGACAAAAGTGGACATAAATTTAGGCCACCTTAGTGGCAGTCTGCTCGTTCATGCAGCCTGTGTCCAAATCTCCACTCTGTCAGCCTGCATTGAACCCACACATGTATATATACATATATGAAATAGATGCGTGAATCTTATTGGTTCTGTCCCTCAGGAGAACCCTAATGCAAGTTACATGAAAAAATGCTCAAACTAGTAATAAGGGAAATTCAAATTAAAACTTTGGCAAAATGCCATTTCACACCTATCTGATTGACATTAAATATTGATGAGGATTAGTAAGCTTATGGAGCAATAAAAATTTATGAATTGCTAAAGGTCATTGAAATTGGTACAAGCATTTTAGAAAAACAATTTTATATTACTCAATACAGTTGAAAATAACATATGCTTTCACCCAGAAATTTCACTCCTTAGCAGTAAATAAAGAAATAGTAACTCTTGTTCATATACACCAAAGGAGAAATATACAGGAATGTGCAAGGCAGAATTATAGGTAATAGCAAAAACAAAAACTGAAAATAACCCAGATGTCTATCAACAGTGGAATGGTAAGTGAACTGTTTCATCAATAAAGGATGAATAGGAGACATTGAATACTTTTAAGTTGGGTGAAGCCTACATGAGTGTTTGCTTATTTTTGCAGGTATCGTATACTTAATAAAAAACATTAAAAAAATACATATGCATTGTACAAAATTTAGACTATCTAGAAATATACATATACGAAAGTAAAATTACTCAAGATTCCTACCACCCACAGATAACCATTGTTAATATTTCGATGCATATATTTTCAAACTTCAAACTACATAGTGTGTATGTTGTATATGTTTGTTTTCACTAATACATGTGAATATTTTTCCTTGTCATCAAATCTACCTAAATACTTTAAAAAGAAAAGATATGGCCGGGCGCAGTGGCTCATGCCTGTAATCCCAACACTTCGGGAGGCCGAGGCGGGCAGATCACGAGGTCAGGAGATCAAGACCATCCTGGCTAACACGGTGAAACCCCGTCTCTACTAAAAATACAAAAAATATTAGCTGGGCATGGTGGTGGGCACCTGTAGTCCCAGCTACTCGGGAGGCTGAGGCAGGAGAATGGCGTGAACCCAGGAGGCGGAGCTTGCAGTGAGTCGAGATCACACCACAGCACTCCAGCCTGGGAGACAGAGCAACACTCCACCTCAAGAAAAAAAAAAAAAGAAAAGATAACTATAAAGGCCATATTACACAAGGCTACTTTTTTTTTTTTTTTTTTTTTTTTGAGACGGAGTCTCGCTCTGTCGCCCAGGCTGGAGTGCAGTGGCGGGATCTCGGCTCACTGCAAGCTCCGCCTCCCGGGTTCATGCCATTCTCCTGCCTCAGCCTCCCAAGTAGCTGGGACTACAGGCGCCCGCCACTACGCCCGGCTAATTTTTTGTATTTTTAGTAGAGACGGGGTACAAGGCTACTTTTACCAAATAGGATAAGCACTTAACATATAAAGTTTAAATCTCAAGAAAATAATACCAACGGAGAGAAAAACAATTCTGGCAAGAAAAGATTTCTTTTTTTTTTTCATACTAAAGAGAATTTTCATATTTATTCATAAAATAAATGAGATATATTTCCAGCTGATCTCTTCCAAAGTTCTTTATATGGTTGTTTAAAAATAAATCAAAACATAACAGATACATTTGATGGGTAATAAGCATTTTACATTCTGTAATAAATTTTAGAAGATATTAGGGGCAATTCTAAAAAAAAATAAGTTTATCTAGGATTCCTTCAAGGTTTCCTATTTTGCTTCTCCCATTTTTAAGTTAAGAACACAACAAAAATGCTTTGAACAAAAGCAAAGACAGAGTAGTGTAGCAGTGGGAGGAGGGGGTAGATGCTACTTTACATAGGGTGGCCTTCCCTTACCATTCCTATGTAAAATAGCATACAACATCACTCCTGCATTCCCTTTTTTTCCATTATTTTTCTTCACAGTACTCATCACTTCATTTATCTGTCTCCTCTGGTAAAATATAAGCTCCAAGAGGTCAGAGAATTTGGTATGCCCACTGCTGTTATTTCAGTGCCTACCTAGTTCAGTGCCTGGAACATAGTAAGTACTCAATAAACCATGTGGTGAATGAATGAACAAATGAACTAAATGAGATAAGTGTCAATATGGCTTTTTACAGTGGGAGCAGCTAAGTGTGTGTGTGTGTTGGCGAGGGTATGTTGGGTAAGGGCTTGTGGGTATTAATCATAAATCACATTTTAAATTTTAAAATGTATTCATTTTATAGCAAAAAATCTATGTTTATATTTTTCAAAGATCATTTTACCTCATTAATATCAGTGTCTGTTTTTACTTCTGACTTTTGAACAGAAATAG
This sequence comes from Homo sapiens, assembly GCF_000001405.40. Lineage (NCBI taxonomy): Eukaryota > Metazoa > Chordata > Mammalia > Primates > Hominidae > Homo > Homo sapiens. Next base: position 225,038,773 of record NC_000001.11, on the reverse strand, counting down.
CATGTAACTTTGAATTATCAACAAGTTCTTCACAATCATTTGTTGTCTTTCCAGTAGGAAAAGAGTTGTCCTTGAATGTTCTGGATTAAGAAATGGGAAGAAAAAAATCATTTAAAAATCATTTATATCTACATATATAAAGAACACCTACAACTCAACAACAAAAAGCAACCCAATTAAAAAACAGGCAAAGGACCTGACTAGACCTTTCTGCAAAGAAGATACACAAATGGACAATAAGCACAAGAAAAGATGCTTAATATCACTAATCATTAGGGAAATGTAATCCATAACACACTGAGATACTATATCACCTCATACCCATTAGGATGGCTATTAAAAAAAACAGAAAATAATAAATAATAAATGTTGGCTAGGGTTGGAAGTACAAGGAGAGTACAGACCACCAAGCAGATTTAACCTAAAGAAGACTACCCCAAAGCACTTAATAATCAAACTCCCAAAGATCAAGACAGAGTGACACCCTGTCTCAAATACATAAATAAATAAATAAAGTACAGAAGAAAAACAAAACCGTTCAACCCTAGAATGGTACATCTGGCAAAAATGTCTTTCAAACACAAAGGAAAAATAAAAACCTTCCCAGACAAACAAAACCTGAGGGTTTTGCCAGACACTTATCATCAATACCAGATCTATCCTACAAGAAATGCTAAAGGAAGTGCTTCAATCTGAAAGAAAAAGAACACTGAAGAGCACTAAGAAATCATCTGAAGGCACAAAACTCACTGGTAACAGTAAGTACACATAAAAACACAGAATATTGGCCGGGCATGGTGGCTCATGCCTGTAATCCCAGCACTTTGGGAGGCCGAGGCGGGCAGATCAGATCACCTGAGGTCAGGAGTTGGGAGACCAGCCTGACCAACATGGAGAAACCCTGTCTCTACTAAAAATACAGAATCAGCCAGGCATGGTGGCACACGCCTGTAATCTCAGCTACTCGGGAGGCTGAGGCAGGAGAATTGCTTGAACCCAGGAGGCGGAGATTGTGGTGAGCCAAGATTGCACCATTGCACTCCAGCCTGGGCAATAAGAGTGAAACTCCGTCTCAGAAAACAAACAAACACAGAATATTATAACACTGTAACGGTGATGTGTAAACTATTCATATTTTAAGCAGAAAGATGAAGAACTGATCAAAAAGAACTACAATTTTTCAAGACACAGATTGTACAAATAAGATATAAAAAGAAACAATAAAAGTTAAGAAGCAAGGAGATTACGTATAGAGATTTTATAACTCTCCTTATCTTGTTTGTTTGTATGTTTGTTTATACAATCAACATTAAGTTGTCCTGAGGTTAAAATAATGGGTTATATTATTTACAAGACTCATAGTAACCTAAAATCTATAAACATACAACAGATACACAAAAAATAAGAAGCAAGAAATTAAAACATATCACCAGAGAAAATCACCTTCACTAAAAGGAAGACAGGAAGGAAGAAAAGAAGGAAGGGGCCACCACAAAAGAACCAAAAATAAACAAATAACAAAATGGCAGGAGTAAGTCCTTATTTAATAATAAGAATGGATGTAAATGGACCAAATTCTCTAATCAAAAGATATAGAGTGGCAGAATGAATGAAAAACCAAGAATCAACCTACTGTTGCCTACAAGAAACACTCTTCACCTTGACAAACACAGACTGAAAATAAAGCTACAAAAAAAGATATTCCATGCAAATGGAAACCATAAAAGAGGAGTAGTTATACTTTCATCAGACAACATAGATTATACAACAAAAAGTATAAAAAGAGACAAAGAGGGTCATTATATAATGATAAAGTGGTCAATTCAGCAAGAGGATAGAACACTTGTAAATATACATGTACCCAACACTGGAGCACACAGATATAAAAAGCAAGTATTATTGACAGAGCAGGAGCACTGTCATCTTGGACAAACACTGCCACTTTAAGTTCCAGCTCCCTTTCTAGCCTTATGCATTTCAAGGAAATCATTCTCTTCTAATTACAAGCAGCCAGAAAGAGCAGACAGTAAAACACAGACAAGACAGCTCAGGCACAGAGGGAAGTGAAGGGAAAGTCTCTTGGGTAACTGCCAAACTTCACCCTCATACAATGGACCCCAGTAAAACAGTAGGCCTTAATAAGCATATTCCTTTCCCTTCAGGTGCACTAAGATAGGGAACCTAAAAGCAGACTTGGAGGGTATGCCTGCAGCTGCAGAAAGATGTATGGGAACAGACACGCAACTCTCCCTCCCAGATAAGCACAACAAAGAGACACAGAAGCAGTCCAAACCTCTAATAAACTCTCCCACCCTGAATCCTTAAAAACTCTTAGTCTGGGCAGGGCGTGGTGGCTTAGGCCTGTAATCCCAGCACTTTGGGAGGCTTAGGTGGGTGGATCACGAGGTCAGGAGTTCGAGACCAGTCTGGCCAACATAGTGAAACCCCATGCCTACTAAAAATACAAAAAATTAGCCTGGTGTGGTGGTGTGTGCCTGTAATCCCAGCTATTTGGGAGGCTGAGGCAGGAGAATTGCGTGAACCTGGGAGGCGGAGGTTGCAGTGAGCCAAGATCTCGCCATTGCACTCCATCCCAGGTGAGAGTGTGGGACTCTATCTCAAAAACAAAACAAAACAAAAGAAAAAAAACCTCTTAGTCTGTAAGAGAGTGGGTCTCTGACCTAACTCAGACAGAAGGCTCCTCTCAGGTTTCTTTTCTTTAAAATAAACCTGTCTTGACTGGCGAGCCGCCTTTCATGTTTCTTTCCTCTTTCTTTAATTCTTACAATTATTAGATCTAAAGGGAAAGATAAACCCCAATACAATAATAGCTAGAGACTTCAACACCACACTTTCACCCTTGGACAGATCATCCAGACTGAAAATCAACAAACAAACCTCAGACTTAATATGCAGAAAAAACCAAATGGGCCTAATAGATATTTACAGAACATTTCATCCAATGACTAGATAATACACATTCTTCTAAGCACACAGATAATTCTCAAAGATAGACCATATGTCAGATCAAAAAAAGTCTTAAAACATTCAATAACATCAAAATAATATCAAGCATCTTCTCTGACCACAAACAAAACAAAACAAAACAAAACAAAAACCCTACAAATCAATCACAGAAGGAATTCTGGGAACTATACAAACACATGGAAATCAACCAACATAACATACCCAAACCTATGGGATACTGCAAAAGCAGTACTAACAGGGAAGTATATAGGTGTAAGTTTCTACCTCAAAAAAAAACAAAAAAAAACTTCAAATAAACAACCTAATGATACATCTTAAAGAATGAGAAAAGCAAGAGGAAACCAAATCCAAAGTTAGTAGAAGAAAAGAAACAATAAAGATCAGAGCAAGGAAACTACAGAAAAGATCAGTGAAACAAAGGGTTGGTTTTTGAAGATAAAGGAAACTGATAAACCTTTAGCCACATTAACTAAAAAAACAGAGAGAGCAAACACCCAAATAAATAAAATCAGAGATTAAAAAGGAGACATTACAACCGATACTGCAGAAATTCAAAGGATCAGTAGAGGCTATTATGAGCAACTATATGCCACAAATTGGAAACCCTAGAAAAAAGTGATCAATTGCTAGACACATACAACCTACCTGCCACTAAGCTAGCAGAAGACAAGAAATAACCAAAATCAGAGCCCAACAGAAGGAAATTGAGACACATGCACACACACAAAAAAAACATTTTAAAGATCAAAGAATCCAGGAGCTGTTGTTTTTGAAAAAATTAATAAAATAGAGAGGCTACTAGCTACACTAATCAAGAAGAAAAGAGAGATGATCCAAATAAGCACAATTAGAAACAATGAAGGGAATGTTACTACTGACCCCATAGAAATAAAAACAACCATCAGAAACTACTACAAACACCTCCGTGCACACAAACTAGAAAATCTAGAAGAGATGGATAAATTCTTAGACACATACGCCCTCACAAGACTGAGCCAGGAAGAAATTGATTCCCTGAACAGCCCAATAATGAGCTCTAAAATTGAATCAGTAATAACAGCCTACCAAGAAAAAAGCTCAGGACCTGATGAAATCACAGTCAAGTTCTAGCAGATGTACCAAGAAGAGCTAGTACCATTCCTACAGAAACTATGCTAAAACAATTGAGGAGGAAGAATTTCTCTCCCAAAATCATTCTATGAGGCCAGCATCATCTTGATACCAAAACCTGGCAGACACACACACACACACACACACACACACACACACAAATTCAAGCCAATATCCTTGATGAATATTGATGCAAAAATCCTCAACAAAATACCTGCAAACTGAATACAGCAGCACATCAAAAAATAATCCACTATGATCAAGTAGGCTTCATCCCCAGGATCCAAGGTTGGCTCAACATACACAAATCAATAAATGTGATTCATCACATAAACAGAACTAAAGACAAAAACTGTATGATTATCTCAACAGATGCAAAAAAGGCTTTCAATAAATTTCAATATCCTTCATGTTAAAAACTCTCAATAAACCAGGTGTTGAAGGAACATACCTCAAAATAATGAGTCATCTATGACAAACCCACAGCTAACATTATACTGAATGGGCAAAAGCTAGAAGCATCCCCCTTGAAAAACAGCAAAAGACAAGGATGTCCTCTCTCACCACTCCTATTCAACATAGTACTGGAAGTTCTGGCCAGAGCAATCAGGCAAGAGAAAGAAATAAAGTGCATCCAAATAGGAAGAGAGAAGTCAAACTATCTCTGTTTGCATACAACATGATTCTTTACCTATAGTTTCAGCCCCAAAGCTGCTCCTTCAGCTGATAAACAGCTTTAGCAAAGTTGCAGGATACAAAATCAATGTACAGAAATCACTAGCATTCCTATATACTAACAACAATCAAGCCAAGAGCCAAATTGTGAATGAATTCCCATTCACAATTGCCATAAAAAGAATAAAATACTTAGAAATACAGCTAACCAGGGAGGTGAAAGATCTCTACAAAGAGAATTACAAAACACTGCTCAAAAAATCAGAGAAGACACAGAGAAATAGAAAAACATCCCATGTTCATAGAATCAATATCATTAAAATGGCTATACTGATCAAAGCAATTTACAGATTCAATGCTATTCCTATCAAACTATCAATGACATTCTTCACAGAACTAGAAAAAATTATTTTAAAATTTATGTGGATCCAAAAAAGAGCCCAAATAGCCAAGGCAATCTGAAGCAAAAAGAATAAAGCTGGAAGAACCGCATCACCCAACTTCAAACTACACTACAAGGCTACAGTGACCAAAAGAGAATGGTACTGGTGCAAAAACAGGCACATAGACCAATGGAACAGAATAGAGAGCCCAGAAATGAGGCCCCATATCTATGACCATCTGATCTTTGACAAAGCTAACAAAAACAAGCAATGAGGGAAACACTCCCCATTCAATAAATGGTGCTGAGATAACTAGCTAGCCATATGCAGAAGATTGAAGCTGGACTCCTTCCTTACACCATATATAAACATCAATTCAAGATGGATTAAAGACTTAAATGCAAAACCCAAAACTATAAAAACCCTGGAAGACAACCTAGGCAGTACCATTCTGGACACAGGAATGGGCAAAGATTTAATGATGAAGACACAAAAAGCCATTGCAACAAAAGCAAAAATTGACAAACAGGATCTAATTAAACTTAAGAGCTTCTGCACAGGAAAAGAAACTATCAACAGAGTAAACAGACAACCTACATAATGGGGGAAAATATTTGCAAACTTTGTATCTGACAAAGGTCTAATATCCAGCATATATAAGGAACTTAAACAAATTTACAAGAAAAACACAACCCCACTAAAAAGTGGGCAAAGGACATGAACAAACACTTCTCAAAAGAAGACATACAGCAGCCAATAAGCATACGAAAAAGAGCTCAATATCACTGATCATTAGAAAAATGCAAATCAAAACCACAATAAGATACCATCTCACTCCAGTCAGAATGGTTATTATTAAAAAGTTAAAAAATAACGGATGCTGGTGAGGTTGCGGAGAAAAGGGAACCCTTATACACTGCTGGTGGGAGTGTAAATTAGTTCAACCATTGTGGAAAACAGTATGGCGATTACTCAAAGAGCTAAAAGGAGAACTACCATTCGACCCAGCAGTCCCGTTATTGAGTACATACCCAAAGGGATATAAAGCATTCTACCGTAAAGACACATGAACACCAATGTTCACTGCAGCACTGTTCACAATAGCAAAGATATGGAATCAACCTATATGCCCATCAATGACAGACTGGATAAAGAAAATGTGGTACATATACACCATGGAATACGATGCAGCCATATAAAAGAATGAGATCACGTGTTTTACAGGAACATGGATGGAGCTAGAGGTGATCATCCTTAGCAAACTAATGCAAGAACACAAAACCAAATACTGTATGTTCTCACTTATAAGTGGGAGCTAAATGATAAGAACTTATGAACACAAATAAGGAAACAACAGACACTGGGGTCTACTTGAGCCAGGAAGGTAGAAGGAGGGAGAGGGGCAGAAAAGATCATTATTGGGTATTGAGCTTAATACTTGGGTAATGTAATAATATGTACAACAAACCCCCATGACCCATGTTTATTTATGTAAAAACCTTCACATGTACCCCCAAACCTAAAATAAAAATTAAAAAAAAATTAAACTGAGAAGTCTTTCCAAAGAGTCTCACATTATCTAGAACTCTACACCCAGTGAAAATATCCTTTATAAATCATGGTGACATAAAGTTCCTTTTCAACAATTAAAAACCGAGGGAACTCTTTCCCAGCATTACTGCAACTGAAAGAAATACTAGATTGTTTTTCAGGAAGAAGGAAAATGACCCCACACAAACAGAAACAAGCAAAAGGAAACAACACAAGGAATGGTAATTATATGGATAAACATAAATGGATATTGACCATTCAAAACAATACTTTTAATGTCTTCTGGAGTTAAAATACATGAACAACTAAAAATGTATTTAAAATACAGTAAAAGAATGCTGTAAAAGGCAAGAGGAAAATAAATGGAGTTGAAGAAGCTAAAGTTTTAGCAGTACCATGGAAGTGATAAAAGTAACAAAAATAATTTGTATTAGCCTGTAAGAATAGCTGGTTTTAGATTAATCGATTTTTTTATTCTTTTAATATTTTTCCTTCTTTTAGCTTTTTAGACATCCTATCACTATCTTTTAGTGGTTACTCTAGAGCATGGGTCAGCAAAACCTTTTCTGTAAGGGGCCAGACAGGAAATATTTTACGTTTTGTGGACCATATGTGGTGGTCGGTCACAACAACTGAATTTTGCCTTTGTAGTGCAAAAGTTGCCACAGACAATGGGTAAACAAATGGGCGTGGCTATAGTCCAACAAAACTAATTTATAAAAACTGGCTGCCACAGGATTTGGCCTATGGGCTATATTTTGTTGACACTTGGTCTAAGTAGAAATTCTTAAATTGTCTACCAAAGAAAAGTTATTACAAATGATAAGTGAGCTTAGTAAGGTTACAGATACAAGGTCAATATGCAAAATCAACCGCATTTCTTTTACCAGCAATGAATAATTAGAAACTGTATTTAAAATATGGTACCATTTTTAATACCATCAAAATATGAAATAGGTAGTTTAAAACAAAAATGTGCAATATTTGCACACTGAGTTCTACAAAACACTGAAGAGATAAATCAAAGAAGATCTAAACAAAGGAAAAAGTCTACCATGTTCAGGGCTTTAAAAGACTGAATATTGTTAAGATGTCAATTCTCCCCAGATTGATCTATATATTCAATGCAATCTCAATCAAAATCTCAGTAGGCCTTTTGAATAAATCTGCTAGTTAATTATAAGATATATATGAAAAAGTAAATGAATTAAAATAGTTAAAACAATTTTGAAAAAGAAGAACAAAGCTGAAGAATACATACTACCTGATTTCAAGACTTATTATAAAATTATAGTTATGCAGACTGTGAGATATTGGTGGAAGGACAGATTCACAGATCACTGGACTAGAAAAAAGCATTCAGAAATAGACTCATGAATATATTTAATTAATCAATTTTCTACCAGATGTTAGGGTAATTGTCTGGAGGAAGATTAGTCTTTTCAACAAACTACTGGAGTGATTAAATACCAACATATAACAATATATACCTCAAACCACACCTGACACCATTTGCAAAAATTAACTCAAAAAGGATAACAGATATAATATCCAGAAGTATAAAACTTCTAAAAGAAAATATTGGAAAAATTCATCATGCTGTTGCATTAGGAAACAATGCTTTAGATCGGAAACCAAAAGCCCAAACCTTTAAAAGAAAAAACAGATAAATTGAACTTCATAAAAATTAAAAACTCTTGTTTATCAAAAGCCACTTAAGAAAATTAAGACAATTTATGGACTGGGATAAAATATTTGTAGAACACAGATATCATGTAGTTTTTACATGTATAAATTCCCTCTAAGCACTGCCTTTGCTGCCTATAGTAAGTTTTGTTATGTTGTGTTTTCATTTTCATTCATTTATAAAACTGTATTTTATTCTAATTTCCCTTGTGATTTCTGCTTTGACTCATTGGTTATTTAGGAGTATGTTATTTAATTTCCATATATTTGTGACCTTTCCCAAACTTTCTTCTGTTATTGATTTCTAATTCTAATTTATGTTGGTTGGAGAACATACTTTGTATTTTAATCATTTTAAGTTTATTGAGATCTGTTTTATCACCTAACATATGAAGACTTTTACTTTTTGAAACACTCTCCACTTGGTATCCATGGGTTGCAATGATGATTTAGGATTAGTTGATTTTATAACAAAATTTTTCAGAAACTTTTAGGATGGTAGAAAAGACATTTATTATTTATAGGTTTGACCAATCACATTATGTCTTATGCTATTTTCTTATCACTTTACTGTTGTCACACTGTCTTCTTCTCACTTTTTCAAATATGCTTCTTGTTCTGTAGGGTATATGATACACTTTTTAGGGATGACTTGACCACCCTTTCTTCTTGATTTCCTCATTAACTCCTATCAACGAAACTTCTCCCAGACCAGATTCAGTCTCACAATACCCCAAACTTCTTCTTTGTAGCATTTATTGTAATGTTAAATATATTTGTGTGGTCAGTAGATTAATATCTCTCCCTTCCTCTAGACTGTAAACTACATTAGAGCAAAAACTGTCTATTTTGCTCAGCATTGTATGTCCAGGATCTAACAAAGTATCTGACAAGTTACATGTGCTAAATAAATAATACTTTATTTTTAATGTCAGGTTTATTGAGGTATAATTTATATCCAGTAAAATTCATGCTTCTCAGGTATGCAGTTCTAATGAATTTTGACAATCACACACAGTTAACAACCACTACAATCACAATGACTAAATGTAGTACATTTCTGTCATCTAAAACATTGTATCAGGCCCCTTTATAGAAGGTTCCTCTCACCCCCACCTAGCCCATGGCAATCACTGACTTGATTTCTGCCCTTCCAGTTTTGGTTTGCCAAAATGTCATATAAATGGAATCATATAATATATAGTGTTTTGAGTCTGGCTTCCTTCACTTAACATTTGAGATTTATTCGTGTTGCATAAGTAAGTATAATATTTCACTCATTTTTATTGCTGAGAAGTACTGCATTTCATGGCTATCCACTTATAGATATTTAAATTATTTCCAGATTTGAACAATTATGAATAAAGCCATTATAAATATTTACATATGGTTTTTCTCCATAGAAAAATGTTTTCTGCTTTTTGCGGTAAATGGCTAGGAGGAGGCTTGCTACATTATAGGGTAAGTTTATGTTTATCTTTATAAGAAATTGCCCAATTGTTATCCAGAGCATCTGTATCCTTTTGCATTCCCACCAGCCATGTACTAGAGTTCCAGTTGCTCCTCATCCTCATGAGCACTTTGTATTGTTGGTATTGTTTTAGCCATTCTAGTAGGTATGTAAAAGTGTCTCATTGTGATTTTAATTTGTATTTCTTTAATGTCTAATGATTTATAGCATCTTTAAAACATTTATTTGCAATCTGTTTCTTCTTTGATGAAATGTCTGCTTAGATCTTTCACCCATTTTAAAATTAACTTGTTTGGGATTTTTTTTAATTGACAAGAAAATCAATAAAACCAAAAGCTGGTTTTTAAAAAGATCAACAAAATTAACAAATGTTTAACTAGACTAAGAAAATAAGAGAAAAGCCTCAAATTACTAAAATCTGTAATGATAGAGAAGATATCATTATTGACCTTACAGAAATCAAAACAATTATAAGTGAATACTATAAACAACTGTATACCAACAGTTTAAATAAGTTAGATAAAATGGACAAAATCCTAGAAAGACATAAATTACCAAAACTGTATCAAGAATAAATAGAAAATCTAAACAAATCTATAACAAGTAAAGAGATTTAATTAGTAATTTTAATACATCCCACACACACACAAAAGCTGAGGCCCAGACTTCACAGATGAATCTTTTAAACATTTCAGGAAGAATTAACACCGATCCTTCATAAAATTTTCAGAAGATAGGTGGTAATAATGCTACCCAATTCATTCTATGAGGTGAGTCTTATCCTGAATCCAAAACCAGACAAACACATCACAAGAAAACTACAGACCAATGTCCTTTACGAATATAGATGTGAACATTTTCAACAAAATAATACCAGACTGAATCCAGCAGCATATACAAAGGATAATAAACTAAAATTAAGTGGGATTTATCCCAAGAATGCAAGATTGGTTCCATTTATGAAAATGTATGTATGTAATGTAATATGCTACATTAATAAAGTAAAAGACATACGGTCATCTCAACAGACAGAAAAAAAAAAGCATTTGACAAAATCCAACACTATTTCATGACAAAAACATTCAAGAAAGATAGATGGTGATATGGTTTGGATTTGTGTCTTCAACCAAATCTCATGCCGAATTGTAATTCCCAGTGTTGAAGGAGGGGTCTGGTGGAAGGTGACTGGATTAAGGGGAAAGATTTCCTCTGTGCTGTTTTCATGATAGTAAGTTCTCATGAGACCTGGTTGTTTTAAAGAGTGTATAGCACCTCCCCCTACATCTCTTCCTCCTGATCCAGCCATGTAAAACATGCCTGCTTCCCTCTTCACCTTCTGCCATTATTGTAAGTTTCCTGAGGCCTCCCAGACATGCTTCCTGTATAGACTGTGGAACCATGAGCCAATCAGACCTCTTCTCATTATAAATTACCTAGTCTCAGGTAGTTTTTTATGACAATATGACAACAAACTAATACAGACAGGAACTTCCTCAACTTGATAGGAAGCATCTGTGAAAAACCCACAGGCACATCATACTTAATGATGAAAGACTGTATGTTTTCCTCCTGAGCTCTGGAACAAGACAGGGATGTTCGCTTTCACCATTCCTAATCAACACTGTATTGAAGTACTTACTAGCCAGAGGAATTAGGCAATAAAAAGAAATAAAAGGTATCAGATTGGTAAAGAAGTAAAATTATCCTATTTGCAGATGACATGATTTTGCATAAAGAAAATCCTAAACAATTAGTTGTAAAAACCTATCAGGGATAATAAAAAAAGTTCAACAAAGTAGCAGGACATAAGATCAATAAACAAAAATCATTTGTATTTCAATATGCTGGCAATGAACAACCGAAAAATAAAATTTAAAAATAATTCCATTCACAACAGCATAAAAAATGATAAAATACTTACAAAAAATTTTACCAAAAAAAATGCATGATTCATACACTGAAAACCACAAAATATTGAAAGAAATTAAAGAATGCCTACATAAATGGAAAGACAGACCATGTTCATGGACTGGAAGACTATACTATTAGAATGAAAATACTCCTCATATTTATCTCCAGTTTTAATGCTGCCTCTATCAAAATTCTAGCTGAATATTTGCAGAAATTGTCAAGCTGATTCTAAAATTCATATGAAAATGCAAGGGACCCACAATAGCCAAAACAATGTTGAAAAAGAAGAGCAATGTTAGAAAATTCCCAATTCCTAATTTCAAAACTTACTACAAAGCTATAGTAATCAAGACAGTATGGTACTGGCATAAGGACAGACATGGAGCAATGAAATGAAATTGAGGGTCTGAAAATAAACCCACACATTTTTGGTCAGCTGATTGTCAACGAGGGTGCCAAGACAATTCAATAGAGAAAGAAATAGTGTTATTCTTTTCAACAAATAGTACTGGGACAACTGGATATTCGTATACAAAAGAAGAAATTTGGACCCTATCTCATACCATCTACAAAAATTAACTCAAAATGCATCAAAGCCTAAATGCAAGAGCTAAAGTTATAAGATCTTAGATAAAAACAAGAGTAAATCTTCAAGACTTTGGATTAGGCAATGATTTCTTAGATACACTTAAAGCACAATCAATCAAATACAAGTTAAATTAAATAAAAATAAAATTAAAAATTAAATAAAAATTAGAAATTAAAAACTTTTTTACTCCAAAGGATACTATTAAAAAAAGAAAAGAAGACCCACAGAATCTAATAAATAAAGAACTCTTAGAACTCAGCAATCAAAAGACAAATAACTTAGTTGGGCATGATAGCATGAACCTGTAGTCCCAGCTATGTGGGAGGCTGAGGTGAGAGTATCGCTTGAGCCCAGGAGTTCAAGACAAGTCTGAGAAACACAAGACCCCATCTAAATTAATTAATTAATTAACTAACACAATTTAAAAATGAACAAAGAGTTTGAATAGATATTTCCTCAAAGAACATATATAAATGGCCAAAAAGCACATGCAAAGATGTTCAATATCATTAGTCATTATGGAAATATTATACTAATCAATATTGTTAAGAGGTCAGTGGAAACAGATTCAACAATGATTGATGCTTTTTATCAGACATTTACTGTGTTTATTCTCAAACAACATTATGGCATAGGTATTACTGTTATCTTCATTTTATAGATGAGAAAATTGAAGTCTAAAGAATTTATTTATTTATATATTTAGTGATCACTGCAGTCTCAACCTCCTGGGCTCAAGTGATCCTCCCACCTCAGCCTCCCGAGGAGCTGGGACTACAGGCATGCAGCATCATGCCTGGCTAGTTTTCTTAGTTTTGATGTTGTTGTTGTTGTTGTTTTTGTAGAGATGGGGTTTCGCTTTGTTGCCCAGACTGGTCTTGAACTCCTGGACTCAAGTGATCCTCCCACCTCAGCCTCCCAAAGTGTTGGGATTACAGGTGTGAACCACCATGCCCAGCCAAATTTATTCAACCTCTGTTGGGTTAATAGCTCAACTAAGTAAAACTAGCAAGAGTCAAATCAGAGATTAAAACCCATGTGGTCTGACTCCACAAAACATATATATATATATATATTTGAGATAAGATCTCACTCTGTTGACCAGGCTGGAGTGGAGTGGCATGATCACAGCTCACTGAAGCCTCAACCTCCCAGGCTCAAGTGATCCTCCCACATCAGCCTCCCAAGTAGGTGTGTGCCAGTGCCATCGTGCACAGCTAATTTTTGTATTTTTTGTGGAGACAGGGTCTCGCCATGTTGCCTAGGCTGATCTTAAACTCCTGGACTCAAGTAATACATCCTCATTGGTCTCCCAAAGTGTTGTGATTACAGGTGTGAGCCACTGTGCCTGACCTATATATATTATTCCTGTAACATAAAAAATGCATACAGGAGACATTGTGTTTAAAAAACGAGCTATAAATTAGTATACTAGGATTACAACAATGGAAAAACATTTAGGAAAAGACTACAAAAATCATATAAAAATGATAAGATGTTGTAATTCAGTGACAGAATTAAGGGTGATATTTGTTTTCCAAATTTGCTATAATATGATGAATTAATTATAATAATATCTTTCAAAAACTATGTTAAGAATATAAAGACCTTTCCTAAACACACACACGCAATGTTTTAAAGGAAATAAAATTATAATGCACTATCACTAAATAGTTGTGTTCTTACATAGGTTAGAATCCTGGCACTGACTCAAACCAGTTATAAGTCCTTAGGTAAGTGATGTTAGCTCTGTAGATTCAGTAATAATTAGAAAAACAAAATATTATCTTGAATAATCTTCAAAATTTTTTGAATTGATATATTTTCAGCTACCTAGTTATAAAACTTTAATTAGCCTAAAATATTATTAAATTTTGATAAATAGAAATTAAAGTATGCCAACATTTCAATTCATAGTCCTGTTTACCAGCTACAAAGTATGCCATCATTTCAATTAATATTCCTGTTTCACCAGTTACAGTAGATATATCCAGTTGTGGAAAATAAGAAAAATGCTTTGTTTTTAACAGTAGTGTTTAGAAGGTAAAAATGTTTTTCAGATAGTTTTTTCATTGGGAAAATATTCAACAGATATTTCTTGGAATTGACTCAAATTCCAATTGGACTTTGTAGCTCCTTCCAGAATTCTCACATATCTTTAAAAACTAACTCTGAACCTGGAAGACAGAGTATACTTAGGCACAGAATTGCCAGATATAACAAATAAAAAATATATTTGCTAAATTATCAGAGAAATCTGAATTTCAGATAAACAATAATTTTAACATAGGTAATACTTGAAGTATACTAAAATTATTTACCATTTATGTGAAATTCAAATTTTACTGCGCATCCTATAGCACCGATATTAAGTAAGGTATTACCAAATAATAAGTTCTGTTAATAGCAAAAATGAGTACATGTACTCTGCCACAAGGAGAATTTTCAAACTCTAGCTTAAATTATTGAATATTTCCTCCATATGTGGCAATGTTAAAATATTATAATTGTAAGTTACTTTTTGACTTCAAAAAAGTAATTTACCTGATAAGATTTTCATTCTTTTTTTCCACTGAAAATGGCATTCCAGCAGAACCATTAAATAATTCCAAAAGTAGTGTGACTGCAGTGTTCATAAGTTGACGAATGAGTTCCTGAAATATGTAGTCAACCAGCATTACAAACTTGAAAAATGTTTCTAATAAACGTCTATATTTAGGCAGCTTGAAATGTGTTGTGTCATCTTCAGAGAGTTTTGACTCAAAATACTCTTTGATTTCATTCTTTTCTGCAACCTACAATTTAAAAAACAATTGAGAAACAAGTATTGATTTTCTTTGTTAATATAGCATGATTTCTAGTTTAGTTTTTTTTATCAACTTCAATTAGATGTGAATGTTAAGAATTGATATTTTAATACCTCAAGCAAAAAATGATTTAAAGGGTAGGCCTAAAAAGCAACAGATAAATTAAAATAGAATTCTAAAAATTATTTAAGTAATACTAAAGAAGCCAGAAGAGGAAGGACAGAGGAAAAAAAAAAAAGACAGAGGAGACTAACCAAAAACAAATAATAGTAGATCTAAATTTAACAATATGAAAATTACATTGTGTTTTTACTTGTTCGTTTTGTTTTTATTTGTTTCTTTGTTTTTTCTTCTACTTTTATTTTAGGTTCTGAGGGTACATATGCAGGTTTGTTACACGGTTAAATTGTGTATTGCTGAGTCTTGGGGTATGAATTATCCCATCACATGGGTAGTGAGCATAGTCAACAATAGGTTGCCTTTTAACCCATACCTTCCCCTCACCCTCCTCCCTCAAGCAGTCTCCAGTGTCTGTTGTTCCCATCTTCCTGCCCATGTGTAACTATGTTTATCTCCCACTTATATGTGAAGATATGTGGTATTTGGTTTCTGTTCCTGTGTCAGTTTGCTTAAAATAATGACCTCCAGCTGCATCATGCTGCTGCAAAGGACATGATATCGTTCTTTTCATGGCTGGGTGGTATTCCATAGTGTATATGTACCACATTTTCTTTATCCAGTCCACCAATGATGGGCATCTAGGTTGATTCCATGTCTTTGCTATTGTGAATAGTGCTGCAATGAACATAAGCATGAATGTGTCTTTTTGGTAGAACAATTTATTTTCCTTTGGGTATATATCCAGTAGAGGGATTGCTGAGTTGAATGGTAGTTCTCTTTTAAGTTCTTTGAGAAGTCTCCACACTGCTTTCCAAAGTGGCTGAACTAATTTACATTGCTACCAGCAGGGTGTTTCCTTTTTGCCACATCCTCACCAGCATCTATTGTTTTTTGACTTTTTAATAACAGCCATTCTGATTGGTGTAAGATGTTAACTCATTTTGGTTTTGATTTGGATTTCTCTAATGATTGGTGGTCATATTTTTAATATATTTGTTGGCTACATGTATGTCTTCTTTTGAGAAGTATTTGTTCATATCCTTTGCCCATTTTTTAGTGGAGTTATTTGGTTTTTTGTTTGTTGGGGTGTTAAAGAGCCTTATAGACTCTGGATGTTAGAACTTTGTCAGATGCACAGATTGTGAATATTTTCTCTCATTCTGTAAGTTGTCTGTTTACTCTGTTGATAATTTTGCTTGCCATGCAGAAGCCCTTTAGTTTCATTAGGTCCCACTTATCAATTTTGTTTTTGCTGCAATTGCATTTGGGGACTAGGTCATAAATTCTTTGTCAAGGTTGATGTCCAGAATGGTATTTCCTAGGTTTTCTTCTAGGGTTTGTACTGTTTTAGGTCTTACATTTAAGTCTTTAATCCATCTTGAGTTAATTTTTGTATATAGTGACAGGAAGGGATCCAGTTTCAATCTTCTGAATATGGCTAGCCAGTTATCCCAGAAGCATTTATTGAAAAGGGAGTTCTTTCTCCATTGTTGTCATTGTAGACTGTGTGGCTTTATTTCTGAGTTCTCTACTTTGTTCCATTGGTCTATGTATCTGTTTTTGTACCCTTACCATGCTGT
Organism: Homo sapiens; assembly: GCF_000001405.40. NCBI lineage: Eukaryota > Metazoa > Chordata > Mammalia > Primates > Hominidae > Homo > Homo sapiens. The sequence continues at coordinate 225,021,902 of NC_000001.11, read as the reverse complement.
TTGGTTACTGTAGTCTTGTATAGTTTGAAGTCGGGTAATGTGATGCCTCCAGCTTTGCTCTTTTTGCTTTGGATTGCTTTGGCAATTCAGGTTCTTTGGTTCAACACAAATTTTAGAATAGTTTTTTTTTTGAATTGTGAAAAATGATGTTGGTAATTTGACAGGAATAGCATCAAGTCTGTAAACTGCTTTGGGCAGTATGGCCATTTTAACAATATTGATTTTTCCTATTCATCAGCATGGAATGTTTTTCCATTTGTTTGTGTCATCTCTAATTTCTTTCAGCAGTGCTTTGTAATTCTCATTGTACATATCTATCACCACCTTGGTTAACTGTATTCCTAGATATTTTATTCTTATTGTGGCTATTGTGAATGGCATTGATTTGGCTCTCAGTTTGGATGTTTTTGGTGTACAGAAATGCTACTGATTTTTGTACATTGATTTTATATGCTGAAACTTTCCTAAGTTATTTTATCAGATGTAGGAGCTTTTGGACAGAAACTATAAGGTTTCCTAGATAGAGAATCATATCATCTACAAACAGATAGTTTGACCTCTTCCTATCTGGATGCCTTATGCTTCTCTCTCTTGCATAATTGATCTGGCTAGAATTTCCAGTACTGTGTTTAACAGGAGTGGTAAGAGTTGGCATCCTTCTCTTGTTCCAGTTATCAGTGGGAATGGTTCCAGTTTTTGCCTGTTCAGTATGATGTTCACTGTGTGCTTGCCATATATGGCTCTGATTATTTTGAGGTATGTGGCTTCAATGCCCAGCTTGTTGAGAGTTTTTAACATGCAGGGATGTTGAATTTTATCAAAAGCATTTCCTGCATCTGTTGAGATGATCATGTGGTATTTGTTTTTAATTCTGATTACATAATAAATCACACTTATTGATTTGCATATGTTAAACCAACCTTCCTACTTCTCCATGGTAAATTAACTTTTTGATGTGCTGCTCCCTGGATTCAGTTTGCTGTACTACGTTGATAATTTGTGTGTCTGTGTTCATTAGGTATATTGGCCTGAAGTTTTCTTTTCTTGTTGTGTCTCTGCCAGGTTTTGGTATCAGAATGATGCTGGCCTCATAAAATAAGTTACGGAGGAGTCCTTCCTCCTTGATTTTTGGAAATAATTTCAGTAGGATTGGTACTAGCTCTTTGCGTATTTGGTAGAATCAAATCCATATGGTCCAAGGCTGTTATTGGTTTTTAGGTGTTTTATTACTGATTCAATTGGTCTGTTATTACTCTTTATTGGTCTGTTCAGGATTTCAATTTCTTCCTGGTTTAATCTTGGGAGGCTATGTGTTTCCAGGAATTTAATTTCTTGTAGGTTTTCTAGTTTGTATGCAAAGAGGTGTTTATAGTAGCCTTTGAGTTGTTTTTTTTTTTTTTTTTTTTGAGACAGAGCCTTGCTCTGTCACCCAGGCTGGATTCCAGTGGTGCAATCTTGGCTCACTGCAACCTCCGCCTCCCAGATTCAAGTGATTCTCCTGCCTCAGCCTCCTGAGTAGCTGAAACTACAGACACATGCCACCACACCTGGCTAATTTTTGTATTTCTAATAGAGATGAGGTTTCACCATGTTGGCCAGGCTGGTCTCAAACTCCTGACCTCAGGTGATCTGCCTTCCTTGGCCTCCCAAAGTGTTGGGATTACAAGCATGAGCCACCTTGCCTGGCTGAGATTTTTTTTTGTATTTCTCTGGGGTCAGTTATGATGCCACCTTTGTCATTTCTGATTGGGTGTATTTGGGTCTTCTTTATTTTTTTCCTTATAAATCTAGGCACCAGGCTATCAAACTTGTTTAATCTTCTGAAGAATCAACTTTTGGTTTTGCTGATCTTTTGTATGGATTTTCATGCCTCAGTTTTGTTCAGTTCTGCTCTAATTTTTGTAATTTCTTTTTTTCTGCTGGCTTTGGGATTTGTTTTCTCTTGTTTTTCTGGTTCCTCTAGGTGCAATAATTAGAGTCTTAATTTGAGATCTTTCTAACTTCTTGAGGTAGGTGTACAGCACTATAAACTTTCCTCTTCATCCTTCTTTAGTTGTGTCCTGAAGATTCTGGTATGTTGTGTCTGTTATTAGTTTCAAATAATTTTTTTAAATTTCTGCCTTAATTTTATTCTTTAACCAAAAGTCACTCAGAAGCTGGTTGTGCTTGAGCTGTGGTCCAACAGTGTGGTTGTTATGGTTTTGATTTTTGTGATTTAGTTGAGACTTACTTTATGGACAAATATGTGGTCAATCTTAGAGTATGTGCCATGTGCTGACGAGAAGAATGTATACTCTGTTGTTAGGCATAGTGTTCTGTAGGTGTCTGTTAGATCCAACTGGTCAAGTATCAAGTTTAAGTCCTGAATAGTTTTGTAGTTTTCTGCCTCAACAATGTGTCTAATGCTGTCATTGGGGTGTTGAAGTCCACCACTATTATTGCGTGGTTGTCTAAAACTCTTTGTAGGACTCTCAGTACTTGTTTAATGAATCTAGATGCTCCAATATTGGGTGTGCATATATTTAGAATATTTAAGTCTTTTAGTACTGAACTCTATATTGTTATGTAATGGCCTTCTTTGTCCTTTTTGATCATTGTTTGTTTAAGGTCTGTTTTAGCTGATATAAGAATAGCAACCTCTGCTCTTTTTTTTTTGTTTTCCATTTGCCAGACAGGTCTTTCTCTAACCCTTTACTTTGAGTCTATGGGTGTTGTTACTTGTGAGATGGGTCTCTTAGAGACAGCAGACAGTTGGGTCTTGCTTCTTTATCCAGTTTGTCACAGTTGGCCTTTAAAGTGGGGCATTTAGCCCATTTACATTCAAGGTCAATATTAACATGTGAGGATTTGATCTTGTCACTGTGTTATTAGCTTGTTGTTATGTAGACCTAATTTTACAGTTGTGTTAAAATGTCAATGGCCTATGTACTTAAGTGTGTTTATGTACTCAAGCGTGTTTTTGTGGTGGCAGGGAATGTTCTTTCATTTCCATGTTTAGCACTCCCTTTAGGACCTCTTGTAAGGTAGGTCTAGTGGCAACAAATTTCCTTACCATTTGCTTCTCTGACAAGGATTTCATTTCTCCTTTGCTTATGAAGCTTAGTTTGGTGGGATATGACATTTTTGGTTGGAATTTCTTTCCTTTAAGGATGTTAAAAATAGGCCTCTAATCTCTGTAGACTTGTAAGGTTTCTGCTAAAAGGACTGCTGTTAGCCAGAAGGGGTTCCCTTTGCCAGTGATCTGCCCTTCTCTCTAACTCCCTTTAAGATTTTTTCTTTCATGTTGACCTTGGAGAATTTGATGACTATGTGTCTTGGGGATGATTAACTTGGGGATGATCAACTCCTTCACACAGGAGTTCTCTGAATTTCTTGAATTTGCAAGTTGACCTCTCTAGCAAGATTTCAAAATTGTCATGGACTATATCCTCAAATATGTTTCCAAAGTGGCTTGCTCTCCTCTTTAAGGAAACTCAATCTGGTTAAGAACCTTTGCTGTTTGATCTCTTTACAGAATCCCGTATTTCTCAACTGTTGTGTTCATTTTTAAACTTCTTTTTTCTTTATTTTTCATTGCTTCAAGTGAGCAATCTTCCAGCTCTGAGATTCCTTCCTCAGCTTGGTCTAATGCCTCCAATTATATTTTGAAATTCTTGTAGTTAATTTTGCATATCCCGAAATTCAGTTTGGTTCTTTCTTAAAATGGTTAGGTTGTCCTTCAACTCTTGGATTGTTTTACTGTTTTCCTTGGATTTGGTTTTGACCTTCTCTTGTACCTCGATGAGCTTCCTTGCCATTCAGATTCTGAATTAAATGTGTGACATTACAGCAATTTCAACGTGGTTAAGAACCTTTCCTGGAGAGCTAGTGTGATTATTTGGAGGTAAGAAGACACTCTGGCTTTTAGAGTTGCAGAGTTCTTACACTGTCTGTTTCTGATCTGTGAAAGCTGATGTTCCTTTATCCTTTGAAGTTGTTGTTCTTTGGACTGGGCTTTGTTTTTATGTTCTTTATTGCCCTCAAGTATTTGGCTGTGGTGCAAGTTGGGTAAAGTTGAAAGGCTTTGTTTCTGAATGCTTTCAGTGGGCCAACTCTCACTTCAACACTCCTGGGCAGCATGCTTTAACCTTGGGTGGCTAGGACTGGGCCCATAGCTTTGTGCTCTGATCACTCATGGGCAAGCCCCAGCTGGGCTGGAGAGGCCAAGGTGCTCCCAGACTGCAGGCAATAGCACTGCGCTAGGGGTTGCAGGGTGACCATCGGTGGGAAACACTCCAATGTGGCAGTGGTGGAGTCCTTAGTGACCATGCTCTGGTGGGAGGCTGTCAGCAAAAGTGTTCCAATGGGGGAAGCATGAGCACCCCAGGTGGGAAGTACTCTGGTAGGGGCAGCAGGGGTGCCATGAGTGAACACATTCTGGCAGGGGGCTGCCAGCAAAAGTGCTCCAGTGGGGTAGCAGGAGCCTCATGAGAAAGCACAATGGCAGTGGCTGCTGGCAACAGCAGACCAGCAAAGTCTACAGTATTTTTATTAGCCTGATTAATATATATTGGAATTTAACTTTATCAACAACTTTCATTACAACTTTTACTACATGCTCATACTGTATTTAAACATTAGACAAAAAGAAGACTACTTATATGTGCTGAAGCCTATAAAGTTTGGTGTCTCACTTATAAGCAGATAACTTAAGTTTTGGAAATCAAACAAGGAAGTATATACTAATAAATATCTGTGTGTTCCTACATAAAGGGATCATCCTCCAACATACTGAATGTCATCTTGAAAAACAAGAAACTATGTCACCTCCAAATGAAAACAATAATACTGTAGTAACAGGCCCCAGTCATAAAGAAATGTATAAGATGCCAGAAAAATAATTCAAAATATTAATCTTAGGGAAATTCAGTGAAATATATGAGAATACAGATAGACAATTCAATGAGACCAGGAAAACAATTCATAAACTGAATGAAAAATTAAATAAAGATATATATCATAGAAAAGAACCAAATAGAAATCCTAGAACTGAAAAATTTAATGAAGGAAATTTAAAAATGCAACTGAGACCTTCAGCAACAGACTAGACCAAGCAGAAGAAAATTTCTGAACCTGAAGACCGGGCATTTGAAATAACACAGGCAGACAAAAAAAAAGAAAAGAAAAAGAAAAAAAACAGTGAAGAAAACTCACAGGATTTATGGAACACCATTAAGTGACAAATATTCAGATTATGGTTGTTGCAGAAAGAGAAGAGAAAAACAAGAAAAATATGTTTAATGAAATAATAGCTAAAAATTTCCCATGTCTTGGAAGAGAAATGAACATCCAGGTCTAATAAGCTAAACAAACCCAAAGAGATTAAACTCAAACATGTCCTCTCTGGGGCACATTATAGTCAAATTGACAAAGTCAAAGAGAAAGAAAGAATTTTAAAAGTATCAAGAATGTCAAGTCACATATAAGGGAATTTCCATTAGATAAGCAGATTTCTCAGCAGAAACTTTACAGGCCAGGAGACATTGGAATGATATATACAAAATATTGAAAGAAATAAACTATCAGCCAAGAATATTATTCCCAGCAGAGAAATTCTTCTGAAATGAAGAATAAATAGAATCTTTTACAGATAAGCAAAAACTGAGGGAATTCTGAGGAGGAAAAGTTAAATTAAACTTAAAAAGTTAAATCTGAACTCAATTGAACATGGACACCAAGGGACAATGGTCACCAAGTCCCAGAACAGGTTGTGTGAGCCCCTTGAGGTATTCATCCAGCACTGTTTCAGAGCCTATACATTAGTTATTGAAAAACAATAGACAATCACCAAAAAAAGTTGACCTTTTTGTGTTCCTTAAGCCCTGTCCTGAAGGGCCCTCGTGAGTGGACATCATGCCAAAAAATTCATTACAATAAGAGCTACAGTCCCAGACTGCGCCAAAGCTACATGAGACCTCTCCTTGTCTGTGCACAGATGAGTGGCCGACTCTGGAACCCAGGCTGTTGCTTCCCACTCTGGTGTTAAACCCTCCATAGTCTGGTGAGTGTGGTATCCACCTCTGGAGCCCAGGCTGTTGCTTCCCACTCTGGTGGTGAATCCTCCATAGTCTGGTGAGTGTAAATATCTTTTCCTTCTCCTCTTCCCATTGCAATTTGCTTATTATATCAATCTGCTTATTATATCATTTGATTATTAGTATATCATTTGCTTACTATAACATTTGCTTATTACATCTGCATTGCCATTTACATGGGGTAAACGTTGTTTACCCTTAAAGGTATTGTGTGTGTATCTTTTTTCTCTCACACATTTCCCAAACAGAATAAGTTCGTCACCTCTAGAATGGACTTACAAGAAATACTCAGGAGAGTCTTAAAGCTGGAAGTGAAAAGATGATAACCACCATCGTGCAAACATGCAAAACTATAAAACTCACTAGTAGAGCTGATATACAAAGGAGAGAGGCAAATCAATCAAACCTTATCACTACGGAAAACCACCTAACTGCAAAAATAACAATAAGAGAGGAAGAAACAAAGAATATTAAAGAACAACCAGAAAACAATCTAAAATTACAGGAGTAAGTCCTCATCTATCAAGAATAACCTTGAAAGTAAATGAATTACATTTCTCATTTAAAAGACATGGACTGGCTGAGTGATTAAAATACAAGACTCAACTATATGCTGCCTACAAGAAACCTACCACACCTGTAAAGACATGCACAGACTGAAAGTGAAGAGATAAAAAAGATACTCCACGTAAACAAAAACCGAAATCAAGCAGAAGTGTCTATGCTTATATCAACAAAACAGATTTAAAGTGAAAACCTATAATAATAGACATGGAGGACATTATATAATAATAAAGGAATCAGTTCAGCAAGATAATATAACAATTGTAAATATATATGCACACATCACTAGACTATCCAGATATATAAAGCAAATATTGTCAGATCTAAAGGAAGAGATAGACCCTAATATAATAATACTTTGAGACTTCAACATTCCACTCTCAGCATCAAATAGATAATCTAGACAGAAGCCCAACAAAGAAACAACAGATTTGAACTAAACAATAAACTAAATGGACCTCATAAACATTTACAAAACATTTTGCCCAACAGCTGCAGAATACACATTATTTTCATCAGCACATGGAACATTCTCCATGATTGACCATATTTTAGAACACAAGTCTCAACACATTTCAGAAATTAAAATCATATCAAGTATCTTATCTGAGCACAGGGGAATAGAGCTAGACATCAATAACAAGAGAAACAGCTGAAGCTATACAAATACATGAAAATTAAACATGTTCCTGAACAACAAATGGGTGAAGAAACTAAGAATGAAATTTTGAAATTCTTTGAACAAATGAAAATTGAAACATAATATATCAAAACCTATAGGACACGGCAAAAGCAATACTAAGAGGCAAATTTATAGCAATAAGTGCCTACATTAAAAAAAAAAAACTAGTGAGGAAAGATGGCCAAATAGAAACAGCTCCAGTCTGCAGCTCCCAGCAAGACCAACACAGGAAGTGGGTGATTTCTGCATTTCCAACTGAGGTACCTGGTTCATCTCATTGGGACTGGTTAGACAGTGGGTGCAGCCCAAAGAGGGCAAGCCAAAGTAGGGTGGGGCGTCGCCTCACCCAGGAAGTGCAAGAGGTCAGGGAACTCCCTCCGCTAGCCAAAGGAAGCCATGAGGGACTATGCCATGAGGGACAAGACTATCCAGCCCAGATGCTACACTTTTCCCATGGTCTTGGCAACCCACAGACCAGGAAATTCCCTCAGGTGCCTACACCACAAGGGCCCTGGGTTTCAAACACAAAACTGGATGGCTTGTATGGCAAAAATCCGAGCTAGCTGCAGGAGTTTTTTTCATACCCCAGTGGCACCTGGAACACCAGTGAGACAGAACCATTCACTCCCCTAGAAAGGGGGATGTAGCCAGGAAGCCAAGTGGTCTTGCTCAACAGATCCCACCCCCAAGGAGCCCAGCAAGCTAAGATCCACTGGGTTGAAATTCTCGCTACCAGCACAGCAGTCTGAAGTCGACCTGGGATGCTCAAGCTTGGTGGGGAAAGGGGCATCCACCATTACTGAGGCTTGAGTAGGCAATTTTCCCCTCACAGTGTAAACAAAGCCCCTGGGAAGTTTGGACTGGGCAGACCCTACCACAGCACCTGAAAGCCACTGTAGCTAGACTGCTTCTCTAGATTCCTCCTCTCTGGGTAGGGCATCTCTGAAAGAAAGGCAGCAGCCCCAGTCAGGGGCTTACAGATAAAACTCCCATCTCCTTGGCACAGAGCACCTGGGGAAAGGGGTGGCTGTGGGAGAGCTTCAGCAGACTTAAACATTCCTGCCTGCCAGGTCTGAAGAGAGTAACAGATCTCCCAGCACAGTGCTAAAGGACTGACTGCCTCCTCAAGTGGGTCCCTGACCCCCGTGCCTCCTGACTGGGAAACACCTCCCAGTAGAGGTCGACAGACACCTCATACAGGAGAGCTCCGGCTGGTATCTGGTGGGTCCCCCTGAGACAAAGCTTCCAGAGGAAGGAGCAGGCAGCAATCTTTGCTGTTCTGCAGCCTCCATTGGTGATACCCAGGCAAACAGGGGCTAAAGTGGACTCCCAGCAAACTCCAGCAGACCTACAGATGAGGGGCCTGACTGGTAGAAGCAAAACTAACAAACAGAAAGCAATGGAATCAACATCAACAAAAAAAAAATGACCATGCAAAAACTCCATCTGAAGGTCACCAACAGCAAAGACCAAAGGTAGATAAATCCACGAAGATGAGGAAAATCCAGCGCACCAAGGCTGAAAATTCCCAAAACCAGAAGGCCTCTTCTCCTCCAAAGAATCACAGCTCCTCACCAGCAAGGGAACAAAACTGGATGGAGAATGAGTTTGATGAACTGACAGAAGTAGGCTTCAGAAGGTGGGTAATAACAAACTCCTCCAAGCTAAAGCAGCATGTTCTAACCCAATGCAAGGAAGGTAAGAACCTTGATAAAAGGCTGGAGGAATTTCTAACTAGAATAACCAGTTTACAGAAGAACATGAATGACCTGACGGAGCTGAAAAACACAGCACGAGAACTTTCTGAAGCATACACAAGCATCAACAGCCAAAGCAATCAAGTGGAAAAAAGGATATCAGAGATTGAAGATCAACTTAATGAAATAAAGTGTGAAGACAAGCCTAGAGAAAAAAGAATGAAAAGGAATGAACAAAGTCTCAAAGAAATATGAGACTATGTGAAAAGACCAAACCTACGTTTGATTGGTGTACCTGAAAGTGACAGGGAGAACGGAACCCAGTGGGAAAACACACTTCAGGATATTATCCAATCTAGCAAGAGAGAACTTCCCCAATCTAGCAAGACAGGCCAATATTCAAATTCAGGAAATACAGAGAACACCACAGAGATACTCCTCGAGAAGAGCAACCCCAAGACATATAATCATCAGATTCACCAAGGTTAAAATGAAAAAAAAAATGTAAAGGTCAGCCAGAGAGAAAGGTTGAGTTACCTGCAAAGGGAAGCCCATCAGACTAACAGTGGATCTCTTGCAGAAACTCTACATGCTAGAATAGAGTGGGGGCCAATATTCAACATTCTTAAAGAAAAGAATTTTCAACCCAGAATTTCATTTCCAGCCAAATTAAGCTTCACAAGTGAAGGAGAAATAATATCCTTTAAAGACAAGCAAATGCTGAGGGATTTTGTCACCACCAGGCCTGCCTTATAAGAGCTCCTGAAAGAAGCACTAAATATGGAAAGGAAAAACCGGTACCAGCCACTGCAAAAACATGCCAAATTGTAAAGACCATTGATACTATGAAGAAACTGCATCAACTAATGGGCAAAATAACCAGCTAGCATCATAATGACAAGATGAAATTCACACATAATAATATTAACCTTAAATGTAAACAGGCTAAATGCCCCAATTAAAAGACACAGACTGGCAAATCAGATAAAGAGTCAAGATCCATCGGTGTGCTGTATTCAGGAGACACATCTCACGTGCAAAGACACACATAGGCTCAAAATAAGGGGATGGAGGAAGATGTACCAAGCAAATGGAAAGCAAAAAAAAAAAAAAAAAAAAAAAAAAAAGCAGAGGTTGCATTCCTCGCATCTGATAAAACAGTCTTTAAACCAATAAAGATTAAAAAAAGACAAAGAAGGGCATTACATAATGGTAAAGGGATCAACCCAACAAGAAGAGCTAATTATCCTAAATATATATGCACCCAACACAGGAGCACCCAGATTCATAAAGCAAGTTCTTAGAGACCTACAAAGAGGCTTAGACTCACACACAATAATAGTGGGAGACTTTAACACCTCACTGTCAACAGATCAATGAGACAGAAAATTAACAAGGATATTTAGGACTTGAACTCAGCTCTGGACCAAGCAAACCTAATAGACATCTACACAACACTCCACCCCAAATCAACAGAATACACATTCTTCTCAGCACCATATAGTACTTGCTTCTGAATGACTACTGGGTAAATGACAAAATTAAAGCAGAAATGATTAAGTTCTTTGAAACCAATGAGAACAAAGACATAACATACCAGAATCACTGGGACACAGCTAAAGCAGTGTTTAGAGGGAAGTTTATAGCAATAAATGCCCACAGGAGAAAGTGGGAAAGATCTAAAATCGACACCCTAACATCACAATTAAAAGAACTAGAGAAGCAAGAGCAAACAAGTTCAAAAGTTAGCAGAAGACAAGAAATAACTAAGATCAGAGCAAAACTGAAGGAAATAGAGACACACAAAAAAAGTTCAAAAAATCAATGAATCCAGGAGCTGTTTTTTTTTCAAGAGATTAACAAAATGGATAGACCACTAGCCAGACTGATAAAGAAGAAAAGAGAGAAGAATCTAGTAGACACAATAAAAAATGATGAAGGGGAGACAACTACTGATCCCAAAGAAATACAAACTACCATCAGAGAATACTATAAATACCTCTATACAAATAAAATAGAAAATCTAGAGGAAATGGATAAATTCCTGGACACATACAGCTTCCCAAGACTAAACCAGGAAGAAGATGAAACCCTGAATGGACCAATAACAAGTTCTGAAATTGAGGCAGTAATTAATAGCCTACCAACCAAAAAAAGTCCAGGACCAGATGGAATCACAGCTGAATTCTACCAGAGGTACAAAGAGGAGCTGGTACCATTCTGTCTGAAACTATTCCAAACAATAGAAAAGGAGAGACTCCTCCCTAACTCATTTTCTGAGGCCAGCATCATCCTGATACCAAAACCTGGTAGAGACACAACAAAAAAAGAAAATTTCAGGCCAATATCCCTGATGAACATCGATGCAAAAATCCTCAATAAAATATTGGCAAACCGAATCCAGCAGCACATTAAAAAGCTTATCCACCAAGATTAAGTCAGGTTCATCCCTAGGATGCAAGGCTGGTTCAACATACACAAATCAATACACGTAGTCCATCACATAAACAGAACCAATGATGAAATCCACATGATTATCTCAATAGATGCAGAAAAGGCCTTTGATAAAATTAAACACCCCTTCATGCTAAAAACTCTCAATAAACTAGGTATTGATGGAACAGATCTCAAAATTATAAGAGCTATTTATGACAAACCCACAGTCAATATTATACTGAACAGGCAAAAGCTGGAAGCATTCCCTTTGAAAACTGGCACAAGACAAGGATGCCCTCTTTCACCACTCCTATTCAACATAATATTGGAAGTTCTGGCTAGGGCAATCAGGCAACAGAAAGAAAGAAACGTATTCAAATAGGAAGAGAGGAAGTCAAATTAACTCTCTTTGCAGATGACATGATCGTATATTTAGAAAACCCCATCATTTCAGTCCAAAAACTCCTTAACCTGATAAGCAACTTCAGCAAAGTCTCAGGATACAAAATCAATGTGCAAAAATCACAAGCGTTCCTATACACCTATAATAGACAAACAGAGAACCTAATCATGAGCAAACTCCCATTCAAAATTGCTACAAAGAGAATAAAATACAACTTACAAGAGATGTGAAGGACCTCTTCAAGGAGAACTACAAACAACTGTTCAAGGAAATAAGAGAGGACACAAACAAATGGAAAAACATTCCATGCTCATGGATAGGAAGAATCAATAATGTGAAAATGGTCATACTTCCCAAAGTAATTTATAGATTCAATGCTATTCCCATCAAGCTACCATTGACTTTCTTCACGTAATTAGAAAAAACTACTTTAAATTTAATATGGAACCAAAAAAGAGCCTTTATAGCCAAGACAATCCTAAGCAAAAAGAACAAAGCTGGAGGCATTATGCTACCTGACTTCAAACTATATTACAAGGCTGCAGTAACCAAAACAGCATGGTACTGGTACCAAAACAGATATATAGACCAATGGAACAGAACAGAGGCCTCAGAAGTAACATCACACATCTACAACCATCTGATCTTTGAAAAACCTGACAAAAACAAGAAATGGGGAAAGGATTCCCTATTTAACTAAAAGTGTTGGGAAAACTGGCTAGCCATATGCAGAAAACTGAAACTGGACCCCTTCCTTACACCTTATACAAAAATTAACTCAAGATAGATTAAAGGCTTAAATGTAAGACCTAAAACCATAAAAACCCTAGAAGAAAACCTAGGTAATACCAGGACATAGGCATGGGCAAAGACTTCATGACTAAAACACCAAAAGCAATGGCAACAAAAGCCAAAATTGACAAATGGGATCTAATTAAACTAAAGAGCTTCTGCACAGCAAAAGAAACTACCATCAGAGTGAACATGCAACCTACAGAATGGGAGAAAATTTTTACAATCTATCCATCTGACAAAGGGCTAATATCCAGAATCTACAAAGAACTTAAACAAATTTACGAGAAAAAACAACCCCATTAAAAAGTGGGCAAAGGATATGAACAAACACTTTTCAAAAGAAGACATTCATGTGGCCAAAAAAGGATATGAACAGACACTTTTCAAAAGAAGACATTCATGTGGCCAACAAACATATGAAAAAAAACAGCTCATCATCACTGGTCATGAAAGAAATGCAAATCAAAACCACAATGAGATACCATCTCATGCCAGTTAGAAGGGCGATCATTAAAAAGTCAGGAAACGGCCAGGCGCGGTGGCTCATGCCTGTAATCCCAGCACTTTGGGAGGCCAAGGTGGGTGAATCACGAGGTCAGGAGATCAAGACAATCCTGGCTAACACAGTGAAACCCTGTCTCTACTAAAAATACAAAAAAAAAAAAAAAAAAAAAAAGTCAGGAAAAAACAGATGCTATAGAGAAATAGGAACGCTTCTACACTGTTGTTGGGGTGTAAATTAGTTTGAACATTGTGGAAGATAGTAGGGATCTAGAACTAGAAATACCATTTGACTCAACAATCCCATTACTGTGTATATACCCAAAGGATTATAAATCATTCTACTATAAAGACTCATGCACACGTATGTTTATTGCAGCACTATTCACAATAGCAAATACTTGGAACCAATCCAAATGCCCATTAATGTTAGACTGGATAAAGAAAATGTGGCACATATACACCATGGAATACTACGCAACCATAAAAAAGAATGAGTTCATGTCCTTTGCAGGGATGCCGATGAAGCTGGAAACCATCATTCTCAGCAAACTAACACAGGAACAGAAAAACAAACACTGCATGTTCTCACTCATAAGTTGGAGATGAACAATGAGAACATATGGGCACAGGGAGGGGAACATCATACACTGGGGCATGTCGCGGGGTTGGGGGTAAGGGGAGGGATAGCATTAGGAGAAATACCGAATGTAAATGATGGGTTGATGGGTGCAGCAAACCACCATAGCACATGTATACCCATGTAACAAACCTGTACATTCTGCACATGTATCCCAGAACTTAAAGTATAAAAAAAAAAAAAGAAAAAAGAAATGTACATCCTCAGGCTGTGCCTACTGAAACAGAAATCTCTTGTTTTATCAGGCCTTCTAGGTGATTCTCTTGGCCACTAAAGTTTGAGAATCATCATCCTTAGCATTTAAATATATTAAATTTCATAAGTTGTATATAGATATACACATATATGCATTCACATATATATAAATATATATTTATTTGCATTTTATATCATACCTGGAAAAATTCTTGTATATAGTAAATACATAGTACCAGTTAGTTGGTTAATTAACCACCTTTGTTCCTTACCTTTCCATTTCAGATACTTTTTCCAGGGATGCAATTTGGATCAATTGCTTCAGCTAGTAAATTGCAACTTTGATAAATATGATATAATTAAAGAATTACCTTTAGAAAAGTACTTTTCATCTCTGAAATTGCTTTATTCCTGATGTCCTCAAGTTGTTTCAATGCCTGGGTAGCTTGCTGTAACTGCTCTTCACAAAATTCATCTAGAGAATATGTTCGAGAACTATCCAGCTAATTAGATGATAGTAAATGTTCAGTGTTAGAAAGTCAAAATTCATATTTAAAAAAGATAAAATATTTGGTCTTTTCAGGTCATAAAGAAGACTCCATATTTTACATTTTCTTCTGTATATCCTATATGACTTACATGTTTTTCAAATTTAAACACTTGTTAAATCTAACTAAATCTTGATTAAAATACAGAAAAATACATTGGTGTTTTAAACAATAAGTAAGATTAAACTGAAGCAGAAAATTCAAGAGCTGATGTGTTTTTTAAACATTTATGCATGCAGAGAATCCACCAATCCCAGAAACTACTTTTACTTTTGAAGTCACCATTATCTGTAACAATTTAAAACACAAAGATAAAATACAGCATTATTGGGGAAACCAGCACCCAATATTTCAACGTATGTTCTTTTCTATTTTCCCTAAGTGTCAGCCGGTCTGAGAAATAAAGAGAAAGAGTACAAAAGAGAGAAATTTTACAGCTGGGCCTCTGGGGGTGACATCACATATCGGCAGATTCCGTGATGCCCCCGAGCCGCAAAACCAGCAAGTTTTTATTAGGAATTTCAAAAGGGGAGGGAGTGTACGAATAGGGAGTGGGTCACAGAGATCACATGCTTCAAAAGGCAATACAATATCACAAGGCAAATGGGAGAGCAAGATCACAAGGCCAGGGCAAAATTAGAATTACTGATGAGGTTCCATGTCCCACTGGGCATGCATTGTCATCGATAAATGTCTTAAGAGGAAACAGGGTTTGAGAGCAGACAACCAATCTGACTAGAATTCACCAGGCTGGAATTTCCTAATCCTAGCAAGCCTGAGGGCGCTGCAGGAGACCAGGGCGTATTTCATCCCTTATCTTCAACCCCAATAGACAGACACTTCCAGAGTGGCCATTTTAGAGACCTTCCCCTGGGAATGCATTCCCTTCCCAGGGTTATTCCTTGCTGGGAAAAGAATTCAGCGATATTTCTCCTATTCACTCTCTGCAAGAAGAGAAATATGACTCTGTTCTGCCCGGCCCTGCAGGCAGTCAGACCTTATGGTTATCTCCCTTGTTTCCTGAAAATCATTGTTACCTGTTCTTTTTCAAGGTGCCCAGATTTCATCTTGTTCAAACACACATGTTTTACAAACAATTTGTACAGATAACGCAATCATAACAGGGTCCTGAGGGGACATACATCCTCAGCTTACGAAGATGACAGGATTAAGAGATTAAAGTAAAGACAGGCATAGGAAATTATAAGAGTATTGATTAGGGAAGTGATAAATGCCCATGAAATCTTCACAATTTATGTTCAAAGATTGCAGTAAAGACAGGCACAAGAAATTATAAAAGTATTTATCTGGGGAACTAATAAATGTCCATGAAATCTTCACAATTTATGTTATTCTGCCGTGGCTTCAGCCGGTCCCTCCGTTTGGGGTCCCCAACTTCCCACAACACAGCATAAAGAGGGTAAAATTAAATAATTCAAATAAGGTTAATTTTATTCAGAATTCATTCAGAATCTATAAGGAAGAAATCTCTATCTACTATGCTATGAATTAATCTCTGGTAATACAAAATCATAATGTTCCATACATGCGTGTATATTACATCATTCTTCCTTCTTTCAGTATTGTTTTTCCACTACTGTGTTAATTCTCTTAACAAAATACATTTTCATTAATAAATATACAGATATGTTTATCTTTTATCATATAGTTATATTATAAAAATTAATAAATGTATCTTCCCACAACAAAAAAGATTGAAAAGTACTGCTCTTGCTTAAAATTTTGGATTTACTCTTTAAGTTTCCATTCTCCTGGTCCCATATCTGACTACCAGGTCCAAATTTTTCAAAATTTCCCTGCCTTTCTGGTCTTACTGATGACATCCTAATTAAAGTCTTTATTGCTTATACCTGCATTTATCCAGTACTATAATAATTGATCTCTATCACTCAAGTATCTCTCCACTACCAATTTTTCCCAAAAACCAATATCACAATAATTTTCCTAAAATACCATGTTCAAAAACTTTGAATAGTTGTTCTTTAAAAGTAGTTCTCAAAATTTATCCTGCCTAACAGTTAACTGAGGAACCGATTTAAAATGTAGATTACCAGCACCACTCACTGCCCTCTCTTGCAAAAGGAGTGGGACACAAATATTTACATTTTTATTAAGCACCCAAATACTGCTCAATAAAACAAACTTCACCCGAATATGAAACATGATCCAAAGTCTCAACTCTAGATGATTCTGTCAACTTGGATAAGTGGCAATCTCTCTAGAACTAAGTTTTGTTCAAATAGGTGAATTTTATTCAAAATTCATTCAGAATCTAGCTGGGAGAAATCTCCATCAACTAAGCTAAGAATTAATCTCTGGTAATACAAAAACATAATATTCCATCCACTTGAAAGTGAAGATTTGAACAAAGAACATATGTTCTTTACCTTCCAGTTCGAGAAATTCCACCCTCTTTAAAGGTATGCTTTCATCCCAGCAGAGTACACGTATGACCACCATTAACGGCATTAACTTCTGAACAATCCCATTCTTCACATTCATAACCTTGCTTCATTCTCCTTACATCCTCGTTGTCAGTCTTCATTGGCATCTGCATCCCTGGGCTATGCATAACCTTCCGATTCTAATGCACAACTGGCCACCTTGACTCCTGACCCCAGCTTGGTTCTCCAGGATATGAATCTCCACTCTTCCTCCATCTAAACCTGGCTTTTCCACATACAGTATCAGAAATTCCCATTCTTGTAAATTGCCCTCATAACAATCACCACTAGGAGTGCCCCTGCCCTATGGGCAGGTTGAAATCCTACTTTTCCCCTACTGTGTTATTCTTGGCCTGACATTCATGAGCCAATCTAACTTTCAAATCAAATATATATTGAATGCCTTACTCACATTTATATTCTTTATTTAAAAGCCTTATCTCCTCTTCTATGGCTATTCAAATCCAGCACAGCCTAGCTCAAAATATGAGGCATGACCTAACTTTAATTCCAAATAAGGCTAATCTCTGCCTCCTCTGGATTTCTGTAACATGACTGTTTTACAAGTATTATTTGCCAGTAAACATTCCTTACCTTATACTTTGCTAATGGGTTAGGTAGAATGATTAGCATAACAAAGAAACTATCTCTAGAATTAGTTTTCATTTTTATATATAAAGAATTATTTCTTCCCATGAACTGTAAGCAGATTGAAAATAGCAAAGCTTTGTTTTTCACTTTGTATTCATCTCTTTTGCACAGCATTTCGCATATAATAGATAATAAATACTTACATACTGTCTGGAAAAGTTTGTTCTCTTCCTCCTGATGTTCTATATTAAAGCTGACATGGCCTGAGGTCTCTAGGAAAGAGTCCTAAC
Organism: Homo sapiens; assembly: GCF_000001405.40. Classification (NCBI taxonomy): domain Eukaryota; kingdom Metazoa; phylum Chordata; class Mammalia; order Primates; family Hominidae; genus Homo; species Homo sapiens. Next base: position 225,004,021 of record NC_000001.11, on the reverse strand, counting down.
ATTTCTTCTCTATCACTAGTAATGTTCTCTATCATTTGGTGGCATTTAAGGCACAGACTTCAAAGGTATTTTAAAGTCTTTTATGCCTTCCCACCCATCATTAAAAATTAATAAATTTTGTCACTCAGCCATTTACAAAATAATCTGATATTACAGATTATTTTATTTCCTTCTACAAGAAAACCATATCCTATTTCCTTCTACATAAAAACCAAATCAAAGAGATTCCTCTGTGAAATGTCTCCTACTTAAGGTGAATTTAATCCTTTTGAAACATAAACATTCTCTATATAAGTATAAAAAATATACATCTATGTGATAATTCCTCCTCCTTCATTAGTTTATTCTTTTATTCACTCAAAGACTATTGGTGAGCACCTACTATGTATCTGTCATTACACATAATCAATTCTAAACATACGATGTTGATTTACAAGTATTGATCTTGTTACATGCAGTCAACACAACTGATTTTCGAGCTAATTTTCAAATATTTAACTTGTCTAAGCCCCTTAACAATTCCTCTTTCTTAGTCTAGATAACTCTATCAATTTTACTTTTTTCCCCATACATTGAGTGAGTGAAGTAAAATCTGCTAGAATCTTGTTCAATTGTAGACTTAATTAGTTCTAGGTACTTAACCACTCAAAAGAGCTATCTTATATAAATTAAGTTATTCCATTAACAGGCTCACTTTTTCTAGAATCTTGAAATAGGAGAATTCATAAATTTAACCAAAACTTCTGAGTTGAAGCTTATGATACTATCTTGACATGCTATACTAGAGGAAGAATATCAATTATGTATAAGAGATAACTGATTATTTTAAATCATATTACACATTCGGAAATACATTTGAAAATAAAGGGTCTTATAGACTTAGGTTAGGCATAAGGAAGAAATTACAAGAAATGTTAACTATTAAAATTTATTGCAAGGAACTCACATTCTTTGCAGATATTTTAGAACGGTAGTAATCGAAAGAGATGGTTTATTTATGAATTTAGAAATCTGTATTTTTTAATTCAAAATGCTATTTTTCTTCCTAGTTTCTATATACCAATATTAGCTTATAGTAGTATACTTCTACTCACCTTTACAAGGCATATGGCAGATAGATTATTTTCATGGTCATTATAATTTTTGAGATTAATTGCATCTTCACAAAGTCCTCTTATATAAACCAAACAGGTTTGAAACAAGTCATCAGCCAAAAAAAGATGGTGGTACAAAAATGACCTGAAAGTTAAAAAATTTCTACAGATATATCTCTCATTCAAAATGAATAAAATTAATTTAGAGGTAAGTAGTGTGGTTTAGTTAATATCCTTATAGTTGAAATGTTTTACATCTACCCCATTTTAAACGATAATGATTAGTAAGCATTAGGGGTTGTGTTTGGATGATAATGTTGTAGGCAAGGTTTTGGGGACTAGGTGTGTTGAATAAGAACAAAATAGGAGGGGGAAACAAGTAATGACATTCTGTTATGCCACTGAGTTCTAATAATTTTGAAATATGAGGAAGTATTATGTAAAATGAATTATATGTCCTCAATGTATTAAATTCACTAAATCTAAATAAATTCCTTCAATGTACTTTTCTCCCAATTATAGGAAACAATACTAACTGGAATAGGGACCACTGGGAGAATGTTTCTTAAAATCTCCAACTACCTATATCATAAAATAAAGAAGATGGGCCCTTTTCTTTTATCTGTCTTTTTCTACTAGTCTAAATAAAGGTGAGACAAATCACTACTAACTACACTGGAAATAACAGAAAGACAGAACTCGGGGAGAAAAGGGCAGAGTAGAAGAGATGAGGTTCCTTAAAAATTGGATCAAGTAAAGCAAACTTCCCTGTGCAACAGTGTGTGGAGAAGAGGGGGACTTCTGCCCTGAATCATCCCTTTGGAGTGGCTGATTTTTAAGGGTTATCAAGCTCATAATATACAGAAAATATAATAATCAGAAATTATCTCTTCCCTCTTTCTATTTTACAGTTGAGGGCTTTATATATTATAAAGCTAGTGAAGTTTAAGCTTCATGGGTTCATCATTTACACTGCCTATTCCAAAGCCTTGTACTATTTATCTTAAAGAACCCTCCCCAATTATATAAGCCTCACATAACATAAAACTACTCCTAGTCATAGAAGAATTTGATGACATCCCTCTAAGTATCTGATACAGAAAAAGAGATTATGCTAAAGACATGTGGCACATCATAGAAAGTAAAATATCACAAAAAGCAAACACAATCTCAGTACTTATTAACAAGATGGTGACTATCAAAATTTAGGTAATAATAAACTCACATTATTCAGTGTTTGTTTAAAGCTTTCTTTTTTTCCTTTAAAAATGTATTAAATTTTGGTTTGCATATTTCAACATAGATATGAAAATGGGGAGGGTGCACATAAAAATAACTATAGGCATGGAAAACATGAAAAAATTTATAGCTGTAATGCATGATCTAACAAGAAAAAAATAACACATTGACTGATGACTGTCTTCAAGCATAAGTATTATAAGGAATTCACCACAAATTTCTATTTTATTACAAAAGAAAACAAAATACATTCTCCACAACATAACTCACACACAAACTAGAACTGCTGGGTATTAGGGAACATATCACAAAAGACTATTACTACTCAGGTACTGGATTCCAGGAAAAATGAAATAGACATACTTTTCACTGTTTTACTGCTCAGTACAACTAAAAACTCTGGACATTACATTAAAGCAAACATAACAAAACATTGAAGGGTGGGGAAGAAAAAGCAAGGTGGCTAGAAATGACATGGTGGTAAGTTCCCTGGGTTTCCTTTTTGCCCAATATATCCCAGACTTGAAGCTGAAGAAACCAGTAACCTAGAAACGCCAATGGGTACAGATTAAAAAAAAAAAAAGTCCATTGCCTAGCTAAAGGACCAGGAAAGGGGCAGCCTACCATGACAGAAACTTTTATTCGATAACTATTCTATTCCAGCCAAATGCCATAGGGAAAAAAGGGTCAGTGGGAAGCCTAGAGTTCTACTCTTGGTGAATTGTTATAAAGCACCCTTAATGCCTCCATGGAGGGTTTTCAGGGAAACTGAAGTAGGGAGCTTGGACATTTGTCCCCATTGGGTGGTAATATGTAAAGAAATAGAAGACATAAAGAAGAACCAAATGGAAATTTTAGAATTAAAAAATACAATGACAGAAATACAAAAAAAACTCAATGGCTGAACTCAATGACAGAATGAAGCAGACAGAGAAACAAATCAGTGAACTGACAGAAAAACATAAATTATGCAATCCAAACAACAGGAAAAAAATGAGGGAAGTGAATCGTTTGAACTCAGGAGGTAGAGGCTGCAGTGAGCTGAGATCATGCCACTGCACTCCATCCAGCCTGGGCAACAGAGTGAGATCCCACCTCAGAAAAAAGAAAAAAAAAAAAAAAGAACAAACCTTCATTCACCTGTGGGATTATAAAATTGATCTAGCATTTGTGTCTGAAGTCCCAGAAGGAGAGGTTAAAGAAGACAGGGCTAAAAAAAAAAATACTTGAAGAAATAATGGCTGAAACATTCCAAATTTGTCAAAAGAAACACAAACCTAGAGATTCAAGAAGCTAAGGGAACTCAAAACAGAATAAAGACAAAATAATCCACACCAAAAACATGTCAAAGTCAAACTTCTGAAAACTAAACACAAAGAAAAAACCTTGAAATCAGCAAGAGGAAAAACACTTTATCCATAGGAGAAAAACAATTCAAATGACCATGGTTAGAAGAAAGTCACACAATGTTTTTCAAGTGCTGAAAGAAAGGAACTGTCAACCCAGAATCCTATATCTAGCAAAAATGTTCATGAATGAAGAGGAAATTAAGACGTTCTAAGACAAATGAAAAGTAGAACCTGTATACTAACAGACCCACACTAAAAATATGGCTACAGAAAGTTCTTTAAACAGAAATCAAACAACCAAACAATAAAAGAAGGAACACTGCAACATTAAAAAGGAAGAAAGAACATGATAAACAAAAATATAATCAAACAGAATATTCCTCTCATGAATTTTCTAAATTCTATTTGATGACAGAAGCAAAAATTATAACAATGTTTGATAAAGTTTCAAATGTATGCATAAAAACTATTTAAGACAATATATTACAAACAGGAAGGTAAAGAAACATGAAAGTTTCTACATATCATTCAAACTGATAAAATTATAACATCAGTAGACTGTAATATATATATAATCTTATACTATAGCAACCACTAAAAAAGCTACACAAAGAGACATATTGAAAAATACTATAGATAAATCAAAATGGAATTCTTAAAAATGTTCAAGGCAGGAAAAATAAAACATAGAAACAAACAGCAGAGAGAACGAACAGAATAAAAAAAATGGCTTACAACTTAAAGCCCATATAAATAATCAGATTAAATTTAAATAGTCTAAATATGGCAATTAAAAGACAGAGATTGGTAGAATGTATTTTAAAATATGGCATATGCTAGGCAACAGTGGCTCACACCTGTAATCCCAGCACTCTGGGAGGCCGAGGCAGGAAGCTCACCTGAGGTTGGGAGTTCGAGACCAGCCTGACCAACATGGAGAACCCCATCTCTACTAAAAATACAAAATTAGCCGGGCATGGTGGTGTGCGCCTGTAATCCCAGCTACTTGGGAGGCTGAGGCAGGAGAATGGCTTGAACCCGGGAGGCGGAAGTTGTGGTGAGTTGAGATCTTGCCATTGCACTCCAGCCTAGGCAACAAGAGTGAAATTCCATCTCAAAAACAAAACAAAACAAAAAAACAAACAAAAAAATCCATGGCACAACTATATGCTGTCTGTAAGAAACTCACTTCAAATAATAGGCATATCAAAAGTAAAAGGATGGGAAAGATATATTGTGTAAACACTAATCAAAAGAAAACATAGTGGCTATATTAATACCAAATAAAGAAACTACCAGAACAAAGAACAAAGAAAACTACCAGAAATACTGAGGGACACTATACAATGTTAAAAGCATCAATCCACCAAGAAGACAGAATAATTCTAAAAGGGTATGCACCAAACAATAGGGCTGCAAAATGTCAAACAAAAGCTGAACTGAAAGGAAAAAGAGACAAATCCACAATTACAGCTGGAGACTTCAGCACTTTCTCAACAACTGACAGAACAACTAGGCAGAAGATCAGCAAAGATATAGAAAGCTAAACAACTTTTCTACCAAGTGGATCTAAGCAGTGTTATAGAATACTCCACCCAACAATAGAAGAATACACATTCTTTTCAAGTTCCCATGGAACATGTATCAATAAAGACCATATCCTGGAAACAACAACAACAACAACAACAACAACTCAACACATTTTTTAAAAATCAAACAGACCAATTTCTCACCACAATGAAATCAAACTAGAAATTAGTAATAGGAAAAAATAATAAAATATCTAAACACTGGAAATTGAACAAAACACTGCAAAATGGGTCAAAGAGAAAGACTCGAGGAAAATTAAAAATTCAGTGAACTGAATGAAAATACAACATATCAAAATATGTGGTATACAGCCAAACCAGTGCTGACAGAAATTTATAGCACTGAATGCTTACATTAAAGAGGCATTGCGAAATCAATAATCTAGGCTCTCACTTTAAGAACTTAGAAAACAAAGAACAAATGAAACCCAAAGCAAACAGAGGAAAGAAATTATGATAGGAGCAGAAATCAATGAAATGGAGAAAAGAAAAACCATAGAGAAAAATTAATGAAACAAAGAGCTGATTCTTTAAAAACATCAATAAACCTAACTTCAAATAAGACTGAAAAAAAGTGAAAAGACACAAAGTATCAGGAACAGGAATGAAATAGGGGATATCAAGATTGATTCTGTAGACATCAAAGGTATCATAAGGGAATATTATGAATAATTCTATACATAAATCTGACAACTTAGATGAAACGTACCAATTCCTCAAAAAACACAAACTACAACAACTCACCCAATGTGAAACAGATAATCTCAGTAGCCCTATACCTATCAAGAAAATTGAATTCATTCCTCTGTCCATGTGTTCTCATTGTTCAATTCCCACCTATGAGTGAGAACATGTGGTGTTTGGTTTTTTGTCCTTGCGATAGTTTACTGAGAATGATGATTTCCAATTTCATCCATGTCCCTACAAAGGACATGAACTCATCATTTTTCATGGCTGCATAGTACCCTAAAACTTAAAGTATAATAATAATAATTTAAAAAATCGATAATCTGAAAAAAAAAGAAAATTGAATTCATAATTTAAAAACTTCCAAAGAAGCAATCTCCAGGCCCAGATTATTTCACTGGACATTTCTACCAAATGTTTAAAGAAGAATTAACACAGACTGATATCAGTAAAAGGGCAAAATACAGGGTCTCAGGCCTTTATTACCTCCCAAAGAAAGTTCAACTAGCAACTATTCACAGACAAGAATACCCTTGTGTTCCCAAAACTTGGAAAGGCCTGAGAAAGCTGCATGGACCACAGAACACAGAACCAAAACAAACAAACAAACAAACAAACAAACAAACAAAAAAAAACCTGCCTTTGAAGGATAAGAGAAATTATCTCACTTTGATCCCACTGCTCCTCCTTTCCCCAAGATGGCTCAGTTCAACAAAGAAAAAATTTCCCAGGGCCCACAGTTTCTACAGTGGGAAAATAGAATAGAAAACAGACATCCAGTTTCCCTGGCATTCTGATATGCTTCCCAAGAAGTCCACTCCAGTCTCACTTCATAAGGAACACAGAGGGTAACAGCATGGCTAGACCACCTAGGGTCAGGTAGAGATAAAGCAAGGAGACAGAGCCCATGGCAACCAGCCTACAGATCTTGGTGGCAGCTCTGTGTACCTGCCAGCAGTAGTACACAATCTGAGGTACCAGCTAACAGCATAGCTCCCTCACAAATCCTAGCTGGTCACTCCCAGAAGTGGTGGGACATTCTACCTGGCTTATATCCCTAGATGGCTCAGCCTCCAGTCCAGCCTCAGACCCTGCCCCCACACCCCACAGAGAGAGAAATACCCACCACAGCGCAATATAACAAAGCACAGGAGCTAGTTCTTCTACACCCAGCAGGTTAAACAGCACTCAGTTCAGGCTCAAAGCCCACCCCAAGGCCCTGCATAAGCAGGAAGGCAAACCTCATCTGTGTATTTCTACTAAGCATATCAGCTGGTCCCCTCCATCCTAAGCAGTGCCCATCCAACTGCAGAACTCAATCAGTGGTACCATTAGGCCAGGGGAATATATGTTGTGGCTCAGCCAGATAAAAGACAATTGCAGTGTCCACCCAGCAGTTCTGCTTGATTACAGAGCTCAGTCGGGGTCTCACCAGAGACTAGAGCCCAGCCAGCTTCCCTACCCTAACTCAGATTAAAGACAGCAGCTCAGCAATCTTCAGAACCCAAAAGCAAGTTCTGCCTGACCAAGGTCATTACCAGTTGGTCCACTCAGAATAACAAGCTAAACAGTGAAAGGTGTATCTCTGCCAAAGAAAATCTATGACCAAGCACAGTGACTCATGCCTCTAATCCCAACACTTTGGAAGGCTGAAGCAGGTAGATCACTTGAGCCCAGGAGTTCAAGACCAGCCTGGGCAACACAGTGAGGCACTGTTTCCACAAAAAATAATAATAATAATAATTCAGTGGATGTGGTGGCATGCACCTGTGGTCTCAGCTACTCAGGAAGGTGAGGAGGATTGCTTGAGCCCAGGAGGTTGAGACTGTAGTGAACCACAATCATGCCTGGGCCACAGAGCAAGACTCTGTCTCAAAAAAGAAAAAAAAAACCTATAAAAGCTGAAAGAGGTGTCTGTCTCCTTACAGGCACAGATATCAACACAAGAACATGGGATTACAAAGACTCAGGAAATCATGACACCTCCCAAAGAAACTAACAAAGCCCCATCACTTGGCCCTAAAGAAGTGGAAACCTATTAAATAGCAGACAAATAATTCAGCAATATCCTCTTAAAGAAGCTCAGTAAACTACAAAAAGATATGTATAAAAAATTAACTTAGAAAACTATATACAAACAAAATTAGAAGTCTGACTAAGAAATAATAAAAGAAGCAAAATACAAATCCTAAAAATAAAGATACAATGACTGAACTAAATAATGCAATAGAGAGTTTCAACAGCAGGCTCAGTCAAACTGAAGAAAGAATGAATAAGGTCAAAGACAGAACATGTGAAATTATCCAGTCAGAAAAGCAAAGGGAAAAGAATAAAAAAGAATAAAAAAAGCCTACATGAATTATAGAACACTGTCAAGAGATCCAAGAGTCTCAAAATAGAAGTTACAAAGTAGAAAAATGAGAAGACAGGTCAGAAAGCACATTTAAAGAAATAACGGCTAAAAACTTCCCTAATCTAGGGAAAAATACCAATATCCAGGAAGTGCAGAGATCTCCAATTAAATTTAACCCAGAGTTCAACAACACACATAATAATTAAACTACCAAAATCAAAGACAAAGAAAAATTTCTGAGAGCAGCAAGAGATAAGAAACAGATCATATACAAAAAAAAATCCCAGTATAACAATCAGCAGATTTGTCAGCAGAAACTCTGTAGGCCAGGGAAGAATGGGATGATATATTAAAAATGCTAAGGGGGAAAAAAAAACAACCCCTGCAAGCCAAAAATATTTTCCCCAGCAAAGCTGTCATTCAGAAATGAGGCAGAAATAAAAACTTTCCCAGACAAATAAATGCTAAGCAAGTTAATCAGTACCAGGCCTGCTTTACAGGAATTGTAAAAGAGAGTTACTTAAGCTGAAAAAGCCACTAAATGATAACATAAATCAAGAGCACAAAATTCAATGCTATAAATAATACTGAACCATATTCAGAATACTGTAGGACTACAATGGTAACGTGTAAAGCAATTCCTAGTACAAGGATTAAGACAAATCTATTAAAATAACTATAGCTAAAATAATTCGTCAGTGGATACATATTACGAAATGACGCAAATTCTGGCATCGAAAACATAAAATGTGTTTCAAGAAGAATAAAAGTGTAGAATTGTTGTATGCAATCAAAGTTAAGTTATCAGTTTGAAATAGTCTGTTACAGGCATAAGATGTTTTATGTAAGCCTCATGGTAACCACAAAGCAAAAATCTATACTAGACCCAACACAAAAAAAGAACAAATTCAAAGCATGCCACTACAGAAAACCATCAAAACACAAAGGAAGACAGCAAGAAAGAAACAAAGTATCTATAAAACAACCAGAAAACAATGAACAAAACAGCAGTTGTTAAGTCCTTACCTGTCCATAATTACCTTGAATATAAATGGATTAAATTCTTCAATAAAAAGTGACTAAATAGATTTAAAAAACAAAGACTGAACTATAGGCTGCCTGCAAGACACTCATTTACTGCACTTTTAAGGACACACATAGATTGAAAGTGAAGGGATGGAAAAGACATTCCACACAAATGGAAAGAAAAAGAACAGGGGTGGTTATAGTTATATCAGATAAAATAGACTTTAAGTCAAAAACTATAAAAATAGATGAAAAATGACATTAAATAATGATAAAGGGGTCAACTCATCAAGATGATATGTCATAACTATATACACACCCAACATTTGAGACCTTAAATATATCAAGCAAATATTAAAGAATTTAAAGGGAGAGATAGGTTACAATACAATAATAGTAGGGGATATCAATAACCAATTTTCAACAATGGACAGATCATTCAGACAGAAAATTCATAAAAAAAATTGAACTTAACACTTTAGACCAAATGGACTTAATAGGTAAATACAGAATATTGCATCTAACAGCAACAGAATATACATTGTTCTCAAGTGCACACAAAACACCCTCCAGGAGAGATCACATGTTAGGCCACAAAACAAGTCTCAGCAATTTTAGGAGGACTGAAACAGTATCAATTATTTTTTCTAACTACTGTGGTATGAAAATAGAAATCAATAAAAGGAGGAATTTTTGGTAATTCACAAATACATAGACACAAAACAACATGTTCTTGCACAACGAAAAAGCCAATGAAGAAATTAAAAATGAAATTTAAAAATATCTTGAGACAAACAAAAATAGAAATGCAACAGACCAAAACTTATGGGATGCAGTAAAAGGAGTTCAAAGAAGGAAGTTTATAGCAATAAATGCTTACATCAAAAAAGTATAAAGATCTCAAATAAACAACTTAATGTTACGCCTTCAGAAACTACACAGAAAACAAACTAAGCCAAAATTAGCAGAAGGAAAGAAATAATAAAGACCAGAGCAGCAACAAATAAAATAGAGTCTAGAAAAAATAATTTAAAAGATCAACAAAACTAAGAGTTAGGTTTTTTTTAAAGATAAAATTGACAAATCTTTAGCTAGACTAAGAAAAAAGGAGAGAAAACTCAAAATCAAAAATGAGAGAGAAAACATTACAACTGATACCACAGAAATACAAAGGATCCTAAGAGGCTGTTATGAACAATTATGCACCAACAAATTGGATTACCTAGAATAAATAAATAAATCCTAGACACATATCACCTACCCAGACTTAATCATGAAGAAACAGAAAATCTGAACAGACCAAAAATAAGAAAGACAACTGAATCAGTAACTAAATCTCCCATCAAAAAAAGTGCAGGACCTGGTTGCTTCACAGCAGAACACTACCAAAAATTTTATGAACTAATACCAGTACCTCATAAACCCTTCCAAAAATTGGAAAGAGAATGCCTCCAAACTCTTTTTATGAGGCCCAGCACTATCATGATCCAAAAGCCAAACAAAAATATTACAGGAAAGAAAATTACAGGCCATGCCAATATCCTTAAACATGGATGTAAGTATCTTAAACCAAATTCTAGCAAACCAAATTCAACAACACATTAAAAGGATTATTTACCAAAGTCAACTAGGATTTAACCCTGGGATGCAAGAATGGTTCAACATACACAAATCAATAAATGTGATACATCACATTAACAGAATGAAGGACAAAAATCGTATGATCATCTCATCAGGTGCAGAAAAAGCATTTAATAAAATTCAACATTCTTTCATGATAAAATCCTCAACAAATTAAGGATAGAAGGATTGTACCTCAACACATTTAAGGCCATATATAATGAGGCTGCAGCTAACACTATGCTTGTTGGTAAGCATAGTAAAAAATTGAAGTACTTTCTGAGACCCAAAACAAGGATGTCCACTCTCACCACTTCTATTCAACATAGTAGTAGAAGTCCTTGTCTGAGCAGTTAAGGAAAAGAAATAAAAGACATCCTAATAAGAAAGAAAAAACTAAAGTTGTTGCTGTTTCCTGACAACATGTTCTTAAGGAAAAACCTAAAGATTCCACGAAGAAAATGTTAGAATAAACAAATATGGTAAAGTTGCAGAACACAAAATCACACATAAAAATCAGTAGTGCTTCTATACTCTAATAATAAACCATCTAAAAACACTCAAGGGAACAACTGCATTTAAATAGCCACACAAAAAATAATAAAATACTTAGGAATAAATTTAATCAATGAGGTGAAAGACCTATACACTGAAAACTATAAAATGTTAATAAAAGAAATGGAAGAAGACACAAATACATGATAAAATATCCTATGTTCATGGATTGGAAGAACTAATGTTGTTAAAATGTTTACAGATTCAATGCAATTGCCATCAAAATACTAATGTTATTTTTATGGAAATTTTTTAAAATCTTAAAATTCGTATGAAACCACAAAACCTTGAATAGTCAAGGCAATTATGGGCAAAAAGAACAAAGCAGGAGGCATCAAACTACCTAATTTTAAACTAATCTTAAATCTATAGCAATTAAAACAGCACGATATTGGCCAGAAAAAAAAATCAGACATATATACCAATAAAACAGAAAGGGGAACCCATAAATGAACCTATGCGTGTACAAACTGATTTTTGACAAAGTTGTCAAGAATACACAATGGATAAAGGATAGTCTCTTCAATAAATAGTGTTGGGGAAACTGGACATCCATATGCAGAAGAATTAAACTGCAACCATGTCAAACCATCTCACTGTAGTTTTGATTTGCATTTCTCTAAAGATCAGTGATGTTGACCTTTTTCGCGTATGTTCATTGCAGCATTATTCACAACAGCAAAGACATGGAATCAACCCAAATGTCCATCAATGATAGACTGGATAAAGAAAATGTGGTACATATACACCATGGAATACTATGCAGCCATAAAAAGGAACAAGATCACACCCTTTGCAGGGACATGGATGGAGCATATAGATACCCGTCTCTACTGAAAAGAAAAAAAGGAAAGAAAAATACAAAAATTAGGCAGGTGTTGTCACGGACACCTGTAATCCCAGCTACTCAGGCGGCTGAGGCAGGAGAATCACTTGAACCTGGGAGGCAGAGGTTGTAGTGAGCCGAGATCACACCACTGCACTCCAGCCTGGGTGACAAAGCAAGACTCCATCTCAAAAATAAAAACAACCCAATTAGAAAATGGGCCAAAGGCCTGAATAGACATTTCTCAAAAGAAGACACACAAATGGCCAACAGATGTATGGAAAAATGCTCAGCCGGGCGCCTCTAATCCCAGCACTTTGGGAGGCCAAGGCAGGCAGATCACAAGGTCAGGAGATCAAGACCATTCTGGCTAACACAGTGAAAGCCCATCTCTACTAAAAATACAAAAAAAAAAAAAAAAATTAGCTGGGCATGGTGGCACATGCTTGTAGTCCCTGCTACTTGGGAGGCTGAGGCAGGAGAATCGCTTGAACCCAAGAGGCAGAGGTTGCAGGGAGCTGAGATCGCACCACTGCATTCCAGCCTGGGCAACAGAGGAAGACTCCGTCTCAAAAAAAAAAAAAAAAAAAAAAAAAAAAGCTCAACATCACTAATCATTAGGGAAATGCAAATTAAAACTATAATGATCTAGCCAAAGTCCAGCCTATTAAAAAACACAATGAAATATCACCTCCAAAAGTCTACTATCAAAAAAATGAAAAATAAATGAGTGTTGGCAAGGATGTGGAGAAAAGGGAAGGTTTATACAATGTTGTGAGAATATAAATTAGTACAGCCATATGGAAAACTGTATGGAGGTTCCTCAAAAAACTAAAAATAAAGTTACCTTATGATTCAACAATCCCACTTCTAAATATTTACCCAAAGATTTGAAGTAAGTATGTCAAAGAGATATCTGCACTCCAGTGTTCACTGCAGCACTATTCACAACAGCCAGGTTATGGAATCAACCCAAGTGCCCATTAACAGATGGACAGATAAAGAAAATGTGGTATCTATATGCAATGGAATACTATTCAGAAAGAAATTCTGTTCTATGACACAACATGGATAGAATCGAAGAACATTATGCTAAGTTAAATAAGCCAGGCACAAAAAAACAAATGACACATGTTCTCATAAGCAAAATCTCAGGCAATCAAACTGAAAAAAGCAGGGAGTAGGATGGTGTTTACCACAGGCTGAGGGTAGGGGAAATGGAGGAGATTATGGTCAAAAGATACAAAGCCTCAGATGGGAAGAATAAGTTGTTGTTTTGACATCTATAGCACAGTGTGGTGAATATACTTAATAATGGTGTGTACTGTACATTTCAAAAGTGCTAAGAGTAAATTTCAAATGTTTTCACCCAAAAATATAAGTGTTTGAGGTGATAAATATGTTAACTAGCTTGATTTAATTATTCCACGTTGTATTCATAAACTTTAACATCATTGTGTATCCCATAAATATATACGACTATAATCTGTCAATGTAAAATAAAAGTAAGTAAATATATAATATCATTTAAGTCAGAAAAAAAGAAACATTGACACCAATCTACAACAATCTCTCCTGGAAAACAGGAGGAAGAAGAAATACTTCCTAGTTCATTTTATGAAGCTAGTAATATCCTGATATCAAAATCAGGCAAAGTTAAAAAAAAAACAACAACACAGACCATCATTCCTCATGCAAAGATCCATAGCAAAATATTATCCAAGAAAATTCTCTAAAATATGTAAAAAGAATTATGCATCATGACCAATAGGGATTTATTCCAGGGATGCAAAGCTGGTTTTGTATTCAAAAATCTATCAATGTACTTTACCATTATTAACAGGCAAAAGAAGAAAAAAATCACGTGATCAAATAAATTTATACAGAAAAAAGCATGTGACAAAATTCAGCACACTTTTAGGATAAAAACTCTCAGAAAAATAGGAATAGAGAGAAACTGCCTCAACTTGACAAAGAGCATTGACAAAAGTCTACAGCTAACATTTTAATAGTGAAAGACTCAATCCTTTCCTTTAAGATAGGGAAAAAGTCAACAATGTCTATTCTTCACCACTTATTCGACATAATGCTGGAAATTCCATCCATTATATAAGGCAAGAAGAGGAAATAAAGCCATATAGATCAGAAAGGAAGAAATAAATTGTCCCTATTTACAGATAACCAATATTCTATGTAGAATATCCCAAAAAATATATTAAAAAACTCCTAGAACTATTAAGTGAGTTCAACAAGGTTATAGCATATAAGATCAATATATGAAAATCAATTGTGTTTCTATATACTAGCAATGAATGCATGAACATGTAAATTAAATACTCAATCCCATTTATAATTACTCATAATAAAATGAAATAGACATAAATCTAACAAAACATTTCTGGTGATTAATTTTGTGTGTCAACTTGAGTGGGCCAGCAGGTGCCCAGATTTTTATTTAAACATTATTTTGGGTGTTTCTGTGAGGTATTTCTGGATGAGATTAATATTTGAGTAGGTAAACTGAGTAAAACAGATTGCCCTCTCCAGAGGGGTTGGGCCTTAATATGGTTTGAATGTTCCCTCTAAAATTCATGTTGTAATTTAATTACCATTGTGAAGATATTAAAAGGTAGGACTATTAAGAGTGATTAGGTCATTAGGGCTCTGCCCTCATGAATGGATTAATGCCATTATTCTGGGAATGCATTATTACTGCTGGAGTAGGCTCCTGATAAAAAAGAAGAGTTCAGGCTGGGCACAGTGGATCACACCTCTAATCCCATTAATGGAAGGCTGAGGCAGAAGGATCAGGAATTTCAGATGAGCCTGTGAAACACAGTGAGACCCTATCTGTAAAAATGTTTTTAAAAATCAGCCAGGCATGGTGGCACATGCCTGTAGTCCCAGCTACTTGGGAAGCTGAGGTGGGAGGAGTGCTTGCATACAGGAGCTTGAGGCTGCAGTGAGCTATGATCACAACACTGCACTCCAGCCTGGCTGACAGAGTGAGATCCTCTTAAAAAATATATTTGTAATAGAATGATTTATATTCCTTTGGGTATACACCCAATAATGGAATTGCTGGGTCAAATGGTATTTCTGGTTCTAGAGCTTTGAGGACTCACCACACCATCTTCCACAATGGTTGAACTAATTCACATTCCCACCAACAGTATAAAAGTGTTCTTATTTCCCCACAGCCTTTCCAGCATCTGTTGTTTCTTGACTAATAATCGCCATTCTAACTGGCATGAGATGGTATTTCATTGTGGTTTTGATTTGCATTTCTCTTAACGTTCAGTGATGTTGAGCTTTTTCATGAATGTTCACTGCGGCACTATTCACAATAGCAAAGACATGGAATCAACCCAAATGTCCCTTAATGATAGACTGGATAAAGGAAATGTGGTACATATACACCACGGAATACTATGCAGCCATTAAAAGGAACAAGATCATATCTTTTGCAGGGACATGGATGGAGCTGGAAACCATTATCATCAGCAAACTAACGCAGGAAAAAAACTGAACACCGCATATTCTCACTTATAAGTGGGAGTTGAACAATGATAACGCATGGACACAGAGAGGGAAACAACACACTGGGGCCTGCTTGGAGGTAGAGGTGGGGGAGGGAGAGCATTAGGAAAAATAGCTAATGCATGCTGGGCTTAATACCTAGGTGGTGGGTTGATAGGTGCAGCAAACCACCATGGCACACATTTACCTATGTAACAAACCTGCACGTCCTGCACATGTACCCCAGAACTTAGCTCACACCTGTAATCCTAGCACTTTGGGAAGCCAAGGGAGGTGGATCATGAGGTCAGGAGTTCGAGACCAGCCTGGCCAACATAGTGAAACCTCATCTCTACTAAAAATACAAAAAATTAGCTGGGCATGGTGGCGGGCGCCTGTAATCCTAGCTATTCAGGAAGCTGAGGCAGGGGAATCACTTGAACCCGGGAGGCAGAGGTTGCAGCAAGCTGAGATTGCACCACTGCACACCAGCCCGGGTGACAGTGCAAGACTCCATCTCAATAACTAAAATAAAATAAAAGAATTCAACCTGATTTCCTCTGTCTCACAAGCTTGTTTGCTTGCCCTTCTGCCTTCTACCTTCTTCCATGGAACGACCCAGTACAAAGGCCCTAAACGGATGCCAGTTGTCAAGTTCTTAAACTTCCCAGCCCTCCAGACCCGTAAGACAAATATGCTTCTTTTTCTCCATAAATGATCCAGTCCGTAGTATTTGCTATAGCAATACAAAATGAACTGAGACAGGCCTCATCCAATCCATTGTGGCCTGAATAAAACAAAAATGCAGAGTAAGAGATAATTCTGTCTCTCTCTTCCCATCCTCAAGCTGAGACACTGGCTTTCTCCTGTTGTTGGATTTGAACTTGGACTGGAACTTAAATCACTCTCTCTCTTGGTTTTTAGGCCTTTGGACTCAGACTAGAAGGGGAACTATACTATACCATCACATCTCCTGGGACTCTAGTTTACCAACTACAGGTCTCAGGTCTGTCTCTGTCTCTGTCTCTGTCTCTGTCTCTGTCTCTTTCTCTCTCTCCTCTCTCTCCACATATACTTGTAGCTATTGTAAATGGGACTACTTTCTGGATTTCTTTTTCAGATTATTTGCTGTTGGCATATAGAAATACTACTGATTTTTGTATGTTCATTTTGTATCCTGTAACATTACTGAATTTGTTTATTAATTCAAATAGATTTTTAGTGGAGTCCTTAGGTTTTTCCAAATACAAGATCATATCATCTGCAAACAAGGATCATTTGATATTTTACTTTCCAATTTGGATGGCCTTTATTTCTTTCTCTTGTCTGAGTACTCCAGCTAGGACTTCCAGTACTAGTTTGAATAGCAGTGGTGAAAATGGGCATCTTTGTTGTATTCCATATCTTAGAGGAAAGACTTCCAACTTTTCCACATTCAGTACAACAATGCTAGCTGTGAATCTGTCATACATGGCTTTTATTATGTTGAGGTATGTTCCATTTTATAGCCAGTTTTTAGGAATTTTTGTCATGAAAGGATGTTGGATTTTATCAAATCCTTTTTCAGCATCCATTGAAATGATCATATGGTTTTTGTCCTTCATTCTGTTGATATAATGTTTCACATTGATTGCTTTGCATATCAATCAATATGCAAATGTTGCAAATACAAATGTTGATATGTTGAACTATCCTTGCATCCCCGGGATAGATTCCATTTGGTCATGATGAATAAACTTTTTAATATGCTGTTGAATTTAGTTTGCTAGTACTTTGTTGAGGATTTTTGCATCATTTTTTTTTAGGGATATTGGCCTGTAGTTTTCTTTTTTTTTTTTTTTTTTTTAATAAGCCTTTGTCTGGTTTTGGTATCAGGGTAATACTGTCCTCATACAATGAGTCTGGAAATATTCCCAAATACTCTATTTGTCAGAATAGTTTGAGTAGGATTGCTATAGTTCTTCCTTAAATGTTTGCAAAATTCAGAAGAAGCCATCAGGTCCTAAGGTTTTCTTTGCTGAGAGACTTTTTTTTATTACAGCTTTGATCTTCTTACTTGTTACTGGTATTTTCAGGTGTGCTTTGGGTTATATCTCCTTGGTGTTCTATAACCTTCTTGTACTTGAATATTGATATCTTTCCCTAGGTTTGGGAAGTTCTCTGTTATTATTCCTTTGAATAAACTTTCTACCCCAGCTCTTTTTTAACTTCTTTTTTAAGGCCAATAACTCTTAGATTCACCCTTTTGAGGCTATTTTCTAGATCTTGTAGGCATGCTTCATTTTTTTTTATTCTTTTTTAATCTTCTCTGTGTATTTTCAAATAGCCTGTCTTCAAGCTCACCAATTCTTTCTTCTGCTTGATTAATTCTGCTATTAAGAGACTCATGCATTCTTCAGTAGATCAACTGCATTTTTCATCTCCAGAATTTCTGCTTCTTTTTGATTATTTCAATTTGTTGTTAAATTTATCTGGTTGCTTAATTCCTTCTCTGTGTTATCTTGAATTTCTTTGAGCTTCCTCAATACAGCTATTTTTCTTAATTCTATGTTTTGATAAGTTATTGGGGTACAGGTGGTATCTGGTTACGAGTAAATTCTTTAGTGGAGATCTGTGAGAACCTGGTGCACCCATTGCCTGAGCAGTATACACTGCACCATATTTGTTGTCTTTTACCCCTCACCCCCACCCAGCTCTTCCCCCACAAGTCCCCAAAGTCCATTGTATCATTCTTATGCTTTTGTGTCCTCATAGCTTAGCTCCCATATATCAGTGAGAACATACCATGTTTAGTTTTCCATTCCTGAGTTACTTCACTTAGAATAATAGTCTCTAATCTCATCCAGGTCATTGCAAATGCTGTTAATTCATTCCTTTTTATGGCTGAGTAGTATTCCATCATATATATACCAGGGTTTCTTTACATGCCTATTGTTTGATGGGCATTTGGGTTGGTTCCACGATTTTGCTATTGTGAATTGTGCTGCTATAAACATGCATGTGCAAGTATCTTTTTCGAATAATAACTTCTTTTCCTCTAGGTAGATACCCAGTAGTGGGATTGCTGGATCAAATTGGTAGTTCTACTTTTAGTTCTTTAAGGAATCTCCACGCTGTTTTCCATAGCAGCCGTACTAGTTTACATTCCCACCAGCAGTGTCGAAGTGTTCCCTGATTGCTGCATCCATGCCAACATCTATTATTTTTTGATTTTTTGATTGTGGGCATTCTTACAGGAGTAAGGTATCGCATTGTGGTTTTGATTTGCATTTCCCTGATCATTAGTGATGTTGAGCATTTTTTCATGTGTTTGTTAGCCATTTGTATATCTTATTTTGAGAATTTTCTATTTATGTCCTTAGCCCACTTTTTTATGGGATTGTTTTTTCTCTTACTGATTTGTTGGAATTCATTGTAGATTCTGGATATTAGTCCTTTGTCAGCCCACTTTTGATGGGATTGTTTTTTCTTACTGATTTGTTTGAGTTCATTGTAGATTCTGGATATTAGTCCTTTCTCAGATGTATAGATTGTAAAGATTTTCTCCCACTCTGTGGATTGTCTGTTTACTCTGCTGACTATTCCTTTTGCAGTGCAAGAGCTCTTTAGTTTAATTAAGTCCCCCCTATTTATCTTTGTTTTTATTGCAATTGTTTTTGCGTTTTTGGTCATGAAATCCTTGCCTAAGCCAGTGTCTAGAAAGGTTTTTCCAATGTTATCTTCTGGAATTTTTATAGTTTCAGGTATTAGGTTTAAGTCCTTAATCCATCTTCAGTTGATTTTTGTATAAGGTGAGAGATGAGGATCCAGTTTCATTCTCCTACATGTGGCTAGCCAATTATCCCAGCACCATTTGTTAAAAAGGGAGTCCTTTCCCACTTTATGTTTTTGTTTGCTTTGTCAAAGATCAGTTGACTGTAAGTATTCAGGTTTATTTCTGGGTTCTCTCTTCTGTTTCATTGGTCTATGTGCCTATTTTTATACCAGTACCATGCTGTTTTGGAGACTATGGCCTTGTGATATAGTTTGAAATCAGGCAGTGTGATGCCTCCAGATTTGTTCTTTTTGCTTAGTCTTGCTTTGGCTATGCAGACTCTTTTTTGGTTCCATATGAATTTTAGAATTGTTTTTCCTAACTCTGTGAAGAATTATGATGGTATTTTGGTGGGGATTGGGTTGAATTTGTAGATTGCTTTTGGCAGTATGGTCATTTTCACAATATTGATTCTACTCATCCATGAGCATGGGATGTGTTTCCATTTGTTTGTGTCATCTGTGATTTCTTTTAGCAGTGTTTTGTAGTCTTCCTTGTAGGGGTCTTTTGACTCCTTTGTTAGGTATATTCATAAGTATTTCTTTTCAGCTATTGTAAAAGGGGTTGAGTTCTTGATTTGATTCTCTGCTTGGTCACTGCTGGTGTACAGAAGAGCTACTGATTTGTGTACATTAATATTGTATCTGGAAACTTTGCTGAATACTTTTATCAGTGCTAGGAGCTTTCTGGAGGAGTACTAAGGGTTTTCAAGGTAAACGGTCATATTGTCAGCAAACAGGGACAGTTTGACTTCCTCTTTACCAATTTGGATGCCCTTTATCTCCTTCTCTTGTTGGACTGCTCTGGCTAAGACTTCCAGTACTATGTTGGAGAGGAGTGATGAGAGTGGGCATCCTTGTCTTGTTCCCGTTCTCAGTGCTTTCAACTTTTTCCCATTCAGTATTATGTTGGCTGTGGGTTTGTCATAGACGGCTTTTATTACATTAAGGTATATCCCTGTATGCCGATTTTGCTGAGGGTTTTGATCATAACCTCACCTAACATGTAAGGACTAACATAAACTTAAAGTAAAGGGGTGGAAAAAGGCATTTCACGCAAATGGTCACCAAAAGCAAGCAGGGGTAGCTATTCTTATATCAGACAAAACAAACTTTAAAGCAACAGCGGTTAAAAGAGACAGAGACATTATATAATGGTAAAAGGCCTTGTCTAACAGGAAAATATCACAATCATAAACATATATGCACCTAACACTGGAGCTTGCAAGTTTATAAAACAATTACTAATAGACCTAAGAAATGAGATAGACAGCAACACAATAATAGTGGGGGACTTCAATACTCCACTGACAGCACTAGACAGGTAATCAAAACAGAAAGTCAACAAAGAAATAATGGATTTAAACTGTACCTCGGAACAAATGGACTTATCAGATATATACAGAATATTTCATTCAACAACTGCAGAACACACATTCTATTCAACAGCCCATGGAACTTTCTCCAAGATAGACCATATGATAGGCCATAAAACAAGCCTCAATAAATTTAAGAAAACTGAAATTGTATCAACCACTTTCTCAGACCACAGTGGAATAAAACTGGAAATCAACTCCAAAATCATGCAAATACATGGAATATCATGCAAATACATGGAAATTAAATAACCTGGTCTTGAATGAGCACTGGATCAAAAATGAAATCAAGATGAAAATTTAAAAATTCTTCAAACTGAATGACGATAATAACACAACCTATCAAAACCTCTGGGGTACAGCTAAGGTGGTACTAAGAGGAAGGTTTGTAGCCCTAAATGACTACATCAAAAAGTCTGAAAGAGCACAAACAGACCGTCTAAGGTCACGCCTCAAGGAACTAGAGAAACAAGAACAAACCAAACCCAAACCCAGCATGTTGTATTTTTCCTCACACGGAGCATCAGTTGTTGTATTTTTCCTCACACGTGGCACCAGTTGGGTATTGCTCCTCACAAGAGTGCATTAGCAGACCCTGACCCAAATGACGGATGAATAAAATGTACACTGACACACAGATATTCTGCTTTGCCAGTCCAGCTGAGTGTCAGACTGCCTGCACACCAAGAGAGGTTTGACACTGCAGCCAGCCCTGAGCAGCTTGCACTCTAGGCATTTACTTAGTATACAAATAACAACAGAAGCTCTGAGTCAATACACTTGTGGATAATTAACATGGTTAAGAGAGTAGTTCTAGGAATGATTAAAGCTCAGGTACTGGTGGTCTAAAGTAAACACCAGTAGGGGGCAATATCCCTAGTTGACCTCCCCCTGAGAGGGCCATTTGTCTCAAAGGTTAGTTAATGGAGGTAGGGTAAACAGACTTAACTGGGGAAGCCTCTATTGTCCCTAGTATTTACCCTATGACCTAATGCTCTAAGGTAAAAACCGGCTGCCTTCAGCCTGTTCAATTATTATAAGTTATGTAACCTTTCGGCCTTCCAAAAGGTTTGTGACTATTCCCTATAACTTTCCCTAATATTTCCCTTTAATATTTCTGCCACAATCCTGCATGAATCCCAACACCAGCAGAAGAAAGGAAAAACCAAGATCAGAGCAGAACTAAACGAAAGTGAAACAAACCAACCAAAAATACAAAAGATAAATGAAACAAAAAGCTGGTTCTTTGAAAAGATAAATAAGATTGATAGACCATTAGCAAGTTTAACCAAGAAAAGAAGAAAGAAAATCCAAATAACCTCACTGAGAAACGAAACAGGAGATATTACAACTGACACCACTGAAATACAAAAGATCATTCAAGGCTACTATGAATACCTTTACGCATAGAAACTAGAAAACCTAGAAGAAATGGATAAATTCCTGGAAAAATACAACCCTTCTAGCTTAAATCAGGAAGAATTAGATACCCTGAACAGACCAATAACAAGCAGCGAGATTGAAATGGTAATTTAAAATTACCAGCAAAAAAAAAGTCCAGGACCAGACAGATTCACAGCAGAATGCTACCAGACATTAAAAGAATAATTGATACCAATCCTTTTGACACTATTCCACAAGATAGGGAAAGAAGGAACCCTCCCTAATTCATTCTATGAAGCCAGCATCACCCTAATTCCAAAACCAAGAAAGGACACAACCAAAAAAGAAAACTACAGACTGATATCCTTGATGAACAGAGATGCTAGAATCTTTAACAATATACTAGCTAACTGAATCCAACAACATATCAAACAGATAATCCACCATGATCAAGTGGGTTTCATACCAGGGATGCAGGGATGGTTTAACATATCCAAGTCAATAAATGTGATTCACCACATAAACAGAATACACATGATCATCTCAATAGATGCAGAAAAAGCATTAGACAAAATCCAATACAGCTATTTATTTTATTTTTTAATTATACTTTAAGTTCTGGGATACATGTGCAGAACGTGCAGGTTTGTTACATAGGTATACACGTGCCATGGTGGTTTGCTGCACCCATCAACCTGTCATCTACATGAGGTATTTCTCCTAATGCTATCCCTCCCATAGCCCCCCACATGGAGCTGGGGGTGGGGTGACACAAGCCCCACTGTGGCCACCACCACTGTGATTGCACTGGGTCGGATGTATGTTCACTCAAGGACCTAAGACTCTTCAATCAGTAGTTGGCAAAGCCAGCCAGGCTTGTGTCCTTCTGGTTAAACCTGAAGCCAACAGGCCTGAGTCTCACCAAAGCCTTGTAACCACTACCTGGCTACTGCCTATGTTCACTCAAGAACCTAGGGCTCCACAATCAGCAGGTGGCAAAGCCTGCCAGGCTTGCATCCTTCCCTTAATGGCAGTGAGATCCCCCAGGCCCTGGATAGGTCCAGAGATGCTGTCTGGGAGCCACGGATTGGAGTCCAAAACCTTAGAAATTGATGTGACACTCTATACTACCGCAACTGAGCTGGCTCTCAAACCACAAGACAAAGTCCTTCCCATTCTTCCTTCCTCTCTCCACAGGCAGAGGAAATCCCCGTGGCCACCACCACCACAGGCCCATAGGGAGTACCTTCCAGGCTACCACTGATGTTCACCAAGGGCTTTTCAGTCAGCTTGTGGTGAACGTTGCCAGGTTTGGGACTCACCCTTCAGGGCAGTGTGCTCTCCTCTGTCCCAGTGCAGGTCCAGAAATGCCATCCAAGAACCAAGGCTTGGAATCGGGGACACCAAGAGTCTACTTGGTATTCCATCCCACTGTGGCCAAGATAGTACCTAAGGTGCAAGACAAAATCCCCTTTACTTTTCCCTCTGCTTTTCTTAAGCAGAAGGAGTCTCACTATAGCCACCACAGCTGTGAATGTGCTGGGTCTCACCTGAAGCCAGCATGTTTGAGTCTCACCCAAGGCCATAGTGTACTACCTGGTTAACACTGGTGGTCATTCAGGGCCCAAGGGCTCTTTAGTCAGCAGATTATGAATCTTGCCAGAACTGGGTCCTTCCCTTCACAGCAGTGGGTTCCCTTCTAGTCCAGGGTATGTCTATAAATGTCTGGGATCTAGGACCTGGAATGGAGACCTCATGACTCTGCCTGGTACCCTCTCCTACTGTGGCTGAGTTGGTCTCCAAGATGCAAGACAAAGTCAAAGTCCTCTTTAGTCTTACCTCTCCTCTCCTCAACAGAAGGAAGGAGCCACTTTCTTTGCTGTGAGGTGTGCTGCCTGGGGTTAGCGGAGGTAGGTGCAAGCACTCTCTTAGCCTTTCCAGCTGATGTCTCACTAGGTTGGGTGCCCCCCACATCCATTGGTTCCAAGCTCAAAACAGCACTAGGACTTGTTCAAGAATTGTGGTCCTTGTGGCCTATACTGCCTTTCAAGTTTATTTAGGACCACATAGCTCTTTAGTCTGCAGTGGCAAGGCTTGCTGGAACTCAAGTTCCAACCACTGGGATGGGCGATTCCAATCTGGCTAGAACTGGTCTAAATTCTCCCTCTGTGGGTGGCTGTCAGTTGAGTTCGGCTGGGTTTTGATTTCTGCTGTGACAGGGCAGCACTGAGTTCAATGAACAGTCCCACAAGCACTGCACTCTCCCTCCTCTAAGTGCTCAGATTATCTCTCCACACCACACAGCCACTGCCATGGCATGGGAGAAAGATGCCATCAGTGATTCAAGACTGTTTCCTTCCCTCTTCAGTGCCTCTTTCAGCAATATGAAGTTAAAACCAGGTACTGTGGTTGCTCACCTGAGTTTTGGTTATGAAGATGCTTTTTTTATGAAGGAACATTTGGTGTTCCTGCAGGAGGTATGATCAGTGAAGGATTCTATTCTGCCATCTTGCCCCACCCCTAATCCAAATAATTGTGATATTTTAATAAATGTACACAATGTGTTAGTAAATCAGGGTAATTAGCATATTCATCACCTCAAACCTTTATCATTTCTTTGACTTGATAACATTCAATATCCTCTTTTTTAAGGGTCAGCCACAGTGACCATTGCCTGTAATCCCAGTACTTCGGGAGGCTAAAGTGGGAGGACTACTTGAAGCCAGGAGTTGGTGACCAGCCTGGGCAACATAGTGAGTCCCCATCTCTACAAAATAAAAATAAAAAATAGCTGGGCATGGTGGTGCATGCCTGTAGCCCCAGGTATTCAGGAGGCTGAGGTGGGAGAACTGCTTCAGCCCAGGAGTTTGAGGCTGTAGTGAGCTATGATCACACAACTGTACTGCCGCCTGGGCAAGAGTGAGACTCTGTCTCTAAAAAAAGGAAATAAGAATAAAATGCAAAATCTTCTAACTATTTGAAAAAATGTAATGAATTATTGTTTACTACAAAGCTATAGAACACTACAACTTATTCCTCCCATCTATCTGTTAACCAACCTCTCTCTATCCTCCCCTCCCCAACACCCTTCTCATCATCTAATAACCACAGTTTTACTCTCCACTTCTATGAGTTCAAATATTTTAGCTCCCACATATTAGTGAGAACAAGAATATTTATCTTTCCATGCCTGACTTATTTAACTTAACATGATGTCCTCCAAACTCATCCATCTTGCCATAAATGACTGAATTTAATCTTTTTTTTCTGGTTGAATAGTATTCTATTTTGTGTATATATACATTGTCTTCATTCATCTGTTGATGGACTTTTAGATTGATTCCTATCTTGGCTGTTGTGAACAGTGCTGCAGTAAACATGGGAATGCAGGTGTCTCTTCAATATATGGATTTCCTTTCTTCACATAAATACCCAGTAGTGGGATTGTTGGCTTGTATGGTAGCTCTATTTTTAGTTTTTTGAGAAACCTCCGTACTGTTTTTCCATATGGTTGTGCTAATTTACATTCCCACCAACAGTGTATAAGAGTTATCTTTTCTCCATATCCTCATCAGCATTTATTTTTTGTCTTTTTGATTACAGCCATTCTATCTGGAGTGAGGTGATATCTCATTGTGGTTTTGACTTGCATTGCCCTGATTGGGGATGTTGGGCATCTTTTCATATACCTGCTGGCCATTTGTATTCCTTCTTTTGAGAAATGTCTATTCCAATCCTTTGCCCATTTTTAAATCAGATTATTTATTTTTTACTGTTGTTTGAGTCCCCTTTATATTCTGCATATTAATCCCTTATAGAATGAACAGTTGGCAAATATTTTCTCCCATTCTGCAGGCTGTCTCTTCACCCTGTGGATTATTTCCTTTGCTGCGCAGATACAGCATTCTTTTTTTGAAAACCATTTAATTGAAGTATGATTGACACGCAAAAAGCTGTACCTATTTAATGTATACAACTTGGTGCATGTGGAGATAAGTATACATCTGTGAACAATCTATGCCATAAACTGTCACCTCCAAAAGTTTCCTTCCCTCCTCTTGATTTATTGTTATTTATCATAAGAACATTCTTTTTTATTATTATTATTATACTTTAAGTTTTAGGGTACATGTGCACAATGTGCACGTTAGTTACATATGTATACGTGTGCCATGCCGGTGTGCTGCACCCATTAACTTGTCATTTAGCATTAGGTATATCTCCTAAAGCTATCCCTTCACCCTCCCCCCACCCCACAACAGTCCCCAGAGTGTGATGTTCCCCTTCCTGTGTCCATGTGTTCTCATTGTTCAATTCCCACCTATGAGTGAGAACATGCGGTGTTTGGTTTCTGTTCTTGCGATAGTCTACTGAGAATGATGATTTCCAGCTTCATCCATGTCCTTACAAAGGACATGAACTCATCCTTTTTTATGGCTGCATAGTATTCCATGGTGTATATGTGCCACATTTTCTTAATCCAGTCTATCATTGTTGGACATTTGGGTTGGTTCCAAGTCTTTGCTATTGTGAATAGTGCTGCAATAAACATACGTGTGCATGTGTCTTTATAGCAGCATGATTTATAGTCCTTTGGGTATATACCCAGTAATGGGATGGCTGGGTCAAATGGTATTTCTAGTTCCAGATCCCTGAGGAATCGCCACACTGACTTCCACAATGGTTGAACTAGTTTACAGTCCCACCAACAGTGTAAAAGTGTTCCTATTTCTCCACATCCTCTCTAGCACCTGTTGTTTCCTGACTTTTTAATGATTGCCATTCTAACTGGTATGAGATGGTATCTCATTGTGGTTTTGATTTGCATTTCTCTGATGGCCAGTGATGGTGAGCATTTTTTCATGTGTTTTTTGGCTGCATAAATGTCTTCTTTTGAGAAGTGTCTGTTCATGTCCTTCGCCCACTTTTTGATGGGGTTGTTTGTTTTTTTCTTGTAAATTTGTTTGAGTTCATTGTACTTTCTGGATATTAGCCCTTTGTCAGATGAGCAGGTTGCGAAAATTTTCTCCCATTTTGTAGGTTGCCTGTTCACTTTGATGGTAGTTTCTTTTGCTGTGCAGAAGCTCTTTAGTTTAATTAGATCCCATTTGTCAATTTTGGCTTTCGTTGCCATTACTTTTGGTGTTTTAGACATGAAGTCCTTGCCCAAGCCTATGTCCTGAATGGTAATGCCTAGGTTTTCTTCTAGGGTTTTTATGGTTGTAGAGACTTAGACTCCCACACAATAATAATGGGAGACTTTAACACCCCACTGTCAACATTAGACACATCAACAAGACAGAAAGTTAACAAGGATACCCAGGAATTGAACTCAGCTCTACACCAAGGAGACCTAATAGACATCTACAGAACTCTCCACCCCAAATCAACAGAATATACATTTTTTTCAGCACCACACCACACCTATTCCAAAATTGACCACATAGTTGGAAGTAAAGCTCTCCTCAGCAAATGTAAAAGATCAGAAATTATAACAAACTGTCTCTCAGACCACAGTGCAATCAAACTAGAACTCAGGATTAAGAAACTCACTCAAAACCGCTCAACTACATGGAAACTGAACAACCTGCTCCTGAATGACTACTGGGTACATAACGAAATGAAGGTAGAAATAAAGATGTTCTTTGAAACCAACGAGAACAAAGACACAACATACCAGAATCTCTGGGACACATTCAAAGCAGTGTGTGAGGGAAATTTATAGCACTAAATGCCCACAAGAGAAAGCAGGAAAGATCCAAAATTGACACCCTAACATCACAATTAAAAGAATTAGAAAAGCAAGAGCAAACACAATCAAAAGCTAGCAGAAGGCAAGAAATAACTAAAATCAGAGCAGAACTGAAGGACATAGAGACACAAGAAACCCTTCAAAAAATTAATGAATCCAGGAGCTGGTTTTTTGAAAGGATCAACAAAATTGAAAGACCGCAAGCAAGACTAATAAAGAAGAAAAGAGAGAAGAATCAAATAGACGCAATAAAAAATGATAAAGGGGATATCACCACCGATCCCACAGAAATACAAACTACCATCAGAGAATACTACAAACACCTCTACGCAAATAAACTAGAAAATCTAGAAGAAATGGATAAATTCCTCGACACATACACACTCCCAAGACTAAACCAGGAAGAAGTTGAATCTCTGAATAGACCAATAACAGGCTCTGAAATTGTGGCAATAATCAATAGCTTACCAACCAAAAAGAGTCCAGGACCAGATGGATTCACAGCCGAATTCTACCAGAGGTACAAGGAGGAACTGGTACTATTCCTTCTGAAACTATTCCAATCAATAGAAAAAGAGTGAATCCTCCCTAATTCATTTTATGAGGCCAGCAACATCCTGATACTAAAACTGGGCAGAGACACAACAAAAAAAGAGAATTTCAGACCAATATCCTTGATGAACATTGATGCAAAAATCCTCAATAAAATACTGGCAAACCGAATCCAGCAGCACATCAAAAAGCTTATCCACCATGATCAAGCGGGCTTCATCCCTGGGATGCAAGGCTGGTTCAATATACACAAATCAATAAATGTAATCCAGCATATAAACAGAACCAAAGACAAAAACCACATGATTATCTCAATAGATGCAGAAAAGGCCTTTGACAAAATTCAACAACGCTTCATGCTAAAAACTCTCAATAAATTAGGTATTGATAGGACGTATCTCAAAATAATAAGAGCTATCTATGACAAACCCACAGCCAATATCATACTGAATGGGCAAAAACTGGAAGCATTCCCTTTGAAAAGAACATTCTTGAAAAGATAAAATTACAGAAATGGCAAACAGATTAGTGGTTGCCAAAGGTCAAGGAGAGAGTAGGAATAAGAGGAAGGTGGATATAGCTATAAAAGGCCAACACAAGGGAAACTGTGGTGATAGCAGTGTTCTATATCTTGATTATATATCATTGTCAATGCCCTGGCTGTCATCATAGACTGTAGTTTTGCAACATTTGGGAGGGAAACTGGGTAAAAGGTACATGGGATATCTCTATTATTTCTTATAACTGCATCTCAATCCACGATTATCTCAAAATAAAAAGTTTAATAAAAACAATTTTAAAAAACATTTGGCTGATGGAGATCCTAACAAAATAAGATTACTGTTGTCTACTTTAAATGACTTAATTATTCTTCTTCCTGGAAGCAAGAAGTTAGATAAAGTGACCAAGGGAACTCATCAAGGTTTTCCATAGTTCTATGACCATAGAATGGTACACTGCAAAACACAGTGTTTAATAGTCTTTTAAAAATAAAAATGGGTTAAGTTTAATCGTAAAGCAATGGAATGTGACTTTCTAATCACTGAATGAAAATGAAATTATATCTGCTTCCATAGTACATGTAAAACATACAGCTTCCTTTTGAAATTTTTATATATTGCGTATCAAAACTTACCTGCTCTTCTCTGTCTTAATTCTTTTAACATTCAATTTCCAGGTAACAAATGCTTTATTCATTCTGAAAGGAAAAATGCTTCTTATATTCCATATCCATAAACCACGTATTTATATGGAATAAATTTAGTAAAAGCTTAGTAATACCAGAATATTCTCTAGAACATATTTCATTCATCCTGAGTTACCTAAAGGAAATGCTAAGCCATATAAATTTTCTCCCAAACTATCAACAGAATATAGAGCAAAAGGTAAATGTAAATGAAAGTCCTTATAATTCTCATAGATACAGGATTCACTTAGCTGCAACATTCCAATAAATATTAAAAATTATTTTTAAAATACCGTTTTCCTTTATATGTTTATTGGCTTACTTCGAAAAGAGACTTCATATTTCAATAAAATCAAGATTCAATTTTCAGTGATAATGAAAAGGTACATTGATAAAAAGTCTGTATAGTGGTAAGTAAAAAATTAAGGCAATGTATGTCATTTTGATATTATATAATACTTATGTAAAAAATGCACTTGTAATTTTTAAAACTCAAAGAACCTACATGAGAAAGAATTGGAAAGTTTCCCTGGTTATTACTCATCATCAATAATTGTCATGCATTTTGAAAAAGACAGGCCAACTGTTTCTGCAAAGCTCTCTCAACTCTAAATGAATATGGCCACCTATATTATGCACGTGTGGGACTAGTCTAATGCAATATCACAATCACTCCCTTGGTAGCCTTTGCATCTAGAGGAAAACAACCACCTTTAAATAAACACTGAGATGTGATACTTGTTTGCCAATGTGAGATTACTTATGCAGCTAGTGAGAGCTAGTGGGAAAATAGTGGGGATAGGGGTGTGTCTGAGAAGCCAACCAAACAGCCAATCCTAGTGATGACGTTGGCTAATTTTGAATCAAAGATGGCTGAAAGAGGCCTGGAGCCATCCAAGCAGTTCAAAGAGCATCCCATGATATCCTTCAAACAGGCCCACCTGAGGCCTTGGAAATCAGGACTGCCTCAATCAAAATCTAGTAACTTGACCTTAAATCCGGCTCCAAAGAAGCACTCCACATAAGTTACTATTTCACTTTAATCCAAATCCATAGAGTCATGGTATCTCAGAACCCTAGAAGATCCCTGAAAATCCATAAGAATCAGAGGGGAACCCAGTGATAGTGTAAGGAGTATCTGCACCAGGTCACAAA
The DNA here is from genome assembly GCF_000001405.40 of Homo sapiens. Classification (NCBI taxonomy): domain Eukaryota; kingdom Metazoa; phylum Chordata; class Mammalia; order Primates; family Hominidae; genus Homo; species Homo sapiens. The sequence goes on along the minus strand of NC_000001.11, from coordinate 224,972,947 downwards.
AACTAATATACCAGAAAAGTTTCATGAGGTAAAACGATGATGCTGATGGTCTAATCACCCCTGTACTGGCATCACCAGCTTAAGTTGTTAACACTTCATCTTTATCTCATTTTTCTATTTGAAATATTACCTTTTATAATATAGTGATCTAAGAAAAACTATAAAGATATTAAAAATAAAATTGGCCAAGCGCGGTGGCTCACACCTGTATTCCCAGCACTTTGGGAGGCCAAGGCAGGCGGATCACAAGGTCAGGAGATCGAGACCATCCTGGCTAACACAGCGAAACCCTGTGTCTACTAAAAATACAAAAAATTAGCCAGGTGTGGTGGCAGGCGCCTGTAGTCCCAGCTTCTCGGGAGGCTGAGGCAGGAGAATCGTGTGAACCCGGGAGGCGGAGCTTGCAGTGAGCCGAGATCATGCCACTGCACTCCGGCCTGGGTGACAGAGCAAGACTCCATCTCAAAAAAAAAAAAATTAGCCAGGTGCGGTGGTAGGCATCTGTAGTCCCAGCTACTTGGGAGGCTGAGGCAGGAGAATGGCCTGAACCCAGGAGGCAGAGCTTGCAGTGAGCCGAGATCGCACCACTGCACCCCAGCCTGGGTGACAGAGCAGGACTCTGTCTCAAAAAAAATAATAAATAAATAAATCATAAAATTTAAAAATTAAGTAAGTCTATATTAATTGTACAACTTCAGTAAATATAAAATTAAGTACAAATTAAGTAAATATAAAATTTAATTTGTATTTTTAACTTGAATAAAGAAAATGAATCATTTTGACTATAGACATTGATGCCAAATGTCATGTAAAAAGATGATTCTTGTCCCATCTGCAGTTGAACTTAAAAAGTTTAATAAATGATAATTATTTACAGCAGAGCAGACCCTGAGGATTTATCAGAAGGCAAGGACAACAGTGGAAAGTCTGACACTGACAGAGTTTCAAATAAAAAGATACAGAAAATAGTACTTTGGATAATATCTTAAATTGATAATCCAGAATCAAAAACCTATCTAGCCCCAATTCTAGTTCCTAAATTACAGGGATGCAACTATCACCTATCTTTGACGAGAAACTTCTCAGAACTGTTACTCAGTCATCTACACTACATGTGACAGGTCCCAGAAAATAACAGAACCAGCTTCATTTCCTACCAACTTCATTCCAGGAACACCACTTCTACCATCAAATCCATACTAAACTTGTTCCTGCTTCACAACTTTGAAACTTGCTATATTCTCCTTCTGGAAGCCCCACATGGCTGTCTCTTTTTCATCATTTAGGTCTCTGCTTCACTGCCACATCTCTGACCAACCTATCTAAAGAAGCAATGCACACAGACGTCTCTAGTTCTCTGTTTTATTATATTTCTAGGCCTCATCACTATCTGAAATTATTTATTTACCTATTATTATCTATCTCCCTCCATTAGAATCTAAGTTCTATAGGAACAGAAACCTGTATATTTTTTCACAGTTCTATCTCCAGTTCTTACACCAGTGAAACAAAATAGGGACATGATAACATTTATTCAATAATTAATTTCTCTGTCACAAAATCCTTCTTCTCTTACAAAAAAAAAGTTTCTCAGGTCCTTAGTTATTTAAGCTATTTACATATTAAATAAACAATTTAAAATATTATTTTTCTGTTTTCCTAGTCCCCAATGGACAAAAACATATCACAAGAAAATGCAGACATTAGAGAAGAAACAAGAAAATTATAGAACTAGATACACACTAAAAGAACAACAATCTGGAACTACTTTGTGAAGAATCAGAGTCTTGAGAATCCTAATGTGATGTGATATAATGTAATGTAACATAATGTACCTTAAAACTAGATAAATTTTTAATCATGAACTTGAATCAACAAGCTGCCCCAGCTCCCTTACTCTGTTTTATTTTCCTTCAACTACATTTAGTCTCCACTCAATATTTTACCTATTTGCATGTTTTCTATTATCTCTCACCTACTATGATATAAATATTTGAGTGCAGGATAATTGTTTGGTTTGTTCAATACAATATCCCTGGCATCTAGAATAATGCCTGGTTCTTAACAGACTCTCAATAAATATTCATATAAATAAATATATGCACAGAAAAAAAGGCAAACCCAAGTCAACATAGTTGACTCTTGAACAACATGGGTTTGAACGGCACAAGTCCATTTATATGTACATTTTCTTCCACATCTGCCACCCCTGAGACAGCAAAACCTATCAGGGGAAATTCAGCCAGGTATCGGGCAAAATTCACCCCCAATATTTCACGTAGGTTCTTTTCTATATTCCCTAAGTGTCGGCCAGTCTGAGAAATAAAGGGACAGCATACAAAAGAGAGAAATTTTAAAGCTGGGTGTCCGGGGCAGACATCACATGTCGGCAGGTTCCATCATGCCCCCGAGCGGTAAAACCAGCAAGTTTTTATTAGTGATTTTCAAAAGGGGAGGGAGTGTACGAATAGGGTGTGGGTCACAGAGATCACATGCTTCACAAGGTAATAAGATATCACAAGGCAAATGGAGGCAGGGCAACATCACAGGACCACAGGACCGGGGCGAAATTAAAATTGCCAATGAAGTTTCGGGCACGCATTGTCACTGATAACATCTTATCAGAAGACAGGGTTTGAGAGCAGACAACCGGTCTCACCAAAATTTATTAGGCGGGAATTTCCTCGTCCTAATAAGCCTGGGAGCGTTACGGGACTGGGGCTTATTTCATCCCTACAGCTTTGACCATAAAATACAGCCGCCCCCCGAAGCGGCCATTTCAGAGGCCTACCCTCAGGGACGCATTCTCTTTCTCAGGGATGTTCCTTGCTGAGAAAAAGAATTCAGAGATATTTCTCCCATTTGCTTTTGAAAGAGAAATATGGCTCTGTTCCAGCTCATCAGTGGTCAGAATTTAAGGTTATCTCTCTTGTTCCCTGAACATTGCTGTTATCCTGTTCTTCTTTCAAGGTGCCCAGATTTCATATTGTTCAAACACACATGCTCTACACACAATCTGTGCAGTTAACGCAATCAACACAGGGTCCTGAGGTGACATACATCCTCCTCAGCTTACGAAGATGACGGGATTAAGAGATTAAAGTAAAGACAGGCATAGGAAATCACAAGGGTATTTATTGTGATAAGTATCCATGAAATCTTCACAATTTATGTTCGGAGACTGCAGTAAAGACAGGTGTAAGAAATTATAAAAGTATTAATTTGGGGAACTAATAAATGTTCATGAAATCTTCACAATCCACGTTCTTCTGCCATGGCTTCGGCCGGTCCCTCCGTTCGGGGTCCCTGACTTCCTGCAACAAAAACCAACCTCTACTTTTCCTCCACCTCCTCAGCCTACTCAATGTGAAAATGATGAGGATGAAGGAATTTTATTATGATCTACTTCCATTTAATGAGTAGTAAATTTATTTTCTCTCCCTTATGATTTTCCTTTTTCTTTCCTCTAACTTACTTTATTGTAAGAATACAGTATATATCTACCAGACAAAACATGTTAATTGATTGTTTATGTTACTGATAAAGCTTCTTGTCAACAATAGACTATTAGTATTAATAGCAAAGTTTGGGTAGAGTCAAAAGTTATACTCAAATTTTCAACTGTGTAGGGGGTCAGAGCCCCTAACCCTTGCGTTGTTCCAGAGTCAACTGTAGGGTGTATTTAAGTTTGCTTGACCATAAAATATTTTTACAATATTTATCCAAAGAGACTAAAATTAAGAGTTTTAATACTGAAAAGAGTAAACTTCCTTTATCTAAAGAAATTTTATGGAACATCTCATTCTTCTGTAACTTATGGCATTTCCTCATAAGTTACAGGTAACAAATGCTTTATTAATTCTGAAAGGAAAAATGCTTCTTAAATGCCAAAATTATTGGCATTTCTTCATAAGTTACAGAGGAAATGGGGTGTTCCGTAAAAAATTTTTAGATAAAAGAATTAGTACTATTTTCTACTGGTATTACTGTAGTAGAACCCAGATGTCACTCAGGCAACTGCTCCTTCAATAGGATCAAACTACAAAGAATTGGTTTCATTTTTTTCACCTCACCGGAAATCAGAAAATATCTTGAATTGCCGTAATAAATAGTAATGTCTTCTTTCTGATAGCCATTCCAAAGTAGGTATGAGTTCTACTTCCTTTACACTACCAACTATATTAATAACCTACAAAATAAAGCACAAAAGCATTATTTTATTTCTTTAAAAAATATGTACCATTTTCAAGAAATTAAGAAAGCCTGTATTTGGCTGATAACTTCTTGTAACTTCTTGCCTTTATAATTAAGCTTTTTCTATGTATGAATCCTCAGCCACTTTATCTATACCCAAATTTGATTTCCCTCAACACACTGCTTCTGTACTTGTCGTTTTCTAATGCTATTTCTTGTGCTCCAACAGAGAGAAGAGAAACTTCCTCCTCACCCTGAGATACTTTTCACAAATAGCTGTTCAGATTTGAGTCTCATAATTTTTACATTTTCTATAAAAGTAGTATTTATGAACTTAATTTTAGCTACAGAAATGTGTGTATAATCTTATAATCTCACCACCCACATACCCTATATTGACATTCAAAAACTACATGCCCTTCATCAAGGAGTTCTCTCTCTTCCCATGAGTGCCCCTCCCCTATCTGAATGTCACCACATAAAAAAATTTATTCCAGAGAGAAAAGTATACATATTTTTATCAGCACATATGTATCTACGTGTATATTCATATATCTATAGAAGTTTTTCCTCCATTCTCACTTGATACTGCATATTAGAGATATTTCTTTATTTGCACATACAGATCTACCTCATGCAAAGATGTGGTCTTGCCCACTAATAAAGTTCATTTTATGGGAGGCTGGGAAGGCAGAAAAAGGCAGACAGACATTAAACAAATCATTAAAACAAGTAATTGTATATTTTCAACTTGTGATAAATATCAAAATGCTATATAAGAGTGTAAAAGGGGGATTTCTACATCTGGCAATAAAGTTTCTGACAAATGTGCCAATAAAGAATATTCTTTTCTTTATTATTATAGTTCCCATTAAGCTAGCAAATGCTTGTTTTGTAGTTCTTCCTGTAAAAATTTACCCCAAGTATTAACAAAGTATTTGATAGATGAAAAAATTTATTAAAGTTGAATCTTCAAACCTAAATCTCTACACAAAAGGAAAAACTTCACTATTAAATAACATGCTCCCAAGGAGATTCTTATATATAAACTGCTCCACAAATGACCAAGTATCTCTGAAACACAAAGATAAATGTATGCAATTAAATTCTACCTTGGATAATATTTTTGTAATATAATTCTGAAAGCTTAAAACATCCATTAAACATTACCTTTGAGATAAATGAAGCAGTAATAACCCAAAATTCTTTGCAATGTTTAGCAGTATGAGCCGATACTACCTGAAGATCATATGGATTGTAAAGGGATTTAGGACTTTTCCGAGGAAGGCAATAAACAAATTCTCCATCATCTTCCAAAGGTTTCTGAGATTAAAAAAAAAATAATAAACAAATTTAATTAATTTGACTAAATTAACTAAATTAATACAATGGGTGAACAGATTACCCACTAAATTGAAACAATTTTAATACAGATTAAAAATAAGAATACTATATTTGGAGAAAGCTAACATCAAATTATGTCTAAACAATGTTCAACAAGATCAATCTTATGAAAGATTTAATATATTTAATTTTCATCCTTAAAAAAGGATCTTTAATTCAGAAAAAATTATCTATATACTTAATAATACATGCTTACTAATCCAAAGAACTTGATGACATACCTTTTACATATATGCCATCTTCTAGTATTTGTCTGCCAACACCAGAAATCTTTTGGGCATATTAAATTTGTCATTTATTTTGATAATGATGGTGGTTTGGTATAAGATAAAAACAGCTATTATTTGTTAAGTAATAAATATTTAATGAGTAATAACTCTTTCATATACATTATCTTTACAACCATAAGAGTTTATTAACTTTCATCTCTCATATTTAAAGAAACTAAGGCTTAATATTTTCAACTTCATTAAACAATTGCAGAAATTAATACTCTGATGGAGCTGAGTGAGGTGGTTCACATCTGTAATCTCAACTACTCAGGAAGCTGAGGTGAGGTCACTTGAGCCCAAGAGTTTGAGGCTGCAGGGAGCTTTACTCACACCATTGTGGCTTCAGCCTGGGTGACAGAGAAAGACCCTGTTTTTCAAATTTTAAAAAATGAATATTTTGATAAGTTAGATAATTTGAGAAAAGTCACAAATTCAGGAAATGGTGACGTAGGGATGTGAATCCAAGTCTGACTGTAAACCCATATTCTGAGCTATTGCAATAAACTATAATGCCTCTCCCACACTTGGCATTGAAAAATCAGCCATTCCACATTAAGGAAAATTTTAAGGAAAATTTATTTCTTTTAGCTTTAAAATAAAAGTTTCTTGAAACTTTTAACTTTTATTGATAAAAAATTCTAAAATCATAAGAAAACTTTAGTCTTTTCTGGATAATTAAATTTTACCATAAAAAAGCATTTAGTATTTAGTGATGTCCTCAGAAGCTATTGTGTAACTAAATGGTTTCCAATCACTGTAGTTTTAAATTTTGGATCCAGTTTTACACTTTTTAAAATTCTGTCTTCCTTGAAGATTACTTGTTTCTTCTCAATTATTTTAGCTGTTTCACTTTCTTATTTCAGCTTCTAATATAATCAATATTAAATCCTCAAAAACAAGTTTAAAAACTGCAAATAACAGGAAATAAATGAGCTCTAAATGATGACTTGTATAATGTATGACCTTTTTAATAGTTATTTGGCCATTTGAGTTATCTATATTCTAAATTAGGTTTCAAAACATTACTAAGAAACAAGGTAGATACAAATCTTCCAAATAGATCATATATATAATTAAAAATCAAATTATAAAAGCATAAGAATATGTTCCAATTAAATTATTTTTTCAATTAAAAACAAGTGTTTAATCATATTCTCAATCCTTTCTTCACACACAAATGAAATTCACTTTATTTGGGAGTCCAAGGAACCCATGTACAGCTATGGTTTTGTTTTGTTTTTAAACTACTGTGCCCACTACCTGCCAGGCACCATGGCATATATTTAATTTTCACAGTCCTCCACAGTAACTATTATTATCTCCATTTCAAGGTCAAAACATGAAAGCTCAAGAGGTTAGGAACTTGATAATATGGTGAGTGTATAGGTTCAAAACCAGGTGAATCTGATTTGATTATACATGTACTTTCCTTCATATTGTTGCCTCTGAAAAATGATTAAAAGATGATTTATCTTCATGGTAACAGTGTAGAGCAGGGCCAGGTGCCTGTTTTTGTAAATAAAGTTTTATTGGAACACGGTCACATCCATTTATATATGTATTATCTATCAATGCTTTGGTACTACAGTGACAGAGTTGAGTAGTTTCAAAATCTAAAATATTTATTACCTGGTCCTCTTCAGAAAAAAATCTACTGATCCTTGGTTGGAAGCAGTGGTTCTTAATTGTGCATTAGAATCATGTGGAGAGCTGAATAAAATACAGATTGCAAGGCTCTGCCTCTCAAGGTTTCTGATTCAGTGGGTCTAGGGTGCAGATGAGAATGTGTATGTCTAGTAAGTTCTAAGGTGATTCCAGTGTTGCTTGCCTGGGGACCACATTTTGAGAATTCCCTATCTAACAGTAGGGAGAGATGATCCTGTTCAATCTTAGAGCACCTGTAATAAATGAGGTCTCAGGACACACACCTTAGTTCTTACCATAGCTTTCACCCTCTGGTCATGTGACCTTGGACAAGCTAAAATTTCTCTGAAGAAAGAGGCTAATGGGTAAGAAAAAAATGAATAGCATAAGGAAATACAGACCAGACGAGATAGAAAATCAGGTACCAGGGAGTTAGAGTGTGAGAAGAACAGAATGTTACATTACCTAACAATTTCTTCTTAAATCACAGAAAAAGTGATATCCAGAAACCAAACAGTAGATTCAAGTTTCAGGCAGATGATACCCCTTTCCTGGGGACTCACTCAGAGAAAGTGATGAGAGGTGACAGACATAAACATTTTGATGTGTTATAGACTTAAAGTTTATATGCTTTATCTATTCTCCATTTCTTAAATAAGTAAAATGAAATGATGTCAAATACTTTTGCATTTACCATGAAATAATTGTAACTTGATATTAATGTAATGTTTGACTTTGACATAATATCTGAAATGAAATAAAAATTAAAATATAATTTCAATATTGATTTTTAAAGATCAAAATTAAATAAAATAGAACAATACCTTTAAAGTAATCTTCTGAATTGCAATTTTGGAGCTTCCGTATTTCAAACTGTGCTGCGGTAATATAGTTTGCCAACCAAGCTTTTCTCGTAGCCTAATAATATTTCTTATCACATCATCATCTTTTGGTTCTGGTATAGAACAATTTAAAAATCCAGTATAAGTGCAAATGTGGGCATCACTTAAGGATAATGCATAATATTACAAATATTTCTATATAGAGAAAAATTTAAATGGTAACAAAGTATACATAACGATTATTAGAGGAGAAAAAATAGCTCAAAACTCAGTTTTAACAGAAGTTAGAAAGAGGGAATAATATTTATGAATTTAAGAAAGATGTCACAAAAGACCTAATTCATAATTACACAGGTAGTAACAAGAGAAGAGACTAGGAATAGGAACTGGTTATACGGCTTTTCTTAATAAATGCCTAAGCTGGGGTAGGGACAGTTGGATCAGAAAAGTAGGGATGACAGTGTGGGATGGAGACATTTTTCCTAAGGATGCTCATCCCACAGACACCTTTCAGAACATCTCTCACTTAATCTCTTAGCTGACAATTGACAATCTTCTCCTTCTTGAAAGAGTCTCTTTTCTTGGCTTTTATTTACCATGCAATACAGGTTGTCCTCCTGGCCCTTAAACTTCCTTTCTTGATAGAACAAATCATGGAAAGAGAAGCATACAAAAAGCCATGCTAAGAAGTTATATTTCTGGCCCTCTAGAACTTACAAACAGCATTGGACTAAAACAACTTCTTTGCTAAGGATGAAATGAGACTTGAGCTCTTGTATAAGACACTATTATAACTAGGATGAGGCACTTGCATGACTCTAAGAGTGAGTCCCTCTTTACATTTTGTGCCCTAGGTGAGGTATTGAAAATTAGTATTAAGGATATGGTACAAACTGTGTATGTCTGACAAGAGGATAAGTAACATCATAGACCCAGATATAAAAATATATACCTTCTAGAAATCAAAATAGTGTGGTATTGACGTAGAAAAGCACAGAAGTAGAAAAAAATTAGAGTCTTGAAATATAACTATGTATATAAGCCAATCTAATAAGTGAAAAAGATAATTCAAATCAACAGAGCGATTATTCAATAAATCATAATGCAAAAGTGGTTAGCCATTTGAAATAAATATGCAGTTATATGCAAGTATAAATTATAGATGGATTAGAGCTATAAATGTGGAAAAACAAATTATAGAAATACTAGAAGAAAATATGGGAGAATATGTTTATAAATGTGGGGTAGTGAAGGCTTCTTGAAAAAGAATCAAAGCATGTTAAAAGGAAAACAATGATAAATTTGACTTGCTCAAACTTAGCAACTTATACACAAGAAAAGCTACCATACACAAAGTTAAAATATAATTAACAAATTTTAAAAAGATGTTTATAACCTACATAACAGGCTAGATATTACTATACCAAATATTTCAAGAATTCTTAATGATTAAAAAATAAACATTTTGATAGAAAGATGAACAAAAAATTTACAGGAAAAGATAAATGGCCCATAAACATATGGAAAAATATTCAACCTCATTAGTAATCAGGGAATTGCAAACTAAAATAAAACTGAAAACACATATCTCACTCAGACTGGCAAAAAATTTAAAATTGGAAAATATCAACTATTGGCAAGGGTATTCCCCTTGTGTAATATCGTGAAAGTATCATAAATTAGCATTTCCATTTTTTAGTGTAATTTGGCAGATTCAACAGATCTGACAAAGACTGTTCGAAAATGGAGGCAATTTCAGCAAATAAAATAAAGAACACTTTTTCAGAATAAATAGTAAAATATAAGGAACACATAACTTTCAAAAAGCTGGAAAGAAAACATTTTTCTAAAAGAGAGTTAGGTTAGTTCATGACAGAATCAAGAATGCTTACTAAAAAGAAACAAGGTCAGGAGTCTGGCAAATTTTGGCTGGGTCCTCTGCTCAGGTTCTCGCAGGGCAGAAATCAAAGTGTCAGCTGACCATGCCCTTATCTAGAGGCTGGGCTAGTGAAAGACTTGCCTCCAAGCCCCTCAGGTTTGAGGTGGAATTCGTTTCCTTATGGCTGTATGACTGAGGTCCCCATTTTCTTGGTAGTTGGCTGGGTACAGTTCTCAGCTAGCTTTAGGGTTCTTGCCATGTGGCCCTCTGTACAACATGGCAGTTTGCTCCTCAAAGGCAGTGACAGGGCCTCTGCTACTGCTTCTGGTCTCTTAAGGGTATATCTGATTAGGTCAGGCATGCCCCTAATAGTCTCCTTTGATAAATTTAAAGTCAACTGATTTGATTAAGGGCCTTAAATACATCTGAAAATCCCTTTGCCATATAAAATAACATAAAAGCATGGGAGTGACAGTCCATCATATTCACAGGTTCTGCTTCCACTTAGGGGGAGGCAATTATACAAAGCATGTACACCAGAGGGTAGGAATACTGGAGGGCATCTTAGAATTCTGTCTACAACTTTCTTTTTTAACAAAATGACAAAATGTTGTTAAATCCTGGTAATAAGTACATGAATACTAAATTATCTTCTCTATATTGTATATTTGAAATATTTAATAATTGTTCTAAAATCTAAACAAAATGCCACTTAGGTCTTTATCAGTTTACATATTCATGAATTTATAGAAGCTAAATGAGGGAAGCAAATTAAAGAAATGCAATCAGTAAAGAATTAGAATTTTATTTATCTGGCAGCCATTAAGCCTAAATTTTTGGCCTTTCTTACACTAGATACCAATTTCAAAACACTGAAGGACAATGCAACAAAATATTAAGAATTCTTAATGTACAGCAACATTTGTTGCAATAAAGCCACTGTGTCAGTTTCCTGGATGCATAATATGGTTTGGCTCTGTGTCCTCACCCAAATGTCACCTTGAATTGTAATTCCCATAATCCCCATGTGTCAAGTGTGGGACCAGGTGGAGTAAGTGGATCATGGGGGTGGTTTCCCCCATGTTGTTCTCATGATAATGAGTGAGTTTCATGAGATCTGATTGTTTTATAAGCATCTGGCATTTCCCCTATTTGCACTCACTCCATCCTGCCATACTGTGAAGAAGGTGCCTGCTTCTCCTTTGCCTTCCACCATGATTGTAAGTTTTCTGAGGCCTCCCCAGGAATGCAGAACTGTGAGTGAATTAAACCCCTTTCCTTTATAAAATACCCTGTCTCAGGTATTTCTTCATAGCAGTGTGAGAAAGGACTAATACAATGCATAACAAATTACTGCAAATTTAGTGGCTTCAAACAACATACATTTACTATCTCACAGTTTCTGTGGGTCAGGAGTCTGGATACAGCTTAACGGATCCTCTGCTTAAAGTCTCAAAGGCTGTAATCGAGGTGTTGCTTGGGAATGGATTCTCATTTGGAGGCTCTATTGGGAAAAGATCTGCTTCCAAGCTCCCTCAGGTTGTAAGAAGAATTCATTTCTTTGTGATTGGAATCATAGCAGCTTGCTTCTTCGAAGCCAGCAAAGGGGAGAGACTCTAGAACAAGTCCACCAGCAAAATGGAGTATTGGATAATGTAATATGATCACAGCAGTGACAACCCATCACCTATTAGTTAGAAGCAGTCACAGGTCCTTTCCACATTCAAGGGGAGAGAATTATACAAGGGCATGAACACCACCACGTCCGTGGAGGTTTTGTGCTATATGAGGTACTTATAATTTTGAGGATATTTATTTAAAGAAAGGATGAAGGGATGAAGCCTGTGTGAGTGAGAGGCCCTGAAGCTTAGGCTTCAATAGCTTTATGATAAATCCACCTCTGTACCATGGTGTTTCAGTGAAAATAGAAAAGTTTCCTTTCTTTTATAAAATTAAAATATTAATACTAAGAAGAATTTCAGTTATAGAGAAAACACAAACTAGAAGATGTTAGTGGAAGAAAATCTATTTAAATAAACTATTTATTTGGGGATTTAAACTCTATCAGGCAAAGGCATAAAATTGTTAAATAAAATGAAATCATCAAGTTTTACTACAGTTGTATGTAAAAAACCATACAGTTTATATTATAGTTCTAAAATCATAGCCTTCAGATATTGTTCTTAGTTAAGAACAGTCATTAAACAGTCTCTGTCAATTTTTCAACATAATATTTTAGATTTTCAAAAAGAATTTTAAAAGCATTGTAATAATCCTTAAGCAACCAAACACATAAAATTCAGTAAGACTGTTTTTTCTAAAGTCAGTGTCCAATATAAGCACACAAACCACAGAATAATCTGAAAAAGTATAGTGATTTCTAAGCAATTGGTTCAGTGATACCACATACCTGTTCTATCATAGGACACAGGCCTGGCTTTCCTAACATTTGGACAAGCATGAGTTTGATCCTTTTTTCTCCTTGACTTCCCTTTCTCCTTAAGGGAAGCTGGCTCTGGAGAAACCATATGTTGTTGAATTATACTTTCTCTAAGGTAATCTGAAAATAAAACCATTATTAACTGAATAACTAGTGTGAGCTGTAAATAATACCATAGTAATTCCACATACCCAGCAATACAGTTAATGATTATATAAGGCAGTATAGCATGGTAGTTAAGAGCACAGGCTGAATCCCACTGCCTGGGTTCCAAGCTCATATACAAGCTTTAACACTCATAGTCACATGATTTACTTTGTAAGTTACCTATCTGCCTTGCTTTCCTCACCTTTGAAATGAGAATTGTCACAGTAAGAACCTCATAGGTTGTTACAAGAATTAAATTAGTTAATACATTTAAAGCACACAGTAAGTGCTTACTAAGGTAAATGTTAGGTAACTTTATTATTAGGTTGATACAAAAGTAACTGTGGTTTTTGAATATTATACTAAATCTTTAAAGTGTGAATCCTCACATGAAATAAATACAGAAGAGGACCCTGTTTATTAACTGTAATTTGATAACTGAGCAGAGAAAATATTTAGAGATAAATACAGAAAAGTAACAAAAGGTCTATTTCTTATTTTGTCTATGGCTTACCTAATTGGTAGACTTAACACATAGAAGAATGGGGAAAATATTAAAAACAGACCTTTGAAGAAAGAAATACATTTTCTTGTTCTCATTCATTGAACAAATATTTCTGTAGTGCAAGGCATTGTGCTACAATTTAGTAAGGCAAAAGACACGATAATTACAAACAAAACAAAGGGATACAAATGAAATAAACAGTAAGTTTTATTTCAACCAATAGTCCTAATTCAGAAGAGAGATAATTTCCCACTTGTATAATCAGGAGACCACAGACCTCTCCTGTTCCAAAGATCAAATGTTGAATGATGGTAAGGCTTTCAATTGTGGGGTAATGAGGAGGAGGGTGGCTGGGGATGAGAGAAAGATAAGAAAACAAGAGGACTGTTCAGGAGATCACAATGAAAAAAATGTGGGCATTAGTGGAAAGATTGGTGAGGTAGTTGTGAAAACTTTCTTCTATCTTTAAGCTCTATTCCAAGAATTTCTCTGACCTCTCTACCTTAGTTGAAACCTAGTTATTCCCTATGGCACTACTGACATGCAACCCTCTGGTTAGAGGCTGTTTATATTCCCACACTCCATTTACCTCAAGATTGGAAAGTGAGCTTGTTTTAACACTCCTTACTCTCCATTCACCACTTCCAAATCATAACAACTTGCCCTCTTTCTTTAATAAATAAAAAAAATCCTATTCCTTAGAAGCTCATGCTTTTTGATTCCACTATATTCTTCCACTCTTCATTGATAAGTACCAATTGCCTGGTCACTCAATCTGGAACTCTGGCTCACGGGAGAGCCAACTTTCTCCATACTAAATCTGCCATCACATGGATGACTTCAGTGTTCATGAATTAAGACCCTGTCTAAAGCTGTGCTCTCCTCCCCCATTTTCTAGATGTCCTCCCATCACTAAGTCTACATCAATCAACCACATTCACAATTACATAATAGTGCTTGTCATCACTTGCCCTCCATCCTCTCAGCTTGTTTAATTCTCCCAACATGACCATTTTTTAAGCTCATCAGGAACTCCAGTCCATTGCCCCATTCCTTTCTTACAATCCATCATCCCTCTATTTTATTTCACCTTTCTCTTTATCCAGCTTAGATTATGTCTTTCCACAGCACTCTTGCCAATATCCGAAACTCCCACTTTCTGTTGGCCTCACCTGTATGGCAAAACGCTGCCCCTGGATAAAACCAACTCTATGTGTTCTTTGTGCCTACATCTGCACATCCTAGTGCTATTTGAAAGAGGCCCTACGTGGATTGGTAACCCCCAAAATTCATTTTAATTAACCACAAATGGATCCTGAACACAAACCAAAAATCCTATTGTCTGTCCAGTTAACTTGCTCTTCTTCCTTTTCAATGACTATTTCAGATTTTCTCCATGCTCCTCAAATCTCTAAACCTTTACCTTTCAGTCTCTCTCCTCTAAATGATCTCAAAGCCTACTTCCCAGGGAACAAAAAAAGCATCAGTGGGAATTCCTTCAACTTGCCATTTTCAAACAAACAAAGCAACCCACATGTGCACCCATCTTTCCCTCCTGTCCTCCTGACTTAGTAAAGGAGGTGTCTGGTTTTCCTCTCATCCAAGACCAATCCTTTCCACATTTTGTTTAGATCACGTCTCTTCATGCCTACACTATTAACTACTCCTTTTTTCTTTTGCATATCCAAGCAGCTCCTGCCTCAAATAAAACCACAGCTCCTCTGGTTATCAGTCTACATCCTGCCTTTCTTCACAGCTAAACTTCTCTCAAGAGTTGCATATAGTCACTAACTCTATTTCCTCATTTACTATGCATTTCTTATTCTACTCTGGTCTGGCTTTGGAACGCCACAAAAACAGCACTCACGTCCCATATTCTTGAGGTCAGTAAATTCAATGGACATTTTCTAGTCCTCATGTTACTTACCAGTGTTATTTGATACTTTAGACCACTCCTCCTTTTGGATACAGTTGTTTCCTTTGGGTGAGTCCTGTGACACCTCACACTCTGTCTTTCTTGTCATCCTATTCAGCTTAACTCTGACCAATCCCATGTCCTTTGCAGCTGTCCTTTTCCTGGCTCGTAATTGCTACTGTTCCTTGGCCCTGTTTTAGTCTCACTTTATACATTCTCACTGGTCAATCTCATCCATGACTATGGCTTAAACATCCACACACATGATTATTCCCAAATACAACACCTCAGCCCTAACTTCTCTGAGCTCCTGACACATATATTCAACTGCCTCCTAGACATCACTGGCATGTGTCAAAGGTACCCCAAATTCAACATGTCCAAAATTGAACTCATGATCCTTCCTCTAAACTCCTGACCTTTTTTTAGGACTTCTTGTCTTAGTGAATGGGACCACTATTCATTATTTTAAGCAAGCCCAAAGTGTAGGTATCATCTTTGACACCTCCTTCTCTCTCACCAACCCATCACCGTAACTGATAATTCTACCTTCAGAATATCTACAGCCTCATAAATGGTCCCCCTATATCGATTCTTGTTCTCTTCCAATCTGTTCTTCAATATACAGCCAGAGTGATCTTTACAAAACAGAAATCCTCATATTAACTCCTTGCTTAGAACCTTTCCACGGCTCTTATCTTCAAAGTATAATGACAAAATTCCTTAACGTGGCCAAATCCTTGCTTTACCCAACACTTGTATCCCTATCTAGCCTTATATTTCTTTCCTCTTTCCTAAGAAAAATAGCAAAAGGCTCAGAGTACTTCTACTTTTCACTCTGTTGGAGGGGAAGCTTTGTCCAGCCTGCAAACACAGCTATCTGTAAGGTCTAGGCACTCCACAGATTAAAACATTCTGGCCCAATGAAGGCCAGAATTCTGGAAGCTCAGGCCCCTTCCAGAAATCAAATATACCCATCTTCAGGCAGAGGATGAAGACAACTAAAGGTGTACCTAAATATTGTTTGTGGTATGGATTTAATAGGTAAAATAGGAAGAAATACAGTCATGTATTGCTTAATGACAGGGATACATTCTGAAAAATGCATCATTAGGCAATTCTGTCACACAAACATCTAAGAGTGCACTTACACAAACCTAGGTGGTACGGCCTAGTACACACCAAGGCTATATGGAATAGACTATTACTCCGAGGCTACAAATCTGTATAGCACGTTTCTGTACTGAATACTGTTGGCAACTGTAACACTATAGTATGTATTTGTGTATCTAAACACATCTCAACATAGAAAAGGTACAGTGAAAATACAGTATTATTATCTTATGGGACCATCATCATATATTCAGTCCATCATTGACCAAAATGTCGTTATGCAGTACATGACTATATATTATTACTAAAAACAAAGTATGGTCTAGTCCAGAGAGAACAGGAAACACTAATTTTGGCAGACCCTAAAACACCTGAGAAACAATAACATTTAAAGGGAACACAGAGAAGTAAAAATCCATAAAAGAGACTGAAAATGAGCAGATAGACAAGTATAAAGAAAGCCAGGTGAGTAAATTTCCTTAAAAGTCAAGGGGGAAAAATGGAAATAAGTGGTCAAATAATAAAATATTGCAGAATGGTGCAGTAAAATACAAATTATTTTATTTATAAATTAATTATTTTATAAAGATTAGCCACGAGGAGGTATCTGGTGACCTTGAAAGAGTCTTATCGGTAGAATGAAGGAGGTAGAATCCAGGTTGAGGAATGAATTAGAGGTAAGGAAGTCTAGGCTACTCTTTCAAGAGGACTGATAACTCTGAAAAGCTAATACAGAACTAAAGATGCTTCTGGGTTGTTTTGTTTAAGTTGTTTAAGCATGTGGCATGTTTATGTGCTGACAAAAAGAGCTAGGAGAAAAAAAGACATAAGAGAATATATCTGATGGACCCCAACTTCCTATGGAAATGGCAGAAGCGGAGCTCCAGAGGTGGTGGGATTTACTTTAAAGGAGAGGAGGTACAGTTTTCCCCACACAAGCACCATAAATGGGGCTGGAAGCTTATAAAAGTGAGGACATAAGAGTGCTGGATGAGAAAGGAAGTTGTGGTAAAAAATAAAATCAAATCCTGAAAATGGCAGAATTTGAGTGAAGAAGGAAAAAAGACTTAAAAAATGGAAGTATGTGAGGGAGTAATTAGACACTAGTAGGTAAGACCAATAAAGGAGGTCACAATACAGCTAGAGGCACTGGGGACTTAGGAGAACCGTGACCCACCTGTAAGGTCTGTACCTCAAAAAAAATGACATGATATGCATGAAAAAGTGATGGAAACTGTAAAGTGGTACAGACATATCAGATATTCTGACATTTCACTGGTATTAGTAATATTCGTTACTTTTATTATGAGTAGTTAATGTTCCCGTTATTTGAAGACACTGCTAACTGCTATAACTAATGAAGTTAGTAAAATAGACACTAATATTTCAATATGTTTCACTTGTTTCCTTAATTTAATGCTATGAAAAATTTCTTTCAATTTCCATAAACTAAAATATAAATCAACATGCCAGAATAGTAATCTTGATAAATACCTTCTGTTTTCTCTGACTTCAAAGATTCAGAGAATGTTCTAACTGTTTTATATTCCAATGTTTCCTTTTCTGCTATTTCAGCTGGTTGAGTCTCTAATGGTTTCACATCTTCATATTTTTTCTCTTCATATCTTAAAAGTCTAAATGACAAAGAAAACAATTCTAAGAAAATAAATGGAAAATCACACCAATAAAATACTGAGCTATTAGCATATTACCAAAATTTCACATTTATAATTAAAACAGCTTCTTAGGTTTAATAAATGCTATGGTTAACATGCTCCATAATTGAAAGATTAAATATTTATTCTGAACAATACAATATAATATCTATTCACTCAAGTAATTTTTGATAGGCACTTTGAAAAAGATCTGCAACATTTACATGGAGAGTCTAGTTAAATTTTAAATAGGTCTAACTGGTGTTACCACTAAAAAATAAATATAAATTATCACTGAACATTTAAACTTAGAAGGGCTTTATGAATCTTGATCTCATTTTAGGAGATGAAGAATTGTTACCCAATTAAGCAGAGTGAAGTCAGAACACAATTTTCTGAAATTTCATACTCATATGTTGCCTTCCTTTTTTTTCACAGGACACTGGCAAACTGTCTACTGCTGGAAAAACTTTTTCATAAGAACAGAATCCAAAATTACTGCCTACAATAGACTTATATGGTAGATCACAGTTTTACAAAGCAGAGAAAATTCTAGGTTCCATAAAGTCTTATATGTAGTGTTAAGGGGAAAAAAGCACTTTATTGGTATATTAAAGAAAAATACTTATATCATTAAGAAGGTAATATTTCTTTTCTAGGACAAAGAAAGCACAATGTCTTTGAACTTATTTATAGATCATTTATTAGGTATTATTCTTAAATCCTTTTCCTTTGAGCGCTTTAAGTTCCCTCTTTGTTTATAAACATCTTGAAAATTTTCCCCTTCATTAAAATGTCTATCCATATCTGTTGTCCTCCCCACCTTTTTTTCTTTTTTTGGTACTGAATTTTTTGCCATTTTCTTAACAATGTGTAGTAGTTATTTACACATTTTGAGCAGCAATCAAAATGTCACTTTGTATCTCTGATTTGGAATTATCTTTTCACTTTCTTGATGTCTTTATAAACAGAAGTTACTAATTTTAATATAATTTATCTACCTTTTCCTTTATGGTTTGTATTGTTTATGGCTTCTTAAGAAATCTTTCCTTAGTCCAAGGTAATAACAAAATGAGCTTATATGTTTTCCTAACATAAAGTTTTACCTTTTACAAGTCTTTTAATTAATACATAAGTCTTTAAATCCTTGACTTTTTGGTATAGTGTAAGAGACAGACTCCATTTCTTCCCCTGCCCCCACCCAATAAGGATATACAATTGTCACAGCACCATTATTGAACATGCCCACTCAATCCTCACTAACCTATAACGCCAAGTCTATGTTCACTTAAAATGAATATAATTGTCTGTTCTTGGGTTCTTTATTCTTTATTTGTGTATCCTTGTTTCTACAGCACACTTCTTAGTTATGATAGCTTTATAATAAGTTTTTTATAGTTGTAGGTCAAGATTATCAGATTTTCTTTTTAAGGAGTGTTTTACATATTCTTGGCCCTTTGCTCTTCTATATAAATTTTGTTGAATTCTCAATTAAACTTTATAATTTTCTCATAAAGGTCATAATTACATCATTTTAAAAAATCGTATTTATTTGGGAGGCCGAGGCGGGTGGATCACGAGGTCAGGTGTTCAAGACCAGCCTGGCCAAAATGGTGAAACCCCATCTCTACTAAAAATACAAAAAAAATTAGCCAGGTGTGGTAGTGGGCACCTGTAACCCCAGCTACTCGGGGGGCTGAGGTTGGAGAATCGCTTGAACCTGGGAGGCGGAGGTTGCAGTGAGCCAAGATCGTGCCACTGCATTCCAGTCTGGGCGACAGAGTGAGACTCTGTTTCAAAAAAAAAAAGTATTTCTATGTATCTAATGTACCTATTTTTTGATACTGTTACAAATGATACCTTTTGCTTTCCTAGGATTTCTCAGTTGTTGGTTAATTTCTCATATCCAACAACCTCCTTCTCACTTTTTTGGCATATCCAAGGTTGGTCTGGGGGAAGGAGCCAACAACCAGGGTTAATTTGCCTGTCTTATCAGAAAACACTCCCTGAGAAACTAAGGTTTTCTAAACTCTAGAATCATCAATAAATTCTGATAAGATATTTTAAGTCTTTCACTGTCAGAATGGCTTACCACCAGCCATACACTGCTGAAATCTTACTTTAGAAAAAAACTCATTATATTTTATCTTACTTTTACCTTGGTTTTGTCTTGGTTTCCTCCTTGTCCATCTCTTGATTTTCAGTTGTCAAATCAATGGGTATAAACGTCTCCATATGTTTTTCTGAACAAAACTATAAAGGAACTGGCTGTAACAAAATTCACATTATTATATTTAATATACAATACAATCTGACAGCTATGACAATTGGTATTCAAAATGGCATATATAGTTCCCAGCTTCTCAATAGGCTTAATATAATATCCTGACTGCCTTTGTTTCTTATATACAGTATAATTTCCAAACCCTTCACTAAGCTAGTTAGCCTTCTCAGGGCAATCTCTATATTGTCTAACTTCCTTTCTATGGCAATTTGTTTCCATCTTACATGCATTGGTTTATGTACATACAATTTTAGCTTACATTAAATAGCATGCTAAAGATAATGATAAGTTTTAAGATTATTTTCTTAGGGGAAATTATCAAAAAGAACTTAGGAAAGTCATCAGAAGTGGTAGCTGAAGCTGATGAACTAATTTCATCATTCACTAAGCACTAAAAGGCCACATCCATATACTACTAGCGTTCTTCAGACAGAATAGAATAGAACAAAAGGGAGTGGGTTATGAAATATAAAAAGGGGAGTTTCTTTCTGATGACTGAGGGAAATCTAACAAGATACAGAAAGTCTCTAAATAAAGTTGATGTGCTACATGGCCGTGTACTGTAACTGAAGAATTAAAGGCAAAAATTTAAGACTGGAATCAATGGAGAATAGAAAAAGTTTTAGCTGGCAAGTGAATATGCTTCAGATAAATCAACTAAGATAGACTGAAATAAGCCAGGGGTAAGAGTAGTTCTTACTAGAATAGAAATGCCAGCCGGGCGCCGTGGCTCACGCCTGTAATCCCAGCACTTTGGGAAGCCAAGGCGGGTGGATCACGAGGTCAGGAGATTGAGACCACGGTGAAACCCCGTCTCTACTAAAAATACAAAAAATTAGCCGGGCATTGGTGGTGGGCGCCTGTAGTCCCAGCTACTCGGGAGGCGGAGGCAGGAGAATGGTGTGAACCTGGGAGGCGGAGCTTGCAGTGAGCCGAGATTGTGCCACTGCACTCCAGCCTGGGTAACAGAGCGAGACTCCGTCTCAAAAAAAAAAAAAAAAAAAAAAAATCCAGAAATCTACACAGTAGGTATGAAGCTGACAACTATAACATCAATGTAGGACAGTCTACCTATTGACGAGACTCAGGGTGCAGAAAGAGTCCTAGTCATGACCCAAAGAATACCAAGAAAGGCCACAGAAGGATCATTCACTGCAGCCAATAACTGAAGGATACAACTTTGACCATAACTGGAGATAAGATGAAAAAACAGAGCCTAAGGGAAGTAGATGGCACTGGATTAAAAAAAAAAAATCCCTAAATCAAATCCATTCTGGACTTGCAATAAAGCAAGAGTCAGTAAACTTTTTTTGAAAAAGAGCCAACAAGGCCAGGTGAAGTAGCTCACGTCTGTAATCCCAGCACTTTGGAAGACCAAGGTGGATGGATCACTTGATGCCAGGAGTTCGAGACCAGCTTAGGCAAGATGGCAAAACCCCGCCTCTACTAAAAATACAAAAATTAGCCAGGAGTGGTGGTGCATGCCTGTAATCCCAGCTACTTGAGAGACTGAGGCAGGCAAATCGCTAGAACCCAGGAGGCAGAGGTTGCAGTGAGCTGAGATCGTGCCACTGCACTCCAGCCTGGGCAACAGAGCGAGACTCCATCTCAAAAAATAAAATAAAAAGAGCCAAAGAGTAAATATTTCAGACTTTGTGAGTCAAAAGGCAAAATTGAGGCTATTACATAGGTACCATATAACAAAAGAGAAAACAAATTGCCACAAATGTTTTATTGATGAAATTCAATAAGTGGTAATAATAATTAAGTATTTTTTTTTTGTAATACAGTAGGCCTATGAGCAAAATAGTGTTCTTTTGGGGAAGATAACATCTCACTTAACTGGGATTCGAAGTTAGTGTTACCTATCACTAAAGTGGTTGTGAATTTTCATGTGTAAAAACCATTCTTAGCTTGTAGACATACAAAAACAGGTGGCAGGTCAGATTTGGCCGATAGGCCATCATTTGCCAGCTCCTTCAAGAGAGTATATGCTAACCCCAACCTCAGCATTGACTTTGGAGTGACTTACATATTCATGCTCTCATCATTACCAACAAACATCTAATAAACAAGAAAGGTTGCTCAAACTCATTACTAATCAAACTGTAAAAAAAAATTAAATGAGCTACTTTTTTCATATCAGACAAGTAAAAAACATCAAGTTAACCTCACACTTCTCACAGCAACATTCAAATACCAGAACATTTCCTAAGGGAAATAAAAAGAATAGTTCAAGAATTTTATACAGAGTCAAGTTTTCATTTAAGCATGAAAATAACAAACATTTCAAAACATGCAAAATTCATGAAAAATATCACCCATAATACCTTCTTATAAAAGGCACATGAAAATAAATCCCACCAACACAGACATAAAAAAAGGACAACTTGTAAATAAAGAAAATAATAATAACAGCATTAAACTCATTTAAATACAGAACTAAGTCAAAACAACGAAGGGACTTATGAACACAGAACAAAATTTTATTTCTATACTTATATTGAGATAGTAAATAAAATCTAAATATGAGTATTGAAGTAATAGTGCAAGTACTAAAAAAAAATCAAGATGGGAGGAAAGGGAGGTAGATGGAATGTAGGTAGCATAAGTGATTTGCTTTCCTCATCTTTCTGATACAGAGGTCAACAGACACTGGTTAAGGCTGATAAAATAACAGAAGCGTAAATATATTATTAAAAAGTATAAAATTATCCATAAGAAGAACAAAAATTATAACATAAACAATGGAAATCTGGGAGTAGGAGATATCAGATAAAAGGTAAATTCATGAATTATATTCTAATATCTTCATTTTGCAATAGAGAGTCAATAGATGCTATCTAAAATGCACAGCTCACAAACTACAGGTTGAAATATAATGTATTAAGTCTTGAAGAAATATAATAATGCATGAACCTTCCAAAGTATCAGAGGCAAAACAAATTATGTGTTTATACAAGAGAGGGATTAAAAACATGAGAAAAAGTTTAAAATAAAGAATAGTGTGGTTGACTTTAATAGGTTGCCCATACAATATTCATTTCCTCCTTCACTTTCCCAAACAGTAATCTTATTTTTATTCAGGTAGATCTGAAAAAATAAAAGATGGGTTAACTATTACAAAGAATAAAGTAATAAATCAGACAAAACAAATCAAGAGTCTGGAAGAAGAGAGA
Source organism: Homo sapiens (assembly GCF_000001405.40). Lineage (NCBI taxonomy): Eukaryota > Metazoa > Chordata > Mammalia > Primates > Hominidae > Homo > Homo sapiens. The sequence continues at coordinate 224,949,474 of NC_000001.11, read as the reverse complement.
AATGGGGACCATAATGACTGAGAATAATTTTCCAGACATAAACCTTCAGTTTCATAAAGTCCAACAAATTCTAAGCAGAATGAACATATGTTCATATATATACATACATATGAGCAGCCACATGTGGATACACACACACACATGCACACACACGCACACACACCCAACATAGTGAAACTGCAGAATGCCAAAGACAAGGAAGAGATCCTAATGGTACTACAGATAGATTACTTAAGCTGGAAAACCATTGGACTAAGAATGGGCTTCTTGACAGTAAAATCTAAACCAAGAAAATGATACAATATTTTCAATGTGCTAAGGAAAAATAACCATCAACTTGGAATTCTATATCTGGTAAAAATATGTGTTTTTTTAACCAGATAAAGACATTGCTAGGCAAATAAAATCAATAAACACAAGTAAAAATTATCCTAAAGGACTTCAAAAAAGAAGTACTATGATCCCAAGTGAAAGGTCTCAGATGAAAGAAAAAATTATGAGCAAAAAAAGTAATATGTGAGTAAAGCTAAACAAACACTGCATAAAACAATAATTATTTCTTATGGGATTAAAAGTGAGATGGAACTAAATTACCCAACAATAACAGCATAGAGGTCAGGAGGGGGAATGACCAGAACTAAAGTGTTTTAAGATACTTGCATTTTCTGGGGGAAGAAAAACAGATGGATTAAACTTATGCTTTGATAAGTATGCATCTTAAAATTTTTATGGTAATGACTAAAGTATATATAGAATGCATAACTTCAAGCTAACAGTTGGGAGTGGGGGTGAAATAAAAATAAATATATAAGCAACCCATCTAAGAGGAGACAGAAAGATAAATAGAAGAGTCAGAACAAAAGAGAAAGTACAAAATAAAGTGGCAGAAATAAATAGAAACATATTACTAATTATAATCAATATAAATGAACTAAATTATCTAAAAGGACAATGATAGCAAAATTGGGAAGAAATTTCAGTTATACCCTATTCAAAAGACAAATTTCCGAAACATAAAGATACAACAAGGATGCAAGTACAGGAAAGAGATATACCAGGCAACTATTAAAGAAAATAAAAATATTATAGCTATATTCATATCAGAAAAAAGGTACTCAAGCAGAAAGAGTCACTAGATAGAAAGATAATCACTACATAGTGACTAAATTTTCATTTTGCCAGGAAAATAAAACAGAAGAGTTTGGAATTTGGACTTAACAACATGGTTTCTAAATATGGAATGCAAATGTGTAAACATATAATATATATTGCAAAAACTGAAAGAACCATAGGGAGAAAAAATAAATCTAGTATGATAATGAGGCATTTTAACAAACTTATTTCAGTTAATCAGGCCAACCTTTTCCTACCAAAACTAGCAAACAAACAAATGAAAACATTAAGGATACAGATTTTAACAGTCCAATTTAAAAGTTTGATTTAACATATATATTATATAAAACTCAAGAAGTGCAGAATACATATAATTTTAAGCACATATGGCATAGTTTGAAAATCAACCACCTACTGGATCATACTGTAAGTCAACAAATTTGAAATGATTTATCATCATATAGCCCAAATTCTATGACCACAATACAATTAGAGTAGAAATAGATGAATCATGAAACCCCATAAATTTGGAAATAAAGAAATACCTGTCTAAATAACTCATATTTCAAAAAAAGAAATGATAGAAAATTTAAAATATTAAGAAATAAATGTTAAGATATTAAAATTAAAACTTGTGAGATGCAGCTAAAGAGGTACTCATACGTAAATATACAGCCATAAAATGCTTATACTAGAAAACAAGAAATATTATCTAAATTAAGTATCCAAATTAAGAAGTTAGAAAAAGTAAAACTTTATAAATCCAAAGTAGAATAATACTAAAGATTAAAGCAGAAATGTTTAAAAATAGAAAATAAACCTCAATCAAGAGGATCAAAAGAGCAAAATATTACTGAGTAGAAAAAACAAAGACATCAATTCTTTACAGTCAAAATAACTCCGATCAGAATCTCAACAGTTTTTTTGTTTGTTTGACAGACTTTGTCAAGGTGATTAAAAATTTATATAGAAGAATAAAAGGTCAGGAATAGCCAAGACATTTCTGAGAAAAAAATAACATGAAGGAGAGTCTAATAGTAGAATTAATACTAAAGCTTTAATAACTGAGGCAGCATAGTAATGGAACATAGAAATTTACAGATAACATTATGGAAATCACAGAAACAGTACCAAATGTAGATGAGGTTGGGTGCGGTGGTTCACGCCTGTAATCCCAGCACTTTCGGAGGCCAAGGTGAGCAGATCACCTGAGGTCAGGAGTTCCAGACCAGCCTGACTAACATGGTAAAACCCCGTCTCTACTCAAAATACAAAAATTAGCCGAGCGTGGTGGTGCATGCCTGTAATCCCAGCTACTCGGGAGGCTGAGGCAGGAGAATCACTGGAACCTGGGAGGCAGAGTTTGCAGTGAGCCGAGATCAGGCCACTGCACTCCAGCCTGGGCAACAGAGCAAGACTCTGTCTCAAAAAAAAAAAAAAAAAAAAGTAGATGAAACGTTGATATACAACAAGTAACATATCAAATCAGTTGGAAAAATAATCCAGCTAGGAAAAAAAAAAAAGCCATAAGGGGAAAAAAATGAAATTAGATTCATTTCCTGACTCACACCAAATATACAAACAAAACAAGGACAAAGAAAGTTTTCCAAAGTGACTGAAATGTGAGAAGTAAAACTTGAAAACTGAACAATTTTCTGATCTAGAGATAGTGAATAACTTAAAAACAAGAATATAATATGAAATTCCAAAACTACATTGTATTAAAATTAGGAATTTAGGATAGGTGGAACCAAGATGGCCGAATAGGAACATCTCCAGTCTACAGCTCCCAGCATGAGCAATGCAGAAGACAGGTGATTTCTGCATTTCCAACTGAGGTACCGGGTTCATCTCACTGGGGAGTGTCAGCAACTGGGTGCAGGACAGTGGGTGCAGCACACCGAGCGTGAGCCGAAGCAAGGGAAGCTCAAGGGGTCAGGGAATTCCCTTTCCTAGTCAAAGAAAGGGGTGAGAGACAGCACCTGGAAAATCGGGTCACTCCCACCCTAATACTGTGCTTTTCCAACAGTCTTAGCAAATGGCACACCAGGAGACTATATCCCATGTCTGGCTCGGAGGGTCCTACACCCACAGAGCCTCTCTCATTGCTAGCACAGCAGTCTGAGATCAAAGGGCAAGGCCGCAGTGAGACTGAGGGAGGGGCGCCCATAATTGCCAAAGCTTGAGTAGGTAAACAAAGCAGCCAGGAAGCTCCCACTAGGTGGAGCCCACCACAGCTCAAAGAGGGCTGCCTGCCTGCCTCTGTAGACTCCACCTCTGGGGGCAGGGCATAGCCAAACAAAAGGCAGCAGAAACCTCTGCAGACTTAAATGTCCCTGTCTGACAGCTTTGAAGAGAGTAGTGGTTCTCCCAGCATGCAGCTGGAGATTTGAGAACGGACAGACTGCCTCCTCAAGCAGTTCCCTGACCCCCGAGTAGCCTAACTGGGAGGCAGCCCCAGTAGGGGCAGACTGACACCTCACACGGCCGGGTACTCCTCTGAGACAAAACTTCCAGAGGAACGATCAGGCAGCAACATTTGCTGTTCACCAATATCCGCTGTTCTGTGGCCTCTGCTGCTGATACCCAGGCAAACAGGGTCTGGAGTGGACCTCCAGCAAACTCCAACAGACCTGCACCTGAGGGTCCTGACTGTTGGAAGGAAAACTAACAAACAGAAAGGACATCCACACCAAAACCCCATCTGTACGTCACCATCATCAAAGACCAAAGGTAGATAAAACCACAAAGATGGGGAAAAAACAGAGCAGAAAAACTGGAAACTCTAGAAATCAGAGTGCCTTGCCTCCTCCAGAGGAACACAGCTCCTCACCAACAACGGAACAAAGCTGGACGGAGAATGACTTTGACAAGTTGAGAGAAGGCTTCAGATGATCAAACTACTCTGAGCTAAAAGAGCAAGTTCAAACCCATGGCAAAGAAGTTAAAAACCTTGAAAAAAAATAAGATGAATGGCTAACTAGAATAACCAATGCAGAGAAGTCCTTAAAGGAGCTGATGGAGCTGACAACCAAGGCACGATAACTACGTGACGAATGCACAAGCCTCAGTAGCCGATTCGATCAACTGGAAGGAAGAGTATCCGTGATGGAAGATCAAATGAATGAAATGAAGCGAGAAGAGAAGTTCAGAGAAAAAAAAATAAAAAGAAATGAACAAAGATTCCAAGAAATATGGGACTCTGTGAAAAGACCAAATCTACATCTGATTGGTGTACCTGAAAATGACGGGGAGAATGGAACCAAGTTGGAAAACACTCTGCAGGATATTATACAGGAGAACTTCCCCAGTCTAGCAAGGCAGGCCAACATTCAAATTCAGGAAATACAGAGAATGCCACAAAGATATTCCTCGAGAAGAGCAACTCCAAGACACATAACTGTCAGATTCACCAAAGTTGAAATGAAGGAAAAAATGTTAAGGGCAGCCAGAGAGAAAGGTAGGGTTACCCACAAAGGGAAGCCCATCACACTAACAGCTGATCTCTCAGCAGAAACTCTACAAGCCAAAAGAGAGTGGGGGTCAATATTTAACATTCTTAAAGAAAAGAATTTTCAACCCAGAATTTCATATCCAGCCAAACTAAGCCTCAGAAGTGAAGGAGAAATAAAATCCTTTACAGACAAGCAACTGCTGAGAGATTTTGTCACCACCGGGCCTGCCCTAAAAGAGCTCCTGAAGGTAGCACTAAACATGGAAAGGAACAACTGGTACCAGCCACTGCAAAAACATGCCAAATTGTAAAGACCATTGAGGCTAGGAAGAAACTTCATCAACTAACGAGCAAAATAAACAGCTAACATCATAATGACAGGATCAAAATTCACACATAACGATATTAACCTGAAATGTAAATGGGCTAAATGCTCCAATTAAAAGACACAGACTGGCAAGCTGGATAAAGAGTCAAGACCCATCAGTGTGCTGTATTCAGGAAACCCATCTCACGTGCAGAGACACATATAGGCTCAAAATAAAGGGATGGAGGAAGATCTACCAAGCAAATGGAAAACAAAAAAAGGGGTTGCAATCCTAGTCTCAGATAAAATAGACTTTAAACCAACAAAGATCAAAAGAGACAAAGAAGGCCATTACATAATGGTAAAGGGATCAATTCAACAAGAAGAGCTAACTATCCTAAATATATATGCAGCCAATACAGGAGCACCCAGATTCATAAAGCAAGTCCTTAGAGACCTACAAAGAGACTTAGACTCCCACACAATAATAATGGGAGACTTTAACACCCCACTGTCAACATTAGACACATCAACAAGACAGAAAGTTAACAAGGATATCCAGGAATTGAACTCAGCTCTGCACCAAGTGGACCTAATAGACATCTACAGAACTCTCCACCCCAAATCAACAGAATATACATTCTTCTCAGCACCACACCGCACTTATTCAAAAATTGACCACATAGTTGGAAGTAAAGCTCTCCTCAGCAAATGTAAAAGAACAGAAATTATAACAAACCACCTCTCAGACCACAGTGCAATCAAACTAGAACTCAGGATTAAGAAACTCACTCAAAACCGCTCAACCACATGGAAACTGAACAACCTGCTCCTGAATGACTACTGGGTACATAATGAAATGAAGGCAGAAATAAAGATGTTCTTTGAAACCAACGAGAACAAAGACATAACATACCAGAATCTCTGAGACACACTCAAAGCAGTGTGTAGAGGGAAATTTACAGCACTAAATGCCCACAAGAGAAAGCAGGAAGGATCTAAAATTGACGCCCTAACATCGCAATTAAAAGAACTAGAGAAGCAAGAGCAAACACACTGAAAAGCTAGCAGAAGGCAAGAAATAACTAAGATCAGAGCAGAACTGAAGGAAATAGAGACACAAAAAACCCTTCAAAAAATCAATAAATCCAGGAGCTGGTTTTTTGAAAAGATCAACAAAATTGATAGACCGCTAGCAAGACTAATAAAGAAGAAAAGAGAGAGGAATCAAATAGACACAATAAAAAACGAGAAAGGGAATATCACCACCGATCCCACAGAAATACAAACTACCATCAGAGAATACTATAAACACCTCTACGCAAATAAACTAGAAGAAATGGATAAATTCCTTGACACATACACCCTCCCAAGACTAAACCAGGAAGAAGTTGAATCTCTGAATAGGCCAATAACACATTCTGAAATTGAGGCAATAATTAATAGCTTACCAACCATAAAAGTCCAGGACCACATGAATTCACAGCCGAATTCTACCAGAAGTACAAGGAAGAGCTGGTACCATTCCTTCTGAAACTATTTCAGTCAATTGAAAAAGAGGGAATCCTCCCTAACTCATTTTATGAGGCCAGCATCATCCTGATACCAAAGCCTGGCAGAGACACAACAAAAAAAGAGAATTTCAGACCAATATCCCCGATGAACATCGATGCAAAAATCCTCAATAAAATACTGGCAAACCAAATCCAGCAGCACATCAAAAAGCTTATCCACCATGATCAAGTGGGCTTCATCCCTGGGATGCAAGGCTGGTTCAACATACACAAATCAATAAATGTAATCCAGCATATAAACAGAACCAAAGACAAAAACCACATGATTATCTCAATAGATGTGAAAAGGCCTTTGACAAAATTCAACAACCCTTCATGCTAAAAACTCTGAATAAATTAGGTATCGATGGGACATATCTCAAAATAATAAGAGCTATCTATGACAAACCCACAGCCAATATCATACTGAATGGGCAAAAACTGGAAGCATTCCCTTTGAAAACTGGCACAAGACAGGGATGCCCTCTCTCACCACTCCTATTCAACACAGTGTTGGCAGTTCTGGCCAGGGCAATCAGGCAGAAGAAGGAAATAAAGGGTATTCAATTAGGAAAAGTGGAAGTCAAATTGTCCCTGTTTACAGATGACACAATTGTATGTCTAGAAAACCCCATCGTCTCAGCCCAAAATCTCCTTAAGCTGATAGGCAACTTCAGCAAAGTCCCAGGATACAAAATCAATGCACAAAAATCACCAGCATTCTTATACACCAATAACGGACAGAGAGCCAAATCATGAGTGAACTCCCATTCACAATTGCTTCAAAGAGAATAAAATACCTAGGAATCCAACTTACAAGGGATGTGAAGGACCTCTTCAAGGAGAACTACAAACCACTGCTCAATGAAATAAAAGAGGATACAAACAAATGGAAGAACATTCCATGCTCATGGGTAGAAAGAATCAATATCGTGAAAATGGCCATACTGCCCAAGGTAATTTATAGATTCAATGCCATCCCCATCAAGCTACCAATGACTTTCTTCACAGAATTGGAAAAAACTACTTTAAAGTTCATATGGAACCAAAAAAGAGCCCGCATTGTTAAGTCAATGCTAAGCCAAAGAACAAAGCTGGAGGCATCACGCTACCTGACTTCAAACTATACTACAAGGCTACAGTAACCAAAACAGCATGCTACTGGTACCAAAACAGAGATATAGACCAATGGAACAAAACAGAGCCCTCAGCAATAATGCCACATATCTACAACCATCTGATCTTTGACAAACCTGACAAAAACAAGCAATGGGGAAAGGATTCCCTATTTAATAAATGGTGCTGGGAAAACTGGCTAGCCATATGTAGAAAGCTGAAACTGGATCCCTTCCTTACACCTGGTATAAAAATTAATTCAAGATGGATTAAAGACTTAAATGTTAGACCTAAAACCATAAAAACCCTGGAAGAAAACCTAGGCAATACCATTCAGGACATAGGGCTTCATGTCTAAAACACCAAAAGTGATGGCAACAAAAGCCAAAATTGACAAATGGGATCTAATTAAACTAAAGAGCTTCTGCACAGCAAAAGAAACTACCATCAGAGTCAACAGGCAACCTACAGAATGAGAGAAAATTTTTGCAATCTACTCATCTGACAAAGGGCTAATATCCAGAATCTACAATGAAGTCAAACAAATTTACAAGAAAAAAACAAACAACCCCATCAAAAAGTGGGCAAAGGATATGAACAGACACTTCTCAAAAGAAGACATTTATGCAGCCAAAAGACACATGAAAAAATGCTCATCATCACTGGCCATCAGAGAAATGCAAATCAAAACCACAATGAGATACCATCTCACACCAGTTAGAATGGCAATCATTAAAAAGTCAGGAAACAACAGGTGCTGGAGAGGATGTGGAGAAATAGAAACATTTTTACACTGTTGGTGGGACTGTAAACTAGTTCAACCATTGTGGAAGTGAGTGTGGTGATTCCTCAGGGATCTAGAACTAGAAATACCATTTGACCCAGCCATCCCATTACTGGGTATATACCCAAAGGATTATAAAACATGCTGCTATAAAGACACATGCACAGGTACGTTAATTGCGGCACTATTCACAATAGCAAAGACTTGGAACCAACCCAAATGTCCAACAATGATAGACTGGATTAAGGAAATGTGGCACATATACACCATGGAATACTATGCAGCCATAAAAAAGGATGAGTTCATGTCCTTTGTAGGGACATAGATGAAGGTGGAAACCATCATTCTCAGCAAACTATCGCAAGGACAAAAAACTAAACACATGTTCTCACTCATAGGTGAGAATTGAACAATGAGAACACATGGACACAGGAAGGGGAACATCACACACCGGGGCCTGTTGTGGGGTGGGGGGAAGGGGGAGGGATAGCATTAGGAGATATACCTAGTGTTAAATGACAAGTTAATGGGTGCAGCACACCAACACGGCACATGCATACATATGTAACTAACCTGCACATTGTGCACATGTACCCTAAAACTTAAAGTATAATAAAAATAAAATAAAATAAAATTAGGAATTTATTAAACCTCACTCTAAAGAAAATAAAAAGACAAGCTGCATACTGTGAGATATTTACAAAAAATATGTAATACACAGTATCCAAAGATAACCACCATTAATTGATTGATATACATGGATGCTACTCCACTCATCAAAAAGTGGGGTCTATTTCTCCTCTTTTTAAATCTGGGCTGGTCTTAGTGAACTCCTTTGACCAACAGAATACTGTGAAAATAATATTAGCCAGTTCCAGGCCCAGCCCTTAAAGAGACCTGCCAGGTTTCACTTTCCCTTTTAAAGCTAAGCACTATGTGGGAAATCTGACTACCCTGAGATGACCATGACCACCCAAATCAGCCACATGGAATAGTATGTGGGAAAGCACTAAAGCACCACACATGTAAGTGAAGCTTTCTTCACTTCAGCCCAGCTCAGCCATCAAATGAATGCAGCCAGCTGAATGAGTGACCCAATGCCACATAGAGCAGCAAAACTACTCAGCTCAGTCTAGAATCAAGAGAGAGTAAATTGTTGTTGATTGAAGCTACTAGAGTTTAAGGTGGTTTGTCACACAGCAATAGATAAGTGAAATAACATTTAACATATATGTGACAAATGATTCATCCACCTCCATGATTCAGTCACCTCCCACCAGGACCCTCCTCCAACACTAGGAATTACAATTCAGCAAGAGATGTAGGTGGGGACACTGAGCCAAACCATATCAAAGAGGTTCACAGATAAAAATTATTGTTCAATATTCTAAGTCTTCTCTTATATAGTGGGCTTGCAGATGTTTATTATTTGAACATGTTTTTTGATTAGTTTTTTTTGTTGTTGAGATGGAGTCTCACTCTGTTGCCCAGGCTGGAGGGCAGTGGCACAATCTCGGCTCACTGCAAGCTCCACCTCCCGGGTTCACGCCATTCTCCTGCCTCAGCCTCCTGAGTAGCTGGGACAACAGGCGTCCACCACCACACCCAGCTAATTTTTCGTGTTTTTTTAAATTTATTTTTAGTAGAAACAGGGTTTCACCATGTTAGCCAGGATGGTCTCAATCTCCTGACCTCGTGATCCACCCACCTGGGCATCCCAAAGTGCTGGGATTACAGGCATGAGCCACCACACCCGGCCGTTTTTTGATTCGTTTTAAAAGGGCCATGCCAAGATCAATGATGACTGGGTATAGGGGAAAAGGATTAGAGTACAATCCAGTGCATCTGAGGGTTCTACTTACTCTGTGAAAATAAAAAGACTAAAAGTGTATTGTTTAACTGGTTTATTAGACAACAGAAGCCAGAAGACAATAAATTAATATCCTCAAAATGCTGAGAAGAAAATAACTGTCAGTCAAGTATTGTATTTTTAAAATTGTTATTTCTCTTTTTTAATGAGGTAAAATATACATATATAATTTGCCATCTTTCACATTTTTACATGTATAGTTCAGTGGTAATAAATATATTTATTCTTTTTCCATTCATCCCCCTCCCCTTACCGGCCTCTGGTAACTACCATTCTACTCTATTTGCACGAGAGCCACTTTTTTTGCTCCCACATATGAGTGAGAACATGTGATATCTGTCTTTCTGTGCTTGGCTTATTTCACTTAGCATAATAGCCTCTAGTTCCATTCACATTGCCGTAAACGACAGGGTTCTTTTTTACAGCTGAATAGTATTCCATTTTGTATATATACCACATTTTCTTTATTTATCCATTGATGGGAACTTAGGTTGATTCCATATTTTGGCTACTATGAATAGTGCTGCAATAACATGCAAGTACAGATATCTCTTTGATATACTAATTTCCTGTCTTTTGGATATATAATCAGTAGTGGAATTGCTGGATCACATAGCAGGTCTATTTTTAGTTTTTTGAGGAACCTCCATATTGTTCTCCATAGTAGTTGTACTAACTTACATTCCCACCAACAGTGTATGAGGATTCTCCTTACTCCACATTCTCACTAGCATCTGTTATTGCCTGTCTTTTTGATACAAGTCGTTTTAACTGAAGTGAGATGATGTTGCACTATGGTTTTGATTTGCATTTATTTGATTATTAGCAATGTCAAACACGTTTTCATATGCCTTTTGGCCATTTGTATGACTTCTTTTGAGAAATGTCTGTTCATATCTTTTGTCTATTTTTAATCCTTTTGTTTTTTCGCTATTGAGTTATTTGAGCTCCTTATATATTCTGGTTATTAATCCCTTGTCATATGCTTAGGTTGCAAATACGTTCTCCCTTTCTGTAGATTGTCTATTCACTCTGTTGATTGTTTCTTTTGCTGTGTGGAAGCTTATGGCTTGATGTAATCCAATAATCTCTTTTTGCTTTGGTTGTCAGTGCTTTTGAAGTCTTACACAAAATAAATCTTTGCCAAATACCTGGATCATTTTCCCAACATTTTCTTTTAGTAGTTTCATAGTTTCAGTTCTTAGATTCAGGTCTTTAATCCATTTTGATTTCATTTTTGTGTATGGTGAGAGATAGGGGTCCAGTTTTATTATTCTGCATAGAGTTATCCAGCTTTCCTAACACCATGTATTGAAAAGACCTGCCTTTCCCCACTGAATGTTCTTGGTGACTTTGTCAAAGATCAGTTGGTTGTAAATGTGTGAATTTATACCGGGGTTCTCTCTTCTGTTCCATTGGTCTATGGATCTGTTTTTATGCCAGTATCATACTGTTTTGGTTACTATAGTTTGGGAGTACATTTTAAAGTCTGGTAGTGTGATGTCTCTAGCTTTGTTCTTTTTGCTCAGGAGGGCTTTGGCTATTCAGAATCTTTTGTGGTTCCATACAAATTTTAGAAGTGTTTTTTCTATTTCTGTGCAGGATGTCATTGGTATTTAGCTAGGGACTGCACTGAATATGTAAATTGCTTTGGGTAGTATTGTCATTTTAATAATATTAATTCTTCTGATCCATGAGCATGGAATATATATTTCATTGTGTCCTCTTCAATTACTTTCATCAAATTTTCATAGTTTTCTTGTATAGAACTTTCATTTCTTTGATTAGATTGATTTCTAGGTATTTTATATTTATGTAGCTACTGTAAATGAGATTCCTTTCTTGATTTCTTTTTCAGATTGTTTGCTTTTGGTGTATATAAATGCTACTGATTTTCGTATGTTGATTTTGTAACTTGCAACTTTACTGAATTCATTTATCAGTTCTATCAGTTTTTTTGGTAGCGCCCTTATATTTTTCTAGATATAAGATCATGACATTTGCAAACAAGGTTAATCTGATTTCTTCCTTTCCAATTGGGATGACCTTTCTTTCTCTTGCTTAGTTGCTCTGGCCAAGACTTCCAGAAGTATGTCAAATAAAAGTGGCAAAGTGGGTATATTTGTCTTGTTCTACTTCTTAGTGGAAAAGCCTTCAATTTTTCCCTGATGTCGGCTGTAGGTCTGTCATATATGGCCTTTATTATTTTGTGGTATGTTCCTTCTATACTCATTTTGATGAGGATGTTTATCATAAAAGGATGTTTAATTTTATAAAATGCTTTTTGATAACTAATCAAATAATCATATGATTTTTGTTCCTGGTTCAGTTAATGTGATGTATCACATTCACTGATTTGTGTATGTTGAACCATCTTTACATCCCTGGGAAGAATCTCAATTGATCATGGAGAATAATTTTTTTAATGTGTTGTTGAATTCATTTTGCTAGAATTTTGTTGAGAATTTCTGCATCTATCTTCATCAGTGATACTTGCGTATAGTTTTCCTTTTTTGTGTGTTCTTCTCTGGTTTGGGCTTCAAGTTAATGCCAGCCTTGTAGGATGAGGTTGGAAGTACTCCCTCCTCTTCACTTTTCTTGAAGGATTTGAGTAGGATTAGTATTAGTTATTCTTTAAATGTTTGGTAGAATTCAGCAGTGAAGGCATCAGGTCCCAGGCTTTTCTCTGATGGAAGACTTTTTATTACAGCTTTGAACTTGTTACTACCTATTGGTTCGTTGATGTTCTCTGTTTCTTCATGGTTCAATCTTAATAGGTTGTATATGTCCAGGGATTTATCCGTTTCTTCTAGGTTTTCCTATTTTTTTGGCACACAGTTATTCATAATAATCTATAATAATTCTTTATATTTCTTTGGTATCAGTTGTAGTGTCTCCTTTTCATTTCTGATTTTGTTTATTTAGGTCTTCTCTCTCCTTTTCTGGTTTGTCTTGCTGGTGGTTGTGGTTTATCAGTTATCAATTTTGTTTCTTTTCAAATGATCAGTTTTTCATTTCATTGATCCTCTATGTTTTTTAGTCACTATTTCATTTAGATCTGATCTTTATTATTTCTTTTCTTCTACTAATTTGGGGTTTGGTTTGTTCTTGCTTTTCTAGTTCCTTGAGGTACATCATTAGATTGTTAATTAGTAATCTTCCTACTTTTTTTCATGTAGGTATTCATTGCTATAAAATTCCCCATTAGCACTTACTTTGATATATTCCACAGGTTTGGGTACGTTATGTTTCCATTTTCATTTGTTTCAAAAATTTTTTTTGTTTCTGTCTTAATTTCTTCATTGACTCACTGGTCATTCAGGGGCATGTTGAATGAAATACATTCATTTACATGTATTTTTATGGTTTCCAGAGTTGTTCTTATTACTTTCTAGTTTTATTCCAATGTGGCCAAAAAAGATACTTGATTTTGATTTTTAAAAATGTGTTGAGACTTGTTTTGTGGCCTAATATCTAGTCTGTCCTAGAGAACATTCCATGTGCTAATAAGAATATATATTCTGCAATTGTTGGACAGAACGTTCTGCAAATGTTTGTTAAGTTCATTTGGTCTCAAGTCCAGTTCTAATCTAATGTTTCTTTTTTGATTTTCTGTCTAGATAATCTGTCTAATACTGAGAGTGGGGTATTGAAGTCCCCTACTATTATTGTATGGCAGTCTTTATAGCTAGTAACATTTGCTTTATTAATATGGGTGCTCCAGTGTTGGTTGCATATATTTAGAACTGTTGTATCTTCCTGCTGGATTAATTCCTTTATCATTATATAACGACCTTGTCTTTTTTACTATTCTTGACTTAAAGTCTGTTTTATCTAAGTATGGCTACTCCTACTCCCTTTTGGCTTCCATTTGCATGGAATATCTTTTTCTATCCCTTTACTTTCAATCTATATGTGTCGTTACTGATAAGGTGAGTTTCTTGTAAGCAGCATATAGCTGAATCTTTTTAAAATCCATTCAGCTATTCTATATCTTTTAAGTGAATAATCCATTTATGTTGAAGGTTATTACTGACATGTGAGGCTTTGTTCCTGTCATATTGTGAATTGTTTTTTGGTTGTTTTATATATTCTTTGTTCCTTTATTTTTCTCTTTTTGTTGTTGTGGTTTGGTGAATTTCTGCAGTGGTATCATTTGAGTGCTTTCCCTTCCTCCTTTGTGTGATTGCTTTACCACTGAGTTTTATACTTTCATGTGTATTCATGATGATAAATGTCATCCTTTTACTTCCAGGTTTAAGACTCCCTTGAGCACTTCTTAGGGGACCAATTTTGTGATCCTGAATTCCTTCAGCATTTGTCTAGGAATGACTTCATTTCTCCTTCACTTCATTTTAGCTGATAATATATTCTCGGTTGGCATTTTTTTCTTTTGGCATTTTGAATATATCATTCATTCTTTTCTAGCCTGTAAGGTTTCTGCAGAGAAATCTATAGTAGTCTAATGGGGTTTCCTTTATAGGTGACAAGGATCTTTTCTCTTGGTGTTTTTAAGATTCTATCTTTGACTTTAGACAGTCTGATCATAATGTGCCGTGGGGATCTTTTCACATTGTTTCTGCCTGAGGATCACTGAGCCTCTAGTGTCTGAATGTCTAAATCTCTTGCTAGACTTGGGAAGTTTTTATCTAGTATTTTGTAAAACAGGTTTTCTAATCCTTTCTCTCTTTGCCCTTGGGGATATCAATAATTCATAACTTTTGTCACTTTTTATTGTCCCAAATGTCATGAAGACTTTGCTCATTCTTTTTTATACTTTTTTCTTTATTTTTTCTGACTGAATTATTTCAAAACACTTATCTTTAAGTTCTGAGATTCTTTTTTCTACCTGATTTAATCAATTGTTGAAGCTTTCAAATGTATTTTGTATTTACTTCAATAAATTCTTCAGTTCCAGAATTTTTATTTGGTTCTTTTCAAAAGAATCTTATCTCTTTAGGAAATTACTCATTCATGTCCTAAATTATTCTTCTGATTTATTTGTATTTTTTAACAATCCTCTTGTATGTCACTGAGATTCTTTAAAATCAGTATTTTGAGTTCTGTATCTGAGATTTTGAAAATTCTTTTTATTAAGATCTACTGATGGAGGTTTACTGTGTTCCTTCGGAGGTGTCATATTTCCTTGCTTTTTCATGTTTTTTATGTTTTTATGCTGATATCTGTGCATCTGGTGTAACAGTCACTTCTTCCTATTTTTGATACTTTCATAGGGAAGGACTTTTCCCTGAAGATATATCTATGGTACTGGCTGTTACGGTACTTTGGCTTTGAGTCTGCGTGTGTGTATTAGTGTAGTCTCCGCATTTCTTTGGCTGTAAACAACGTTAGTGATATCTGTAGTACACAAGAACACAACAACAACAAAAAAGAAGACAACAGGTCAATATCCCTCATGAACATAGACGCAAAACTCCTCAGCAAAATACTAGGAAACCAAATCCAACAGCACATCAAAAAAATAATACACCATGATCAAATGGGATTTATACCAGGAGTGCAAGGATGGTTCAATATATGCAAATCAATAAGCATGATACATCACATAGAATGAAGGACAAAAGCCATTTGATAATCTCAATAAATGCAGAACAAGCATTGGACAAAATTCATCATTGCTTCATGATAAAAACTCTCAACAAACCAGGCATAAAAGGAACATACCTCAAAGTAACAAAGGCCACATAGGATAGACCCACAGCTAACATCATACTGAATGGATTAAAGTTGAAAGCCTTTCCTGTAACAACTGAAACAAGATAAGGATGTCCCCTTTCACCACTCTCATTCAGCCTCATACTGGAAGTCCTAGCCAGAACATTCAGGCCAGAGCAAGAAATAAAAGGCATTGAAATTGGAAAAAAAGAAAATCAAATGGTCCCTCTCTGTTGATCATATGATTTTATATCTAGAAATACCTAAAAACTCCACCAAACAATTCTTAGATTTTATAGATGAATTCAGTAAAGCTGCAGGATACAAAATCAATGTACAAAAATCAGTAGCATTTCTATACACTAATAATGACCTAGCCAAGAAATAAATCAAGCAGGCAATCTAATTTACAATAGCCACAAAAGAAAAATACCTAAAAATAAATTTAACCAAGGAGGTAAAAGATCTCTACATAGAAAACTATAAAACACTAATGAAAGAAATTGAATACAACACAAACTAATAAAAAAGCATCCCATGCTCATGGATAGGAAGAATTAATATCATTTAAATGACCGTATTGCCAAAAGCAATTTACAGATTCAATGCAATTCCTATCAAAATACCAATATCATTCTTCACAGAATTAGAAAAAAATCCCCCAAATTCATATGGAATAAAAAAAGAGCCTGAATAGCCAAAGAAATCCTGAACAAAAAGAACAAAGTTGGAGGCATCACAATACCTGACTTCAAAATATACTACAAAGCTATAATAACCCAAACTGCATGGCAATGGTATAAAAACAGACACACAGACCAATTGTACCAAATAAAGAACCAAGAATTAAAGCCACATATTTATAGCCAACTGACTTACAACAAAACTGACAAGAACCTACATTGGAGAAAGCATACCCTTTTCAATAAATGATGCCTGGAAAACTGGACAGCCACATGCAGAAGAATGAAACTGGACCACTATCTCTCACCATATACAAAAATCATCTCAAAATGGATTAAAGACTTAAACATAAGATCCAAAACTAGGGAAAACTCTCCTGGACATTAGGCTAGGCAAATAATTTGTGACTAAGACCTCAAAAGCACAGGCAATAAAAATAAAAATAGACAAATCGGACTTAAACTAGAAAGTTTCTGCACAGCAAAACAAATAATCAACAGAGTGAAAAAACAGCCTGTTCAATAGGAGAAAAAAATTGCAAACTATTCATTTGACAGGGAACCAAGATCCATAATATACAAGGAACTGAAACAACTCAACAGGAAAAGCACAAACAATCCCATTAAAAAGTATGCAAAGGACAAGCATAGACATTTCTTAAAAGAAGACATGTAACCAGCCAATAGGTATTTGAAAAAAATGCTCACCACCACCAGAAAAATGCAAATCAAAAACCAGAATGAGATACCATCCTACCCCAGTCAGAATGGCTATTAATAAAAAGTCAAAGTCAAAAAATAACAGATGTTGGTAAGGATGTGGAGAAAAGGGAACTCTTATACACTGTTAGTGGGTATGTAAACTAGCACAGCCACTATGGAAAGCAGTAGGGAGATTTCTCAAAAAACTAAAAATACAATTACCATTCAATTCAGCAATTCACTACTGAGTATCTAACCAAAGTAAAAGAAATCAATATATAAAAGGAATACCTGCACTCACACATTTATTGCAGCAGTATTCACAAAAGCAAAGATACAGAATTAACCTAAGTGCCCATCGATGGATGAATGGATAAAAAATGTGGTACATATATACAAAATGAAATATTATTCAGCCATAAAAAAGAATGAAATCACATCATTTGCAGTAACATAGATGGAACTGGAAGTTATTATCTTAAGTGAAATAAGCCAGGCACAAAAAGATAAATATCATGTTCTCACTTATATGTGGGAGCTACAAAATTTGAATAAAATTTAAGTTTAAAATTTGAATACTATATGGAGGTAGAGAGTGGACAAATAGATAACACGGACTGAGAAGGATGAATGGCAGGAAGTGGGAGGATGAACAGAAGTGGGCTTAAGGGTACAAAGACTCAGTAAGATATAAGGAATAAATTCAGTGTTTGATAGTGGAGTAAAATGTACTTAACAAAAATATATTGTACTCAGGTCATGGACAACCTAAGTACCGTAATTTGGTCACTACACATTAGATACATGTACCAAAATTTCTCACGTACCTCATAATCTGGTACAAATAAAAACATTTAAATATAAAAATAAATTTTTCAATAATAAATCATAGCTTCTTGTAACTTTTTTACTTTATAAACTTTATTTCTTACTCTTTTGTAATAACACTGAGCTTAAAACACACATTGTACAGCTGTATAGAAATATTTCCTTTATATCCTTATTCTATTAATATAGGCATTTTTCTATTTTAAAATTTTATTTTACTTTTTAAACTTTTTAATTATAAACTAAGATACAAACACACACATTAGCCTAGGCATAGACAGGATCAGTATCACCAATATCACTGTCTTTCAACTCCACATCTTGTCCCACTAGGTCTCTGGGGTAATAACACATGGAGCTGTCATCTCCTATGATAACAATGCCTTCTTCTGGAATATCTCCTAAAGGACCAGCCTAAGGCTGTTTTACAGGTAACATTTTTTTAATAAAGAGGAGTACACTAAAATAATCGTTTAAAAGTATGGTATAGAGGCCGGGCGCCGTGGCTCACGCCTGTAATCCCAGCACTTTGGGACTCCGAGGTGGGCAGATCATGAGGTCAGGAAATCGAGATCATCCTGGCTAACACGGTGAAGCCCCGTCTCTACTAAAAATACAAAAAAATTAGCCGGGCATGGTGGAGGACGCCTGTAGTCCCAGCTACTCCGGAGGCTGAGGCAGGAGAATGGCGTGAACCCGGGAGGCGGAGCTTGCAGTGAGCCCAGGTCGCGCCACTGCACTCCAGCCTGGGCGACAGAGCGAGGCTCCGTCTCAAAAAAAAAAGTATGGTATAGTAAATACATAAGCAAGTAACATACTCATCTGTTATTATCAAGTACTATGTACTGTACATAATTGTATGTGCTACTCTTTTATGACTGGCAGCACAGTTTACAATAGCATCACCACAAACACATAATGCCTTGACTATGACATCACTAGGCGACAGGAATTTTTCAGCTCCATTATAATCTTATGGGACTACCGCTGTTATGAGGCACATGACTGTATATGTACATATATTTCCTAGCGTAGTCTATCCCACAAACGCAAGTAAAATATCCATTAGTGTCCCTAATGTAATTCATCAACTTCTTAGAAAAGTTATATCTCTACATACAAAATCACTTATAATAATCCATATATATTTGTGTTGAGAGTGTATATGTATATATTATACAATAAGTGATGGCAAGGTTTTTCAAATAGCTCATTATTCGTTTATAAATGGAAAATTTTAAAAAACTTCAGAAATATAGGACTAGAAGGGAACGCGGCCTGCCTGAGGGAGAGCAACTAAGAAGAACCTCGCGTTGAGAGCTCCTGCGGTCGGGGCTACCGGCGTGGCGGCGCCGGCGCCTGGTGGATGCGCCAGCATCTGCCTGGTGAGGGTTCCGCGCGGGGACTCGGAGGCGCTCCCACAGCAGCTGGGTGGGGAGCGCCCAGGCCCTCCGCGCCCACGCAGCCCTCCCAGTGCGACACCGGCTGCCCCACGCGCCGCCCGCCCGCCGAGGCTCTGCCGACCGCTGACAGGAAGACGCTGACGACCTTACCCGCCGCGCCGTGGTCCGACGGCCGTTGTGGCCCTTCCTGGAAGCGGCGAAGGTCCGGCCCGCCCACGCCGGCGAGCGCCAGACTAGGGTGAATGGGAAGGACCGCGCAGCACAGCCCTACCACGCCAGGCTCCGACGCCTCCTGGCCGTAACCGCCTGACCAAGAGCCACGCCTGCGCCCTGGCGAAGAGGCCACAATGGGGGTGGGGTCCCGAACGCGGCGCAAGGGATCCTGGGTGCCGGGCAGGTGAGGAGGGGCCCTGGCTCTTGCGAGATTCCACCGCGGGTACGCGGCGGCCCCCGATGTGACACCGACGGTGCTGGGGGTAAGGGGGGTGTTGGGGGTGCAGAGTGTGGCCCAAAAGTGTGCCCTAAAGGCAGATCAGATATGGTGCCCAAGTTAAAGACTCTAGTCTGACCTTTCTACCACCTGCATGCCTACCTAGGTATGGCCTAAAGGCGGGAGAAATGTGTGCCTTTGCAGAACAGGTGGCTCTGAGACCTCTGAAAGAGGTGACTTACACTTAAGATTTTCACAACTCGTGGGCGTGAATTTTCATTAAAAAGCCTCACTTACTAGTGAAGGATCGTATATATGTAATAAAACAGGTCTAAGAGGTATACAATTCTAAGGTAAAAATAATTACATATATATTAAAATACCCCATTTCTTTTTAAAGGTCTTATAAAAATTTAGTAAGTTAATGTTCTATATTTCACTCACGCAACAACTACAATATTTATTGAGCACTTACTATGTGCCAGGCACTGAGCTAGGCACAAAAAATACCTGGGTGACTTCATATTTCTTGGTGGGATCCACAGGAAAAAAAAATGTAGAGATTTGTTGGGGCCTATTACATCTAAGGCTGTGTTTAATATTTTAAAAATCAGCTTCCCATTTTTGTTACAATATTTAATAAGTTTAAATATATAACCATTCGGCATATTACAGTAAAATCTATGTATGAATTTGAGTCTTTGAGACGCTGTTTGGTAAGAGGGTTTAGGTATTGGGGGTAAGGAAATATGTCACTTTAAAAAGGAAAAACATTTTGGAAATAATGTTTTTATATGCCAATAATCATTTCCATTTGAATAAAATTGGCCAAAAAGTTGAGAGTCGTAACTTAAAAAAAATCAGTCAATAGACTGTCTAAAACAAAATAAGATCAACAAAAAAGACAGACTATGAAGGGCCGCCTGAGTTCACATCCAGTGTTCCTTATCTCAGTAAATAGCAATTCTATTTGCTTAAACCAAAAATCACTGGCGTTATCCTTGACATTTCCCACTCCCTTACCTTATATAGGCTTATTCTTTTTTGTATAACTTACTATAAAAGTGAATAAAGTATATCTATAGTATTTCATCTTAACTTGATTGGTTTTAGTAATCTATTTTTTTAAATGCATTTATACGTTCTTTCCCAGTGCTTTCTGTAATCATTTTTTAAATGTTTTTTAATGAAATTATTTCAATGGAAAAATGAAGTCAGATTTTATGATAAAAAGTCAGCCTGATTTGGCTAATTGATTTGACAATGCTGATTATACAGCAGACATTTTCCATAAATTAAATGAGCTAAATCCACAGATTCACAGTTTTGACAAAAAAAAATTGAAAAACATAAAAATGTCTTTAAAATTGTATTGGCAAAAGTGTATTAAACTTTTTTTTTAATTTTACTTTAAGTTCTGGGATACAAGTGCCGAACGTGTAGGTTTGTTACATAGGTATACATGTGCCATGGTGGTTTGCTGCACCTATCAACCCATCATCTAAGTTTTAAGTCCCGCATGCATTAGCTATCTGTCCTAATGTTCTCCCTCTCCTTACTTCCCAATCCCTGACAGGCCCTGGTGTGTGTTGTTCCCCTCCCTGTGTCCATGTGTTCTCACTGTTCAACTCCCACTTACGAGTGAGAACGTGCAGTGTTTGGCTTTCTATTCCTGTGTTAGTTTGCTGATGATGATGGCTTCCAGCTTCATCCATGTCCCTGCAAAGGACATGACCTTGTTCCTTTTTATGGCTGCATAGTATTCCATGGTGTATATGTACTACATTTTCTTTATCCAGTCTATCACTGATGGGCATTTGGGTTGGTTCCATGTCTTCGCTATTGTAAATAGTGCTGCAATAAACATATGTGTGCATGTGTCTTTATAGTAGAATGATTTATAGTCCTTTGGGTATATACCCAGTAATGGGATTGCTGGGTCAAATGGCATTTCTGGCTCTAGATCCTTGAGGAATCGCCACACTGTCTTCCACAATGGTTGAACTAATTCACATTTTCACCAGTAGTGTTCACGTGTTCCTGTTTCTCCACGGCCTCACCAGCATCTGTTGTTTCTTGACTTTTTAATAATCGCCATTATGACTGGTGTGAGATGGTATCTCATTGTGGTTTGGCTAACTGGGGACAGTGTTGCAGTGAAGACTGGAATTGTTGAACCTCTCAAACACTCATCTTCATTATACTCAGGAGATTAGTTTATTTTCTACCCAATGCTTCAGTGTTAATGGGGCTTTTTCCTTTCTTTCTTTCTTTTTTTTTTTTTTTTTTTTGAGATGGAGTCGTGCTCTGTCACCCAGGCTGGAGTGCAGTGGCGCGATCTCAGCTCACTGCAAGCTCCACCTCCCGGGTTCAAGCTATTCTCCTGCCTCAGCCTCCCGAGTAGCTGGGACTACAGGCGCCCGCCACCACGCCCGGCTAATTTTTGTATTTTTAACAGAGACAGGGTTTCACCGTGTTAGCCAGGACGGTCTCAATCTGCTGACCTTGTGATCCGCCTGCCTCGGCCTCCCAAAGTGCTGGGATTACAGGCATGAGCCACCACACCCGGCAATGGGGCTTTTTTCTATGAACCTTTGTGTAGCTCTTTTATAGTCATAAATATCACTGAAAAATATTACTCTTTTTTCTACTTCAAGAAAACTACCAGATATTTTAATTCTATAATACAAAGTGAACTTCTGAGAATTTGTTCATGCATTTTCTTTTTTTTGACAAGCTTATTAGGCCACTGGATTCCTTGAATAAGTATAAAGGGACTTAAATTTTATAAAGCAATTTGATATATGAGCAAATTCAAATAGCACTTTCAAGTATGAACTGCATAAATGGATAAAGAGTATAACATTGATATGGTATTATTTGGATTTTTAGCAAGACATTTGGTAAAGATTCTCATGATATCCTTATGGATAAAAAAGTGATATTGTGCTTAGGAATTTTTTAATTCATGGTAAAAGGTTTCTAATGCTATATTGCTAGGCTCTCCTTGGCCTAATTCCTTTCAAAGTTTTTATTAAAGAGTTCGATATTGACATCATGGCATGCTGGTTTAGGTGCATACAATATGAAACTGGGATGGGTAAATAAATGAGCCAGGATCAAAGAGAATCTTTATAAACTGAAACAATGCACCAAGTCTAACATGGTCCAGTTTCATAGGGGTATGTGTAGAATATAGTTGGGTCCAAAAAACTAACTTTGCAAAAACATATGGGGGTAGATGTGGTTTAACAATAGTAATCATGAACAAAATCTTAAGGGTTTTAGTTGATTGTGAATTTCTTGAGTTCACAGTATGATTTGGCTGGAGGTAAAGTTCATCAATTATCCTGAGGAAGTGGGAATAGACATATTCTTTGATGCTCCAGGGTATACAACCAGAGCCCATGCATGAAAACTATAAGAGGGCAGATTGACATTAAATATCAGGGAAAAAATGTCTGATTAGTCAAGCTGTCTAAGTATGGATCCCACACCTTGAAAAGTAGCGAAACCTCTGCCAGTGGGAGGACTTGTTTGAAGCAGAATCGGGGGACTTGTCTAAGTTGTGTAAGCAGAGGCCTGACAATCATTTGAAGAGAATGTTGAAGGGGAAGTTGATACATTGGATGAGATACATTCAATGAGTTATAAGATCCCTTCTGACAAGTATTAATAGATGGAATACTGTGGAGCTAATGAACCACGCCCACAGCAGATACTCCACCACCTCCTCTACCACTGAGCTAGTGTGTATACTTTGGAAACCACCAACAGTTTGGAGTTGACACTCTAGAAACCAGTTAGCATTCTCTGTGGCTATTGTAATACATTTGTTCTTTTTTTTTTTTTTTTTTTTGAGATGGAGTTTCACTCTTGTCACCTGGGCTGGAATGCAATGGCGTGATCTCAGCTCACTGCAACCTCCGCCTCTGAGGTTCAAGCAATTCTCCTGCCTCACCCTCTCGAGTAGCTGGGATTACAGGTGCCCGCCACCACGCCCAGCTGATTTTTGTATTTTTAGTAGAGACGGAGTTACTGGTTTCGAATTTCTGACTTCAGGTGATCCGCCTGCCTCGGCCTCCCAAAGTGCTGGGATTATAGGCGTGAGCCATGGCGCCTGGCCACAAATTTGTTCTTAAAACAAGAAAATGTTATGCTCGCAGTTCTGTAAACCAGAAGTCTAAAACTAGTTCCACTAAGCTGAAATCAGACACCTGCAGGGCTGCACTGCCTGCAGAGGCTCCAAGGGAGAATCTATTCCTTGCCTCATCCTGCTTTTGGTGGCTGCTGGCATTCTTTGGCTTGTGGCTGTTTCACTCCAGTCCCTGCATCTGTGGTCACATTACCTTATCCTCCCCTATATGCCAGATCTCTTCCGCTTCTCTCTTATAAGGAAGTGTGATTACGTTTAGGGCTTACCCAGATAATCCAGGATAATCCCCTAATTCAAGAGCCTTAACTCAATCACACCTACAAAGCTCCCACCCACCCCCCCCACCTTATTTATTTATTTATTTTTTGTCATGTAACGTAACAGTCACAGGTTTCAGGGATTATGTATATCTTCTGGGGTGCTGATTATTCTGTCTATCACAAAGCCCATACGCTTTTCCTAGGAAAAAATAAAGTAAAAAATATATGGAATGAAAATGTAAAATAGAGGTTGGGTCTGTAGTAGATTATAGGTGGTGGTTCACGCCTATGTAATGCCAGCACTTTGGGAGGCTGAGGTGGGTGGATAGCTTGAGGCCAGGAGTTTGAGGCCAGCTTGGCCAACATGGTGAAACCCAGTCTCTACTAAAAATACAAAAATTATCTGAGAGTGGTGGTGGGCGCCTGTAATCCCAGCTATGCAGGAGGCTGAGGCAGGAGAATCCTTTGCACCTGGGAGGTGGAGGTTGCAGTAAGCCAGGATGGTGCGGCTGCACTCCAGCCTGGGTGACTGAGCGAGACTCTGTCTCCAAAAAAAAAGAAAAGAAAATGTAAAATAGTATAGCTGTACAGTATAACATAGAACATGGACTTTGTAGTTATGGTAACCTGAATTTGAATTCCAGCATGGTATCACGTTAAAGGTAAATGAGAAAAGGTGGCAGCTGCTACATGGCAAGCACTTATTAAATGGTAGCTATTATTATTATTTATACTTTGAAAAATTCATGATTTAACAGAAGTTGTTATCGGAAAGGGGTCCCGATCCAGACTCCAAGAGAGGGTTCTTGGGTTTCGTGCAAGAAAGAATTCAGGGCGAGTTCACAGTGCAAAGCAAAAGCAAGTTTATTAAGAAAATAAGGGAATGAAAGAATAGCTACTCCATAGACAGAGCAGCCCCAAAGGCTGCTGGTTGCCCATTTTTATGGTTGTTTATTGATTATATGCTAAACAAAGGATGGATTATTCAAACCTCCCCTTTTTTTAGACCATACAGAGTAACTTCCTGACATTTCCATGACATTTGTAAACAGTCATGGAGCTGGTGGGAGTGTAGCAGGGAGGACGACCAGAGGTCACGCTTGTCGCCATCTTGTTTTTGATGGGTTTTGGCTGGCTTCTTTACTGCAAGCTGTTTTGTCAGCAAGGTCTTTGTGACCTGTATCTTGTGCTGACCTCCTGTCTCATTCTGTGACCTAGAATGCCTAACCGTCTGGGAATGCAGCCCAGTAAGTCTTAGCCTTATTTTACCCAACCCCTATTTAAGTTGGAGTTGCTCTGGTTAAAACTCCTCTGACAAAATGGCATGGGAGGCTGAGGCAGGAGGATCACTTGAGCCCAGGAGTTCAAGGCCAGCCTGAGCAACATAGTGAGTGAGACTTCATCTCTAAAAGAAAAGAAAAAAAGGCATGCTAATGTTCTCTAATATCCTTTTTCTCACCTTCTCAAAAAAATCTTTGAAATGATACATAAAATGGCAAACAGTGGCTGCAACTCTGGAAACCAGAGTCTATTGGGATAGTCTATTAATAGTGGAATGTATGGCAGTTGGCTGAGATATATGTTCCTGAACTCTGCTACCCATCTTCTAAAACAGAAGAGCAAATATAATGCTGCAAAGAAGGTAGGTAAAAGTTTGGTCTTTAGAATGGCCTGACTAGAAAATTGTACAGTTATGTCTTCACTGCACCAGAATAATTTAATGCTTCAGGCAGACTGATGACCTCTTTCCCTGTCCCCACATACCCAGTCAGAGACTGCAACTCCTGTGATGCCACAGAACCAACAGCATCCAGCAGAGGAAAGGGTGCATTACATCTTATGAGGCATTCTATCTTGGAAGCACTGTGGGCAGGGCCAAAAAACAGGCCCTGGGAGCTGGGCATGTGAAGGAGTTGTATCTTTGACTTACATTTGTACAAAGAAAAACTGCAAACTACATGAGCCTCTGATAATCAGGAAAATCAGCTAGAAGGGTAGGGTATAGGCTCATCAGATCAGTGCCTATAAGGGTGACTAAGGATTGTTTACATCAACCTTAAGGCTCATTCTAGATATGAGAGAGAGAATCTACTAGCTCTCAAATTAGTACCGAGAAGAACTAAAGGCACTCAGTATACCTGGCCTCTTGGCCCACACCAAGCTGGATAGATGTCTCTATATTCAAAGATTATTAAGCAAAGAAAAGAATGCAATAATAATAGCAAAATGTTATCTCTAGCAATGTGATATTTACCATGTGCCAGGCACAATTTTAAGTTCTGTGTCAGTTATCAATATAGGATTGCTCAGCTTTGAATACACATTTCAGTTTATAGCTCTGTGATAATGAAATTCCCGAGCTATTTAAAGTGAATGCAGTGTTATGTTTTTTCCAGTAGATGGTAGTAGAGGAACATTGTCAAAGGAAGAGGAGCTCCTGCCCTTTCCAGCATAACCTGGAGTTAGCAGTATAGGTGTGAGGCCATTTTGGCAGAGCCTGCTCCAGGTACAGACCTCGAACTGGTCTCTCTGTGACCTTGAAGACTTGGCCTGGCAATAGCCTTTCTGCAGCCCTCGGGACACAGACACCACAGACCCACACAGCCCATGTACTCTGAAGGGCTCCTATCCCTGAAGATGACCCGACTCTCACTGCAGACCCACACCCCTGGCTGCTGGGTGCAAGCCTGCAGTCCAGAGGGTGGCCTGTTGCTTGCCCAGCAGTCCCAGGTCAGCTCCAGGCTGGCCAAGCCAACAAAATTCTCTGCTATCCAGTGGGCTGAATCACATCTTCTCCAACAAGGTCTGAGCCCCTTCCAAGTTTGTTTTTTCCTGCCACCCTCAACCGTAGGGTACCATGTAGTTTCCTTATATTCTATAGTTACCCTTTTGTTGATACATTTATACATCAACCTTTCCCAGTTTAGCCTACTCTCTGGTTTCTGTATCCTGACTGGACCCAGACTACTGCAAATACTTCACATGTATTAATTCATTTACTTACCATACCAATTGTATGAGGTGAGTACCATTACTGACATCATTTTTCTAATGAAGAGGTTGTGTGCGGTTAGGTAACTCATACAACCTTGTCTTTGTTTCGAAAATTTTTTAATCTAAAGACTCAGAAGAAAAACACCCTCTAAACAAATATTTTTTGTAAGATATAGAAGAAAATTTTAGAAAACATCTGTTTGGTTTTCCCAAGGAACCAAGAAAATACAGCCTTCCTATAGGAACAGAGACATAAGAAGAGAATAGACTTGGATGCAGGCAGAATTTTAAAAAGAAGCTAGCAAAATAAAATTTAAGAGAAACCAAAAATGTTGTGGAAGAATTTGAATCGTACTAAAGGCAGTACAGAGGAAAATTATTACTGCAGGAAAGCGAATAAGTGATGTGGCAGTTTAACCCCAACAGTTCTCCCAGAATACAGAGGAAAAAGAGGTGAAAAGAATGAGAGACCATAAGAGAGAAGCAGGTCAAAGAAGTGAAGGCATACCTACCAAAGTTATCTCTTCTTAGAGAAATAACTAGAATAATGGGGTCAAAAGTCCTCAGGCGGGAGGCTATTAAGAGGAAAGTAAAGCCCACATGGGGAAATTATTATCACTTATGGGGAAATTTTTAGAAGTTTCTGTGTGACCTCCCGCAAACTCCCATGGCATTTTCTTTGCACTGTGTCACTCACCCTGTTCTGCCTTGAATTTTGCTGAAAGTGTAAGACTAGCACTGAAAAGAACATATTTCAGATCCCAGTCTTTTCACTTACTGTGTGACATTAACAAGTCAACTGCTAGGCCTTGGTTTTCTATCTACCTTATAATATCTACCTAAAGTAGTTTATCTATCTTGAAAGGTTGTCTGGTGACACAAATGAAGATATATGGAAATCTCTAGACAATAGTTTCTGAACCTGAATCTTTATGTCTCTATGTGAGTCTCAATATTTAAGGACAAAAAAGCAGATGTATTTCCTTTGTGTCCCCTGCAGTACCTAGCAACTGTAGGCACTGTATAAATATTTATCAAGCATGTTTAATTTAAGATAAAAGTTAGCAAAGTAGTCTAAACCTATCCCACTATCACAAAAGGAACAATGGGTTTCATAAAGACCAGAAAAATATAGATCAATAGAATTAATTGTGTTTGTAAACAGATATAAATTCATTTATTATTGCTATTTGTTTTGGGGTTTTTTTGTTTTTGTTTTTGTTTTTTTGAGATGCTGTCTCGCTCTGTTACCCAGGCTGGAGTGTAGTGGCACGATCTCAGCTCACTGAAACCTCTGCCTCCCGGGTTCAAGCAGTTCTCCTGCCTCAGCCTCCCAAGTAGCTGGGATTACAGGCATGCGCCAACACACCTGGCTAATTTTGTATTTTTAGTAGAGGCAGGGTTTCTCTGTGTTGGTCAGGCTGGTCTTAAACGCCCGACTTCAGGTGATCCGCCCACTTCGGCCTCCCAAAGTGCAGGGGATTACGGGTGTGAACCACCACGCCCAGCTATTTGTTTTAATTTCAGTGTTTACAAAAGGCAATGAGCATTGAGCTATTTTAGTATAGATGTAAATTTTGATAATTTTCTCCATCCTTTGTTACAACTGAAACATTTTAGTTCAATACACTGTAATTTACAGCTAAATAGTACAAAATGGTGATTTGTAACATTTTGTTTTCACAAAGAAAAAATGATTTAAAATGACAGAAGAAAATTATAGCAATTAACATAGCCATCCAAAGGAATATTTTCTAAGCATATAAGATGACTACTATCATCAATAGAACTACGCAATAACTTGGATTCACAAATATGTCAACCTTCATTAAGAACCTTAAATTCCTAAATGTAAATCAAGTTACAAAAATCATTATCCATCTGGAGAGAAACCTAATGATTTCCCTATGCCAGCTGTGGAAATAACAGGTTTGAGCCATGTTAAAAATCAATGTTACCCAAATAAAGAGTTTTCTCAGATTCCTCTCTGGTAACATGCTGTTAATGTTGGTAACAGAGGCCACTGTCAGAGCATTTGCCCAAGTCCAGAATACTTCCCAAAGATAGTAGGATATAGGATATCTCTACACAGGTAGGGGCTAATTCAAGCCACTATGCAGAGATAGCCTCTATCCTACTATCCTTGAGAATTGAAAGAGAGAATACCTGTGTGGAGGTATCCTATTATCTGGTGAATTTGAGGCAGGAGAATAGGGTGTGGAGGCAAGGAACCTAAGGCCAGTTCATGCTGACTTCCTAGAACTAAATCAAAAGGAAAACCCCAATTTTCCACACCTAAGTAACAAAAGGACCAGAGGCTACTCCCTTTGCAACACTTTCTACATGGCAGATGGAAAATTGAAAGTACCTCTGATTGGTTGCAGAAAGCAACCAAGCAGATGTTTGCATAGGAGTGTAACTTTGTAACTTCACTTTGGCCTCTGATTGTGGGCCACTGCTTCATTTGCACCGGGTGTACATCAAGTGGCCAATGGTGGATTTGGACCCCAGAAGACTGTGTAACCAGGGCCTTTGAGCCACTGCTCGGGCCACTCCCACCCTGTGAAATGTACTTTCATTTTCAATAAATCTCTGCTTTCGTTGCTTCATTCTTTCCTTGCTTTATTGTGCGTTTTGTCCAATTCTTTGTTCGAAATGCCAAGAACCTGGATAACTTGCGGTCAAGACCCTTTACCGGTAACATGTATATAGAGAGGTTATCTCTCTCAATTCACTAGTTAGAGTCTACTATGCTATTTAATATTAGTGTCCTAGATGTGGCAGTCGTTTGGAAACTCTATTGGATTTCTTACTGAATTCATGGACAGTTCCCAGATTAACCTACTCAAATGTGAATCCTACAGACTTGGAGATTAAGTCTGGAGAAAGCCTTTTGGCAAACCAAACCCTGGGAGCCATCCTGGGGTTTGCATCTCATAATGCACGGGAAAGCTGATCTCTATTCAGTTTTGCAACTTCTGTATTGTTTTTACACAGGATTAAATGTTAAAACTCTTGCAGTGCTCACATCCATCTAGATTAGTTCTTTCTCTACTTCCATACAATTCACTTACGCAGTTTAGTTTCATTGGGAACTAAACTCTTGACAGTGCACAGTAGGAAGTATACTCAAAATTCAGAAGAAGCCAGGAAAAGGGATCGAGTTTGAACAAGTCCCTTCTCAGGGACTCATTACACCAAATTTACCTTACAGAATTGTTGATTTAAATGGTTTCTCTCCCTCTGATCTGTTCTTTATGTTTCAGCTAAAATAATCAGTTTACCACCCCACTAGAAAAAGGCAGGCAGGAATCTACGTGACTTGAGTTTGTGAAAAACCCTACAGCAATCTATTTCCAATTAGAGAGAATTTCCTCTCCACCTGATTCATTTATGCTGCTTAATTTTCTGTTCTTTAAACTCAGCTTTTTTCATTTGCATGAAATTGTTTAAAAAACAGATTAATCTTGCTTTCTATAACTTTCACAGCTTGGTCCCTGACTGTAACTTTGAATTCTTACTTTGACTCTCTTTTCCTGTGGATAGAATAGAAGTGGAATTTCAAAGAACATATACAATTTAACTTGAAATACGCGTTAGTTTGTCTGATTACAATTCTCCCTGGAAACTAAGTGATTTTGATTATGGGTGTGGGTTTGTGTGAATGGAGCAGGTTGTAGAAAATGAAGAGCAATCTTCCTGGGGTTTGGGCCACTGCCTTGGGAAGGTAGCTGTGAGGACCTAAGATAATATGTGAATAAAGAAAAGAATATAGAAAAGGAATGTGGGAGAATCTACAAGGTTAAATTCACTTACTCCAAAGGATTTGGAACCTGTCCCAGTCAACAGAACCATCTATTGCCCTTTATACCTTTCAGAACCATCTATTGCCCTGTATACCTTTAGCATCCCAAGTACTACCACCTTGTTCAACCACCATGGATTTCAGAACCATCTATTGCCCTGTATACCTTTAGCATGCCAAGTACTACCCCCCTGTTCAGCCATCATGGACTACTGACTACCACAAATCCCACTGCGAGCTGCTGCCAGAATCTCTCTCCTATGTCAGTTAAAGATGGTGTCCACCACCAGGCCTCTGACTCTATTCTTTATAATCATCATGGAGCAGAAAACACGTAGCTTTATGTCAAGATTAGAGCCAACCTTACCATGCTTTTCTTGTTAAGATCATGAAAACAGAATAGTGGCTGTATTTGCTGCTGTGTAGTAAGAAATTTGGCCACATACAGAGAGATCTGGCCTTTGTCTTCAGCTCCTGAGAGGAAATCTCTAAACACTTGGAATTTCCTCATATGAGTGTTTTTTTTTTAATTGATGGTGGCCCCTCTGCCTACAGCGAATAGTTTATACTAGCAAAATGACTCAGGGTGGGGTGGGTCACACCCAATAGTTTTAGGGTGCCATGCCAGAAAGACCAACTGTGTGTGCTTAGAAGGTTGGGGTTTGGGGCCACTGATATTAGCCTGACCTTAGGGGAAGGGAGCTGGAGATTGAGTTCAAACATGTGAGCAATCAATTAGACATGCCTAGGTAATGAAACTTCAGTGAAATCTTTGGACACGGAAACTGGAGTGAGCTTCTCAGCTTGGCAATATTCTACGCATATTGCCGCTCACTCATGTCAAGAAGGTAACCTGTAAGGATGACAGAAGTTTCCTATTTGGAACCTTCCCTAGATTCTGCCCTGTGTCATCCTTTGGCTAGTTCTAAGTCATGTCCTTTCCCTGTAATAAATGTGACTATGAGTATAATATCTTTCAGTGAGTTCTTTGAGTCTTTTTAGTGAATTATCAAACCTGAGGGTAATCTGGGGAAACCTGTGAACTTGAAATTTGTGTCAGAAGTTTTGGACAGACTTGGCAGCCTGGAGAACTCTGCCTTCAAACTCAAATTTGGCTAACTTCAGGTAGCTGCCTTTTCTGGACTTGAACTTGAACATGCCCAGACTTAGTGTTGTTGCCCTTTTAAATCTCTCAGGGATTATTCTTTCTTTAAGAATGGCCGATTCATACTTCTTGCTCTTGCCTTTGTAACCATAGTTGGCTGGATGCTTGACCCAAACTGGCCGATCAGATTCTCCCCCAGCCCCTGCAGAATTTGGAATTGGGATTGAGAGACAGCCAATCTCTGTGTGGGGCCGTATGCTACAATGTAGACTGAATTGACAAGAAAGCCAGTCTGCAGATAAAGAAGAATAAAACAGACACACAGAAGCAGATGTCTTTCCAATTCTTATTTTCCAGTTCCTTTCATGAATTCCAGATGCTACCTGATAGCTTGAATTGGTTTCTTTTACTTATACACAAATGTCCTATCTGACACCTGATAGTTCCCCTTCATTCTAGTCTAATTCTTGGAACTAGCTCCCCATCTCCTGTTCTGTCCGTGGTCATCTCAGTCTGGCCATGACATACACTATGAAAAGGACCTTTAGAGCAGTAATATTTTTGATGCAGATCAATTTTTAGTATATAAAATAATTACTCTAGAAGGGCAAGAGTTTCTAAGGATAAGATGACTTTTAAGTGTTGACCAAAAGAAAAAACCTGAGGCAATGTTGATACAGAGAGTTTATTTGGGGCAAGGTTGAGGACAGCTCATAAATCAGTTGAATTCCTATCTTCCAAAGGTCCCAAAATAGCCTGTCTTCCAAAGATCCCCAAATATCTTGAGGTTTCTGTGCCTATCAGAAAGTGGCATTACTTACCCCAAGGTCAGGATCCTGCAAAGGAAAAATATAGACAAGGTACCAGGCCATTTTTTCCAAGTCTTGGTTTTATAAAGTCAACATTAATCCCTCAAAGCAGTCTGCTCAAACTTGAAAATATGACATTCCATTCAAAGCTTTAGTAAAATAACCAGTGTTTCCAATGTGTCCTGTTACAAAAGGAAAAGAGATTCTTATTGAACTTATACAAATAGCCACATTGCAATAAAATGAGAATACAATTTTCAAATTCTAGAGAAATCAGGTAGAGAGAAAGGTAAATGTTTCAATTTTTCTCACAAAAGTATACTTTACTCAATTGCTGTAAACTATAAATAGCTTAAAAAATGTATTGACTCTAGAAAGCAAAATATAAAAACAATCAGCAGTATTTCAAACAAAATGAAGTCATAACAAATTATTTCAGTCTTCTGTCATTCAGTCCTATGTAATTAACTTTTGCTGTGTTTGAAATTGGGTTAGCAATGTTTATAAACCCATCAGTTTTTTATTAGAGTTCTGAATGTTTTTACCTCATCCAATGGTATAATCTCCAAAGTTATCAGAAACCTGTATTCAAGAGTACTTGTCATAGTCCTTTCCATTAATTTCCTTGAAGACACAATGCTTTAGCATTTGCAAAAAGGTTTGAGGATAAAAAGTGATTTACTGCATATATCAAGACATATCAGATTTTTATAAAACCTCATACAATTTTGGAGAGCATACATTAATAACATCCACACAAAGATAATTCAAAGAAAGTCAAACACCATTTCTTATTGGATAATACTTCCCATATGATTTTAACATCCCTTTAACATCCCAATAAGCCTAATATGTCCCTCTTGGATTTTCAAGAGCCCTCCATTTTTTTGAATGTCCAAGAGTTACTTTGAGGTCAAAAAGACTCAATTTTAGAATTTGAATTTTGTTTTTGGGAGGTATGTCAAATATCAAAGGTTGAAGACACTTGATATTAAAATAAATCACAGGTCACTCTAAAATAATAGTCATCTATTTAGCTAAAGTGATAATTCAAAGATTTCAGAAAGCAAAAACTTTTACTCAATAGAGCAGCAACTCAGTTTTCCAATCAAAAGACCTAATAAAGGCAGCATCAGATTATCTCTCCCATTCTCCTCTCCTTTTAAAAATTTTGCAATTTACTGAAAAGGTGAACAAAAATATTTTACTATATCTTATTAATACTATATGAAAATATTGTTCAGAAGAAAAAAACAAATGTAACCCTTGTATCAATGTATTATTATTAAATCTAATTTTAATAAAACCTTATATACAGATCCATCGAATCTTGATCAGCTTTGATCACACAGCATAAGATTTTCATAAGCCTTTTATAACCTATTACAATTTTTCCCATTTTCTTTTTCCCCAGTTTTTTATATATGTTTAGTTTATCTTTTTTAATTTAAATAACTTTTACATCACCTTTAAGCCAGGCAAACTTACTTATCTGTTAAACATTTTAACATCTTTTTAGAAAACTTTCTTTACCAAAACACATCCTATTTTTCTTTTACACTTTATATACAGAATAGTTTCTCTTACATCTAGTAGTTTTAATCACATATATTAATTACAATGTTAACTCTTAGTAACCCTAATTCTTACTGAAAAACCTAGGAAGTAAGCAATTTTAATTGTTATGTACCAGGTGTAGAACCCAGGACAGAGAAGGCTGTGAAGACAAGTCCTGGAGGATCTGATTCCTCCCAGCATGGCTAGAAGGCACAGCCGAGTCAGGGAGGACATCCTGGGCTTGGCTCTGTACCAAAGCTGGGGTGGCCTAAGTCACCAGACCTCACTATGGGCACTTGTCTAGACCTTACAATCTGAAGGCTCAAAACTAAACACATAAGATCATAGATAAACCAAACAGCTATCAAAAATGTCACAGAAAACAACAGTTTTATGACCTGAAAACTTCTATCAGAGACAGTCTAAACCTTTCTGACCAGTAGTCCCAGGCAAAATGTCTGAATTGTATTTAATACTGACTGTTCTGAAGACATTCAAGTTTTATTTTATCAGCAATTTTAAAACTAGCTTTATTTATCAAAGATTACTAAAGTCATGTGAACTTGAAAAGTTTTTGCACATATTTACTTAATTTATGAGTACTCATTTATTTACAAGTCAATTTGGTACCAGGTAGGCAATATACAAACACAGACATGCATATATGTATAGTAAAAATACAAAATAAATATTTTATAGTATAGATTTTATAATTTCTGCCATAAGACAAGTAAAACTCACTCATTTAAAAGAACACTTGGATTAAATTGTACCTCTGTAAATGGAACAAGTTATGTCCAAAGCTTTTACTGAATTTTAGAGAAAATAGGATAGCAAATTTACATTTCATAGAGGGAGAATTCAAGATTTCCAAAAGGTCAAGGAAGTTTTACATTATCATTGGCAAAAATTATGTCATCAAAAGAGAAGCAGAACAAAGGAGTGCCTATAATTAAAGGTTTAAGAAGAAATGAATTCAGTTGACTGATAAGCTTCTATGGAGACAACAGAGGTCTACACACACACACACACACACACACACATATCTGCTAAATGCCAGCTTTTAATTAAGTCAACTTTTTTTTGAGTCAGGGTCTTATTCTGTCACCCAGGCTGGAGTGCAGTGTTGTGGTCATGGCTCAGCCCCAACTTCCCAGGCTCAAGCAATCCTCTTACCTCAGCCTCCCAAGCAGCTGGGACTACAGGCATGCACCACCACAACAACCTAATTAAAAAAAATTTTTTTTAGAGATGGTGTCTCATTATGTTGCCCAGGCTGATCTCAAACTTCTGGCCTCAAGTTTCCCAAAGTGCTGGGATTATAGGCATGCGCCACTGCACCCAGCCTAAATCATCTTTTGGCTATAAAGCTCTTTAAAAAATTTTTCAAAACTCTTATCAGATTTCAGCCAGAACAAACAGCCTTATTCCTACTTCTTTTTTTCTCCTTTTTAAACCAAAGATACCTTTTCAAGTGAGTCATCCAAGCCAATACGCCTTAACTGAGGTTATGACTTAATTAAGGACTCACCAGGCATCTCCAAAGATGTGCAATGCAATCCTCAAAAGATCCAGAACCACCCCAAAGACAGCTCAAAGAAAAGAAAGTTTCACTAGCTGCAAGTGAGGTACAACCCACAACTGCCTGACTATACTCTTTGGGGTCTCAGCTTCTCAGGTAACCATCTACACACAAAGTCCAGTTGGAATATTTACAGAGAGAGTTGGTAAAGTAGGGGGGAAATGGTGCCTGTGGGGTAGTGCCAAAAGGCAGGGAAATATAGGATGGTACATTTGTGGGAAGAGTTAAGTCTGCTCCTAAATTCCCTGGCATTGCTGTCTCCTAGCTAATGAGCAAGCATTGTAAAGGAGTCCATCTTTATGTGGGAATAGCATGCAGGAAACCCTTTCTCTTTGCAAATTGCTATTCTGCCATCAGACAAGCAGAGTAAGAAATAATGTTTCTCCCAGCATTTTAACTCTTTTCAGCCCAACAATCCTCAGTATTTTAGGAAGAAATATTTTAGTTTCCTTCAGTGGAAAGGATTACAAACATATGCCTTGAAAGGTCAAGATTCATACAAGTAAATTAAAACAAAATAATTTTTATATGTTTCTCTCCCAGACTAAAGATACCCTTTAGGAAAAGGAATTTCCTGATGGATTTTAAGAACTTGAACTCTGTTTCAAATCTGATGTCAGCTGGAACATTGCTTAGCTTATTCTCCGGATGTTAATATTTCAATGACATGGCAAGATTTACATCTCCAACGGACTAAGAAAAGCCTGCAGGCAGGTTGGGAATTTAAAGGGTTTTTCTGGGGAGTTAAAGGAGAGCTCTCTAAAACAATTTTTTTTCAAATTCCTTATCACCAGGGCAAAAGAACTCATCTTTATTCACCTTTCAGTTTAAAACTAAGGAATTTGTCATAAATGAATATCCAAGTCTATATTTTAAAGAACAGGAAACATCTTCAATTTTAAAAGAGTGCCATGTAAAGGAAAAAAATCTATGCAAAACTTCCAGTACCTTCATCCAGACCTCCAGGCCCTAAGGCAGAGGTGGAAAAGGCAGTTTACCTTTTTGTTTTCCCTGAAATCCTAATCTTTTGTCCACAAGACAAAGATGGAACCTTCATTCTAGAAAGGGAGGATTGGAAAGATCAGCCCAAATAAAATCTAGACCTCACCTGAAAAGAAAGGGAGGTTCCAGATTCAGGAGTCTCATCCTTTCCACCCAGTGATCCTCTGGAATTAGAGGAACTCAATGGGTTCATGCTGGCGCCAAGCACCAAGTGCAAGAGGAAATGCTGAGTGGTCATGAGTGGAAAGATCACTGAATCCTGCTGACTTACAACAGATGTGTCAACCTAAAGAAAGAAACTGAGGCAAAATTAATATAGACAGTTTATGTGAGCCAAGATTGAAGACTGGGATACACTTCCAAATTGCCTTAGGGAGTGAGTTCTCCCTTTGGCCTTTGATACAACAAATAGGATTTTAAAGGCAAAGAGGACAAGGAATGGGCTTGTACAAAGTTGTTTGACAGGAATCCTCACTGATTTATAGAAATAACATTGGTTAGTGATATGATTTGGCTCTGTGTCCCCACCCAAATCTTATCTCAAACTGTAATCCCCACATGTGAAGGGAGAGACCTGGTGGGAAGTGATTGGATCATGGCGGTGGTTTCCCCATGCTGTTCTCATGATAGTGAGTGAGTTCTTATGAGATCTGATGGTTTAAAAGTGTTTGGCAGTGTCCCCTGTGCCCTCCTGCTGCCATGTAAGACATGCCTGACTTCCCCTTCACCTTCTGCCATGATTGTAAGTTTCCTAAGACCTCCCCAGCCACACAGAACTGTGAGTCAATTAAACCCCTTTTCTTTATAAATTACCCAGTCTCAGGTTGTATCTTTATAGCAGTGTGGGAATGGACTAATACAAAAAATTGGTACCAGGAGTGGGGTATTGCTATAAAGATAACCTGAAAATGTGGAAACAGCTTTAGAACTGAATAACAGGCAGAAGTTGGAACAGTTTGGAAGGCTCTGAAGACAGGAAGATATTGGAAAGTTTGGGACTTCCTAAAGACTTGTTGAATAGTTTTGAACAAAATGCTGATAGTGATATGGATCATGAAGTCCAGGCTGAGGTGGTCTCAGATGGAGATTAGGAACTTATTGGGAACTGGAGCAAAAGTCACCCTTGCTATGCTTTAGCAAAGAGACTGGTGGCATTTTACCCTTGCCCTAAAGACTTATGGAACTTTGAACTTGAGAGAGATGATTTGAAATTAGAACTTATGATTACAATGGGAGGAGAGCATAAAGGTTTGGAAAATTTGCAGCCTGACCATGTGGTAGAAAAGAAAAACCCATTTTCTGAGGAGGAATTAAAGCTGGCTGCAGAAATTTGCATAAGTAACAAGGAGCCGAATGTTAATCACCAGGACAACAGGGAAAATGACTCCAGGGCATGTCAGAGATCTTGGCAACAGCCCCTTCCGTCACAGCCTGGAGGGCTAGGAGGGAAAAATTATTTCATGGGCTTGGCCCTAGGCCCCACTACTCCTTGCATCCTTAGGACATGGTGTCCTGCATCCTGGCTGCTCAGCTCTAGCTGTGGCTAAAAGGGGCCAATGTACAGCTCAGGCCCTTGCTTCAGAGGGTGCAAGCCCATACCTTGATGGCCTCTGCATGGTGTTGGGTTTGCAAATGAGCAAAAGACAGTAGTTGAGCTTTGGGAACCTCTGCCTGAATTTCAGAGGATGTATGAAAATGCCGGGATGCCCAGGCAAAAGTCTGCTGCAGGGGTGGAGCCCTCATAGAGAACCTCTGCTAGGGCAGTGGAGAAGGGAAATGTGGGATTGCAGCCCCCACACAGAGTCCCCACTAGGGCACTGCCTAGTGGAGCGGTGAGAAGAGGGCCACCATCCTCCAAACCCCCAAATGGTAGATCCAAAAACAGCTTGCACCATGAGCCTAGAAAAGCCATAGGCACTCAACACCAGCCTGTGAAACCAGCCAAAGGGGCTATACCCTGCATTACTGCAAGGGCAGAGCTTCCCAAGGGCTTGGGAGCCTACCTGTTGCATCAGCGTGCCCTGGATGTAAGACATGGAGTCAAAGGAAATAATTTCAAAGCTTTAAGATTTAATGACTGCCCTTTTGGATTTCAGACTTGCATGGGGTCTGTGGTCCCTTTGTTTTAACCACTGTCTCCCATTTGGAATGGAATCATTTACCCAATGCCTGTAACCCCATTGTATCTTGGAAGTAACTAACTTGCTTTTGATTTTACAAGCTATAGGCAGAAGGGACTTGCCTCGTCTCATATAAAACTTTGGACTTGGACTTTTTAGTTAATGCCAGAATGAGTTAAGACTTTGGGAGACTGTTGAAAAGGCATGATTGGTTTTGAAATGTGGAAAGGACATGAGATTTGGGAGGGGTCGGGGCAGAATGATATGGTTTGGCTCTGTGTCCCCATTCAAATCTCATCTCAAATTGTAATCCCCATGCGTGGAGGGAGGGACCCAGTGGGAAGTGATCAGATCATGGGGGTGGTTTCCCCCATGCTGTTCTCATGACAGTGAGTGAGTTCTCATGAGATCTGATGGTTTAAAAGTGTTTGGCAGCCAGGCACGGTGGCTGACACCTGTAATCTCAGTACTTTGGGAGGCTGAGGCGGGTGGATCACTTGAGGTCAGGAGTTCCAGACCAGCCTGGCCAACATGGTGAAATTGCGTCTCTACTAAAAATACAAAAAATTACCTGGGCATGGTGGCACCTGTAATGCCAGTTACTTGGGAAGCTGAGGCAGAAGAATCGCTTGAACCCAGGAGGTGGAGGTTGCAGTGAGCTGAGATTGTGTCACTGCACTCCAGCCTGGGTGACAGAGTGAGACTCCATCTCAAAAAAAAAAAAAAGTGTTTGGCAGTGTCCTCCCCACACCTCCTGCCACCATGTAAGATGTACCTGAGTTTCCCTTCGCCTTCTGCTGTGATTGTGAGTTTCCTGAGGCCTCCCTAGCCATGCAGAACTGTGAGTCAATTAAAACTCCTTTCTTTCTGAATTACCCAGTCTCAGGTAGTATTTTTATAGCAGTGTGAGAATGGACTAATACAGTTAGTGATTAGTTATGCATTGCTGAACTATAACATATGAGTTATGGTGTCCAGCATATGGCATTCTATGACTACTTGGTGTCAGTTAATCTAGAGCACACATAGCAATGACCTGTTATTTAGCTCAAGGGGAGAAGTGAGATGCCTGCTATTGCATTTCAATGCCTCTTTGGGCCTAATCATTAAAGGGGGCTTTCATTCTTCAGATAGCAAGTTTCTTTTCTTTCTCAAAAGTGGAATACTTTATTCTGAAATGAAGGACAGATAGCTATCGAAAAGGGGAAAAGGAGGGGTAGCTAATAGGATTTAAAACAGGGAATAGTAAAAGGCAAATTACTGAGAAGCAGGAGATGGACCTGAAAGAGTAGGAAAAAATGATACAGAGAAATCCATATGGCTGGCACATGATAATAACTATTTGTTAGATGAATTCATAAGGAGTAAAAAGAGATAGAAAAAGGGAGCATCCTATTTACTCCAAATGATTAGAAAATAAAACCCACATTTAATTTTAAATTCAGATAGAGTAATATATTTCACTTCCTGTAACCAAAACTCCCAGGAGCTTTTGTTTCCCTTACCCACTCCCCAGGATGATATTTAAAAGACATTTCTAAGGTTATCGACAAATCACCACTGTTTGAATTTAGAAGTTTGAGACTGATTTAGCAATTCTGTGATAACACACAGAATTTCACTCATCTCTTCTCATTCCCTCCATTCAGTTTTCTAAATTGTGTACATGTTTAAGCCTATGGTAGATTTAAAGTTTTCTTGAGTGTAAAAGCATTTCAGATCCAACTTCATATACTCCATGTTACACTGGGAAGATGTTTTATACATAACATCATGTTCATGTGAACTAAATATTTGACAAACATATAATGAGAACTCATCTTCCTTTTAAGCTGAAAGAAAATACATGAATCACTAGTTGTGTTAGTCCATTTGTGCTGCTACAAACAAAATACCTGAGACTGGTAATCTATAAATAACAGAAATTTATTTCTCACAGTTCTGGAAGCTGGAAGGTCAAAGATTAAGCCACCAGCAAATGTAGTGTCTGACAAGGGTTTTCTGCTTCAAAGACAGTGCCTTCTTGCTGTGTCCTTAATGGTGGAAGGGGAGAATAATCTCCCTTGAGCCCCTTTTACAAGGACACTAATCCCATTCATAAGGGTTATGCCCTGATAACCTAATCACCCCCTAAATGCCCCACTTCTTAATACTATTGCATTGTTCTCCTCATAGCTGCTTCTTCTTTTTCCTGGGATATAACTATGCACACTTCCAGGACATGAAGGCATTGTCTTTTAGAAGAAACAGAGATGTTGATATATGAGAAATGTGGTATGGCAGGCCAAATAATGGCTTCCCAAAGATGTTCATGTCTAAATTCCTAGAAACTATGACTATGTTACATTATATGGCAAAGGAGAATTAAGGTAGTAAATGGAATTAAGGTTGCTAATCAGCTGACCTTAAAATATGGAGATAATTCTGGATTATCTTGGTGGGACCAAAGAAATCAAAGGGTCTTTAAATGTGGAAGAGGGAAGCAGAAAAATAGATCAGAAAGGTGTCGTGTAATGAAGATTTGACCAGCCATTGCTGGCTTTGAAAATGTAAGGGGCAATGAGGACAGCCTTTAGAAGCTAGAAAAGGCAAGAAAACACATTCTCTCCTAGAGCTTCCAGAAAGAAATGTAGCCCTACCAACCTCTCAATTTCAGCCCAGTGAGAGTCACTTTGGCATTCTGATCTCCAGAACTATAAAGTAAGGTAGAGAATGGGGTTCCAGAGCCCAGAGTGTGGGGCTTTCCAACAGGAGCTAGATTTCTGGCCAGGGCTGCCTGGCAGGAGCTGAGACCAGGAGAGTGGGGCTATCCTGTGGGAGCAGGAATCACAGAGAAAATAGAGGAACTGCTGGAGACAGCCCTCAAAGAAGGGAAAAATGGGAAAAAATGCTCTGACATTCCCTTTCTCCTGCCCTTCAATCTTTGGCAACACCAAACCTATCTAGAAAGCCAGAAAGCAAATGTACCTGGAAAATGTATTCCTTGACATACAGCACATAGGAAAGACAGGATCTGAGAGCAGACAGTCCAATAATAGAACACCATCCATTATCTCCTACCTAGGACTAAATGACACTTTCTATGGCTGTAGTGAAGGGAACTGTCTCTATCTTTGTTCCCCTCTGTCTTCTCTTTCCTGCTGACCATGTCCCAAATCAGTCTGTACTGGCAGAATCACTTCTGTACACCTGGGCCTTTGAGATTAAACACCACACACCATATCCAGCTGGAAATGTCTCGAAATGAAGGCTTTAGATGTTGTCACAGATGTTAGACACCCTGCCCCATATTCCCTCAGCCCACTCTGAAGTCACCTGCAGCAGTGGTGAACAGTTTATGCACATGGACAATTTCCGCACTCAAGGACCCACACCTCTGCTTCTCTGCTCAAGGCTTCTTTGGGCACTCTAGGTACATGCCTAGTTCATGACAGGGCATCCTCCAAGAATAGGGGACTGGGATTTAATGCCCCCAGGGGCAACCATCAATCAGCCTGAGACTGCTGCTATTGGATAAATACTCTAGCTTTCTCAGTTTCTGATGGGGAACTCATGGGATGCGGCAACAGTATTTCCTGGAGATCCCCCAGCCAGGGTGACTGAGACCCAGTTACCTACAAAAGCAGCCTGCTCAATGATGCACCCTTTATTGGCTTTTCTCCCTTCCCTGTTTCACTTTCTCTACTCTCTCTCTTGCATCTAAGTCCTTGCCTTGGGGTCTGAGGGAAACTGAGCTAAGAAAAATGTAAAATCAAACACAGAATCTTTCTGAAATGGAGGTTGCCTCTTTTACTAAGGGAATGATGTCTTTTACATTGTGTACAGCTGCCTCTATTATTCTCTGGTGCTATAGTCAGTGGTAATTAGGGGCAGGGAAGATGTAGAGAGATACTTATACCCCAAAATGACTTAGAGAGAAATCGTTTGCTTGTAGCACGAGCCCAACTGGAAAAAAAAAAAAAAAAGGCTACCTTATTTTTTTAGAAGTCCTTGGATTCTGGGATATTATTTGTGTATCACCATTAAACCCCTGCTTTTGTGCAGCTTGTATGTAACTTGCTTCACTAAGTAAGCCATTATTTTACAACCCTTGCTTGCCTCAAAAGCACCTGAGAAGCTTTCTAAAATACAATTCCTGGGCTGCAACTTAGATTTACAGAATATTCTCTTTCTCTCTCTCTCTCTCTCTCTCTCTCTCTCTCTGTGTGTGTGTGTGTGTGTGTAAACCGCTCAGGTGATTCTGATGCACAGCTCACTTTGGGAACTGCACAAAAGTTTGTTGTAATTCTTCCACTTTTGTGATC
This sequence comes from Homo sapiens, assembly GCF_000001405.40. Taxonomy (NCBI): domain Eukaryota; kingdom Metazoa; phylum Chordata; class Mammalia; order Primates; family Hominidae; genus Homo; species Homo sapiens. The sequence continues at coordinate 224,905,861 of NC_000001.11, read as the reverse complement.
TTAATTGAGTGGAGGATTACAAAAGACCGAGTAGAAAGACAGAAGGTGTGGGAAGTGAGGCTTGTAATTGAGACATTAGGATTTTATAGCTATTCGATGAAGATAATTTCATGACAGTGTCAAAAAGCCTGTATCCGATCACTGAGATGTCTCTCAGATTAGTCCTTCTCATTACACTTTGTAATTTAAATGTTAAAGGCAGAAGCCACTTTGATGATAAAGTGTTATCTTTGAATATCCTTTATGTAAATGTAACCTTTAGGTAAGGAAAGAGGAAAGACAATATAATTAGTGAATCGCATGCAGATAATCAGCAGCTCATGTAGTATTAGTATATAATTACAAGGCTGAGATTCTCTTAACTTGATATTTGGGCAAAGAAATGAGGAAAAACACATGCAACTCATTCTGCAAGGTTAAAATGGGGTTCTTTTAAGTGTATTTTCAACACAGCATTGAAGAGCAGATACTAAACCAACCAAAAAATCTTGTGAAACTGTATATCTAGAAAGCAGGCGCAAAAAAAGTCTTCTTACATGCTATCTATTTCATGAAATCATTAGAAATGAGATTTTACAACCCTTCATCACACTGTGAAGAATATATTAAACTTTCTAATACCATAAGACACTTGCAAGTAAATCTGTGAGCCTACTCAGTTTCCATCAGTCCTTCCACACTCAACAATGTCTGGACAAAGTGCTATGGTGGGAACAGTTTGTTTCTAAGAGTCTTCCATCTTCCCATTTGTGGAACTTCTCTAAATCATGAAACTCTGTAAGAGCCATCACACACTGCAGCACCTGGGGCATGATTATTAAATGAATAAATGAATGAGTGAATGAATGCATGCATGCTGCACAGAACCCCACACTCTGATATTCCCAAATTCGTCCTGCCCTCACATTCAACAATATAGTTGTCAAATATTTACTGAACACTGCCTATGCTAGGGGCTGTGAAACAAACAATGAGGATGAGACCAATTATATTTCTTCAAAGTCTTTACCATTGAGAATAATAGGTAGACCAAAAAGTTAACATAGAACAAAATATGATACATGCAGGAGAAACAGTTAAAAATGCAATGGAGAAAGTTGGGCACAGTGGCTCACACCTGCAATCCCAGCACTTTGGGAGGGCGAGGCTGGAGGATCACCTGAGGTCAGGAGTTCGATACCAGCTTGGCCAACATGGAGAAACCTTTTCTCTACTAAAAATACAAAATTAGCCAGGCATGGTGGCGCATGCCTGTAATCCCAGCTACTCAGGAGGCTGAGGCAAGAGAATCGCTTGAACCCGGGAGGCAGAGGTTGCAGTGAGCCAAGATCATGCCATTACACTCCAGCCTGGGCAACAAGAGTGAAACTCTGTCTCAAAAAAAAAAAAAAAATGCAACGGAGAGGAATTGTGGATGTTGTGATGGAAAATAAAGAAAAGAAAGAAGGAAATGCTATAAAATAAACCAGAAACCAATGAGAGAATTTCCAAGCAGAGGCTTGGGTGCATTGGTAGTTAGTTGATTTTTTTTCTGGGCTATTCTGTCACCCAGAATGAGAAAGAAAAAGTAGACAAGATTGAAGATTCTTAGCTGAGGCCATGCTCAGCAGAAAGAGAAACTTGTGATAGGCTCTAGGGCAGTAAGGGCAACCAGTGCCAAGTTTCATTTTAACACTGACAGGTTGGTCATGGTGACCCAGAGCACACTTGGAGAATTCTTAGGCTACGTCTGCAGGGTTGCCAGTGGCTGGGAAAAGGGAAAGGGTGACCACATAGGAGCCACAGGTGTACTGTCTGTGAACTTCAAAGGCTACCGTCTGAGTCTAAACTCTGCAAGGAGTAAAGCAAATGCATTGAGTAAACTGAGTGATGGAAAAGAGGTTGAAAATAAAGTGTTTGATAATACAAGATGATAATATCAACCTCATCACAGGGGGGCCAACCAGCATGTAAAGATGTTTCACTGTCAACAATGTCTCACATTAAGCTTTCAGGTTCCATTAAAAAATTAATATGCTATATTCTATTTGATCAATCCATTAAGATTGAATTAAACAAAGTAAATGTGGCCAGGTGCGGTGGCTCTCGGTGACTCTCACCTGTAATCCTGGCTATTCTGGAGGCTGAAGCAGGAAGATCACTTGAGGCCAGGAGTTCAAGATGACCCTAGGCTGATTTCTAAAAATAAATAAATAAAACAAAACAATGTACTTAGGAAAGGAACCCTGTTTTTATATTCATAAGCTAATTTTAATATGTGTTTTTTTCAGTTTCTCTCTTAGATTATGAGCACTTGCCCACATCTGACCTTTCCTTATATTGTATCAAATTTCCACAGTTTCTGCAAAAGAAAGTTCCAGTGAGTGCTTAATGAACCAGATAATGATAGGGAAAGATAAAGCCAGGAGTCTTTGGCAAGTTGAATGAACCTCTAAGTGATTAGAAACTATTTGGTTAGTTTTTACCTTGCTAAATTAATTGATGCTAGAGTTGCTCTAAAGGCAAAAAAAACCTGTACTCAAATAAAAATTTAGTTATTATAATTTAAATGAGATCATTTACATATGCAATTCTACCAAATATTCTTTTTTAGGTAGACCATTACTTAATAAATAACTCAAGTACAAAACATTCCACATTTTTCCTTCTCTTTCTTCTTCTTTTTTCTTTTAATTTGAGGTCAATAAAATTTTTTCCTCATTAGTTCTATGAATAAGTGATTAGCCAATACCTTAACAATTTCCTGTGTGTGAACCAATAGATCCTCTAGTATTTTTTCAAACTCATAAATTTTATAACTCAATTTATATTTGCCCATTTGAATTCACCACAGAGACAAGGGATGTGATTAACAGAATAAAATTTCTAACTAAGATCAAAGAATTATATATTATTACTTTAGGTAACTCTAAGTACTATAAGCAAAAAACAAAATGAAACAAAAAAAAACTAATGAGTTTATTGAGTCAACATAGCAAGGTTTTTCATTCTTATTGAAAAACAAGGTTATTAAATTTTTTCTTACAAAAACAACCTAAGAATAATGAAATTATGGTTATCATATAGAGTACAGATTAAATTAGCTTCAAATTTTATCAAATCACATCCAAATGTAGCTACTAAAATCCAGCAGCCAAGAGAGAAAAAAACTGGGGATACTAACCCTTGGCTGTTTTAGCTATAATACATTTTCCCCCACATTATTATCCAGTAATTGGGATATATAAATGTAGGCTTTTAGAGGCTATCAAGTGTTCAAATTGGTAGGTAGCATTATTAGATAACAAGCACATTTCTTTCCCTTGAGTTGATTCAACAAATCAACTATAACACCACTAGTTAGGTGGATGAAGTAAAATAAAATTGGCAGCAAGCTCCTTTAAGCTTATAACTTTGCAATGAATTTTTGTGTGGTTTAATATTTGCTTAAGAGAAAGACATCTTCCTCGGCTGTTAATCCCAGATTCTTATAATGGTACCTGAGATCTTTTTAGCCAGTGACTTTTCCAGTTTCAGAAGGAGATGTGCATAAAAACCACTGAATGCTCATTTGCTGCAAAGATTATGAGCACAAGCCCTGGCATTAGACCTTCTGGGTTTAAATCCAGACTGTCATCTCTAAGAAACAGTCCAGGAAGCCGAACAATAACTCCTGCAACCCCTGCAAAATGACCAGTACTTAATAGTTGACAGCTTCCCTAATTAGGACCAGCCAGAGAAATCCAAATACACACCCCTAAGCAATAACATAGGATGCCCCACTTCCAGTTAGCCTGCCTACAGCTTCTCATTTTTCCAATTCCTGCCTCTGTGTCTTACACAGTATGTAACTGGGCAAGTAATATTTTTTTCTCTGCCTCAGCATTTCCTCTATAAATCGGAGATAATAATAGTATATACTTTATAGGGTTGTTAGGAGGATTAAATTACCTAATTTATGTACAGTGTTTAGAATACTGCCAAGTGCCTAATGAATGTTAAATAAATTTCAATTTCCATTGTTTTATATATCAATCCAATGTTCAGCTTATTAAGATGTTATGGAGTAACTAAAACATTCCACCTCCCATTGTGGGAACCTACATGTCAGAAAATATCCATGTGCGTTTCACTCATTCCTCTCCCAGCTCTCCAAAATATAGTTGCAATGAGCTTTCAATCTGGTTGTCTTTGAAGAAATTGCTTTCAAGTGAGGAAGCAAAGGCTGCCGGGCAAGTATATGAACATGGGGGTTGCTGAGGAATTTGTGTGAAATGATCAAAGAACCCTTCTGTGCGGTCTCCATTTGATATAGCAACTCTTCTGCTACTAATGCTTCACACGTAGGCACTTTCTGCTTCATACCTCCTACACTATGCTTCACACATGGGTGCTTATTGCTGGAGTGGTGTGGCAGACACTGTTGGGTGCCTACCCAACTCCCATTCTCCCCTTATTCCTTACTCATAGATCCCAGTTCTGTTAAGAGAATAGGAGGCCAGTTGCTTCTAGGGAAGTTAAGCCCTTCCCCAGATCCAGGGGGTGAATCTTGATCAGTCTGTCAGTTATGAGGATTCCATTCCTTTACTAGTGGTTACATTAGGAACAGCTGTGTGACACACTATGGTCAGTGATATGTGATGGGAAATCTGCTGAGGGGACACTGGGAAGATTTTTCTCCCACTTAAAAAGGAATCCAAAGAATAAATACCTTTTCCTCCAGCTACTAGACGTTGTTATGCATGGATGGGAAGCTTGGAAAGGCTGCAACCTTCTTAAGAACTGAGAGGAAAACAACAGAGTGGAAGGATGCTGTTGGTCATCGCTGGTCCTGATGACACAGTTGAGCCTCTGAATCAACCAGCCTGGAACCACCATTCTTGGGCCTTCCTGTTAAATGAGATAATAAATATTTTAAATTGATTAACCCAACTCTTAAACTTTAATGTTCAATTCAAATCCCTTGGAGGTCCTGTGAAAGCAGAGAGCCTGATTTTGTAGGTCTGGAGTGGTGCCTCAGATTCTGCTTTTCTTGCAAGCCCATGGATGATGCCGATGATGCTCGTCCACAGACTTGGAGTAGCAAAGACTAAAGCCACTCTTTCCTGGGCTTTCTGTTAGTTTCAGTGGAAAGAATGTCACTTAATTTGCTTTTGGTTATAGACGGAATTTAAAATTGAAGATGCTGAGAGAGAGGAAAAAAAGAAAATAGATTGTCTCTGTGGCTGGACATATAAACTGAGAGACCATACTCTTTCTTGTGGATAAATTAGCAGAAGCCTGTAGAGAAAGAGCAGCAGCAGGAAGAGAGGTACAGAACCAAGAGGCAGGAAGAAAACACTATGGGCAGTGGCAGGGGTGGTGATGAAGGTTTTCTGGTTTCCAGTTCCATTCTTTCCTGAGACCCAGCTGCATTCCTGCTCTTAGAAAAACCCTTTGGCTTACGATTGCTCAAATTGTTTTATGCAACCTGCTACTGAATAATCCTGATTAGTGCCGGTGCTCAACCAGTAGGGTCATGCAACTGTGTTTTTGTTTCTCAAATGGGAAGCTCTCTTTGAGAGCAAGTAGCTTTTACTTTCACATGTGCTATAGCATTGACTTTATTTATTTATTTATTTATTTATTTATTTATTTATTTATGAGACAAGGTATCTCTGTCACCCAGAGTGGAGTGCAGTATTGCAATCATAGCTCACTGCAGCCTTCAACTGCTGGGCTCAAGCTATACTCCCACCTCAGCCTTCCAAGTACCTGGGACCACAGGTGCATGCCACCACACCCGGCTAAGTTTTTTTTATTTTTTGTAGAGACAGAGTCTCACTTTGCTGCCCAGGCTGGTCTAGAATTCCTGGCTTCAAGCGATCCTCCCACCTAGGCCCTCCAAAGTGTATATTTTAAAACTTATAGCTTTTTTCCATTTGCTTACTTATTCCCCAGCACCAAACATAGTATCTGATAGATAATTGATGATCTGAAAATTCTGACTCCGTGAATAAAATGATGGACACACTCACAAGAACTTTACAGGAAATATGTATGTAGTTCAGCCAACTCTGATTCCATGTAAATCTCCCTCATATACTTTGTTTTCACCAAATCTGTTAGTACTGTGCTCCTTTGTGCATATGACTATGATAATGATGAAATAAGATGCATATTCTTCTTAAAGCCCTAAAGTTTTGTGTAATGTTCCTTGACAGAAGTGTTGTTCACTACTTATGTTCACTACATAAGATAGTGCTACAATCTGTCATCTTTTTAAAAATAAGTTTTATTGAGATATAATTCACATACCATATAATGTATTCATTTAAAGTGTGCAAGCCGGTTGTTTTTAGTACTCATATAGTCACCAAATTGTACAACCATCACCATAATCACTATTAAAATATTTTTATCATACCTGAAAGAAATCCCATACTATTTAGCAGTCATTCTCAATTTCTTCCCAGCCCACAGCCATGAAGCAACTACTAATGTACTTTCTGTAGATCTACCCATTCTGGACATTTCATGTCAATGGAACTGACTTCTTTACTTAGCCTGATACGTTCAAGATTTATCCATGTTGTAGTGTGTATTAGTACTTCATTTCTTTTCATGTGTGAATTACATAACATTGTATGGATATACCATTTTGTTTATCTCTTCATCTGTTGATAGATGTTTGGGTGATTTCTACTTTGGGGCTATTACAAATAATGCTGTTATGAACATTCATGTACAAGTTATGGTCTGGATATATGTTTTTATTTCTCTTGGGTAGATATCTAGGAGTGGAATTGCTGGGTCTTATGGTAACTGACTCTATGTTTCATCTTTTGAGTTGCCAAACTCTTTTTCCAACGTAGCTGCACCGTTGTACTTTCCCACCAGGAGTATATGAAGGTTCTGATTCCTTCAGCACTTTGTTATTATCTCTCTTTTTATTACAGCCATCCTAGTGGGTATAAAGTGGTATGCCATTGTGATTTTGATTTGCATTTCCCTGATGGCTAAGGAATGCATAATCTTTTGTCTGATAAAATTGAGAGGAAATGAATTTTTCTGGATAATCAACCATCTCTTATTTGTTTAGGATGTTTCTTCCAATAGGCTTTTTTTCCCCAATAAAACAGTTTTCATGCTTTCCAATTTACTTAAAAATCAGAACAATCCACCGTCATTATTTTTATCTAGGTGTTTCACATATGTATGCCCCCTGAAGGACACACATATTTATAACCCCATAGTCCCTATTGCAATAGTTCTTTGTGTGATGTAGGTATTTTACAAAGACATAATGAATGAATAAAGTAATAATACTTCAAAGAAAAGCTGTATTTTATCCTAGCAACTGTTCTCATGAGAACAGCAAGCAGCAGTACTCAGAGTGAAGCTTTTCAGAGCTGCTAGATATTTTTGATTCAATCTTTGCTTGCCCATTAAAACATTCATTGCATTGTGAATAAGAAAATCCAAACAATCTCCCACCCACCACAACTTTGCAAACCACAAATACATAAATCAGAAGATGTAGTTCATGACAAAAATTCTGGATTATGAGAGAATGGGGATGGTAAATGGATTGAGACAACTGAGAGACTGAATAGACAAATGGACAATGGCCAGAACATATATAAAAATAGAACTCTGATCCACAACCTGCAGCAATCAGGCCAGGAAACAACCCTATTATCTACAATAAACAGCCCAGGAAGCCAGTCTATGATCCACAAGTCAGACTTGCTGGAGATTTGACTACTATCTCTAAGAAACAGTCCAGGAACCCAAACAATAACTCCTGTAACAATTGGCCTCAAATGGCCAGCACTTGCTTCAATAATTGACAGCTTCTTTAATTTTTCTACTTCCAACTTAGGAACTACCAGAAAAAGTCAAATATGCACCCCTAAACATTACACAGGATGCCTCATTTATAGGTAGTCTGTCTGCAGCTTCCCCATGCCAACAGCTTCCAATCAGGGTACACATGAATTCTCTTTTTCCCTACTATAAAGCTTTCCCACTCCTCTGCCTGCCTTTGAATCTCTGCCAAAATGCAAGGGATGACTCCCTCACTATAGTAATCTCTGAATGCATATCCACTCCCTGTTCTCATGTGGTTGGTCTTTATTTCCACACAGGCTGTTTGGATTTAATATCCTAGCCTGATTTAGAATCTGCTTAACTATTTTCTGAATCCAGTTGAAAGAAGTAGTATTCCTATGACAGTCAGGTTACTATGAGTCAGTCTGGTGGCATGGAAAGCGCATGAGGCTTGGAGCTAAGAGATGATTATTGTAGTCCCAGCACACTGCTAATCACTTTGTGACTCTGGGCATGTGGCTGCTGGAGAGTTAGGTTTCTCTAGTTATAAAGTGGGAATAGTGGAGGCCTAAACTATATCTCTAAAATAGCTTCTGTTTCTTAATCACAGAATACTAGAAATGGTTTCAAATAATTTGTGATCAACTGCCTCCTCTAACCTTCTAACCTCATTCTCATCTGTTATGGACTGAATGTTTGTGTCCCCTCCAAATTCATATGTTTAAATCCTACCCCCCAATGTGATGATATTAGAAGCAGAGCCTTTAGGAAGTAATTTGGTCGTGAGGGTTGTCTTAGTCTGTTCATGTTGCTGTAACAGAAGACCATAAAATGGGTAGAATATAAACAAAAGAAATTTATTTCTCACAGTCCTAGAGGCTGGGAAGTGCAAGATCAAAGCACCGCAGATTGGCTATCTGGTGAGGGCCTGTTTCCTTGTTCATAGAAACTGCATCTTCTTGCTGTATCTTCACATTGTGGAAAGGACAAGGCAGCTCTCTGGGGCCTCTTTTGTAACACTTCTGCTGAAACTTTGAGAAAATAGAAAAAAGTCTTAATGTTGTGGAGTAGTACAGATTGAAAACAACTGTTCTATTCCATTTGGATACAACAAATATGCTCCATTGGTCTGCGGTGTGTAAATACTTGATCTTTCTCATCAACCATAGTAAGAGGGGAAATCTAAAAGTCCAGGCTACCCTGACAAGGCTCCCACGTCTCTCTCCCTGATGTGCCTGGGGTGCCTAGTGCATCTAAGTCATTAGTGGAACCTGTATGGTGTGGCCCCATCTGGACGTGTGTCTACTGAGGAGGTGTACTGCTTCTTTTAAAAAGCTGCCTTGCATGCCATGTGGCTATGTGTCCTTGTTCCTAAATAGACAAATGCAAACCTTCAGCTGTAAGCTGCCTGTTTGTTCCTTCCCTGAACATGGTCACAGAAGCTGGGGACAGCTGGCTGCAGAGGCTGGCCAGGGCTGCTCAGAAGTGCTGGGTATGTGGATGGTAGTGCCCAAGGCCAACCTGACATGTGGGTTATGGAGCTGCAAGGTAGTGCTCACTCTTATAAAGCAGTAACCTGCAGCTCTGCCAGCTACTACAGAAGCAGTTATTCCAAAGAAGGCCAATCCCCACTAGTCCTTAGGTCCTGCAGGCTTGGATCCAGTGTCTGTCGAGTACTGTAGTGGTCAGTTTGTCCAATGCTTACATGCAGCCACATCCCAGAGCACGAGCCAGTCCTATGTGCAGACTTAGGACTGGTACCAGCATCTGACACCTCATAGCCCAGATCCACTGTGATCGCCTCCCCATTGTCCACCTCTGTCCAGGATATTATCTGGAGCTACCCTTAGAGATTCTCAGGGAGTTTCTGAAACCCACCTGCAACGTGCTGTCATTCACTGGTTCTTCAACTTGACTGCAAGTTGGAATCATCTAGGGAGTGACAAAGATTCTTTGCCTGACCAAACTTTAGTCAGACTCCTGAACATCTTCCTAAGCCTATCTGTGCACTTACAATTCAGCTTCAGCAAAGATCCCTGCTAGGTCATCCCTTCACCCTTGATGTCTGATCAAACCTCAATATTGGATTGGGTTCCTCATCCTCCACCATCCCACTGGTTGAAGACATCCAGGCCTGTCTTCAGCAAGAATCCTATTAAGCTGGTTTAGCTAGAATCTCCTTTATTCCTGATATTTCCTCTTAGTAACTTTGCATCCATGGGCCCCACCCTGCTCCTTGGCTTTAAATTTCCACTTGCCCATGCTGTAGTCAAAGTTGAGCCCAATCACTCTTCACGCTGCAAAATTCCATTGCAGTGGTCCTTACACCTGTCATGATGGTCCTGAATGAGGTCTTCTTTAGAATACTTAAACAAATATCATTGAATAATATTTTCTTTAACAGGAGCTTTGGAAGCTACTAATGCCTGCCCCACCCACAGAGCTTTTTTTTTTTTTTTTTTTTTTAAGATGGAGTTTCACTCTTGTTGCGCAGGCTGGAGTGCAATGGCGCGTGATCTCGGCTCACCACAACCTCCGCCTCCTGAGTTCAAGTGATTCTCCTGCCTCAGCCTCCTGAGTAGCTAGGATTACAGGCATGTGCCACCACACCCGGCTAATTTTGTATTTTTAGTAGAGACAGGGTTTCTCCATGTTGGTCAGGCTGGTCTCGGACTCCTGACCTCAGGTGATCTGCCTGCCTTGTCCTCCCAAAGTGCTGGGAATACAGGCGTGAGCCACCGCACCTGGCCCCCACCCACAGAGCTTCTGATTTAATTGGTCTGGGGTACAGCCTGGGCATCAGAAATTTTCAAAGCTCCCCAGGTGATCCCAATGTACAGCCAGGTTTGGGTGCAACTGATGAAGCTGATAACCTCTCAGTGAAGAAGAAAAGAAAATTACAAGTGTGGCCTCTAGGGGGGACTCCCTCTCCTCAAATGTGATATTGTTCCTGAGGTTTTTTCCTACCCATCGTTTCAGAGTTTAGCTCAGCTGAAGGCAACATGGAGTCCATTCTGGCAGCCTAACATGGCTGCATTCTCAGCATTTCACGTTGATGAACTGGAGGCTGGATCATTGCATTCTCCTGTCGTGGCTAAGAAAGTAATAACAATACTAATTATAATTGTAATTGTTTTTAAAAGATAAAATGATGTTCTGTGGAGTGTGTGCCAGCTAAGTAAAATTGCCAGCAGCATAGACTACAAACTGTGAAGACTGTAAATCTAGGCACAGCCTGAAGTTTTATTTCCATCGTTCTTAAAAACTGCATATTACTTGCAAAATCTGAAATCATTCCCAAGAATTACATACTTTTAATTATTTAAAGTTAAATCTAGCTAATTTTACCAATTGTTCTTAATTAAATAAAAGGCAGAAAGCATGTATTAAGAAGATATATGTTACAGTTCAGTAGCTAAAAGGGCCTTCTATTAGAACAGAGAATATTTGAAATGAAGAGCTAATACAAGTTTAAATATTGAGCTCACTCCCAAAAACACTCAGAAAAAAAACCCCTAAATTCAAAACGTGTTTATTTTGTGGCACACCAAGGTCCATCTCACTATTTTTCTTTCCCCAAAAGACATACATATTAATATACACATTCACACACATGCACAGCAATGAAAAGGTGATTTGGGTAATACTTAAATTTATGTAAGGTAGCATGATGGTATTCTGGAAAGAGCATGGGGCTTTGGAGTCCTGCAGAATTGGGCTTGAATTCTGACTTTACTACAATTCAAGTGTGACCTTGGACAACTTATTTAAGCTCTGAATCTTCATCTGTGTAACATAGGAATATTTACACCTTTCTTACAGCATCACGCACAGCTAAGTGGAAGTGAAGAGGAAGTAACATTGAGGAATATCTGCTAAACTAGACAGATGCTTGTCCCCATGCTTTCAATTCACTCAACCGAAAACCAAAACCACCTATCTTTCTGCCTCTGTCCCCTACCATACTGTCTACATTAACACAACTTTACTATTTCATTATCCTCACTAGCACAACTTTACCATTTCAGGATAGTCTCACTCAAGCAAGCAACCTGATTGTTCATTCTAGGAACTTCGCAAAGGATTCATCAATTCTTCAATAGGGAACAGCAACAGACAGCTTATGTCCTAAAACTTCCTTGCTTTAAAATCTTTGCCTTGTTATTTCCCCAACTCTAAACTGTGAGAGACTGAATAGGAAAATAGACAATGGCCAGACCATACATAAAAATAGAACTCTGATCTACAATCTGTAGCAGCCAGCTGAGGAAATCAGCTTTTTAATGACATTAAGCAGCCTAGAAATCCAAACTGCCATCTACAAGTTAGATGTTGACATGGTTTGGCTGTGTCCCCACCCAAATCTCATTTTGAATTATAGCTCCCATAATCTCCACGTGTCGTGGGAAGGACCCAGTGGGAGGTAATTGAATCATGGGGGTGGGTTTTCCCATGCTGTTCTCATGATAGTGAGTAATTCTCACAAGATCTGATGGTTTTAAAAAGGGTAGTTCCCCTTCGTTACGTGCGTCCATATAAGAGACCACCTGAGCAGGCTTAGTGTGAGCAACAAAGCTGTTTATTCACTTGGGTGAAAGTGGGCTGAGTCTGAGAAAGGAGTCAGCAAAGGGTGGTGGGATTATCATTGGTTCTTATAGGTTTGGGGTAGGCGGTGGAGCTAGGAGCAATTTTTTGCAGGCAGGGGATGGATGTTACAAAGTACATTCTCAAGGATGGGGAATATCACAGAGTACATTATCACAAGGGCAGGGGAATGTCACAATGGCTTGACCATGGTACGGCCAGCTCAGAGGACCTTACATTCTTGTCTTTTTATATTAATAATTAAGAAATAAAACGAGAAAGAGTAGTGAAAACTTGGGGTGAAAATTTTGGGGGCGGTATGGAGGGGTGAGGGTGATGTTTCTCAGGGTGGCTTCGAGCAGGATTGGGGCGGTGTGGGAACCTAAAGTGGGAGAGATTAGATTGAAGTAAGATTTTGGGGTAAGGGGTGATACTGTGGGGCTGTTCAAAGCAGCATTTGTCATATAGAGTGATTAGTGATAGCCTGGATGCAGTTTCATAGGAATTGAGAGTTTAATTGGGAAGACACAAGGCCTAAATAAAAGGAGGAGGAAGATAGATATTAGAGGACTAACGATTGGAAGACGCCAGGATACCCAGTTAGAGAGTGGCCAGGTGGATCCAGCATGATTAGTTGCCTGATTAGCGAGTTTTTGAGCTGTCTTTGAGTTTTTTGATGTTATCATATACCAGGCCAGATTGATTTAAGTAAAAACAACACTCTTCATTAAGAAATATACAGAGTCCTCCTTTTTCAGCAGCAAGTAAATCGAGGCCCCGGCAGTTCTGGAGGATAACTGAAGCTAAAGAGTCAACCTGGGCTTGGAGGACAGATAACGTCTGTGACATATCTGTAATGCTAGCAGAGAAGTCATTAGAGAGGCTGCAAAATGTTGTGACAGAGATTGAAATGCCTGCTATTCCAGTTCCAAGTGCAATAGTGGAGGCAGAAAGTCCTAGACCCACAAGTAAAGGGATTAGTGGGATGACTTTTTTTTGTTGTGTTGATGTCATGAGGGGGACAGGCAGTTTTTCATTCCCATCTGCAAACTGGATTTTGGGGGTAAGGAAGACTAGAGTACGTGTGTCCATCCAGTTGGCAGGTAGGCACATGTAGGTGGAAGAGCCACATAAAAAGAAGAGACCTAGTGTCAGGCAGAACCGGAAATATAAAGTGAAAAGGTGAGAGGGTGTACTGAAAGAGGAGTCCTGCACCCAAAATCCTAGAGATCCAGCAAGGGAAGCAGCCATTAGAGGTTGTAATGGGGATTGATGGTGCAACTGCATAGAGGGAGAGGTTCGGTTCTTATGGTGTATGAGAAAGAACATAGTGTCTATGAGTAACCTTTCACTACTATTCATGGGGCTGGGTATAAGCAAACAAGAGGAGGGGCCAGGAGGAGAGTCAGATGAGCAGATGGAGGGTAGCGAAGGATGGAGTGAGATGCAGGGTAGGTGTCTTCCTAAACAATAGTGACTGCCAATGTTTTTTAGTTTGTCAGTAATGATAGAGGGCTTATCGGTAATGCGAAGTTGGAATCCTCCCATCTGTTTGGTAATGTGTGTGGCTGGGTTCTGAAGATGAAGAGTAAAGGAACATTTGGATGGTGGAAGGTTGCCTAAAGTGATTCCAGTAGGGTGTTGTCGGGAGATGCATAAAGGAGCAGCCACAGGGATGGTTGTTTGTGTGCTGAGGGGTCCAAATATGGGGGGTGAGGGTGGAATTGACATAAGGAAAAAGGTGCTGTAACTAGATGCGGAGAAATGTGGCAGCTTGTTGGTGCGAAATGTCTGGGGAGTTCTCACCAAATCTGTCTAGAAAGTAAAGAATTTCCTCAGGTGGGTAAAGATGAGGGCTATTAAAGGAGGTTCGGAGGTGCAGGCAGACAGGAGAGGTAGCCCAGTCAGCCTACAGAGCGGGGATGGCTGTGTAAGAGCAGGAAGAAAGGGAAATGCATAGCCAACAATTCTTTGCTAGAGAGGGATTGGAGGCAGTGAGGAGAGAGTGGGTGAGACTGATAGTATGCTGGAGGTAACTAGAGAGAGGTAGAGAGTGACTGGAGAATGGAGGTAAGGATAAGAGTGAGTAGAAAAGTAAAAAAAAAAGCACTTCATCAGGATAGAAGAATTGGAGTGTATCTTGCCATTGAAGATCTTCTATCCACTCCAAGAGAGAGTTAAGGGTGGCGGTTTGAGGTAAAACCGGGAGATATCAGTTATGATGGTCTGGAGGAAAAGTGTAAACCGGCAGTGTAAACAAGGGCAAGGCATTTATGAGTAGTTGAGAATGGTGAATAGGTGTATGACTAGACAGAAGATAGTAGGGATGACAAGTTTTTGGGGTGCAGTCCAAGTAGTGCAGGTGACTGCGTAAAGCCCCATTGCAAAAAGTAGGGTAAGGATGAATAGACCTAATAGAATGAAGGGATGTATTAGGCTCATAAGGGTTATTACTGTTATTCAGAAATGCAGGTGAGTTTAAGGGAAGTAGGGGAGAGTACTTGTGACTTCCAGGAGGAAGAGGAGAGATCAGGCTGGCTGTCCGATGGACACAGCTTTATTCTGGAATGGTGAACCCAATGGGGAGGGTCCTGCAGGTGCATGGCAGTTGGGGTACTATAGATGACTAAGTAGGGTCCAGTCCATCAAGGTTGTAGAGTTTGAGGGGTCAGATTCTTAACAAGAACTGATAATCCAGCAGGGGTATCTTTGTATCGCTGGGAATCTGGAGTAGGCAAGAGAAGATTAGCAGCCTGGCAAATTTCCTGTCTAGCCTGCTGGAGGACTGGAAGATAGTCGCCTAGAGGGCTGGTGTCTGGCACAAGGTTGGGGCCCAACAAGAAGGTACATCCATATAAAAGTTCAAATGGACTATACCCTATAGCTTCTCAAGGACAGGTTCTAATTCTAAGGAGGGCAAACGGTAAAAGTACTGTGCAGTCTTTTTTAAGTTGTAGGCTGAGCTTGGTGAGGTGTGTTTTTAAAAGACCATTAGTTCTTTCTACCTTTCCTGAAGATTGAGGACGGTAAGGGGCATGAGGGTTCCACTGGATGCCAAGGGCCTGGGAGACTGCTTGAGTGACCTAATGAAGGCTGGTCCGTTATTGCACTATATAGAGGTGGGAAGGCCAATATGACAGGAGGGAAGAAATGACTGCAGTGGCCTTCTCAGACCCTGTGGGAAAGGCCTCTACCCATCCAGTGAATGTATCTACCCAGACCAAACGGTATCTTAGTGTTTTGACTCGGTGCATATGGATAAAGTCAACCTGCCAGTCTTGGGTGGGGGCAAATCCTCAAGCTTGATGTACAGGAAAGGAAGGAGGCCTGAGATATCCCTGAGGGGTGGTAGAGTAGCAGATGGAATGCTGAGAAGTAATTTCCTTGAGGATGGATTTCCATGATGGAAAAGAAATGAGAGGTTCTAAGAGATGGGCCATTGGCTTGTAACCCACATGAAAGAGGTTATGAAAGGAAGATAAGATAGAATGAGCCTGTGAGGCAGGAAGGAGGTATTTTCCTTGATCCAAGAACCATTTGCCTTGAGTAGGAAGGGATTAATAGATAATAGTTTCAGTGGGAGAATATGTGGGAGTGAAGGAAAAAAACTGGCCGTGAGGGACAGATGTGGGAATACTAGCTGCTTCTTTTGCTGCATTATCAGCATAAGCATTGCCTTGAGTAATGGGATTTGGTGACCTCTGAGGCCCCTTGCAGTGAATGACTCTGGCTTCCTTAGGCAGTAGAGCAGCCTTAAGGAGGATTTTTATTAAGGAAGCGTTGATGATGGAGGACACTTGTGTAGTGACAAAACCTCTTTCTGCCCATATAACAGCATGGTGATGTAGGGAGTTTCAATGAATAGTGAGTAAAATTGGAGGAGTCGGGGGGCAGAAAGTATATGCGCCAAGTGTGAGGAGGAAAATAGATTTTGAAAGTTATGAGAGATGTAAAGAGTAAGTGGGACATGGTTTGTGACCTTGAGGACCTCTAGAAGTATTGAAGTGGTGGCTGCCGCCTCACGTAGACATGAGGGCCAGTCTAGAACTGTGAAGTTAAGTTGTTTGGATAGGAAGGCTACAGGTCGTGGGCCTGGTTCCTGTGTAAGAACTCCGACCGCACAGCCATGTATTTCAGCCGTATGTAAGAAGAAGGATTGGGACGAGTTAGGGAGTGTTAATGTGGGAGCTGTTTCTAGGACATCTTTAAGGAATGAAAAGAAGAGTGGGGAAAGGACTTAGGGTCTATGGGGTCAGTCAGGTTTTCCTTTGTGAGTTTATATAGTGGTTTAGTTAGGATGGCAAAACCTGGTATCCAAAGGCGAAAGTATCCAACCATGCCTAGGAAGGAAATGAGTTGTGGCTTTGTAGAAGGGGTTAGGGTTTTGGAGATTAGCTGGACATGATTAGCAGGGAGAGCACATGTGTTTTGATGAAGGACTATGCCGAGATACGTAATGGATGGGGAAGAAATTTGGGCTTTAGAAGGGGATACGCAATACCCCTTTCAGAATAGATGTTGAAGGAGCAGGAGGGTATCCTGTTAGGAAGATTCATAAGAGGGGCTGCAGAGGAGAAGGTCGCCCATATATTGAATAAGGTGAGAAACAGATGGACGGAAAGAAAGTAGATCATGAGAAAGAGCTTGACTAAAGTAATGGGGGCTGTCTCTGAAGCCTTGTGGCAGTACAGTCCAGGTGAGTTGCTGAGATTTGTGGGTGTCAGGGTCAGTCCATGTGAAAGCGAGAGGAGGTTGGGATGAGGGGTGCAAAGGAATAGTGGAGAGAGCTTCTTTGAGATCGAGGATGGAATAATGAGTTATGGAGGGAGGTATTGAAGATAGGAGAGTATACGGGTTTAGCACCACAGGATGGATAGGTAAGACAATTTGGTTAATAAGGTGAAGATCCTGAACCAGCCTGTAAGATTTGTCCAGTTTCTGGACAGGTAGGATAAGGGAGTTGTAAGGAGAATTTGTAGGCTTTAAAAGGCCATGCTGTAACAGGTGAGTGATAACAGGCTTTACTCCTCTTAAAGCCTGTTGTGGGATGGGGTGCTGGTGTTGAGCAGGGTAAGGGTGATTAGGTTTTAATGGGATAAGGGGTGCCTGATCGGTCACCAAGGAGGGAGTAGAGGTGTCCTATACTTGTGGATTAAGGTAGGGAGACACGAGAGGAAGATTCAAAAGAGGCATTGGATTGGGCAAAAGGGCAGCAATGAGGTGTGGCTGTAGTCCAGGAATAGTCAGGGAAGCAGATAATTTAGTTAAAATGGCTCAGCCTAACAAGGGAACTGGGCAGGTGGTGATAACTAAAAAGCAGTGCATAAAATAATGTTGTCCAAGTTGGCACCAGAGTTGGGGAGTTTTAAGGGGTCTAGAAGCCTGGCCATCAATACCCACAACAGTTGTTATGGGGGCAAGGGAAATGGGCCCTTGAAAAGAAGGTAATGTGGAGTGGGTATCCCCTGTATTGATTAAACAGGGGATGGACTTACCCTCCACTGTAAGAGTTACCCAAAGCTCAACATCGGTGATGGTCCAGCGGCTTCTGAGGCGATCAGGCAGTGTCAGTCTTCAGCCGCTAAGCTGAGGAGATCTGGGAAGGAGTCAGCCAAGGAACATTGGATTTGAGCTCCAGGAGCTTTAGGAGCTGCAGTGATGTGAGTTGGACATCCGACTTCCAGTGGGGGCCTGTGCAGATAGCGCATGGCTTAGGAGGAATCCCAGGCTGTGGGCATTCTGAGGCCCAGTGGCCAGACTTTTGGCATTTGAAGCAAGGTCCACGAGGAGGTTTTAAAGGAGCCCCTGGGAGCTGTGGCTTGGATGTTCTGAAGGTTTTGTATGCTGGAGACGTGGTTGTGGGTTGTCTTACAGCGGAGGCAAGTGGCTGTAACTCAGAGATACATTGCTGCTTGGCGGCTTCTTCTCTGTTATTGAACACCTTGAAGGCAAGGTTTATTAAATCCTGTTGTGGGGTTTGAGGGCCAGAATCCAACTTTTGGAGTTTTTTTCTAATGTCAGGAGTGGATTGGGTGATAAAATGCATATTAAGGATAAGGAATTCTTCTGGACCCTCTGGGTCTAGGGCTGTAAAGCGTCTAAGGGTAGCTGCTAAGCAGGCCATGAACTGGGCTGGGTTTTCATCTTTACCTTGGGTAGTTTCCTTTAACTTGTCATAATTAAAAGCTTTGTATGCTGCCTTTTTGAGCCCCTTGACTAGGTAGGAGACCATGTAATCTCACCTAGCTATACCTGGGGAATCCATCTGGTATTGCCAATGGGGATCCCCTCGGGGAACTGCTCTGGTGCCCTCTTGGAGGCCTGGCTCATGAAGCCGGCAGGTGTCTGCATAGGACTGGGCTAGAAAATAAACTCTTTCTCATTCACCTGGGAAGAGGGTAGAGGTCAGGGTGTCATTTAAGTCACTCCAGGTTAAATTGTAGGACTGAGTTAGATATTGGAATTCCTGTATGTATTTAGTGGTGTCTGATGAGAAAGAGCCTAAATGCTGGCTGATTTGGAAAAGGTCTGACAGAGAAAAAGGCACATGTACCCTGACTATGCCTTCAGCTCCAGCCACCTCTCTAAGAGGAAATTGTTGGGCAGGTGGGGGAAAACTAGTCGCAGAACGAAACTGTAAGCCAGCCTGGGTGTGAGGAAGGGAGTTAATAGAAGGGTTATAGGGTTGGGGAGCAGAGGCTGTGGAAGAATTGGGGCCCGATTCAGCCTGGTGAGGAGCGGCTGGGGAAGGAGGAGAGAGGTCAGAGGGGTCAGTGGAAAAGGAGGATTCAGAGGACTCTGAGCTTGGGTGGAGACCTAAAGAGCAGATGGGAGAGAAAGGAGGAAAATCTGGAATGAGTCGCATCTGGAGCAGAGACTAGGGAAAGAGCAAAGTGTAAAAAATGCCTTGACGTAAGGCACCTCAGACCATTTGCCCAATTTTCAACAAAAATTATCTAGGTCTTGTAGGATAGATACATCAAAAGTGCCATTCTCTGGCCACTTGGAACTATTGTCGAATTTGTATTGGGGCCAAGCAGTATTACAGAAGAAAATAAGACATTTAGGTTTTAGGTCAGGTGTTAGTCAAAGGGGTTTTAGGTTTTTAAGAATACAGGCTAAGGAGGAAGAGGGAGGAATGGATGGCGGAAGGTTGCCCATAGTGGAGAAGGTAAGTTTAAAGAGGAAGGTAGAGACACAGAGAAATGGAGGTGGGCAGCTACCAGGCTTCGGTAGGCATCTCTGACTGAGTCCTGGGCTGTAATGTGGGTGAGCAGCCAAAGCAGGCATCCCTGCAATTGACCTGCCACCAAGGGAATGTGGGTGAATGATCAAGGCAGGTGTCCCCGTGGAGATCAGACACCAAGGGAAGACTGTCTTCCCAAGTCCATGACCGACGTCGGAGTTTTTGAATGCACGGATAAAGTCTGTCTGCTTTTTGTCTCTACCAGGAAGGGAGAGAAACTGAAGTTGAAAGAAGAGAGATTGAAGGGAAGTGAGAGAGGTTAGGTAGAGAGTGAAAAAGCCACTTATCTGAGTGTGAAAAACTGCTTACCAATTTGAAATTGGTGAGATGATCCTTGGGCTGGCTGGTCTGATGACCTGAGGTTGTAGGTGGATCTCCTCACAGAGGGAGTGTGAGGACAGGGGACCGCTCTCCCGAAGGAGTTCCCCTGTCCTGGGTTTCAGCACCAAATGTTATGCATGTCCATGCAAGAGACCACCTGAGCAGGCTTAGTGTGAGCAACAAGGCTGTTTATTCACTTGGGTGCAAGTGGGCTGAGTCTGAGAAAGGAGTCAGTGAAGAGTGGTGGGATTATCATTGGTTCTTTTAGGTTTGGGATAGGTGGTAGATTTAGGAGCAATTTTTTGCAGGCAGGGGATGGATGTTACAAAGTACATTCTCAAGGGCAGAGAGGATGTTACAAAGTACATTCACAAGGGCGGGGAGGATGTTACAAAGTACATTCACAAGGACTGGGAATATCACAAAGTACATTATCACAAGGGCAGGGGAATGTCACGATGGCTTGACCATGGTGCAGCCAGCTCAGAGGACCTTACACCCTGCACATGCTCTCTTGCCTGCCACCATGTAAGACATGCCTTTGCTCCTCTTTCACCTTCTGCCATGATTGTGAGTCCATTAAACCTCTTTTTCTTTATAAATTACCCCGTCCCGGGTATGTCTTTATTAGCAGTATGAGAACAGACTAATACATAAGAAATTAGACCACTATCTCTACAAACAGTCCGAGGAGCCAAAAAATAACCCTGTCACAATTGACCCCAAACAGCCAGGACTTATTAATAACTGCCAACTTACCTCATTTTTGTCCCTGCTTCCAACTTAGGACCAACTGGAGAAAGCTAAATATGCACCCCTAACCAATCAATGGAATGCCCCAATTTTGATCAATCTGCATTTAACCTCCCATTGCCAACAGCCTCCAATCAGGGCATGCATGAATGCCCTTTTTCCCAATATAAAGTGTTCCCACTCCTCTGCCTTCCTTTGAGTCAATGCCAACTGCAAGTGATGGTGGCTGATTTCCTTGCTATAGTAAGCTCCAAATAAATAGCCTTTGCCTCGTCTCCTTTGAGTGGCCTTCATTTATTTCCATAACTGTTAGATCATGATCCTTATCAAGTCCTAATCAAGGTCATGTCAGGAAGTAAACATTTTCATGTTTCTGCATTGTTAGGCTTCTTCTTGAGTAAATTTTACTGGAATCTGGGTTAAAGGACAAATCTTGGAAGTTAAAGGGTAATTGGATCACCGGAGAACTCCTGAAAGATTTATCTCCCTGGAGGTACTTCCATGGAGGTATGTGTTTACATTTCAAAGGAGAGTAAGAACCAGATTCAAAGGAGAATAAAACCCAGACATGGAGCCATTCCAAGGTTGTAAACTCTGCCAAGCTTGTCTTATCTTTCCCCAGAGACATGTATTTACATTCCAAAGGGCTCTTCCCCTTCTCTTTCCAAGGAGATTTTCTTTATAGCAGAGATTTTTTTTTTTTTTCTCTCAGAAAACCTGCTGGGCAAGCCATCCTATGTAAACTGCCAGATGGATAATTTCAGGGTTCCTCTCTTGTAGTACAAGAAGACCCCTTTATACACAGAGCCCAGCCATCTGGCCCTCATCACATCACCTCAGAAGAGGGAATAACTGGGGTGTGGGGAACTGCAGCAGTTACGGCTATAATAAGTAATAATAATTTTCCTTGATCCAGTGTGGGAGATCAGAAATATGCCACAGGAAAATATGAAGGATTGTTGAGCTGAAGGCAATGAAGAAGCAGCAGATGCAAGAAAGCTCTCTGCCCTCCCTCTATTTGCCTAAAAGCAGGACATAGATTTACAAAAACAAAAGGTATCCTGCCCCACCTTCTACTGGGAAGAGCAAAAATATTAACTACCAAAGACAACTTCGGACCCTTATTGGCCTAGAGATGATACCAGAAGAATCTACATTAACAAGCTTTACTTACTGGCCTTTATTGCCACTCATTTCCTTCCTCCAAGTTGCTGCCCTTAGAGACTCAACGTCCTTTTCCTTTGTCTTGTCACATCCTAAAAATGTACTGTTTGAACTGGAATTCTAACGCACCTCTTTGAAAACTACTCATTCTCTGGGTGTCTCCCATGTATATATGAAATATACATGTTAATACACTTCTGTTTGTTTTCCTCTTATTTAATCTGTCTTTTGTAACAGGGGTCTATTCCAGTTTAGAACCTAGGGGAGTTATTCTTTCCCTATATCAGAATCCTTATGTTTTCGTGTAGGAAAATAGAAACAGATAAAGATATTAAA
Source organism: Homo sapiens (assembly GCF_000001405.40). Classification (NCBI taxonomy): domain Eukaryota; kingdom Metazoa; phylum Chordata; class Mammalia; order Primates; family Hominidae; genus Homo; species Homo sapiens. The sequence continues at coordinate 224,883,666 of NC_000001.11, read as the reverse complement.
ACATTCTCAACAGCTTTCCTCCCTCCATTGAAAGACTTGCCTTAAACCAAACTTCAAGTTCTCAATAAATTTGTCTTTCTTTCTCCCTTCAAGACCCTATGCAAGCTCGGTCAAGGTGCCCTCCCTCACTGCAGTGAGCAATAAACTCAGCCTTGCCTTATTAGTCGGTAATATCGGCGATTGCTGGGGACCTGGCAGTTGATATAATTATTCAACAAATTTTATGGGAGTTCACTGTTTTGTCCTAGCCTCTGACATGAGGCCTCAGCAGACCAGACCAAATCAGAATGGAGTCATTTTTGCTAAGTGTCACATAATCTAACTGAACTTTCAAAGGGGCCAGTTTTCCAAAAATATAGGAGATTTCAGTCAACCAGACAGTGTGATAAAGAAATCCCCTCTGTTTTATCCTTTTAAAGAAAGTAACTTTGAAACAACACATCTGCTCTTTGTTCAATATTTCCGCCTTCTTCAGCCCTTTTCTGTCTATTATAAAGTCACATTCATATGCTCAGCTCCTTGAACTCATTCTATTTTCTAAAATGAGAATTCTAGAATCACAAATAAAAGCTGGCCCGGTGCAGTGGCTCACACCTGTAATCCCAGAACTTTGGGAGGCCGGGGCAGGTGAATTACCTGAGGTCAGGAGTTCGAGATCACCCTGGCCAACATGGTGAAAGCCCATCTCTACTAAAAACACAAAAGTTAGCTAGGCATAGTGGTGCGTGCCTGTAGCCCCAGCTACTAGGGAGGCTAATGCAGGAGAATCACTTGAACCCGGGAGGCAGAGGTTGCAGTGAGCCGAGATTGTGCCACTGCACTTCAGCCTGGGCAACAGAGTGAGACTCCACCTCAAAAACAATTAAAAAGTCAATTATATCTTTAAGCTAAATTTGTTATAATTTTGTCTTTTAACCATTTTGGGCAACCACAAAAGGAACCAAGGGAGACTGCTGATGATTCCTGAGCCCCCTTGGGGAGTGCAGGACAGGCACTGCTGACCCCTTTTCAGGTCCCCTGCCTTCCTCAATGAGCCCCCAAGGTTTGTAAATAAGTTTTTCTAGGGTTGGACTCGCTTTTTTTTTTTTTTTGCGTTGCCTCCCTCCCTTGAAATTCTCCAATCTTTTTGGCTTTCAAATCCAGGGTTAGTTTGTACTGAGAGAGCATATGACCTTTTGGGATTTGTGGTGACTGATGAGCAACTGGCAAGAGCTGCAGTTTTAAAGGTAACTGACAGCAGTTGCAAAAAGTGTCTGTTACTGCAGGAGGTATGCAACTCTGGCTCTCAGAAATTCTGAGCGATTTCACTTCTTTCCTCTTCGTTTATTTTTCTTGTGTGCCCATGTAGGAAGATATCATTGGCTATGTTGGTCAAGGGATCTCAGGGCCAAAGCCACAATTTGACTGCTGGGCAAGTGTTAGGCACCTACACATTGCTTAAAGCACTTGCCACCTAAAAATAAGTAACCTGTGTTAGGATAAGCTGAGTCACAGCAAGGGTTAGTTCTGACACTAGGGTACATGCCAGCCTTAAGAAAACTTCTGTGCATTAAAGAAACATTGTGAAAACATTACACTACCCAACCCTGTGGCTTTTCCCTCTTAGATATTTATCTTTGCTCTGAGAAAACTCCAAAAAAGTATGTTAATGAGGACACTGTAACCTATAAATAATGTTTTCAGACCAGAAACCCAAAGTGATGGTAACTGAGAATAGCACTAATGGTCTAGGTGAGAGTGACCAAAGAGGGGAATTGTTAAACAAAATTTATGGGAGGTGATATGGTTTGTGTTTGTGTCTCCACCCAAATCTTGTGTTGAATTGTAATCCCCAGTGTTGTGGGAGGGACCTGGTGGGTGGTGATTGGACCATGGGAGTGGATTTCCCCTTTGCTGTTCTCATGGTAGTGACTGACTTCTTATGAGATCTGGTTGTTTAAAAGTGTGTAGCACTGGCCAGGCGCAGTGGCTCATGCGCATAATCCCAACACTTTGGGAGACCAAGGCAGGCAAACCACTTTGAGCTCAGGAATTCGAGACCAGCCTAGGCAACATGGCAAAACCTCGTCCCTACAAAAAAATACAAAAATTAGCTGGGTGTGGTAGCACGTGCTTGTAGTCTCAGCTACTTGGGAGGGTGAGGCTGGAGAATTGCTTGAACCCAGGAAACAGAGGTTGCAGTGAGCTAAGATCATGCCACTACACTCCAGCCTGGGCAACAGAGTAAGACCCTGTTTCAAAAAAAAAAAAAAAGTGTGTAGCACTTCCCCCTTCTCTTTCTCCAGCTCTACCATGTGAAGATTGTGCCTGCTTCCTCTTTGCCTTCCACCATCATTGTAAGTTTCCCGAGGCCTCCCCAGCTATGCCTCCTGCACAGCCTGCAGAACTGTAAGTCAATTAAATTTCTTTTCTCCATAAATTACCCAGTCTCAGGTATGTCTTTATAGTAGTGCGAGAACAAACTAATACCATAGGCCATTGTTTTAGATTATCTCCTGCACTAGGCACCGGCAGACCAAACCAAACCAGAATGGAGTCACTTGTGCTGTGTCATTTAATCAAACTGAACCTTGAAACAGGCCAGTTTCCCAAAGAAAACCAGGATATTCCGGTCAATATGTGTCAGTATAATAAAGTCCCCTCTGTTTAAATTCTAAATGGAAAGTAACTTACAAATGACCAATCTGCTTTCTTCAGCCCTTGTCTCTCTCTAAAGCCAACATCCTCTGCTCAGCTCATTGGAAATTCATTCTATTTTATAGAATTGTTGTAGGAAAAACTGGGTTCTTGTCACATGACCAGGAAAGGTTAGGCTTGCAGACACTTTGAAGGGTGAGAAGGGCAGGGTTTATTCGGTGAAAAGGAAAAAAAGGAAACAAGGAATCTCAGCAATGCGAGAATCCTGCTAGCAGGCTTCCCGCCTCACAGATGGAATCCCTGGTTACCACCCAGAAACAGCAGAGGCCAGGCTCCTCACCCTGCAAACTGCACAAACTTCCTGAGGCTCCACCCCATCTTCCCAGTGTGCAAACAGGTCGGAGATTCTCCGGGGAGCCCTTTTAACTTGGCTGTCTCAGAATGAAGTGTCGCCTGATTCTGAAATAGTAAATAAAAGCCAATTTGATCTTTAAATTAAATTTGTTATAAGTTTTTCTTTTGATACAACCAATATTTATTGGGCACCTACTGCATGCCAGGAAATGCTCTAGGCACTTGGGCTACATCCTGAAACAAAACAAAAAGTCCTTGCCCTCATGAGCTTACATTCTACTGGGGTGAGACAGATAATAAACATAAGGAGATAAATTATGTAGACTATAGAAGGTATTAAAATGGTTTGGAAAAAAGCAAAAGTAGAAAGCATAAGTGGGGGAGGTCAGGAGTGCCTGAGGAGGATGAAATAGGTTGTACGTGAAATAATGTTAGATTTGAGCAAAGTCCTACAAGGAGTGAAGGCATTAGCCAGGTGGACACCAGATAGAGGGAACAGCTAAGGCCCTGGAGAGCTGAAATTATCCTGTGCATCAGATCTCATATTCACTAAAGTTGAAAGTGATTCCAAGCCACTTCCTCTACCTCTACCTTGAAAGCAATTGGTCTATTTCAATATCTATATTGTATTTGCAGTCCATTCCCAATCAGAGCTGCAGAATTTGCAGTACTATCACAATCAACATGCAAAAAACAGGAGTTAATAAATTATGCCTGACATTTCCAGACGGAAGTTCCTTTATGAGGATTCAATTTCAAGGTGCTTAGGAAACTAAATATTTTATAGGATTTGCAGCAAGAAAATGCCACAAGTAAGGCCAAAGTTTTAATGGAAAAAAAATGAAATATTGAAATGTCTTTGTCTTTCTAAGCCCTTTGTCAACATATGAAAGAATCAGATCCTAGTCTTTAAAATACAATGAAAGATTGTTGTTGATTGCTAACAATGTTACTTGACCACAAACACCCCAAGACAGTGACAATCAATCGGATAACTGAGACAGCTACTAAGTGATTAACGGTGGAGAGTAGAGACAGCTGGATACGCTGGACAAAGGAATGATTCATGTCTCAGGCAGGACGGAGTGAGATGCCCAGGACAGAGCAGGACAGCATGAGATTTCATCATACTGCTCAGAATGATGTGCAATTTAAAATTTATGAATTGTTCATTTCTGGAATTTTCCACTTAGTATTTTCATACTGTGGTTGACTGCGGGTAACTGAAACTGCAGAAAGCAAAGCTGTGGATAGAGGAACTACTATAGACAGATAATTTCTATACAAATGGTAAGAGATAACAGAGGGGCCATTCATTGCAGGACACTGATGAACCTCACAGAGGAAGGGGCTTTAGAGCTGGGATTGGAAGTGACAATAACAAACACATATTGCCAGCTCTGTATTGGGCATTACCCTAAGTGCTTTATGATTAGGAGCTCATTTTATCTTAACCACACTGCCATGAGATAAAAATCTTTTTTTTTTTTTGAGATGGAGTCTTGCTCTGTCACCCAGGCTGGAGTGCAGTTTTGCGATCTCAGCTCACTGCAACCTCCACCTCCTGGGTTCAAGAGATTCCCCCCACTCAGCCTCCAGTAGCTGGGACTACAGGTGCCTGCCACCACGCCTGGCTAATTTTTGTATTTTTAGTAGAGACGGCGTTTCGCCATGTTGGCCAGGCTGGTCTCAAACTCCTGACCTCAAGTGACCCACCCATTTTGGCCACCCAAAGTGCTGGGATTACGGGCGTGAGCCACTGTGCCCTGCCAATCGTTGGGTTTTTTAAAAATCACATTTGTAGGTGAGAAACCAGAGGCACAGAGAAGTTAAGAAACTTGCCCAATGTTAACACAGCTAATATGTGACCCAGCCAGAAATAGAATCCATGCAGTTGGAGCTCAAATGTGCGCCCTTAACTCCTAAGCTTCTTCTCTAATGAGTCAGTTTATCTGCCCAGGTGGAGAAAGCAAGGACATTGCAGGGAGCTGGACCAGTGTTTGTATATGTGTCGAGGGTTGGGAAGGGTGCAGCCACCAGGAGGCACAGTGATGTCCATCCCCATCCTTGTGGTCCTGCTTCAACCTCAAACTGGGGAACACTGCTGCTAGAGCATACGGGGGAACAAAACCCCCAGAGTCACAGGAATAGTGGTTGGGTCATTCACGTTCTGGTGTTGGGTGGAGCAGGATGCTTTGGCAAAATAAAACAACAAAACAAACAATAAACTGCAATCTCACAAAAGTATGAACAAAGGTACTCAAAATTTCTGCTATCAGGATCATTTCTTTTGGCCATGGCCACCTCTCCAAACCCACTCCACACAAATGGGCTCTGAAAGCAAGAGGCACAGATTATCATTTCCTTGGGAATAAGGAGGAAGAGGGACAGGTCTGGAAGAGAAGCTGCATTGGGAGGAAGCCTGCCTTGGGGTCGGGGGCAGCTCCCTAGGGATGCTCCAGATTTTGAAAAGAAGAATGTGTGGAGTCCTCTCCACCCCTTGTGTCTCCCATCAAGGAAAGAGCATGAGCAGTGCTAACTGGGGATAATAATTCCTCCCATCTGTGTACCTGTTTCCTATGCCATATCACCTGGAAGACTGTAACAGGGTGCTCTGCCTTCAGTTTGCACTCCCTTTCTAGAGTCAGAACAATCTTCCTAGCATATGAAAATGAAATGTATATATATATATATATTTAATGTAAACTTTTAAAATTCTGTATTTCAGTACTTTTGGGGATATAAGTGGTGTTCGATTACATGGATAAGTTCTTTAGTGATTTCTGGGATTTTGGTGCACCCATCACCCAAGCAGTGTATACTGTACCCAATATGTAGTCTTTTATCCTTCACCCCCCTCCTACCTTTCCCCCAGAGTGCCCAAAGTCCATTATATGATTCTTATGCTTTTGCATCCTCATAGCTTAGCTCCCACTTTAAGTGAGAACATACGATATTTGATTTTCCATTCCTGAGTTACTTCACTTAGAATAACAGCCTCTAGCTCCATCCAAGTTGCTGCAAAGGCCATTATTTCATTCCATTTCATGGCTGAGTAGTATTCCATGGTGTATATATATATACCACATTTTCTTTATACACTGGGTTTGTTGACAGGCACTTAGGTTGGTTCCATATCTTTGCAATTGCGAATTGTGCAAGAAACATGCATGTGCATGTGTCTTTTTCATAAAATGACTTTTCTTTTGGAGATACCCAGTAGTTGGATTGCTGGATCAAATGGTAGTTCTTTCAGCAATCTCCACACTCTTTTTTTTTTGTTTTGAGATGGAGTCTCGCTCTCTTGCCCAGGCTAGAGTGCAGTAGTGCAATTTTGGCTCGCTGCAACCTCTGCCTCCTAGGTTCAAGTGATTCTCCTGCCTCAGCCACCCAAGTAGCTGGGACTACAGGCACAAGCCACCATGTGTGGCTAATTTTTGTATTTTTAGTAGAGATGGGGTTTCGCCATGTTGGCCAGGCTGGTCTCGAACTCCTGACCTCAGGTGATCCACCCACCTCAGCCTCTCAAAGTGCTGGGATTACAGGCGTGAGCCACCGTGCCTGGCTTCCATACTGTTTTCCATAGTGGTTGTACTAGTTTACATTCCCACCAGCAGTGCAGAAGTGTTCCCTTTTCACCACATCTACGCCAACATCTATTTTTTAATTTTTTAATTATGGCCATTCTTGCAGTAGTAAGACGGTATCTCATTGTAGTTTTGTGTTTCCCTGATTAGTAATGTTGAGCATTTTTTCATGTTTGTTGCCTGTTTGCACATCTTCTTTTGAGAATTGTCTATTCTTATCTTTTGCCCAATTTTTGACGGGATTACTTGCTGATTTGAGTTCCTTGTAGATTCTGGATATTTGTCCTTTTTTGGATGCATAGATTGTGAAGATTTTCTCCCACTCTGGGTTGTCTGTTTACTCTGCTGATTATTTCTTTTGCTGTGCAGAAGCTTTTTAGTTCAATTGGGTCACATCTATTTATTTTTGTTTTTGTTGCATTTGCTTTTGGGGTCTTAGTCATGAATTCTTCGCCTAAGCCAATGCCTGGAAGAGTTTTTCCAATGCTTTCTTCTGGAATTTTTATGGCTTCAGGTCTTAGACTTAAAAGTCTTTGATCCATCTTGAGTTGATTTTTTATAAGGCGAGAGATGAGGATACAGTTTCCTTCTTCTACATGTGTCTTGCCAGTTTCCCCAGCACCATTTATTGAATAGGGCATCCTTTCCCCACTTTCCTAGTATATCAATATTAAAACCTGCAGGGACTTCCATTGCGTTTGTGAGAGCCCAGCACTCCTTTGCCCAAGCATTATGCCTTCACTGCTACCTCAAACTCATCTCCCAAGCCTGAGTAAATGCATCCCAGGCTTCAGCCACTCTGAACTACCAGATCAAATGCACCCTGCCTTTGTTCACTGGGTTCCCTCTGCTGGCAAACTCTCACTCCTCCTTCAAGACTTAGCTCACTGAAGCCTCTCTTGACTTCCATTTAATGTTACCTCCATTAGGATACTTACCACTATTGCCTACACCTGTAATCTTTAGCCCTGAGCTCACTCGGGGATCTTGTAAAAAACACTAGTGCCAGCCTGAGCAATACGGTGAGACCTGTCTCTACAAACATTTTAAAAATTAGCTGAGCATGGTGGTGCATGCCTGTGGTCCCAGCTGCTTGAGAGGCTGAGGCAAGGAGGATTGCTTGAGTCCAGGAGGTTGAAACTAAAGTGAGCCACAAACACACCACTCCACTCCAGCCTGAGCAACAAAGCAAGACTGTCTCAAAAACAAAAAGCCAAAAACCAATGCTTGGGCCCTACACCCAGAGATTCAGACCCTGCTGGTCTAGGGTGAGCCCTGGAGGGAGGTACTTTGAATTCTGGGGCACTGGATTCATCCTCAGCACCTTCCCCAGGACGTGGAACAAAATAGGACTTCAATTACAAATCGTGTGTTTGTTGAGTGAATAAAACAAGCAGCTTTAAACCCCTCTGTCAGTCAGGTGCTGTTATCTCATTTGCAACTGAAGAACTGAGGCTGAAGGACATTAAGTGATTTGTCTAAGATTACAGGGAGCAACTTGAATTTAATTCTTCTGATTCCAAGTGTGGTGTTCTGCCTGTGCATACGGAAGAAGGACGACACCCAGGAATGTGCCCACTGCAGATGGGAGCTGGAAGAAACTGCCGTTATGTGGAGCTCAATGTCTCCTTTTGGTTATTTTGATGCATGTTTGGGGAGGGACTTTTGCTGTCCCAGTGCATTGTCTTGAATTTTAAAGGTTATCCTTAAAACTCATGCTTCCTTAAAACTTTTTCCCTCCTCTTGCTTTTAATGAATTATGAGCCATTACTTATTTATAACTAATCTACTGCTGCCTTTATGAGGCAGAAAATGAACTACTTTCCAAAGTAATTACCCTTTTTATAGACTTAGAACAAATGCCCATAGCCCCTTCCTTTCTATATGGCTGGTGCGCTAGGTTTCTACTGTCTTGTTTGACATGCCTCAGTCTCTATGCTTGTAATAGATCCATTTAGATTATTTTTCTAACTCACCCTAGAAGCCAGACAGACTTGCTCAGAAAGCTGGCTTGTTCCTGCAATAAATCAAGCATTTTGAGCAAAAGGCTGTTCCTCTCCCAACAGTGAACACGTGCCTTAATATTAACACAGCCTTCTCGGGGCCTTAAGACTAATACAGCCTTCTCCAGAACAGACGCCGCAAGACTAACACGGCTCATAATCTGCTTTTCACAGGTGCACTGAAGTGTGCGGTCTGGTCACCCAGCCCGGCAGCCAGAGGGGAAGCCTTGCCCTTTATTCAGCTTAGGGCAGAAACCATTCAGGCATTCATGTCAAAAGAAAAATCACTGCAAAAGAAAAATGAAAACCCTACTAGTTGTTAATTTGACTCAATATTTATATTTAATAGTTACATTTAATATTGCTATTATAAATGTCATTTTCCCACTTTTGATGGGACTTTATATATAAATGTATATACACAGAGCAACATATTCATTTAATAATCATTCATATTGTTTCTAAAATGAACTGAACACTGTGGAAGTTGCTGTCACCAGCTATTTCATCACATCTCCTCCATATTTCAATTTTTACTGAATATTATATTAGAAGTCTAAAATCCTCCAAGCTCCAAATATAACTTTTAAAGGCAATATCAAATCAATATTTAAAAGAGTGAGGGTAGGAAATCCAGTAGAATTGCAAACCCATTACAGATAGATTTCAATGGTCTGGATTCGTTAAGAAAAAGGATTTTAAAATAAAAATGCATTAGGTCTACAGTCAACATGATCCTCATATTTTGCTCTCTGACCATGGCTCAGAAATTGCCAGGTCTGGCCTCTCATTTCTTCTTTCCCAGGATTACAAGGAAGACTTTGAACTCAGCTCCAGAGTTCACCTAAAGATTAACCTGTAAATGGACTGTAGCTGTTAAAAAGAAAAAAAAATTGTGAGTCCATTAGGCTGAGAAGACTCTTGTGCCTCAGATTCCTGCAAAAGCAAACCTAAGCTCAATATAAACAGAAAAATGAAACTTAAGCTTAACCAATCAGAAACCACCAGTTAACCTCTAACTAGGAACTTTCCACTTTAGCCAAATTTTTTTTTATATAAAAGTAAATATTTTTTACTTCCCCAAACACCTTATAAAATTTTCCTCTCTCTGCCTCCCGGGTCCCCCACAGTGGAGTGCTGAACCATGGGTGGTCCAGTGTTATTGATTCATGAATTCCTGTCTACTCAAATATACTCTTTAAAGTTTTAATGTGCCTAAGTTTATCTTTTAAAATAGCCCATGATGTGGTGGCTTTTAAACTTTATTTGGGGATGATAATCAGAGGTGCCATAAGCAGCAGTGAGATTTTAAATGAGTCACTAAAACCCGTCTTGGCTCAGTTTTCCTTATTGTGAAATGAGGCATCTGTGGATTTATGACAAGAGCTAGGAAGCGTGGAGTAATCTGTAGGTGGGAAAAAAGAATTGCAGATCATATGAAAGATTTAGCAGCAGACTTCCACAGTTGTCATGTAGAAAAGGTCAGATGCATGTTTCTTTATGCCCAGCCCCCAGCTGGGTGTCTGATCTTGCCTGCCTCCTCAGTGAAGGAGAGGAGGGGAGAGTTGGTGAAAGGAGAGGGAGTGAATAGGAGAGGAGACAAGGAGGGAGAAGAGAAAGGAAAGAGAATAAATGAATGAGTAATGAATGAGTGATGCAGGGAGGTCAATGCGTGAAGGTGATGGGTTACTCACACTCATCAAGCCTGGTGACAAGTGGACCTGGGCAGAAGTAGCTGGATGAGTCCCTAAAGCCTCTAGCCTTTCCCTAGCCTTTCAAGGTGCTCTAGTCACTTCTCTGGAGAAGGAGGTGGAGCCACCCTACCTCAGCTCTGCAGCCCCAGAGCTGGAGAAAATGCTCCAAACTGCAGAAGCCTGGCCAGGGTGCTCAACACTGCAACATTTTTTACAGTTGCTGCTTTTCTCAAAGACTTTTAAATGATGGTTGTAATACTGGAAAATGAGTGTTTAAATCATACTTTAGACAGGAGGGAACCTAAAACTTATTCGATTCCACCTTTTAACTTTGTGGATAAAGAAAACAAAGACCATATTTTATTGCAGCATACTCTCATGAATAATGACACACTTTGTAGAAAACGTCCAATAAAAGATGACCTATTGATGGCAGTGCTATTTCACAGCTGCTTCTATATTGAATCTCCCCAACTGGATTGAAAATATATCAAGGACAGAGATGGTGACGAGCCACTTCTTAGTTTTGCATCAAACAGAGGCCCATGAACACTGCACATGCTTATAAATATGCAACACCCAAGCCATACAATGCACATAAAGCACACATATGTGCACACATAGAGAATACACTCTGTCATCCATACGCACACATGTATGTATGCGCACACATGCATATGCCACACGTGCATGTGCCATACACGTGCACATAGAAACACATTCACTCACATACCTACACCAGGACTGTAATACACATACACGTACCTGTGCATCTGCACACACATGCACACTTATGCACATAAACAAGCATGCACATATACATATGCACCCATCCTCTAAATTCTGTTTTCTGGACCAATCCACAAGTGCTGCATGACTAATAAGGCCATGAGTGATTTTACTGAACACACTGATTGTTGTTTAAAATCTGTACCAATAGCTCTTTGAGAAAATAATCTAAATATATTGTTCTCAAGTCCCTCAACTGAGACTAAAAAATTATAATAGGCTCTGAAGAGAAGTTAGCTTTATAAGAAAATAAGACAGCCCCAAAATACTGCTCTCTACCATATGACAGCACCTCGGGGGGATTTATTCACATTTTTATACCTGTTCTGAGGGAAAGAAAAACACTTGGTTCTCCCAGAGAAGAAAGATGTACAAAAGAATACTAGTAATAATAATAAAAACAGCAATCAACCTGTATTCCATCCATCTGCTCTGACAAAGTAATGCTTTTAAAACATAAGTCTGATGATATCACTGGTCTACCTTAAACCTTCCAATAGCTTCCCCTCACTCAGAGTCAAATGCAAACTCTCAACAATGGCCTTCAAGGCCCTGCAGAATCTGGCCCCCATGACTTTTTTCTCTGCCCTCATCTCTCTCTGCTTCGGCCCCAACTCCTTCCTATTCTAAACATACTAAACAAGACCCCAACCCAGGACCTTAGCGGCTGTGGTTGCCTCTGCCTAGAGCACCTTTCCCCAAAGCAGGCAGAGGTTCACACCCAAATGTGACCATCTTCTATAAACTCACACATGCGATCCCCTTCCCCTGCTGGACTTTTTCTTCACAGACCTTATTGCCACCTGCACTGTACATCTGTTTTCCCCTCGCCAGACTGTAAGCTCGATCCGAGCAAGGACTTTTTTCACTCACCACAGGATCCCCATGGCCTAGAATGGCATCAGACATGTACTATTGACTACTAAATGCCCAAGAAGTCTACACTGAATGAATAAATGAATTGCTTGAACACATATTCTATGCCGGGCACTTCCTAAGTGCTTTATATGCTTTATCTCATTTAGTACTTTATGAGGTAGGCATGGGTATGAGCCTCTCTGAGGCTCAGAGAGTTCAAGTAGCATGCCCAGGTAGCTACCTGAGTGTCCCCACTACATGGAAACTGCTGATCCGAGAGAGAGAGAGAGAGAAAGCCAGAGAATGCCGAAGATGAGAACTATGATCTTTTTATAATCTAAGCTTGGTGATGACATCCAATTACTTTTGCTATGTTTTATTCATGATAACTGAATTGGTAAGTCCAGACGCACTGCAGAGAAGGGGACTGCTGACACAGTGCATGAATACCAGGAGATGAGGACCATCTTAGAGAAGGTCTACCACACTTCTTTCTGTCCATCAGACTAGCTCCTTGGCAAATCAGGAATAAAGTGCTCACTGTTGGGAGATGTAGAGATACATAATTCTGCCTCTACAAGGGTGTTTTTTTAACCAATACATAATTTTGTACATATTTATAAGGTACATGTAATATTTTGTTATATGCAAGAATGAGTAATAATCAAGTGAGGGTATTTGGGGTATCCATCACCTCTAGTATTTATCATTTCTATGTGTTGGGAACATTTCAAGTGTTCTCTTCTAGCTATTTTCAACTATACAATACTTTGTTGCTAACTATAGTCACTCTTTTTTGCTATCAAACATTAGAACTTATTCCTTCTATCTCACTGTCTGCACCCATTAACCAACTTCTCTTTATTCCCCCATCCCATCCAGACACCTTTCCCAGCCTTCAGTATCTATCATTCTACTCCCCATCTCGATGAAATCAACTTTTTGGCTCTGACTTATGAGTGAGAACATACAATATTTGTCTGTCTGTGTCTGGCTTATTTCACTTAACATAATAACCTCCAGTTCCATCCATGTTGCTGCAAAGAACATGATTTTTCATTCTTTTTTTGTGGCTGAATAGTTTACACTGTGTATATATGCCACATTTTCCTTATCTATTCATCTATCGAACACTTAGTTTGATTCCATATCTTTACTATTGTGAATACTGCTGCAATAAATATGGCAGTGCAGATACATCTTTGAAATGTTGATTTCTCTTCCTTTCGATAAATACCCAATAGTGGGATTCCTAGATCATACGGTAGTTCTATTTTTAGTTTTTGAGAAATCTCCATACTGTTTTCTGTAGTGGCTGTACTAATTTACATTCCTACCAACAGTGTATAAGAGTTCTTTTTTCTCCAGATTCTCATCAGCATCTGTTAATTTTAATAACAGATTTTAATGGACCTTTGAAATAAGACAATAGTGATTCTTAATCTGATTTCATAATACTCATATATATGTCTTTTTATCATCATCTAATGCAATTCTTAAAATTACAAACACAACAACTACCTTGATTTCTTTCAATATTTTATCATGAAAAATTACAAGCAAATAACAAGGTTAAAAGAATGTTACAGTAAACGTTGGTATACTCATCACTTAAATACTATTATTAATATTTACTATGCCTGCTTTATTACATGTCTGTCTAGCCATCCTTTTATTCAGGCATGAATCCATCTTGTTGCTTGATGCATTTCAAAGTAAAGTGAAGACATCGGTAGACTTCCTCTGAAATACTTCAATGTGCATATAATTAATATGGTTCATAATAAAGTTTGATTTTTTGCAGTATTTTATGTAAATTTTACAGACATTAAATGTATATACATTGAAGGAGTACATTCACTGCATTTGGAACAATGCATTAACCTTTGTAACCCAAACCTCTGTTGAGATACAGAACATTACCATAAACCCCAGAAAATTCCCTCATGCCCCTTCACAGTCAATCCCTGCCCCCACCTCTCAGATGCAATCACCAACCTGGCATCGGAGTGGGCTTCCCTTCATTTGAACCTCATCACTTTATTTTTAAAGCAAATATTTCAATGTTGTTTGTTTCAGATTATAAAAGTGTTACCATCCACCATAGATTTGTTTGGACTGCTCTATAATCGCAATAGGATCATATAATGTACTGTTTTTTGTAAGGCTTCTTTCACTTAGCACAATGTTTTAAAATTCATCTATGTTGTATGTATCAATAGTTCATTCCTTGTTATTGCTAAGTAGTATTCCATTGTAAGATTACAGTGCACTGTTTATTCATTCTCCTGTTGATGGACACCTGGTCCATTTCGTATTATTATAAATAAAGCAGCTGCAAACATTTTTGTATTAGTCTTTTTGTGAACATATTCTTTTACTTGGATAAACATACCTCTGACTTTTAAAAAGATATGCCTTCTTGTCCTTTTATTCAGGGTAATCCAGCAAGGTAAACAAGTGAAAGGAAATAAGATTGGGGTGTTTTAGACCCTGAAGATTTGCAGGTTACTGTTCTAGCACAGCAAAATTGTGGACTAGAAAAATTGATTCACTAAATAGTAAAATCATTGTTTTTGGCTTGGAAGAAACTTAGAAGTCAAATGGTTCAAATCCCTCGTTTTCGTAGAGATCACTGACTTGCTGAGAGACACAGCTTATCAGGAGGGACCTACACCCAGGTCTTCTAACTTCCAGTCTGGTTCTCTTGACACTACCATTCATCCCACAATAATCTTGTGGTATGAAAAAGTGAGAAACAAGTTTAGATTAAAACAATGTGTACCTAAGCCAGTGCATCTTTTACATCTGAGGGGCAGGCCCATAATCCATCACTGGCATCCCAGGGTTGAGAGCGCTAGATAAGCTGGTTCTTTTCATGATACACATCCTGGACCCTGTTGTCACCAGCTTCCACCTTTGCTTCTGAGATTTCTCTATCCCTACTGCCTCCACATGCTCCTTATCTGCAGGACCCCAGATTTTCCCCTTCTGTCTCCTATTTCCCAGGGCAGGGTCAGCCCCATCTTCATCCTTTAGATCTGGCATCAGAGTGGGCTTCCCTTCATTTGAACCTCGTCACTTTATTTATTTATTTATTTATTTATTTTTATTTATGAGACAGAGTCTCACTGTTACCCAGGCTGTAGTGTAGTGGCGCGATCTTGGCTCACTGCAGCCTCTGCCTGCTGGATTGAAGCAATTCTCCTGCCTCAGTCTTGCGAGTAGCTGGGACTACCGGCCCCCGCCACCACGCCTGGCTAATTTTTGTATTTTTTTTAGGAGAGACAGGGTTTCACCATGTTGGCCAGGCTGGTCTCCAACTCCTGACCTTGTGATCCGCCCACCTCAGCCTCCCAAAGTGCTGGGATTACAGGCATGAGCCACCGCGCCCAGCCAGAACCTCATCACTTTATTTTTAAAGCAAACATTTCAATGTTGTTTCAGATTATAAAAGTGTTACATTCAACTACTACATGAGCAAAAATAAAAATACATGAAAATACCAAAGTTGATGAGTCTGGAAATCTGTATACTACTGCTGGTCATGTAAATTTCTGTAAGTACCTCATAGAGTAATTATTCAATATCTGACAACATTTTAAAATGTGATAAATGCCTTCAAATTATCTTAAAAGGATGCAAGTAAGAAATGTATTAGCTTTTACTACCCCAAGTAGCTTGCAACAACAAATATTTCTTTCTTGTTCATTTACTTGAGGACTACAGGTCAGCTAAAACTCTACTAGACTAAGCTGGACTCTACTGGGCTTGACTGAGATCTACTGAATTTAGCCAACTTTCATGTGTCTTTCCATTCAGAGACCTAGGTTGGAGTATTAGTCACTATCTGGGACATGTCATTCTTATGATGGAGAACAGAAGATCAAGAGAGCAGAGCCAAACCACAAAAATGCCTTTAAAGAATCTGTCCCAATGCATTCTAATGAATAATTACTAAATGATATTGTCTACTCAATCTACCTTCTTGGACACAAATATTCATTTCTCTCCACAAAATTTACTCATCTTCTTTCCAAGATACCTCAAGAGCCTCATCCAATTCAACATCAGGCTTCAAGTCCAGGACCTCATGACCTTCATCAGGCTCTGATTGTAGTGATAGTTCCCCTCCAGCCATAAAAGACCTATGTAGAGGTTGAGCATCCCTAATCTGACAATCTTAAAATCTGAAATGCTCCAAAATCTGAAACTTTTTGAGTGCCAACATGAGGCCACAAGTGGAAAATTCCACATGTGACCTCTCACATGTGATGGGTCACACAGTCAAAATGCAGGCACACAATGCACAGTTTTTTCAGTATTTCCAAGGGAAGAAGACTCTTCCACCCCCTTCACCTGTGCTATAACTTTTCCACACATGTTTAGACTTGGGTCCCATCCCCAAGATATCTCATTGTGTGTATGCAAATAATTAAAAATCTGAAAAAATACAAAATTCAAAACACTTCTGGTCCTAAGCATTTCAGATAAAGGATACTCAACCTGTGTCCATCATACAATGGTAGAACCAGATAATTGCAATAAATACTCCCAGTTGAAAAGGGGAGCAAAAGGAGGCACAATAGCCCAGTCAGTGGTCCATAGCAATTCTGAAATCCTGCTGGACAAATCTTGGGGGCTATAGGGAAAAATGTATACCTCATTGGAAAATGATCCATTGTTGAACATATACTCTTCTTTGTCTGACTCTGATGCTGTAAGAGCTCTGTGTCTTTCATTGTCTTTAAGCTGTTTTACAACTCTGTAAATTGTAGATAAATGATAGCAATGCAAAATAATTCTTACCTATAGACATGCAAAAAATTCTGTCCAATAGAATTTTAACTGACTTCTCTCTCCAACTGTGAAAGATGCCGATTTCATCTCCACTTGCACATTCCTGATATACAAAGGTGTCTGATTTTTAGATTCTTCTTTGAGAATTTTCTTTGCAACATCTGCTGGGTTCCCTCATTAATAATGGTTAAATAAAATCTTTTAACATTGGTTCATTTTATACCTGTGTGAGAGGCATTATTTTACCTTTCTAAAAATCTTTAAATGGGGTAAAAACATGGTCTTAGATTGGGCCCTGATTCTGACTCCTGGAAGTGGTTCTCTAAACATTTTTTCCATAGCTGTTGGCTCTGCCCTCTGAGATGTCCTTTATTTTCCATCATCCTCTTTGGCTATATCTGAAGAGACCACTGCAGAATATGCCCAGCTTGGCAGCTGAGAACCTTTCTTGGCCTGCTCCTCATCTGTAGAAAGTTAGGTGCCCAAGAGATGTTTTTACTTCTTGAACTATGACTGTCTGTATTAGTGCAGGCTGGTAGCATTTTTGTCAAAACATTCTCTCGGTAACTTTCCTGTTTTGCTGTCTATTTGGTTTCTGTTGGTTTCCTGTGGCAAAAGGGAGACCCATAGTTCTTTTTGAGAATTGCCTCTCTCTCTCTAAATTAATTACGAATACTTTAGGTTTCTGTGGGACCGTGCCCTTGATTTTAACTTAATCCCCAATGCAAGAGTATTAAGAAGTAGAGCCTTTAGGAAATGATTAAACAATGAAGGCTCTGTCCTCATAGATAGGATTAGTTCTTTATAAAAGGGTCTGAGGAGGTGAGTTCACTGTTTCTGTCCCTGCTATCATGTGAGGACACAGTGTTTATCACTTCTGGAAGACACAGCAACAAGGCATCATCTTGGAAGCATAGACTGGGTGTTGCACCAGACACTGAACCTATTAGCAGCTTGATCTTGGACTTTCATCTCCAGGACTGTGAGAAATAAATTACTATTGTTTATAAATTACCCAGTTTCTGGCATTTTGTTATCATAGCACAAATGAACTAAGACAATGGGCAAAGATATGAACATATACTTCACCAAAAAGATATATGGTTGACAAATAAGCACATGAAAAGATGTTCAACATAATTTGAACATTCGTCATTAGGGAAATGCTAACTTAAATCACAATGAGATACAACTAATTAGCTACTGGAATGGCTAAAATTGAAAAGACTAATAATAACAAGTGTTGGCAAGAATGCAGAGCAACTATTGGTGGTAATGTACAATGTACAACCACTTTGGAAACAGTTTGGCCACTTCTTATAAAGTTAAACATATACTTATGGCCCAGCAATCTCACTCATATCTTTATAAAGGGAAATAAAAACTTATGTTCACAAAAAAATTGGTATGAAAATATTTATGGTGGCTTAATTTTTAAAAGCCTCAAACTGGTAAGAACTCAAATGTCCTTCAACAAGTGGATAAATCAAGGTACACCTATACAATAAAATAATACTCAGAAATAAAAAGGACCAAATTCTTGATACATGCAACAATGTGGATGAATTTCAAATGCATTGTGCTAAATGAAAGAGTCCAGGCTCAAAGGCTACATACTGTGTGATTCCATTTATAGGACATTCTGGAAAATTCAAAATTATATAGAGAAAACAAATTAGTAGTTCTAGGGGCTGGGGCTGGGGCTGGGGCTGGGGCTGGGCCTGGCGGCTGACTCCAAAGGGAATTTGAGGATTCTTTAGTATGATAGAATGGTTCTGTATCTTGAGTTTGGTGATAGTCACATGATTGTATGCATTTGTCAAAACTCACAGACTGTACACTAAAAAGGATGGTTTTTACTGTAATAAATTCTACCTTAAAACAAATAGGCTGTGACCAACATGGAGAAACCCCATCTCTACTAAAAAAAAAGAAATACAAAATTAGTCAGGCATGTGCATGCCTATAATCCCAGATACTCGGGAGGCTGAGGCAGGAGAATCGCTTGAACCTGGGAGGGAGAGGTTGCGGTGAGCCGAGATCACGCCATGGCACTCCAGCCTGGGCAACAAGAGCGAAACTCCGTCACCAAAAAACAAACAAACAAACAAAAAAGCACAATAAAACAAATAGGCTGGTGGCTGGGCATGGTGGCTCATGCCTGTAATCCCAGCACTTTGGGAGGCTGAGGGAGGTGGATCACCTGAGGTCGGGAGTTCAAGACCAGCCTGGCTAACATGGCAAAACCCCATCTCTACTGAAAATACAAAAATTACCGGGCACTGTGGTGCACGCCTGTAATCCCAGCTACTCGGGAGGCTGAGGCAGGGGAACCACTTGAACCCAGGAGGCGGAGGTTGCAGTGAGCCAAGATTGTGCCACTGCACTCCAGCCTGGATGACAGAGTGAGACTCTATCTAAAATAAAATAAAATAAAATAAAATAAAATAAATAAACAAAAAACACAAAACAAATAGGCTGGTTATTTTATGAATATCCCTTTCTTTTAGTACCTTATCTAATATAGCTAATAACAACCAACTGATAATTCTGAGCTTTCTACCTTGAAATCTCCTTTCCCAAACCCAGAAGTTCATTAGGTACATTTTTTATGGTTTTACCATATGAACTGCATAACATAGATTGCCACATCTGCAGTATCCTGAAGCCAAAGCTACATATTTTAGGTTTTATTATGATGTCAGCTTACTCTTAGGGACCTATGTTTGTAGCAATCAGCTTTTGCTGCAGCAACTAACAATCCTCAAATTCCAATGGATTACAACAACAAACATTTCTCTCTTCCTTGTGTAGCATAAGGGCTGCAGGTTGGTTGTGGTTCCCCTGGGTGTTGTCGGGCTCAGCTGGGCTTGACCGGGGTAGGCTGGGCTCATTTTGGCAGCCATTTGGGATGTGGTCCATGCAAGGAAGGTCTTTGTCAGAGAAGTCCAATCTCAACCTGTGTTCTTTTTGGGCACTCACATCACTAGTTAAGAAGAACTTATACAAATGGATGCATGTATCGTCTCATACTGCCTCTCAGGCTAAAGGCACAGCTAGTATTTGGGGTATGATGTTCTTATAACAGAGAACAGACCCTCAATGGAAGCAGAGCCAAACCACACTAAATACATGGAAATATTTTGCTTAGACATGGCATAAGCTCTATTGGCCAAAGCAGGTCATACAGCCAAGCCCAAAGTCAATGCAGAAGGGAAGGATATTCCACCCATAGGGAAGCTTAGCGAGGGTGTAACCACAGAACCAGTTCCAACTGATTCAACTTTGTCAATAACAGAATAAGTTGTTTTTCAGTTGCAGTGAACTCCTAGGCTGCAAGTCACATAACCTGAACACGTGCACATGAACAAGGCATGCCTGATTAGTGACCCTGGAGGTGGCTGGAACAAAAAAGTTAACCACATAGAGAACCTAAGTACCTGGACTCCAGAGCACAGACCAAATTAAGGAGCAAGGGGAGCACTGTTTTGTTGCAGTCTGAACTTAAGAGCCAGGGGCCAGGCACCACGTCTCTGAAAAACCCAAACAAATCATGACTTTTTGCATTTTCCTTTCTTCCTCATAGTTAATCCCTCCCTATAAAACCTTCCACAAGACCCCTGCTTGGGGAGACATATTTCAACATTGCCTCTTGTCTCCTTGCCAGTCAACCTTGCAATAAAGCTTTTTTTTCCCCAAGGCTGGTACCATAGTATTAGCTTCTATGTACATTAGACAGTAAACCCATTGCTCAGTGACAAGGACTGAGAAAATAAGTAATTGTGAATAAATCATACAACCACTCTTAGGAACCTGGTATGAGGATATGGACAGCTACATTGCTTGCATTAGGAAAAAAACTAGAAACAATCTAAATGTCCATCATAGGGAAATGAATAAATAAAATCTGGTAGAGTCATTCAATGATCTATTATAGAGCAGTTAAAAAGGAATGGACTGTATGTATATCTATCATTCTATGTCATGGATAGATCTCAAAAACATAATGTTGGGTAAAGAAATTAAGTTGCTAATTTAGCTGGTTACTGCAACATTTCAGTACCTATAAATGGATAGGGAGTGGAGAGACAGAGGGAGAGAAAGATTAGACCAAGTTCTCAATATATTTTTAAAAAGACACAACAATGCAGCTGATATGCAGAGGTCCCACGCAACAGAAGCAAAGGAAACCTGTCTTGATAACACTTCCCTGGGTCCCCAAAGTCCCTAATAGGTGTCTAGCTGTTTGTGCTGCAGCTCATGGAAGGAAGGTCTTGCTAGGTCAGAGAAGCCTATCTCCAGCTATGTCTTTTTTTTTTTTTCTTTTTTTTTTTTTCTGAGAAGGAGTCTTACTCTGTTGCCCAGGCTGAAGTGCAGTGGTGCCATCTCGGCTCACTATAAGCTCCGCTTCCCGGGTTCACGCCATTCTTCTGCCTCAGGCTCCCGAGTAGCTGGGACTACAGCTGACCACCACCACGCCTGGCTAATTTTTTGTATTTTTAGTAGAGACAGGATTTCACCATGTTTGCTAGGATGGTCTCGATCTCCTGACCTCGTGATCCGCCCGCCTCGGCCTCCCAAAGTGCTGGGATTACAGGTGTGAGCCACCGTACCTGGTGTTTTTTTTTTTTTTTTTAAATTGAGGGCTTACATCACTGGTTAAGAAGAACCTATACAAATGAATGCATTTCCACTGAAGGAAATTCTGGACTTTTCTGGTTCTTGAACCTAATTTAGCATCGACCAGGCCATTTCCACATTCAGGGACAAGCAGAGCCAATCAACAAGCATCCTTGAACTGTGTGTCTCTCCTTTTCTTTGCAAGGAAGCTGAAGGACCATTTTTGCAGATATGCGTTGATAGCTGAGGTCCCCTGCACTATATGATTAAGTATTCATTGTGTGGAAAGAATAGCAAGTTGAAGGAAAATAAGATCTATAGAATGGAACTAGAAGGAGTAAGTCATTAGCTGGGTCTTAAAAGATGACTCAGGTTTTAAAAGGCAAAAAAAAAGCACTTTGGGAGGCCGAGGCGGGCAGATCATGAGGTCAGGAGATTGAGACCATCCTGGCTAACACAGTGAAACCCCATCTACTAAAAATACAAAAAATTAGCCGGATGTGGTGGTGAGCGCCTGTAGTCCCAGCTACTCGGGAGGCTGAGGCAGGAGAATGGCGTGAACCCAGGCGGCGGAGCTTACAGTGAGCCGAGATCATGCCACTGCACCACTGCACTCCAGCCTGGGCGACAAAGCGAGACTCTGTCTCAAAACAAAACAAAACCTTAATTATGGAATTACAGATGAAAGGGAACTGTTTGAGACATGCCTAATGAGTCATGCAACCCTTAAATCAAATTGCATTAAAAGTTGTGTCCAAGTAAGGGTTAATTTGGTTAAATGAGAATGACAGTAACTGCTCAGGCACTGTTCTGTGAGGGATGATATTGTAGTTATAAATGTCACGAGGGCCCACCTAACTCACTTATCTCCTAAGAATATCTGGACATTGTTCTCAAAGGCAACAAAAGTATGAATTGTGAAGAAATCAAAATTACTCTTTGGAAATGAGCCATACGCAGTTCTAAGAGCTAGTACAATATATTTGGCTAATGGACTGATGAAGCCCTTAAAAAAGAGGCTGGAGTGGTGTTTCTCGCCCATCTGGAGTCTCCTAGTTTGTTAACCAGCTCTCCAATCAGGGTCCTCTGTCTGGATCTCTGTTTGGCTTCCAGGCTGATCCGCTGTGCTAACTTGTCTGTGACTTTTCCATGTCCTCTTCTTAAAGAGATATTCTACTTCAGCTACTGAGTGTTCAGCAACTGCATTGCCATTGTCCTTGCTATTTTTATTTCTGTCCCAAATTGCTATTGAAAAAGTGCCATGCTTGCACTGCAGGAGTTGTGAATTAAATTCCCATATCCTCTGAGCCACCGCAGCGATAGAAAAGGCTTTGAAGTTTTCTGCCACACAAAGTGAGATGTTGAATATATTCTGGTCTGAGTGTTACCTAGGAGACCCTCCCCATTGTTAAAACTCTTTTCTTTCGTGGTGATGTTGTAGTCTAGCAGAAGAATATGTTTAAAAGCAGGGAGAAAAAATACTAAATTTAAGTTCTGGCTCACGTCTATTAACAGTGTGACCATAAGAACCTCATTAACCTTTTTGATATTCCAGTTCATTAATCTAAAAATGGAGAGGATAATGTCTACCTCAAAGCCATAAGGATTAAATGAGGTAATACATCAAAGTATCAAGTGTCCAGCTTCAAGAAGGCAAAGTTATTCCTCCCTCTTCCTCTCACTGCACCTGTTCTCACAGCAAAGGAACCACCCCCATCCCCAGTGCAGCAGTCAGCAGGCTAACCAACAGGGACTTTACTAATTTAATTCCTCTTTGTTAGTATAAGTGTGATGGTTAATCCTGAGTGTCAACTTGATTGGATTGAAGGATGCAAAGTATTGTTCCTGGGTGCTGTGAGGGTGCTGCCAAAGGAGATTAACATTTGAGTCAGTGGGCTGGGAGAGGCGGACCCACCCTCCATCTGGGTGGGTACCATCTAATCAGCTGCCAGCACAGCCAGAATAAAAGCAGGCAAAAGAATCTGGAAAGACTAGATAGGTTTAGTCTTCTGGCCTATATCTTTCTCCCATGCTGGATGCTTCCTGCCCTCAAACATCAGACTCCGAGTTCTTCAGCTTCAGGACTTAGACTGGCTTCTTTTCTCCTCAGCTTGCAGATAGCCTATTGTGGGACCACACCTTGTGATCATGTGAGTCAACACTCCTTAATAAATTCTGCTTTATATATACATCTATCCTATTACTTCTGTCCCTCTAGAGAACCCTAATATAATAAGATAAATTCATGCGGGGTGAAATGACAAAAAGAAACACAATTAAGAAGGAAAAAACCAACTTCATCTTAAATTCAATAGTACTTTCCACTCTGGGTTTGACTAATTTGTAACCACCCAGACCCCACCAAATCAATCACCATCATGGCAGGTGACCACAGTCTGAGCGGGAGATTGGCATGGGCCCCTTCATCAGGATAGAGTTTATCTTCCCACCCACATCCGCTACACACACCCACTGCACATTGACATAGCCCTTTCATGAGCTCTTAGGAGGAAAGCAAGTATCTCCTTCTGCAGTTACTCATGTACCATTGTCTGGGCACAGGGCATGTTAATAACATGCCCTACAAATTATTCATCAAACCCCCAACAAGTGTGGTCTTTGTCTTCCAAGAAATATTTTGTGGAACTAACACCTGTTATGCTAAAGAGCCTTCATTCTCAATGGTAAATATGAAAATAAACTTGCTGTTTTAATTGATTAGGCTGGGCATGTAGAGGGGAAGGAAATCAGTGATGAGGGTGGTGGATGTGAGACGATAGGGTGAGAAAAGAGTCGTGGGTAGTTTGCGGCTTACCTTGCCTCTCCTTCCATTTCATCCTTCAGACTCAAGACATTATAGGAAATATCATTCGAAACTGGAATTTCCAGGGATGTTTACAACCTACTACAGTTCCTTGACAATTAGAAGGACAGTTTTCTCCTGAGCGATGAAGATAAATTCAAATGAGGAAATAGTTTTAGAAACATGAACTCCACTTCCCTCCACCCCCAAGAAAATGAGCACATACTTTTCAGTAGTGATTTTGACAATGTTATTTATTACTCTACAGTTGAAGAAAATGAAGCATATGGTGTGCAAACACCTTTCAGGTCCATGGATGTGGATACAAGAAGTTTTTTTGTGAAAAACATCTCAGTTCTATACTTAAATGCCTGCAAAACAGCTGCTGCCACTGTACAATATGCAATTCTTGGTGGCATTTGGTAGCTTGAAAAAAAATTGGTACTGGATGTACTACTGATGTCATAGGAATAATTATACTACCAAACAGTTGCTGAAATCTATTTTTAACATAAATCTCAATAATAGATAAAAATGAAAGATTTTGTAAACCTGTTACAGAGAGAGAGAAAAAAAAGACTCAGGTTTAAAGAATTAAAGTAAGCCAGGAAGATTCTCTACTAAAATTGTTTTCTTGAAGGTCACTAATGTCTACTCTCCAAATCCTGTCACCCATTATTGGTCCTCACCTTCCTTCTCTTCACCTCTCTCTTTCTTGTAACTCTTCTCCTCCTTTTCTTCTAAAATGTGCACTCTCCTGGTTCTCCTCCTTATTTCTCTGAGTGTCTTCCTATCTTTCTCCCATCTCTTGCCTTTGAACAAGTTGAGAGAAGTGGTTACAAAAGTGAGGTTGGAGCCAACACACTTGGGTTTGAATCTCAGTCTGATCACTCTTTGAGTAACCTGGGGAAATAATATCTGTAAATCTCAATGTTCTCATCTATCTAGTCAAGATTATAAGTGCTCATACCTGTAATCTCAGCACTTTGGGAAGCCGAGGCAGGCAGATCATGAGGTTAGAAGTTCAAGACCAGCCTGGCCAATATAGTGAAACCCCATCTCTACTAAAAATACAAAAAATTAGCCAGGCATGGTGGCAGACACCTGTAATCCCAGCCACTCGGGAGGCTGAGGCAGGAGAATCGCTTGAACCTAGGAGGCGGAGGTTGCAGTGAGCCGAGATTGTGCCATTGCACTCCAGCCTGGGCAACAGTGTGAGATTCTGTCTCAAAAAATAAATAAATAAATATGTGTACTACTATGAGGAAAGCTCCCCTGAGGACCACTCTTTGCATAACTTCAGAGGCCATCATTGCATTCTAGGATAATGCTCCCTATCTCCAGAGTTTGAATAATGCAGCAAGAGCTCTGCCTTCCTCACAAGTGTAAGGTCTGTGAAAGCAGACACTGTTTTGTTCACCAAGTGCCTAGAACACTACTTGGAAAACAGTAAATACCCCCCAAAATATGTACAGAATGGCAGCTCTATCATCATTAGATACTCAGCTTCGTCTTTCTGCTCCACCATCCTGAGTAAGGTTTCTATCCTCACAGTTACATCATGGTCCAAGATGGCTGCTGGTGCACCAGCCATAACATCCATACTCTAAGCTTTTTATAAAAGAGGAAGAGCACAAAAGTGTACCTCCCTGCTAATCCCTCTTTAATGAGCCCTCCCACAAAACCCTTTCATTTATAACTGTTTGTCCTGAACTTAGATATGTGGCCACACCTAGCAATAAGGCACTGGTTTTTGGCCAGGCACATTGATGCCCCATATAAAATGAGGATTTTGTACTGAAGAAGGGCAGAATGTACATTGGGTTGGTGACTTACAGTCTCCCTTTTGGTACAGCTCAAAGACCTCTCCAGACTCTCTCTTATGATGGCCATCCCCCAGGCTTAGCACTAAGGAGGGCACTTCTCTGTGAATCAGCTTGTCACATTTTTGGAGCAATAAATGTCTAAAAGCTTTTGTTTTGGTTTGGTTTTGGCTCTGGTGATTGTTTTCCTATGACTTTTACCAATTTGTACTTGTTCTGTTCCATGAAACCATACTGAAAACAAATCTACATTTTTCCTTCAGTGTGACAGTGGATTTTTTTATTGGGCAATTGAATAACAGCCCTTCAAATATTTTAAGAAAGCTGTTTGGTGATAGTGAAGTTCTGCCTTTTTCAAGCTAAATTTCTCCAGCTCTTTAAATCTTTCCCCATAAAACCCTACAACATTCTTTTTGCACTCCCCAGAATGTTGATCAAGTTGTCACTGGGTCCAGATCTGACCCAGCCAGTGGAGAACTTGGGGGAACTAACTCTGTCTCTCTTATTTCCATCACCGGAGGCTGAGTCAGCTTTTTTGTCAACCACATAATATTACTGGTTCATATGGAACTTGGGTCTACTAAACTTTCAGATATTTTTCATAAGAATTGCTATTAAGATAAGTTCTTGTATTAGTCCATTTTCATGCTGCTTTGAAGACATAACTGAGACTGAATAATTTATAAAGAAAAGAAGTTTAATTGACTCACAGTCGTGCTTGGCTAGGGAGGCCTCAGGAAACTTACAGTCATGGCGGAAGACAAAACAGGCACATCTTACATGGTAGCAGACAAGAGAAGTGAGAGACAAGTGAAGGGGGAAGCCCCTTATAAAACCATCAGATCCTGTGAGAACTGACTCACTATCATGAGAATAATATCGGTGAATTGCCCCCATGATTCAATTATCTCCACCTGGTCCCGTTCTTGACACGTAGAGATTATTACAATTCAAGGTGAGATTTGGGTGGGCACACAGAGCCAAATCATATCATCCATTTTGTACTTTATAATGTTTTTAACCCAAATTAATTTGATCTTGTGATATTTTCTCTTTAATGTATGGGCCCAGCATTTTAAAAAGATCTTATTGAGCTCTTTTAGTATTTTGACTTGGCCCTCCAGGGGTTTCTCCATTCACACTGTCCTAGCTTCATATCCCCTACAGGTCTGAGCAGCTTGCCTTCCAAATCTTTATCCAAGCTGAATCACTTAGCAGAGCATTGTGATGGACAAAGCTCGTGGTAGGCTGTAAGAAATTGCCTCTCCAGTTAAAACTAACCCATTTTCATCTGAGGCAGATTCCTTCAGAGTCATGTACTAAGGCTTGGTTGAATTTCACAACATAACATAGACTGGGGAAGAAATGGACTTTACTAGAAAATGAAGCAAACGTACAAAATGAGAGTTAACAAGGGAAGGCAGGGCTCCCTCTCTCCCACTATCCTCATGAGAGGTGGGTGGTGCCAGGGCATTACAGCTGACTTCACCATGGAGGTTGTTCCAGGGGAGGGACCTGGCCCTCAGCTGCTTTCTATTCTTTTGGGGCAAGTCTGAGAACAAACTTATTGGGCACTGGGCAGTCTGGATTTGGGTGCCAGCTGTTCTCAGGAGCTTCCTGGGGGAAAGCAAGATGCCAGTGCCTGGAGACCCTAAGGCCCATGGGATGTTGCAGTCCCATCTGCTCCAGGGAGGATGCCATGGGGACACCCTACTAGAGAAAGGGATGCCCCAAATCCCAGCTGGCTTGTTGTTCAAACAACTTAGGGTAAGTTCCCAGGATCATTTTTGCTTAATTCTGTCTCTTGCATCAAACCTATTAATTAAAGTTTATTTGGGTTTAGTCTTTCATTCAGCTACAAATTCGCCTGAGAAAATGGACACCCAATGCTAATTATTCACCTTTTTTTTTTTTTTTTGGAGACGGAGTCTTTCTCTGTCGCCCAGGCTGGAGTGCAGTGGTGCGATCTCAGCTCACTGCAACCTCCGCCTCCTGGGTTCAAGTGATTCTCCTGCCTCAGCCTTCCAAGTAGCTGGGACTATAGGTGCCTGCCACCACGCCCAGCTAACTTTTTGTATTTTTAGTAGAGACAGGGTTTCACCATGTTAGCCAGGATGGTCTTGATCTCCTGACCTTGTGATCTATCTGCCCGCCTTGGCCTCCCAAAGTGCCAATTATCCACTTTGTCTACAAAGAAATCAGTAAAGCCTTGGTAAATAAATAGCCTACATCAAAAACTGACAGCGCAAGTTATACATATACACATTTCATCTACCTTTCCCCAGAATGTAAACTCTTTGAACAGAGAGACTGTGCATTATTCTGTAACCCATAGGGCTTAACCCTCTGCCCTATACAGTAATAGCAGCCACATTTATTCACTGACTAGGTTAGGCACTGTACTCGTGTCAGCCACCATTCTGGGTCTCTGACATGCATTATTTCATCAAATCCTTGCAACTCTTCAAGGGTAACCCGTGAATAATACCCATTGCATAGGTGATGAAACCGAGGGCACATAAGTACACAGGAAGTAATGGGACTGGATTTGAACTGAGCTCTATATGCCCCAAAGCCCTTCTTCTGTTGTATTAATTGTCTGATTACAGTGCAGATTAACAATAAATATCAATGAATAATCAAGTCTACTTCATCTTTGTGTTTCCAGGCAGGATTATGCAACAATCCCTGAGACATGAAGATTTATGTTATTATAATAGAGTCATGTCAACATAGTCCTCCCAGGATAAAAGCCAACTCCTAAACTTACAGCAAAGCTAACAATGATGGGATAAATACACCTGTTACCAGTTTATTAAATAAGTTGGACTCTGAGGCTACATTAACCCTTAAGCCCACCCCTCCTGAAGAATTCATTATCCCTACCACTCCACCCTTGGATAGAACCTTGGATTTGTATCATAGCTTTTCTAATTACTCTTTAGTAATAACAGTTCCTCTGACTACTTACAGTTAATAAAATGTAATCTAATAAAATTAGATTTCCAGCGATTATTATCAAAACCCTAGACTCCCATTCAATCTAAATTTTCCCTCCTGCTCCAGCGTGGACCTCCCTCAGGGGTTAGACTCCTCTTTGTCTCACTCTCTACCTCCCTGGGGGCCTTTCCAGCGTGGTTCAGGGGTTTGGAGGGGAGGCATGGGACAGAAAAGGCCTTCTGGCTGTGACTGAGAGCTTTGATGGGTTTCGGAGAATGCTCTTCCTGGGGACCCCCTTCCCTGGTGTAGCTGGTCCTCCAGCTGACCATGTACAAGCTTCTCATCCCCAACCCCACCCCAGCCACTGCTTCCAACAGTGTCCCCAGTTTCTTTCTGCTGTAGACGCCTGAGCCTGGCAGAAAGGCTTTTGGGGGCAGAGTTCTTTCAGTTATTTTCAGGCTGATCCCTCAAACGCCAGAGAGCCCATGACAATGTCTCCAGGTGAGTTTTCTCTTGGTGGTTTCTTTCTCTTGAGCTGACAGAGAAGGAAAAGGCCCTCCCTCCTCAGCCCCCATGGGTGGGGCAGCGGGTGGTGCACTGCATCCTGGCAGCCCTTTCCTGGCCTCTTGAACCCCTTGATGAAACCTTTGCCTTTTCTTACATATGTGCCAGGTGGCTGATGGGATAGGGGTCAAAGCTGGTTTCATAATTTTTGCATTTATAGTGCAGCACCTGTTGTTCTTGGCCCCCAGTGCTTTTGCTAAAGCCTTAAGAGGATACAAAAAGTTGTGTTTAACATCCTGTTTCACAAACGTGACACAAAAGAGACCTTTATAAAAATAAGCAACTCAAAGGAAGGGGACAATGAAGTGATCCATGAGAGGAAAGAAAGGCATTCATAATGCTGTTTATTGGGCTATACTTTGTGTCAGGCTGTACACTAGGTTCCATGCTCAGATCACATCACTTAATCCTCACATCAACCTGCATCCTCCTGCAGTTTTACAGATGAGAAAAATGAAGTTAATACTTTTCTCAAGAACACAGGGTGACTTTCTGAATCCAAAACCCATGCACTTAACAGAAGTTGAGAGGGAGGGTAACAGCTCTATAAAAGCCATTAAGAAGAGAGCCTTAGACCCATAGAGAAGGGCATGGGCCACACTGCTTTTGAGAGTGTGATTTGGAACCCTACTGATATGTTGCGGATTCTGTAACAGACCAACTTGGCATCTTAGAAAACTGTCACATCAAGTCTAAACTCTTCTGCCCAGTTATACCATTCTTGTCATTCCCAACTAACCAACATGGCCCCTCCACTGTCACCCAAACAGTTGCTTTTTTGGCCAAGAATGCCAAACTCCCCTTCTTTTCAATGCAGAGCTTTAGTGCATGACTTACCTCCAACCAGGAAAGTTCACAATGCTTCTTTGGCAATCTATGTTTGCCATTTTATTTCAAGACCCAACTCAGAACTCACATCTTGAGTTGGTTTTACCTGATTCGTCCCATTCTCAGCATTCATTCATTCATATCTGTCCCACTTTTATGGACCAGGAATGCAGATGGGAAAAGGGGACTTACGGCCTTGCAATTTTCTTTTACTACCACTAGATGGGGACCTTATAAGATGAAATGCTGACTCAGTTGTCCAAGAAAAATCAGGAAGCATAAATCAGGCTGACGCTTGGTTTCTAAACCAGTCAAGTAAGGCAGCAGGCAGTAACATACATACATACGTACACACGTACACACGTACATACGTACACACGTACACACGTACATACGTACACACGTATATACGTACATATGTATATTCAGAACTGAATAATTGAGTAGGGGAAATGCAACTTTGCAAGAAGCTGGGACTGCCTAGATTAGGTTTGTATTATATGATCTCATGTTCAGGATCCTAGCATGATTACTATATGTAGCATATGATTACTGAATTATACTACATCATTTTCCTCATGAAGAAACCAAGACCCAAAGATGCGAAGCGATTTATCAAAGGGTAAAAACTAAAATATTAATGTCATCTTGAAACTGTTCTATTCCATTTCACGATATCTATGGTGTATTGCAGGTAACTGTAGGTAACGGTAGGCCGGAATTTAAATTTTTGGATTCATTTGAATCTCCCACATCTCTGCAACGTTCCTAGGAATAGCCATATCAGCAGCCATGACAACCGGTTTTGAGCCCTGACTATGTGTTAAGCATCATTTTAGGTGACACATTACATAACTAAATTCACGTAGTCCTCAGAAAAGGACTGTATTATCATCATTTCTATTTTTAGATGAGAAAACAGAGGCTCAGAGATGTTAACAGGCACAGAGCTGGCAAGTGAAAGCACAAGGATTCAAACCCAGATGCAGTGGAGACCAAGGTGTGCTACTGCTGACTAGCCCCACCGTCTGTCCGTACCATGCTGGACAACCAGGGCACTCCAGAAAGCCTTCTTCATGGGCTTCTGGGCTCCCAGGGATGAGCTGGGGGTGGGTTGCCTTTTGTGCCCCTCACTGAATTGAGAGAACCCCCCTCTGCTCCTTTGCCTTCGGTGCCCTAGGCTGGACCCTTTCCTGTTTAAGCAACAGAGCAGTGGGAGCGGCCCTGCTGTGCGAGCCTCTCGAGCACAGTCTGCATTCAGTCATTTGTCATGGAAACAGTGTGGGAACGGAACAGGTGATGAGCCCTTCCATCAAAGGTGTATTCAGTACCTACTGTGGCCTCCAGATGCAGAAAGTCAAAGTAGTGCCTGCCTTCGGATCCCCCAGCCCCGTGGAGGAAACATAGAACACCTCATGGCAGTGAGCTGAGAGGACTCAGGAGGAGTGAGGGGCTGAAAGGCCAGGGCAGGGACGGGCTGAGCTGCTGCTTAGAGGGTGTCCCCGTGTTGCTACTGCCCTCCTAGCTCCTCTCCACTCCTTTGCTTTGGTCCCCAGCTAAGGGCCAGAGTGCACTTCTATCAACTTAGAATATAACAATAATCATTAAACACCATGTGGTGGCCTGAGAAGGAGTCTCAAAGTGTCTTGACCTGCCTTTTTTCCCGGGCTTGCCGAGCATGGATCCACATCACCAGCAGAGGGCACTATGCCAGAGCTGGCTCTGTTGAGGGCATCAGCAGAAAGTCCTCCAAGCTGGCACCTTGTGTTTATGCCCATTATAAAACACTGGACTTCAAGGCTCTTGTCCATAGCTCGCTTTGGGACAGTTAAACTAACAGTGCTTTACAGAGTTAGGCTGGCCTACCTTGGGAGGCACAGTCCCCACCCCCTTGTTTATTGGCAGCTGTCACTGACCAGCATAGGTCAGTACTGAGCACTCTGAGCAAGTTACCTTTTCTCATGCTCTCAGCCACCCTGGAGCAGGTGGGTCTGACTGTGGACACCTTGGAACGACCCCCATTCCAAGCCTGCACTGGATGGGCAGTGCTTAGGGCCTCACTTCTGTAACTACTGAAGGCTCAAACATTCCTTTTGGTCACCAACCCTTGTAGTGTGGTCAGGAAGAGAGATGCTGCGACCATCCCAGAGGAGCGGCCAAGGTCTGAGCTCTGAGATGCACTCCATGTCTCTACGCGCCGCTCCTCCAACAGCCACCTCAGGAGAGCATATCTTGGCAGGACAACCACAGTGACCTCTACCCTTGGTGCTAGGACCCAAGAGCTTCCCTTGCAGGAGCTGACATTAGACAGCACGAGGATGGTGCTTTCAGCCAACTTCTCAGCACCCACTCCTCCAAACACTGGGCTGCATGCTGGGGTGCAGAGGTGAAATGGCCTAGTCCCCATTCTGGAGCTCAGTCTGAGGTTGAAAAGGGTGACAACTCAATGAATTGAACATTTATTTGTGTGAATATTTGCTCATCAATCTAAAAGCCACAAACACTGACTATTTATTGTGCTCTGCCCCAGATTTGCTCTCAGCTTAACACAGTGTCTGCATGTAGATACCTCTCAATACATGGTCCCTGAACAAATAAATATCAAAACAAGGCAAAGGAGGTAGCACCCTCTGCTTATGTTCATACCACAGATTCACAACCAAAGAAAATGTGTTTTCTCTACCTTTAAGGCATTCAGGGCATTTAGAAGCAGAGTGTGAGGGCGCATGTGTGTGGTCTGATGGTCCGATGATGATGAAAGCTCCTGGCTCATTTCTCTTCACACCAATGGGATGCCTGTGGTTAGGGGGGCATCTTCCCCACTGGGAAAACCTACTACCCTCACAGCCAGATTACTGTTTCCAGTTCACCAAAGTGATCCAAATACAATATGGAAACTCTGTGTGTGCTTTT
Organism: Homo sapiens; assembly: GCF_000001405.40. NCBI lineage: Eukaryota > Metazoa > Chordata > Mammalia > Primates > Hominidae > Homo > Homo sapiens. Next base: position 224,850,453 of record NC_000001.11, on the reverse strand, counting down.
GAGCTTCAATGATACAGTAGGCAAAGACCCTTGCTACCTGGGCCCCATCTCAACCGTGTGTGTGGGTGCAATAACATGGTGACCCCTCAGTCGTCAGACACAGATTTCAAAAAGGCAGCCATCAGGTAAGATCTGTAGGTAAATGCTTCAGAGGAGAGCACCTTCAATCTAGCACCAGATGATAAGTGTAAAGATGGTATCATTCATTTTGGAAAATGACCATGTCAACAAGGAAGATGCTTTTTTTTTTTTTGAGACGGAGTCTTGCTCTGTCACCCAGGCTGGAGTGTAGTGGCGCGATCTCAGCTCAATGTAACCTCCGCCTGCCTGGTTCAAGTGATTCTCCTGACTCAGCCTCCTGAGTAGCTGGGATTACAGGGGTGCACCACCATACCCGCTAATTTTTGTATTTTTAGCAGAGACGGGGTTTCACCATGTTGGTCAGGCTGGTCTCGAACTCCTGACCTCATGATCTGCCCACTTTTGAATTATGATCACTGACTCATTCTCTCATTCTCTTCTCTTTTAAAAATTTTTTAAATTGACAAGTAAAAATTGTATGTATTTATGGTGTACAACTGTTACCAGAAAGGAGTCCTAATCCAGATCCCAAGAGAGGGTTCTTGGATCTCGTGAAAGAAGGAATTTGAGGTGAATCCGTAAAGTGAAAGCAAGTTTATTAACAAAGTAAAGGAATAAAGAATGGTTACTCCATAGGCAGAGCAGCACCAAGGGCTGCTGGTTGGCCATTTTTATGGTTGTTTCTTGATTATATGCTGAACAAGAGGTGGATTATTCATAAGTTTTCCAGGAAAACAGTGGGCAATTCCCAGAATTCAGGGTTCCTCCTCTTTTTAGACCATATAGGGTAACTTCCTGACGTTGCCATTGCACTTGTAAACTGTCATGGTGCTAGTGGGTGTGTCTTTTAGCATGCTAATGCATTATAATTAGTGTATAATGAGCAGTGAGGGCGACCAGACGGTCACTTTTGTCACCGTCTTGATTTTGGTGGGTTTTGGCCGGTTTCTTCACCACAAACTGTTTTATCAGCAAGGTCTTTATGACCTGTATCTTGTGCTGACCTCCTATCTCATTCCATGACATAGAATGCCTAACCACCTGGAAATGAAGCCCAGTAGGTCTCAGCCTTATTTTACCCAGCCCCTACTCAAGATGGAATAGCTCTGATTCAAAGCTTCTGACACAACATGATGTTCTGACATATGTATACAATGTGGAGTGGCTAAATCAAGAATTTAACATATGTATCACCTCACATACTTATTTTTTGTGGTGAGAACACTTAAAATCTACTCTCTTAGCAATTTTCAAGTATATATTATTATTGAGACAGGATCTCCCTCTGTAGCCCAGGCTGGAGTGCAGTGGCATGACCACAACTCACTGCAGCCTCAATCTCACCAAGCTCAGCTGATCCTGTTACCTCAGCCTCTTGGGTAGCTAGGTCTACAAGTGCATACTACCATGCCCGGCTAATTTTTGTATTTTTTTTGTAGAGACAGGGTTTCACCATGTTGCTCAGGCTGGTCTTGAACTCCTAGGCTCAAGCGATCCTCCTGGCTCAGCCTCCTAAATCCCAAGTGCTGGGATTACAGGCATGAGCCACCACATCTGACCCAATATATTATTCTTAACTGTGGTCACCATGACATATGATTGCTCTTTTGAACTTACTCCCCCTAACTGAAACTTTGTACCTTTTGATCCATTATCTCCCCTTTCTCTATCCCTGCCAATCCCTGCCTCATCCCCTAGTAATCAACATTCTACTCTCTGCTTCTATGAGTTCAACTTTTTTAGATTCCACATAAAAATGAGATCATGTAGTATTTGTCTTTCTGTGCCTGGTTTATTTCACTTAACACGATGTCCTTCGGTTTCAACTATGTTGTCATAACTGACAAGATGTCCTTCTTTTTTAAGACTGAATTTTCTTTATCCATTCATCTGTTGATGGACACTTAGGTAGATCCCATATCTTGGCTGTTGTGAATAGTGCTGCAATAAACATGAGAGTGCAAATGTCTCTTTGACATACTGACTTCATTTTCTTTGGATATATATACCCAGCAGTGGGACCTGCTGGATCACAGGGTACTTCTATTTTTAGCTTTTGGGGGAAACTCCATACTGTTTTCCATAACAGCTGTACTAATTTACACACTTTTGTTTTTGAAACTCCATTTGCAAGACAATTAAGCAGATTGTGACAAAACCCTACATGTGCAAAGGTCTCACCTAAGGTAAAAGTCTCTGTGATAGTTCTCCCTCTGAAACCATCTTCAGAACTAGAACCATGGCATTAAGCAACATTATCATAACGTGACATCTGTGTGAAGGTTAAAGGAAATTCCACTCTCATGTAAAATTAATTATTCCATCTAATCAGTCACTGGGCACCATTTAGGGGTCTTGCATGACACTCAATTCAGATATGAAGAAAGGACCAACTAATATTTTGAAAACTCAGCCACACTGAAGCATGAATGAGCCTGGATGAATGCTTTCTCCAGTTTCCTGGCCCCTAGGCCCCCAGCTGTCCAACCCGCACAAAGAGGAGGCCCATCAACATCATCGCAGGTGAGCACTCAAGGAGAAAACTGATTACAATGTGTGCTGAAAGACACTGAGGAATGCTATACAGAGAAAGATGCAACCATGGTCACATGATCCTTAAAAATTTGGCACCATCATGAGAACTACATAAAAAATTAAGTTTTGTGGCCAGGCATGGTGGCTCATGCCTGCAATCCCAGCACTTTGGGAGGATGAGGTGGGCAGATCACCCGAGGTCAGAAGTTTGAGACCAGCCTAACCAACATGGAGAAACCCTGTCTCTACTAAAAATACAAAATTAGCCAGGTGTGGTGGCACATGCCTGTAATCCCAGCTACTTGGGAGGCTGAGGTAGGAGAATCACTTGAACCCAGGAGGCAGAGGTTGCAGTGAGCTGAGATTGTGCCATTGCACTCCAACCTGGGCAACAAGAGCAAAAACTCTGTCTCAAAAAAAAAAATTAAGTTTTGTAATAACAAATTCTGTTGGTAAAATAATTATGTATGTGGTTATCCAAATACTAATTATCAATTAATGATTAATTAGCAACTGAATGCTATAGATAAAAAGTCCTTAGATGTTAGCAAACAGAGTCACTATAAATCGGACTAGCTGGCTTGGCCTCACAGCCCTCAAGGGTGCACAGGCTTGGGAACTGAATAGCATCACATCCTTTATCCCATATATTATTAACAAAAAAATCAAACTCTGCAGAATATTTGAAGAGGCTTATTGTGAGCCAATATGAGTGACCACAGCCTGTGTTACAGCCTCAAGAGGTCCTGAGAAAATGTGCCTGAGGCAGTCAGGTTACAGTTTGGTTTTATACATTTTAGGGAGACAAAAGTTACAGGCAAAGACATAAATCAATATATGTAAGAGATACATTGGTTTACAAGAAAGGCAGGACATCTCAAAGGTGGTGGGTAAGCAGGGGTTTGGGGGAGGAAGTAGATAGGTCATTGGTGGATTCAAAGATTTTCTGATTGGCAATTGTTTGAAAAAGTTAAGCTTTGTCTAAAGACTTAAGAAATCGGTAGCAAGGAATATTTGAGCTAAGATAACAGGGTGGTGGAAGCCAAGGCCCTTGTTGTGTAGATGAAGTCTCTTAGCTAGCAGCCCTCAGACAGCATGTGATGCTATACTAGAGTCAGGTTGGAATTTGTTATCTTATTGCCACAAAGAGCCTGTTTTGTCAGTCTTCTGTCTCTATTTTAATGTTAATGCTGGTCATTTGTGCCTAAACTCCAAGAGGGAGAGGTATGTCCAACTTCCCTTCCATCAGTGACCTGGAATTTAGTGTTTCAGATTTCTCTGGGGTATCTTGGCCAGGAGGGGGAGGGTCTATTCTGGTGGTTGGGAGAGCTTAGAATTTTATTTTTGGTTTGTGATATTTATCCACAAAGACTGATTTTTTTGATACTTGGAGTATGACACCCTGACACATCTGGTACTGCTTGCATTGTGACCGTGGCCAATTTCCAAGGAGAACAGCTAAGCTCCATCTGACAATGATTTATTTACTGGATTCATTAGTGCCCCCAGCAATTTCAGCAGGGCTGTCCTGAACTAAGCATCACA